>NC_000007.14:22740242-23990242 GCF_000001405.40 Homo sapiens
TTTGCAGAAGATATGATCTTATCTATGGTAAAACTTAAAGACTCTACACACAAAAAGCTATTAGAACTAATAAACAAATTCAATAAAGTTGCAGGATACAAAATCAACATACAAAAATTAGCAGCATTTCTATATTCCAACAGGGAACAATGTGAAAAAGAAATTTAAAAAAGTAATCCCATTTACGATAGTCACATATAAAATTAAATACCTAGAAATTAACTTAACCAAAGAAGTGAAAGATCTCTGTAATGAAAATTATAAAATACTGATGAAAGAAATTGAAGAGAACACCAAAAAATGGAAAAATATTCTATGTTCATAGACTGGAAGAATTAGTATTGTTAAAATATCCATAATACCCAAAGCAATCTACAGATTCAATGCAATCCTTATCAAAATACCAATGACATTCTTCACAGAAGCAGAATAGAAAAAAAATCCTAAAATTTATATGGAACCATGAAAGACCTAGACTAGCCAAAGCTATCCTAAGAAAAAAGAACAAAACTGGAGGAATCACATTACCTGACTTTAAATTATACTACAGAGCTGTAGTAACCAAAAGAACATGGTACTGGCATAAAAACAGACACATAGACCAATGGAACAGAATAGAAAACTCAGAAACAAACCCACACACCTATAGTGAACTCAATTTTGACAAAGGTGCCAAGAACATACACTGGGGGAAAAGACAGTCTCTTCAGTAAGTGGTGTTTGGAAAACTGGACATCCATATGCAGAAGAATGGAACTAGACCCCTATCTCTCACCATATAAAAAAAAATCAAATCAAAATGGACTAAAGATTTAAATCTAAGACCTCAAACTGTGAAACTACTACAAGAAAACATTGGAGGAAAACTCCAGGATATTGGTCTGGGCAAAATTTCTTGAGCAATACCCCACCAGCACAGGCAACCGAAGCAAAAATGGACAAATGGGATCACGTCAAGTTAAAAAGCTTCCGCGTGGCAAAGGATACAATCAACAAAGTGAAGAGACAACCCACAGAATGGGAGAAAATATCTGCCAACTACCCATCTGACAAGGAATTAGTAATAAGAATATACAAGGAGCTCAAACAACCCTGTAGGAAAAAAAAATCTAATAAATCGATCAAAATATGGGCAAAAGATTTGAATAGACATTTCTCAAAAGAAGGCATACAAATGGCAAACAGGTATATGAAAAGGTGCTCAACATCACTGATCATCAGAGAAATTGTCTCACCCCAGTCAAAACTGCTTATATGCAAAAGACAGACAATAACAAATGCTGGCGAGAATGTAGAGAAAAGGGAACTGTTGTATGCTGTTGGTGGGAATGTAAATTAGTACAACCACTATGGAGAACAAACAGTTTGGAAGTTCCTCAAACAACTAAAAGTAGAGCTACCATAGGATCCAGCAATCCTACTGCTGGGTATATACCCAAAAGAAAGGAAATCAGTATATCGAAGAGATACCTGCATTCCTATGTTTGCTGCAGCACTATCCACAATAGCTAAGATTTGGAAGCAACCTGAGTGTCCATCAACACATGAATGGATAAAGAAAATGTGAAACATATACACAATGGAGTACTATACAACCATAAAAAAAGAATGAGATCCAGTCATTTTCAGCAACATGGATGGAAATGGAGATCATTGTTAAGTGAAATAAACCAGGCACAAAAAGGCAAACATCACATGTTCCCATTTATTTGAGGGATCTAAAAATGAAAACAATTGAACTCATAAACATAGAGAATAGAAGGATGGTTATCGAAGGCTGGGAAGGGTATTGTGGGGATGGGGGCAGAAAAGGATGGTTAATGGGTACAAAAAAATAGAAAGAATGAATAAGAATTACTATTTGGTAGCACAACAGGGTGACTATAGTAATAATAACATAATTGTACATTTTAAAATAACTTAAAAAGTGTAATTGGATCCTTTGCAACTCAATGGATAAATGCTTGAGGGGATGGATACCTCATTCTCCATGATGTGCTAATTTCACATTGCATGCCTGTATCAAAACACCTCATATTCCCCAGAAATATATACACCTACTAGGAACCCACAAAAGTTAAAAATAATAAGTAAATAAAAGTGGGTGATTAAAATATATTTTTAAAACTGAAGTACCTGGTTATAAACACCCCTCTGTTAAGATTTATTTATTTATTTAGAGACAGAGTTTCATTTTGCTGCCCAGGATGGAGTGCAGTGGCACAATCTCGGCTCACTGCAACTCTGCTTCCCAGGTTCAAGAAATTCTCGTGCCTCACCCTCCCAAGTAGCTAGGATTACAGGCATGCACCACCACACCTGGCTAATTTTTGTGTTTTTAGTAGAGACAGGGTTTTGCCCTGTTGGCCAGGCTAGTTTTCAACTCCTGGCCTCAAGTGATCCACCCACCTTGGCCTCCCAACGTGCTGGGATTACAGGCGTGAGCCACCACCCCCAACCTAAGTTTTATTTTATTTTTATGGAAAATGAGTAATATATTTATTTTGGCTACTTTTTGCTGAAAAGGTGTGTAGTTGTGGGGGCATGGAATGGAACCTGGAGTTGAACCCTGAGTGGAAAGTATTTGTGAGTCCTTGGGCTTACAGAAGAGATTACTGGAGCATTATGGTGAGTGTGTAATAGCAATATAGTTCACAGTGGAGGAACAAACCTATCTCTAGAATCATGGCTAAAATTATGAGTAATTTTTTTTTTATCAGGAGAAGCCTGATCTAAATCATGAGGAAAGCCGTTGATTTTAGGGCATTGTGGGATGAGACATAGCATTAATTTTCCTGTGTATGTCTTAGACGCTGAGGATATGTTTTCGGAGTTACCCAGGATGTGCATACGGCATTTATTCTTATAGTGCATGTTTTTCACTGTCAATTGTATCCAGAGCTTCTGTGGGGAGATGACAAGTTAGCTAAATATACATATTTAATAGGCTACAGGAGGAGCTATGCATATTTATGAAGGTGGTCCTGACACAAGGATATTGAACAAATATGTATGTAACATATAGTCCATGTCTATTTTGTGCTGGAGACGTAATATTTAAATGTATTATAATTAGATCATATACATCAAAAGGTCTTTTCAAGTCACAAAGCCATGCACATGTATAATTTCTGTAAACTGGCCAGAACTAGACCATGGTTGGTAGTCTTTTTATCAAGAGAAAGTTATTGAAATCAATCTCTTGTCTAATTAAAGTTGTAGCTATGGCTGGTGGAACAGGAGCTGAGGGTCAGTTAGTCTGCTTATGTAGAGACTAGTGTTTTTTTGGCTGCTGGTGAAAAAGAAAAACCTTGTGGCAATTAGAATATAGTGTACTTTTAAAGTGTAGGAATATGTGACTTAATCTTTGCCTGGCATGGTCTTAGGTCGTGTTTGTAACTTGGTATTTTATTGTTATAAAGGGTTTGTCAGTCTTATGATCTGTATTTTATTTATTTTAGAATTTTTAAATTTATTTTTGAGATGGAGTCTTGCTCTATTGCACAGGCTGGAGTGCAGTGGTGCAATCATGGCTTACCATATCCTTAATCTCCCATGCTCAAGCAATCCTCCCACCTCAGCCTTCCGAGCAGCTGGGACCACAGGTGCTCACCACCACACCTGGCTAATTTTTTTTTTTTTTTTTTGAGATGGAGTCTTGCTCTGTCACCCAGGCTGGAGTGCAATGGTGTGCTCTCAGCTCGCTGCAACCTCCACCTCCCCGGTTCAAGTGATTCTCCTGCCTCAGCCTCGTGAGTAGCTGGGATTACAGGTGCGCACCACCACACCTGGCTAATTTTTATATTTTTAGTAGAGACAGGGTTTCACCATGTTGATCAGGCTGGTCTCGAACTCCTGACCCTGTGATCTGCCTGCCTCGGCCTCCCAAAGTGCTGGGATTACAGGCGTGAGCCACATGCCTGGCAACACCTGGCTAATTTTTAAAATATTTTTTGTAGAGATGGGATCTCACTGTGTTGCCCAGGCTAATCTGGAACTCCTAGGCTCAAGTAATCATCCTGCTTTGGCCTCCCAAAGTGTTGGGATTACAGGTGTGAGCCACCGCACCAGTCATGATCTGTATCTTAATGTTAAGGCTGCTCACTTGTGTCTAAACTCTAAAGTGGGGAGGATATAATGAGCCATGTACCACCACTACTTCCTGCCATGGCCTGAACTAGTTTTTCAGGTTTCTTCGGGATCCCTTTGGCCAATAAGGGGGTCTATTTTGTCTGTTAGGGGGACCAGAATTTTATTTTTGGTTTATATTCTCCCCCTTCTGGCCAAGATTTGCCAGAGGCAACATTACTGGTCAAACTTTTACTTTGTCTCACAGCACTGTGTGGTGGTGTGGCTACTGGCCCCAGGTCCATCATGTACCTCAGTGGGACCCCTATGGCCAAGGGACTTCGAGTAAAAAGAATTATAGTCAATTAAATGTTCTAGACAAAATGGGAATGGAGATGGGCAGGCATCTATTAACCTTAAAATCCTTTAAGTAATAGAAAAGCCAAAAGTCAAGGTTATGAAACTGACTTATTTATAAATTTAATGAATTGAGCTACTGTAATCTTGGCTTAATTAGTTTTATATATATATTTTATTTATATATATAGTTGTTTTGTTATATATAAATATATATATATATATATATATATATATATATATATATATATATATATATATATATATATAGTTGTTTTGTTTTGAGTCAGAGTCTCACTCTGTTGCCCAGGCTGGAGTGCAGTGGGGCAATCTTGGCTCACCACAACCTCTGCCTCCTGGGTTCAAGTAATTCTCATGCTTCAGCCTCCTGAGTAGCTAGACTACAGGCATGCGCCACCGCACCCGACTAATTTTTGTATTTTTAGTAGAGGCAAAGTTTCACCTTGTTGACTGGGCTGGTCTTGAACTCCTGACCTCAGGTGATCCACCGGCCTCAGCCTCCCCAAGTCCTAGGATTACAGGCATGAGCCACTGCAACTGGCCTAATTAGTCATATTTTAAAAAGTATTTTGTTAAAACTATTTAAGCTAAAGAATTTAGAGACTTTTATTGTATCACCATGAATTTTGAGGTCTTTTTAGTAATCTGTCCTAAGGTGGCTGATTAAAAAAAAATTTAATATATATCTGAAGCAGGAAATTCTTTATGGTTGAAATGGATGGAAAGGGGCCACATAATGGCCCAGGAGGCAAAATTCCAGCTGTTCAGGCATCTATGTGCCTGTCCTTGATTTAGAGAATCTAAACTAATTTTATTGCTCAAAATCAGCCCTTATAATCTTACACACCTACCTATTCCGCAATAGTCCCTGGGCCTAGAGGGAAGGTGTTTACACAGTTTTAGCAGCAGGGCATTAGCAATGAAAATATATTAGGCCCAGTGAGATTCTAAATGTTTTTAAATTTTGGAGATAGCAGGTAGAATCTTTGTTGTTTTATCTAATTTTGTAAACTAGGTATAAAATTAGCAACATTGTAAACAAAAAAGACGTAAGCACTGCTTAGCTCTGACAATAATAGGAGAAAGGAAACTCACAGGTAGATAAATAAATCATCTAGTATGAAGACATAGAATAAATATATTAATTTAGATAGACAAAAATATTAAAGGGATATTATGCCTTTGTATTACCATATAGGCCTGATCTAGTGTCACATGAAAGCAGTTTATTTTGATTGGTGCCTTTTCCTGGGTCTAAAGATGAGGCTTTGGTTAACTTGACTTTGGTGTCAGATACTAGCATTGATGTTTAAGATTCGGTAGGAGCCAGATTCCCAGGAGTCAAAGCCCTGGAACTTAACAGCGCAAGGGTTAGTTAACAATATTTGATAAAGACCTTTTATTTAATGAGGCTGGAGGAATTATCTCAACTGATATCTAATCATTAGGCTGGAGGTGATGATACTAGGGTTTATGACTTAGAAGCTGTAGAAAGATTCTACAACAATGGAGTGATTAATATTTATATTTTTGATAATCCCCCAGCAATAAATCTAAGTCAAAGACACTTTAGGATTCAATTTGGGATTCAATTTTTTGAGAAGGTTTGTCAAAAGATGTTGAAAGCCTCAAAACATTTTATTAAAATAGAATTATAGGTCATTAGAAAATAATATTTATTTAACCAGAGTGACAATTAAAAGATGTTAAAAGCAAGAAAGAAAGTTATATGGATGTAAAAACCTTAACCCTTTTAAAGTTTTTTTTTAAGTAATATTTTCCTAATAAACGCAACACAGGAATCATCTTCATACAACGTAAAATCTTTGTTTCTTAGGCTAGTTATCAAAAAGGTTAAAAAAGAAAAGAAAAAAAAAAAAAACCTTCGCCAGTGATTGTTTTTCCTTATGGGAAACCCATTTGGATAACCTCAAAGTCAAACATGGGAAAAACCATCAGGAGGGGGTTTCTGGAGTTAATCAGGGATATGTTTGGAGGAAGCATGTGTAGGCATGCATAAACATGCATAAACATGTCTTTTATTATCATTATGTCCATTAAGCATGAGTGAAATAGCACCTTGTGGTTGTAAATGCTCTCTCATGACTTTCAATTTAAGTCCAGTTACAACTGAGTTGGCTGGGTCCAGGCTCCCGCCATGCTGGATCATAGCATCCCCAAATTTAAAAAAAATACCAAGTGCATGGCAGTGCTCCCATGAGTTGTCATGAGTTGATTAGTCACTAATCCATGGAGATGTCTTATTTAAGGAGAACGTGTGAGCATTCTCAATGAACATGGCCCTAAAGTAAGAACCAGATGCCAGGTATAGTTTCAGTACAGTCACCCCCAAGCGTGAATGGGTCCAGAACAAGAAGGGTAGTACTTCCCGAGTGGGTTGTTGGTTTCGTGAAGTTCGGTAGTCAAGAAATTAGGTTGGAGGTGATAAGCATGTTGACAAGAAATGACTTTACTTGGATGCACTATGTATGATAAATGACTAAATGTACTATGCAATATTAAGGAGTTATTGAGGTGGACAATAGATATACGCACGAGTTCTGTTTCATGGGAGGTTAATAGAATATCTGATAAGTCGATATAAAGTTGTTATATAAAGTTATACTTGCTTAATATTCATGCAGACAGGAGTTTCATGTATGATAATGCATAGATGTATAACATACAGTTAAGCATATATGGTACTGCTACATTAATTTATGTGGTTGAGCAGGAATGCATGATGTACATAGTAATACCATTGTCACAGCATTAATTCTGTGAGTTTCTTTGATACTGACATAGCAGTTAAAATAAAATTATTGCACCTTAAGTAAAGAATTCAGGGAATAATTTAAGTAGAATTTCAGCTTTGGGTGCTGGCAGTGGAGTGGGAGGCTTCTTTCCAGAAATTGTCCTGGGAAGGTAGAGGCCCTCCATTTTGGGTTTACAAGACCCAAATGTATAATGTACAACAAGGACTTCTTCATTTAAGTAACTTGTTTTCAGTTAGACTAGTAAATGGTATACAAAAAAATAAAGGATGAGGGAGAAGTATGCAATGCATGCTGTTTGACCGATGATTATGAAGAGGTGTTCAATGGGTAGGCCTCTGATTCATGTGAGTGTGAGAAGATCTGCTACTAGGATTCAAAATAGGCATTGACTTAATGGTCAAAATATTATACTTTGTTGTTTGGACATGTGAAGTATTGGGACAATGGCTAGGGTAAGAATGGAGAGAACGAGGGCTAGTAGGCCCATAGTTTCTTGGGAACAGAGCATAAGATTGTGCAGGCAAAAAAGAAAAGAATCACTCTGGTTTAATATGGGGCGGTGTGTTGAGGGGGTTTGCTGGGGTATTGTTGTCTGGATCGCCTAACAGGTCAGGTGAAAATAGAACTAATATAATTAATAGCAGTAGTAGAATTAGGCCTAAAATGTCTTTGATTGTAAAATGAGGCTGAAAAGGGATTTTATCAGAATCTGATGAAATTCCCAAGGAGTTATTAGACACTGTTACATGGAGAAATAAAAGGTGGATGGCTTCTAGGGCTGCAATGATTAAGGGTAAAATGAAGTAGAGGCAAAGAATCATGTGAGGGTAGTTTTATCAACAGAAAACACACCTCAGATTCATTGTACTAGGTCAGTGCCAGTGTATGGAATAGTGACAGCAGATTGGTGATTACTGTTGCAACTCAAAAAGATATTTGTCCTCATGGCAAGATGTAACCTATAAATGCTGTTGCTATTACCACAAATAATAGGAAAATACCAACATGTCAGGTTTCTAGAAGAGTATAAGATCCATACTATAGGCCTCATCCTACATGTCAGAATAAACACATAAAGAATATTGAGGCTCTGTTGGCATGTAGATACCAAATAATTCAGCTGGAATTCACCTCTCAGCAGATGTGTGTGATGGAGGAGACAGCAGTTATTGTGTCTGATGTGTAATGCATGGCTAGGAATAGTCCTGTAATGATTTGTCGGGCCAGGCAAACACCTGGAAGTGAGCCAAAATTTCACCATGTGGAAATATTTGATGGTGCCATCAATGAATGAGTGGTTAAGGATTTTTATTAAGGGGTGAGTTTCTTGGATGTTGGGTTCGTACAGTTGAAATACAATGATGATTTTTCATGGTTGGGGGGTTGTGGAGTTAATCGAGAATATGTTTAAGGAAAGTGTGCGTAGACATGCATACAGAAGGAATTAATCAGGAACAGGAAGAGCATGTCCAGGGTTGAGTAGACATTATATTATAAAGACCCTGAACAGGGAAACATGTGACTCAGCAACAGCAGGGGAAATTGCCTGGTTGTATTGAACATTTTAGACATATATTGGTGCTCTGAAAAATAATGCCCCAAAATGGAAGCCTCAGGAGCAGCCTCAGAAGTAGAAGTTTTTCTTTGGCTTTCTCTTGCCATTCCATCTCTCAGTCCCATTTTCCCTCAAGGCTGGCCATAGCAACTAGGATCTCTCTTCCCTAAAGTGGGTCCTAGAAACCTGAACTCATTTTCCTCAAAACCAGCCATAAAACCTAAAAACTATTACTCTAACTTTTCTTTGCCTTTCTGTGTAAGAATGTGGCCATAAACAAATAATCTAACCTTTCTAGTTGGACTGTAGGTCATAAGATCACATAGCCAGAAGGAAGGAAATGCATGCACAGGGAGGTAAGGAAGAGTTTAGACAGACAGGCCTTGCCGGGTAGTCTACTAGCATTAAATTACACCCTTTTGTTTAATTATACTTTTATATGGCTGTCCATGTCTTGTTGAACCCAAGCATAAAAACGAACAATTTCCTCTGTACCTTAGGCTTTTATTCTGAAAACTCCCACATATATACTCTAAACAAATTTGTATATCTTTTTCTCCATCAATCTATCTTTTGTGACTTGATTTTTTTGGCAAAACTTCAGAGGGCCTCTGGTCCCTAAAACATATTAAGAAAAAACAAGAATATAGACTTAAGTTAAATCAGAGTAAAACATTGCCTTTTTAAAACCTTCAAGATAAAACATTTCAGCATCAGGCCATAACAACAGATTTAGAACTAGAGTAGGGGAAGAAATGTTACAGGAGCCCACAAAAGTTGAAGGAGAGAGTTAATATTCCAGGCCTTTTCAAAGGGAGAGAGGCTGAAAGCAGCAGGGTACAGCAGAAGGTGAACTTCTGAGATATCAATTTGAGAAATTTGAAAAGAAACAGATAACAGAAAGGAAACTTGTTGCAATTTCATTAAGAGTAAATAAATAAGAAAATCTTATTGTTTTCATCAGTTCTTTGGTTTTGTACTAGTTTATTTTTAATATCAAAACCCAATCTCTAGAAAGACAAATTTTCTTTTAATTAAAGCCAACTTAATCACATATAAAACTTATTTTATACATTCTCTTTTTATAAACTTTATGACAATTTACACAGACCATTTGTGATATGCTTGGACTTTGTGTTTTGTCCTAAAAATGACCCTTTCTTAAATAATCAGTCGTTTTACTTTAGGACAAACTTTACCATGTAAGATTTTTTCTTTCTCTCTCTCTCTCTGTGTGTGTGTGTGTGTGTGTGTGAGAGAGAGAGAGAGAGATGGAGTCTCACTCTTTTGCCAGGCTGGAGTGCAATGGCACAAACTTGGCTCACTGCAACTCTGCCTGCCAGGTTCAAGTGATTCGCCTGCCTTAGCCTCTCAAGTAGCTGGAATTACAGGCATGTGCCACCACGCCCAGCTAATTTTTATATTTTTAGTAGAGACGGGGTTTCACCAAGTTGGACAGGCTGGCCTTGAACTCCTGAGCTCAAGTGATCCCCCCGACTCGGCCTCTCAAAGTGCTGGGATTATAGGTGTGAGCCACCACACCCAGCCTAAGATTTTTTCTCATATAAAATTATTTTCCTTTTAATTTTCTTTATTAAAAATGTATCTTTATAACTTTCTTCACATCTCTCTCACTTACTGGTTCCTTTACTTACTGGTTTCATGAAAAATCTTTAACTTTTGAATTAGACAAAAATTATTTTCCTTTTAATAAGAACACACTTTTTGTCTTTCTTATAACTTTTTTATTTAAAACACATTTCATTTTGGCACATTTTATATGCAGAATTATGTATTAACTAGAATTTTTATTTTTAGTAATGTTAAATTTTTGTGAATAGCTAGGAAGTAAGAAATATTGAATTGTCTGTTACATTAGCATTTTATAGATAAGAATCTTTGATAATTAATTTTTATAGAAAAAAGTTTTTCTATAATTTTAATTGGAAATGACCAAGACATTTAATGAATATGTATTATGTAATTTAATATAACTTTAAGATGTTAAATTATATGACAAGTTTATTTATATGCATTTTATTCTATTCATTTTATTTTTCATAGTTTACCTAGGTTATTTATGAAAACTGGGATATTAGACAAAGCTAGTCATTATTTAAAGTTATTCCCCTGTTAACCATTTTAATAGCCTATGAATATCATATATTTACCCAAGTCAGAATCTTAAGGTTAAATAAATGGGTATTTTTTTATTTTTATTTTTTTGCCAATAGCTTAGGATTTAGCTGTTCTTATTAAGCCAACAATATTAAATGTTTTATTTATCAAAAATTACATGAACAAAGATTGGGGCTGGGTTTGCAGTTTTATAACCTTTGTGCCAAACCTTGACACCTTATAATTCATAGCAGAGATAAATATGAAGCCACTTGACTAATAAACCTAGACAAAAATGTATACTGACAATTTTGAAGACAAAAACAATGTCTTCAAAATCATCACCCAGACTGAAGTACAGTGTCATGAACACAGCTGACCGCAGCCTTGACCTTGTGGGCTCAAGTGATCCTCTTACCTCAGCCACTTGAGTAGCTGGGACCACAGACATGCACCACCATGCCTGGCTAAACAATAATTTTAAGGCTAGCTTATTTATTAAATATTTATTTGTCATGTGAACTTGAAAGCTTTTGGACTTGCTTAATCTATGAGTATTCATTTACATATAAGCAAATTTGGTAGCATGCTAGACACAATATATAATGCGTATATACACATATATAGAAACACATTTAAACAAGCATACACACACACACAAGTAAAGATCCATTCGCTTTACCTCAGAACTTTAGCCATGAGACAGCATCACAATCTCATCAGCCTATAAAAGGTAGCTGGATCTAAATTATTTCTGACAAAATTGGGGCCTGTCTACATGGCTAAATTTCATTTGCCCCAGGTAACCCAATGAAGGCTGTGGACCAAAATTTGGGGCAACAGCATCTGTTGTTTCCTGACTTTTTTAATGATCGCCATTCTAACTGGAATGAGATGGTATCTCATTATGGTTTTGATTTGCATTTCTCTAATGACTAGTGATGATGAGCTTTTTTCATGTTTGCTGGCTGCATAAATGTCTTCTTTTGAGAAGTGTTCATATCCTTCACTCACTTTTTGATGGGGTTGTTTGTTTGTTTTTCTTGTGAATTTCTTTAAGTTCTTTGTAGATTCTGTATATTAGCCCTTTGTCAGATGGACAGATTGCAAAAATTTTCTCCCATTCTGTAGGTTGCCTGTTCACTCTGATGATAGTTTCTTTTCCTGTGCAGACGCTCCTTAGTTTAACTAGACCCCATTTGTCAATTTTGGCTTTTGTTGCCATTGCTTTGGTGTTTTAGTCATGAAGTCTTTGCCCATGCTTATGTCCTGAATGTTATTGCCTAGGTTTTCTTCTAGGGTTTTTATGGTTTTAGGTCTCATGTGTAAGTCTTTAATCCATCTTGAATTAATTTTTGTATAAGATGTAAGGAAGGGATCCAGTTTCAGTTTTCTGCATATGGCTAGTCATTTTTCCCAACACCATTTATTAAATAGAGAATGTTTTCCCCATTGCTTGTTTTTGTCAGGTTTATCAAAGATCAGATGGTTGTAGATGTGTGGTGTTATTTCTGAGGCCTCTGTTCTGTTTTCATTGGTCTATATATCTGTTTTGGTACCAGTATCATGCTGTTTTGGTTACTGTAGCTTTGTAGTATAGCTTGAAGTCAGGTAGTGTGATGCCTCCAGCTTTGTTCTTTTTGCTTAGGATTGTCTTGGCTATATAGGCTCTTTTTTTGGTTCCATATGAAATTTAAAGTAGTTTTTTCTAATTCTGTGAAGAAAATCAATGGTAGCTTGATGGGGATAGCACTCAATCTATAAATTACTTTGGGTAGTACGGCCATTTACACAACATTGATTCTTCCTATCCATGAGCATGGAATGTGTTTCCATTTGTTTGTGTCCTCTCTTATTTCCTTGAGCAGTCATTTGTAGTTCTCCTTGAAGAGGTCCTTCACATCCCTTGTAAGCTGTATTCCTAGGTATTTTATTCTCTTTGTAGCAATTGTGAATGGGAGTTCACTCATGATTTGGCTCTCTGTTTATCTATTATTGGTATATAGGAATGCTTGTGATTTTTGCACATTGATTTTGTATGCTGAGACTTGGCTGAAGTTGCTTATCAGCTTAAGGAGATCTGGGGCTGAGACGATGGGGTTTTCTAAAAATACAATCATGTTATCTGCAAACAGAGACAATTGGACTTCCTGTCTTCCTATTTGAATACCCTTCATTTCTTTCTCTTGCCTGATTGCCCTGGCCAGAACTTCCAATATTATGTCGAACAGGAGTGGTGAGAGAGGGCATCTTTGTCTTGTGCTGGTTTTCAAAGGGAATGCTTTCCAGCTTTTGCCCATTCAGTATGATATGGGCTGTGGGTTTTTCATAAATAGGTCTTATTATTTTGAGATACGTTCCATCACCACCTAGTTTATGGAGAGTTTTTAGCATGAAGGGGTGTTGAATTTTATCGAAGGCCTTTTCTGCATCTATTGAGATAATCATGTGGTTTTGTCATTGGTTCTGTTTATGTTTTACTTTTATGGATTATGTTATGGATATGTTTATGGATTACATTTATTGATTTGCATATGTTGAACCAGCCTTGCATCCCAGGGATGAAGCTGACTTGATCATAGTGGATAAGCTTTTTGATGTGCTGCTGGATTCGGTTTGCCAGTATTTTATTGAGGATTTTTGCATTGATGTTCATCAGGGATATTGGCCCGAAATTTTCTCTTTTTTGTGTGTGTGTCTCTGCCAGGTTTTGGTATCAGGATGATGCTGGCCTCATAAAACAAGTTAGGGAGGAGTCCCTCTTTTTCTACTGGTTGGAATAGTTTCAGAAGGAATGGTACTAGCTCCTTTTTGTACCTCTGGTAGAATTCAGCTGTGAATCCATCTTGTCCTGGGCTTTTTTTGGTTGGTAGGCTATTAATTAACTGCCTCAATTTCAGAACTTGTTATTGGTCTATTCAGGGATTCGAATTCTTCCTGGTTTAGTCTTGGGCGGGTGTATGTGTTCAGGAATTTGTCCATTTCTTCTAGATTTTCTAGTTTATTTGCATATAAGTGTGCATAGTATTCTCTGATGGTAGTTTGTATTTCTGTGGGATCAGTGATGATATCCCCTTTATCATTTTTTATTGTGTTTATTTGATTCTTCTCTCTGTTCTTCTTTATTAGTCTGGCTAGTGGTCTATCTATTTTGTTAATCTTTTCAAAAAACCAGCTCCTGGATTCATTGATTTTTTTGAAGGGTTTTTCATGTCTCTAACTCCTTCAATTCTGCTCTGACCTTAGTTATTTCTTGTCTTCTACTAGCTTTTGAATTTGTTTGCTCTTGCTTCTCTAGTTTTTTTAATCGTTATGTTAGGGTGTCGATTTTAGATCTTTCCTGCTTTCTCTTGTGGGCATTTAGTGCTATAAATTTCCCTCTAAACACTGCTTTAGCTGTGTCCTAGAGATCCTGGTACATTGTGTCTTTGTTCTCATTGGTTTCAAAGAACTTATTTATTTCTGCCTTAATTTTGTTAATTACCCAGTAGTCATTCAGGAGCAGGTTGTTCAGTTTCCATGTAGTTGTGTGGTTTTGAGTGAGTTTTTAAATCCTGAGTTCTAATTTGATTGCACTGTGGTCTGAGAGACTGTTTGTTATGATTTCCATTCTTTTGCATTTGCTAAGGAGTGTTCTACTTCTAATTATGTGGTCATTTTTAGAATAAGTGTGATGTGGTGCTGAGAAGAATGTATATTCTGTTGATTTGTGGTGGAGAGTTCTGTAGATGTCTATTAGATCCGCTTGATCCAGAGCTAAGTTCAAGTCCTGAATATCCTTGTTAATTTTCTGTCTCATTGATCTGTCTAATATTGACAGTGGGTGTTAAAGTCTCCCACTATTATTGTGTGGGAGTCTAAGTCTCTTTGTAGGTCTCTACCATGTGCCATCTTCTCTATTCGGCCCTGAGGATACAATAGTGAATAAGACAGACAAGATTTCTGCTCTCAAGGAACTCACAGTCTAGGGAAAAAAATATAAAGAAATTACTTCTTTGCCATATGCAAGTATGCGTGCTACTGTTATGAGTTGAACTGTGTCTCCCAAAAAGCTTTGTTGAAATCCTAATCCTCAGTGAATGTGACCTTATTTGGAAATAGTATCTTTGCCGATGTAATCAAGATAAGATGAGGTCATTAGGGTGGGCTTTACGAGAAGAGAGGAGGCTCAGAAAGACACAGGAGAGATTTTCCTATGAAGACTGGCTGATATTGGAGAGAAGCATCTATAAGCCAGGGAATACCAAGGGTTGCCAACAACTACTGGAAGGTAGGGAGAGGCAAAGAAGGATCCCCCCTTATAGGTTTCAGAGGGAGCATGGCCTTGCTGACACCTTGATTCCAAACTTCCAGCCTCCAGAACTGTGCAAGATTAAATTCATGCTGTTTTAAGCCATCCTGCTTGTGGTCTATTAGTCACAGCGGCCTTAGGAAACTAATACAGCTACTAAGGCAGTGCACAGGAGGAGAGTTGAATGTAATGCAGAGGGTTGACAAAGGATTCCCAGCAGAAATGACATTTAAATTTATAGCAAAAGAATGTGTAGGATGTAGCCATTGGAGGCAGGAGAGGTGCTCCACTTGGGGAGCGCTGCAGGTCCGAAGGCTCGAGGCAAGAGAGAACACATTGGAGGAATTGAAGAAATCCTAAATGGCTAAATTACAAAAATGGAATTATTATAAATGACACTGAAGTAGCCATGAAAGAGCACAGTGAACAGATTAAATAAAATTGTTCATATAACAGAAAGACAAAGAGCAACTTTCTTGGAAAGAGCTTTTAATTGGGGTATTTTTTAAAAAAATTATCCACCTGCTTTCACTTTTATTTATTTTTATTTTTTTGAGACTGGGTCTCACTCTGTCACCCAGGCTGCAGTGCAATGGTGCCATCTCCGATCACTGCAGCCTTGACTTCCTGGGCTCAAGCGATTCTCCCACCTCAGCCTCCCAGGTAGCTGGGACCTACTTCAAGCCCTGCCAATTTTGGGGTTTTTGTTTGTTTGTTTTGTAGAGATGGGGTTTCATCATGTTGCCCAGGTTAGTCTCAACTCCTGAGCTCAAATGATCCACCCACTTTGGTCTCCCAAAGTGCTGGGATTACAGGCATGAGCCACTGTGCCTGGGCATTGCTTTTATTATTTTTAAATTTTATTTTATATTTTATTTATTTAAGACAGGATCTTTCTTCCTCTGTCACCCATGCTGGAGTATAGTGGCATGACAGTAGCTCACTACAGCCTCCAACTCTTGGGCTCAAGCAATCCTTCTGACTCGGTCTTCCATAGCTAGGACTACAGGGGCACACGCTGCCTTGGCCTTCCAAAGTGCTAGGATTGCAGGCTTGAGTCACTGCACCCAGTCTTGCTTTCATTTTTAATGTTAAGGGATTTTTCAGTTTCTTCTGGTAGAATAGGGTCAGGAGATTGGGCTCCAGAGGTAGGGAGGAGAAGATCTAGAAGAGGTGCAGCTTTCTGCAGCATGTTCCAGCAACAGGGCACACAGCACCAAGAAGGCGAGGCACACACACACATACACATACATACACACACACGCGCGCACACACACAAAGGAGATGACAATAAGGAGCTCCTTGTAGCAGATGTTCCCTAGTAACTCCAGATACTGTGATGTCTAGTAGCCAATTTTAATTTATCTTCCCCCTTACTCACAGAACTTCCATAAGCTTTGTTCACTAGCACAAAGCAAATATCTGTCAGCCAGGTGCTAACCCAACTCTGAAAAATAAAGGGATGTTGATGTCAGTGTTTGGAGGTAAAATTGATGAGGGATGGTTAAAATCACAAAAAGATTCAAAGACCTCAAAAAGTGGTCAAGGATAAGCCAAAGGTAAGAGTTCAAGGTGAGAAGGGACAGGCAACAACCAGAAAGTGTGAAATTCTCGTAGTCAGCTTCGGATGAAGACGCTGAATGCTCTATGTGGATGCTAGAGGCTTGAGAACACTTAAGTTACACTATGAATACAACCCAAAAATTTGCAATTGAGAAAGCCAATAGGGAGGCAGCAGTACAGACTCCATTTATGATAAAAACTGCAGAGTTTCTGGTGGGTTAAGGATGGGAAGAAAGAGATAAACCAAAGTCCAAATATGTCTATGTGCTGTAACAAGATTAATAATAATGATAACAATGATATAGCTGTTAATGAGAACTGACTGTGTGCCAGGAACAGTTCAATGTATGTTATTTCAGAGGCACATGTATTAATGAAAGGAGCAGAGAGGATAAGCAACTTGTGCAGTCACAAAGTTTGAAAATTCCATAGCAGACTGCTAGTTATCCTTTCAGCTTTATTCTTCACCACCTCTATGGTAATAATAGACATGTGGCTGCCCATCTAGAGGCTACATTTCTCATCCTCCTTTGCAATTAGGTGTGGCTGTGCTAAAAAGAGAACATGGAAGGCTTAACATTGCAATCCTTAGGAAAACCTGCTTATAAGCTTGGCCCTTGCCTTGTGTCTGGGAATTTGAATAATAAACAGTTCCCTATGTCAAAATAAAACTTTCCCCAAATGATAAAAGCACCTAAATGATTTGTACAAACAATATGGTCTATACTAACCACCTGCATTGCTCCTGGGAATCTGAAATTTTAAAATATGCAAAGTAGAGGGTGTCCCAATAAAAGTCTTGGGCACTGAGTTGCTAATAACTTCCCTGGTGGACACATGTTTTCACAACCCATTGCTGGAGGATTTAAGTGCATCCTGTGTCATTGCACTGGAAGAGGACTCTTGGATGCCTGTGCCTGGTTTCCTCCTGAATTCACCCACGTGTGCTTTTGCTGAGTTTCTTTTTTATCCTTTTGCTGCAATAAATCATAGCCATGGGTATAACTCTATGCTGAGTCATGTGAGCCCTCCCAGTAAATCCCCAATTCTGAGGGTCTTGGGAACCCCTTACACAGTGCCTAAGTTTTCACCAGTGAAATGTGAGTGGAAGTGATGCAAATTTACTTTCACTGGCCTAAACAGAAATTGCTTGCCCTCCATTATGTGTCTTTTATGTTCCTGTAGATTAGAACATGATTGAAGCAGCAAATCAGCTACAATCACGTGGAAGAAAGCAACACCCATAGTTGCAATGTCCACATGGCACACAGCAGCTTCATGTATTATTTAATTTAAAATTTAAATTAGTTAAAATTAAATAAAGTTTAAAATTAAGAACCCCAATTTCACACGTGGCTAGTGGCTATCATATTGAACAGTGAAGATACAATACACTTCCATCACTGCAGAAATATCTATTGGATGGCCGTGCCCTAGAGGCTAGTGGAGCAAAAAGATGAATGGAAACTTGGTCACTAAATGATCTCATGGAACTGAATAGACTTATCAGCCTAGAACACTAACAATCACTGGACTGTTAGATGATAAATATATTTATATCTTATTTAAACAACTGTATTTGAGGATATCTTTGTTACAGCACCTTAGCCTATATTTTAACTAACACAGCTTATAATTTATTCTTAATAAGAATCATGCAGAAAGTACAATAATCATGTAGGACAGGAGCAGACAGCATGTCTGAGCACAGCTTCCCTTTATGCCTAGGTCTTTTTAATCAGGGCACAAGCCTATTGGTAACAGTATCCACATGACATAAGGTCTCCCAGAATCTGAAAAGCTCAATTCTTGCTCCAACACTGCCCCTTTTATACTAAGAGCTTGCATCATTATTCAGGAAGAACTTTAAACAATCTATATGCTTCCTTTTGATTGAGGTATTTAATGCCACAAATATCTCTTTCATTACTGCTTTAGCTTTGTCCCGCAAATTTTGTACGCTGCATTTTCATTTAGTTTGATGCATTTTTGTTATTCTCTTAAGACTTCCCCTTTGACACAGGTATTAGACATGTGCTGCTTATACTTTCTCAGTGTTTGAAGATTTTTAAATTTTCTTTCTGATATTCATTTCTAGTTTGATTCCATTGTGGTCAGACAGCATAATCTATGTATGATTTCAATATTTTTAACTTCGTTGACATTTGTTTTATGACCCAGGATATGGTCGATATTGGTGTATATTCAAAGGGTACTTGAAAAAAACATGAATTCTACTATTGTTAAATGAAGTGTTTTATTGTCAATTAGATCCTGTTGGTTGATTGTCATGTTGAGTTCTCTACATCTTTGATGCTGTTTCTCTCTAGTTGTTCTATCAACAGCTAGTTCTAGTTGAGAGAGGAGTGTTGAAGTCACCAATGAGAACTGTGGATTTATCCATAACTTTTTCTTTCTATCCGTTTTTGCTTCATATATTTTGCAGTTCTGTTGTTTGGTGAACACACACTAGGGATTGCTATGTTTTCTTGGTGAATTGACCCTTTTATCATTGTGTAATGTCCTTCTCTGTTTTTGATATGTTTCTTTTATCTAAACTCTACTGTATCTGATAATAACAGAGCCACATCTGCTTTATTTTGATTAAAGTTTGCATGGTGTGTATTTTCCATCCTTTATTTTTAAGCTACATGTATAATTTGAACTACTTGAAGTGAATTTCTTATACAACATATAATTGAGTCATTTTTTTAAGTCCACTATGCTAATTTGTCTTTTAATTGGTATGTTTAAACTATTTATGTTTAATGTAATTGCTGATCTGTTAAGGCTTAAATATGCCATTTTATTTTTTACTTTATCTTTGATCTTTGTATTTCTGTTTCTCTGCTTTTATTTTTCTGCCTTCTAGTAGATGACTCAAACATTTTTTAAATGCCATTTTGATATGCCTATAGTGCTTTTGAGTGATTTTCTTTGTAGATCTCTTTTAGTGGTTTCTCTAAGTATTACATTACAGACATTTAATTTATCTGAGTCCACTGGTGTCAACATTTTACCAGTTAGAATGAAGTATAGAGACCTTATGTCTCTTCATATCACTTTATTCCCTCTCTTTAGAATATAATTGTCTTATTTCCTCTCCATGCACTGAGAGCCACATTAGACAGTTAGACTTTTGCTTCAATAATCAAACATAATTTAACAACTCAAGAAAAGGAAAGTCTTGTTTTTACTGATTGTTTTACTCATCCCATGTTCTTTCTTCCTTCCTACTGTTCCAAGACTTTTTATTTTACTATTTCTTTTTTGTCTAGAGAACTTCCTTTAGCCATTCTTTTAGAATAGGTCTGCTGGCAACAATTTTTTTTAGTTTTCCATCATCTGAGAATGTCTTTATTTCCCCTTCATTCTTGAAGGATATTTTCACTGGACATAGAATTCTGGGTTGACAGTTCTTTTCTCTCAGCACTTGAAGAGTGTTATGTCATTCCCTCTGGCCTCCATGGTTTCTGATGAGAAATCTGCTTGTCATTCAAACTTTTTTTTTTGCTATGGGTAATAGGTAATGTGTTATTTTTCTCTAGCTGCTTTTAAGAATTTTTCTTTGTCTTTAGTCTTCAGATAGAAAAGATAGTCTAGATTCTCTACTTGCCCTGTTGACACCCAGGGTGAGAGGGGCCTCTAGTCACTACTAGGCAGGGGTGGGAATTCAGATTCCCCACTGGGCCTCCAGTGATAACACCTTGCCTGGAGAGCAGTGCCTGCTCCCCATCTGGATGCATCTGACATAGCTGGGGAGGTGGTAGGTGGTGGCCTTGTTGTTGCTGAGTGTTGGTGAAGGTACTGACTCTCCACTAGGCCTTAACTGACATCCTATTGGGGAGGGGAAAGACCACCTCCTTAAGGATGGAGGGAGTGGAAGCCCAGGCTCTCCACATGGTCTCTCCTAGCACCACAGTGGAAAAGAAGGAAGGGGACTCATTGCTTCCTGGCAGAGGTAAAAGTCCCAGCTCTTCACTAAGCATTCCCTGACACTACCCCAGTGGGGTGTTGGGTGCCTCCTTATAGCCTCATGGGGGTAGAAGGCTGGGCTTCTCACTTGGCCTCCCATGTTGGGGGAGGTAGTGGGGCCATAGTTTTTTCTGTATATTTGGCTGGAGTCTGGTGGTTATTATCTCAAGCTTTTCTATTTTTCTAGGCCATCCCTTCTCTGGTCCTTTGGCTGAAGAAATCAAGCTTTTCTTAGGACATGTTATTTGTTTGCATCCATTGACGTTTCTGGATTCTCCAGAAACTATTTGGATACTGTCACCTCTAGTATCAAGTCTGAAATATATGAAACAAAAAGAAAAGCCTGGGAACTCACCACTGTGTCATTCCACAGGTTCTGAGGTCTCCAGCTGGTGTGCCCCTTCACTTTTCAGTCTTTTTAGGTTTATTTATTATGTCCAGGATTGTAGTTGTTCTTAGCAGGAGAAATAGGGGGATATGTGAATATTCCATCTTCCTGGAAGAAGACATGCTTCCTTTTAAGACAATGTGTACTAAATCAGGTACTCCCAATTTTTAACCCTAGATCAGATTTGCAAGGCCACATTCTCATCACAGGGAGTACCTGCCAATGATCCATCTCTCACCACCACTGGCTTTCCATTTCCCCACAGGGACAGATGGAAATAATATTTATAAAGGAAAAACAGAACATCAAACTAAAATTAAGAATCCATGGCTGGGCGCCGTGGCTCACGCCTGTAATCCCAGCACTTTGGGAGGCTGAGGCGGGCAGATCACGAGGTCAGAAGATCAAGACCATCCTGGCTAATACAGTGAAACCCTGTCTCTACTAAAAATACAAAAAATTAGCGGGGTGTGGTGGCAGGCGCCTGTAATCCCAGCTACTTGGGAGGCTGAGGCAGGGGAATTGCTTGAACCCAGGAGGGGGAGGTTGCAGTGAGCTGAGATTGCACCACTGCGCCACTGTACTCCAGCCTGGGTGATAGAGTGAGGCTCCGTCTCAAAAAAAAAAAAAAAAAAAGAATCCACAAGTGACAATAGATACCTATCATGTATTTCAAGTTCCATTATAATTTTCTGTGGGTAATATTTTCATACATTAACCTTTCTCCCATTTAGAAAAAACGAAGTGCAGCTTACTGCCAGCTCTCATTTGGTTTTACATAAACACATTCTTTGAGGCTGAAGCAAATCTGACTGATTTTCAATGTGAAAATGAAACATAAAAACTGTTCTTGGATTTATTTCTAAACAGAACTAACATCAGAATCATCTCAATCATGAGAATCATCTATTTCCAAAAAAATGGATTCATCGAATGAACCTTTGGCCAACAACTGTTCGAGAACGATGTTAATATCATGCGTGGGAATGCTACGTTTTCTAGTATTTGACATTTACAGCAATCGAGAATTACTGTATTTTGTAAATGGAAATACCACTACTAAAAAGAGAGAGCTATAAATAGAATGATGTCTTTTGTTTCCAAAATCAATGTGCTAGAGTGATGCAACAATAATAATAAAAGCGAGATATTTAGTGACAAAGATATTTCAGGGTAAACGCTACAGCCTCAAGTGCCACTGGTGAGTATTCTCAGGGCAAATGGTTAAACAGATATTCTTTTCATTTCTAGTCATTTCTTTTTTGCCCTATGATTCTTCCTCCATTCAAACCATACTCTAAGTCATCTACTGCCTACAGGGAGAGATGCTTCCACAGAACAGCAGATTGTTTTCTCAGTTATAACAACCTAATATTGTGAGTATATGGCAAAACGTATGTATTATCAAACGATTGGAGAGAATGCATAATTATATAAAATTCAAATTTTGCTATCCTAGAGGAAATACAGATTATCTTAGCTGTGGGAGATAGGGAGTCATAAGATAGAAAAACAGGAGTGTTACTTGCTGATAAATATCTCTCAGAATGGCAGCCACGTGTTTTGTGTGTGTCTGAGGATCCAAGTAAGAACAGCCTGGAGAGGTCTTAGAACAGGACAAGGCAGACACAACAACCAGCCACGTTGTGTCTGATGAGTGGAAGCCTGATTTACATTCCATTGCTTGGGAACAAATGACAACCATGTAAGGACAGATCCCAAGTGGGCTTGTTCTCACCCCCACCCTGGGAAATTTCAGCATTCCTGGGAATGATGCTCATTCCTGAAGGTGTGAGGGCCATGCCGGAAGCTAGAGTGTGAATTGACATGGGAAACCCCATTTAGCTTCTATGAAACAGGGGCTTAATATACAAATCACATTCCATTTTAAAAATATATGTCTTACATACCTGTGTTGAAAGTTTAAGATTCATGCCCACTACAGAAATAATGAAGTAAATGTTGGCAAGTGACCAGAATTATTCAAATAAGGGATCTTGGTGTTTCAGTAGACTTGGTAGACTAAGTATATATTGAGAAATAAATTCATTGAATTTTTGTTTAACATATCCACAAACATTTAAATTCTTAATGAGGTTCTATTCCAGCACCATAATAATTAACTATGAAATGCCATAATGACTAAGAGGTATAATAGGTAGTTCTATACACAGTAGATAATTCAGCCTTTAGAGGTCTCTACCCTTTGAAAAAGAGCCACAAGGAAAATGAAAATTGAGTGATTCATAGAGTCAAATATTGTTTGGAAAAACAAAAGCAGTATATGGACAGGAAGAATCATTATCAGTAAAATGGCCATACTGCCCAAAGCAATTTATAGATTCAGAACTACTCCTATCAAACTACCAATGACATTCTTCACAGAATTAGAAAAATCTGTTTTAAAATTCATATAGAACCAAAAAAGAGCCAAAGCAGTCCTAAGCAGAAAGAACAAAGCTGGAGGCATCACATACTCAACTTCAAACTACACTACAGGGCTACAGTAACCAAAACAACATGGTACTGGTACACATAGACCAATGGAACAGAATGGACAGTCCAGAAATAATGCTGCACCATCTACAACTATCTGATCTTCGACAAAGTTGACAAAAACAAGCAATAGGGAAACGACTCCCTATTCAATGAATGGAGCTGGGATAACTGGCTAGCCTTATGCTGCAGATTGAAACTGGACCTCTACTTTATGCCATATACAAAAATCAACTCAAGATGGATTGAAGACTTGAATGTAAAACTTAAAACTATAAAAACTCTGGAAGGTAACCTAGGAAATACTATTAGGACTTAGGACGTGGCAAAGATTTCATGATGAAGACACCAAAAGCAACTGCAACAAAAACAAAAATTTACAAATGAGATCTAATTAAACTAAAGAGCTTCTACACAGTAAAAGAAACTATCAGCAGATAAACAACCTACATAATGGGATAAAATATTTTTAAAGTATGAATCCATCAAAGGTCTAATATCCAGCATCTTAAGTAACTTCAACAAACTTACAAGCAAAACACAAACAACTCCATTTAAAAAGTGGGCAAAGGACACGAACAGACACTTTTCAAAAGAAGACATATAAGCAGCCAGCAAGCAAATGAAAAAATGCTTAACACCACTAATTACCAGAGAAATGCAAGTCAACACCACAATGAGATACCATCTCACACCAGTCAGAATAGCTATTATTAAAAAGTCAAAAAAATAACAGATGCTGGTGAAGTCGCAGAGAAAAGAGAATGCTTATGTACTGGTGGGAGTGTAAATTAGTTCAGCCATTGTGGAAAGCTGTGTGGCAATTTGTCAAAGAACTTAAGACAGAATTGCCATTTGACCCAGCAATCTCATTTTTGGATATATACCCAAAGGATAAATCATTCTACCATGAAGACACATGCACATGTATGTGCATTGCAGCAGTCCCAATAGCAAAGACACGGAATCAACCTAAATACCCATCAATGGCAGACTGGATTAAAGAAAATATGGTACATATACACCATGGAATACTATGCAGCCACACACACACACAAAAAAGCCGAGATCATGTCCTTTGCAGCAACATAGATGGAGCTGGAGATTCTGATGATCCCAAAGGTAGAGATAAAGGGAATACTACAAAACCCAAAATCAAGCTCAATTAAATTAGATCAATAACCATAGCCTCTGTTGTTTCCAGAAAGGCTTATTCTATGCTCTCCCTCCCTCCAACTCCTCATAGCCTCTCTTTCCTCCAGGTCTCCAGTGTTGACTCCTCTCTGGGGCCAAAGCAAACCTGTAAAATGTGAGCTAACCTGGAGTTCAGCTTCCTCAAAGGCTGTTCCTGGGGGCTTCTGGATAAAGATGGTGGGTAATGATATTTTACTCCACTGCCCTCCTCAAATTTTTCTGAAAACAATAAGGATGAAAATTTGAGGGAAAAAAGAAACACAACAACATCATCAGTGAAATGGGAACCAATCACAGCACCATTTCACAAGTACACAGCCCAGAACCTGGGGAGTCTGGTCAGAAGTGTGGGAGGAACAAAGCTCCCGCACAATGCAGGAATTGTCTGCATTCTGAGGGCTACCCGGAGATCTTTAGAGCATCTAGTCCTGAGGGTAGCAATGGGCCACAGAAGCGAGGTGCATGGTCTGTTCAGACATACATGTTCCTTTAATGAAAATGGATTCAAATACAGTTGGTCATTAGACAATACCAGTATAATGGGGAAATTGTGTAGGCTCCTAGGTGACCTTTTCCAGTCAGTTTGATGCTACCAGGGGCAAAACTTCTACAATTAAAAAGAAAATCTTAACAATATATGAAATCCTGAAGGGGGCAAAAAGAGGCTGAAAATCCTTTACTACAAGTATTGGCTGGTTTAGTGACTTCAAGAAGCCCTACATTTTCTACAACCGTAACCATTTCAGGGAAGTGAAAGTACAGACGAAAAACTGCAAAGGCATTTCCCCCATATTGAAAAAAATAAATGAAGAAACACTTAACACCTGGATCAGGTCACGCTTTCATTTTTATACCAATCTTTGTTAAAAGCAAATGCCCTCAAGGACCTACACCTCAGTTTAAGGCTGCAAAAGACCTACTGAATGATGCTGGACACAAATACGTGTGGAGATTTAACTGTGCTATTGGGGTTTGTTTTAAATAGACTTATTTTTTAGAGCAGTTTAGGTTCACAGCAAAATTGAGCAGAATGTACATCCTCTGGCCCCACATATGCACAACCTCCTCTATTATCAATGTCCCCCACCACAGTGGTAAATTTGTTACAGCTGATGAAACTACATTGATATGTCATTATCACCTATAGTCTATAGTTTACACTAGGGTTCACTCTTGGTGGCATACAATCTATGGGTTTGGACAAATGTATAATGACATGTCTCCACCCTTATAATATCATACAGAGTCGTTTCGCTGCCCTAGAAATCCTGTGGTCTGCCTATTGATCCTTCCCTCCCCCTAACTCCTGACAACCACTAATCTTTTACGCCCTATAGTTTTGCCTTCTCCAGAATGTCACTTAGTTGGAGTCATAGAGCATGTAGCTTCTTCAGATTGGCTTCTTTCACTTAATAATATGAATTTGAGTTTTTTCCATGTCTTTTCACAGCTTGATAGCTCATTTCTTTTTAGCACTGAATAATATTCCATTGTCTGGATATACTGTAGTTTATTCATCTACTGAAGGTCAATTTCAAGTTTTGGCAATTATTAATAAAGTTGATATAAACATTCGTGTGCAGGTTTTGGTGTGGATATAAGTTTTCAGCTCCTTTGAGTAAACACCAAAGAGCACAATTGCTGAATCATATGGTAAAAGTATGTTTAGTTTTGTAAGAAATCACCAACTGTCCTCCAAATTTTGCATTTCCACCAACAATGAAGGAGAGTTCTTGTTGCTTCACATCCTTGTCAGCATTTGGTGTTGTCAGTGTTCTGGGTTTTGCCCATTCTAACAGTGTAGTGGTATCTTATTGTTGTTTTAATTTGCATTTCCCTGATGACATATGCTGTGAAACATATTTTCATGTTTATTTGCCATCTGTATATCTTCTTTGGTGAGGTATTTGTTAAGGTCTTTGGCCCATTTTTAAACTGGGTTGTTTGTTTCCTTATTGTTAAGTTTTAAGAGTTCTTTGTATATTTTGGATAAAGTCCTTTATCTAATATGTCTTTTGCAAATATTTTCTCCCAGTCTGTGGTTTTTCTTTTCATTCTCTTGACATTGTCCTTAACAGAGCAGAAGTTTTTAATTTTGATGAAATCTGGCCTATCAATTCTTTCTTTCATGGATTGTGCCTTTGATGTTTTATCTAAAATGTCATCACCAAACCCAAAGTCATTTAGATTCAAAAATATTATCAATATTCTGAGAGATGTAAGAGAAGACATTGTAGCCATAAAACAAGAACAGAAGGCTATTAAAAAGGGAATATTTCAAGAACAAAAAGCAAGTTAAACATTAAAAAATTTTAAAGGTGACAGGTCCAGATAGTGCAACATCTAAAAGTAACAACAAACCAGAATTAAAGAAAGATAGAACAGAGAAAACAGAAGGATGGAAATCAACAAAACAATTCAAGAAACTTTTCCAGGATAGAAATATACAAGTTTCCAGAGTGAAATGGCTATTGAATGCACAGCACAATTAATAAAAAGACTCCCCACACCAAGCATATTCTTTTAAAATCTCAGAACTCTGGGGACAAATAGATGATTCTGCATGCTTCAAAGAGGAAAAAACAAACAGGTCACATAGAAAGAAAAAAACAGGAATCAAATGGCCTTAGACTTCTCAAAACAGCATTAAAAGCAAGAATACTGGAAGAATGAGAAACAATGGAGCAGACAGTGATTTCTTAAATATAATACCAAAGATATAAGCAGCAAAAGAAAAAAACAGAAAAAGTGAACTTCATGAAAATTTAAAGATTTTATGCATAAAAAGATACTACCAAGAAAGAAAAACGGCAATCTATGGAATAGGAGGAAATATTTGCAAATTATATATCTGATAAAAGATTCATACCCAGAATACATAGAGAACCCCTGAAACTCAATAACAAAAAACAAGCTGATTCAAAAATGGGCAAAGGATTTGAACAGACATTTCTCCAAAGAAGATATACAAATGGCTAGTAAGTACATGAAAAGGTGCTCAACATAACCAATCACTAGGGAAATGCAAATCAAAGTTACAATGAGATTCCACCCCACGCCCATTAGAATGGCTACTATTAAATAAAAAATAAAAACAGTCCAGTCATGGTGGCTCATGCCTGAAATCCCAGCATGATCCCTGCCTTTGGGAGGCCAAGGCAGGCGGATCACTTGAGGTCAGGAGTGCGAGATCAGCCTGGCCAACATGGTGAAACCCCACCTCTACTAAAAATACAAAAATCAGCAGGGCATGGTGGCGTATGCCTGTAGTGCTAGCTACTGCAGAGGCTGAGGCATGAGAATCACTTGAACCGAGGAGGCGGAGGTTGCAGTGAGCTAAGATGGTGCCACTGCACTCCATCCTGGGCAAGAGAGAGAGACTTCATCTCAAGAACAAAAAACAAACAAACAAAAACAAGTGTTGGTGAAGACGTAGAGAAATTGGAACCCCTGTGCGCTATTGGCAAGATTGTAAAATGGTACAGCTGCTGTGGAAGACAGTGTGGTAGTTCCTCAAAAACTAAAAGTAGAATTACCTTGATCCAGCGATTTCACTTCACAGTATATAGTCAAAAATATGTGATATGGTTTGGCCCTGTGTCCCCACCCAAATCTCATCTGGAATTGTAATCCCCTTGAGGGAGGGACCTGGTGGGAGGTGACTGGATCATGGGGGCGGTTTCCCATGATCATGCCTTTCTCATGATAGTGAGTTCTCACGAGATCTGATGGTTTTAAAAGTGACAGTTTTTCCTGAGCTCCCTCTCTCTCTCTCCTGCTGCCATGTAAGACATACTTTGCCTCCCCTTCACCTTCTGCCATAACTGTAAGTTTCCTGAGGCCTTCCCAGCCATGTGGAACTGTGAGTCAACTAAACCTCTTTTATTTATAAATTACCCAGTCTTAGGTAGTATATTTATAGCATGTGAAAACAGAACAATACAGGATGAAAAACAAGATTATAAAAAAGACAAGAAATAATAAATGCTAGCAAGGGTGTGTAGAAAAGGAAACCCTAGTACTCTGGTGGAAATGTAGACTGGTGTAGCCATTATGGAAAACAGTATGGAGAGTCCTTAAAAATTAAAAATAGAGCTACCATATGGCCCAGCAATCCCTCTTCTGGGTATATACCCAAAGGAGGTGAAGTCACCACCTCCTGAAGATATCTGCACTCCCACGTTCATTGCAGCACTATTCACGATAGCCAAGATATGGAATCAAACTTAGTGTTCATCAATGAATGAATGAGTAAAGAAAATGTGAGAGTTATATAGATATATTTACAATGGGATATTATTCAGCCTTAAAACATGAGATCCTGTCATCTGCCACAATAGGAGGTGGACCTAGAGGACATTAGGCTAAGCAAAATAAGCCAGACACAGAAAGAAAAATATTGCTTCATCTCACTTATGTGTAGAATCTTAAATTTTTTTTAAAAAAACGGTCAAACATATAGAGAAAGAGAATAAAACAGAAAATAGTAACTACCAGGGCAGGGGGTGCGTGGGGAATGGGGAACTGTAAGTCAAAGGCTACAAAGTGGCAATCACAGATGAAGAAGTGTAGAGATCTAATGTACAACATGAGGACTCTAATAAAATCGTATTAGGAATTTTTGTTAAATAAGTAGACTTTAGCTGCTCTTGCTCCAAAAAAGTAACTGTGTGACATTAGATATGTTAATTTGCCTCTCTATAATAACCATTTTATTATCTATATGTATCCCATAACATCAAGTTGTCAACCTCAAATATACACAATAAAATTTACTTGAAAGAAATAAAACTTTATTACAAAAAAAAAAAAAGAATTGAAACGGTGTCTTTGAGGAGGTGGAGAAGTGGTTGCAATTTTATTTTTTAAATTGTTTAATATTATTTTCATTGACAAATCATAATTGTATTATATTTATGGAGTATAATGTGATGTTTTGACATATATATACAATGGGAATGATTACATCAAGCTAATTAACACATCCATCACCTCATTTACTTAACATTTTTTGTGGTGATACAATTGAAACTTACTCTTTTAGTTATTTTGAAATATACGTTATTATTGACTACAGTCACCCTGCTGTGCAATAGATCTCAAAACTTATTCTTTCTGTGCAGCCAAAACTTTGTACTTTTTGACAAAACTCCCCATTCCATTGCTCCCCAGTGCTCTCCCAAGCCTCTGGTAATCATCATTTCTACTCTCTACATCTATGAATTCAACTTTTTTAGATTTCACATATAAGTGAGATCATGTGGTATTTGTCTTTCTGTGTGTGGAGATATCCCTCCAACATATTGATTTCAATTCCTTTGAATATATCCCAGAACTGGGATTATTAGATCATATGGCAGTTCTGTTTTTAGTTTTTTAGGGATGAAAACAGAGTCTTGAACATTTGTACACACATGTTCGTAGTAGCATTATTCGCAATAGCTAAAACATGGAAGCAACCCAAGTGTCCACTGAGGGATGAATAGGCAAAATGCAGCATAGACATACAATGGAATATTATTCATCCTTAAAACGAAGGAAATTCTGACCTATGCTATAACATGGATGAAACTTGATGACATTATGCTAAGTGAAATAAGCCAAATGTTGACAAATAAGCAAAAAAAAAAAAAAAACAAATATTATATGATTGCAATTTTTTTTTTTTTTTTTTTTGAGATGTAGTCTCTCTCTCTTGCCCAGGCTGGAGTGCAGTGGTATGATCTTGGCTCACTGCAACCTCCACCTCCTGAGTTCAAGCGTTTCTCCTGCCTCAGCCTCCCAAGTAGCTGGGATTACAGGCACACACCACCACACCCTGCTAATTTTTGTATTTTTAGTAGAGATGGGGTTTCACCATATTGGCCAGGCTGGTCTCGAACTCCTGACCTCATGATCCGCCCGTCTCGGCCTCCCGAAGCGCTGGGATTACAGGTGTGAGCTACTGTGCCCAGCCTATGATTGCAATTCTATGAGGTAGAGTAGTGAAAATGATAGCAACAGAAAGTAGAACGGTGGGGATGGGAGCAGTGGCTCACACCTGTAAACCTGACACTTTGGGAGGCCAAGGCAGGAGCAGCATTGCTTGAGTCCAGGAGTTTGAGACCAGCCTGGGCAACATAGAGATTCCATCTCTACAAAAAATAAAAATAAAAATAAATTAGACAGGCATGGTGGCATGCACCTCTATTCCTAGCTACTTGAGAGGCTGAGGTGAGAGAATTGCTTGAGCCTGAGAGGTTGAGGCCACAGTGAGCCATGATCACACCACTGTACTCCTGCCTGGGTGACAGAGCAAGATCCCATCAGGAAGAAGAAAAGGAAAGGAAAGGAGAGGAAAGGAAAGGAAAATGGAAAGGAAAAAGGAAAGGAAAAGTAGAATGATGATTGCCAGGGGATGGGGAGAAAAGGGAATGAGGGGTTGTTGTTTAATGTGTACAGAGTTTCAGTTTTACAAGATGAAAAGAGTTATGGAGATGGACAGTGGTGATAGTTGCACATTATGAATGTAGGTAATACCACACTGAACTATACACTTAAAATCATTAAGATACTAAATTTATGTGATATGTATTTTATCACAATAAAAAAATTGCGGAAATTTTTTGAAGGGATGGAGCAATGGCATGTCAACAGTTCTCAATTCATCCAAGCAATTAATCAAGTGTGAAGACAGAATGAACACATTTTTAGACATTCCAGGACTCCAAAAATGTACATCTCATGCATTCTTTTGGAAGTAAGTACTGCATTTGGGCTTCACCAAAACAAGAAAATAAGCCAAGGAAAAGGAAGACATGGAGTAGAGGAAAGAGGAGAGAATTGAAGGTAATCTCAAGGTGGAACGATGAGGGGGGTTTCTGGGTAATACCGGTGTATCAGGTTTAGAGGACAACAGTCCAGACTGAAGCAGTGTGACCAAAAGGCAGCTGTGCTGGGGAGCTGTTATCCCTTGGACGCCTACTGCCTTTGAAACAGAGGACAGAATGCCCAGATAAGCCAGCTTATATTGTTATCTATATTCAGCCTAACTTGACCATAGGCTGGTTAACAGCACTCCTGCCTTCCTCTTCATGCCCTACAACCTAGAAAAACTGAAGATAAGTAGAATGTGCGCTTTCACCCAATATTTCTCAATAATTAGCATGCATCAAAATCACTGGAGGGCTTGTTTAAACACAGATTGTGGGGCCCCAATCTAAGAGGAAATCACACCTTCTAGACAAGTGTCTTTAGTTACACAATGAAAATATTCCGAGACTTGATGAACCACTTAAACCAACTTGCTTGTTTTTATATATTTTATCTCTACTATGAATATTTTGTTTTCATTATATGAGTGGAATAGATTAATTCCACTTTATAATTTACAATAGTGTACAGCATTAGCTAGGTGAATAATCAGTTTTCAGATGTTAAGATGTATTGATATATTCACGTGATTCACAAATTAACCATAACTAAATAATAAGTCGCAAGTCAACAGTTGGCACAGTGATCCTTAGTAATTTAGCATTTGAGCAGTTTAGATGTCTTGATCTAAGAAACACATTCTCCAAGCCCTGGAGTCTCCAGTCTTCACTGACCAGGGATTAAGAGACTTGTGTACATTAAAACCCCCACTCCACCCCCTCACACCAATTTAAATATTGGTCAAGCCCTTTTAAAAAACAGATGGCAAAATAAACTTCACTGGACATTTTTGCTCAAAGAAGACACACTTTTTCTTAATGTAGTGATAGTTGTTGACTAAATGATGACAATGGGAATGATTCCAAAGAGAAAAAGGTCAAAAGAGTTTGTACCTGTTTTTCTCAAAATATGATCCCTCAAATGCTGGGTTCGTTTGATTTTGTAGCTGTAAGTTATGGTCAAGTGCTAAACCCCCGGGTGTTATTTGTAGAAGCTAGGGAAGTAATGGAACCACCTAAACGCTGAAACCTAAGTGGTGTTTGAATTAAAAAAACATAAGTTCAAAACCACAAATCATTATTTCCCTTATAACTGTGTTTAGTTATGATGGAAAAGGACAAAATGTGCATGTACAGCAATTTCCATATTAATCAAGTGTATGTATACATATTATGTGCAGTTTTCTATCTTTTTCCTATATGAGGTTGTTCTGATTATTTTTATTAAAATATAATTTTATGCCTATAATCTAATAAAATAAACGGGCTTTTATTTTGTATGTTTTCTTTTCATTTAATTTTTCTAGCAATTTATTTTTATTGTCTTTTGCAAAAGAATTAGTCTGTGATGGAGTGGAAATTACAAAAAAAAAAAAAGCTAACCACAGTAATTTGAGAAACACTGATCCAGCTCACTCAAGCATGGTATATATATATTAGGTTTAACCAGATGAAACTGCCAATAATCTACCATTTTGACTTTCAAATGGCAGATGTAATATATGGATGTTTATTTTACGATTAGTCTTTAAAGACCAATTTCAAATAGTGGATATAACAAAGCCTCTGTTCTGACATGTATACACTTTGATCCTAGATAAGCCCCTACACTCTTTTTTTTTAAGTACAATGTCCATTTTATTTTTCTCCAGAGAATAGTCTGTCTTCAGTCTTTAAGAACTCAGCTCCTTACATGGGCTTTGGTGGGGGACGTGCGGCAGCACCCGCAGGTCTAAATCGGGGTGGGGGTGTTCGGTCCTTGCGGGCTTCACGAGATCGATTCCTGACTACTTTGCTGTGAATTACACAACTCACACAGTAATGTAGCTTCACACACAGCTTGGGAAGCACATAGGCATCGAAGACGCTCGCTTCAGAAATGTCCCTGACTGCTGCAGCCTCCACTATGTTTCGAATGACGAATTTCTTAATGGCGTTGTCCTTGGGCACGCATCGGGCACAGTTAGTGCAGCGAATAGGCTGCACGTGGCCGCGGCCCTTTTTGGCACGAACGTTGTTCCTTCTTTTCTTTGTCATCTTGGAGGCATGGACCGGAGAGAGCGATAAGCCCCTACACTCTTATTCTGGACCTATTTACTCCTGTGTTACATACAACCATCTAAGGCTTGGTTTGGTTTCTCCAGGATTCAACAAAATTGGAAATGGAAACAAGAGTTGCTACAGGTAAACTCACTGGCAACAGCATGAAATATCAAGTGGAGGAGACAGAAAAACTACAAAAAGTTGAAAATAGCTATCTGTGGCTATTTAATGATGGGGCAAATACCTTGCTATTTCTCAATAGACCCTAGAAACATCACTGTACCCACTTATATTTAAAGTCCTGAGTAATCAATAAAACAACAATTTGTATTGGTTACATTGATGGGGGAGTATATAACACATTTCTGATTCAAAATGCCGAATACACAGTTTTCGAGTTTAAAGAAGTAAATCCTCAGTTCTCCAAAGAATTCATCCATCTGGACAATTTTAGTCCCAAGTGAATCATTTCTACATGACAGCAGAACACAAAATTGATAGGATTCAGATATTATAATTAGACAGACTAAGCATTAAGACACACACACACACACACACACACACACACACACACATGCACGCACATATACTTTCCCACAGAAATCCTTGGGTATAACATTAATCACAATCAGCAGTTTTCCTTCTATTCAAATTCAGCTTCCAGGAAGATCAAAGCTGTTAAACTAACAAGGCTCTGAATAATTGCCTCGCTAGGACCTAGTTAAACCTGATTGAGACAGTCAGACCTTAGCTGTCATGTGTCCATCCATTTGTATCCCCCTTAATATGTCCTTGATATGAGAAGACATGATGGTATAGTTTGATATAATTTAAAAGAATATTACAATGTGTTGGGGATATCAATTACACCCAAGACCCCTGTAACCGTCCATACAATATCTTCCTTGGATGGCCAGTTGAGAGCAGCTCCTCTACCCATGTCCCAGCTAGGTGTACAGATGCTATTGGCCTGGAGCCAGGCCATTCTGGATGCCACATAAGGAAGAATGGGATAGGTCAGGGGACAAGATTGGAGGGGTAGATTGCAGTTAAGTAACTGCTGTAAACTCAGGAAAGAGACCATAGTTGACTCAAATAACACAGGTTTGAACTGCAAAGTTCTGCTTACATGTGGATTTTTTCAACAAATGTATTAGAAAAGATTTTGGAGATTTACAATAATTTGAAAAAAACTCACAAACCCGCAGTTGAGAAATATTTTAAAAATTAAGAAAAAGGTATGTCTTGAAGGCATAGAACATGTAGTTATCAATCTATTTTACCATTTACTACCATAAAATATACACGAATCTACCATAAAAGGTTAAAATTAATCAAAACACATGCAAACACTTATTCACAGTCAAGACAAATGTAACCAAATATAAAGATGTAGTATTAAATCATAACTACATGAAATTAAGTGTAGTAATACTATACTATTGTAATAATTTTGTAGCCACCTCCTGCTGCTACTGCAGTGAGCTCAAGTGTCACAAGTATATGCTTAACACCATGTAACACTAATTATCTCTGAGTGAACATTTCATCTTTCCAGTAAATTGTGTGTCACAGTAAAAAGTGACCTCTTCTGGTTCATCATGCTTAAGTGTAACACCATTTACCTTAATAACACCAGGGGACCCATACAAAGTGCCACTAGTAAATAATGCTGGAAATGCTCCCAAAAAGCAGAAAAAAAGTCATAACATTACAAGAAAAAGTTGAATTGCTTGATATGCACCATAGATTGAGATCTGCAACTCCAGTTGTCTGCCAATTCAAGATAAATAAATCCAGCGTAAGGACCATTGTAAAACAAGAAAAGGAAATTCGTGAAGCTGTCAATGCAGCTATGCCACTAGGTGCAAAAATTTTGCACTTTTTCCAAAACACCTTTCTGTCTCGTATTGAAAATGCATCTTTTACCAGACATAGTGGCTCACACCTGTAATCCCAGCACTTCAGGAGGCCAAGGCAGGCGAGACCATCCTGGCCAATATGGTGAAACCCCGTCTCTACTAAAAATACAAAAAATTAGCTGGGTGTGGTGGTGTGCACCTGTAGTCCCAGCTACTCAGGAGGCTGAGGCAGAAGAATTGCTTGAACCTGGGAGGCGGCAGTTGCAGTGAGCCTAGATGGCACCACTGCACTCCAGCCTGGCAACAGAGTGAGACTCTGTCTTTAAAATAAAGAAAATGCAGTTTTTATGCGGGGCAGGATTGCTATAAGAAAGGCACATCTATGGGCTCGAATATAATTAGAGAAAAAGTAAAGTCATTAAATCACAACTTAAAGGGAAAATGAAGGATATAAAACTGGAGAATTTAATGTCAGCAAAGGATGGTTTTATAATTTTAGAAAGAGGTTTTGCTTTAAAAATGTCAAGATAACAGGAGAAGCAACTTCTGCTGACCAAGAGGTGAGTTCCCTTATGCCATTAAGAAAATCATGGAGGAGGAAGGTTATCTGCCTGAACAGATTTTTAATGTAGATGAAAGTGCCCTGTTCTGGAAAAAAAAAAAAAAGAAATGCCACAAAGGATATTTATTAGTAAAGAAAAGAAGTGAGCTCCAGGATTTAAGGCAGAAAGAGAGAGGGTAACTCTACCGTTTTGTGCAAATGCAGTCAGGTTTATGACCAGGATTGCTCTTAACTAAAAAGCTGCTAACCCCTGAGATTTGATGAGAAAATATAAATACCAACTATAAGTATTTTGGTTATACAACAAAAAGGCCTGAACAACAAGAACACTTTTTCTGGATTTGTTCTATTGATGCTTTGTCTCTGAAGTCAGGAAGTACCTTGCCAATAAGGGGTTGCCTTTTAAAGTTCTTTTGATATTGGACAATGCCCCTGGCCACCCAGAACCCCAAAAGTTCAACATTAAAGGCCTTGAGATGGTCTACTTGCCCCCAAACACAAGGTCTCTAATTCAGCCACTAGATCAGGGGGTCATAAAGACCTTCAAGCTCATTACATAGTGCAATCTCTAGAAAGAATTGTCAACATTATGAAAGCGAACCTGATAGAACATTATGAAAGCCTGGAAGGACTACACCATTGAAGATGCCATCATTGTTATAGAAAAAGTCATGAAAGCCATCAAGCCCAAAACAATACACTCCTGCTGGAGAAAACCGTCCAGAGGTTGTACATGACGTCACAGGATTAACAACAGAGCCAATCAAGGAAATCATGAAAGAAACTGGATATGGCAAAAACAGTGGGGTGGAGGGGGTGGGTGATGAAGAGCTTCAAGATAGCAATCATGGAAATATTTAAGAGCAAATAGACACCACACTAGAGAAATTAACAGAAGATGGTTTGATGGAGACGAGTGCTTCTGAACCAGTGCCAGAGGATGAGGAAGATGTAGAAGCAGTGCCAGGAAACAAACTGACATTAGACAATCTGGCAGAAGGGTTCTGATTATTCAAGACTGCTTTGGACTACTTTTAAGACATGGACTCTGCTATGTTACAGGCACTAAAACAGAAGCAAACAGTGGAAGAAGGATCGGTACCATATAGAAACATTTTAAAATAAATGTAAAAGCACAAAAGTCTAACAGAAATTATGATGTATTTCCATAAAGTCACCCCGAGGGTGCCTGCCTCTCCTGCTCCCTCTACCTCTTCCACCTCTGCCACCCCCAAGACAGCAAGACCAACCCCTCCATTTCCTCCTCAGCCTACTCAGCATGAAGACAATGAGGATGAAGGCCTTTAGGGTGATCCACTTCCACTTAATAAATAGTAAGTATATCTTCTCTTCCTTATGATTTTCTTAATAATATTAATCTCTTCTCTAGCTTACTTTATTGTAAGAATACAGTATATAATATATATATAACATACAAAAGATGTGTTAATCTACTGTTTATGTTATTAGTAAGGCTTCTGATTAATAGTAGACTATAAGTAGTTAAGTTTGGGGGAAGTAAAAAGTTGTATGAGGGTTTTTAGACTGTGTGGGGGGATGGCACTCCTAGCCCTCACTTTGTTGAAGGGTCAACTCCATACTGTAATAGTCTAAACTAAGGAAGGGAATAAGAGTGTTCTCAGGAGATAAAACCACAGAGCTTGAGGATTGAATGAAAGAGAAAAGGAGCTAAGGATGACTCCCAAGTTTCTGGCTTAAGCACATGGAAAGATGGTGGAGGCATTCACTGACATTTTGAGAAAATAGATTTAGGGAGAAAATAAGTTTCATTTTTGACATGCTGTTTCTTCTTCTTTTTTTTTTTTTTTTTTTTTTTGAGACAGAGTCTCGCTGTATTGTCTCCAGGCTGGAGTGCAGTGGCTCAATCATGGCTCACTGCAAGCTCCGCCTCCCAGGTTCACACCATTCTCCTGCCTCAGCCTCCTGAGTAGCTGGGACTACAGGCACCCGCCACCACACCTGGCTAATTTTTTGTATTTTTAGTAGAGATGGGGTTTCACTGTTAGCCAGGATGGTCTCGATCTCCTGACCTTGTGATCTGCCTGCCTTGGCCTCCCAAAGTGCTGGGATTACAGGCGTGAGCCACTGCACCCGGCCCTCTTTCTTAAGATAATTTGTGAGATACCAAAATTAAGATATCCAGAATGGATATTGTTTTCTTACTCAGAAAAGACATAAAAGTTTGAGGAGTATTTAGAATTTCAGTGTTTCACACCTCATTCCTAAGTTATTTTTATATGGTGGAAAGAGCTGATATATACATAGCCTATATTTTGGTACCAAATCTGCTACAAACTAGCTGTATGACTAGAGAGATCACTGAACCTTTCTCAGCTTCTGTTTCTATAAGGAGATAGAAAAACTTGCCCTCCCTTATTCACAGGGTAGGTAATTCAAGTATGAGCATTTTGAAAATGAAAGAGGGAAACCAATGTCTGGAGTTACTATTGTCTCTTTTAAATTAAAAAAAAAAAAAACTAAGCTATTTATTTTCTTTGCTTTCATGAGGATATCATTCCTAAAACAGAAGGAGGCAAGATTAGAAGATTTTTGCACTTTTAAAACAGAGTTTTACACACACCAAAAGTTTTAAAGGAGCAATTTTACTGCAACTATTTTTAAAGAGCTCAGTATCAATTTTAAGAAATTCAGCAACTGACAGGTTTTTAATGAAAAGAATAAACCCTTCTGAGTTCTCATTTTCTGAAAGCTTTTCACGTTTTAAGAATTGAACCACTCAGCACAGGTTTTTCTGTTACCATTTTGAAGATGTTGGAAGTATTAAACATAAAAGCTGTCACTGTTAAAGAAAATACTTTGTAACACAAAAAGAGATGAGAGCATAAATGTTATGTGCGTATGCTTTTAAATCAGAAGTTCTGAGTTCTAATTCTGTCTCCATCAGTTAATAGCTATCTGAATGTAAACATTAAAATTAAACATTATTTAAATATTCTGACCCCCCCCCAGGTTTTTCTAATCTGTGAAATATAAATAATAATTGTATTATCCTCAGGGAGTGGTTAGAAGGATTCAATGAGACAGTATATTCAAAGCACTTAGCACTGTGCAAAAGAGTGTGAGAGTAATTAAATGGTCAAGAAATACATGTAGAGCTGATTGGCCTCCATAGTAATCAAATTAACAGAGTTTTTATTTTGTTGCTAATAACATTCAGTGATGGCAAGGTCAGAGAGAGAGGCATTCTATTCATAAGAGTAAATGGATAAAACTTTTCAGGAAAAAAATTTTGAAATATGCTGGTGAAAGCCTTAAAAATGTTTACACCAGATGCAGTGGCTTGTACCTATAATCTCAGCTACTCAGATGGCTGAGGCAGGAGGATTGCTTGAGCCCAGGAGGTTTAGGTTACATGCACTCCTGTCTGGGTGACAGAGCCAGATCTTGTCTCTTAAAAAAAAAAAAAAGTTACATTCTTTGAGTCGTTCCATTTTTAAGAATCACTTGTTAGAAAATAATCAGATATAGGCCAGGTGTGGTGACTCACTCCTGTAATCCCAGCACTTTGGGAGGCCAAGGCAGTCGGATCACTTGAGGTCAGGAGTTCAAGACCAGCCTGAGGAATATGGCAAAACCCATCTCTACTAAAAATATAAAAATTAGCCGGGTGTGGTGATGTGCATTTGTAATCCCTGTTATTCAGGAGGATGAGGCACAAGAATCACTTGAATCCAGGAGGCGGAGGTTGCAGTGGGCTGAGATTGCACCACCACACTCCAGCCTGGGTGACAGAGCAAGACTCTGTATCAAAAAAAAAAAGAAAGAAAGAAAGAAAGAAAAGAATCAGATATAAAGATGCAGAATTACATGTAAAAATCAGAAACTACCTAAATGTTTAAGTCCAGAAAAATGGCTTAATAAATTATGGTACATCACCTTCTGAACTGATGCACTGAGATTCAGAGAAGGGCACGTCATCCCTGTGGTATCCTTACCAAAAATGCATAACCTGAATTTAATCATGAGAAAATGTCAAGCAAACTCAAATTGAAGAACATTCTACAAAATAAATTGAGGTAATAAAAGACAAATAAAAATGAAGGAACTATCCCCAAATGGGGAAAACTAAGGAAACACTACAACTGAATGCATGACATGGTCCTCGATATTAGTGGAACAATTCATGAAATGTGGGTGAGGTCTGAAGATTAAAATATTGTATCACAGTTAATTTTCTGGTTTTGATCATTGTACATGATTATGCAAGATGTTAACATTTGCAAAAGCTGGCTGAAAAGTATACTAAAAATCTTTGTGCTGTTTTTGCAACTTTGGGTAAGACAAATTATTTCAAGATGAATATTTCTAAAATAGAAAAATTAAATAATGGCACATTCACACAGTGATTATGCAGCCATTTAAAAGGTTTGTAATTATTCTGAATGACACTGGAAAATGTTCACTACATAGCATTATTGGGAGAAAAAAAACAAAAGCCAGTTCACACACTGAAAACTAAAGCCCAGAATGAATCCACTAAAATCTTGAGAGGACATTTCTAAGTAGAAGATTACAGATGCTATGTTCTTAATTAATTTTTTAGTTTCATATTTCCCAATTTTTTCTACCATGAGCATTCACCACTTTTAAAATTGGGGGGAGGATGTTATTTTTAAACACACATCATGATTTTGCATCAAAAAAATTCATTTAGACATATTTCTTCTCCTTGGTTTTAATAAAGAACATTTTTTCAATGCTTTGAGTTTTCAAAACTATGATTTTGATAAGCCAACAATGAGCCTTAGCTTAAGTGAGTTTCTTAATTTGGCATCAGTAACCAAAAATGCTTAATGGTTTCCCTAACTACTTGGAAATGAATTCTTGGCACTATGTCTTCTTAAGTTCTGTGGGTCTCATGTTGAAACAGTTGCTTCATTTCCACTAAATAATTGGAACTATTCCCTGGGTCATCAGAGAAGCTCAAACCTATGCGCATCTGAATCTCAGTCAACAACAGAAGGAAGAGGAACCTAATAATTTCTCCTCAGCCTGTCACAAATCAAGAGAAGAATGCATTTGTGCTGAAGACCGGGAAATTAAAAAGAAAGCAGATTTTGCTGGGAGGCAAGTCAAGGTGGCCACCAGGAATCTTAGACCCCTCGGCTTCAGATGACCATCTTCTGAGTAATCAGGATGTTTAGCAAGGCATACTTGAGGGGGCGTAAAGCATGGCTCCTATCTCAAAATACCTCCTCTGTGAGGTAATGTACGTGACACTGCTGTGCACTTGTGTCTGTTCCTTCCATCCAGGCACTGGCCAAAAAAGCTGTATTTGCTTGGCTCTGGAAGAATTTTTAATTCCAAAATTTATCGCCCCCACTCCTACCATCAAAGTGCAATGTGTCATCTACCAACATTTCACTAAGCAAGTAATTCTAGAACAGAACTGGTTGCAGGCCCACCAGAGGACAAACAATGTGGGGAGCTGGATTCAGAAAGCACTACAGATGGGCACCTTGAAAAGAGAGGTGCAGGACTCCTGCAGCAAGTTCTGCCAAGCCATGGTCCTCTCTGGTGCCATCCTCCTTAGGCGTTCACCACTACCTGCTTGCCAGCATCAGCCTGCCTTCTCAGGGTTATGAGTACATCCCCTCCTCCATGCCATAAGCATTCCCCTAACCCCATGCTGACAAGCTCAATGCCAGGCCCCAGTTCATCTTTCCAGACTTCCAGCTCCCTGCCTCAAAGCCCAATTCCAGCCACAGTTCGGAGCTTTGTACATTGTTGCATCCTTACTTAGCTTTCAACCGCAACTGTATCCCTGCCATCTCTACTTCAATGTTATCTCTGCAGGCCAAACATAACCCACCAGCTGCCAAGGCATGCAGTACCACGCTCAGCCCATCGCTACCCGCCTGGACCCTTGTGGCCTCACCACTTGCCTCCTGAGCCTTCTGTGCCCCTCCCCTGGCCCACCTCCACCATCTGCCTTCTACACTCTGCCTGTCAGGGGCCCAGTCTCCCCACTAGTTTATACCATCTCCCATGTTCTATTTTTATTTGTGCTTGCCCTTGTTCCAGAAAAGACAAGACAACACATACTATAGTCCTACCATGTTTTCTCAGGTGGGCTTCTTAACCCATGTGGCTTCTCATTCTATTTGCCCTATGAAGCACAGGGAATCAAAGACAGCGTTTCTCTGTGACATCAATTCTCGCGCCATCTAAGACAGGTCAACAGTAATGGCAGAGGCCTTCCTCGTAGCAAAGGGAAAACAATAGCAAACCACTGATGTTGAACTACCAGCCAGAAGCCAAGTGAGATATTAAGACAGCAAAGCCACCAGCACCAGGACAGGAGCTCATACCTCTTACCAGATAGATGCTGCTCTCCCACTCCCCCTGCTGGACACCGAGGTCCTGGGGCGATGCTTCCAAAGTCCACAGTCCCCAAATGATCAGACACCCATGTTTGCCCCAAGAGGTGTAGACTAAACGTTAAAGAGAAGCCACACTTGCTAATCTCATATTTAATTATCTTCAATGCCAAATTAGAGAAATGGAGTACCCCTCAGTGGAAAAAGGTAGGTGCTACTTGTTAGGCAGACTGGCTGTGAGCCCCCATTCTGTCACAATCTAGTTAGGGTATTAGGAAAGTTGTTCCAAGTGTCCCTGGGCCTTAGTTTCCCCACCTGTAAAGCACAGGTGACACTACCCTCCCCATATGGTTGATATGAAGATTAAATGAGATAAATTGCAGGCATCCAATTGTTATTGTCCACACCGATTGGCAACTAAGCTCTTGGCACACAATCTCTTGGCACCCCAGTGGCTTCATCTATGTAATTCCAATAATACCTGCTCAGCCTACCTGTGAGACTTGGCTGGGGCAGATGAGAGAACAGATGTTTGTCAAAGCACTCTGTAAATCATTAAGTGCTATGCTAATTCATCAATGACAACAACACCTGTCTGGCACTTTGAAGAGACACAGATGACAATGGTAGTTTTGATCTTTGTGGAGATTTGGAAATTTGTGGATGAAATAAGCATGCATGAGAATAACTGTACTTCAAATAGGAGATTGACTGCCATATTAGTAATAAAGAAAAATAATAATAGGAATGAAAAGAAAAGAAAATTTGATTTGCCTGAGGCAGAGGGTCGAGCAAGAATCACAGATGACCTCATGAGTGTCTCATGCTGCAGCAGGTCATAAAGACAAGTAAGATTGCTGTCAGCAGAGATGAGGAGAGGGCCTCCCAGACCCAAGAAAGAGTGAGGGCCACGATGCAGAGGAATGATGGTTCTGGGGATATGAAGAACTCCAGCTTGACCGCACCCTGCGATGAGGTGCCACAGTGGAGAATGGGGTTATGAGGACAGGTTGGGACACCATAGCGTTCTGTGAGATTGAACATGACAGCCAGGCAGTGCAGAGCCATCTAAGCTTTGTGAACAGCATGTCTGAGGAAGTTTACCAAAGACAATGTGAAGGCTGGCATGAGATGGGGAGAACAGGGGCAAATACAGGAAGGAATCATGATTGCCAAAGAGAGATGGGGGCCTGAAGTGATTCAGGATGCACAGGGGAAAGAAGAGATCAAAGGAAGGGACAAATATAAATGGAAGGTATTACGACCATAGTGCTCATGACAAAGAACCACATTTATCACTCAGTTCCACATGTACCAAAGGAAAATATCAGAAAGATGTCATGAGCTCAAATTAATAGTGATCTTTGGTAATTTACAAAAGGATAGAAGCAGTAAGATGAAGTAACACAAAGCACGTCTCTTACAGACTTCTAGAATTAACAGGGAAAGTAGGAGATGTGGTGCAATTACTTATCATCTGGGTAGGTGAATTTCAGGGGAAGAAAATCTCAGCAATATGCATTTAATCAACATATACTTTGATATCTGCTTTTGCCTAAGAAGTTCAGTAATGTCTTACAAATTGTGTTATGTTTCAGCATATCAAGTTCTGCTTGTAGCTCACTCACAATCATCCAGCACAATGGGGAATTTATCTTGCTGGTATTTCCAGGGAGACTGGGAAACAGCCAGTACAGATCAAACCTTTTCACATCATCACACTATTCACTCTACTGGTTAGAGATAACAAAGACAAACACAATAGGGAATGGTCAATTTATAGCAACAAGGACGAGGCTCATGTTTCTTCAGCATACTTCCTAACATGTCAGCAGTAATTACCACATATTAAAATAAGCCAGACTGGGCACAGTGGCTCATGCCTGTAATTCCAACACTTTGGGAGGCCAAGGCAGGAGGATCACTTGAGACCAGATGTCCAAGACCAGCCTTGGCAACATAGCAAGATTCCATGTCTACTAAATAAATAAATAAAAAATAAATAAATAAATAAATAAATAAAAACAAATAGCTGGGTGTGGTGGCATGTACCCATAGTCCCAGCTACTCTGGAGGCTGAGGCCAGAGGATCGCTGGAGGCCAGAAGTTCAAGGGCCCTGTGAGCTATGATTACAGAACTGCACTCCAGCCTGGGTGACAGAGTGAGACCCTGTCTCTAAAAACAAATAAATAAAATTAGCCATTTCAGTAAGCATATGCTCCCAAATTAAGAAACCTTGTTCCTTATTCCATGACAACTTCAGGGGAAAACATATTTTTCCATTTTTTGGAAGTTTTAAGACATATATGCTCAATGTAGAAAATAAAACCAAAAATAAGAGCATCCTCTGGTGTATGCTAAGGTTGTAAAAAAATTAAAAAAAGAAAGAAGAGCTAATATCCTCCAATATACTATGATTAAGATCAATATTTACTCATTGTTAATCTTTGGGAATACTTCCTTCTAGTTTTATTTCTGTGCTTTTTAAAGAAACATGTTGGCCGGGCGCGGTGGCTCACACCCATAATCCCAGCACTTTGGAAGGCCGAGGCGGGCGGATCACGAGGTCAGATCACGAGGTCAGGAGATCGAGACCATCCTGGCTAACACGGTGAAACCCAGTCTCTACTAAAAATACAAAAAAAATTAGCCCAGCGCGGTGGCAGGCGCCTGTAGTCCCAGCTACTCGGGAGGCTGAGGCAGGAGAATCCCTTGAACCGGAGGCGAAGGTTGCAGTGAGCCGAGATCGCGCCACTGCACTCCAGCCTGGGCGACAGAGTGAGACTCCGTCTCAAAAAAAAAAAGAAAAAGAAAAGAAACATGTTAAGATTACATTATATTTGAAGCTCTGAATTCAGGGCTAAAAAAAAATTAGACTACAAATATGTTGCATTCTTGTATTTTGTTTTGCTCATCATAACAAATATTTCTCCCATTGTTGAAAGCTGGAAGACTCCACTCACAATCCATATTTCTTTAACAAGACAAAGAAGCGAATGTGTATTAATTTAGTAGTGTAATGGGGACTTCCAGTTCCCAGTCCAACATTTAAAGAGCTTGGAAGTCATTGTTCTCATCTTCACAACAAAATGACCTTGTGTAATTCCCTCTTGAGTGTGGGATGGATCTAGTCACTTGCTTCTAATGAATCAAATATGGCAAAAGTGATATACCACTTTTGATATTAGGTTACAAAAGACTGTAACTGACTTCTGTCTTGCTAAATATCTCCCTCTCTTTCTCTCTGGTTCTTTTTGCTGGCTTGTTCTGATGCAAGCAAGCTGCCATGCTGTGAATTATCCTATGGAGAGGTCCACATGGCAAGGATAGAGTTTAAAATCAGCAAGGGAATTCCCTAAATCTGAGGTTTGATGTTTTCATTAATCCTGAAAAAAAATCTCAGTCATTATTAACAAAGGGCATAGGCCAGGTATAAGATTCCAGTTGTCCTCTCCCAATGGAGTTGCACAGACAGTGCTAAATTCTCCCAGCAATGATGTGTGACAATAGATGTGAAGTGTTGCCTACTAGAAAAGCTCACCCAAAGGTTGGTATCCAGGGCTTTTATGGAGTAACCACATGACTAACCTTAACAATGTAAGTCTCTAGTTGCCCTCAGAGGTCAAATTGGTAAGGCAGTGGCCTAGGCCCTCAGGCAAAAAAACAACAAAAACAGGTGTTCATCTTAAATTACATTGTTAATATATAATATCCAGAAGGGCCCATGGCCTCAGGTATACAAATAAACTCTCATGGTGGGATTTTACAAGGGCTTGGAGCTTATCAGCAGGTGGTCAAAGTCCGGTCCTAAAGACATTTGGAATGTGTGGTGTTTGGACAACCCAGGCCTGCTGCGTTAACTCTTTACTGCCATCTGCCATCCTGCCTGCCTTTACTGACAGGAAGCCATCAAGGAAATAGTTGCCTAGATAGCAAAGAGCTCACCAGATGGTACTGGAATTGGGTGCAGTGCTCCCTGGTGCTGTGTGCCCCTTCCCTATGCAGGCAATATGCCCTCAGTAGAACATGTGCTAGAATATGGCCATTCAAGCAGGAAGGGCATCAGTGTTCCTAGCAACGTGGCTGAATAGTCCATCAGTGTGAAGATCTTGCAGGAGGTTCAAGCCCAGGTAAGGTGTTAGGTAGAGTGTGAGTTTACTGCCCTAGAGTGGCAGTGTGATGCAGAGAAATAAATTGTAGGTTTAGAATGAGGACACCTGATCCTGTCATTTTTTCCAACTGGCTTTAGGACCCTCATCTGAAATATTTTCCTATTTATAGATGGGAGGCAATATTGCGTAGCAAGCAAGAGTGCTGGCAGGGCAAGTTCAGTGGGAAAGCAACTTGCGCAGGCACAGAGAGCCCTGTACTCAAAATAACCCTAACCACGGTTTAATGCTCTGCTGTCACCATCTTGAACAATGTTCAAACAAGGAGCCCCATATTTTTGTTTTTCACAGGGCCCCATAAATTATGTAGACTCTCCTGGTGCCAGGTCTGGAGTCAGCCTATGGGTTCAAATCCCTGATCTATCATTTTTAGATGTATGAACTAGGGCATAACATCTAATACCTTTTAGACTTGTTTCCTTGTCTATAAACAGGATTTTAAAAGATTGTTGTGAAGATTAAGGAAATAATATATGGAAAAATATAGCGTTGTATATACATAAATACAGTCATTCCTCAGTATCCATGGGGGATTAGTCCTAGGACCCCCTCAGGTGGCAAAATCCATGGACACTCAAGTCCCTTATATAAAATATTTACACATAACCTATGTACTATCCTCCCACGTACTTGAAATCATCTCTAGATTACTTATAATACCAAATACAATGTAAATGCTATGTAATATTTGTTATACTGTATTTTTTAATTTGTTGGGTTTTTTTTATTTTATTTTACCAGGGAGGCCTGAGAGCCTAGAAAATTTTGTATTATTTTTCATTGTTGTATTTTTTTTATTATTGGGGGTAGTTTTTGTTGTAGTTTTCAAGGCATGGTTGGTTGAATCCATGGATGTGGAACCCATGGATACAAAGGACCAACTTTAGTCATGGGTGGTAACTATTATTTGTTCTCAACAATAAATAACAATAAAATAAAATAATATAAATAATAACAATAAACAATAATAATAGCTATCTATTGCTTTGTAACAAATTACCCCAAAACTCAGTGGCTTAAAACAACAACACTTATTATCTCATGGTTTCTGTGGGTCAGAAATGCCAGTGCAGTTTAGCTAGATCCTCTGGCTCAAAGCCTCTCACCAGACTGCAATCAAGGTGTCAGCCAAGGCTACAGTCATCTTAAGGTTGAACTGCAGAAGACTCTGTTGCCAAGCTCATGCACATGGCTGTTGGCAGGATTCCTAGTAGACTGTCAGAATGAGGGCCTCAGTTCCTTGCTGGCAGTTGGCTGAAGGACACCCTCTGTTCCTTGCTATGTGGCTCTCTCCTTAGGACAATTCACAACATGGCAGCTTGCTGGCATCAGAACAAGCAAAAAGAGCCAGGGAGAGAGACTGAATCAGACAGAAGTCACAGTCTTTTGTAACCTAATATCAAAAGTGGCATAGCATCACTTTTGCCATATTTGATTCATTAAAAGCAAGTGACTAGATCCATCCCACACTCAAGGGGAGGGGATTACACAAGATCATTGTTACAAACTGAACAGAATCATCCTAAAACTTAAATGTTGAAGTTCTAACCCCTAGTACCTTAGAATGTGACTGTATTTGAAGATAAGGTCTTAAAAAGGGTAATACGGCTAATGAAGGTATATAGGTGTGCTTAACTCCAATATGACTGGTGTCCTTATAAGAAGGGGAAGGGGCTGGGTGCAGTGGCTCATACCTGTAATCCCACTTTGGGAGGCGGAGGTGGGATGATAGCTTGAGCCTGGGAGATTGAGGCTGCAGTGAGCCAGGATCACGCCACCGCACTCCAGCCTAGGTAACAGAGCAAGACCCTGTCTCAAAAAAAAAAAAAAAAAAAAAAAACAAAAGCATACCAAGGATGCACGTGCCAGTGGAGAGGCCAGGTAAGGACACAGTGAGAAGATGGCCACCTACAAGCCAAGGAAAGACACTTCAAGAGAAACTAAAACTGTCAACAGGTCTGGTTGGACAGGTTTGATCTTAGACTTCTAGCCTCCAGAACTGTGAGAAAATACATTTCTCATTTAAGCCACCCAGTCTGTAGTATTTTGTTATAGCAGTGCTGACAAAAAGAGTCAAACTCTGTAAAATATTGTAAGAGATTTATTCTGAGCCAAATATGAGTGACCATAGCCCGTGACGCAGCCCTCAGTAGGTCCTGAGAACATGTGCCTAAGGCGGTCTGGGTACAGCTTGGTTTTATATATTTTAGGGAGGTACAAAACAGCAATCAAATATATTTAAGAAATACATTGGTTTGGGCCAGGTACGGTGGCTCACACCTGTAATCCCAGCACTTTGGGAGGCCGAGGTAGGCAGATCACAAGGACAGGAGTTCCAGACCAGCCTGACCAACATGGTGAAACCCATCTCTACTAAAAATACAAAAATTAGCCAGGTGTGGTGGCGGGCACCTGTAATCTCAGCTACTCGGGAGTCTGAGGCAGGAGAATCACTTGAACCCAGGAGGCAGAGGTTGCAGTGAGCTAAGATTGCGCCGCTGCACTCCAGCCTGGGCAGAGAGCAAGGCTCCATCTCAAAAAAAAAAAAAAAAAAAAAAAAAATGAGGTCACACAGATGATTGCAGGATGCTGAAGGCAGAGAATTTTATTGAGCCATGAAAACGGCTCTCAGCGAAGAGGAGAGTTGGAAAGGGGACGGGAAGGGAAGGTCGTCTTCCCCGAAGTCAGGTTGTCTCTTCTCTGAAGTCAGGCCATTTCCCCTCTACCAAGTCTGGGGTCTTTATAGGCACATGATGGGGGCAGGTTGGGCCATAGGTAGTTTTGAAAAAGGCAACATTCAGTTGGTAAAGAAAAAAAAGGCATTATTCAGAAAGAACCAATCAGGAGAGAACAGGCAAACAGCAATAGAAGTTCTCACTTTGGGCTGCCGGTTTCAGGCTGTTTTTTTGTTTGTTTGTTTGTTTGTTTGTTTGTTTTTGAGGGTGAAGGTGGGGTTTCACCGGGGACCCGATCCTGTCTGCCCAGAATTTCTCTGCCTCCTATCTCTATTATTATTTAAGAATTTAAAACTTAAGTAGTCTTTTTTCTTTTTTGAGACAGAGTCTTGCTCTGTTGCCCAGGCTGGAGTGCAATGGCGCGATCTCGGCTCACTGCAACCTCTGCCTCCTGGGTTCAAACAGTTCTTGTGCCTCAGCCTCCCAAGTAGCTCAGACTACAGGTGCTCACTGCCACACCCAGCTAATTTTTGTATTTTTAGTGGAGATGGAGTTTCGTCATGTTGGCCAGGCTGGTCTTGAACTCCTGACCTCAAGTGATCTGCCCACCTCGGCCTCCTAAAGCACTGGGATTACAAGCGTGAGCCACTGCATCCATCCAAAACTTAAGTAGTTGTAGCATGCAGAACATTAAAAAGACTTTTAGGTTCACCCCCATATGTCCTAATATGTTGTATTTCAAAATGTTGTTTTATTTGAGATTAGGCCTATCTTGTTTGCCATCATTTTTAGATCTATGCATTCTCTGATATAATCAGAAAGCAAAATGACAGTCACACATTTTCTTCCAACTGAGCTTTAAAAAAAAAAACCGAAAAAGCATTGACATAGGCTGAGTTTCCTACAGCTACAGGCTTTCAGAGAGGAATCTTATACTTTAAAAAACAGAAATTAAACTAACAGCTCTACAGAGATCTTTTCAATGAAAAATAACTCACAGGAGTTCTTTTCAAAGCATTTAAAAATTCTCATAATCTACTCATCCACATCAACACTTTTAATTAGAGCCTCTGTTTACTTAAAAGGAAGTATAACCAAAAAAGAAATCGAAAGAAAAATAAGATCAAGCCAAGCATATACGTCAACTCCATCTCTCATTGACAACTGTGTCAATTGAAAAAATAGGCCGGGGGCGGTGGCTCATGCCTGTAATCCCAACACTTTGGGAGGCCGAGGTGGGTGGATCACGAGGTCAGGAGTTGGAGACCAGCCCGACAAACATGGTGAAACCCTGTCTGTACTAAAAATACAAAAATTAGCCGGGCGTGATGGCACGCGTCTGTAATCCCGGCTACTCAGGAGGCTGAGGCAGGAGAATTGCTTGAACCCAGAAAGCGGAGGTTGCAATGAGCCGAGATCGCACCACTGCACTCCAGCCTGGACAACAGAGCGAGACTCTGTCTCAAAAAAAAAAAAAAAAAGAAAAAAGAAAGTTGTCTCTAACTTCCAATTCCAGCCATGACAGAGTAAGTCTTAGACTTAGCTTTCCTACCATAAACTGGCCAAAATAGATAAAACAATTTTCAGGGATTGGACACCAGTTAAAACAGTTATGATGTTTGAAAGAAACCAAACGAAGTGAGCTTCATGTCCCCCACTGCTTGGGAAGTTGAGTCCAAGTGGAAAGTTGCATTTGTATAGGGCAGAGGAAAGAGAAACTAGAATTTGTGCCTGCCACAGTGGCTGGGATTTGGAAGCCAGGTGCTGCAGAGCAGGGAATCACACAGAAGAGGACTTCAGAGATTGAACCCTGAAAGTTTATAAACATTCTTCTCAGGTCCTTGAGCCCAGGCCATATGACCTGACTGTAGGGTAAGACACCCAGGGTCTATCAGAGAATAACTGCTGGGAGGCTGGAGAGCTAAACGGAAATCTCAGAGGCCACACAGTGCTGGGAATGTGGTGGCATTCTAATCCAGCCAGGGTAAAGAAATATTGGTGAATTCCCAGACTTCCAGATGAGTCACAAAGCAAAAAAGGTCATGTCCTAAAAATGTACATTACCCTCTAGGAGTAAGGATTATACCCGAGGAGTAAGGTCAAAACTGATGTAAACCCACCATAGCAAAGCCTAAACCCAATTTTCATCAGAATTAAAATTATCTGTCAATAATTTAATTGCCAGCCAGAACAAAATTCAACATTCTTTGGAGGAAGTTAACATGATCCAGAGTTTCTATAAAATGTCATTCATAATATCTAGCATGAAAAGTTTACCAGGCAAGAAACTGGTTAAAGTTACTAATAGCCAGCCAGGCACAGAGGCTCATACGTGTAATCCCAGTGCTTTGGGAGGCTGAGATGGGAGCATTGCTTAGAGACAAGAGTTTGAGACCAGCCTGGGCAACAAAGCAAGTCCCTACCTTTACAAAAAACAAAAATAAAAAAAGTAGCCAGGCATGGTGGCACACAGCTGTAGTCCCAGCTACCCAGGAGGCTGAGGCAGGCAGATCACTTGAGCTGGGAGTTCAAGGCTGCAGTAAGCTATGATTGTGCCACTGCACTCCAGCCTGGATGACAGAGCAAGACCCTATCTCTAAAAAAAAAAAAAAAAATTTTATTTTTATTTTTACTTTTTAAGTGACTAGTAGCCAAGAGATGGAAGCAGGTAGAGATGATCCAGATATTGAAGTTAGCTAGAAAGACTTCAAAATAACTATAATTAATATGTTAAAGAAAAGAGGGGTAAAGATTGACAATGAGAATGAAAAGATGAAGTATAAAATCAGAGAATTAGAATCTTTTTTAAAGAGAATTAAGTAGACATTCAATATTTGTAAAATACAATATCAGAAATTAAGAATTTATCAGCTGGATTCACAGTGCAAAAGAAAACAAGATTAATTAATTTGAAGACAGGTCAGAGGAATATATCCAAACTGAAACACAGAGAGAAAAAATAACAGTCACCTTAAATATATTATTTGGGAGATACTCCCCTCATTCACTCCTCTTTTTATTCTCCTTTCTCCCAGGCAACTTATTTTTTCTAATAAGAAAAAGCAGGTGAGAGTGGGATGTAAAATAATACGTGGCTATGGCCGGGCACAGTGGCTCATGCCTGTAATCCCAGCACTTTGGGAGGCCAAGGCAGGCGGATCACCTGAGGTCAGGAGTTTGAGACCAGCCTGACCAACATGGAGAAACCCCGTCTCTACTAAAAATACAAAAAAATTAGCTGGGCGTGGTGGCACATGCCTGTAATCCCAGCTACTTGGGAGGCTGAGGCAGGAGAATTGCTTGAACTTGGGAGGCGGAGGTTGTGGTGAGCCAGGATCATGCCATTGCACCCCAGCCTGGGCAACAAGACCGAAACTCTGTCTCAAAAAAAAAAAACAAACAAAAAAAAACAACTTGGTTGGGCACAGTGGCTCACGCCTGTAATCCTAACACTTTGGAAGGCCGAGGTGGGAGGACGCCTTGAGCCCAGGAATTCAAGACCAGCCTGGGCAACACAGGAAAACTCCATCCCTACAAAAAACACAAAAATTTACAAAAAAACACAAAAATTTAGCTGTGTGAAGTGGCATGTGCCTGTAATCCTAGTTACTCAGGAGGCTGAAATGAGAGGATCCCTTGAGCCTGGGCATTCTAGCCTGGGCAATAGAGCAAGACTCTGTCTCAAAAATAAAATAAAATAAAAATTTAAAACAAAATATACCAAGAGAAGCTTGGAAAAAAAATTTGCTCTAATCAAAGTCAAACGACAAACTGGAAAAATACCTACCAATCATATCACAGATATAATTTCTGTAAAATACAAAAGGATCTACAGGCTGGGTGTGGTGGCTCACACCTGTAATCCTAGAACTTTGGGAGGCTGAGGTGGGAGGATTGCTTGAGTCCAGCAGTTCAAGATCAGCCTCGGCAACATGGCAAGATCCCTTCTCTATCATTTAAAAAGTAAATAAATAAAAGGACCCATAAATCAATATGAAAAAGGCCAACATGCCAACAGAAAATGCGCTAAAGGAAACACAATGGTTCTTAAATATATGAAAAGATTCTCCATCTCACTCAAAGCAAAATAGTAACTAAATCTATAAAACACCATGTTTCATCAGTTTGGAAAGACCATTAAGTTTGATAACACATGACTCAGCAAAGGTATGGACAAAAGGGGCTCTCACTAGAGTTTTCAGAGATCTACTCTCCCAAACATACATCACTCTGCCATTCCTAGAGTCTGGCCTTTCTCCTCCTGATCCAAGATAGCTATCATCCAGTCATTTCACATCCATTTCAAGAAACATACTTCCCTTTCAGGAAGACTTACCCAAAGTACCACACAACACTTCTGCTTACATCTCAATTATCAAATATTAGTCATAGAGCTATATCTAACAGCAAGCCTGGGAATCTTGTAGCTTGGTTGCCACATAGCCAGCTAAAAGTGACACTTTGCAAGAGAGCGACAGAAATGGATTTTTGTTAGGCAATTAACATTCTCTGCCATGCCTACTTCTTTGATTGCCAAATATTGATACACGCTTTCTCATATACAGAACACAATGAATCTCTCCCAGGGATACAGTTCTCAAATTTCATCCAGATACTGCATCCAGGTCAAAGTTCAGGAACTCTGGGAAATATGTACCTTCCATCTGGTACAGACAGCATCTCATGGTCCAGCAATCAAAAAACTTAAAAATGAGTTAACTGCCCCCAACTTACCCAACATACAAAGGTGGAGTAGGAGCAAGATTAAAACATTGAGGCCAGGCGCAGTGGCTCACGCCTGTAATTCCAGCATTTTGGGAGGCTGAGGCAGGCGGATCACCTGAGGTCAGGAGTTCGAGACTAGCCTGACCAACATGGAGAAACCCCATCTCTACTGAAAATACAAAATGAGCCAGGTGCGGTGGTGCATGCCTGTAATCCCAGCTACTTAGGAGGCTGAGGCAAGAGAATCACTTGAACCCAGGAGGCAGAGGCTGCAGTGAGCCGAGATCGCGCCACTGCACTCCAGCCTGGGCAACAAGAGCGAAACTCCGTCTCAGGAAAAAAAAAAAAAAAAAAAAAAAGATTAAAACATTGAAACTGCCCACCAGGAAAGGGGAGAAAGGAAAGCCTGCTATAGTCACTGGTCTACAGCAATATTAAATCTTATGGGGCAGGAAGAGTGACTTCCTTCCCAGGCAGTACCTGGGACCTTCAGTTGTGCTCTCTGGGAAACTCCTTTGGAGGCTTCTAGTTTTGCCCTCTGAGGTTGTTTCTTGTCCACTATCTTCTGTGGCCTCATCTTAAATAGGCATTAGGGAGCATCAGCGAGCTGCAGACCTTCCATAGCTCACTCTTTATTAGTGGTTGTATTAGTCGGTTTTCACACAGCTGATAAAGACAAACCCGAGACTGGGCAATTTACAAAAGAGGTTTAATTAGACTTACAGTGCCATGTGGCTGGGGAGGCCTCATAATCATGGTGGAAGGCAAGGAGGAGCAAGTCATGTCTTACATGAATGGCAGAAGGCAGAAAGAGAGCTTGTATAGGGAAACTCCCATTTTTAAAACCATCAGATCTCATGAGACTCATTCACTATTATGAGAACGATGCATGATAGACCTGACCCCATAATTCAATCATCTCTCACCGGGTTCCTCCCACAACACATGGCAATTGTGGGAGTTACAATTCAAGATGAGATTTGGGTGGGGACACAGGCAAACCATGTCATTCCACCCCTGGCCCATCACAAATCTCATGTCCTCACATTTGAAAACCAATCACACCTTCCCAATAGTCCCCCAAAGTCTTAACTCATTTCAGCATTAACTCAAAAGTCCACAGTCCAAAGTCTCATCTGAGACAAGGCAAGTCCCTTTCGCCTATGAGCCTATAAAATCAAAAGCAAGGTAGTTACTTCCTAGATATTTAGAGGTACAGGCACTGGGTAAATGTACCCATTCCAAGTGGGAGACATTGGTCAAAACAAAGGGGCTACAGGCCCCACACAAGTCCGAAATCCAGCAGGGCAGTCAAATCTTAAAGGTCCAAAATGATCTCCTTTGACTCCATGTCTCACATCCGGGTCACGCTGATGCAAGAGGTAGGTTCCCATGGTCTCGGGTAGCTCTGCCTCTGTGGCTTTGCAGGATACAGCCTCCCTCCCAGCTGCTTTCATGGACTGGCATTGAGCATCTGTGGCTTTTCCAGGCATGTGGTACAAGCTGCCAGTGGATCTATCATTCTGGGGTCTGGAGGATGGTGGCCTTCTTCTCACAGCCCGACTAGGTGGTGCCCCAGTAGGGACTCTGTGTGGGGGATCCCACCCCACATTTCCCTTCTGCACTGCCCTAGCAGAGGCTGTCCATATGAGGAACCCATCCCTACAACAAACTTCTGCCTGGGCATCCAGGCATTCCCGTAGATCTTCTGAAATCTAGGCAGAGGTTCTTAAACCTCAATTCTTTTTTTGTTTGTTTGGTTTGTGTTTTTTGTTTTGTTTTTTTGAGATGGAGTCTTTGCTCTGTCGCCCAGGCTGGAGTGCAGTGGCACGATCTCGGCTCCCTGCAAGCTCCGCCTCCCAGGTTCACGCCATTCTCCTGTCTCAGCTTCCCAAGTAGCTGGGACTACAGGCACCTGCCACCACGCTTGGCTAATTTTTTTGTATTTTTTAGTAGAGACAGGGTTTCACCGTGTTAGCCAGGATGGTCTTGATCTCCTGACCTTGTGATCCTCCTGCCTCAGCCTCCCAAAGTGCTGGGATTACAGGCGTGAGCCACCATGCCCAGCCTTAAACCTCAATTCTTAACTTACGTGCACTCACAGGCACAACATCACATGAAAGCTGCCAACGCTTGAGGCTTCCACCCTCTGAAACCATGGCCTGAGCTCTATGTTGGCCCCTTTCAGCCATGGCTGGAGCAGATGGGACACAGGGCACCAAGTCCCTAGGCTCCACACAACACGGGACGCTGGGCCCAGCCCACGAAACCACTTTTTTCTCCTAGGCCTCCAGGCCTGTGATGGGAGGGGCTACAGAAAGTTCTCTGACATGCCCTGGAGATATTTTCCCCATTGTCTTGGTGATTAATATTTGGTTCCTCATTACTTATGCAAATTTCTGCAGCCAGGTTGAATTTCTTCTCAGAAAATGGGATTTTCTTTTCTATTGCCTTGTCAGGCTACAAATTTTTTGAACTTTTATGCTGTTTCCCTTTTAAAACTGAATACCTTTAACAGCACCCAAGTCACTTCTTGGATGCTTTCCTGCTTAGAGATTTCTTCTGCCAGATACCCTAAATCATCCCTCTCAAGTTCAAAGTTCCACAAATCTCTAGGGCAGGGGCAAAATACCACCAGTCTCTTAGCTCAAACATAACAAGAGTCACCTTTGCTCCAGTTCCAAACAAGTTTCTCATTTCCCTCTGAGACCACCTCAGCCTGGACATTATTGTCCATATCATTATCAGTGTTTTGGTCAAAGCTATTCCACAAGTCTCTAGGAACTTCCAAACTTTCCCACATCTTCCTGTCTTCTTCTGAACCCTCCAAATTGTTCCATCCTCTGCCTGTTACCCAGTTCCAGAGTCGCTTCCACAGTTTTGGGTATTTTTTCAGCAGCGCCCCACTCTACTGGTACCAATTTACTGTATATGTCCATTTTCATGCTACTGATGAAGACATACCTGAGACTGGGCAATTTACAAAAGATAGACGTTTAACTGGACTTACAGTTCCACATGGCTGGGGAAGCCTCACAATCATGGTGGAAGGCAAGGAGCAGCAAGTCACATCTTACATAGATGGCAGCAGGCAAAAAGAGCTTGTGGGCCATCGCAGTGGCTCACGCCTGTAATCCCAGCACTTTGGGAGGCCAAAGTGGTTAGGAGTTTGAAATCACCCTGGCCAACATGGTGAAACCCTGTCTGTACTAAAAATACAAAAAAATTAGCTGGGCATGGTGGTGCATGCCATAATCCCAGCTACTTGGAGGCTGAGGCAGGAGAATCGTGTGAACTCGGGAGGCAGAGGTTGCAGTGAGCCAAGATGGTGCCACTGCACTCCAGCCTAGGCAACAGAGTGAGACTCCGTCTCAAAAAAAAAAAAAGAAAGAAAGAAAGAGAGAGAGGGAACTTGTGTAGAGAAACTCCCATTTTTAAAACCATCAGATCTCATGAGACTCATTCACTATCATGAGAAGAGTGCATAAAAGAGCCACCCCCATAATTCAACCACCTCCCACCAAGTTCCTCCCATGACACATGGGAATTATGGGAGTTAACAATTCAAGATGGGATTTGGGTGGGGACACAGACAAACCATATTAATGGTGCAAGTCTAAGTTTTCTTGAGAAAAAAAGTGTTTTTCCTCACCCTGTTTCCATGTCCCTTTCTTTATTTTCTCATCTGGGCTATTCTTGAGGCAGGAGGAAAAAGAAGAGAAAGTGCTGCTGCGCACTTTGTTTTTTTCAGTTTTGAGTAAAACTCCAAGATTATTATTCACCTTTTAATATCCTTATAACTTTGCTTCTGACAGGAAAGAACAGCATCAGCTAAAATTTCCCATATTAGTTTATCTATGTCAACATCAAAGTTTTTAATACTTAATTTAAAAATCCCCCTGGACTGTTCAGCAGAGAAAAACCAAAATCACACATGTATTGAGTATCTACCATGTATGGTACACTAAGGATACCAGGTTCAAGAAGATCCTGGTCCCCATTGTGGTGTGGTGGTTACAGGGTATACTCAATTGGCAACATTCAACAAATCGCATGTGCATTTAAGATCTATTCATTGTGGCTGGGTGCGGTGGCTCATGCCTGTAATCTCAGCACTTTGGGAGGCTAAGGTGGGTGGATCACCTGAGGTCAGGAGTTTCAGACCAACCTGACCAACATGGTGAAACCCTGTCTTTACTAAAAATACAAAAATTAGCTGGGTGTGGTGGTGGACACCTGTAATCCCAGCTACTCAGGAGGCTGAGGCAGGAGAATTGCTTGAACCTGGGAGGCAGAGGTTGCAGTGAGCCGAGATCACTCCATTGTATTCCCGCCTGGGCGACAGAGCAAGACTCCATCTCAAAAAACAAAAACAGATCTGTTCATTGTTTTGCATGTAATAGACACAATAAAAATGTAGGCTATTTAAGGAAAGACCAGAAAAATAAATGTTTAGTGTTTACTACTGTTAACACATTAATTTCGAAGAAGTTAAATTTACGGCCAGGCACAGTGGCTCACACCTGTAATCCCAAAATGTTGGGAGGCTGAGGCGGGTAGATCACTTAGTTCAGGAGTTCAAGACCAGCCTGGGCAACATGGTGAAACTCAGTCTCTACAAAAAAATACAATAAATTAGCTAGACATGGTAACATACCCAGGATGCTTAGGTGGACAGAACTCCTGAGCCCAGGAGGTCGAAGCTGAACTGAGCCATGTTCATGCCACCACACTCCAGCCTGGGTGACAGAGTAAGACCCTGTCTCCAAAAAAAAGAGAGAGAGAGAGAAAGAAGTTAAATTTATGATATGAATTTGACTATTCTATGTGTATAATATAAGGCACTGAATATTGGGTAAAGTACATGGGCCCTTTCTATGGAACTTGAAATTTAGTTTTTGTAATTGTCTGTACAACATTTCTTCCACTGTATAAATTTTTTTTTTTTTTTTTTTTTTTTTTTTTTTTTTTTTTTTTTTTTTTTTTTAGCCGGAGTCTTGCTCTGTCACCCAGGCTGGAGTGCAGGTAATCTCAGCTCACTGCAACCTCCGCCTGCCAGGTTCAAGCAATTCTTCTGCCTCAGCCTCCTGGGATTAAAGGCACCTGCCACCACACAGGGCTAATTTTTGTATTTTTTTTAGAGACAGGGTTTCACCATGTTGGCCAGGCTGGTCTCAAACTCCTGGGCTCAAGTGATCCACCCGCCTTGCCCTCCTAAAGCGCTGGGATTACAGGCCCAAGCCACTGCGCCCAGCCTTCATCCATTGTATAAATTATTTTGAAAAGTAGCACATACCAGTAATAGGATCATAAGCATCTGGTTAGTGGACCTGGGTCCAAATCCGTTTTTCCTGTGCTTTGGGGGAAAATTACCCATGGCTGTTTCATTTGCAAAATAGCAATAATGCCCAGGGTTGTTGTGGGGACTAAATGAATAAACTGCCAAGTCATAGTAAACATTCTCTCTCCCATGTCACCTCCTCCCAGCATCCTTTGATGTCAAGTCCTTGGCCAGGACTGCAATTACCCATTATGACTAACAGTGAAAAATATTGGCCCTTTATGATTCATATTATGCCAATATCCAGTTCACAAATGCATTTTATACTTAATACGTATAATTCTGCAATCCATTCATTCATTTTCATTGAACACCTACCATGTGCCAGGACCTGTGCTAGGCTCTAAAATTACAGCAAAAGACAGTGTCCGTATTTATGGTGCTTACATTCTACAGGCAGGAGACAAGAAATATATATATGTATGTATGTATACACATATACATATGTTAAATTATAACTTTACATGTATATATCAGGTGGGTAAAACTTCTTTGAAGAAAAAGTGAGATTAGCTCCCTCTCCCTCTCCCCACAGTCTCCCTCTCCCCACGGTCTCCCTCTCCCTCTCTCTCTCTTTCCACGGTCTCCCTCTGATGCCGAGCCGAAGCTGGACTGTACTGCTGCCATCTCGGCTCACTGCAACCTCCCTGCCTGATTCTCCTGCCTCAGCCTGCCCAGTGCCTACGATTGCAGGCGCGCGCTGCCACGCCTGACTGGTTTTCGTATTTTTTTGGTGGAGACGGGGTTTCGCTGTGTTGGCTGGGCTGGTCTCCAGCTCCTAGCCGCGAGTGATCCGCCAGCCTCGGCCTCCGGAGGTGCCGGGATTGCAGACGGTGTCTGGTTCACTCAGTGCTCAATGGTGCCCAGGCGGGAGTGCAGTGGCGTGATCTCCACTCGCTACAACCTCCACCTCCCAGCCGCCTGCCTTGGCCTCCCAAAGTGCCGAGATTGCAGCCTCTGCCCGGCCGCCACCCCGTCTGGGAAGTGAGGAGCGTCTCTGCCTGGCCGCCTATTGTCTGGGACGTGAGGAGCCCCTCTGCCTGGCTGCCCAGTCTGGAAAGTGAGGAGTGTCTCTGCCCGGCCGCCCATCGTCTGAGATGTGGGGAGCGCCTTTGCCCCACCGCCCCGTCTGGGATGTGAGGAGCGCCTCTGCCCGGCCGCGACCCCGTCTGGGAGGTGAGGAGCGTCTCTGCCCAGCCGCCCCGTCTGAGAAGGGAGGAGACCCTCCGCCTGGCAACTGCCCCGTCTGAGAAGTGAGGAGCCCCTCCGCCCGGCAGCCGCCCCGTCTGAGAAGTGAGGAGCCCCTCCACCCGGCAGCCACCCCGTCTGGGAAGTGAGGAGCGTCTCCGCCCGGCAGCCACCCCGTCCGGGAGGGAGGTGAGGGGGTCAGCTCCCCACCCGGCCAGCAGCCCCGTCCGGGAGGGAGGTGGGGGGGTCAGCCCCCCGCCCGGCCAGCCGCCCAGTCCGGGAGGGAGGTGGGGGGGTCAGCCCCCCGCCCGGCCAGCCGCCCCGTCTGGGAGGGAGGTGGTGGGGGTCAGCCCCCCGCCTGGCCAGCCGCCTCGTCCGGGAGGTGAGGGGCGCCTCTGCCCGGCCGCCCCTACTGGGAAGTGAGGAGCCCCTCTGCCCGGCCACCACCCCGTCTGGGAGGTGTACCCAACAGCTCATTGAGAGCGGGCCATGATGACAATGGCGGTTTTGTGGAATAGAAAGGGGGCAAAGGTGGGGAAAAGATTGAGAAATCGGATGGTTGCCGTGTCTGTGTAGAAAGAAGTAGACATGGGAGACTTTTCATTTTGTTCTGTACTAAGAAAAATTCTTCTGCCTTGGGATCCTGTTGATCTGTGACCTTACCCCCAACCCTGTGCTCTCTGAAACATGTGCTGTGTCCACTCAGGGTTAAATGGATTAAGGGCAGTGCAAGATGTGCTTTGTTAAACAGATGCTTGAAGGCAGCATGCTCGTTAAGAGTCATCACCACTCCCTAATCTCAAGTACCCAGGGACACAAACACTGCGGAAGGCCGCAGGGTCCTCTGCCTAGGAAAACCAGAGACCTTTGTTCACTTGTTTATCTGCTGACCTTCCCTCCACTATTGTCCTATGACCCTGCCAAATCCCCCTCTGTGAGAAACACCCAAGAATGATCAATAAAAAAAAAAAAAAGAAAAAAGAAAAAGTGAGATTAAAGGAGAGAAGGATGGGGAGGCAATGATAGAGACAGGAGACAGCCAAGGGTCCCCAGCAAAACCACACCTTCAATCCTAAAACAGCCTGAAGGCTGAGGGACCGGACTGCTGGTCCCAGATGAAACCTACAACCCAGAGGGAGAACTGCCCCTGTTTGCCCACCCTTTCCTGACTAGTTCTTTCTGAATAATGCCTACTTGCACACTGGGAAAATGGGGCGGAGCCATAGGAAGTTCATGCCTTATGCCAGGGGAGGAGGCCGGTCTTTTCAGCTTTTGTGTGTGGTGGCCTGGTATTCAACCTGGGAGGTAGGGGCCCATTAGCAGGATGCCTTGTCACTTTGCTCAGTTTTTTTTTTTTTTTTTTCCTTTTCGCCAATGAATCCAGCCCTCCTCAGCCTTCAATGTGTCCATGTGCCTAATTTCTCCTGGTTGTGACACAAAAACCTGGATTTAGCTAAACTAAGGAGCAAAACTTCTACATCAGTTTGGTGGCACATCTGGGGATCAAGGAAGGGTGAGTAAGATGTGAACAAAAAAATATTTTTCCCTTTCATTTCTAAGCCTTTTCGTCCTTGGACTTCTGAGGGTAGAGGAAACTGCACACCACCCGCCCCCCAATAGCCGCAGGCATGCATGAGATGAATGGGCAAATAGCAGCTCCCCAGCCCCCTTCTCCTCCCCCTGGTGCTAAGGCGCATGGCCCAAGGGTGCCAGGAGGCAGACTGGCTTGCATTTGCCACCACACATCCACAGTGTCTTCCCCTCCCCTGGCCAGGGGTCCAGCTGTCAGACAGCAATTAAGTTAGTCTCCCTGTTAGAGGAACCTATTTGCATAAGAATAGGAGGTTCTTCTGCATACATCTTTTTTCTTCTCTCTACCCTGTCAGCAGTTAACACAGCCCTGCATTTAAGCTATTTTTTTTCTTTTCTCCACCAGGTCAGGAGTTAACTTTAATGCAAGACGATTTTTTTCTTTTTAGAAGACATTTTACGAGGCCAAGCCCCTAACTAACAGTTTATATTCTCTGTAAAGTTTTAATTATGAAAAAGGATTTGTGAGGTTGGTCTTAAGCTGTAGCCAATCTGGTGTGCTTTGCATGTCTTTCTGTATGGTCAGTAGCAAACTTTGCTGCAGGCTTCCATCTTGTTTTACATCCTTGGAAGTGTGACCTGTAACCACGTGGCAATGCTTTGTTTTAGCTTTTGCCGTTTTACAATGGTGGCCCAGGTTCAATCCTGGCTGAGGGAATGAGTCTTTTCTGGTTTGATATCTGCATTATTTTTATCATTTGTTGATTCTCTTTCCCTCCATGAACCACCTTGGATTTTCCTTTCTCTGAGCACCTGGGAGGTCACCTTTAGTAAAGTTTGAAAGCCAGAAATATTGGCCACTTGGCACAGCTAAAATTGGGTAACAAGGGATTTAAAAGGATTTTCTTAAAGAGCACTCAGCTTAATTAAAAGTGGATATCCAAGTTATAGGTATATTTAAAAGGCCGTTATATTTGTCTCTTCTTGGTTCTTGTTTTGCTGGAAAGGGGTTTAGGGTTTTATCTCAGTTGACTGAATTATTTCTTTCCATTTTGCCTTGCCACTCTTAATACACAAGAAGAGAGAGACCTCTGTTTTCCCCATGGATCCCTCTCAAAATCTGTTTTTGCCTTCCAGCTGTACCTGTTTATTAGACCCTAAAAACTGCATGTTTTCCTAGCCTTGCTCTTGAAGGGCTCCACCCAGAGGCAAATAATCCAATTAGGAGGTTGGCAAAAGGAAAAGTCTTATGGTTACTGGGTTTTCTTTGCCTGTCTGTGTAGTTATATATATGCTGTGTGTGATGTCTATTAAAAAGAGATCTAATTAATTTACTTAAAGAAGGATAAGTGCTTGGATCAAATATTTTTTAAAGGGAAGATAAAAGCTGTGGTAACTTTTAGTTCACATGACTTTAGTGTTTGAGAAATAAAAACAGCCTTAAAGATTATTGGTAAAATGCCATCAAAATGTAAATAGGTGGACTAAATTATGCAGATCAGATACTAGGTTTGCAAAAGGCTTTAAGGCTATAAACTGCTTTGTGGTTTTTGAGAACTGTTCGACTTGCCTGCTTCAAAACCAGTAAGGTCTGAGGACATATGGAATTAACCACACCCTAAATTATGCTAGAAGTCAAAACTTGGCTGTACCTAGTACATAATTAAAACAACTTGCTGGGCATGGTGGCTCATGCCTGTAATCCCAGCACTTTGGGAGGCCGAGGCGGGCAGATCACAAGGTCAGGAGATCGAGACCATCCTGGCTAACATGATGAGACCCCGTCTCTACTAAAAATACAAAAAATTAGCCAGGTGTGGTGGCGGGTGCCTGTAGTCCCAGCTACTCGGGAGGCTGAGGGAGGAGAATGGCGTGAACCCAGGAGGCAGAACTTGCAGTGAGCCAAGATCGTGCCACTGCACTCCAGCCTGGGCAACAGAGTGAGACTCTGTCTCAAAAAAAAAAAAACAAAAATAAAAAAAACTTACCAGGTTTTACATTAAAGTTTAAAAATGCTAGGAGTTACCATTGTAACATATAATGAAGACTACTGGAAATAGATTTGTGAGAAATACATGTGAGGTGTATAAGAACAGTAAAATACGTTTTTAATAAAAGATTATAGGAAGGTGTGGAAATGTAAAATTCTTGCCTAAGGTTAAACGATTGTTTTGAATTAGATAAAATAAAGCTAAAAGTTCAAACAAGTTGTAAAAGGAATGTAAAAATTAATCTTGCAAAAGAAATTCTGTGTGTGAACACATTGGCTAAATTCAAATATGGCTTTTCTGTAAATTAAACATTGAAATAAAAGCACAAGGTACTGAGCACCAATCTGCTCTTTAGTAAAATTTGTAAAGAGTTATAAAAGGTTTCTGCTTTTAAATTTCTTTTTTTTTTTTTTGAGATGAAGTCTCACTCTGTCACCCTGGCTGGAATGCAGTGCCACAATCTCGGCTCACTGCAACCTCTGCCTCCTGCGTTCAAACGATTCTCCCGCCTCAGCCTCCTGAGTAGCTGGGATTATAGGCACCCACCACCACGCCTGGCTAATTTTTGTATTTTTAGTAGAGACATGGTCTCATCATGTTGGCCAGGCTGGTCTTGAACTCCTGACCTCAAGGGATCCACCTGCCTTGGCCTCCCAAAGTGCTGAGATTACAGACTTGAGCCACCGTGACCTTCCTGCTTTTACATTTCTGAGTCATCATTTTGGCAAAATAAATAAGTTATGGTAATCTGGAATTCTATTTCATAACATCAAGTGTTTTAAACTTCTAACATTTAACAAGCTTCCCAAAATCAAACTTCTATTTCAAAATTGTCTTTCCTGACACCTGCCTTTTGGATGCTATAGAGGGCCCCTGGAACATCCAGAAGAGAGGTAAACAGAATTACCGGACATGTCTAGGTACATGGGATTGCCAAAATGTTGTTTAATCTTCATATATTAATATTCACTAACCTATATTACCTATATTAATATAGGTTATTAATATTAATAGATAATTAATATTAATATGTAATTAATATTAATAACCTATATTAATATAGGTTTAGTGAATATTAATATACGTTCCAAAATTGTATGGGATTTCTAAAATTCTAATGCCTGAGTATATGCTATCAATCACAAGGTGGTTAAATTATTGTAAACCACAGAAATAAACCAAATTTCTTTGTCAATCATGTTTCTGACTGTAACTACCCTGGACATTTTGTTATTTATAGATGATTGTTGTTTTTATCATCTTCAGAAGATGGTGTGTAATCAGCTATAGAACTTTAACAGGTGCTCTCAAATGCAGGTTTCTGATATCTTTGAAGATTGTGACACTGGAATAAAGGAAAACATACAGGACTCATGAAGAGCTGACATGTTCGTGAATATCAAGCAAAACAAGAGTTAATGGAATGGACTGAACTAATAGAAAACTGAAATAATCTTTTTTACTTTTGCTTGGAACACTGCTGATTCTCATTTTGTTTTTCAGACTCAAGGAAGCTTATTTTGAACTATTTATGGCCTTTAATAATTGAGTAAGGTAAACTCCTGTGAACAAAATTTGGAGCATCTCTCTCTCTCTCTCTCTCTCTCTCTCTCTCTCTCTGCCTGGCTTCTCCAGAATTTAGAAACTAGTTGTGAGTATTCTTAACTTATGGCAATATAGTTATTTGCATCAGTGCAATAAGAATCCCTTTTCTTTTGCAACATGACACAATTGTAGAAACTGGTTGTCTTACCAAGGCTTTGACTGGAAGGGTGTGCTTCCCTTTAAGGAGTGAAGCTCAACTGGTAGAGCCAATAAAAGCCCCTTGGGAAAACTGGCCTCACACCTTGTCTACACAGTCCCTGTACAGGGTTCCTGACTTGTGATAAGTAAAGAATGTCACTTTCTGACAGGCCCAAGAGCTCCAACTTTATCTCAGGACCTTAAGAGGAGAGGATCACCCAACTCACAGGTATTTGATGGTACAAACCCATGGCTAGGCTCGGTTTTAGAAAGATTGAAATTTCTTGTGGATCAGAGTTCCATCAAGGCCAATCTACCAGGCCTATGTAAAAATAATTATTTTTGCTGTACTTTATGCAAACAATCAAGCCAAGTATAAGACTAAAGTCTATTCTGCAAACAACTCAGTCCTATCATGGTTTGTTTTTAACAGAAATGAGGACTGGAAACAGAGAAATTATGTTTCAAAACTTATCATACATTTGTCATTAACTTCTAGATTCATTCGTTGTTTTCAAGTTTTTGCCTACATTTTAGACTGACCCTGCTAATTCCTGTGAACCATCCAGTATCTCCAACTATAGCTCAGAAGGAACAAAATGGCATGGATAATCTGGATCAATATTTTAACACTAGCAATTATCCTGCAGACCCTGCGGGGTGATGGGAATAAATAGAGCGCCCATCAGCCGGAGGTTTCCTTTTGGGGAAAGACCAAGGGAGCTAACCACAGCCAAGCCACATGCACCCAAATCTTAGCAAGCATAACTACAGCCACCAGTTATCAGGGTGTGTCACAATACATCCTTTTCTCTCCCTTGTTAGAGGAGCACTCAATTCCACAGCTTCACCTTAGTATTCAGCTTATGATAAGGAGTCCATGCAATGCCCCTAAGACACATTTTTGTCCCAAACTCAATTCCAAGCTTCGGGTCAAAGTCCTAGGAAAGAAAACTGGATCTGAGGGATCCAGAGGCAGACAATAACAAAAGTTAAAAGACACAGTGCAGGTAAGTGTGACTGATTCCTGTCAACTAAGCCAAGCTTCCCATTTCACAGATAAAGTTCATGCTAGTATCCATGGCATAAATGATGTCTAGGGAATTCAAAGGCTACTGACAGCACAGGAGATAGGGCATACATGGGTAAGAGTGAATATTCCCAGCCCCTAGGCCCCCGTTAACATGGATGGAAGCCACTTTAGCACCCATGGGCAACACACTGTCACAGTCACTGGGACTCAGGGATACAAGGATGGAGGAAAGGAAGAGGAGAGGAACACCTCACTTTCCCTCATGTACTGTGGGTATTTGCTAGGAAGAGAAGGGAACCTGGGATGCCTCGCTCTCTCCTTTCTAAATGAGTAGCCATTCATCTTCAGTCTGTATCCCTTTCAAATGCATCCTGAACCCCTGGGACTCCTTTAGAAAAAACACCTTTTTTTTTTTCCTCCTCTGTTATTTCTTCACAGATACGTAATCGTATCTCTGCACTATGGGACACTTCCCTTGGCTACATCCTCTAAACTGGGAAAAGTTAATTTCCCAAACCTTAAACTGGTTGGCTTAGGATTGGGCTTGGGGAAGGGAACCCAGAAGCCTCACATGCCAGCAAAAGGGTAAAGTTTTTGTTATTGTTGTTGTTTTTATCAGCCAGGCTTTTGGCTTCCCTATCCCTATGCAAACTGATAAAAGGCCTCAGGATTTTTGAGCTGTCCTTACCCTCCCCTTGTTTTGTTTTGATACCTGTTTTCTAATAACCCAGTTTGTCTCTTCTTGCCTTCAGGACATCAAACTCGAAACGGTCATACAACCAGAGCCTCAGACAATGGCCCCTTTTGCCAGAGACCCTTAGATAGGCCTCTGTGGGAGTTCTGACTGCTGTCTTCCCAAAACAGCACCCCCTGCCAGAAGGAAGCAGTTAAGATTGATATTTGTCCTCATCCTTATGCTTATCTAATGGCAATTAGATGTACTTCTTTAGAGAAGAGCGTGATAGAGGAGACAGTCAACAGTCACTGGCAAACCTCACCTTCAAGCCTAAAACAGCTCGAAGGCTGAGGGACTGGACTGCTGGTCCCAGATGAAACCCTCGACCCTCAGGGAGAACTGCCCGTTTGCCCACCCTTTCCCAACTGACTCTTTCTGAATAATGCCCACATGCACACTGGGGGAACGGGGTGGAGCCATGGGAAGTTCTCACCCTGTGCAGTGGGGAGGAGCCTGGTCTCTTCAGCCAATGTCTGTGGTGGCCTGCTATTCAATCTGCGAGGTGGGTCGGGGGGTTCCCTCTGTTAGCAGGACCCCCTCTCACTTTGCTGAGTTTTTTTTTTTTCCTTCTCACCCAATAAATTCAGCCCTCCTCACCCTTCAATGTGTCTGTGTGCCTAATTTCTCCTGGTCATGACACAAGAACCTGGATTTAGCTAACTAAGGAGCAAAAATTCTGCATCCGCAACACAGGTTTAGGGTCTTCTATTTTAAAGGATCAGGGAAGCCCTCTAACAAGATGACATTTAGGCAGACTGGAATAGAGGAAGCCAACCATATAGATATCTGGGAGGAGAGAGTTCTAGCAGAGAACAGGTAGTACAGACTACAAGGTGAGACTATACTTGGACTTTCTCTGGATAGGAACAAAACAGAAAGAGTACAAGCAAATGTGGGTGATGAATCATAGGCAACAAAGAGACCAAAGGTGCAGAAGGCCAGATGACATTGGGTCTTGTAGGTCACAGAAAATAAGTACTTGGGATTTCATTCCCAGTGAGATGGGAAATCACTGGAAAACTTTGATCAGGATGTGATGTGATCTTATTTTTAAAAGGATCACTCTGGATGTTCCATTGAGAGCACACTGTAATGCACAGGTGAAAGCAAGAAGGCTACTGCAAGTCTGGGGAAGTTCTCAAACTTGACTTGCATCAGAAGCACCTGTGATTTGTTAAATCACAGATTAATCATACAAAAACCTGTACACAATTGCTCACAGCAGTTTTGCTTGTAACAGCTAAAAATTGGGAGCCCAGATGTCATCCTTGTACATCCATCCCGTGGAATACTACTCAGCAATAAAAAGGAAAAAACTATTTTGATAAATCTACAGAGAATTATGCTGACTGAAAAAAGCCAAACCCAAAAGCTGTCTGATTCCATTTATAGAACTTGCTTGACATGACAAAATTATAAAAGTAGTCAACAGATTTCCTGGTTGCCAGGGGTTAGCGGTAGGGGCAGGGTAGGAGGAGAAAGGTTGACTATATCCCACCATACAAGGGATCCTTGTGGTGATAGATGTTCTTTCTTGACTTCATCAATGTCAATATCCTGATGCTGACCACAGTTTTGCAAGTGTGAAAGGAAAATAAATCTTGGGACACCAAAATCACTAAGCTAAAGGGAAAAGTCAAGCTGGGAACTGCTTGGGACAAACCTGCCTTCCATTCTATTCAAAGTCATGCTTCTGTCCACTGAGATTAACATATATCTGATTGACTCATTTGGAAAGGCTAATCAGAAACTCAAAACAATGCAGCCATTTGTCTCTTATCTACCTGTGACCTGGAAGCTTCCTACCTCACTTCGAGTTGTCCCACCTTCCTGGACCAAACCACTATTTATCTTACATATATTGATTGAAGTTTTGTGTCTCCCTAAAATGTATAAAAACAAGCTGTGCCCCAACCACCTTGGACACATGCCATCAGGACCTCCTGAGGCTGTGTCACAGGTGCACGTCCTTAACTTTGGCAAAATAAACTTCCTAATTAACTGAGATCTGTCTCCGATAATTGGGGTTCACACAAGATATTACCATTGGGGGAAACTGTAAAGGATACAGGGATCTTTCTGTATCATTTCTTACACTGTATACAACTCTACAATTTTCTCAAAATATGCTTAAAATAATGTTTGAGGAAATGAAACACACAGGCATACCCACATTGCTGGGCTTCATCACCAGTTTCTGATTCAGGTCTGGAGTAAGACTTGAAAATGTGCATTTTAACAAGTTTCCAGGTGAAGCTAGTCTGGGACCAGCTATGAAAATCACTTGTTTAGAAAATAATATCCTGGGGCAGGTATTATTGTTCCTATCTTGTGGAAGAAACCTAAAGATTAAGTGACTTCAGCCAAGCGCGGTGGCTCACGCCTATAATCCCAGCACTTTGGGAGGCAGAGGCAGGAGGATAGCTTGGGCCCAGGAGTTTCAGACCTGCCTGGGCAACACAGAGGCCTTGTTCTCCCCACAACAGGAAAAAACAAAAGTGACTTCACCAAAGGTTCTAGAACTGACAGGGCCAGGACTTAAATCAGGTCCTACCAGCTCAGTGTTTTTCCATGAGCTAATCAAGGTCAGGAATAATCTCAATCATAAGGACTCTCTAGTGTCTAGCACAGAACAGAAATCAATAAATGCTTGAATTGTACTGTCCTAAAAACTAAAACTCATAAAATGTGGGAGCTTAAACATTTCACAAACTTTATAATATATACATACACATTAAACTGTGTACTAGTCTCAGCTCTTAGGCTGTGCCCTGAAGAAGTGCTTAAACTCTGTTCCTAGCTTCCGTAGACCTGAGATCAGGGAGCTGGTTCCTTCCTACTTAATTCTGGATGCCTTATTTTAAAATCTTCTGAGGTTTTACAGATAGCTACAAGGTGTGAAAGGAAAATAAATCTCAGGACCCCCAAAATCACTAAGCCAAGAGAAAAGTCAAGCTGGGAACTGTCAGGCCAAACTTCCTCCTGTTTTATTTGTAAATAAGACAGCCACAAAGAAAAGAAGCTACATACCTCCCTCACAATTTGCCCACAGGAAATTTCTTGTGGACAAAGGACAGACAGAACTCAAAGTCATCCCTCTGAGACTCACCTGACACAAATGCATATGACTGCTTCCTCTGCACTATTTATGTAAAAATGCAGACTCATTGAGCCAGACTAAATTGTGTATTCAGGCTGACCAAGGACTCAAAAGAAAGCAACCTTTTGTCTCTTACCTACTTATAACCTGGAAGCCCCCACTTAGAGTTGTCCCGCCTTACCAGACCAAACCAATGTACATCTTAGACATACTGATTTATGTCTCACATCTCCCCAAAATGTATAAAAGCAAACTACGTACCCCGACCACCTTGGGCACACCTCCTCAGGACTTCCTGAGGCTGTGTCATGGGCGCATCCTTAACCTTGGCAAAATAAACTTTCTAAATTGACTGAAACCTGTCTCAGACATTTGGGGTTCACAAAGGTCATCCTTAAAAGAACACAACCAGATGGGGCGCAGTGCCTCACACCTGTAATCCCAGCACTTTGGGAGGCTGAGGCAGGCGCATCACAAGGTCAGGAGATCGAGACCATCCTGGCCAACACGGTGAAACCCCATCTCTACCAAAATACAAAATATTGGCCAACTGTAGTGGCATGCACCTGTAGTCCCAGCTACTCGGGAGACTGAGGCAGGGGAATCACTTGAACCCAGGAGGTGGAGGTTGCAGTGAGCCAAAATCACACCACTGTGCTCCAGCCTGGTGACAGAGCGAGACTCCATCTCAAAAAACAAAAAAATAAAAAATAAAAAAACCACAACCAGTTGTTTACCCTTCACATTACTATGTAATCAAAACAGATACCTGACACAGCTTTCTCAATTTCTGAAAATCCCAAGTGAGAAACAGAAGAAAAACGTATAAACAAAATACTTACTAAACAAAAATTCCCTGACAATGCACTTGGCAAAAAGGATTGGGGGGAACTACAAACTTAAGCAATTCTATGGAATTTTAATACAGTTTTCAGCAAAATTACACACGCCTAGATTCACAAAGATGCTGAAGCAGTTACGTTAAGTACTTACCAAAACTGATTTCCTGCAGTTAGCTCTCAAGAATTCCACTTTAAAATCCCTTTATGCAACAAGACACCACAATAGTCTTCTATGTCTCCATGGCAAAGGTAACAAGCCTTGAGGAAATAGGCTTAAATAGCTAAGAGGGTTTTACATTAGAAATAAGAACTTTCTGGTGATGGCAGCTCCCAGCACCTGAGAGGGATTATAGTCATGATCATGCCTAAACACTGGATGCTTAAAATATTCAACCCAATAGGCTCTTTCCAAACTGTCCGTTTCAGGTTCTACTTTCTTGTATTAGTAACAATGGCCAAACGTAGTAAATAACGCTATTTTGTTAGAAGAACGGAAAAAACTAAATAATAAAAGTAGGATTCAAATACAGGTGAAGGTCCCAGGAAACCAGTGTCTAGAACTGAAAACTAGTTTCCATTAATTAGCTGCCTTTCCTTCTACCAGAAAATAGTGCTACTATTCCATGTAGCTCTCCACGGGCTCTTGCCCAGCCAGCTCTAGTTTCCTAATATAACTGAGGGAAACTTTAGCCTCACATTTAACCTACAAATAAATCACACAACTCTCCAGTGCCATTCCCACCCCCTAGCAACAGAGCCGCCAGGACCTTTATTTCTTGCAGTCAGAACTTTAATGCAGAGGAGGAAGTAACAGCTTGGTTTGTCACAAACAGAACTATCTGTATTCTTACTACCTCGGAATATCCTAGAAGGAGTTATTAATTCACTGCAAAGGGAAACTGTAATCCATATGTTAGGTCAATGGGCAGGAATAACTTGGAAAAATTTTTTTATATCGTGATCCACCCGCCCTGGCCTCCCAAAGTGCTGGGATTTACAGGCTTAAATAGCACCTAGGTACACACATAAATTCCCTGTTTTGAGAAAGTACCAAAAGGCTTAATTTTTACCTGATAATCCTAGCATGTTCAATTCAAAAAAGACTCAAGCATAACACTGTTAAAAACATTTATTCTGATACATTCTATCATAAGTTAGTACAAGTTCCACTCTGCTACAGATGCGTCTGTGAAGAGCCTTGTGCCATCCAACTAGTGACTGAATGATGTCCCATCTCTTATCCGAGCCAGAGCACACATCTTCCATGCTGTCCGCTGATTGCCTCCAAATCCAGAAGACCAAATAATCCTTTATCCCCAAAGTAGGCTAAAATGTTTGTGAAGAGAAGAAAGAAATTAAATTCCGAAATAAAAATCTTCTAGACATAACCTAAGACCTAGAAAATTTTATACATTTATGTTTGTTTCCTCATCTATCAAATTCAGTTGTGAAAGACAAGGATCAATCCCACTGAACAAACAAATTAAATATACAGAACTGTATTCAAATACACTTTTCTTTTGAGCACAGTTACCTATCATAAACAAAAACAAAAATGTGAGCAGACATAAAATGAAGTCAATCAAAAGGAAAACGATTACTGATTTCCATTAACAGGTAGGCCTGATAAACCCAGAAAACAAAGCTATCTCATTACTAGATGCAGTATCAGTAATACTAAAATAACATTTATTGAATGGTTTCTGTGCATTAGACACTGAGGAAAGTTCACAACTCCCAACTACGATCCCTATTTTAATGTGGGAATTGAGGCTCTGAGATAGTTATATATCATTTAAGTGGGTAGAGTGCGATGTGGCCTAAGTGCCCTTACAACCATTAAGTTCCTGGGGAGCAATTAGCCTCCACTTCCACCTCAACTAACTCTTACCCCAAACATTCCAGCCACTAAGAAGCCCAAACTCCCAAATCATTTGCTGACTCCAATAGAGTGTAGGAAGGAGAAAAGAGATGGTTTCATTTCTAAATCCTGCTGCTTAAAAATGTAGCCCAGTTGAATAAAACTGCATTATTAAATGACACTGACAGTTTTGTAAAGTTTATTTTTAAAAAATATTTTCCCTGTGCCTAAGAAGAAAACACACATCTATTTCCAATTTTCAAATGTGTATTAAAATCGCCTCTTAAACCCTAAGTATTTTTGCACACAGTTAAGATATGAAAATAAATTATTGGCCAGGCATGATAGTTCATGCCTGTAATCCCAGTACTTTGGAGGCTGAGGTGGGTGGATCGCCTGAGCCCACGAGTTCGAAACCAGCCTGGGAAACATGGTGAAACCCTGTCTCTTAAAAAAAAAAAAAATACAAAAATACAAAAATTAGCCGGACTTGGTGGTGCATGCCTGTAATACCAGCTACTCAGGAGGCTGAGGCAGGAGAATCGCTTGAACCTGGGAGGCGGAGGTTGCAGTGAGCCGAGATTGTACCATTGCACTCCAGCCTGGGTGACAGAGCAAGACTCCGACTCAAAAAAAAAAAAAAAAAAAATTAGCCAGGTGTGGTGACGCGTGCCTGTGGTCCTGGCTACTCGGGAGGCTGAGGTGGGAGGACCACCTGAGCTCAGGAGGTCAAGGCTGCAGTGAGCCATGACTGCGCCACTGCACTCCAGCCTGGGTGACAGAAAAAAACACACAAAAAAAGATCTATGAAGGTCTCTTCTTCAATGGTAATGGGCAGCAAAAATATAAAAAGGAAATCTTGCTCAGCCTTATGCAGATAATGGAAATGATTCTCTTAACCTTGATAGTCACATATTTTGCCTAAATGTTTTACAAAGACACTGCCCCTTATATATTAAAGTACTTTTGAATAAGGCATTCATGTCAACCAATATTTGCTGACCACATACAATGAGTCATCCTGGGTGAAAGAGGATACTAAGATGAATGTGGTCCTAATCTCAAACAACCCAACAACCTGGCAAGGGAAACAAACTAGTAGATAATTAACTGTATTATTTACATAAGTATTATATAAACAATAAATATATGTAGAAACAACAGACTTTATATTAATAAACAATAAATTTTACGTTAATAAAAACCATAGCAGGTATAATTCTGTTCCTTTCAGAGTACAGATTAGGCAGCTCAGATCTCTCTAGTCACTCTTCCCAGTGCAGGGAGCACAGTACATGAAATTCCGTAACTGAGTAACCCTTTGCAGGCACTCACTCACTCAATTCTTTCCTAAAACACAAATGCCTCTGGAGGGAAACCAGAAGATGCTCTTAATGACAGAAAAGATCAAGAGGGTTAGTATCAGGAAGGAGAGAAGCACTGAGAAGACAATAAGATGAAGAAATGAAAAGCAGTAGGACAGGGATGCTTCATCTAGTCGCTGAAGGTTCAAATCTTGTTGGGATAAATGCAGCCCCAAAAAAGGACAACAGAAAGACACATTCTTGCCCCACTTCTGTATCCTAAATCACCCAGGGCACAAAAAAGTGTTATTTCCTAGCATGCAGGTCCAGCCTAAAATTTGTACAAGATGCAATGCTTTGTCAATTCCTGTCCAAAGGACCACCAAGACGGCCAGGTGCTGTGGCTCATGCTTATAATCCTAGCACATTGGGAGGCCCAGGTGGGAGGACTGCTTGAGCCCAGAAGTTCGAGACCAGACTGGGCAACACAGTGAGACCTTCTTGCTACAAAAAAAACTAAAATAAAATATAAAAAACCCACAGAAGACCATCAAGAGATGAGGGTCATTAGTTAATTCAATGCTTGTTGAGCAACTACTTTAGGTGCTTATGAGACAAAATATAGTTACAAGCATAATACAAGGCAGAGAATGACAGATACAAAAGGATACTATGGGGCTGGGTGCAGTGGCCCATGCCTATAATCCCAGCACTTCGGGAGGTCGAGGCAGGATCACTTGATCCCAGGAGTTTGAGACCAGACTAGGCAACAGGGCGAGATCCTGCCTCTATAAAAATTAAAAAAAAAAAAAGAAACTATGGAAACACAAAAAACAGAGTAGTTTTAGCTAGGAGGAAAGAAGGAAGAGATTTACAGAAGGGGCGACATTTGAGATTGGGCTTTTCTAGAAGCAGATTTCCATCCAGTGGAAACTAAGGGGAAAAAGCATTCCAGGCTGAGGGAGCACAAGCATAGGAACAAAGGCATAAAAATATATATAGTTTATTCTGGGACTTAGCATGCAGTATCATATAGCTAGAGCACTGTTTTCATAAGGAAATGGGGATAAAAAAGATGACACTGAAAAGGTTAAAAATTACTATTAATAGTTTACTGATCACGTATTACTTGACAAGTACTGCTAATACTTTATATATAATATTCAATGCTCATGGCTACCTTATTAGGTAGGTATTATTATCCCCAACTGATAAAAAGGGGAGATGACAGCTTAGAAAGGTTAATGGCTTCTTGGAGGAAGGTATTTGATGATAATTTCCAATACTTGGAAAATGTCCACACAGCTTGACTCAGTAGTCCTCTCTTATGTTTCCCAAGGTAATGTTTCTCTAAGGAAATAACTGGTCTAAGGCCAAGGCCACTCAACTAGTAGGCAGAAGATATATTACCTCAATCGCTATTTTACAGAAAAGAAAATTGATAGATCAAAGAGTAAGGGCTAAGAAAAAAGGACTTAGTGGGGAATCTCTGAAAACAGTTTCTAAAAGTCATGCCATAAACAGTTAAAGGAAGAGAGGGAGGTGAAGAAGGTAGTGTGTGAAGATCATTTGTTGAAAAACTTTATCAGGGAAAACAGAATAACTGCAGAAGTGAACAATTTGAAAGCACATATTGTAGTACCCTTTGAGAATAAAAAAGACCTTCCTCTGAAAAAGAAGAGAGCAGCAAGGCAGATGTGGTGGAGGAAATTCATATCAGATAGTATTGTGCTAAGTTAAGAAAGAGGTAAAATTACTTGGGGAAGGCCACATGATCCAGTGGAAAGAATGTGAGCTTTGGAAATAGAACATATTCCACCACCTACTGACTGTATAACCTGCTCTGAAGGACTGAAGTTGACAACTAGACACATTGCATAAAAAGCACCTAAAGCAGTGGCTGACACATTCTAGGTGATAGTGAATAACATATTTTCTGCCCACTCTAGAAAAACATGGCTTCGAGTAAAAGTTCGAAGAAAATGAATAAAGCCCTAGAATAGTCAGTGAACAGTCTGTGAGGGCAACCCACAAGAGATGTCTGAGACAGGATCAAGGAGAAATCCGATTCACTAGTGTGCAGTAGTCATGGTCATCATAGTGCCACAAGTATCAGTCGTTCCTCCAGAGCAAACCTGCCTGTTTGAGATTATACCTATATATATAATTTTCATAAGTATGCACATATACGCATACATATGTATATGAATATGTATACTGTGTGTGTGAAGTTTTCACAAGTGTTTACACATACCAGCAAGATCATTTCTGAGAAAGGAATCTGACAGTCAAGAGCCACAAATGCTCATACTTTATTAATCCCATGACAATTTATAAGGAAATCAAAATCTATAAAAGCTATGTACACACAAATGTTAATTATTTACTTTTTTTTTTTTGGTAGAGATGGGTCTCGCTACGTTGCCCAGGCTGGTCTTGAACTCCTAGCTTCAAGCAATCCTCCCATGATCTTCCCACCTTGGCTTTCCAAAGTGCTGAGATTACAGGTGTGAGCCACCACACCCTGCCCAAATGTTAATTGTATTGTTGTATAAAATACTGAAAAATTGAAAAACCTATGTAAACCGCAACTGGAAAACATATGGGACAGCCAACTAAAATTTTAGGTGAAAACAAAATCCTGCATACCCTTGTCAGAGCGATATAAAAGGTTGTATTCATCTGAATGAGGATAAGACGGGAATATGAGAAATTTAAAACAGTTCGTATTTTAAAGTGGTAGGATAATAAATTCTTTTTCTGTTAAAATATGCTTCATTGTAGTTATAACATGGTACAGTAAATACAAATTAGGAGGGGGAAGAGAAAGTAGTTGCAGTTTTCCAATAGCCCAAAACTATACTGACTGATAAAGCTCCATTTCAAGGCCTGCCACTATTACTCTTTTACATCTTAGTGATTCAGTACTACTGTATGAACATTTGTCCTGAAATGTTTAGTTTTAAGAGCAGTACCTCAAAACAGTTGGTTCAGGCATTCCGGGATCTGCACCCCTCTTAAATCCTGAATCAAGGAAGACAGAAGAGAAAAAATATTAATTAAAACCCCAGCAGACAAAACATTTACAATCAAGACTTTTTCTTCTTTGTAATCCAACCTAGGATAGTTAGAATGATATCTAGACCAACCAGTACTATCTAAATTTACCTACGCTACAGAAGTCTCCAATCTTCATTAGAGTATGAAATTATGTCCAGGACTAATCAGTAGGAAGAACAAGCTATCTTATTCCTTTCTTTTTGAGACAGAGTCTCACTCTGTCACCCAGGCTGGAGTGCTGTGGTATGATCTCGGCTCACTGCAACCTCTGTCACCTCTGCCTCCCAGGCTCAAGCTATTCTCCTGTCTCAGCCTCCTGAATAGCTAAGATTACAGGCACGTGCTGCCACACCCAGCTAAATTTTTTTGTATTTTTAGTAGAGACAGAGTCTCACCATGTTGGCCAGGCTGGTCTCAAACTCCTGACCTCAAATGATCCACCTGCCTCGACTTTCCAAAGTGCTGGGATTACAGGTGTGAACCATCATGCCCCGACGAAAACAAACAACTTTTTCAGTGAGCCACTGCACACGGCCATTATTCCTATTATATACACAATTGGCACAGTTGCCCTTAGCATGTTCTATCTTTCATTATTAGTCATTTACCCAGAAATAAGATACCACAACTCCCAAATTATACTGGATGAAAGACTATGAAGAGCAAAATGATTTTTGGAAAAACACACAACTAAACTTTTTAATTTTTTTAGAGACAAGGTTTCACTATACAGTTCAAGGCTGGTCTTGAACTCCTGGGCTCAAGTGATCAGCCTCCTCAGCCTCTCAAAGTGCTGGGATTACAGGCGTGAACCACCATGCCTGGAGGAAAAACTACTGAACTTTTTAAAAAACACAACTGAGGATATTTTATCCCCCATAAACCTCTCCTTTTATAAAACAAAGACCAATGATAGAAAAAGGACGGGGTGGAGGGCGGGGGGGTTGGCGGCAGGGGATGGATCATCCAATACTTATTATTTAACAACCTAATTAAATCAACTCGTTACAAGTATGGTTAAGTATATCTTTTACCATTTAAAATATATTTATAAATTAACCTGATGACATATATGTTCACTTGTTGAAGCAACTGACTAAGTTAGGGAGGTTTCAAGAACTATGAGGGGTCTGCAATTTTATCTTATTTAAAAGATAAAAAATAGTATATGTAATAGGGAATAAAAGTTAATATTTAAAAAAAAAATCTTCTGTGACTTAGACCATTAAAATAAATAAAAGATAACAAACTGGCCTGCCAATTTCACAGATGTTGGTATAAAACACTATTCTTTTTTTTTTTGAGACGGAGTCTCGCTCTGTCGCCAGGCTGGAGTGTAGTGGCACGATCTCAGCTCACTGCAACCTTCACCTACTCCCGGGTTCAAGCGATTCTCCTGCCTCAGCCTCCTGAGTAGTTGGGATTACAGGCATGCGCCACTACACCCAGCTAACTTTTGTATTTTTAGTAGAGACAGAGTTTCTCCATGTTGGTCAGCCTGGTCTCGAACTCCTGACCCCTGGTAATCCACCCGCCCCAGCCTCCTGCACATGTGGTGGATTGCACTGCAGGAGATTAACTGGAGTGTAGGGAACAAGAGTCTTTTATAATGGCCTGTAAGCATGTCTCTCTTTGCTCTGGCTGAAGGTACTATTTTCCAAGGCTCTTCTACAAACATCCTCAAAAGATAATATGGAACAAAGGGTCATCAGAGCCTCTGCTTATAAGATGTGCAGAAATGCAAGACACCATGGAGAATTGTCTTCCAACAAGCGGCTCATTAAAACCTTTTTGTTAGTAAATGTCCAGACAGATTCTCTATTATCGTGCCACTGCTTGTCATATTTTATAGCACTATACTCCCTGAAGCACTGAAAGTTATGATTGAACCTAAATTACACACAAAGTTAAATCCGCAGTTGCTGGTTTTAGTGAGAGTTGAGGTGGAGGAAGTAAAAGAACAACCTGGAGCCAGGTGTGGTGGCCCATTCCTATAATCCCAGCACTTTGGGAGGCCAAGATCGAAGATCACTTGAAACCAGAAGTTCAAGACCACCAGCCTGGGTAACACAGCAAGACCCTGTCTCTATTTCAACATGGGAACTGGTTTAGACATAAAATTAAATATACAGTATAAAGGAAAAGACAATGATAGACAAGTACTGGAAAGACAACCTTAACACCAATCTCATATAACTTGAATTGAATGTTGGGGTGAAAATCACCGTAACGGTAGTCCTAGGAAGGGAATATAGCCAGTGTGCATAAAATGAAAGATAAACTCTAGTATGGAAAAGGAATGCATTATCCACTCTTACACGAAGCCCCTGGCATGCAGATTGCAGCAACCAGCTACAGCTTTCTAGCAATAGAAACGGAATCTCAAAACAGGGAGGAGGAGGGAACAGTAGATGAAAAGACTTACAGAGAAGCAAAAAACCAAAGGGACACAAAAAGCAAGAGCACGCTAAAATAGGACCTCGTACACGCAGTGAAAAAAGGTGGCACAAAGAAGGGGAAGAATCAAGCTTCCACACCTCTCTTAGCTAAAAGGGGAGCTAGTCCCAGTGTTTGACCAGCCAGAGTAGGCCCTTCTATCAGTAAGTGAAAGAAGTGGGTGTGGGGGGAGGTGCTGCAAGAATAGTGGGGACAACACCAACTGTCATATTTACTCTAATCCTTGGTACCCATACAAAGTCACTAAAATCTAGAAAAGTAATGTTTTTTTAAAAAATTGCACCCAGAATAAGGGAGAAAAACGTCTTTTTAAGTTCTATAATCCCAGGTTATCAGTTGGCTTGCAACTCATGGAGAAATAGAAACCACAGCTGCTTAGTCAGAGTGTACTTTATCTTATACAATGCATGACACCTAAATTAAATAGGAAGCAGCACCTTGTTAAAACCATAGCATTTTAAAATGTGAAACTGAGTTTTACAATTGTCAAACTATATGCTCAAACTGACACAGCTGGGATGAAAAACCTGCTCTTTCCCTTTCACCGAACTGCCTGAGTGGGGCAGTAAAATTAAAAAGAAAAAACTTGGCCAGGCACGGTGGCTCACGCCTGTAATCCCAGCACTTTGGGAGGCCGAGGCGGGCGGATCACGAGGTCAGGAGATCGAGACCATCCTGGCTAACACGGTGAAACCCCGTTTCTAGTAAAAATACAAAATATTAGCCCGGCATGGTGGCGGGCGCTGTAGTCCCAGCTGTGCGGGAGGCTGAGGCAGGAGAATGGCGAGAACCCGGGAGGCGGAGCTTGCAGTGAGCTGAGATCGCGCCACTGCACTCCAGCCTGGGCGAGGCAGACCCCGTCTCAAAAAAAAAAAAAAAAAAGAAAAAGAAAAAACTACAGCCTGGCCGCGGTGATTCACACTTGTAATCCCAGCACTTTGGGAGGCCGCGCGCGGGGCGGAGGCCGGCTGGAGGGGAGGTAGCTAACTTGAGGCCAGGAGTTTGAGGCCAGCCTGGCCCACATAAGCAAAACCCCGTCTCTACTAAAAATATAAACATTAGCCGCGAGCGGTGGCTGCAAGTCTGTAATCACAGCTACTCGGGAGGCTAAGGGGGAAGGATCGCTTGATCCCGAGAGGCAGAGATTGCGGTGGGCAGAGATCGCGCCACTACACTCCAGCCTGGGCACACAGCGACTGTCTCAAAAAGGAAAAAAGGAAAAAAAAAGACAGAAAAGAAAAGAAAAAACTACAGAATAGGTCCCAGTCTGCAACCCTAACTGAAAAATATTAACAAATCCTTGCAGTAAGTGACCGAGCCTGTTGGCACCAGCCTGTAGTCCCAGCTACTTGGGAGACTGAGGTGGAAGGATCGCTAGAGCACAGGAGGGGAAGGTTGCAATGAGCCGGGATAGCGCCACTGCACTCCAGTCTGGGTGACAGAGCGAGACTCTGTCTTAAAAACAAAAACCAAAAAAACCCCAAATCCTTTAAGTGCGCTATAATGGTTAAGACTATGGGCTCTGATGCCCCACTGCCTGAGCCCCTAACTCCCTCAGTCAGCATAGCTGTGCGACCTTGGCAAAAAAGTTTCTCTACGGCTGTTTCCTCACCTGTAAAATGGGGGCAGTAATAGAAATCATCCAAACCCTTCATCGTACAGGTAAGAAAGCAGAGGCATCCAACGACTATTATTATAATCATGCTTTCATGGCAGTGGTACTTTCACGAGGTGTCTCGATTCCCTGAACAGGACTCTTTCCACTTAGGACCACATGGAGCGGTGAGGAAAAACACCCCGAGAACCACCTAGTGCTAGAGAGTGAATTAGTGACTTTCACATCCACTGGGGTCATCCAACCCTCCCTACAATCCCGAGAAATATGACCTCCACTTTAAGGATGCAAAAATAGAAAAGGAGGGATTGCAAGACTGCTTAAAGACCATGCAACTATAAAGCGATAGAACGGGAACTCGAACTCAGGTTAGATCGGCCCCACTTGACCAGACAGCCTCAGGGGCCGTGCACGGCAGTGTCCCCTATTTTTCTCTCCCTCCCCCGACGGCCAAAAATGGGGCTGCTGTCTCCGCCACCCTCTTCCCTCCAGTCACTTTCCCGGTTCTTCTCCCACTGACCCAGGTAAATCACAAGAGGGATAAAGCCCCAGCGAATGGCAAACTGGCTCCCCTTGAAGAGCTGCTGTAGTCTCTGCTTGGCCTCTTTGCTCAGCTTCACCATGGCGACGGCCGTGTGGCGCAGGGAGGACCCCTTACAGCAACCACAGCGTCGGGAATCCGAAAGGGAAAGGAGGTGCGCAGGCGCCACACACGGCCTTTACGGCAGGAGTCGTGAGCGTCGCCAGCAGAGGTCGTAATTCATCGCCTTTAACCTTCCCTGCTCTTCCGCCTCGCCGGCAGTAGTAGGCGCATGCGTGGTTGCGATCATGGCTGGCGGTAACTTCGCGTTTCTGTTACCCATTTTTAAAACGCATCTTCAGGTGTTCCTTCCTTCTCATGGAAGGAACATTAATTAAATTCAGAGGGACTGGGTTTTAGTCCTAACTCTTATTCCTACTGGCTGTGTAACCGTGGACAAATTATTTAACTTCTCAGAATCAGGTTGTTCAAACCTGAGGTTGAACTGCAAAAAGGTTACGAAGTGACACTCAGTAGGGCCCGAATCCATGTTTTCTTTGATCCCAATCTTTTTTAAAAAAATTTCTTTTAATTACTTGCCAACATTTTAGAATTTGGAAATCTCACATGAAATTCTGGACTTTTGAAGCTGAGGAATTCCATTGCAACAATCAAGGAGACTAAATAGGAAATGACACTTCTGTTTGGCCATCTTGCCCTCATTGGTTTAGAATGGCAGTGGTTCTCAACCCTGGCTGCACATTAGAATCACTTTAGGAGAGGTAAAACCATACTCACGCTGGAGACCTACTCCTAGAAATTCTAAAGAGTTTGGGGCTGGGAACTGGCCATTGATCTGCCTTTGAAGTTTCCCAAGTGATTCCCAACCTCTGATGTAATAAATTTCTGGCTGCTGTCGTATTTGAGATTTGACCCCCCCAGGTCTAAGACTTAATTGATTTTTAAGGCTGTAAGACATTTCTAAGACTTTGACTTTTAAGACTTTCCTGCCTCATTCTGAAGGTACGTAGTCGTTTTCTGTGCCCAATGTCTGTGCTCCTAAAAATTTCCCCTTGCTGACCTCTGTGGCTTGCGCCTGTAATTCTGGCTATTTGGGAGGCTGAGGCGGGAGGACCACTTGAGTTTGATGCTGCAGTGAGCTGTGATTGGGTCACTTGCTGTAAGCTCCCAAAGGGTTCACTTTGCCCGCTGCCTGGACAGAGCCGATTGATCAACACTGGGGAATTACAATAAAGAGTAATTCACGCAGAGCTGGCTGTGCAGGAGACCAGAGTTTTATTATTACTCAAATCAGTATCCCATAGCATTCGGGGATCAGAGTTTTTAAGGACAATTTGGTGCGTGGGGAGACAGCCAGTAAGTCGGAAGTGCTGATTGGTTGGGTCAGAGATGAAATCACAGGGAGTGGAAGCTGTCTTGTACTGCCTCAGTTCCTGGGTCGGGGCCACAAGATCAGATGAGCCAGTTTGCCGATCTGGGTGGTGCCAGCTGATCCATTTTGCAGGCTCTGCAAAGTATCTCAAGCACTGATGTTAGGCTTTACAATAGTGTTATTCCCAGGAGCAATTTGGGAAGGGTCAGAATCTTAGTTCCTGGGTTGGGACCACAAGATCAGATGAGCCAGTTTACCTATCTGGGTGGTTCCAGCTGATCCATTTTGCAGGGTCTGCAAAATATCTCAAACACTGATGTTAGGCTTTACAATAGAGTTGTTATCCCCAGGAGCAATTTGGGGAGGGTCAGAATCTTGTAGCCTCCAGCTGCATGACTCCTAAACCATAATGTCTAATCTTTTCGCTAATCTGTTAGCCTGTATACCAAACCTGCACATGCACTCCCTGAAACTAAAGTAAAAGTTGGAAAGAGCAAAAAAAAAAAAAGAAATAGTTTATGTTTTGGTGGAGCTCAGATAACAACAGCAAGGGACAATATAATGACTAAAAGCACAAACCAACTGTGTGATCTTTGATCAATTATTTAATATCTCTGAATCTCAGTTTCCTTACCTGTAAAATGAAGCCAACTATATATATTTAAATCCTTACAAAATTAGTAAAATAAGCTATAATGCACTGCAATCTTACAAATTCCTGTAAGGATTAAAAGAATTTTTTTAGGCAAGAAGGGGATTTGTTTAGGGAAAGGGCTGTTATCATCTTTGTTTTAAGCTATAAACTAAAAGTTCTTTCCAAAGTTAGTTCAGCCTATGCCCAGGAGTGAACAAGGACAGCTTGGAGGTTAGAAGCAAGATGGAGTTGGTGATGTCAGATGTCTTTCGCCGTCTCAGTTATAATTTTACAGTGGCAGTTTCATCACTACAATCCAGCCTGGGCAACAGAGTGAGACCACATCTTTAAAAACAAGAAAAAAAAATTCACCTCATATTATAGTGTTCTTCTGCTAGGCTCATCATCATGAATAATAACAACCTGTGTCTACTATGCCTGTCACTGTGTTAAGTGCTGAAAAATAGTTCTTTTTTTTTTTTTTTTTTTTGAGATGGAGTCTTGGAATGTCACCCAGGCTGGAGTGCAGTGGCACGATCTCGGTTCACTGCAAGCTCCGCCTCCCAGGTTCACGCTATTCTCCTGCCTCAGCTTCCCAAGTAGCTGGGACTACAGGCGCCTGCCACCATGCCCAGCTAATTTTTTGTACTTTTTTTTTTTTTTTAAGTAGAGATGAGGGTTTCACCGTGTTAGCCAGGATGGTCTTGATCTCCTGACCTCGTGATCTGCCCGCCTCGGCCTCTCAAAGTGCTGGGATTACAGGCGTTAGCCACCGCACCCGGCTGAATAATTGTTCTTTTAATCCTTACAGGAATTTGTAAGATTGCACTGCATTATAGCTTATTTTACTAATTCTTGTAAGGATATATATGGTTTCATTTCACAGATAAGGAAACTGAGATTCAGAGATATTAAATAATTGATAAAAGATCACACAGTTGGTTGCTCTTAGTCATTATATTGTCCCTTGCTGTTATCTGAGCTCCTCCAAAACAGAAGCTATTTCTTTTTTTTTTTTTTCTTTCAAACTTTTACTGTAGTTTCAGGGAGTGCATGTGCAGGTTTGGTATATGGGTAAATTGCATGTTGTGGGGGTTTGGTGCATAGATTATTTTCTCACCCAGGCAATAAGCATAGTACCTGATAGGTAGTTTTTGGATCCTCACCCTCTTCCCACCCTCAAGTAGGTCCCCATGTATATTGCTCCCTTCTTAGTGTCCATGTATTCAATGCAGAAACTGTTTCTCATCTTTTTATTCAAATACCTCATACATAGTAAGAATGCAGTGAATGTGGCACTTATCCTGCCAGATGGGCTAAAAATACCAAAGTCATTTGCCTTCCTCAAACATTCATTGAGCCTTATTATATGCTAGGCACTAGAGATATAAGATTTTTTTTTAAACTGCCCTTAAGAATATCATGGTTGAATGGAGAAACATGAGTAAACAGATGATTCCAATGTAATGTGAATATATATACTAAGTCCCACAATAAAGTTATGCTCAAAATTTGACAGAAAGGCAGAAGAAAGACAACTAACACTGCCTAGAGGAGTCAGGGAACTTTTGAAGAACCCCATGCAGTTAAACTAGAGAGAGGAGTAAATTTGAAAACCATTAAGAAGGTGAAATCAGCAGGACTTGTCGGCCAAATGAATATGTAGGGCAACATTGAAAGAAGTAGTCAAGGATGACTGTCAAGTTTTGAGCTTGTGTAACATACTGGGTTAATCTTACTCCTTGACCTCCACAAAGTCTAAATTATGTAGATTTGATCCAGGACAGGTGAGCCCTAAAGTGGGTCTTAGCCTGTGGGTTCTTGGCTTTACCCAGGGAAGAATTCAAGGCCAAGCTGGTGGTAAAAGAAAACAGCTTTATTAAAGAGGTGTTACAGCTCCATGACTGCTCCTGCAGATATAACAACTCAGGGCAGTTTTTCAGTCGTATTTATACCTACTTTTAATTACATGTAGATTAAGGCAGAGTTTATGCAGTAATTTCTAGGGAAGGGGTAGTAACTTTTGGGTTGTCATGTCACTGCCATGGAAAGGGGTGGTAGCTCCCCGGTGTTACCATGGCAACAGTAAACTGACATGGCACATAGCACACATGGCACATGGCACATGGGAGGTGTGACTTATGGAAAACTGCTTCCACCCTGTCCCTGTTTTAGCTGGTCCTCAATTTTGTCCAGTGTCCAAGCCCTGCCTCTGGAGCTCAGTCTTGCCTCCTACCTCACAGTAGAGATTCACCTCTACAGTAATTCCCACATATACAGTTGGAAATGGAGACAACATTATAATGGCCAAAAGTATGTTATATTCCTTGGATACATTTGTTGTTGAAGGAAAAAAGGTTGAGAACCTCTCTTCTATTCTTGATGTGCCCTCCTAGTTCAGCTCCTTATAGCCTAAACTATAATAGCTGGAAGCTATCTCGTCTACCAGCCTCTAGTCTCCACCTTTGCTATATACTCTATACACTGTAGTTAAGATCAGGCTTCTACATCATTGCTCTGCTCATGTCACTCCCCTGTTCAAACACCTCCAGTGAGTTACCAAGGGCTACCTCCCTAAATCTGTTTATCTTCTGAAAATAAGTGTACTTCTCAGAATATTATTGTGAGAAATAAAAAAGTTAATATATAAAAGATCTTTGCAAATTTTAGAGTATTAGATACATAGTAAGTAACATCATAGTCAATGATAAAAGACAGTACCCAGAAAGTGCTAAATGAGTGGAATCAACAAAAAAAAAAATTAAATGTGTTAAGAGGGGAGAGCTAGCCTTATGAGCTAAAATACTCAGGAAAAACTTCACAGAGAGCATAGTTGGTCTTGATGAGCGTTTACAGATCCAGAAACTCAACTTTATCTGGTTGAGACAAGATTGAGGTAGGAGGCAGGACTTGACTCCAGAGGTGGGGCTTGAACTCCAGACCAGATTGAAGACTAACTTGAAACAGGGAAGAGGCAAAAGCACCTCTCCATAAGACATGCCCACAAGTACCATGTCAGTTTACCATTGCTATAGCAACACCTGGAAGTCACCTCCCCTTTCTGTGGCAATGACCCAGAAGTACCACCTTCTTTTCTAGAAAATTCTGAATATCCACCCCTTAATTTGCATATAATTAAAACTGGGTATAAATATGACTGTGAAACTGCCCCTGAGCTGCTACTCTGGGCACACTGCCTGTGGATTAGCCCTGCTGTGGAAGGAGCAATACCTCTGCTGCTCCTGTACACTGCTGCTTCAGTAAAAGTTGCTGTCTAAAACCACCAGCTCACCCTTGGCTTCTTTACTGTGTGAAGCCAAAAACCCTCTTGGGCTTGGGGCTTGTGTGCCCTACATCAAGATGGTCTCCTTTCCTTCAGCCTTGACCTTCCAGTCTCCAATTTTCCCTCTAAACTTCATATCCCGGAAAAAGAAAAAGAAAGAAAGGGAAAGAGAAAAGAAGGAAGGGAGGAAGGAAGGGAGGGAGGGAGGGAGGAAGGGAGGAAGGAAGGAAGGAAGGAAGGAAGGAAGGAATTAAAAGAAAAGAAAACCTCCAGTACTGAATCATGGCCTAGCGCAGTGTCTCATGCCTGTAATCTCAGCACTTTGGGAGGCTGAGGTGGGTGGATCACCTGAGGTCAGGAGTTCGACACTGGCCTGGCCAACATGGCGAAACCCCATCTCTACTAAAAATACAAAAATTAGCCAAGTGTGGTGGTGCATGCCTGTAATCCCAGGCTACTCGGGAGGCTGAGGCATGAGAATCGCGTTGCAGTGAGCCGAGATCACGCCATTGCACTCCAGCCTGGACAACAGAGCAAGACTCCATCACAAAAAAAAAAAAAAAGAAAAGAAAAAAAAGAAAGAAAAAGAAAACCTCCAGTACTAAATCATTAAAAGATATTTTAAAAAAACATGCATGGCCAGGTGCAGAGGCTCATGCCTGTAATCCCAGCATTTTGGAAGGCCGTGTTGAGTGGATAACCTGAGGTCAGGAGTTCGAGACCAGCCTGTCCAACATGGCAAAACCCCGTCTCTACTAAAAATACAAAAATTAGCTGGGTGTAGTGGCATGCGCCTGTAATCCCAGCTACTCGGGAGGCTGAGGCAGGAGAATCGCTGGAACCCATGAGGCAGAGGCTGCAGTGAGCCGAGATCGCACTACTGCACTCCAGCCTGGGCAACAGAGCAAGACTGTCTCAAAAAACGAAAAATACGTATAAGCAATTCCTATATTAGAAATAATAATAATGAAATTATGATATATTTGTGGTTAGTATGTGCATAGAAAGAAATCTAGAAAAAATGTACTCTAAACTGTCAGTAGGAGTAATTATCTCAGGAGATAAGGAAGGGAATTACTGGAAATCTTTACTTTATATAGATATATATGCTTTACTTTATATATATACACTTATATATATACACACACATACCCACACACATATGTATCTAGATAAATATATATATTTGTAATGTGTTCATTGCTTTTTATAATGAGCATATATGATTTGTCATCAGAGAAAAAAAAAAACAATAAAGGTAGATAGATCTTTAAACCAAATAAAACCTTCCAGGGGCTCTTTATTGTCTTTACGACAAAAGATTAAAATCCATTTACAAGCTACATGGTCCCTGAAGGCATCATGCTGTCTCATCTCTGCTGTTACCTCTGCCAGAAATGCCTTCCCATACCCCTTGCTTTTTACGATTCACTCAAGTATCTCCTCCAAGATGTCATCTGTGACCTGTCCCTACCCCTGCACCAGCCTAGAGCAAATTGAGCACTTCCTCCATGGTGACTCCTACTCTATCTTATTCTCGCTACCATCTCAAGCTAACTTAGATCCTTGACTATCTCCCCCAAGTAAACTACAGATAAAGACTCTGTCTCATTCATTTCATATCCCCATTGACTGTGTATATAACACTTGTGGAACTGGTGAATGAATTTCATCAGAAACAGCCTTAGTTTACCATGCTACTTAATCTTCCATAAAGTGGGTATCTAAAACGCTTATTTGTAACTTTACCCTTAGAGATATCCTGAGAATAAAAGCTGGCATTCTCCATTCTGGTGGGCAAGAACACTCAAGCAACCAATTATAATGTTAACTAATACTTCCTGGGTGTTTACTAGTAGTATATGATGCACTGTGCTAAGGCCTCACACGCATTAACTTATGGAATCTTCGCAACCCTGTGAGGCAGGGACTGTATTATCATTCTCATTTTATAGATGAGGAACTGAGGCATGGGAAGGTGAAGTAAATTTGTTTTGTCCAAGGTCAGCTAGTAAGGGGTAAAGACAGAATGGAAACTCCAGCGGTCTTACTGCAGAACCTCAATGTTAACCATAACACTATTTTGCCCTATAGGTGAGAAATAAACATAGAAATAGAAGACAAACCTTTATATGTTCTCAAAGAATATTTTCCTTTAGCTATGATAGATAAGAGACCTGTTTTCATGGTACTATAGTGGCACATATGATTAGACCAAAAGCTGGTTGGGGACTTAAGGGGTGGGTGCTGACTACCTGAACCAATCAGATCCACTGTAAGTGAGATTTGTACTCAAGATAGAAAGAAATACATTTGACTGAAGCTAGTTAGACAGAGAGACTAGAAGACATGAAGCAATAGAATCCACCAGTGGGCAGAGAATACCGAGTTATAGTGATATCAAAGCACAGGAATGGAGAACAATGTGCTTTCTGGGCAGCAAGATAATCCCACCCTAGAGTTTGCTACGTGCTGAGCAACCTTTCATTCCCCAGCTATGGTCCAAAGTTGGTAAGTCTGGCTGTGACATGATTCCTGGGAGGTTTTTTTTGTTGTTTTTGTATTTTTTTTTTTGGAAGGGGTAGGGGGACAGAGTCTCACTCTGTCACTCAGGCTGGAGTTTAGTGGTGCGATCTTGGCTCACTGCAACCTCAACCTCCCAGGTTCAAGCAATTCTCCTGCCTCAACCTCCCGAGTATCTGGGATTAAGGCACCACCACCATGCCTGGCTAATTTTTGTATTTTCAGTAGAGATCGGGTTTCACCATGTTGGCTAGGCTGGTCTTGAACTCCTGAACACAGGCGATCTGCCCACCTCAACCTCCCAAAGTGCTGAGATTACAGGTGTGAGCCACCATGCCCAGCCAATTCCTGTTTTTTTTTTTGATGTAGAGAAAAGTAGAATTTTTCTCTGCTAGTACATCAAGTACTGAATGTATAATTAAGTACATTATAACCCCATGGTCTCTGCTAATTACAAAATAACAGAAGAGAGGTAAAAGCATCAAGGTGAGAAACCCAGGTGGGGAATCAACTGTCAGGATTTCACTAGCACCATCCAAGGAAAAGATGCTACCAGCTCTGTTGTATTATTTTTAAAAATATGGCTGGGTGTGGAGGCTCACACCTGTAATTCCAGCACTTTGGGAGGCCAAGGCAGCTGGATCACCTGAGGTCAGGAGTTCGAGACCAACCTGGCCAACACGGCAAAACCCCGTCTCTACTAAAAAAATAATAATAATAATACAAAAATTAGCCAGGTGTGGTGGCAGGTGCCTGTAATCCCAGCTACTCAGGAGGCCGAGGCAGGGAGAATTGCTTGAACCCAGGAGGTGGAGGTTGCAGTGAGCCAAGATTGTACCATTGCACTCCAGTCTGGGCGACAGAGCGAGACTCTGTCACAAAAAAAAAAAAAAAAAAAAAAAAAAAAAACAACTTCCAGAGAGGATAAAATAGTTGAACTCTTTAGGTCGTAAGGAAAAAAGAAACCTGGGGAAATATAGCTGGTGGATATTTCTGACTGCACAGACAGGCTTCACAGAAGAAAAGAAACCACTTCTTTGAATATCTATTTCCACATCTGCAAAATGGAAAGAGTAACTACCTGTTATAGACTGAATTGTATCCCTCCAAAATTTATATATCGAAGTTCTAACACCCCAATGTGACAGTATTTGGAGCTAAGGGCTTTAAGTAGGTAATTTCAGTTAAATGAGGTCATGAGAATAGGGCCCTAATCCAATGGGAAAATCTTTCTCTCTCCACACGTGCACAGAGAAAAGGCCACATGAGGACACCATGAGAAGGCAGCTGTCTACAAGCCAGGAAGAGAGTCCTCACCAGAAACCAGCTCTGCTGGCACCTTGAACTTGGACTTCACGCCTCCAGAACAGTGAGAAAATAAATTTCTGCTGTTTCAGCCGCCCAGCCTGTGGTATTCTGTTATGGCAGCCCAAGCTGACTAATACACTACCTAATAGTGAATGAGAAGAATTAAATCAGAAAATATAAATGCATTAATAAACATACCATGTATTGGGCACCTCCCTGTGCCAGGCACTTCACCATCATCTCTAGTCCTCCAAAACACATGCTGTTTGCACCACATCATGCTGCCAGGCACATAGTTGGCTTGTTGATTTGTGTGTGTGTGTGTGACAAGATCTCATTCTGTCGCCCAGGCTGAAGTGCATTGGCATGATCATACTCATTGAAACCTCCAACTCCTGGGCTCAACAGATCCTCCTTCCTCAGCCTCTTGAGCAGCTATGACAATGGGCATGCACCACCACATCTGGCTAATTTTTTTTAAATGTTTTTGTAGAGACAGGGTCTCACTGTGTTACCCAGGCTAGTCTCAAACTCCTGACCTTAAGCAATCCCCCGACCTCAGCCTCCCAAAGTGCTGGGATTATAGGAGTGAGCCACCACACCCGGCCGGCTTGTTGAATTTGGGATATGAATATCATAGTCTTATTAACACCATGTTTATAAGCCATAATTGTCTTTATGAATGTATTCATTTTGGAAAAGTAAGTACTAAGGATGTTCAGCTTTCTGTGCTATGGATTATTATGTGTGGAGAAACAAGAAAATGAGTCACAGTCCTCACTTAAATATTTTACCATCTAGTTAGAGATGAAGACAAGTATATTAATGTTACTGGCCCATATGACTATCTTTGGAAAAACAATCATATAAAGTCAAGATTCAGCACAGGGACCCAGGGTCCAAAAGATTTGCATTTGACTCCCAGCTCTATAACTTAGCCGTGTGATCACAGTCAAATTGCTTAACCTCTCCCTTTTCTCATCTGCAAAACAGGGAAATAATAGCACCCACCTCCATCATTTATTATACACAAAGAGATAATATGCCTGAAATATATCTAGCTAAATAAAGACCTAATCAAATGTAAGCTGTGACTATTACCGTTTGTTGTTTGCTTCCTGCTTTTTACTATTGCAATTTCTAAGATCAGCCTTTTTCAAAAGATTTTTCTTTCATCTTAAGGCTACCTGGGAACTGACTGTACCTACTACATACACCGTAACATGTATGTACTATATACAGCCATAATGGGGCAAGGAAAGAAAATGGAATGTGTAATATAAGAATAATGGCATATAGTCCTCAAAGACTGTGTTTTATATTTTGTCTCCATTAGATATTAACACAGTGCTATGTAATGGAGGAAACCCAAGAAATATTTTTTGCCTTGAAGAAAAGAACACAAACTCAGAAGTCACATGGATCTAAGATAAGACTTGCAAAGATTTAAATTCAATTCTGCCATTTACTTCATATGAGGACCTTGAGAACCAGTTGATAGCATATCAGAAAAGCTAATTAATTTGCCATGGTTACCAGGAAAACAGGGCCTAGTCTCCAAAGTACAGCCAAATAGAGGAGCCAAATAAAAAAGAGGGAAATTTTTGTCATGCATCTTGTTTTTCTGAAATGTTATGTTTTAAAATATATCAATATTCAAAACACCATGTGCTTTATTGAGTTTTAACTCTTAATTTTGTCCTCTTTTTTCTGCTAGGGTGTTTTTGAGCAGACAAACAATTTCTTATTGCCAGGATACAGCCTGGAACTCTTAAGCACACCAGGCAAGCATATGTATGAAATAAAATTTCTACAAAGAAGAGATTCGTCAAAAAGCATCACTGGGACACCAACCAAGTGTAAGGCTCTGTGAGGAAAAGGGAATTTCAGAAAACTGTCATACCCAGCCACTGCCAGTGAGGATATGGTAATCTTCTTTGGGGACAGAGTGCACATTCCCCTGATAAGTCTAGAAAGCATAGGATTAGGGCCCAGTGTCGGGCAGACAATACATATTACAGGAATTTAGGAGAGAGGCAAGTCACAAAAGGCTGAAGAGTTCAGGGAAAACCTCACAGAGGTGAGCCAGGGATGATTTCTGATGGCTGGAGAAGAGGAAAAGAAGAAATGTCACAAAGTGCACCATTATCAGAAAAAAGACAGAGAGTCAAACACTTTAGGTGGAACAGAAAGCTCCAGTCAGGAAATAATGAGATCGAATTATAAAAAGAACCAAAATGTCAAGCTAAGAAATTTGGAACTGATCCAGAGAGTAGCTGGAAAGCTGCTGAATATTTTAAAGGGAAAAAAATTACAAAGTGAAAGCAGTTTTGGATTTGATTTTTTCAGTTTTCTTTATTTTGCTGAAAGGAAATAAGTTCACATAGTCTAAATTGAAAAAGTACAATAAATAGTGAAAGGTCTCCCTCCCACTTCGGTCCCCTGCTGCCTATTTTTCTCCCTGGAGGCAAACCAATGTTAGCAGCTTCTTATATATTCTTCCAGAGATAACTATGCCCATGGAAATAAAGACGCACATAAATTTTTCCCTCCTCCTTTGTAAATGAGATGCGTAGACACTTATTTACCTTGCATTTTTCACTCCAAAATCTAACTTACAGATTATTTTGCATGAATACATAAAAAAGGTCCTCGTTCACTTTTTTAAATTATGCTATGAAAATTCAACATTCACTCTTTTTTAAATAGATGCATTGGTACAAAAGAATATACAGGCGAAATTGTCTCTAACTCTTCTGCAACTTGCTGCGCTGTTCTCCCTGGAGGCGGTGTCTAGTTTCTTATATATCCCTCCAGAGATATTCTAGGCATATGGAAATAAATACACACACATCCTTCCCCTCTCTTTTAAAATAAACAAATCGGATGCAAACTATACACTCAATGTAACACCTGTCCTTTTTATTTAAAAATATTTTTAGAAACCCAAATAAAGTCTTTATTTGAATTAATAGTATTGCACCATGTTAATTTCCTGGCTTTGACAATGTATCATGATTATGTATAATGTTATCAACTGGGGAAACAGAGTGAAGGACACACAAGAACTCTCTGTACTATTTTAGGAACTTCCTGTGAGTCTTGAAGTATATGTCAAAATAAAAAGTATTATAAATATTTCTTGGTGATTATTCCATATCAACACATAGCTTCCTTTTTTTTATAGATGCACAGTACTGTCACACCTTTAATAAATAATTTTTAAAATTTATCCTCTAAGAAGGCAAACTATTTCAGATTTTCTTAGCACTGAAAATTGATGACAGTGTCCATCACTGTATGTCCCATCTCTGACTCCATAGTTAAGAGTTGTCTGTGGACCCAATTATGTAACCACAATAAAAATTCTAACAAGAGAGCAGTGGCCAGGGAATCAGGGGCACCCAGTTCTCCTCCTAGTCCAGCTGCTTGCTACTTGTTTGACATTGAGCATATCACTTAGCCTTCTAGTCTTGGTTCCCTCACCTGTGACACTGGGATTAACCACCTGGTTACTTCCCAATTAGGTTGAGTGTTCAATGAGATGATACCTGTAACAGTTGTTTATTTGAGTTGAATCCACTGTGGAAATAAAAAATCTGGCAAGTATGATTTTCACCTAGAGGCTGTATCATAATCCTGTGTGTGCAATCATAGAAGTCATAGGATTTATCTCATGACAGATTCTATCTCAGTTTAAGGAGCATCAAAAAGAGCTGCACCCTAGTCCATATTATTTTTGTTTTACAAATAATATGGCTTTCTGGGCCCTTCTGTTTTCTAATCCAGTCACTAATGACTATCAGAAGGTATGCCACACAGTAATAATGGTAAATAAAATACTTGCATTTGGTAGCCATTCTGCCTCAAAAGGATAATAACAATAGTAATAATAATGAACCCATCCAACAAGTTGACCCCTTTGTGGTAGTACATTTAGTAGGAAAATCATTTTGCTGGACACATCAAGAAGCAATTTTAGGCCTGTAATCCCAACACTTTGGGAGCTGAGGCGGGCAGATTACCTGAGGTCAGGAGTTCAAGACCAGGCTAACTAACATGATGAAACCCTGTCTCTACTAAAAATACGAAAATGACCTGGGCATGGTAACGCATGCCTGTAATCCCAGCTACTCGGGAGGCTGGGGCAGGAGAATCACTTGAACCCAGGAGGCAGAGGCTGCAGTGAGCAGAGATCATGCCACTGCACTCCAGCCTGGGTGACAAACGGAGATTTCATCTCAAAAAAAAAAAAAAAAAAGGCTGGGCGCTAAGGGTGGGCAGATCACCTGAGGTCAGGAGTTCAAGACCAGCCTGACCAACATGAAGAAACCCGTCTCTATTAAAAATACAGCCGGGCGCAGTGGCTCACGCCTGTAATCCCAGCACTTTGGAAGGCCGAGGCGGGTGGATCACAAGGTCAGGAGATCGAGACCACAGTGAAACCCCGTCTCTACTAAAAATACAAAAAAAATTAGCCAGGCGTGGTGGCGGGCGCCTGTAGTCCCAGCTACTCGGGAGGCTGAGGCAGGAGAATGTCATGAACCCGGGAGGCAGAGCTTGCAGTGAGCTGAGATCGTGCCACTGCACTCCAGCCTGGGAGACAGAGCGAGACTCCATCTCGAAAAAAAAAAAAAAATTAGCTGGATGTGGTGGTGCATGCCTGTAATATCAGCTACTTGGGAGGCTGAGGCAGGAGAATCGCTTGAACCCAGGAGGCAGAGGTTGTGGTGAGCTGAGATTGTGCCATTGTACTCCAGCCTGGGCAACAAGAGAGAAACTCCATCTCAAAAAAAAGTAACTTTGTAATTTCACTTCAGCCTCTTACTGGTTGCTTTCCACAATCAGATGCTTGCATAGGGTGTAACCTTTGTAACTTCACTTCAGTCTCTGGTTGCTCTGATTGCGGGCCACTACTTCATTTACATAGGGTATACACCAAGTAACCAATGGGAAACCTCTAGAGGGTATTTAACCCAGAAAATTCTGTAAAGGGGCTCTTGGGCCCCTATGCTCAGTCCCATTCCAATCCTGTGGAGTGTACTTCAGTTTTTCAATAAGTCTCTGCTTTTGTTGCTTTGTTCTTTCCTTGCTTTGTTTGTGCATTTTGTCCAATTCTTTGTTCAAAACACCAAGAACCTGGGAACCCTCCACTGGTAACAGTAGTTAGTTCCTGGAAGCACTATGTGGCCACAGTGCCAGGTTCTGCAGATAAATTATTTAAGAGGAGTACTGAGAACAAAGCCACTGCTTTTGGAAATTAGGAAGTCACAAGTCACAATACTGTAAGACAATTTTGTGGGATTTAAGATATAAAACCAGATCTCCAGGGACTAAGTAGGTGGAGGGTGAAAAAGCAACGCAGTAAGCTCTTTTCTTTATTTCTTCCCCTACCCAGCTGTCTTGTATGTGACTACAGTCAGGTGGAGACATCTGCTTTGCTTCCAACAGAAGCAGAATTATTATCACTGAAACAAAAAGAAGTGGAAACAGTCCATTTCAGCTTTTAAAAAATTTTTCATAAGTGGTTTATGAATTAAAATATGAGGCCCGGGGAGGAAGTCGGGAGCAGGGCACAGAGCTAACACCAAAGGACTGGAGCCTGGGATAGGAAAGAAGAGAAAGAGGTGACCGCATCCCCTGCTCCTAGGAGACCTAGGGAAGGGATGAGGGAGGGGCAGAAGGAGGTCAGAGATGGTGCCAGGAATGCAGGCCATGCACATCAAAGGGCCTGCTGAGAAGCATCAGCCTGTGGGGTTCATGCCAAGAAGTCACGTTCCCACCTTCCTTATGACCCCAAAACTCGCCACCCAGGCTCCCACTTCGGGGTTTTTGCATTTTCTTTCTTTTTTTTTTTTTTTTTTCTGAGACAGAGTCTCACTGTGTCACCCAGGCTGGAGTGCAGTGGCATGATCTTGGCTCACTGCAACCTCCGCCTCCCAGGTTCAAGCGATTCTCCTGCCTCAGTCTCCCAAGTAGCTGGGACTATAGGCGCATGCCACCACACCCGGCTAATTTTTTATTTTTAGTAGACAGGCAGTTTCACCATGTTGGCCAGGCGGGTGTTGAACTCCTGACCTCAGGTGATCCACCAGCCTTGGCCTCCCAAAGTGCTGGGATTACAGGCATGAGCCACCATGCCCAGCCGGGGCTTTTGCATTTTCATTCCCTCTGCCTGGAATGTTCTTCCCATGGCTCAGCCCCTCATCTCCTTCAGGTCTCTTCATAAATATCAGCCTCTCAGAGGGGCCTCCCCAACCACCCTGTGTAAAATAAGACCTCTTTTCCCAATTGCTCTCAGTTTTATTTTCCTGGTTTTATTGACCTTTCCAACACCTACAATACACATCAAGGGGTACGTTGCCACCTGAGTTCCTATCTCTAACAAAACATAACAAAATATAAGCATTAACAAAAATATAAAATGTTTTGCAATGTCACTTGTACATTTCTCTCTATTCTAAGGAATTTTGCATGCTTACTGCAGGGTAACAGTTCTACTGGAAGGTAGAAGTTCCCCTCTCAGGGCCTCAAATGAAGAAAGAAAAGTTGAAATTGGGTATTATCACAGACAGGAACTTTCATTTTAAAAGAGAAAGTCGAGTCACCTTGTCCTTTGGGACGCAGTGGCCAGGTCACATACGCAGAGCTTCCCCACAGAAGCCCCTGCTAAAACTAGGTCAGATTGGATCAGGGATTCTCCACCATTCAGACTTTTAAAACAAAAGCAACATCCCAAGGGGAGGGCTTAGAAGCCACTGTAGTTAACATCTTATTAAATAACCACCATTCTATTTTTAATAGAAATATCACATAGTAGCAAGCATGCATAATTCCTCAGAAGAGAAAAATATATTTTAAAAATTGTCTCCAGGCACAGTGGTGCACACCTGTAGCCCCAGCTACTCAGGAGGCTGAGATGGGAGGATCACTTAAGCCTAGGACTTTGAGGATGTAGTAAGCTATCGATTGTACCATGACACTCCAGCCTGCCTAACAGTGAGACCCCGTTTCTAAAAAAATTAAAATTTAAAATTGCAGAAATATGTATATATCTTTCTCCCAGAGAGGATTTCTCTCTCGTCACCTTATAAAAAGAAACAAGTATACTAGCCAGGCATAGTGGCAGGCACCTGTAATCCCAGCTACTTGGGAGGCTGAAGCAGGAGAATCACTTGAATCCGAGAGGTGGAGATTGCAGTGAGCCAAGATCATGCCACTGCACTCCAGCCTGGACAACAGAGAGAGACTCTGCCTCAAAAAAAAAAAAAAAAAAAAAAATAGAACCAAGTAATGAATAATAAAAGGTCTGGCAAGGAGAAGAGGGACTTTCCTCTCTGGCCAGATAGACCTAAACACCAAGTCAACATTCGCAGAGCAGTGTACGCCACTGGGAGTACTTGTGTGGAAGATTGATTTAATCATTTCTTTGCTATGGGGGAAGGGTTTTCTGTCAATGGGGGCTTGCACGGTGCCTGTGAATTGTCCAGCAAAAGGAAACGCAGCCACGCCCCAAGACTGCTGAGCCCTTTCAAATTGTCATATATGAGCTCATCTTTGGGTACCCCCGCATCCCTGAACACTAAGGGCCTTAGTGCCCAAAGGGATGGAGCCCTAACACTTTACTTGGGTGGGGTTAAACAATAGTCAATCCCTCTCCTGCTACATGCCCAACTCACTTCTTTGCCCTGGGGGCTGATTATAACCCTCTATATTCAAACTAAGTAGCCAAATCTTGAATTCAAGTTTTTTGTTTTGTTTTGTTTTTTGCTTTTTTTTTTTTTTTTTTTGAGACAGAGTCCGGCTCTGTCGCCCAGGTGGGAATACAGTGGCACAATCTCGGCTCACTGCAACCTCCACCTCCTGGGTTCAAGCAATTCTCCTGCCTCAGCCTCCCAAGTAACTGGGATTACAGGTGTGTGCCACCACACCTGACTAATTTTGTACTTTTAGTAGAGACAGGTTTTCATCATGTTGGCCAGACTGGTCTGGAACTCCTGACCTCAAGTGATGCACCTGCCTCAGCCTTCCAAAGTGCTGGGATTACAGTCATGAGCCACCGCACCTGGCCAGGTCTTGAATCTAATCCTGCAAGGGGGGTGCTGTGCTGAGGCAGAGAGAGGAAAGTCAGTAGAAGAAAGATGGAGGAGAGGCCATACCAAAATTCAAACTCAGAGCGATTGCTTTGAATTCAGAGACTCTTATCAAAGGGGGAAGCTCATCTCCATGAACAGTGACTCCTGCCACTAGTGGGATGACCTGGGACATAATTGGGGAGATAAATTAGAATGAAAGCCTCCAGCTAGTAGCAGCCGCTAGCGTGGCAGGAGGGGACAGTGATGAGCACCACAGTGCGGTGGGGAGAGCTAGCACAGGACAGCTCTCTCTCAAACCATACAGAATATGGGGAACTGGCTGCTTTTAAGCAGTGAGAGCTGCTCATTATCATCTGCCTTCCCTCACTGCACACACACACACGCACACGCACACGCACACGCACAGCAAGACTTCTTTAAGTCCTTCCCTCCAGCAATAGAAGATGTACCCCTCGGGCCGTGCATGGTAGCTCACAACTGTAATCCCAGCATTTTGGGAGGCCAAGGCAGGTGGATCACCTGAGGTCGGGAGTTCGAGACCAGCCTGACCAACATGGAGAAACCTCATCTCTACTAAAAATACAAAATCAGCTGGGTGTGGTAGTGCATGCCTGTAATCCCAGCTACTTGGGAGGCTGAGGCAGGAGAATCGCTACAACCCGGGAGGTGGACGTTGCGGTGAACCAAGATTGCGCCATTGCACTCCAGCCTGGGCAACAAGAGCGAAATTCCATCTCAAAAAAAAAAAAAAAAAATTACCCCTCGACCGTCCACATGCTGGGTTCTCAGAGCAGGAGAAGGAATTCTTGAGAGGTAACAGAAGGAAAAGGAAGGAACTTCTGAGAGTTAGGAGGTGAGACTTTCCCCAGGACCAGGTCACCCAGCGGGCTTGGTAGTCCTACAGTGGTGTAGTTTCCGGGTAGAAAAAAATCCGTTAAAGCCTAAGACCTAGTTATCACTAGTTTAGGGATAGGACAGCCCTAAGTAGTAGTGAAGAACCTTGAGAGAAACATAAACTTTTACTAGAGGGAGTGTGAAAGGGTTGTCATCTTTTTTGAAAGACTGTGTTTTTCTTTTTGTTGTTGTTGTTTCTCAATACACTCATTTATTTATTCACCCAACCAATACAGTAGTTATTAAGTGCCTGCTATGTGTTAGGCATTGCTTAAAGACTAGAAAATATAACAATAAAAAAGATAAAGTTTCTGCTTCTGTGGACTTTGTATTCTAATGGCGGATAATAGTAACAATAAGCAGTCAACCATAATACCAGCAGCAAATACTTACATGGTGCTTCCCATGAGCCAGCCCCTTTCCTAAACTCTTTCTACACATTACCTCATTTTATCTTTATCACAACCTATACAGCAGGTACTGCTATTATCCTTATTTTACAAATAAGGACATTAAGGCATAGGCAAGCTAAGCAACCTGTTCAAGTATACAGAGTTAAAAAGTAACAGAATGGGGATTTGAATCCAGGAAGTTAAATTTTAGAGTTCATGTATTTGACTAATATAGATACATATAGATATAGATACGTATTGGTGTAGATAGGGGGGTGGAGGGAGAAAGACATGGGGAGAGAGAGAGATAAGGAAATAACTCCCCCACCGTTCTAGAGGATAGAAGACCTCTAAACAGAAATGATAATCTTCAAAGGCACTTAAGTTTTATTAGCAGAAGCTAATTGAGAGACAAATAGATGGAGAAAGATAATTGCAATAAAGAAAGCAGGGTAAAGCGATAGAAAGTAATGGAGGGGGCCAGTGCGGTGGCTCATGCCTGTAATCCCAGCACTTTGGGAGGCCAAGATGGGTGGATCACGAGGTCAGGAGATCGAGACCATCATGGCTAACACGGTGAAACCCCGTCTCCACTAAAAAAAAAATACAAAAAATTAGCCGGGCGTGGTGGCGGGCGCCTGTAGTCCCAGCTACTCGGGAGGCTGAGGCAGGAGAATGGCGTGAACCCGGGAGGCGGAGCTTGCAGTGAGCCGATATCGTGCCACTGCACGCCAGCCTGGGCGACAGAGCGAGACTACGTCTTAAAAAAAAAAAAAAAAAAAAAAAAAAGATAGAGTGACCAAAGCAGGCAACATTGACTGGAGTTGTCCAGGGCAGATTCCCAAGGCTTGCCCAACCCAAGAGCGTGTGATCACATCTCAGGTTTCAGCAGCAAACTCCAGAGACGACGTAAGACTGGGAACAGTTGCATCTCAGCGGTCACTGTCCTGAGGGCAGTTCAGACCCCAGCAGAGGCCAGTGAGGATGTGCATCAACCCCGTAACCCTGTTTCCCTTCCCCTGCCGTAAGCACCTCCCTCCCCCCGCCACACACATACACCAGATGCCATCTGGAGAGGCAAAGGGAAGGGGAGCAGAAACCCGAAAGACTAAGTCTGTTACAAAAATAGACTGAACATTTACCTCAAACGCCTGTTTAAATTATTGAATCTGAATAAATTACTTGACTGGACTAAAGTGTGAGACCTGCAAGGCACCTCAAGCCCTATCCAGCAGAACATGGGCTCAACAGGAAGCGCAGACCAGCAACAGAAAAATACAGAGTAACTCTGTTCTCAAGCCAGCATTTGTGACGCTGCTGCCCCAACTTGAAGACTACATTTGGCAAGGAGAGGAGAAAGGACACAGGATGGAAGCAAAAGGAACCTAAACAGGCCCTGTTGCTTTTCTGGAAGGCAGGAAGTCATGTTCACACAGATGCTTAGGAATGTCACGGGTTAGGAACTGAATACACATTGTGTACTTCTCTGGAAAGAATAAAAGGATTATTCATTTTTCATTATAATTTCTCTAAAGCAAAAAGCATGATTTAGGAGTAGCCATTTGTGGCATTGCCGCATTCAATTACCCAGCACAGATCTGGATGGGCCTGGCAGCTATTTCCAGGCTCCCACACCACATGTGGGTCATAAATATGCGTTAATCAAAAAGGACAAAGCAATCAAGTGGCTTTACGTCATTTATTACCATTTCTGTGAGGGTCAATTGTTAGTAACTGCCTGCATGTGGCTCAGGCAGCCTGGGCTTTATATGCAGAAATTAAGCAGTCACAATTCCTACCCTCTTGAAATTTAAACTTGGCAATGTTGATTTGAACAATTACGTAAAAAAAAAAAGGAACCAAACAAAGCTTCACCTGCAATTATTCTCCCACACGCCCACTCCGAGATCCAGCCACAGGGAAGCTCTTTCTCATGTCCACTCAGAAATTCTGTACAAGCTGTTCTCACTACCTGGAACTCCATCCAGATTATAGTAGACACTTGGAATGTGGTGCTGGCTTATACTCTTCCAGGAACTGAAAAGTGCGGGCCTTTTCCTGTAAAACAGGGATAGGCCCACACTGTTGGACACCTAGCCAATTGTTATTACTCCATGGCATCTTTTCTACAAAAGTACTCTGTTTTTATTTAGAGTGGTAATGTGCCTAGCGTGGTGTTGTTGTTGTTGTTGTTGTTGTTGTTGTTTTGAGACTGAGTTTCGCTCTTGTTGCCCAGACTGGAATGCTCACTGCAACATCCGTCTCCCGGGTTCAAGCAATTCTCCTGCCTCAGCCTCCCAAGTAGCAAGGATTACAGGTATGCGCCACCACGCCCAGCTAATTTTTGTATTTTTGGTAGAGACGGGGTTTCATCATCATGTTGGCCAGGCTGGTCTCGAACTCCTGACCTCAGGTGATCCGCCTGCCTCAGCCTCCCAAAGTGCTGAAATTACAGTTGTGAGCCACTGTACCCGGCGTTGTTTTTTTTTTTTTAATGTGTTTCTCAGTATCATTTTCAGCTAGAGGAGGGCATGTAACACAGTTCTGGCCAATGAGATGTAAAGGGAATCACCAAGTAGGGCTTCTAGGAAAAAACAGTTTTTAAAAGGGCTACCTCAGTTGACATTCACCTTTGCCCTTTGCCCTTCACCCTTCTTGGTCTTCTTGAGAATGCAGATGAGAATGCAGGATGTGTGACCGCGAGGAGTTAATTAGAAGGGCTAAAGCTATATTTTAAGGATGGCTGAACAGAAAGAAAGATCCTGGGTCCCTTTGAACCAGTTCTGAACTGTTGTGTGAGGAAAATGAGATCTCTATTTGGTTAAGCCCCTGTAGTCAGATTTTTATTATGTGTAGCCAAATGCAATCCTTAATTGGTTCTAGGAATGACAGAAGTGAGACTATATAAATTAGGTGGCCACTGTGGCTGGTGCTCACTTTTTGACAGTGCTTTCTTCCTCTTGGGCACCTGTAGTTGTCTGCAGAATTTGGAGCAATGGTAGCACAGTGGAATTTTCTCCAGTTCAATCGTGGGCACTTAACCATTAAGTGGGGGCCTAAGATGCACCAGACGCAGTGCTAGGTGCTGTGAGTACAAGCCTCTGCCCTCATGGCACTGATGTTCTATTCAGGGAAGAGGAAAAAAAACAAACATGCAAACAAGAAAAGGAAGTTAGGGCACTGTGAAGAGAAAAACAGATTAGGGAGGACAGGCATGCTGGGTGAGATGAGGGGAGTTGGCACTTTATACGAGGCAGTTCTAACGTGGTGTCTTAGTGGACTTGGGCTGTTATAACAGAGGACCACAGACTGGGGGCTTACATAACAGAAACTCACTCTCTCACAGTTCTGAAAGCTCCAAGTCCAAGATCAAGGTACCAGCAGGGATGGTTGCTGGTGAGGACTCTCTTCCTGGAGTATGGGCAGCTGCCTTCTCGCAGTGCCTCACATGGTCTTTCCTCTGTTCATGTGTGCCGGGGAGAGAGAAGGGCCTCTGGTATCTCTTCCTCTTCTTATAAGGACACCAGTCCTGTTGGATTAGGGCCCCTCTCTCAAAACCTCATCTAACCTCCCAAAAGGCCGAATCTCTAAATACTGTCTAGTCAGTCACATGGAGGGTTAGGGCTTCAACCTATGCATTTTGGGGGAACACAATTCAGCCATAATAGGTGGCTTATGACTGGAGACCTCAAGGAAGAGACAGTGCAGGCCAAAATGAAACCTGGGGGAAGAGCATTCTGGGCAGAGGAACAGCAAGTGCTAAGGCCCAGAGGCAGGCATGTTTGCTACATTCAAAATACAGCAAGGAGGCCAGTGTACATGGAGCAAATGTGAAAAGGACAGAGTGTCAGGAAGTAGGACAGACAGCAGATGGAGGCCACATCATGTACAGCCATGTAAGCCGCTGAAAGGACTTTGACTTTACACTGAAAGAAATGAGAGGCCACTCAAGAATTCTAGGCAGAGAAATAACATGATCACACTTACGTTTTAAGAGTTCACTCTTTTGTGTGGAGAATAACCTGCAGGTGCAAAGATGGAAGGAAAGTACCATAGAGAGCTGTTAAAATCATCAGGAAGGGTGACCATGGAAACTTGGACTAGGGTGGTTGAGAAGTGGTCAGAGTTGGGGTTTAGAGGTAGAGCTGGGATTGCTGCAATGGACAGATGTAAGGTGTAAGAGCAGGAGGGGAGTCTGGGATGCTGCCCAGGTTTCTGCCACAGGCATCTGAAGAATGAAATAGCTATTTACTTCAGTGGGGTTACTGGTGGCAAGATCAGTTTTTGAGGGCGAAAAATCAAGAATTCAGTTTTGGATAAGTTAATTCTGAGATGCCTTTTAGAAACCTAAGTGCAAATGTTGAGTGGGCAGTTGGAGAGATGAGTCTGCAAGTCAGGAAATAGTCTAGGCCTGTGACAGAAATGTAAGATTCATCAAATAAAAATGTCATTTCACACCGTATGACTAAACGAAGCCATCACCTAGACAGGAGTGGATCAAGGAGAGCAGAGATCTGAGGACTGAGCCCTGGAGAGCTCTGCAGTAAAAGGCGGGCAAAATGAAAAGGATCCAGTCACAGAGGCAGAAAAGAGGCAGGCTGGAGGCTGGATAAAGACAGAGAAGGTGTGGTGACCTGGAAGCCAAATGAAGAGTGTCTCAAGGAGAGAGTGATCACACAACTGAGATGAAGGTTCACTAAGGCAAAGACCAAAATCACTGCTGCCCTCAAAAAGAGCTGTTTTTATGGAGTGGTGGACTGGTGTATTACTTAGCTACTGCTGTGTAACAAGCTACCCCAACCTAACAGCTGAAAGCAATAAACATTCACTATCTCCCAGCTTCTGTTGGTCAGAAATCTGGGTATGGCTTGGCTCATGGTCTTCCACAAGGGTAGGATCCTCACGTTGGCTGGGGTGAGAATGGTCTCAAGCCCGACAGGAAGGATCTGCTTCCAAGTTTGCTCATCTGGCTTTTGGCAGGGCTCAGATCCCTGCTGGCTGCTGGCCTGGGACACCTATTCCATGCCAAGTAGGTCTCCCCATAGGGCAGCTCAAAACAGGGCAACTTGCTTCCCCTAGAGCAGTGGTACCCAAACTTTTTTTGCACCAGGGACCAGTTTCTTGGAAGGCAATTTTTCCACAGACCCGTGGGGGCTTGGGGGGTGGGTGGGGAGGTAGTGATGAAACTGTCCCACTTCAGATCATTAGGCATTAGATTATCGTAAGGAGTGTGCAACCTAGATCCCTCACATGTGCAGTTCATCACAGGGTTAGCACTTCTATGAAAATCAAATGCCACAGCTGATCTGACAGGAGGCAGAGCTCAGGTGGTAATGCTCACTCACCCATCGTTCGCCTCCTGCTGTGCTGCCCGGTTCCTGACAGGCCTCGGACTGATACCAGTCTGCAGCCTGGGGGTTGGGGACCCCTGTCCTAGAGCAAATAATCTACAAGAGAAAGAGGCAGCTTACAGTGGAAGCTATAGTCTTTTGCAACCTAATCTTGGAAGTGACATCACGTCACCTTTTTTTTTTTTTTTGAGACAGGGTCTTGCTCTATTGTCCAGGGTGGAGTACGGTACTATAATCACAGCTCACTGCAACCTCCAGCTCCTGGCTCAAGTGATCCTCCTGCCTCAGCCTCCTGAGTAGCTAAGACTACAGGTGTGTACCACCACACCTGGCTAATTTTCTAATTTTTTGTAGAGTTAAGGTCTCACTCTGTTGCCCAGGCTGGTCTTGAACTCCTGGCCTCAAGCAATCCTACTGCCTCAGCCTCTCAAAGCACTGGGATTACAGGTGTGAGACATCACACCCAGCCCACATCACTTTTTTTAAAAAGACTACAGTTTTTAGAGCAGTTTTAGGCTCACAGCAAAATTGAGCAGAAAATGGAGAGTTCCCACATGCCCTCATCCCTCCTCCCCACAGCCTCCCCTACCATGATATCCCACACCAGCATGGTGCGTTTGTTACAGGTGGTGAAACATTGACACATCACTGATAACCCAAATCCATAGTCTACATCAGGGTTCACTCTGTGTTACACATTCTACAGGTTTTCACAACTATATAATGACATGTATCTACCCTTATAGTGTCATACAGAACAGTTTTACTGCTCTAAAAATTCTCTCTTCAGCTGGTGTGGTGGTTTGCACCTTTAATCTCAGCTACTTGAGAGGTTGAGGTAGGAGGATCCTTGAGCCCAGGAGTCTGAGGCTGTGTGAGCTATGATCTCATCACTGCACTACGGCCTCAGTGATAGGACAAGACCTCATCTCTAAAAATAAAATTAAAAAAAAAAATTCCCCATTCCACTTATTCATCCCTCCCTATCCCCAACCCCTGGCAACTACTGATCTTTTCACTGTCTCCATAGTTTTGCCTTTTCCAAGATGTTAGTTGGAATCATACAATATGTAGCCTTTCCAGATTGGCTTGTTTCACTTAGCAGTGGGCTTTTTTTTTTTTCCTTTGGAGACACAGTTTCACTCTGTCACCCAGGCTGGAGCCCAGGCTGTGCAGTGACACAGTCTTGGCTCACTGCAACCTCCGCCTCCCTGGTTCAAGCTATTCTCGTGCCTCAGCCTCTCTAACTAGCTGGGATTACAGGCATGCACCACCATGCCCGGCTAATTTTGTATTATTAGTAGAGGCAGGGTTTCATCATGTTGGCCAGGCTGGTCTCGAATTCCTGACCTCAAGTGATCCACCCACCTTGGCCACCCAAAGTGCTGGGATTACAGGTGTGAGCCACCGCACCAGACCTTTTTGGAGTTTTTTTTTGGAGACAGGATCTCACTGTGTTGCCCAGGCTGGAATGCAGTGGTGCAATTTTGGTTCACTGTAGCCTCAACCTCCTGGGCTTAAGTGATCCTCCTGTCTCAGTCTCCTAAGTAGGTGGGACCACAGGCACCCACCACCATGCTGGGCTAATTTTTAAATTTTTTATAGAAATAGAGTCTTGCCATGTTGCCTAGGCTGGTCTCGGACTCCTGGGCTAAAGTGATCCTCCTGCCTTGGCCTCCCAAAGTGCTAGTATTACAGGTGTGAGCCACCATACCTGGTAAGTAATAGGCCTTTAAGGCTCCTGCATGTCTTTTTGTGATTTGATAGAGCATTTGTTTTTAGCACTGAATAATATTTCATTGTCTGGATGTACCACAGTTTATTTATCCATTCACCTACTTAAGGACATCTTGGTTGCTTCCAAGTTTTGGCAATTATGAATAAAGCTAATACATTCACGTGCAAGCCTTTGTGTGGACATAAGTTTTCAACTTCTTTGAGTAAATACCAAAGACCACAATTGCTGGATCTTATGGTAAGAGTTTGTTTAGTTTTGTAAGAAACCACCATACTGTCTTCCAAAGTGCCTGTACCATTTTGCATTCCCAGCAATGAATGAGCGTTCCTGTTGCTCCACACCCTCACTTACATTTGTAATGGTCAGTGTTTTGAATTTCAGCCATTCTAGAAGGTATGTAGTGGGATCTGAGTGTTGTTTCAGTTTGCAATTCCCTAATGACTTACAATGCTTAGCATCTTTTCTAAGATGCCACCCCATCACTTCCGGTGTGCAGCCCAGACTCAAGGAGAAGGGATTCTACAAGGGCCTGAATAGCAGGAGATGGGGATTATTAGGAGCCATCTCAGAGGCTGCCCACCACAATTGGATTCAGATGAGAATGGAAGCAAGGCATTAGAGACAAATACAGACAACTCTTTTGAGGAGTTCTGCTATAAGCAGAAACAAAGAAATAAGCAGTTCATTGAGGAAGGATATGGAGTTAAAAATGTTTGTATTTTATTTGTTTTACAGCAAATCTGATCATTCTTATCAATTAAGGTAATATGTTTGATATAGTTAAATATGTAACAATTCTGTTTTATACTCTATTCATGTATTTTCTAGAAGTATCATGAACAACAATGCTCATGTTTGTAAATAACGAAACTGTCGGGATTTTTTTTAACAGGCTATTTTGTACCTATATGAGAATCAGAAACAAAAGGCCATTTTGTACCCACGTGGGGATCAGAGCACTCATATCCCAGGGCTTCCAGGATACTCACGTGTGTACCTTCTAATTGCTGAAATCAGCCACATGGGTTTATTTAAGCAGATGAAACCAATATGCTTCAGCAAGGGCAGACATTTTCTCTTGGCTTGAAAACAAGCCAACAGCTGCTTGGAAAAGGCAAGCTGTTGGGCAGAGACCTGCTCATGGCAAACAGCCCAATGACCCCAGTTAAAATGTCACCCAACTGGAGTGATCCTTTAAATCATAAATAATGTCTGTAGTTGCTTTATATTCTGACTCTACACTGCAACAACACACTAAAATGTGCACTACACACAGACACAAGAGTAAATGAATGGGCCAATTAATTCATGAAAGCAAATGTCTGAGGTTAGTCTGTCGATAACATGTGAGTCTTAGATCCTCCTGGGGATAAGGATCAGGCAATGGTAGGATAGGGGGAGGGTGAAAAATAATGCACTTTCCCTTCCTTCTGCATTCAGAACCAACTCAGACATAAGAAAGAATGGAAATTAAGGTGCTAGCTTTATTACTGTTCAGATTGTGTCTTCAGAGCTGAGACACCCTATTCCCCATCCCAGTCTAGACCTTGGGCCATCATTGCCTTATGCTGGTTTTGGACAGTGAGGGAAGAAAAGGGGAGTGAATCATCATAGCTGCAGCCTTCAAATAGATGTGTTTCTTTTTTGAGAAAGATGAGCCAGTGGATGTCACCTGCCAACATAAGTGACGGCCAAAAATTTAAATTGGGTAAAATGCAGGATTATGTTATTGCAGGGTTAATGAGAGACTTTTTTCTTTTTTCTTTTTTTGAGACAGAATCTCACTCTGTCACCCAGGCTGTGCAGTGGCATGATCTCAGCTCACTGCACCATCCACCTCCTGGGTTCAAGTGATTCTCCTGCCTCAGCCTCTCGAGTAGCTGGAATTACAGGCACCCGCCACCATGCCTGGCTAATTTTTTTTAATTTTTAGTAGAGATGGGGTTTCATCATGTTGGCCAGGCTGGTTTTGAACTCCTCCCCTCATGTGATCCACCTACCTCGACCTCCCAAAGTGCTAAGATTACAGGCGTGAGCCACTGCGCCCAACCAAGAGACACTATTTTTAATACCGTTTTGACCATCAAAAAGCATAAAAGTGGCAGGCCATGCTGGTTCACACATGTAATCTCAGTGTTTTGGGGGGCCAAGGCAGGAAGACTGCTTGAACCCAGGATTCAAGACTAGCCTGGGCAACATAGTGAGACCCCACCTCTACAAAAAAAAAAAAAAAAAAAAATTAGCCAGGCACGGTGGCACACACCTGTAGTCCCAGCTACTTAGAAGGCTTAGGCAGGAGGATTGCTTGAGCCCAGGAGGTCAAGGCTGCAGTGAGCTATGATTCTGCCATTGCACTCCAGCCTGGGCAACAGAGCAAGACCCCACCTCAAGAAAAAAGAAATAAAAAAAGAAAAGCACAAAAGTTAAGGCAGTGACACTTACAATGTCCCCAATTGACTGACTATACACTGAGCTGAGAAAACCCTCAGTGGCTTCCAGGATTATGTTATTGCAGGGTTAATGAGAGATACTTTTTTTTTTTGAGACAGAGTTTCACTCTTGTTGCCCAGGCTGGAGTGCAATGGCGCAATCTCGGCTCACCACAACCTCTGCTTCCCGGGTTCAAGTGATTCTCCTGCCTCAGCCTCCCGAGTAGCTGGCACTACAGGCATATATCACCACGCCCAGCTAATTTTGTATTTTTAGTAGAGATGGGGTTTCTTCATGTTGGTCAGGCTGGTCTCAAACTCCCGACCTCAGATGATCCACCTGCCTCGGCCTCCCAAAGTGCTGGGAGCGACATTATTTTTAATTCCACTTTGACCATCGAAAAAACACAAAAATGGCTGGGTGCAGTTCACCACACCCATTTCCCCTAGTCCCACAGAGGAAATAATAGTCTGCACCTGTCCACCTTGAAAACAGGTGACAGGCAGAGGATGGAAGCCAACAGGACCACCACAGTTTGCATGATTTCAGCATTCATGTTGGCACAGAATTGTATTGAAATTCCTTCCTTCTCTGGAAAGGAATGAGGAAAGAATGAGTAAAAGGCCCGGGGCATTGTCTGGGAGAAGCTCCTCTACAGAAAAGCATGGGACTGGGGGAAAAGGCTCCCCACTAACAGCAGCAAAACAAGCCAGGGAAGTGCACAACGCCTCCCAATGCCCTGGGATTCCTACTCTCCAAGCATAGATGCTCCTTAGCTTATAATGGATTTATGTTCTGATAACCCCACTGTGAGTTCAAAATATGGTAAGTTGAAAGTGCATTTAATACACCTACCTACCGAACATCCCAGTCTACTATTATCCCATTAGCCTAGTCTACTTCACATGTGCTCAGGACACTTACATTACACTACAGTTAGACAAAACAATTGAACACAAAACCTATTTTAGAATAAAGTGTTGAATATCTCATGTAATTTATTGAACACTGTACCGAAAGTGAAAAACAGAATGGTTGTACGGATACTTGAAGCACACTTTCTACTGAGCTACGTATTGCTTTTGCACCATCACAAAGTAAAAAAAAAAAAAAAAAACATAAATCAAACCATTGTAAGTCAGGGAATATCTGTAGTTCACCACATGTGTGAAAGACAAGTCAAATGGACAGCAAGAAAAGGAAATTCAGTAGGTTTTATCAAGCATTTACAATGTGCAAAGCCCTAGGCCAGGTACTGGGAATACAGGAATAAATTCACACTCAAGGTGACCCAAGGAAGCTACCGCCTGGGATAAAACCCCACTACTGCCCCATTATCAGCCTTGAAGAGTTTTATGGTATGAATATTGAACTGCTTTGGGGGAATAATCTCTTCCTCTGATAAGGATATTTAGATAAGGAGTTTTTCCCCTTATCTAAATATATTCTAGGCGTTTACACTGAATTCGGGGGATTCAGTAGAGAAGGAAACAGAGTTCTCATGGAGCCTACATTGCACCATCATGGCAACTCTGCATGACAACACCCTAAGACCAGCTCCACCCACCAGAGAATAATCCTAGATGACCTATTAAAGTCCCCTGCACTCTATTATCCTATGATTTTTCTGTAACTCTCTTGGCCTCTTTGCTTCTTTCCTCTCCTAAATTTCATGCAGCATATGAGTTTCCTGCTGGTCATGCTACACTCATTGTACTAATAGGTACCTCTTCCTTCTGGAAGCCTTTCCTGTAGCCTTAGCAGGCTGGGCTTTGTGGCTTTATGCTGTGCCCTTGGCACTCTTCATGGGCTTCTATCAGTGGGTGAATCTCATTTTATATTCCTCACTTTAGTGCAGGGGCAGTTTCTCATTGAACTTCACACCCTCCAACACCAATCACAGCACCTGGCATAGAATAGGCACTCAATAAGTATTTGCTGCACTGAGCAATCTGTAGGGGCCAACATGGAAAGTTTTCCCTTTGCCCTCTTAAGGTTCACTAAAAAATCAACTTGCAAAAGGCAGATTAATTGGAGAAAAAGCATATAAATGTATTTAATGTGTATACCCGGGATCCTTCAAATGAAGACCCAAAGATACAGGGGAAATTATCCATTTTTATGCCTAGGTTCAACAAAGTATGGGCAGTGACGTAGAAATGTGATCGGACAAAAAGTGTATGATCTAAGACTAATAGAGGGAGAAAACCCAGCAAGGCCTGTCTGTCTGGATTCTTCTTGGCCTCTCTGAGCATGCACTCTTTCCTTCTGGGTATGGGACAGGACTCCCTCTGGAATGGGGGTCTTATGACCTACAGTCAAACAAGGGAAGTCAAATAATGTCTTTATGGCCAGATTTTACACAGAACGGCAGAGGGAAAGTCCCCACAGTCCTTGTATTAATTCCCTAGGGATGCCTTAACAAAGCACTCGGTGACTTAACAGAAATGTTTTGTCTCACATTTCTTGTGACTAGAAGTCCAAAATCAAAGTGTCAGCAGAACCAAACACCAAGCTCCCTCTGAAATCTGCAGGGGAGGGTCCTTCCTTGCCTCTTCCTAGCCTTTCTCCGGTGGTGGCCGGCAATCCACCGCATTCCTGGGCTTACAGCTGCATCACTCTGATCTGCCCCTGTCCCGCCACATTTTCGTGTGTCTCTGTCTTCAAGTGGCATTTTGACACCGTGTGATAAGGACATCAGTCATGTTGAATTAGGAGGGTCCACCCCAATGATCTCGTCTTGACCACATCTGTAAAGACGCAGTTTTTCCAAGTTAGGTCGCATTCACAGGTGCTGGAGGTTAGGTCTTCAATGTCTTTGGGAGTGGGGACAAATTCAGTCCTTAACACTCATGTTCTATATGTAGTGCTGCTTAGGCATCCAGCCAACAGACCTGCTTATTTTACTGCAGTCAGAATACCTTCTCCCCTTCCTCCTCACAGTCCAATGACACAGACGTGCTTTGGGGGCAAGATATTTGCGGGCCGTGGCCATCATTCTAAGCATGCAGCACTCCAGGCACCAGGAGTCCTCCCCGTGCTTCAACCCCTCTTCGATGAGTTTGCACCCCCGACCTCCGCTAATGTTCACATCCTTTAACGGGAGCCAGTCTTCTGCTACGTAATTAGACGAGTCTTGAAAGAAGCACCCAGGGGCGTGGCTGAAGACTTTAAGAAACACCAGGCAAGGGAGGGGAGTGGGTACCAGAGACACCTAACATTATTTGAGTGGCAGGAGCTTCCTCTGACCTTCAACGAGGTAAAGAGACATCACAGCCAGCGAGAGTTTGGGGCAGACTCCCCAGACTCGGAGGCCGGGGCAAAGTGGGAGCCGGGGCCAAGTGGGAGCCGGGGCCGTGTGGGGTGGGGGGGGGGGCCCAAGGCGGGGAAGGCCCGGGCCGCCGACAGGGGGCGCGCGAGGGCCTCCGGGCCCCGCGGGCGGGGCGGGTGCTGGACCCGGAGGGGCCTTCCGGCAACTTTTTGGTTGGTGCCGCCCCGCCCAGGCCCCTTTTAAACTTGATCTCCGCAGTGCCCTCCCTTTTCGGCCGCGGCGCGTGACTGGGTAAGTGGGCTCGGACCTTCTGGACGCAGGAGCCGACCACGTGGCTCCGGGGCTACCCCGTGCGCTTCCTAGGCGCGCCTCTCGCTGCCCCCACGCCGAGGCCTCGGCTCGGCGCCGCGGGGAAGCCTCCGTTAGGGCCCCTCGGGGGTGGGGGCGTCCTCGTGGCGCTTGGGCCCTTCGTCCCGGGTTAGGACGGCCCGTGTCCTTGTGCGCTTGAAGGGGCCGCCCCCTTTCCTCGAGGATCCCACCCCCACTCAGCAGAAGCCGCCAGGCGCCCGTCACCTCCCGTGCCTGAGTCCCTGCCGTCCACGCATTCGGCCTACAGGCAGCTTTTAGTCCTTTTTCAATTAAATGATTGCATTTTGAGGATCAAATTCCAACCGCAGGCGGAGGCGCCGAGCCCCGGACGGTCTCTGGGTTCTTGGTGCACTCGGGGCTCCTGCCTGCCCAGGGGCTGTGACCGCGCGGACGGAAGCCTATTTGGGAAGCGAGTGAGATCTGATGTCTGAAGCGCTTTAAGTTTCTAAGCGGGGCAGTATAATAGCGGGGTTAGCAAACACACGGAGGTCATTTCACTCGCGCAGCCATCCCCCACCGCCACCAGTGCCGTTCATTTGCTACTGGCCCGCAGTCAGATAATTTAAAGGCTTGGAGGGACGAGTCTTGCTGGAGCCGACGCCTACAGTAAGTTGAGCGGAGTGCTGTGAGCCCTAATAAGGGAGCCTGCTTTCCTCCCGAAGATTCGCTTTTTTGGGAGTGGCCAGAGCGTTATTACAGCACAGGGCCCGCTTCCAACGTTTAATCAGGGTGTGAGGAGGCCCTTCGTGGTTTTCTGACCTGGGAAAAGTCTGAACTACTGGGTTCTTTCTGGCTTGGACCAGGACAAGGTGTTGAACGCCTAACTTAGGTCTACTAAGGTGTAGAAATACGCAAGGCTGCCCCTAGAGAACGTTTGTCTGGGGAATAATGTAAGTTTTTGGAGCGGCTCTCCTGAGCATCGCTGAGCATACTAATTGTTCATTACTGGTACAAAATGCTATATAAAGGGATACTTTGCGAATTTAGTAAAATTGATAAAGATCTAAATTTACATTTGAGTCAACAAATAATCTTTGTGGCTAGCATAGGTACCACAGTTCTGTTGGAATGTGAAGCTCGTGGTTCACCTGTTTTCCTCAGTTGTGAAAGATTTGCTGCCTTTTTGATGAAACCAAATGGGACCCATTTTACCATTCTTTAATGAGGAAAGCTTGTACATTTGCAGCCTAGGTTCTAGGCATCTTTTATCCAGCGTTATAGATAGACCCAGAGCATGGACAATTTTCCCTCCCTGGAATACCTCCAGCTCTGGCGAATAGCCCTATATACAGCACAGGAAGATAGCGGTGGTAAGGCTTTGTTTTACCATTGCTTTAGGTGTTAGAGATTCTTATTGAGCCCATTTTATTTTTATTTTATTTTATTTATTTTTTTGAGTCGGAGACTCGCTCTGTCACCCAGGCTGTGGTGCAACGGCGCAATCTCGGCTCACTGCAACCTCTGCCTCCCGGGTTCAAGAAATTCTCCTGCCTCAGCCTCCTGAGTAGCTGGGATTACAGGTGCCCGCCACCATGCCCAACTGTTTGTATTTTTTAGTAGAGACGGGGTGTCACCTTGTTGGCCAGGCTGGTCTTGAACTCCTGAGCTGGTGATTCGCCAGCCTCAGCCTCCCAAAGTGCTGGGATTACAGGCGTGAGTCAGCGCACCCGGCCTGCCAAATTGTTTTTTAACTATTCAGTTTAAACTGTGAGAGACACCATGTCAAGGAAGCAGTGTGAGCTAGCGTCTAAGGATTGTGAAAACTGAGCAAGTGCCCAGAACTAGAAACTTCCCAGCCCCCTGAACTCAGCCTCAGGGTAAGCGAGTTTAATAGTGCTTCCTTTGATTTTCAAATCTGTGGAAGGTTTGTTTCAGTTTTTCCCAGACAAATATTGTTGGGATAGTGTTTCTTTTCAAAAATGGATAGGATTCAATGCTCATCAGTGGGAAGATAGTGACTCCTGACCATTTTCCTCCTAGCTGGAAACTACAGAAGACTCCCAAGTATCAGGAAATTTGGAGAATTTGTACAGGAATTATATTCAGAGATAGCAATTTATTTACTCATCAAAGAGAGCTATTGGATAGCCACCATAAAGACCACTCATTAAAAAACAAAATTGCATGATATTCTTAACATTGTCTTTCACTTTTTTTAACCAGGCTTGGTGGAGTTTCAAGATGCTGATGAACTTAAGGTATGGGCCGAGTGGAAAGAATTTGGTTTAAGTTATTAATAGTTGAATTGAAATTGTGGCCAAGGATGAGAACTCTAATCTGATTTTATGTGCTTCTGCTGTGATGGATTAAAGGATTTACCTGAGGCCAAATTGGTATGCAGGAATTTATTAAATGGAATCATACCCCCCCCCCTTTTAAAATTACGCTTTTGGTAAAAGGGAAAAAGCTCTTGGTAAATGGATAATACTACTAAGCCAAGAGAAAGACAGGATTTTGAGTGAAAACATAAATTTAGATGTCACAACATTACTAAAGCAACAGTGTGTAAGATACTGGACGATTTTATTTACTTACTTGCACAGTTTTTGTAAACAGTCTAGACAGTACTGTATTTTGCTATTTAGTAATACCTACTGTGATACTTCTTTTACAGGTCTGGCGCTTGAAAGAATCAGTGAAGCTTTTCAAGTAGAGGAGGTATATTTGAATATGTAACCTTTAGTATCTACAGAATAGAGGTTGCTTTTTTTTTTTTTTTTTTGTCCCTTTCACAGTGGTAGCAAGGTTGAATTTTGAGATGGCCCCAATCATCTATAGGAATATTATTTGACAGTTTTGGAGACACAAAACTGCCTTATAGCTGACTTGATCCTGTAGAACATTTCTGTGGAATTCAATTCTATTATTTAAGGTAGTTTTTCCATGAACCAGCTGTGGTCTGTAACTTGACAGTGTTAATAAAACAAGTAGCAATACCTTCATCATGGTTCACATGGTCAACAAAGATATGACTTAACTCTAAGATTGTTATTTTACAGTATAGTCTTTTTTTTTTTTTTTTTTTTATAATAGATAGTTTCACTCTTGTTGCCCAGGCTGGAGTGCAGTGGTGCAATCTTGGCTCACTGCACCCTCTGCTACCCAGATTCAAGCGATTCTCCTGCCTCAGCCTCCTGAGTAGCTGGGATTACAGGCGCGTGCCACCACACCCAGCTAATTTTGTATTTTTACACATTTTTGTTTGTTTGTTTGAGACGGAGTCTCACTGTCGCCCAGGCTGGAGTGCAGTGGCACGATCTCAGCTCACTGCAACCTCTGCCTCCCGGGTTCAAGCGATTCTCCACCTCAGCCTCCCGAGTAGCTGAGATTACAAGCTAATTTTTGTATTTTTGTAGAGACAGGGTTTCACCATGTTGGCCAGGCTGGTCTCGAACTCCTGATCTCAAGTGATCTGCCTGCCTCGGCCTTCCAAAGTGCTGGAATTAATAGGGGTGAGCCACCATGCCCGCCCAGTATATTCTTTTTTTTTTTTTTTTTTTTTGAGACGGAGTTTTGCTCTTGTTGCCCAGGCTGGAGTGCAGTGGCATGATCTCAGCTCACCACAACCTCCACCTCCTGGGTTCAATCAATTCTACCTCAGCCTCCCGAGTAGCTGGAATTACAGGCATGTGCCACCACACCCAGCTAATTTTGTATTTTTAGTAGGGATGGCGTTTCTCCATGTTGGTCAGGCTGGTCTAGAACTCCTGACCTCAGGTGATCAGCCTGCCTCAGCCTCCCAAAGGGCTGGGATTACAGGCGTCAGCCACTATACCCAGCAGTATATTCTTAAATATTACTGTTGAGCCATATATACGACAATGGTGGACTTTGAATGTCCGCACATCTGTAGTAAAATGCAATGCTACCTTCATTTTTTGTTGGTATGCTAAAGAAATTTTAAGTATCTCACTTTTAAAAAAATAGGTTTGTGTATTTTATGTGCTTACACATTTTTCCATAGTACTGTAGATCATTTTAGTGATGAAATTTGATACTTTTGACAGAAAAACAGGTCAGTGAGTTCCTTGGGATCAAAAAGGGGTTGATTACAAGGGCAGGAAGGAATTGTTAGTGTGATTCTACAGTTCTGCATCTTGATTATGGTATGACTGTGCGTTTGTCAAACCTTAACAGGATGAATTTTGCTGAATGTAAAATCATACTTCAATAAACATGACTTTAAAAACTTAACCCTCCTTGGCATTTCAGTGGTGTTTCCAGTGAAATCTATGGCAAGATGGTTTGGGGTCACTATCTACATGAACTGCCAAGTTGGAAAATCAAAAATACATCAAAATCACTCTTGGGACATAAGTCACGGAAGTGACTCATGCACACAATAAATACCCAAGAAGCAGGACCAGACGGCAGTTGTGTATTGGCACGCTCATCAGTGCTGCAAAAATTCCCCTTCTGGATGGCAACAACAATGCTGTATCCACAGCAGCATTTTAAATCTCACCTCTGATGTATCCATTGTTGTGGGCATGAGATGGCAGAAAGTGGGATATGGAAAATGTTGCCGTGCGCCATTCCGAATACTACTGTGGCTTCCCTGCAGCATTACTTTCCATATTGGCTGTTTTCCATTTCAGGAAAGCTTAGGATGTCCTTGGTAAATACTGGCTAACCAAGAAATTTGAAAAATGAAAGGAGGCTGAGTAATTGGTCTTGGGTTGAAACGGGGTGATGCTGCATAAACTACGTGGTTGACTCTGAAAAGCTGGCTAAAAAGCCAGTCTGCATTCCTTGTCCTCATTTCCTTGGAGTAATGAAGGGTGCTTCTTAGAAGAGGGATAGATTCAAGTATGGGTTGTGAGTCATTCTTCTTTTCTGTATGTAATAGGTCTAACCACAGGGCCTGTTGAGCCCTGCCCTGGTGACCAAGAGCATTTTCTGACATGAACAGAGTTAGGCCATCTTGCCCGTATGAGCAGAGTTCTTCAGATGTCCCTTAGGATTCTAGGTTTCATACCTTCCCTGCCACTCCCCCACTACCAAATCCCCTTACCCTATAGCCTAGCAATGCAGAGTTGTCCAATATAGAACCTCTGTTAAACATAGCATCACCCAGGAAAATGGGATGAGTGGTTGCAGTCAGTACCACAGTTCTGCAGAATCAACTTGCTTACCTTAGTACATTGCCTGTCTACGTGTTTAGCAGAGCTAAAAGCAGGAATGGACTGTTAAACTACCATCCTTTTGTGCTCAAGTGCCATGAAGAGAAGCAAACCTGGAGTTGAAAGTTTTCAAAGAGGGCTTCCAAGTGAGGAACTTGGGCATGTGAATCTTTAATTATGACTATAAAAGAAATTGTGATTGGAAATAGAATTTTTATGCTAGTGGTTATGATTTCATTGAAAATAGGAAATCTTATTTAAGAACTCTGGTCACAAAACCTCCCCAGATAGTGACGTAAATAAGACCCAGTGTAACAACTGTGGCATTGACATGTCAGTTCATGTAGATTGAGTCACAATTTGATTTCGAGAATGGCCATATCCCATTTTGTCTTACTCCATGGTGTTCCTGAGCACTTGGATACAAATAGATTCTGTTTCCTAAAAGTAGCCAAATCTTTGTAGTTCAAGTGAATATTCCAGACTAAAATATGTGTCTTTTTGAAGGTCCTTAAGCCTTACATACTTAATTGTGTAATTTGGCAAATATTTGCTGTTGTGTTGTGTCAAGTCCTGTGATAGAGACAGTTCCTACCTTTCTGGAGCTTTCACAGTGTGACTCATTTCAGTACGTAAGTCGGAGCCAGTTTTAATAGAATGTTCTCTGGTTGACTTCTGTTGTAAGGAATAATTTCATTTCATGTCTGGGTCAATATGTGAAAGATTAAATTATTAGGGCAAACTGAAAAAAAAAATCTAGTTTTACCCCCCCACCACCACATTCCCAAAATAATTTAGCATGGTTTATAACAAATATCAAGCAACAATAATTAGAAGCAGATAAAAGCTCAGCAAGTAGAGGGCAAGAATAAAAAACCTAACTGTTAGATCTCATGCTGTAGGCTCCAGCCAAGTTGTCTCTGAGCTTCCTAAGAGCAAAGAGCCAACTGGCAAGTTAGTAATCAGGCAATTGCCATAATTTTCTAATGGAGGAGGGGAGTGGTCATGTGCATTCTAAGCTCTTTAAAGCCGAGGAGTAAGCTTTCTTTCCTTCATGATCTCAAGTACTCTACTTTGAAGAAAGGAATGGAACAGAAGGTGTCTGCATAACTAAATGGGGATCTAGAGAAAGTGGAGACTGCCTCTGGAGCAGGGAGGTGAGTGGACCAGATCACTGTGGGCCTGGGCCTACTCAGCTGATTTTCAAGCTAAAACCAGGGGTAACTTTTCCTCTTGAGACGAAAGCCATGCTCACATTCTGTGAACAGCCAGAGATGTGTTCGAAAGGCTTACTTTTATTTTGTACTAGAAAAGATTGTCTTTCCAAAATTTACCTCGTATTCATAAACTGGAAAGTTCTGATGGCAATATTTTGTTACAAAATTGTCATTAATCACAATCCAGGATTATGCCACCATGACTAGAAGGCCCCCTAATGGAGTTTATCTGCACTGCAAGGGGCCAGTTGTCTCAGAATCATCCTCCGTTGACATCTCCATCTCCAGGACAGCTCCACACTAATCTGTTTCAAAGACAAAATCCAGTCTAATCAGTTTGATGTATGTTTCTGGGAATAGAGCCGAATGTTGTAGCTGATGGAATGGAGTCTCATACCATTGATTTTGCAGCTGGACAAGTGCCCTGCCATGTTACTGCCACTCTTTAAGGCAGAATAGAGCACATTGTATCATTTATAGGCCTCTCACAGTGAGAAATATGTGGAACTTTGGAAATCAGAATCTAAAACTGCAGTCCAATGGGGTAGCCACTATTCACATGTGCTATTGAGTACCTAAAATGTGGCTAGACCAAGTTGACATGTGCTGAAGGGTGAAAAACACCAGGAGTGAAGAATTAACTTGAAAAAAATGTAAACTATCTCAATTTTATATTGATTACAAATTAAATGATGTTTTGAATATATTGAGTTAAATGAAATACATTTTTTAATGATACATGATGCGTATTATATTTCTGTTGGACAGTACTGGTCTAAAACAGTTGATTCACTATCCAGTAGAGAGAAAGGTATTGCTGTTTTACCATATGTGACCTTCAGGGAAAAGAAGAATAAAATTAGCACTTGAAAATGGAAAAACTTACAGATAAGCAGCTATTATTTGAAGGGCAGAAGGTGCAGGGGTACTCAGCACTACTTAGAAGATTTGACATAAATTCTATACTCAAGTTGCTAGTACTTCTGGAGATTTTAAATGAAAGACTTCAGAGTGTATTTAGTAAACACTCTGCTATGCCCACTCTACAAGCATCTGTGTGTTCATTAATCAAGAGCAGGCCAGGTGCAGTGGTTCTCACAGTGGCTCCCACCCAGCACTTTGGGAGGCCAAGGCGGGTAGATTGCTTGAACTCAGGAGTTTCAGACCAGCCTGGGCAACATGGCAAGACCCCATCTCTAAATAAACGTAAAAAAAAAAATTTTTTTTTTTTTTTTTTTGAGATGGAGTCTTGCTCTGTCACCCAGGCTGGAGTGCAGTGGTGGTCTCGGCTCACTGCAACCTCCACCTCCTGGGTCCAAGCAATTTTCCTGCCTCAGCCTCCCGGTAGCTGGGATTACAGACGTGTGCCACCATGTCTGGCTAATTTTTGTACTTTTAGTAGAGACAGGATTTCACCATGTTGGCCAGGCTAGTCTCAAACTCCTGATCTCAAGTGATCCACCCACCTCGGCCTCCCAAAGTGCTGGGATTACAGGTTTGAGCCACCATGCCTGACCCCAAATTTTTTTAGTTAAGAGCAAAAGGACTTGGTATGCTACATCTCATCAAAATGCAACTTCCTTAATGAAGAACCATATAAAGGATAGTTCTAGTTTCTTTTTTTTTTTTTTTTTTTTGAGACGGAGTCTCGCTCTGTCACCCAGGCTGGAGTGCAGGGGCACGATCTCGGCTCACTGCAAGCTCCGCCTCCTGGGTTCACGCCATTCTCCTGCCTCAGCCTCCCAAGTAGCTGGGACTACAGGCGCCCACCTCCACGCCCGGCTAATTTTTTCTGTTTTTAGTAGAGATGGGGTTTCAACGTGTTAGCCAGGATGGTCTCGATCTCCTGACCTCATGATCCACCCGCCTGGGCCTCCCAAAGTGCTGGGATTACAGGCGTGAGCCACCGTGCCCGGCCAGTTCTAGTTTCTTGATCCCTGATCTTAGTGTGTGTGTGTGTGTGTGTGTGTGTGTGTGTATACTAAAGTGTCTTTCAGGGTTTTGGTTTTTTGATTTTTTTTTTTTTTAATGGAAGGGGAGAGATTGTGGGAAGTGGCACCATAAATCTTACCTTGTATAAAGCACTCTTTTAAAAAATTACCTTATGTTAAGCAAAATGTTCCATAAAACTCTCCTTTTCCTGTCTTCACTGTGTGCTTTAAAAAACAGGTCTGTGTAAATTCTCTTGTAGTTTTGTTGCTACTAATAATGACATTTTGTCTTTTTGTGTTTAACAGTAATTGAATTCTTCCCTTAGTTTTCACATTTCTCTTAAGTAGTTGTTCTTAATAGTGACTGGGGATGGTGGGGAAAATGTGTCCCCCTCAGGGTGGACAAACTGGGAAAAGAACCAAAATCCCACACCCAATGAATTGAGACCAAACATCATTGACCACACTCCACCTCTCTAATTTTAACATTGACCAGAATATTCTAATTTTATTTATTTATTTATTTATTTATTTAATCTTTTTAGAGATGATAGGGTCTCACTCTGTTCCCTAGCCTGGAGTGCAGTGGCACCATCATAGCTCACTGCAGCCTTGAACTTCTGAGCAGTCAATCCTCTTGCTTCAGCCTCCTGAGTAGCTGGGACTACAGGCACGTGCCAACATGCCCAGCTGATTTTTTTAAAAATTTGTAGAGATGGGTTCTTGCTATGTTGTTCAGGCTTGTCTCAAACTCCTGGCCTAAAGCGAATTTCCCACCTGGGTCTACCAAAGTGTTAGGATTACAGGAGTGAGCATGCACCCAGCCAATACTGACTAATTTTAAAACCTGAAGAACAATAAGAACCTGAAAACATTGAGTTATTATATTGGCAAAAGCAAAACAAGCCCCTTTAAGATGTCTGGGGTGGAATCTCTGACTGGCTAATGAGTATGCCAGGAGTCAGACCCCTTTCAAACTCTGGATAGCACCACCACTGCCAAGATACATTTAATGCAGTTGATGCTTTTGGCAAAAGGCAACGACGCAATTGCTCTCAAATGTAGCAAAGCCCAAGGTAGACACACAGCAGCAACACAGGGAAATCATTGAAAACAGTGTGAGACGGTGCCAGTGTTACCCGAGCTCTGAGAAACCAGAGGTGCTGCCTACCTCTTAGGTTAAAGGCGTCCAAATGCCCTTCGTTGTCTTATTTGCATGGACATGTTTAATCCTATACTTTCTTGCATAAAAAAAAAGAGTACAGCACATGCCCTATGGTTACAAACAGTTTGGAGATGAAAACCAGCATGCCAAATTGCTGGGGCTATGGGGCCAGTGTAATGAGGATGAAGTGGATGTGGTCTGATATGGTCTGGTTCCGTGTCCCCACCCAAATTTCATCTTGAATTATAATCCGAATTGTAATCCCCATGTGTTGGAGGGGGGATCTCATGGGAAGTGATTAGATCATGGGGGCAGTTTCCCCCATGCTATTCTCATGATAGTGAGTTCTCACGAGATCTGATGGTTTTATAAGTGTCTGGCATTTCCCCTGCTGGCACTCATTCTCTTTCCTGCCGTCCTGTGAAGAGGTGCCTTCCACCATGATTGTAAGTTTCCTGAGGCTTCTCCAGCCATGCAGAACTGGGAGTCAAGTAAACCTCTTTTCTTTATAAATTACCCAGTCTTGGATATGTCTTTCTTAGCATGAGAATGGACTAAAACAAGGTCCATAGGTTGTTCAGGGAGCACTGCACACCATCCACAGCCCCTCACTCCACTTCTGAAACATTTTCCTAAAGAAGCTGAGTCACAGTGAGGGCAAAGGACCAGAGGCCAGCAGGGCAGCAGCGTAGGCTAAGAATGAATGTGAATAGAAATCAGAGGACCTTGGTGAGAATTCTGGCTCTGGCATTGACTAGCACTGTTGCCTTGGTTGCCTTTTTGTTGCTCATCTGTGAAATATGAATATTTCAAGTGCTATCTCATTGGAAGATTCTATGATAGTACTATAGAACTGTACATGGTAGTAACTGTCATAATTTGTGGCCTTATATTTATCTTTTTGAATCACCATCACCACCATCATCATCAGATGCACTCTAACTTCACTTGGAGGTATTTATTTATGCCCCCACTTCATTACAAAAATGTTTAAGACATGTTTAAGACAAAGAGAAAAGATTGAGCTTCCAATCTAGTTCCATTTCTAGATGTTTCCTCTTCCTTTCCTGGTTTAGCAGAGGAAAAACTGGCCTCCTTGTTTCCCCATTCCCCCCCCACCCCCCCCCCTTTCAACCACATGAAGAGGCTGTATTTGATTACACTTCAGAAGCAGCCTCCGAACCTACTGTGTAGGCATCAAATAGGACAGAAGTGAGCTGTGGCAATGACCATGTCCTCACATGACAACATCTCCCCTGGGGGCTCTAGTGCCTCCTCCCAGGGGACCCACTCCCAGCTTCTGACTGCCTGATTGGTTTTTCAGCCAGCTGAGCTTCTAGATTCTCCCTGAGATCCACCTCTGGCCCTGTAAAGGCCTCCTGGTTGCCTCTGTCCTGATCCCCGCACTTAGCTCTGGACTGAAGAATTATCTGGAGATAATGTGCTTTGTCCTCCAGTGTCTGCCTTTGCAGAGCACCAGCCAGGCGTTTTGTTCCAGGCTGCTCCAGCCACCCTGCTGTGGCTTCCACATGGATGTCCTGATCAGGTCCCCCATCCACCATCCTCCTGGGCTGTCCTGACCACTCTCGCTGGCCTCTATGTCTCTCTGGGCTTGGCCTGTCAAGGACCTCGATTCACTCTGGACTCTGACCCAGAGTTCGCCTGTAAAATCCCCACACTTGGCTCTTAGCAAGCAGTGCTTACAAAGTTAGGAAATATTTGTAAAATGCTGCCATGGTATAATGTGAAGCGCTCAAACAAGTCAGGGCTAATGATGCACTGAGAATTATTTCTAAATTGAGGGCATAAAGAGTTACAGTTCTTCGATTTTAAAAAGCAAAGTGACTTTTAATGCATCAAATCTTACTGTAGCCAGAGTACTGTAACTTAGTTTCCATCAGAATGGAAATAAGTAGTTACTGAGCAAGCAGCTGGATGAGCCCTATGCTTGATGATACATATTGAATTCCAAGGTAGGCCACAGGCCACTCCTCCCGGGGACAGGATCCATCATCACAGCCACCAGGCCCAATAGTGTGAGCCATGCTAAGAAATGAAATGATATATCATTTAGGGCACTGGTGCTTTTCTTTTTCTTTTTCTTTTTTTTTTTTTTTTGAGGAGTTTTGCTCTTGTCCCCCAGGCTGGAGTGCAATGGTGTGATCTTGGCTCACTGCAACCTCTGCATCCCAGGTTCAAGCCATTCTCCTGCCTCAGCCTCCCAAGTAGCTACAATTACAGGTGCCACCACCACGCGTGGCTAATCTTTTCTTTTTTTTTTTTTTTTGAGACGGAGTCTCACTCTGTCAGAGTGCAGTGGCACGATCTCGGCTCACTGCAACCTCTGCCTCCCACTTTCAAGCAATTCTCTGCGTCAGCCTCCCAAGTAGCTAGGATTACAGGCGCCTGCCACCACGCCCGGCTAATTTTTGTATTTTTAGTAGAGATGGGGTTTCACCATGTTGGCCAGGCTTGTCTCAAACTCCTGACCTCGGGTGATCCGCCCGCCTCGGCCTCCCAAAGTGCTGGGATTACAGATGTGAGCCACTGCGCCCAGTGGCACTGGTGCTTTTCATGTCTGCAGTTTCAACCCCTTACCCCCAACCCCAAGGTCATGTGTAATCCTGGTATGAATAAATGTAAATGGTGCTTGCTGGCCTTAGGTGTGTGAGAGTCAGAAGCATCCATTTCACCACTCAGGCCTAAGGTTCTCTATGTCTCACTACCCACCCTGCACCCCAGACCTCACACAGCAACACTCATGAGAGCCACCAAAATTGTAACGAAAATATAATGATGACAATGAGGACAAGTCTTTCCTATAACTGAGAAAGTTCTGTGCTAAACATGTTACCTATGGAAATTATTTCAGTGCATTCTCTGGATTTCACTGAGAAGTAGCTACCATTATTATTCTTATCTCCATCTTATGGAACAGGAAATGGTGACATGGAGCTTCAGTAACTGGCCAACATCATCAGACAGCATGGCCCCGGGTCCTGAGCTTTGTCCCTCATGAGTGTCGAGAGTGTTCTGTGTTTCTGCTGGGCACGGTGGCACATGCCTGTAGTCCCAGTCGCTCAGGAGGCTGAGGTGGGAGGATTGCTTGAACCCAGGAGTTTGAGCAGAGCCTGAGCAACATAGCAAGAAGCCATCTAAAAAAAAAAAAAAAAAAAAAAAAAAATCCAAATATCTTGCAGAGTAAAAACATAAAACAAAAAAATTAAAAGATTTCTATCACTCTGGAATCCTCATTCGGGATACAGCAAAAAAAAAAAGATTACTTATTGCAATAGAGAAAACACCAAGTGTCTCTCATACTGAATGTTTTTCCAGATTGCAGGCACTGCAGTGAGCTTTCGTGTTTTCCAAATGCGATCATTTCCTTTGTGTCAGTAAGAGCCAAATTATCCTAGTAAACAGGAGTTGCTAGTGGACTTTTTTTTTCTTTTTGAGCTAAATACTTTAGTGTAATATAATGTGAACTGCATAACTCTTAAATGGCTAATCTGTTCTTCAGTTTCGTGCAATTAAAGACTAGAAGTGCAAGTCAAATGCCCTAATAAAAGATAATCTACCCATCAGGTACCCAACTTACAGTATTTTAGAGGCTAGGTAATCTCTAGATGAAAGAATAAGTTTCTAAATCATTTGGAATTAGGAACACAGTTTTTTCTCATACATGCATATTGCCTCAAAAGAAGGAGACTCCCAGGCTAGCTCATGGTTTTCTAACCTCATTAATTGAGCTTACAACATTCTTATTTCCTCTCTCCCAGTATTTCAAAGCTTCTGTAGACCAAGGGGTTCTGGGTCACGACAGCAGAAGTCAGGAACAGCTCCCCCAACCCCATGGTCCCACCCCACTGTGGCCTCAGAGATGAGAAGGTGAAGCTCTGAGTCCCAGGAGGGCAGGGACCTTGCTTCAACTCAGTGCCTGGGGTAGAGAATGTGGTGCACTGAAGCGGTATGTGGGAAGGGCTGGTGAATGAGGGGGTTTTTGATCTACAACTTCCACCACTCACTGCCACAATTTCCACTCTCCCCATCCTGTTTCTAGCCTAGGGGTGAGGAATCCCCTGGCTCTGAGCTGTGGCCTCAGAGAGGGGCTTTGCAGGTGGTGACTTTGAATTGAGGAGGAAGGAAAAAGGCTCAAAGAAATGATGTTTTCTTGGTAGAAACCTGATTGTGGGGATTCCATGTCAAAGAGCACGGCCCAGTCTCTTCACAGGTTGGGAATCTGCAGGTCTAATTACTAGGGCCAGTGTGCTATTAAGTGGTTTCTGTCACCATCACCATTGATCCGCAACATGTCACTTTTGGAGTTGTCGGGCATCAAACGACCAACATTTTAAACATACTTGTTTAAATAAACACACTTGCAAAACCAGATATGTTCTTGCTGCCAAGTATGAACGACACATGGTTGATGGCAGAGTTCAGACAACAATTATTTGGAGCAGACCAGGAGCAAAGACAGGTACTTGGGGTAGGAGGTACAAGCTTTAAGGCAAAGTAGAGGTAGGAGGTACAGGCTTTAAAATCCAGACAAGCTTTAAGTCAGTGCCTGTCCATCTCCCCTCAACCCATCCCCACTCTCATCTGCTTCTTTGTTGAAGAATTCCTGTGTACATTGATGGCCTCCTAACCCACGTACCTTGTAGACTCTCAAGGCTAGGCATACTGTTCTTGGGGAAGAATTGCGCTGCTCTCCCCCAGGCAGCTAAGGAAAGACTTGCCATTCTCCCCCACCCCCAAGCTGTCTCTTTCCTCTCTCCTTATCCCAGTTCTGCAGAAAAGGGAATCAGGTCAATGTAGTTCTTTAATGTGGACATCATCTGTAGCATTTACATGCTTGACACCCAGGAAATAACTATTTTCACTTCCCCACATCTCCCAGTGTTCAACTTTGCACCACTGTCTCTGCCTTGCCTGGAACAGTCTGCCCTCTCCGTCACCTGCCTAGCTTGCTCTACAGGGATTTCTTAATTGTGCCTCTTTTTAGGAAGGCTTCCCTAACCCACAAGACCACATTGGTATCCCTCCCATATGTCCCCATTGCTCTGCTCTTCCCTATCAAAGCTCCTATCACTCTGTATTGTTGAGTATTGTTAACTACTTACTTATTGACCAGACTGTAAGCTCCATAGAGTTAACACCTTGTGTGATCAAATAACTCTTGTATCCCCACTGTCTAAGACAGTTCTGGTCACATAACAGGTTCTAGATGAATGACTGATGAAGACACAACAGCACGGTGGTGAGGCCATTGAATGCTTCTAAGACTGCACTTGGCAACATCACAAGCTGCAGAATCCCGTGCCACATATGACCTGCTGTTCACCGGTTCTTGCCAGGATCACACCTGAGAAGAGGAAGATAATGGAGATGGAAGACTTGGGATGCTCAGGGTCCTGCTAGCCTTCAAACTGCAGGACTCTGAGCATCCCAAGTCTTACCATGAGTTGCTAAAAGAGAACCAGACCCATGTTTATCCCTTTGAAAGAAACCTGAACCAAGCCATTCCTCTGGACTGTTCTTCCATCCACTGGACCAATAACTCATAGTTTGAAGGATTTTTACTTAATGGAAGTGAGAAAACAGCCAGATCAAAAGAATTTCCAGGAGCCAAGACAGAAAACATGCAGAGCATTAGACAGCCTAAATGGAGCTGGCTAGATATGACTCCAGTTGTGACCAAGCCATAGTGCCCCCTAAGCTGGGTGAAGAGAACGGTGCCCATCAGGCCAGAGAGAGCTGAAAGGGCCGTGAGGATGCTAAGCAGGGAGTCTCCAACCCCCTGGGTACAGGCATAGCCAGTGATGATGCCGCCAGACCCCAGAACTGTCATGTAGAGGAAGACCAAGCACAAGCCAGCTAAGAAGACCATCTGCCTGCAGTAGGCTTCCCATCCCTCATGGCACATGCAGAGCAGCCTTTGCATGTTTTAAAGGTGAAAAGGAGGCCGGGCGCAGTGGCTCATGCCTATAATCCCAGCACTTTGGGAGGCCGAGGCAGACGGATCACGAGGTCAGGAGATCGAGGCCATCCTGGCTAACACGGTGAAACCCCGTCTCTACTAAAAATACAAAACATCAGCCGGGCATGGTGGTGGGCGCCTGTATTCCCAGCTACTCGAGAGGCTGAGGCGGGACAATGGCGTGAATCCGGGAGGCGGAGCTTGCAGTGAGTCGAGATCGCGCCACTGCACTCCAGCCTGGGTGACAGAGCGAGACTCTGTCTCAAAAAAAAAAAAAAAAAAAAAAGGTGAAAAGGAAAACCTGTGTTTGTGGTCTGTTCTTCAAGGTTAAACTTGTGGTCCTTTGGCTTTTCCAAAGGCCTAGGCTTGTAGACGAATCCATCATTAATTTCCCAACAGTCCATTTCACCCAAAACAAAATCCAAACAAGCTTTAAGTCAGTGCCTGTTCATCTCCCCTCAACCATCCCCAGTCTCATCTGCTTCTTTGTTGGACAACTCCTGTGTACACTGATGGCCTCCTACCCAAAGCACCTGTGTCTCTTTGCCTGAAGATCCCTCTCCAGCCATAGGAACATGAGGGGTGGGCTGTAAGTTGCCCTGAGAACAGCTCTCAACCAAGGACAGACAAGAGTTGCTGGATAAACATCCTAGTTTCCTTGGGCCTTGGTGGGACAGTTCTGAAGTATGTCCTACACAGTCTCTCATAAGGTCCCCAGAAGGACTGACCCCAGTGGCCATCAGCGGTAACCTATATATTAACATAAGTTTTATTGGCTTTTCTCCTTCTCTGTCTCACTTCCCATTCTCTCACCATGCTTCCTGGGATCATCTTCCAAATATTAATAGATTACTTTTCACCCCCAAATCTTTGTCTCCAGGATTACTTTTGAGAGAACCCAAACTAAAACATAGTCAAGCCAGGAAGATGACACTGAAAGGAGGAGGAAGAGGAGGACACATTTTGTAGAAGATAAAATGCCACATGCTTGGAACTCAGTCATGAGCCCCAGGAAACAGTGATAGATACTTCCTTTGGTTATTCTGAAGAAACAGATACTTATGTGAAAAAAAGCTAAACACCTTTCAGTCTTCCAGGATAGAATAGACAATGATTATAAGCAGATTAAAAATATATAACCGCTGGGCACAGTGGCTCACGCCAGTAATCCCAACACTTTGGGAGGCCGAGGTGGGTGGATCACAAGGTCAGGAGTTCGAGACCAGCCTGACCAACATGGTGAAACCCTGTCTCTACTAAAAATACAAAAATTAGCCCGGCGTGGTGGCATGTGCCTGTAATCCCAGCTACTCGGGAGGCTGAGGCAGGAGAATCGCTTGAACCCAGGAGGCGGAGGTTGCAGTGAGCCGAGATCATGCCACTGCACTCCAGCCTGGGTGACAGAGTGAGACTCTGTGTCAAAATAAATAAATAAAATAAAATATATACACACACCATTGTGAGGGGTATTTAGTGCAAATTAAGACAAATCCTGCAAAGGACTAGAGGAACCAAATAGGACTGTGGAGGGAGGACAAAGGGGCAGGTGGGCCAGATCCATTGTAGACCAAGAAGTGTGGGAAGGATTAGGCTCTTAATTGCAGAAATGAATGTATTGCCAGAACAGTTTTTAAAAAGGTCACAATGACAACAATGAACAAAATAGCTAATGTTGACTTAAGTTTTACTATATGCCAGGGAGTAAAATAGGGCTTTACATAAACTATCTTATTTAATTGTCACAACATCCCTATGATATCACTTCTTTTGTTGTCCTTAATTTACAGATAGTGAGACAGAATGTGAATAAACTAACCTTGCATGGTCACACAGGTAATAGCCACAGAGGGGAAGGATATAGTTTACTCTATCTATCCATCTATCTGCTTGCATATCTATCTATTCATCCCTCATCTAAATATGTATCTCTACTTATCTATCTCTCCAAATACATATATTTTATTTATGCAGTGAGATCTGGTGGACTTTAATTGCAAAATAACTTGAGAGAAAAGAGAATTAATTATAAGAAGTACAGAAAAAGAAACAGAGCAGAAGCAATTCCTGGACTGTGCTGTACCAGGCAGATGGGCAATATAGTCAGTATGCAGTGTTGGCTCTTTCTTTGGGAGAATGAGGTCATATCTACTGGCAAGGCCCCCTTCCCTTTATTCCCACTATACTGCTTGGGAATTTCTGATTTAAAAAAAATACTGTTGATAACAGAAATGACCAATTCATCATATTGTCTTGACCAAAGAGCAGCTCATACTGTGACACACTTGCCTCTCTAGTATCTCTGGGGAGGATGTTCGTAAGTGAGATTGGAGGAGTAATCGCCCCCCAGGACCGTGGGATAGGTTGTGCACGTTGTATACTGCACAGTCCCATGGGGGTGTTAGTCTCTCTGAATGGAGTCCCCAGAGTTATGCAGTGCACAACCTGTGTATAAGGCAGCCCTGCCTGCCCCCACCAATAAGATCAGCCATATGAACTGCATGACCAATGGCACAGCTGGAGCCCTCTCATTTGTCACTGTTTCTAGGCACATTTGCAGATAAAATGTTGAGATTGTGATCAGATTATGATCAGAACTTTCAAGAGTTCTGGAAAGAAGAGTTCTGGAAAGAAACACTGACATAAAGGAGAAGAAAAGAACAGGAACTCCCTCTGAGTTTGCATAACTTTCAATGTTCACAGCCTCCTGTTGCCTTTCTAGGAGGTGCCCTACTGTGTATTGCTGGGGTCGTATAGCCAATTGGCGAACTAGCTGATAAACCCTGGACAGAAATAGAAACTACAAGAAGTGAAACAAAGTTCCATCCAAGAATGAAACAACAACTGATCACGTGAGATGCCCATGTCATCACTTGACCCACAGACAGGGGAGCAAATATATTGATGATCTGGTCCTCCTGCCGGACTGTTGGTATTCATCCCTGTAAGTGAGAGGAAGGAAACATTGCAACTTAATGGGTGAGTCCTTCCTTCTGGTGAATTTAACATCATGCATTTGCTAGATTTGCTAGCCATGCAGTTATGGTGAAAACAGGAAAGATCCCTTTGGGTTTAACTATAGATTAGCCATAGGATTTGCAACCAGGAAAAGACCTTCAAGATCAATTCTATTGGAACATGGACAATTAACATAAATAAACTGAGAAACAGACAGACTGTGTTACTTGTAGCTAATTATTTTAACTCCCATCTCAGCACTCTTTCCCAACACAACCCATTATCTTAACAACTATAATAGTACTAACAGCCATTATTATAACCAACATGTTTGTCGGGGAGAAAGGTGACAAGAGGAGGGTAGAGGACAGAATTAGTTGAACACTTACTCTGTGCCAGGCGATAGTTTTAAGCTTTCTACATCTATTCATTTCAATCCTCACAACAACTCTTACAGGTCAATAGTGTTTCCCTTTCACAAGTTAGGAAACTGAGGCACAGATAGGTGATTTTATTTGTTCAAAGTCACAGAGAGGGCACATGGCTGAGCTGAGATTCAAACCCAAGCAGTGTGACTATGAAGCTTATTATCTTAACTATTCCACCATCATCGAAGGATATATTTACAAGATTTTTTAATTGTAATAAATTCTGTGCTTTATCTTTTTTTAAAAAAAAAATTTAATTAACAAAGAATAGGAAGACTTTCTATTCTTCACCCGGAGATGGACGATACCATGTTACTTGGCTTTTATCCACATAGCTGTCTTATTTTAGGTGCTGTTATTTGAACCAGAGTACATCCAAATAAGTGTAGTTTAAAAGAAATCATGATTATAAGGGGTTCCCAGTTTTTGCAAGGCATGATTTCTATAGACTCCTCCTTAATAGCTTCCTTTATCTTGGCCATCCGTGCTCACAAACATTTTCTAGCAGAGTACCAACCGCACAAATAGAGAGTAGGATGAGATCTTCAGCTTTAAGTTGGCAACGTGTATATATCTCAATGTGAATGATCCAAGTTTTGCAAATGGGAGAAAAAGCAAAAATGCCAGATTCTTTCATTTAACTCCATTATTTAAAAAATTGTGTTTACCTTTATTATCAATGATAATTGACAGTTACGCTTGAAAATGAATTTTTTTTTTAAAGTGGAAGCTTATCACTGGCCAGAATTAAGAAATATAAATCTTTTTTTTTTTTTTTTTTTTTTTTTGAGATAGAGTTTTGCTCTTGTTGCCCAGGCTGGAGTGCAATGGTGCGATCTCGGCTCACCACAACCTCCACCTCCCAGGTTCAAGTGATTCTCCTGCCTCAGCCTCCCAAGTAGCTGAGATAACAGGCATGTGCCACCACAACAAGCTAATTTTGTATTTTTAGTAGAAACAGGGTTTCTGCATGTGGTCAGGCCATTCTCAAACTCCTGACCTCAGGTGATCCACCTGCCTCAGCCTCCCAAAGTGCTTGGATTACACGTGTGAGCCACCCCACACAGCCTTCTTTTTTCTTTTATAGAGACAGTGTATTCCTGTGTTGCCCAGGCTGGCCTTGAACTCCTGGCCTCAAGCCATCCTCCCACCTTGGCCTCCCAAAGTTCCAGGATTACAGCCATGAGCCACCAAGCCTGGCCAATAAATATTTTAATTTATTTATTTTCTAGGCCTAAAATTGCCAAGGTACCTCTGTGATACATTTTGAGAAGCTTCTCTCCTAAAAGTACAGCCTATATATATATATATATATATATATATATATATATATATATATATATATATATATTTTTTTTTTTTTTTTTTTTTTTTTTTTTTGAGACAGAGTCTTGCTCTGTTGCCCAGGCTGGAGTGCAGTGGCGCGATCTCAGCTCACTGCAACCTCCACCTCCCGGGTTCAAGCACTTCTCTTGCCTCAGCCTCCCGAGTAGCTGGGACTACTACAGGCGTGAGCCACCTCGCCTGGCCTATATATTCTTTAGATAATACAGTACCAATCATTTTTTAGGCACTTCCTACATGCAGACATAGTGTTAAGTGCTTTCCAAATCCTATATCTTATAGAATCCTTCCCAAAGCTGAGCTGTGTGTGTGTGTGTGTGTGTGTGTGTGTCTTTATTTCCCTCATTATACAGATGAGGAAAGTCACGTAACTTGCCCTGGAGTATGCATCTAGTAAGAGGCACAGCTGATTTTAGCTGAATTCAGACTCAAACCCAGGTCTCATTGACTCCAAATAACATATTCTTAAAGGCTGTTGTCAGCCTCTCTCAGAGCCCTGATTGCCTTGTCAGCTCTCTACTTCTCAGCTGATTAGAGGATCAGTACCCAGGGCGGTACCACTCACCAACCAGCTGGCCTCTGTTGTCACCCGTCAGCTCACGATCCAGTCCCTCTGGATGGTGACGGTCAGCGCCGTGCCGGCCAGGTTTGCCAAGGCCACTAGGGTGGTCACCAGTGCACAGCAGGCCACCTACCGAAGGAGGGGAAAGGGTGTATGGAACCCAAGAATAGATTTTCCCGCCCCACTGCAGTGCATAAGGTTATTTATCTGACAGCTCAAGGAACATCTAAATGAACACAAAGACCTGAGAGAGAAAAAGATTCAATGTAGGTTTGGAGCCCAATTCTACTGTGTTAATGCTAAGCATTTTCTTCCTCCCACCCCATCAGAGCCAGAGCCGATGCTAATTTGCACCTTGCAGACACAGACTCTGCTGTTCTATTGCCTTCATGTCAGTGGGATTTCAGCTCAGACTCACAAATTAGGGGAGAGGAGGACACTGAGGAAAGATTAGCCTGATCCAAAACCAGTGAGCGTGGCCACAAAGAAAACACTAACTGGTGGACATTCAGGGTGTCTGTGACGTAGGGACATGGGAGACACTCACAGTGAGCCAGCCATCCCAGATTTGTTCCATCTGCCTCTTGTAGGGGAGCACAAGCATCAGGACAGTGCAACAGGCGGTGACGGAGGCGTTCTGCATGCAGAGCGAGGTATAAGCAACTGTGAATGGAAACACCCAGCCCAATCTCTACTCTCAGTTTTAACAGGCAGTTCACAGCTATATCATCATTTAATGCAGAGGAGGCTGGGTGCGGTGGCTCACAACTGTAATCCCAACACTTTGGGAGGCCAAGGCGGGCAGATCACTTGAGGTCAGGAGCTCCAGACAAGCCTGGCCAACATGGCAAAACCCTGTCTCTCCTAAAAATACAAAAATTAGCCAGGCGTGATGGCACACACCTGTAATTCCAGCTACTCGTGAGGTTGAGGCACGAGAATCACTTGAACCTGGGAGACGGAGGTTGCAGTGAGCTGAGATTGTGCCACTGCACTCCAGCCTGGGTGACAAATTGAGACCCTGTCTCAAAAAAATAAAATATAATAAAAAATAATGCAGAGCAGTTGCATTAGACCAAATCCCAGTGCAACCAGGGTTAGCATTTCCATCGGTGATCACAGGCTTAAGAGGCAAAGAGCAGACTCTTGAGCTCACTAAAGACAAAGCCTTTGCAACCAAAAGAGAAAAAAGCTGTACTTTGCAAGTGAATGAAAACATATCTGAGAGACGGATCATATGAAAAGCTGGATTCTAGGTAAGTCAAGAAACTTAAAATGTTCTAGTGCTACATCACACTCTTCTGGATTTAATTTGTAACTGAATTTACCAATTTAGCGTAAAGACCAGCACACCAGATTTTCAATCAGCTAGTCTTTTCAATGGTGTGGCTTCAGAGAATGCCTTTCCATGGTAGAAGGAGAAAAGTCCTACCTTCCATGGTAGAAGGAAGGCAGTCACGTTGACTAGAAATCAAGGAATAGGAAAAACTTAGGATAGCCTACATTCTTATTGGACAAAGACGCTTAAAGAGATAGTATAGCCCAAAGCTAAAATAGATCTACATTTGAACAAATAAGTCTCCAGATATTAATGACTAGTTTAGACAGATTACCCAGTACAAAAACTCATTTACACAAATAAATTGCCTCTGATAAAAACAACACAAGTATATTATGCATAGGTAATGCCAAAATATTAAAAAGAAAGCACTTTTCAGGAATTTGATATTAAAAACCTATACTTAGCAAAAATCTAAAAACTACATTAAAATATTTTACATGTAGAATCAGAGAATGATGACACAAAGCTGTATAACTTCATCTAGAGTTTTTAACTTATGCTCTTTTGCTATTAAGTTCATAGCAATTTATGAATTTTATTTCACTAAATAAACCAAAAAAGCCAGTGAAGTCATAATGTACCACATAAATATGTATGTCACAGTTAAGAGTGTTACCTTTATTTCTTGGTTTCTTTTCAATCCAATCACCAATTAAGACCCCAAATATTAATACATATCCAGCCACCACTAAGCCAAACACTGCTGATAAAAGCAGATTATGTCCATATAATTCTACCAGGAAGACAGACATGGCAAAGTGCCACATTTGATCTCCCTGCAAGGCAGTACAGGCAAAGCATGTTTTCATCATTGACCTAAAAGATGGATCAAAGTTAAAATCCAGAAAGATGCATTTCTCCCCAGGGACATGTAATATGCAGGATTACAAGACAGAATGTCAAAATTATACTTTTATGCAGTACATCTATAACTTTATTTTTGTGCAATATAGTTATAAATTTTAAAAGCTGGAGAGAATGTATTTTAAAATCTTAAAAGCTCCACAGAGTCAACAAGCTAATGAGAAAATATCAGACAAACACTTGGAAGAACATGAGACCTCCAAGAACAAAGCCCACAATGCCCTGAGGACATCTGCTGATTCCGAAGCAACAGCTGTGAAATACAACAGCAGGTTTGTTGTCCTCAGAAAGACAGACTATGGAAGTCCATGCTACCAAAGATGGGGACTGAGATAAACCAGTTCCCATTTTAAGCTGAGATTCCCATGTAATTACATCCTAAATGTAAGCAAGGGTAAACCTGAAGTAAACTGACCCTCACATGGACTTGTAGTCCAGTTCTGCCTCATCCCAATGGGCCAGGAAATCTCAAACCTTGAACATGGATTAAAGTGTTACCAAATGACTAGTGTCCACTATGCATCTGGTAGAAGCTAGTTAAAGTTATCTCTAAAGGAAGATGCCACCATCTTAGGCTTCAAAGTATTCCTACAATAATAATAATAAAATAAAAATTTTATAAAATAATATACAAATTATTATCATTATTATGTTGAGACTGGATCTCACGCGTTCTCCCAGGCTGAGTGCAATGGTGCAATCATAGCTCACTGCAGCCTCAACTTCCCAGGCTCAAGAGATCCTCCCACCTCAAGCCTCCCAAGTAGCCAGGACTACAGGCATGCACCAGGATGCCCAGTTATTTTTTTTTTATGTATAAAAAAGATGGGGTCTCACTATGTTGCCCAGGCTGGTCTCCTGGGCTCAAGCAATACTCCCACCTCAGCCTCCCAAAGTGTTGAGATTACAAGTGTGAGCAACCACACCCAGCCTTTATAATTATTTATTATATTTATTCCAACACATATGTTTTTATGTACCTGCTTTTTTTTTTTTAGATGGAGTACCCTTGTCGCCCAGGCTGGAGGGCAGTGGCATGATCTCAGCTTGCTGCAACCTCCACCTCCTGGGTTCAAGTGATTCTTCTGCCTCAGCTTCCTGAGTAGCTGGGATTACAGTCATGCGCCACCACACCCAGCTAATTTTTGTATTTTTAATAGAGATGGGGTTGGCCGGGCACTGTGGCTCACACCTGTAGTCCCAGCACTTTCGGAGGCTGAGGCAGGTGGATCATGAGGTCAGGAGATCGAGGCCATCCTGGCTAATATGGTGAAACCCCATCTCTACTAAAAATATAAAAAATTAGCCAGGCGTGGAGGCGTGCACCTGTAGTCCCAGCTACTCTGGAGGCTGAGGCAGGAGAATCGCTTGAACTTGGGAGGCAGAGGTTCCAGTGAGCCAAGATAGCGCCACTGCACTCCAGCCTGCGTGACAGAGTGAGACTCCATCTCAAATAAATAAATAAATAAATAAATAAATTAGAGACGGGGGTTTCACCATGTTGGCCAGGCTGGTCTTGAACTCCTGACCTCAAGTGATCAGCCCACCTTGGCCTCCCAAAATGCTGGGATTACAGGAATGAGCCACTACACCCAGCCACCTTCCTCTATTTGTTCTATATTTGATAATTCAAACATATTTAAACAAAAATACACATTTTTGCATCTAATATTTTGAGACATCCTAATGTCCTTAATATTGCAGTTCTCTTAACCATCCAAAGATAAAAGATTAATTTCATTTTGATTCCTCTCTTACCCACATTCATAAGGCACAACTTATAAAAATAAAAAATCTTGGACTCATGAGGTAAATCAAAGTTGCTCCTAAAACACATGTATTTAAACCACGAGCATTATTAAACAATAAATATATATACATTATTTATTTGGAGCAAATTTTGCCAGCTAATCAGAAAGAGTAAAATGCTGTTTAGCATGAATTTGCTTTTAGAGAGTACACCAGTGCTGGATAAAAATACAGGCACCAAGTTAGGGGATTCTCAGGGATTTTGTTTTCTTTTGACAAAGTTGTCTTCATTCATTTGTCACTGAGGGACCGCTAGGGAAATATCCACCTGTATCCCTTTTCTTAAGTCTAGAAATAGAGAAATAAGCAAGGCATTTCCATTGATATATGTGCCATAAAGGAAGTAGCCCAGAATGCAATGAAAGTATGTAAAAATGGCAGGAAGTTGCCCCACGGCAAAATCTGAGGGCCAAGAAGGAACTGAACTAGCAAGTGAGGATTAGGGGTAGAGACAGCTCTCCAGGTTGGGAGAACAGTGGGTACAGAGGCCTATTGAAAAGAGAAAGGATAACTGCAGACAAAATCCAGAGGTTGGGGTGGAAGGTGCGAAAGTCGGAGAGGAATAAGAAAGGGAAGGGATGAATCAAGTCTGGAGAGAGACTCCCCTTTACCTGGGAGGAGCAGGAAGGAGCGGTGGATCACCAAAGCTGCTGTGCCCTGATATGGCTTGGCTGTGTCCCCATCCAAATCTCAAATTGTATCTCCCAGAATTTCCACGTGTTGTGGGAAGGACCCAGGGGGAGGTAATTGAATCACGGGGGCCAGTCTTTCCTGCGCTATGCTTGTGGTAGTGAATAAGTCTCACAAGATCTCATGGGTTTATTAGGGGTTTCTGCGTTTGCTTCTTCCTCATTTTCTCTTGCCGCCACCATGTAAGATGAGCCTTTCACCTCCCACCATGACTCTGAGGCCTCCCTAGCCATGTGGAACTGTAAGTCCAATTAAACCTCTTTTTCTTCCCAGTCTCAGGTATGTCTTTATCAGCAGTGTGAAAATGGACTAATACAGCCCTCTGTGGATTCCCAGCTGCAGGCGGCCTCCTCTCCAGCCTTTCAACACACTCACCCTGCACCTTCCCCACAGAGCTGGGGGCCAGGGCCTGTCTCAGCTACTTGCCAGGACTCCTTTCCTGCTTCCTCTTGCCCATCCTGACCATCACTCCTTATTTTCACCTTTCTGATGCCCATCAGAAATGGGGGTCATAAATGGGGGTCAGAAATGCGGTTCTGATTTAGATCTTTAGTGCCACAGGAAACACAGTTATCAGTGCAGAGTGAGTGTGGGAAAGTTTTCAGGAGAGAAGAGAGGTCATTTAGGAGAGTGGATCAGACCCCCATCTGGCCAGGCAGTGGCATCCCAGTCTTCCTGGTTATGCCCTGCAATCTCATGTGTGTCTTCCTGGTTTTAGAGAGCCCTGCTGAAAGCCCTCTTTATGGCACCCACTGCCTTCTACCCTACCTCATCGCCACATCCCCTATGGAGGCTACCACTGATTCAGATCCATCATTGCAACCCTCAGCAGAATAGCCCTGCTATAGTGGCAGGGATTCCATATCTACCCTTTCCTTCCTTCCTCCCCTCCTCCCTTCCTTTCTTTTCTTTCCCTTCTTTTTTCCTTCCTTCCCTCTTCCTTCCTCCCATCCTTCCTTCTCACCTGCCCTCTTGTATGTATTCATGTATTTAGGTATTTTGCCAGGCATTGGGGATAAAGTGGTAAGAAAGTTGGAGAGGGTTCTTACACTTACAGCCCAGGGATAACAGCAAATAGACCATGAATTACAACCCAGTGTGATAAGTTTCAGCTTAGACAGGGTGAGGTGCCACCCCATCACCCCAGAAGCTAGTCATGGAGGAACCATGGCAGGTCACTCAAAAGGCCCTCTGGAACCTAAAGGTTGGCATATGGCACTGAGGAAGGACATTGACTCTGGACATGTCAACCCCTGACACAGGAGCACTACCCAGCCACCCACCCCAACACTGAAACAGTGCCTGGGGTCATTCACACCCGCAGAGGTCACCAACCCTGTGGCCTCTCCCCAGGTGCACCCTCTGTGCTTCAGCACTTCAGCCATGCCTGAGGCATCAGGGTTTTGCTGTCACTCCACACCCCAGCACTGGACAAATCCTCCAGTGACAGAAACTGCATTAAAGTGCTGGAACCACAGTCTGCTCAAGCCAACCCCACTGGCCCATCGGCTGGTGGAAAGAGCTTCTTGGGAGCTAGCCTGCCACAGCAGGAATTCTCTGGAATGTGTCAGGATCTTCCATCTGGCCCAGTCTGGGTAGAGGGTCTGGCCAGGAGAAGATCACTCCTCACTGGCTAGTCTCCCTTCAAAGTCTCAGCACCAGGTTGGTCCTTGGGCTGGGCTGCCATTGGACTGCATTTCTCGTGTCCACTGACATTCCCACTTCCCTAAATGACCTCTCTTCTCTCCTGAAAATTCTCCCACACTCACTCTGCACTGATGACTGTGTTTCCTGTGTCACTAAAGATCTAAAAAGCATGGGAGAGGACTTCCTTGAGCTCTCATCCCCACACCTGCCCCCCTGCCTGCACCCAGGCCCTGGGCTCTGCCACTCCTCCTGTCTCCAGGCTCCTGGCACAGACCAATTCCCCCCCACATCCCTCTTCCCTCCAGTCTTTCTTCCCCCCTGCTCATGTGTCCTCAAACGTTCTCTTTACTAGGTCTTACAAACAAGCTGTTATTCCAAGAATCTCTTCAAAAAACAGCAACAAGGCTTTCAGCTTTCAGCTGGGAGGAGGCCAAGGTGCAACTTTCTTGGGTCGTCCTGAATCTAGCCACCTCTGCCATGCTGCCGAAGTTCTACCCCAATGAGATCAAAGTCACATACCTAAGGTGTACTGGGGATGAAGTGGGTGCCACGTCTGTGTTGGCCCCCAAGATCAGCCCCCTAGGTCTGTCTTCAGAAAAGGTTGGTGATGACATTGCTAAAGCAACTGGTGACTGAAAGGATCTGAGGATTACAGTGAAACTGATCATTTAGAACAGAGAGGCCCAGATTGAGGTGGTGACTTCTGCCTCTGCCCTGATCATCAAAGCCCTCAAGGAACCGCCAAGAGACAGAAAGAAACAGAAAAACATTAAACACAGTGGAAATATCACTTTTGATGAGATTGTCAATGTTGCTCAACACATGTGGCACCGATCTTTAGCCAGAGAACTCTCTGGAATCATTAAAGAGATCCTGGGGACTCCCCAGTCTGTGGGCTGCAATGTTGATGGCTGCCACCCTCATGATATCATAGATGACATCAACGGTGGTGCTGTGGAATGCCCAGCTAATTAAGAAGCACAAAGGAAAATATTTCAATAAAGGATCATTTGAAAAACAAACAAAAAAAAAAAAACACAAAAAAACAAAAACAGCAACAATAACTTTCTCTTGGCCTCCCTGTTCTTCTCTTGGCTACTACCCCAGCTCTCTACTCACCTTTATATCTTGAAAGGATCATTTGTTCTTGCTTCAATTCTCCCTCAACCCACTGTGAACAACTTTCATCCCCATCTCTCAACATATCTACTCCTCACAAGGTCATCAATTACCCCCCACAGGGTGCAATCCAGCTGTCAGTTCTGAGTGCTCATCTCTGCATGTGACACCTTGCTCCCTTCCTCCTTTGTGAACCCTGCCTCACTAAGCTTCATGCACCCCCTTCTCCTGGCTTTTCTCTTCCAACACTGGCTGCTCCTTCTATTGCCTCCTTTACCAACCTCCTATCTTTAGCGTCCTCAAGCATCTGGTCTTGGACCCCCTCCCCTCCACTCTCCTCCCCTGCCCTCTCCTCCTCTACCCTTCCCTTCCCTTCTCTTTCCTTTCTTGACAGGGTCTCACTCTGGTTGCCGAGACTGAATTACAGTGGTGTGATCTCGGCTCACTGCAGCCTTGAGCTCCCGGGCTCAGATGATTCTCCCACCTCAACCTCCTGAGTAGCTGGGATTACAGGCATGCACTATCATGTCTGGCTATTTCTTAATTTTTATTTTTAGTAGAGACAGGGTTTCACCATGTTGCCCAGGTTGGTCTCAAGCTCCTGGACTAAAGCAATACACTTGCCTTGGCCTCCCGAAGGGCTGGGATTACAGGAGTGAGCCTGGCCACCTCTTCTATTTTCTATTTAAACCCACTCCTTTAAGGATATCACCAGCCTCATGATTTAAAATACCACAAGGCCGACAAGTCCCAAATTTCTAAGTCCAGCAACCACCACTTGTCCAACATCCATGGGAGCCTGAGTAGGCGTATCACATTTAACATGTCCAAAACGGAACTCCTGATCTTATTCCATTCAAACTCGTTCCACCCCCGGCTTCCCCATCTTAGTGAGTGAAAACTCCATTCTTCCTGTTGCTCAGACCAGAAAACCTTCATCTGTTCTCTCTTTTAAACCCTACACCCCAGTCAGGCATCATGTTGCCTGAGCCTTCAAAAGAATATCCTGAATCTGATTACTTTTCACCACCACCACTGCTACCAGCCTAAACACCCCCACCTCTTTCCAGGGTTATTGCAATATCCCCTCACTTATCCCCTATCTGTGCCTTGGCCCACTTTCAATCTATCCTCATCATAGCAGCGAGAGGGGTTCTATTAAAAATCTAAGTCAGATCATGAAACTCCTCTGCTCAAAACCTCTAATGGTTCTCATCTCACGTAGGGTAAAATACAAAGTCCTTACAAAGGTCCACAAGGGCCTCAGGATCTGTTCCCTCCATTCACTTCTCTGACCTCCTCTACTACCCTACCCCATCGACTATGCTCCAGCCACATGGACTTCACTCCCATCTCCCGAACCTTTGCACTTGCCATTCCCTCTGTCTGGAATACTCTTCCTCTAGGCAGGCTCAGGAGTCAGGCCATCAGCCCATCAACCCCATCAACTCCATTGGGTCTTTATTTAAAAGTTATCTTTGCAGTAGGACCTTCCCTACCCACCCCACCTAAATATTGCACCCTTTATAAAAGCACTGACCAACAGAACTTTGTGCTTGATGAAACTTTATCTTCACTGTCCAATAGGATGGCCACTATGAGGCTTTTGAGCACTGGAAATGTGGCTTGTATGACATGGAAATGGAATTTTTAACTTTAACTAATTTAAATATCATCAGCCACACAAGGCTAGTGGCCACTATGTTGTAAGCACAGCATCTTTACACTCCTTTATCTCTTTTTGCTGCATTATTTTTTTGCTTACTATTTGCCACTAACATACTACATAATTTACTTATAATTTATTCATACATCTTGTTTATAATTTGTTTTCCTCACTAGAATGTAAGTGGAAAAAACAAATTATGACTACACGGAGAATGAGGGGCAGGAATCTTTGTCTGTTTTGTTCACTACTATATTTCTGGTACCTAGAACAGTTTCTGGCACATAGTATATACTAACAAAATCTTTGTTAAATGAAGGAACACGCAGTAGGAGACTCTACAAGCTCCACCCAGGCATTGCTCTGCTCTCTGTCCATGTCTACTCTCTGCTAATTTGCCAGACGTTGATCTAACTTTCATCTCCTGACCTGGATGTTCATAGGTTCCTCTGGCCCTTCTCCTTCTGAATGGTTTCTTCCTTCAGAAACCAGTGTCTAGTTTCCCAGTGGTGTACCCACTACCTTCACTTCAACCCACCAGTCTATAGCCTCTTGGTCCTCTCTGCCAGCCTTGGCTCTGTTGGGCTTCTCTTTAACTAGGCTTACCTGAGACAACAAATGGCCAAGAGCCATGGGGTAGGCCAAGAGTGCTGTCAGCCTATGCTTCTCTTCTTTGCTAAGACTCCAGAAAACAACACAGCACTTCACGGCATCTCTCGGCAGTCAACCAGAGTTAGAAGCTGGACCTCAGTCATCCACACCACATGCTAAATCATCACCAAATGGCCTCATGATGAAGGACTTCACACACAGAAACCTTCTGGGCATAGGTCACGCCTTCTATGCCTTTCCAGGACACATGACTGTGGCCCCCAGTGATGGTTAGGTGGCTATTACTGAGCTAAGACTCTACAATGAGTGTCTTGCTTCCTTTCTAAAAGAAACCCTACCCTTGGGCCAAGGGATAGGGAAGGGAACAGAAGGGAATTCTAGTTATGGCTGTTCTTTGTTTTAACCAATAAATGGATTTCCATTTTAAGAGCCCAGATGTCAAGAGTATCTTATTATAGTGGCCTCACACAGGCTGGGAATGAAGTAGAAATTAGAATGGTTGTTGAAAACTTTCCGTTTTCTTCTTCTTTATTAAGTCTGATGACTCAGACTTGATCTAGGGCTTTTTGTAACAGCCAGGCACATCCTCTTACATAAATGAGAGAAGATGTAACCACCTATTATAATGCCTTGCATATAAGGGACACTCAACAAACGGTGGCTAATAATATGATGAGTAGAAATAAATATTCTGTTCTGCCTCACAATGTCTATCACAATGAAAACAATTGTGGGAAGTAAACTGTATATTGAAATGTATTACCAAAATCGAAAGTTAAGCAAAAATAGTTTCCATAGATAGCTAAAAACTTTCTGTTTTTCCTGAGCTAAAGAAGAACAAGAAACTAAAACTCCTTTCAGGCACCATTTATCTTTCTGTTAAACATCAATCTGATGTCATGTGGCAAGAGTTTTAGTTTCATTTAAAAATCATTTCTGATATCTTGTGGAACAGAACAATTTCCCTTCCAGAGAAAAAGGGTATCTATTTAGCCAATGACAAACAGCTTCCATTTTCTCCTTTTTTTTAACTTTCTTTTTTTTTTTTTTTTTTTTGTTAACACCACTTTTGTTCAGGGTGACAGTACACCTGTAGCCCAAGGGGATGAATCACAGTAGATATAAATTCCACGTGGTGATTTCCTTCCCTAGACTACCCTGTAGCTAGGATTGGCATAGGACCATTCTGGCCAGTGAGGTATAAGTAGAAGTCTCCTGGGGGCTTCAGGGAAAGAATCTGCTTTCTGATAAATGATGCAAGTGCAAGAGGAGAGTTTGCTTTTGCTCTTCCCCACCCACATCCTGTCTGGGAGTGTGACAGTGCCTACAGCTGCAGCAGCTGTCTTGCAATCATGAATTGACAGTGTCAGAAGCCAATCTGCTGAAAATGACAAGGCAGATGGATAGATCAACATGGGGTCTCAATGGCATCACTGAGTGGCTGCACCAACACTAAATGGACAACAGCTGCAATTCTTGTTTAGCCAAGGTTGAAGGTTCTTAAAATTGAAACTCTTGTCAGTTGAGTTTTATTTGCAGCCAGAAGCAATTCCAACTGATTCACAGACCTTTAATTACTAGTTCAATGACTACCCATACACCCAGTATCTAAATTTAACTACTTCTAATATTTACCACATTTGCTTTTTTCTCTAAGTTTTCAATATATGTGGAAGATAAATTGTAGACATAACGCTTAGCCCTTCAGCAAGTATCTCCTAAAAAGAAGAACATTTTCCTTCATAACCACAAGGCTATTATCCCTCCTAAAAATATTAATGATTCTGTGATATCATCTGAACACTAGTCCATATTCGGTTTCCTTTATCACAAAACACATTTAACACAAAAATGTGTTTTTGTAGTTGGATAAAATTTTCATATAAATGTTCATACAAACGGGACTTGGGATTTTGTTTTCCCTTTTCTTTTCCCTTTTTAAAAAAAATTTAATTAATTATTATTTTTTTTTTATTTTTTGAGATGGAGTCTCGTTCTGTCACCAGGCTGGAGTGCAGTGGTGTGATCTTGGTTCACTGCAACCTCCGCCCCCCGGGTTCAAGCGATTCCCCTGCCTCAGCCTCCCAAGTAGCTGGAACTACAGGTACCTGCCACCACGCCCAGCTAATTTTTGTTTTTTTAGTAAAGATGGGGTTTCACTATATTGGCCAGGATGGTCTCAATCTCTTGATGTTGTGATCCACCTGCCTCGGCCTCCCAAAGTGCTGGAATTACAGGCATGAGCCACCGCGCCCAGACTTAATTTATTTATATTTATTTATTTTTTGAGACGGAGTCTCACTGTGACACCCAAGCTGGAGTACAATAGCACGATCTTGGCTTACTGCAACTTCCACCTCGCAAGTTCAAGCGATTTTCCTGCCTCAGCCTCCCGAGTAGCTGGCATTACAGGTGCCCGCCACCATGCCCAGCTAATTTTGTATTTTTAGTAGAGACAGGGTTTCACCATGTTGGCCAGGCTAGTCTCAAACTCCTGACCTCAAGTGATCCACCCACCTCGGCCTCTCAAAGTGCTGGGATTACAGAGGTGAGCCACCACTACTGGCCTTCTCCTTTTAATAAAAAAGAAACATTCTCCACTCTCTCCGCCTGTGGCTACAAAGTTTCATTTTCCAGACCATGCTGGCTCTGGGCCCATAGTGCCCCTGGGAAGATTGGAATAAAGCTTTGGCGTTAAGACTAACAAATCCAGCCAGGCGCAATTTAAAGTTAATCGTTGATTAAATTTAAATGCATAAAGCTGATTTACTTTGGAAGGCCCAGGCGGGTAGATCCCTTGAGGTCAGGAATTTGAGGCCAGCCTGGCCAGCACAGTGAAACCCCATCTCTACTGAAAATACAAATTAGCCGGGCGTGGTGGTGTGCACCTGTAGTCCCATACTCAGGAGGCTGGGGCAGGAGAATCACTTGAACCTGGGAGGCGGAGGTTGCAGTGAGCCGAGATCACATCACTGCACTCCAGCCTGAGTGATAGAGTGAGACTCTTGTCTCAAGAAAAAAAAAAAAAAAGACTTACAAGTCACCTAAAAGCCTCATCCACGTATCTTCCAAAAGTGTTGTAAGACTTCCCATTTGGAAATTTACTTGGGATTGAGCTCGTGATGTACTAATATTCTTCTCAATTAGACAGTGAGGCAAAGGACTGTGAACATTTAATGTGGAGTAAGGCACCCTCTCTGTGAGCCAGGCTTCTTGGTTAGGGGTCCTACCTGTATCCCACCTCCCAAAACAGCTCTACACATCACACTCCACAATTCACAAGTAACAGTGTGAGAAGATAAACAAGAGATGACATTTTTATCCACAGTTGTGGTAATTACAATACTAATTGTGTATATGAAATAGTCAACACTTTTTATAACTTATAACTATAAGAAAAATTAGGATGCACCCACAATCTAGAAGAGATGGAAAAACAAAGTTAATTGTGTTGTGACATTTAAATTAGTGAAATCCATTAAGATTTTTCTAGAACATTGCTACATAGAAGGACAAATGCTTTGTTAATTTTGCTTATTTTGTTTAACCTCCCACCCTAATTAATACCACTATGCTCAGAGGAACTGTGCAATTTCAGGGTGACATGAATGAAGCCATAGTACCCCAGGAAAGGCCATGTGCCCCCTTTCTCAAGTAGAGCTTATTAAAGTTAGGTCTAACCAGAGGCTTACCTAAAGCACTCTTCTCTCTCTTCATTCATCCGGTGCCCGTGGCTTTAGTCTGTTTCTCCTCATTTCCAGAATTTTCAGTGTCATTTAGTTCTCCCACCATTACTACATGCTAGAAGAAAAAGGTTTCAAATAATGAAAAATATATTCAAAACTGTTATACGGTCCTAAACTGGAAGAAGTCAATGTGCTTTAACTTAATTCCAATTGGATCCCTCTAAAACCATTTATATTTCACTTATTTCAACTGTAGAAAGTTAATTGTATAATCTATTATAAGGGCTTTATTGCACATGAATAAAGTCATAACAATTGTCATCAACATAAAGGCCTATTATTAATGCTCAAAACCAATTATTTAGGGGGAAATATTCAACCAGCTATAATCAGAGACTCACAGATTAATCACGCATGCAAAAAAAAGGTTAAAGATACGTTTTAACTAAATTATCTGTGTCGCCATTCTAACAGGAACAATGACGTAAGTAACTTGTCCTTTATTTTCTTTTTTTCTTTTTTTTTCTTTTTTATAGAGACAGGGTCTCGCTATGTTTCTGGGGCCAGGGAGGATCCAACTCCTGGCCTCAAGCAATCCTCCCTCCTCAGTCTCCCAAAGTACTGGGATTACAGATGTAAGCCATATCGCCCGGCCCAATTTGTCCTTCTTTAACATGTTATTCTTTCAACATGTTATTTCTCAACAGGGTAAATTGATTATTTGGCAAGTTATAAATAAAAGCTTCATTGTAATTTCACTAACATAGATCCTTAAGAAGAAAATGCTTGCTCCTGCTAATGACTATTTGAATTCTAAATGGAGTTCGAATAAGGAATTTTAAACCTTTAAGTTTGCTTACCGAACATGGACAGCAGTAAAGTTTTGGTCTTTCACTGGACTCCAGAGGTCAGATAGAAAGACGAGTTATAAAGCAGTGTAGCCCCAGCTTCTGCACCACACACAGGTGTTGCTACCATGGAGCACTTTGAGCGGAAAGTGCTGGAGGTGCAAATGTTTCCTGTGGGTTGTCAAAAGAGAGGCCAGTAGTTTCTGCCACCCGTGACCGCCCAGCACAATATGCTCTGGCAGGGGCCATTATTAGCCCATAAGTTGCTGCACTGAGAGAAAGGCACACGGGGTGCAGCCAGTTCTGGGGGCTTGAACATGTCCAAAACATCCTTGTCTTATAGAAACCTAGGACACATACAGGAACATTCATTAATATTCTCAAAGAAGAAAGTTTTATTTTGCACTTGGAAATATGTCAGAAATCACTTGAAGGCAAATAAGATCTGGCCCTCTGCAGAGGTAAGTGGCTAACATGCCCTAGATCTCCAGGCTTAGAGGCTGCCCCTTTGGTACCCATGATTCTCCAGGCCTTTCCAGGGCAACATTGTCCAGCATCTCTCTCTCTCCTCCCCCCGTCTTCCTTTGGAAGTTTGACTCTCATGTGTGGTGCCGGATCCCTAGGCCACCTGTGCCGGCCAGCCCCTGAACAGATAAATCCTACTAAAGGTTAATCCCAAGCACAAGCTTTGGGCTGGTCCTTCTGGGTTGATTGGCTTTCTCTCTCTCTCTCCTTTTTTGAGATGGAGTCTCCTTCTGTCGCCCAGGCTGGAGTGCAGTGGCACAATCTCGACAATCTTGGCTCACTGCAACCTCTGCCTCCCGGGTTCAAGCAATTCTCCTGCCTCAGCCTCCTGAGTAGCTGGGATTACAGGTGCCCGCCACTGCTTCTGGCTAATTTTTGTAGTTTTAGTAGAGATGGGGTTTCACCATGTTGGCCATGGTTGGCCAGGCTGGTCTCAAACTTCCGACCTCAGGTGATCCGCCCACCTCGGCCTCCCAAAGTGCCGATATTACAGGTGGGAGCCACCGCTCCTGTCCTGATTGGCCTTTCCTCCAAGAGCCATGCTAACCCAACCAAAAGGATTCCATTTTTAATGAGAATTTCAGGAACCAGTATTTTCTTTTGGGTGAAGGGGAGAGGGATTGGGGATTGGGGACGGTTTTCCAGGTCTTTGGCTCATCATATAATAGATACCACTTAGTGGCAACTGTGGCCCAACAAAAACATTTTTTCTGTCCCAAGACCTTAGGGCATTGAGAAAGGACCCTCAAGGCACTGATTCCCTTCAGTAATGACCTAAAATATTTCTCCCAGATGGGCTCAGGTTCCTGAGACAGCCTCCACACACTTAGTCCATACATCTTGTTTGCAGTTAATGGCAAAGAGTTAGCTGAGAAATCTAAGATAACAAGGCTTTTACTTTATAAATGTGCAACCTAAGAAATCAATCCAAAAATATGTAATGAAAGCATTCCATTTGACACATTCTAGATATATTATCTACATTTTGCTACAAATGCTTTGGCCTAAAATAAATGGCTTTGTTTGCAGAAATGTGTACCACACATTTATCAAAACTCCTCACCTGCTGGAAAGCGCTGTAGTCGTGGTAACTGGAGGGCTCAGCAGCACCTGAGTCCTGCAGGCTGGCAAGGCTCCTCTTGCTATTCCACCACCCCATCTCGGGGCAGCCACAGGGCAGACACAGCCAGGCATTTGAGAAACTCACTCCCCGTTTGCTGTATTTACCAGGTCCTGAGCTAGGGGGTTAAGAGGAAAGAGGACACATCCCAGCTTCACCTTTGATGTACACATGTGGAAAAAAGAAGCAGGTGGAGTTACTCTTTCCAAAACGAAATATTCAAAAAGTGTATGGAAATATAAATGCAACTTTGAAATGACAAGCGGTTTCTCTAGGCAGGATCCAGCAGAACTCAAAAAGTCAGTACGTTGCTCTAGGCAAAAACTTGACAGTACTGGGGCATGGGAGAAGAATTTTAAAGTGCTTCATCCAGTGCAAATTTTCCCAATTAAAGCTATATTTTTTACATATCTGTACATAATAGATATAGAATAGATAGGTTATAGAATATGTATATATACATAGGTCTACATATATAACACATACGTAAGTATGTATATACATATTTAAACAAAGATTTCTATGATCTAACTCAAACTTTCGGTGTTGAATCAGAGACGCCTTGGTCATTAATAAAGAAATAACAAGGCCGGGTGCTGTGGCTTACACCTGTAATTTCAGCACTTTGGGAGGCTGAGGCGGGCAGATTGCCTGAGGTCAGGAGTTCAAGACCAGCTTGGCCAACATGATGAAACCCTGTCTCTACTAAAAATACAAAAAACCTAGGTGAGCATGGCGGCACGTGCCTGTAATCCCAGTTACTCGGGAGGCTGAGACAGGAGAATTGCTTGACCCTGGGAGGCAGAGGTTGCAGTGAGCTGAGATTGCCCCACTTCACTCCAGCCTGGGTGACACAGCGAGACTCCATCTCAAAAAAAAAAAAAAAAAAAAAAAGAAATAATGAAATAATTCATTAATTTTGGACAGAGGTGGGGGCAGGGAGAAAATGCCATTTAGCATAAGATGACCAGCTTCCTGAAAAGTACCTTTCTCTAATATAAACTCCAAAAATCATTTCAAAACTTACCACTTTATGCCGTCCACACCTTTAAGGTCCAAAACTGACATATCCAAAGTAAATGGGAACCCAAGAAAAAAGGTATTATTCCCTGGCTCCAGGCAGATCAGCCCTTACCTCCTTCAAAGAAAGTTTCTTGCTGTTTTTATTGACTGTTGTTTTAAATAAAATGAACAGGTAATTGAGAAGTTGTTGCTGAGCTTGTACACGATAGTAGATGGGTTTTTACTCTCCAAATAAGAATATTTTCCCCTCAGTGCACACTGCGTGATAGAATTATGCACTTGACTTAGTGACCCAGGGGCATTTGAATCCATAGGTAAGAAGGCTCAAAGGAACTCGAAGAGAAAGCAATGGGGAAGCAGATTAGACAGAAGGTCTCTCTGGAAGCAGCATTTTCTGCTGTGGATGAAATCATGTTTTCCAGCCCGATGCACTCCTCCTACAGAAACTGGTCAGCATTTCTCCAGGCGCGAGAAGTGCCAATGCCTGTGTCCCATCACAGACTCTGGAGTGAAACTGCCTGGTTCAGATCCCAACAGCCCTGTGGCCAAGGTCAGGTTAATTGATTTATTTAAGCCTCAGATTTTCATCTCTAAAATAGGAATAATAATGGGAATAATAATAATACTTACCTCTCAGAGTGGTTATGAAGACTAAATGAGAATGCATGAAGGTGCTTAGGGGAGTGCCTGGGGTAGAGTTAGAGCTCAAAAGAGCATAGCTATTGTCATTTATTATTAGTAGCATTTACATATTCAATTATCATTATTGTCATTATTATTATATTCCAGGTGTGAAATGGCAATCAATGCGAAGAAGTGAGCAATAAACACGTTTTGGGAAGATACCCTCACAAACACACTCTCTTCTTTCCCTGTGGTAGACCATGAACCCTAATGTTTTGGGATGAATCTAGACTTTCCATTGGGATTAAGGTCAAAGGCTGAGTCCCCCAGAGCATGATTCATAGTGTTAGGAATAAAGCCATCAGAGTGCCATAGAACACAACAAGAAATACACTTTTACTCTTTTATTTTTGTTTAATTTTATTTTAGAGACAAGACCTGGCTCTGTCTTCCAGACTGGAGTGTAGTGGCATGATCACAGCTAGTAAGCAGTCCAACCTCAAATTCCTGGACTCAAGCAATCCTCCTGCCTCTCAGCCTCCTTACTAGGTGGGACTACAGGCATGTGCCAACACACTCAATTAAACTTTTTTTTTTTTTTTTAACAGATGGGATCCCACTATGTTGCCCAAACTGGTCTCAAACTCCTGGCCTCAACTGATCCTTCTACCTCAGCCTCCCAAACTGCAGAGATTACAGGCATGACCCACCATGCTCAGCCAGTTTTACCCTTTTAAATTAGTTCTTAAACAATTCATGCATAGATAGATCCTCCTTATAAAAATTCAAACAATTGCAGGTAAGGACAAATTGGCCTTTGACCACCATCCCTGATCCTAGAGTCCTCTTCAGAGGGAAGCACTGTTGTCAGAGTAGAATCCATCTTTCCACACCTTGTCCATGGAAAAATTTACACTGCTCATTTTGGTTCACATAAATGGACTTACACCCTATGCGTTATTTTGCAACTGCTTTTTTCATTCAATAATGTCTGGAGCTATTTCCATGTTAGTATTCTTTTTTTAAAAAAAAATGGTGCCTATTCCCAATAACCACAATGGATTGCTTCAATAGGCCTGATGGATGTCCATCCCTTGCCTGCTTCTGTCTGTTCCAGAAGTCATTGCTTTGTGGGGGAAACGGCTTACTAGCCTGAGACACTGGACATTTGTTTTTTGGCTCTAGCAATTCTAACTAGAAGTGAGACCTTGCGTTAATCATTAGACCACTCTGAAATTCAGTTCCCTTATCTATTAAGTGAGAGATTTGGACTATATGGTTTCTAAGTTTCCAAACAGCTATGATAATCAGTATTTTGGTATTGAGACAGAGAAAAATGATCTTTTTCAAATGTCAGAGTGAAAAAAGTCATGTGAGTGGGAAAAGCTGATGATCTCTGAGGAGGTTATTCCTACCAATGCTTCCCACAAGGTCAGGTCTATTCCTCACCTATACTCTGGCTTACCTTGTTCTTTTAATGCATGCCTAGTATTTAATAGTATGTGAGCTTTATTTGACATCACCAGAGTCAAGATATTTTTGCATAGCCACAGATACACAAATTCCTCTGAAGGAATTTCGTTGAAAATAATTACAGCTGGACCATTTATTGGGGATAAAATTAGGATGTCAGAAGACAGGTTTGGGGAAGTCAGTGCTAAAAGGGAGGGATTTGAGTACCCTAAAAAGTTGCGTTCAATCATTTATTTCTTCAACACTTATTGAGCGCCTACTATGTCCAGCGGCCAGGACATTAAAATGAAGAACGAAGACCATTAGCCTTGGTGCTTCCAAAATCTCAGCCATTGCTTGTTTTCTACCCACAGGGTGTTTGTGTTATGGGGCAGTTCTTTCACTCCCCAGTCCATCACCATTGTACTTTGCTGTCAGAGAGATCAGATGAAGCCTTGGAGAGCCGCTTGTCAGCATGGGTTTGTTTTTAATGAGGTTTCCTTCAACCCCACTATTAATGTTTAATCAGTGCAGGAGGAAGGTGGTTGGCAAAGATCGTTTTATAACTCTTATCATTGTTGCTGGAACATAAAAAAATTATCATTACTGATACCAAAAAGGAAATGTTGTTTCACCAGGAAATGGCAAACTGGGACCTATTGTGGTGTGGATGAGCAGTGACGTAATCGAGGGTGGGGAGTGTGGAGGTGGAACGTGAGGGCTGCGGTGTTGAACGAGGGGGAGAGGGGACCCAGCAAACGTTCTCCTACCTTCTTCCCTTTTCCTCTGAGTGGCAGTAGGTTGTAAAGACCTAGAGAGTTCGTAGCATAACCTGCCAGTACGTACCCTAGGGTTGAGCCCAGCCTTTTGCCCCATGTCCCACATTCTACTGGACTTGTTCACAACCCCAACCACATTCCCACTCCCTTAGATGTGGTCTTAGAGCTCCAAGATTGAAGGGCCCCCAAACTTTTTTTTTTTTTTAATTAAAAAAATTTTTTTGTAGAGACAGACTCTCCCAGGTTGCCTAGGCTGGTCTTGAACTCTTGGCCTCAAGCAATCCTCCTGCCTCAGCCTCCTGAAGCACTGGGATTATAGGTGTGAGCAACCACACCCAACCCCAACTCCTTATTTTGCTCCCAGGTTCAGCCTTGTCTGTGGAGGGAGAGACATAGCACAGAACCTCCCAACCCCATCTGCTTCTCTAGTTAACTAAGCAAGTCAATCCTTAGCCTCCAGCCCTTCGGCTCCCTGCCTGCATAATCAAACAGATTTAGAGTAAAGCCAGCATTGGATTAAATCCTAGTGTTCTTTAATAGAATGCTAAACATAAACCATGGAGGGCTAAACGATTCTTCCCCTCCCCCTGTCTCCCACCATCATCCCCTCCCTCCCTACACAAATTGCACCAGCTTAGACCCTGCCTTCCTTACACCTTTATTCCTGCCTGTGAACTGCTTTGAATTTTTGTCATAATTGCTATGTGACTTACAGGCATTCTTGAATTTTTTTCTCCATATAAACCTTATTTTGCCCCTAACAGTGATGGAAACAGACTTGGAAAGTTTTGGAAGCATCATTTCTGTATTATAAGTCATCACACTTCCTCTGTTGACATTCATTCATTGGTTCATCGCTAGTGGCCATAATTTAATAATCTGCCCTTTAGATCTCCTACATACACTGCTATTTTTCTAACCAACAACATGCAAAAAATGGTGTAAGGGCAAAGACAGCACCCAACACCAGCAAGGCTGTGAAGCTGTTTTTATTATGATGATTTCCTTATGTTGTACACAGACTGTGGCATCCAGCTAGACAAGCTCTGTGGTTAATATTATATTTGAAATGAAAAAGATTCCAAGTTCTTCAAATTTGCATTCTCAAAGTCTGTCTTCTTGAATTTCTATATTTTAAAAACAATCTTCTGACAATTAAGATCGTATTTAAATAGGCTTTGCAAATTCCAGCAAGAAACTGAGTCCACATCATTTGAGGTGCTATTCTGTCGACTTCCCTTGCTTCCCCCTAGCCAAAAAGATAAGCCATTTTTAAAATTGTATAATTACTTAAAAAAATGTTTCAAGTATTCAACACATAGCAAGCTAGGCTCCCTGAGAGTTATGATACAGGAGAAAGGGACAAAAGGATACCATGCCAAAAACTGGAAGAGGGAAATTGATAAATTGAATATGACTCTAAAGCAATGGAACAAAGCAAATGTTAATAGGCAGACTGCAATTCTGGCTACCCTGGAGGCATTAGTTATTTCTGAGCTAATCCTAAATTAATTCACTCAGAATGACCACTACAGAGCTGCTTTAAGAGACAGGGTACACAGTTCTGCAGTTGCATGATTCCTACATATGACAATTAGACAGCAAGGCTAAAGCAGAGAGCAATCTAGCAACTGCATAGCCCAGAAAGAAACAACTCTGGTTCCAATTTACTGACAAACTCCTAACTTGCTGAAGTCTCAGTGTCTGCCCCTTGGTTTTTGCCTTTTATACAATTGTCTTTTGGTTATTGCATGCATTCAAAAAAAAATGTTCCATTGAGCATTCCCTGGCAGAGAGGAGAAAGGCCTTTCTCTCATTCCCATCTTCCATACTAAACTTCTCTTCCATCTGTATTTTTTTTCCTCTTCCCAAAGGAGGGCCTTCTCTGACAGTCTGGGAGTTCAGAGTGTAAATCACCCCTTATTAGCTCTGAACATTGGACAAGTCCCTTTACTTCTGTCAGCCACAGACACTCAAGAAATATTTACTGAGGTAGTATGTTTTCTAAGAGATGGGGATTAAGGGGAGAACAAGATAAAGCCCCCACTTTATAAGCTCACATACATATGGCAGAAACAATCAATGGGAGAACAAAGAGGCACTTAATAAAGTGTAAGAGGGAGGCAAAGGTCAGCGGTTGGGGTGGGGGAAGGGCAGAGAGTGAAGGAGGGAGGTTACTTTGGATGGAGCCACCAGGAAAAGCTCTTCAGGTCATGAGGTCTGAGCAGAGACCAAATAAGGTAAGAGAGTGAGTCACATCTTGGGGAGAGACAGCGATTGCAGACAGCAAGGTGAGACTAAGGTTGGCCTGTTCCAAGAACGACAAGCTGGTGTGCTGGAGTGCGGTCTGTGTGGGACAGAGTAGAAGGAAATGAGGGAGGTACGTGGAACTAGGACATATGCACCCTGTGGCCACTGTGGGACTTCTGATTTTATTCAGTGACAGGAAACAACTGGAGAGTTTTAGCAGAGGAGTTACGTGATCTGATTTTGTTTTATAAAATTGGCTCTGGTTGATTTTGTCAAGAGTGGACTCCAGAAGAGTAAAAGTATTGCTTACTCCATGGAAGCAATAAGACCAGAAAGGAGGTTATAATGATGACTGTGGCAAGGGATGATGGTAGTTCACTAATCTATGAGGGTAACAGTAGCAACAATTGCACGGCACTGTTGTGAGAATTAAATAAGATAGTACGTGCAGGTAGCTTGACATTGTGCCTAGCACATAGTAATAACAGTGTTAGCATTCTTTTGTTTGTTTGTTTGTTTGTTTTGAGGCAAGGTCTTGCTCTGTTGCCCAGGGTGGAGTGCAGTGGGGTGAGCTCCTCCTGGGCTCAAGCGACCCTCACACCTCAGCTCCCAAGTAGCTGAGGCTACAGGTGCTCGCTACCACACCAGCTAATTTTTGTGTGTTTTTAAAATTTATTTATTTATTTATTTATTTTTGTAGAGATGGGGTTTTTTCATGTTGCCAAGCTGGTCTCGAACTCCTAGGCTCAAGTGATTCACCCAACTTGGCCTCCCAAAGTGCTGGGATTACAGGTCTGAGCCACCACACCTGGCTTGAGCATTCTTATTGCTATCATCATGATTATTATTTTGAGGTGATTCTTCTACGCCAACTCCTTTTCTAAGCTTTGGCACTGATATTGCTTGAGGGATTCCAAATGTTTCTTTCTTTCTTTCTCTTTTTTAAAGATAGGGTCTTGCTTTGTTACCCAGGCTGGAGTGCAGTGCATGATCATGGCTCACTGCAACCTCTGCCTCCCAGGCTCAAGCCATCCTCCCACCTCAGCGTCCCAAGTAGCTGGCACACACCACCATGCCCAGCTAATTTTTGCTTTTATTTATTTATTTTTTTTGAGACAGAGTCTCACTCTGTCACCCAGGCTGGAGTGCAGTGGCGCGATCTCGGCTCACTGGAACCTCCACCTCCTGGGTTCAAGCGATTCTGCTCCCTCAGCCTCCTGAGTAGCTAGGATTACAGGCACACACCACCACACCCAGCTAATTTTTGTATTTTTAGTAGAGATGGGGTTTCACCATGTTGGTCAGGCTGGTCTTGAACTCCTGATCTCATGATCTGCCTGACTTGGCCTCCCAAAGTGCTGGGATTACAGGTGTGAGCCACTGTGCCTGGCCAATTTTTGCATTTTTTATGGAGACAGGGCAGGGTTTCCCCATGTTACCCAGGCTGGTCCAAATATTTCTTTTCTTTTCTTTTCTTTTCTTTTCTTTTTTTTTTTTTTTTGAGACAGAGCCTCGTTCTGTCGCCCAGCCTGGAGTACAGTGGCATGATCTCGGCTCACTGCAACCTCCACCTCCCGGGTTCAGGTGATTCTCCTGCCTCAGCTTCCCAAGTAGCTGGGACTACAGGCGCCCGCCACCACACCCGGATAATTTTTGTATTTTTAGTAGAGATGAGGTTTCACCATATTGGCCAGGCCGGTCTCAAACTCCTGACCTTGTGATCTGCCCGCCTCGGCCTCCCAAAGTGCTGGGATTATGGGCATGAACCACCCCGCCCGGCTGGTCCGAATATTTCTCAATCCCTTCCAAGCACTCCCTTGTGTGTCCAAGCAAGCTTGCATACAGGAAGGTTTATGTGGTTGGTCCAAAATGTTCAAAATTCTTTGTCAAGGCCATTTTTATTCACTGTGGTTATAAATCCTGCCACTTATGACCTTAGAGAGGCAGCGTGGTAGCAAGTCCTGACATGGCACTGCTTCCCAGGGGCATCTGGTGGTTGGTGGGGAGGGGCATTTCTGAATGTCACGATGGCAGGAGGGCAGTGCTGGCACTTTGAGTGAGGTCTGGGGATATTAAATGAAACAGTCCTGCACAATCAATGATTTTCCACCCAGACTCCCCATGCTGTCCCTCTGGAAAACACTTAGGAGGCAGGAAAGTCTTCTTGCAGGTTGTACGTGGCCCAACTCCAAGGAAGTTGTACAGCATGGGGGGCCTGGGGATGCTGGCATAGAGGAAATATCCAAAAAATGGAAGAAATTTCCTCCACTACCTTCTCGGAAGGTTAAGGATATCCAATAAGTTAATGTATGTATGTATTAATTAAGTTGTAAGTCATCATGAGACTGACCAACCTGTCCCTCTGCACACACAAGTTGCTAATGAGGCAGAAAATAGTCTCTGCCTTAGAGAATTTATAATTCAATCATCAGTAATGAGTAGCTGTACCCTCCTATTAGAGAAGAAAGTGGGCAATGTGCTTTCAAAATTATGGGCCTGGTTTTCGCAAACCAAACATCTTATTTTTAATTAAACTTTGTAAATGCCAATTCTTTTTTTCTCTAGTTATGAATATCCATATTGTACCAAAATGTGTTAAGTCAAAGATACTTAAAATACTACTTAGGCTTTTAAAAACAAAATTATATGTAACATTGTTTATGACAACTACCTTCTTTTTAAAATGGGAAAGGAACTAGTCAATGGCCCAAATTAATCTTTTTTTTCTCTCTTTTGCTTTTTTTTTAAAGAAAAGTTATGGTTGTCTCCTTTACAGCAAAATAATCTGAAGAGAAATTCTGATCTGTTAGAATAAAATTGAACTGATTCTTTAGGAAATTTCATTTTTGTAGTCAGAAAATTTTATGCATTCATTATTAAATCACTCATTTGTAGATAATAAACATTGTCTACCATAGGCCAGTTTTGCACAGACTTTCAAAATTTATTCCAAAGGGCACTCCTAGCCTAAATAAACAACAAAATGGGAATAGGAGACATGGGCAACAAATACTAGAAGCTACATTTAATGTAATTTTTTAAAGGGGACAGTTTTCCTTTATTAGTAAGATAATTAAAGGGAAATAACAACAACAAAAAAAAGAACTGTGTTAAAAATGTGCTGAGGTTAAAATGTTGGCACACTAAGTACATTTGACAAGCTTAATGACCTTGGCAGGCACTGACCGCTGTTTACTTTGTATTCACCCTCCTTCTTTCCTACTAGCAAATATCAAACAAAGAGAATCCCCTATTTCAGTGTAGATGGATTCATTCTCCAATTCTAGAATGTGAATCAAATTTGTCTAACCTAGTCACTATCCATGGACAATGGTTGGTCTAAAGGTAGTGATTAAACCCAATTTTAGCCAATGAGATGTAAACAGATATCTGCTAGGTAAGCTTCCAGGAAAACCTTTGAAGCACTGTATTAAAAAGGCAAGATCTGCTTAGGGATGTATATTATAATTCTTAGAGCAATCATTAAAATAGCAATACAAAGAAATATAGCTAAAAATCAAATAGATAAATTAAAATGGAATACTAGGAAAATTGTTTAAAAAACAATAAGATGGGAACAGAAGAACAAAAAATGAAGGGTACAGATGATGAGATGATGAAATGATAGACCTAGATTCAGCCATATCAATAATTACATTAAATGTTAATGATCTAAACACATTAAAAAGCAAAAATTATCAGAGTGAGTAGAAAAAAGCAAGACTCAACTATATGCTCTGTACATGATACCATCTTTATTTGTGTCTTCTCTAAGTAAGAAGACACAAATAGGTTTGAAAGTACATGCAACGAAAAACATACTGGCCTGGCATGGTGGTTCATGCCTGTAAGCAATTTGGGAGGCTGAGGCAGGCAGATTCCTTGAGCCCAGGAGTTTGAGACTACCCTGGGCAACATGCCAAAACCTCATCTCTACTAAAAATACAAAAAGTTACCCAGGTGTGGTGGTTTGTGCCTGTAGTCCCAGCTATTTGGAAGGCTGAGGTGGGAGGATCGCTTGAGCCCAGGAAGTTGAGGGGGCAGTAAGCCATGATTGCACCACTGCACTACAGCCTGGACAATGGGAGTGAGACCCTGTCTCAAAAAAAAAAAAAAAAAAAAAAAAAGGAAAGAAAAATATACACCAATAATTCTTTTTAAAAAATGTTAAGCAACCCAGAGGAAGTCAGAAAAAATAAACAAAAAAGAAGAAACTAACAGAAAACTAAAAATAGAAAAAAATAGAATGAAAGATTTAAGCCCTGACATATCAATAATTACATTAAATGTAACTGGTGTAAACACACCAATTAGAAGACGAAGATTGGCAGAGTGGATAAAGAACATAGCCTAACTATATACTGTCTACAAGAAACTCATTTCAAATACAAATCCTAAGAACATTTTTAGGGACTAAATGTTTGTGTTTCCACAAAATTCATTTGTTGAAGCTCTAGCCCCAACTAAGATGGTATTTGGAAAAATAAGTAAGCCTAAGAAGGCTGAAGAGGATATATTGATATCAGATTAAATAAACAATAAGACAAGAATATTACCAGAGATAAAAGAGAATATATCAGAAATATAAAAGGAGCAATCCATCAGAAAGACATATAAATTATAAATATGTGCCTAATAACAGAACCTCAAAATACATGAAGAAAAAAAATTAACCAAATTAAAGGGAGAAACAGATAATTCTGCAATCATAGTAAAATATTTTAATATACTTCTTTTATCAATTGATAGAACAACTAGACAAAATTCAGGACATAGTAGATTTGAATAATACTATAAAATATCTTGATATAATCAGCATTTGTATAATATTACATCCAACAATTGCAGAATACATATCCTCTTCAAGTACACATGGTACATTCACCAAGACAGACCATATGCTGAGCCATAAAACAAATCTCAATAACTTCTAAGGAATTGATAGCATGTAGAGCATATTGTCCAACCACAATAGAATTAAATTACAAATCGTATCAATAAAAGTAACATATCTAGGAAACCTCAAATATTTGGAAATTAAATGCAAGCTTTCAAATGTTATAAGTCAAAGGAGAAATCAGAAGGAAATTTAGAAATTATGTTAAACACAATGACAAAAATAGAACACATAAAAATATATGGGATGTGGGTAAAGCAGTGCTTAGGGAGAAATGTATAGTTTTAAATGCTTGTATTAGAAAACAATTTGATAGTTTTAAATTAATGATTATTTTAAGAAGCTAAAAAAAAACCCAAAGTAAGTATCAGAAAGTAAATAAAATTAATTACAACAAAAGTCAGAAAAATAGAAAACACACAATAGAGAAAATTAACAAAACCAAAAGCTAGTTCTTTGAAAATATTACCAACAAAGAATTATTGGAACCAAAATTTAAATAATCTGAAACTGAGAAGCCCTGAGCTACAGTAACAAACCAGTTTGGCCTTAGCAAACGGTAGATATATAGACCAGGAGAACTGGATAGACAGTCCAGAAATATGCCATATATATGGTTATTTTTTTTAAAGTGTCAAGGAAATTCAATGGAAAAAAATATTTTCAACAAATGGTGCTGGAACTATTGCATATCTATATGGGGAAAAAATGAACACTGACCCTTTCTTCAAATCATGTACAAAAATTAAGGCAAACTGTATAATAGACTAATATAAAATCTAAAACTATAAAACTTCCAGAAGACAACTAGGATAAAATTTTAGTGACCTTGAGATAAACATAGTTTCTTAGATAGGAACACTAAAGCATAGACCATAAATGGAAGAAATGATAAATTAAACTGCAGCAGCCAAGGAAGGTATACAAATGACCAGTAAGCACATAAAAAGGTATTCAATAACATTAGTCATTAGGAAAATGCAAATCAAAACCACAGTAAGATACCACCTCACACATACTAGAATAGCTAGAATAAAAAAGGCAGTGTTGATAAATTTTGGAAAGGAGGTGAAGGAATTGCATCCCTTATACACTCCTGGAGTGGGGGAGTATAAAATAAAGCAGCCACTGTGGAAAACAGTTCAGTGGTTTCTCAAAAGGTTGAACATAGTTTCCACATAATCCAGTAATTTCACTCATAGGCATATATTCAAGCGAAATGAAAACATGCAAGCATACAAACTTGTACACAAATGTTCATAACAGCTTTATTTGTAATAGCCCTAAACTGGAAACAATCTAAAATTGACAAACTTCTTGTAATGAAAAAAAAAGAGACTCCAAATAACCAAGAATTTAAAAACAATTATAACTATAGATTCAACCAATATTAAAAGGATTGTGAGAGAATATTATGAAAAACCTTATGCCAACAAATTTGACAACTTACATAAATGAACAAACTCCTAGAAAAATAAAACTTATCAAAATTGACACAAGAAGAAACAGAAAATCTGAATAGCTCTATCTCTGTTAAAAGAAATTAATTTGTTACCAGCAACCTACCCACAAAGTAAATTCTAGGACACTTAGTTTCACTGGTAAATTTTATCAATCAAGGAAGAAATAATACTGATCTCATGTAAAATTTTCAGAAAATAAAGCAGGAGGAAACACTGTCTACTCATGTTATGAGACAATAACTCTAATGTCAAATTCTTTTTTAAAATGACATACTAATATCCCTCATGAGTAGTGGTTCATGATGTTTCCCTCTTAAAGGAAATTTGTCAACATGTGAAGACATTTTTTAATATCATAACCTGGCCAGAGAGGGGTGGACAACCACTGGATAAAGGAATAAGCACTAGGAATCAACATTTCTGTAACATTTCACAATTTTTATTATGAAATGTTGAAGGAAAAATGAAGGGATTATAATTTTCCTATATTCCCTAACAAATTTTATTTTTACCTAGAAGTAGATAGCTATAAACATACCATAATATTCAAGCTGATAAAACAAAATCAAGAAAATGTATAACATAGTAAGACCAATAATATCAAAAATGTAGAAATTATCAAATCCTAAAGAAACTTAGTAATTGAAACCTTAAAAAAATATGTTTTTAGGGCCGGGCATGGTGGCTCATGCCTGTAATCCCAGCACTTTGGAAGGCCAAGGCGGGCGGATCACGAGGTCAGGAGATCGAGACCATCTTGGCTAACACAGTGAAACCCCATCTCTACTAAAAGTACAAAAACTTAGCCGGGCGTGGTGGCAGGTGCCTGTAGTCTCAGCTACTTGGGAGGCTGAGGCAGGAGAATGGCATGAATCCAGGAGGCGGAGCTTGTAGTGAGCTGAGATCGTGCCACTGCACTCCAGCCTGGGCAACAGAGCGAGACTCTGTCTCAAAAAAAAAAAAAAAGTAATAATAATAATAATATATATATGTCTTTGGTAACCCATAGCACTTATTCCTGGAAAGCAAAGTGAAGTAAAACATAATTCATCATGCTTTCAACAGAATAAAGGTATAAGTCACATTTTAAAGGAAAATATTTTATACAAGTCACCATCTGTGTTAGACCATTCTTGCATTACTATAAAGAAATAACTGAGTCTGGGTAAGTTATAAAGAAAAGAGGTTTAGGGCCAGGCATGGTGGCTCATGACAGCACTTTGGGAGGTCGAGGTGGGCAGATCACTTGAGGCCAGGAGTTTGAGACCAGCCTGGCCAACATGGTGAAACCCTGTCTCTACTAAAAATCCAAAAATTAGACAGGTGTGGTGGTATGCACCTGTAGTCCCAGCTACTCAGGAGGCTGAGGTGACAGAGGGAGACTTTGTCTCAAAAAAAAAAAAAAAAGAAAGAAAAGAGGTTTAATTGGCTCATGGTTCTGCAGGCTATACAGGAAGCATGGTGCTGGCATCCACAAGACTCCTGGTGAGGGCCTCAGGGAGGTTACAATCGTGGTAGAAGGAGAAAGGGAGTAGAGTATCACACAGCAAGAAAGGGAACAAGAGAGAGAAGGAGGGAGGGGCCACACAGTTTTAAAAAACCAGATCTTTTGTGAACTCACTTACCACCAAAGGGTTGGCACTAAGCCATTCATGACAGATCCACCCCCGTGATCCAAACACCACCCACCAGGCCCACCTCCAACACTGGGGATTACATTTCTTTTTTCTTTTTTTCTTTTTGTTGAAACAGAGTGTTGCTGTGTTGCCCAGGCTGGAGTGCAGTGGTGATCTTGGCTCACTGCAACCTCCACCTCCCAGGTTCAAGCGATTCTCCTGTCTCAGCCTCCCAAGTAGTGAGTAGCTGGGATTTAGAGGCACGCACCAGGATACCCGGCTAATTTTGTATTTTTTTTTTTTTTTTTTTTTTTTTTTTAGTAGAGACAGTGTTTCTCCTTGTTGGCCGGGCTAGTCTTGAACTCTTGACCTCAAGTGATCTACCCGCCTCAGCCTCCCAAAGTGTTGAGATTACAGGCATGAGCCACCGATTTGAAGGGGACAAATATACAAACCATGTCACCATCTTTACTTAATTTCTTCTCATAAGGATTTAATAATATAATTAAAGAAAATTTGCTAAGAAGGAAAAAAGTGCTATTATCATCCTGTAAGTTTTTATTTTTATATAATTCTTTTCAATTTTTCCTGAAATGCAGTTATATTTATACATGGCATCATGCATTCTGGTTTTTCACATAGAATATAAAATGTTTTATGTCTACATAAGTTGTTTGATAAAAATGAAATATATTAAGTTACGGAGGATTTCTTTAACACAATTTATAATTTTGCAATCTATTTACAGGAGGATACAAAACTCTAATAGAGGAAAAATAAATTTATGAAGACATGTGCCTTATTGTTGTGTGAGAAGATGAAGTAAAATATTAATATGTTCATTAAGTTAGATTACATTAAGTACCAGTTACAGTCTCCAGCCCACCCTCTTGACAAGTTTATAGTGTAATTCATCTGGAAAGATTAGTAAGACTATCATACAGTGCCATTACTGATGATCATGATGGTGATAATGATAATGATGATGATGATTAGTAGTTATAATAATATAGTCATCTGAATGCGGCAATTTTTTTTCCAGAACAGCATTGATACTTGCTAACTCAGATCAATTAATATTTCCATCTCCACTGACTGATGTATTAAATTTGAAAGTTATTCTAAAGAGGTGGCATTAAACATTAAAAACTATTCTAAAAGCTAGAAAAAAATGGACTCGTGTATTTATCTCAGCTATGAAAGAATGATACATGACTCAAACCTGTAATCTCAGCACTTTGGGAGACCAAGGCAGGCGGATCACCTGAGCTCAGGAGTTCGAGACCAGCCTGGCCAACATGGTGAAACCCCACGTCTACTAAAAATACAAAAATCAGCCGAGCATGGTAGCGTGTGTGTGTAATCCCAGCTACTTGGGAGGCTGAGGCACGAGAATCACTTGAACCTAGGAGGCTGAGGTTGCAGTGAGCCAAGATCGCGCCACTGCAATCCAGCCTGGGTGACAGAGTGAGACTCGGTCTCAAAAAAAAAAAAAGAATGATACATGACAAAATGGAGGCCATTTTCAGATATACATAAAATATACTAGTATAAAATATTAAAAGTAACAAAAGAAAGATAAATATGTAATATAGTACTAATAAAAGACAATTTTAAATATATAAGGTTAGTACCTGATTCTGCCTGACTTACAGCCAAGGTGGACAAACCACTTACGCATGCAGACTTAAAGACATCAAATTACCAAAATGAAAAATACACACCTGGCTGGGTTTCTTTAATACATGTACAATCTAGGGCACAATTACACATCTATTAAAAATTGAAAAAGAATTAAAAGCCCAAGATTGGAAGCACTCATTTGCAGAAGTTGGGGTTGGAAGGTGGGAATACAAAAAATTAGCTGGGCATGGGGGCGGGCACTTGTAATCCCAGCTACTCGGGAGGCTGAGGAAGGAGAATCACTTGAGCTTGGGAGGCAGAGGTTGCAGTAAGCCGAGATCGTGCCACTGCACTCCAGCCTGGGTGACAGAGTGAGACTCTATCTCAAAAAAAAAAAAAAAAAAAAAAAAAAAGCAATGGTTCTTCTAGTGTACAAGTCAATCACCTGGCCCAGGCTGGTTCGGGCCTTCACAAAAGAATAACGGTATCTAGGAGTGGTGTGAAAACTTTCCCTTTCTCCTTACTTAGTTCAACTAAGATGCCTGGATTTTTAAAAATAAACCTTTATTAAGAAACAAAGGTAACAATGAAGCAAAAAAGTATTGGCACCTGGTGGGGTCTAGCCAAAAACTGGCTGAGGCTGGCTGGCACGTTACCTTAGCCTGTCCAGGCAACCTCATCACGGAATCCCTCAGCCCCTTCTGGTCCCTGGAATCTAGGAGATCTGTTAGGAGAGTGAACAACTATTCAAACACCATTTATTGAGAACCTTTTAGGTATTAGAGACTTCAATGAGCCAAATATTTTCCTGGTGCTTATCTAAACAAATAATCATAAGGAAGTGTGCAAAATATTTTGAAGGATTCATAGGTAGATGCAGACTGACATGCTTATTAAAATGCAGATTTCAGCTGGGTGCGGGGGCCCACCCCTGTAATCCCAGCACTTTGGGAGGCCGAGGCGGGTGGATCACTTGATGTCAGGAGTTTGAGACCAGCCTGGCCAACATGGTGAAACCCCGTCTCTACTAAAAAAATACAAAAGTTAGCTGGGCGTGGTGGCGCATGCTCATAGTCCCAGCTGCCCAGGAGGCTGAGGCAGGAGAATCGCTTGAACCCGGGAGGCGGAAGTTGCAGTGAGCTGAGATCACACCACTGCTCTCCAGCCTGAGCAACAGAACAAGAGCCTGTCTCAAAAATAAATAAATAAATATGCAGATTTTTATGCTTCTTTCCCACTACCACCCCCACTCTCCCATTTGCTGACCCATAATCTATTATTAGGAATGAGAAATCTTCCCAGAAGGTTCTCATGCAGGCAGTCTGAGGGCTGCCCTCAAGCAAAAAGTGGACTTAAAGGAGGATTAAGACCTCTCTTGCCTCCAAATTTTCTGAGTTTATAATTTTGTTTTAGTAGACTAAAACATAAGAAGAGCTTAAGTGATGAAAAATAGGGAAATGCACAAGGCATAGTTCCATACAATGGAGTGGTAAAAAGGTCATTTGACAAATTTCTTTTGGAAGACGTTGGTGCTCTTCTATTTTAGGAGCTAACAAGAGCCCTGGTACCCATAGATTCCTTTTTAGTCTGACTTCCACTATATACTCAATTTAAGTAGCTTGCTTTGGTTACATTTTCTTGTATGGCACTGTTGTGAAACACATGCTCTAATGTTCCAGCACACAGACACGATTTGGCATTTCTTTTGCTTGTGATTTTGGTTTTATTATGCCTCTATTCTGGTCTTCCAGGCATTATGTGGAGAGGTAATGTTGAAAACCACATTCTCCAAATAGAGCTGTTAATTCCATGCATCTTTGATCTACATCTTCTGTTACTTGCATTTACTCCCCCTCCATTTGTCACCCCATCAGTGATTCTCCATCTGACCCTGAACACCTTTCCAGCCTCTAATAAAATCTGCACTCCAGTCAGACTGGACTCCTTATACCTTGTGTAGTAAAGAATTAAGTGTACCCAAAGAGAGGTCTGGCCTTTACTCTCAGCTCCTAAAAGGTCATCTGTAAGCCCTTGAAATGTCTTGACTGATAAGAATGACTTTGTTTACCTGGGGGCCTTGGGCCACACTGGGTAGTCTAAGAGTGTGATTTATTGTGGGGGTTTGGTACTATGCAGTATCAGCTTGACCTCCAGAGGGGCTACAGCCTAAAAGCCAGTTATGCAGGCAGTCAACTGTATTGATGTGACTGAGCCCCAATAAAAACTCTGTGCATTAAGGCTCAGATGAGCTTTCCTGGTTGATAATACTCTAGGTGGACTGTCTCCCATTATTGCTGGGAGAAGTTAACATGGTCCATGACCATGCTGGGAGAGGACAACTAGAAACCACACATGGACTTCTCCTGGGCTCTGCCTGATATGGGTTGAATCTGTGTCCTTACCAAATCTCATGTCGAAATGTAATTCCCAGTGTTGGAGGTGGGGCCTGGGGGAAAGTGATTGGATCACAGGGGTGGATCCCTCATGGCTTGGTGCTCTCCTCATGAGAGCAAGTGAGTTGTTGGAAGATTTGGTTGTTTAAAAGTGTGCAGCACCTCCCCACCACCTCTTGTTCCTGCTCCTGCCATGTGAGACACCTGCTCCCCCTTTGCCTTCCACCATGACTGGAAGCTTCCTGAGGCCTTCCCATAAGCAGATGCTGGCACTATGTTTTCTGTACAGCCTGCAGAACCATGAGCCAATTAAACTTGTTTTCTTATTAATTACCCAGTCTCAAGTATTTCTTTACAGTAATGCAAGAATGGCCTAACACACCACTCCACGCATGTCTTCTACAGGCTGACTTTAATCGATATCCCTTTGCCATAATAAACCATAACCATAAGCGTGACTGCTTCTAGTGAGTTCTGTGAATCCTTCTAGCGGGTTATTAACCCTAAAGATGGCCTTGCTGACTCCCTAAGTTTGCACACCTACAATGCTCTGAACACATCAAGGTCTTTTATTCTTCTAGATCTTTCCTCCTGTAGTTCCCTCTGCCTGATACTTCTTTCCCCGGACCCTTCTCTCCCTTACTCACCTGGCAAACTCCTGTTCTTTTATGTAGGTATTGTTAAGCACCTCTTTTGTGAGTCCTCACCAGATCCTTCTTTCAGACGAAATTAGTCATTCCCCATCCCACTCCCATTATGCTAGTTCTCTTAGGACACCTAGCACAAATAATCATGACCCTCACATCTTTGCATTCTCAGTACCCAGCAGAGGGCTTCACACAGAGTAGGCCTTTAGTGCATGTGTATGAACTGAATGAATTACATACGGACATGACTGTTTGAAATAAAGGGGAAAAAATCCAGACCAGAAAATATGCACATATGAAATGCAACTCAGTGACAAATATGTAAGGCTATTAATAAGCACCAGCAAGGCATGCCAAGTACTGTCTGATGTGTTTCAGATCTTTCTCCTCTCCAAATCTCATGTTGAAATGTGATCCTCAATGTTGGAGGTGGCGCATAGTGGGAGGTATGCAGGTCATAGGGGCAGATCTCTCATGAATGGTTTGATGCCCTTCCCATCGTAATGAGTGAGTTCTCATTCTGTTTGTTCACAAGAGAGCTAGTTGGTTAAAAAGAGCCTGGCATTGCTTTTGCTCCTTCTCATGCCATGTGACATGCCTGCTCCCCCTTCACCTTTCACCATAATTGTAAATTTCCTGAGGCCTCACCAGAAGCCAAGCAAATGTGGATGCCATGCTTGTACAGCCTGCAGAATCGGAAGCCAAATAAACCTTTTTCTTTAATATTATTCAGTCTCAGCAATGCAAAACAGACTAATACATACCTATTTAACACCTAATATTATCTTTCTTAGCATAAAGAAACCATTTCTTTTTTAACATGAAAAACGAGGGTAGGACCACTACAATAAAAACTGTTTCCCAAGATGCACATGTATAACTGCAAGGTTAGAAATGCTAAAATATGATGTGTAAAATGTTTCTAAAATGGGCAAATTTTCATATTTTAAATCATAAGCAGATCTATTTTAGCAATCCAATTACTTTTGGCATAAAATATATCATTACATTTTCCCGGTTTTTTTGGGGGGGCAACTAATTTTAGTTAACTTCTAGTGAGTTACTGTAAGAAAGTATTTTAAGAGTATGCTTATTCTTTCTGAAATATGTTCACTCAAAAAAAAAAACCATGCAGAAATCCACAGAAACTATGTCACTCTCATTATTCATAATGTTTATATTTTATTATATTAAGCTGTATTATACAACAATTAGGGCTTATCTTTTCGGACTTGTGCATTTTGAGAACTTTGGGTTTTAGTATAAATGAAGCCTACAGCTGATAACATTTCATGGCAAGACTAAAGTAATAACTATGTAAAGTGCTCATTTACATGGCTTTTCATTTCAGGAACAGAAAGGAAGAAATATAGGAGTTCTTACCATTGTATGATAGCATCTGGGGACAAATACTGAAATTGGACCTGTGCGATGGCCATCAATTTGGTGGCTGCTATCAAGGAAACAGGGGCCTTGTAAATGAGAGCAACATTGTGTAGGCTGGTTTTGTTTTGGCTCATTTGTTTATTGTTAATTACAAGCAATTGACCTAGTACTAGATTTTTGTTTTGTTTTTATACCAAGCAATTCTTTGATAATCAGTCTCACTGTTTTAGAAGAAAACTTCAGCAATGTCTTTGGCAGCAAGATAATTTACTCCTAAAATAGTCCCTAGAGACAAATAATTTATTGTTCTCATACCTACATTAAAGTTCAAAAGGCCAGGCGCAGTGGCTCACGCCTGTAATCTCAGCACTTTGGGAGCCCGAGGTGGGCGGATCACGAGGTCAAGAGATGGAGACCATCCTAGCCAACATGGTGAAACCGTGTCTCCACTAAAAATACAAAAATCAGCTGGGCGTGGTGGCGCACACCTGTAGTCCCAGCTACTCAGGAGGCTGAGGCAGAAGAATCGCTTGAACCTGGGAGGCGGAGGTTGCAGTGAGCTGAGATCGCACCACTGCATTCCAGCCTGGTGACACAGCAAGACTCCATATCAAAAAATCGTAATAATAATACAAATAAAAAGGTTCGACTTCTCTGAAATGTTTCTAATCCCAGTACTATATTTTTGAAGTGAATTCTAACTAAATGTTTCTGATCATGTAGCCTCAACTTAGCAGAACATCTTTATCCTCTTTTCAAAGAGAATAATCAGTGAAATAAGAAGAGACAAATGTGTTTGAAGCTTGGCTAGTGATTTTGCCATAAAAATATATTCATTGGCTACATAGAAGACCACAAAATGTTTTTAAAACCAATGTTTATGGTCATTTGTCTTCTAAACTTAAGTAGTTTCCACTTCTGGTATGGCAGCATGAGAAACTCCAAGGACCCACTTTCTGGCATACAAGCATAGCTGATAAAAACTATTTTAAAACAACTATTTAAAGTCTCTGGAAATTCTCCAAAGCATACAGCAAATGAAGAAACATTTATTAAAGAAAATCCACTAAAACTCAGAAGGAACCAATAAGAGTATGTGGAATTTGAGTCATGACCCTCTCCCAACTTTATTCACCCAGCTCAGCTTGACAGAAGCTCCACTCCAGGTGGATACAACCAGGAAGATGGGAGTTCCCTCTCTCCTCAGCTCCTAATCAAGGGGTACCATATCTTAACAGGAGGGTAGAATGCCAACATTTCTCAAGGCCTCCAACTCCAACTTCAAAAGGAAAAATTCCAGGAGAGTATAGCCAGGAGATTGGGAGCTCCCTTCCTCCACCTAACACTCACACATAAAATGGAGGGTCTACCCCAAGTGCAGCCGGCCAAGCTGGGATAACCCCAGTGACCTTTGCTTCAGCTTGCTCAAGTTAGCAAGGAGAGGGAAGCCAAGAAGATCAGAGGCTACTGCCCCACCCAGAATAGTGCTTCAGAGATTTTTCCTATGGGGAGAGTTAGTTCATCAGAAAAGAGAGTTCCAATCTTTCCCCAAAGTAACTGACCATTTGAAAGAGAATGTGGGAAAGTTCAAGCCTAAGGGTGTTCTAGAAAACAACAGCTTTTCTTAATTAAGAGCACCAGCTAAAGCATGTACCTGCTATTTCACCAAAGAGAACCAAGGAAAGTGACAGCTAAGAAGTACTCTCTGCTGGGCATGGTGGCTCACACCTGTAATCCCAGCACTTTGGGAAGCCAAGACGGGTGGATCACCTGAGGTCAGGAGTTCGAGGCCAGCCTGGATGAAACCTGTCTCTAGTAAAAATACAAAAATTAGCTGGGTGTGGTGGTGGGCGCTTGTAATCCCAGCTACTTGGGAAGCTGAGGCAGGAGAATCAATTGAACCTAGGAGGCGGAGGTTGCAGTGAGCTGAGACAGCACCACTGCACTCCAGCCAGGGCAACAAGAGCGAAACTCCATCTTGGAAAAAAAAAAAAGAAGTACTCTCCTGGGGTCAGACTAAACCTAGTCTCAAAAACTAAAACTAAAGACTAGTCTCAAAAACTACCCCTGCCTAAGTTTAATTGGATCAGACTGCAGAGCAATTTATGCCCCAGGGCATTGTTGAAAACAATAGAGGAATCAGCTGTTAATTCTTGGAGTCTACAGTTGGGTGTGATACCAAATGAGGCAGAGAGCTTAACAGAGAAACTAGGGGAAAAGATAGTCAAAGAATGTCCTGCCAAAATCACTGTCATCCGACTTCACTGTGTGCACACCCAAGGCAATGCCCTCCTAGGAGTCATACCCGGCACAGTAGGAGTGTCAGGCCTCTGAGCCCAAGCCTGCGTGTATACATCCAGATGGCCTGAAGCAACTGAAGAATCACTAAAGAAGTGAAAATGGCTGGTTCCCGCCTTAACTGATGACATTACCTTGTGACATTCCTTCTCCTGGACAATAAGTCTCTGGAGCTCCCTTGTGACCCCTGCCCCTGCCCACAAGAAAACAACTCCCTTTTACTGTAATTTTCCACTACTTACCCAAACCCTATAAAACTGCCACACCTCTAACTCCTTTTGCTGACTCTCTTTTCAGACTCAGCCCACCTACACCTAGGTGAAATAAACAGCTTTACTGCTCACACAACGCCTGTTTGCTGGTATCTTCACACGGACACGTGTGACATTTGGTGCCAAAGACCCAGGACAGGAGGACTCCTTTGGGAGATCAGTCCCCTGTCCTCACCCTCACTCCATGAGGAGATCCACCTATGACCTCAGGTCCTCAGAACAACCAGCCCAAGGAACATCTCACCAATTTCAAATTGGGTAAGCAGTCTTTTCACTCTCTTCTCCAGCCTCTCTCACTACCCTTCAATCTCCCTTTCCTTCCAATTCCAGTTCTTTTTCCTCTCTAGTAGAAACAAAGGAGGCACATTTTATCTGTGGACCCAAAACTCCGTAGCTGGTCACAGACTCAGGAAGACAGTCTTCCCTTGGTGTTTAATCACTGTGGGGACACCTGCCTGATTATTCACCCACACTCCATTGGTGTCTGATCACCGCGGGGACGCCTGCCCTGGTCATTCACCCACATTCCCTTGGTGGCAAGTCAATTGCGGGGACGCCCGCTTTGGCTGCTCACCCACATTGCAGCCCAGGGCTGCTCACCACCCCCCTTCTCCGTGTCTCTACCCTCTCTTTTCTCTGGGCTTGCCTCCTTCACTATGGGCAAACTTCCACCGTCTATTCCCCCTTCTTCTCCCTTAGCCTGTGTTCTCAAAAACAAAACCTCTTCAACTCTCGCCTGACCTAAAACCTAAGCATTTTTTTTTTCTGCAACACCACTTGGCCCCGATACAAACTTGATAATGGTTCTAAATAGCCAGAAAATGGCACTTTTGATTTCTCCATCTTACAAGACCTGGATGATTTTTGTCAAAAAATGGGCAAATGGTCTGGGGTGCCTGACGTCCAGGCATTCTTTTACACATTGGTCCCTCCCTAGTCTCTGCTCCCAATGCAACTCGTCCCAAATCTTTCTTCTTTCTCTCCTGTTCCTTCGGTCTCCACCTCAAGCTCTGAGTCCTTTGAATCCTCCTTTTTTACGGACCCATCTGACCTCTCCCCTCCTCCCCAGTCTGCTCCTCATGAGGCCAAGCCAGGTCCCAATTCTTCCTCAGCCTCCGCTCCCCTACTCTATAATCCTTCTATCACCTCCCCTCCTTATACCTGGTCCAGATTATAATTTCGTTCCGTGACTAGCCCTCTCCCACCTGCCCAAAAATTTCCTCTTAAAGAGGTGGCCGGAGCTGAAGGCATAGCCAAGGCTAATGCTCCTTTTTCTTTATCCGACCTCTCCCAAATCAGTTGGCGTTTAGGTTCTTTTTCATCAAATATAAAAACTCAGCCCAGTTCATGGCCCATTTGGCAACAACCCTTAGACGCTTTACCACCCCAGACCCAGAGGGGCCAGAAGGCCATCTTATTCTCAATATACATTTTATTACCCAATCCACTCCCAGCATTGCAAAAAGGTCCAAAAATCAGATTCCGGCCCTCAAACCCCACAACAGGACTTAATTAACCTCGCCTTCAAGGTGTACAATAATAGAGAAGAGTTGCAATTACTTGCCTCTGCTGTGAGAGAAACCCCAGACACATCTCCAGCACAAAAGAACTTCAAAACGCCTAAGCCATAGCGGTCAGGTATTCCTTCGGGACCTCATCCCCCAGGATCTTGCTTCAAGTGCTGGAAATCTGGCCACTGGGCCAAGGAATGCCTGCAGCCCAGGATTCCTCCTAAGCCATGTCCCATCTGTGCAGGACCCCACTGGAAATCAGACTGTCCACCTTGCCTGGCAGCCACTCGCAGAATCCCTGGAACTCTGGCCCAAGGCTCTCTGACTGACTCCTTCCCAGATCTCGGCTTAGCGGCTTAAGACTGACACTGCCTGATTGCCTCGGAAGCCTCCTGGACCATCACAGATGCTTTGGGTAGATCTTACAGTGGAGGGCAAGTCCATCCCCTTCTTAATACGGAGGCTACCTACTCTGCATTACATTCTTTTCAAAGGCCTGTTTCCCTTGCCTCCATAATTGTTGTGGGTATGGACAGCCGGGCTTCTAAACCTCTTAAAACTCCCCAACTCTGGTGCCAACTTGGACAACATTCTTTTATGGGCTTCTTTTTAGTTATCCCCACCTGCCCAGCTCCCTTATTAGGTCGAGACTTTTTAACTAAATTATCTGCTTCCCTGACTATTCCTAGGCTACAACCACACCTCATTGTTGCCCTTTTCCCAAATTCAAAGCCTCCTTCACATCCTCCCCTTGTATCTCCCACCTTAATCCACAAGTATGGGACACTTTTACTCCTTCCCTGGTGACCAATCATGCACCCCTTACCATCCCATTAAAACCTAATCACCCTTACCCCGCTCAATGCCAATATCCCATCCCACAGCATGCTTTAAAAGGATTAAAGCCTGTTATCGCTCGCCTGTTACAGCATGGCCTTTTAAAGCCTATAAACTCTCCTTACAATTCCCCCATTTTACCATCCAAAAACCGGACAAGTCTTACAGGTTAGTTCAGGATCTGCGCCTTATCAACCAAATTGTCTTGCCTATCCACCCATGGTGCCTAACCCATATACTCTCCTATCCTAAATACCTCCCTCCACAACCCAATATTCTGCTCTAGATAAACCTAGCTGACCCCATAAATCCTAAATCCTCTCCACACTCCCCTTTCCATTCCTTAAAAAACAGCCCTAAAAGCTGCTCCCACAATAGCTCTCCCTAACTCATCCCAACCTTTTTCATTACACGCAGGCAAAGTACAGGGCCGTGCAGTCAAAATTCTTACACAAGAGCCAGGACCACATCCTGTAGCCTTTCTGTCCAAACAACTTAACCTTACTGTTTTAGGCTGGCCCCCACATTATTCCTGATACCACACCTGACCCACATGATTGTATCTCTCTGATCCACCTGATATTCACTCCATTTCCCCATATTTCCTTCTTTCCTGTTCCTCACCCTGATCGCACTTGGTTTATTGATGGCAGTTCTACCAGGCCTAATTGCCACTCACCAGCAAAGGCAGGCTATGCTATAGTATCTTTCACATCTATCCTTGAGGCTACCACTCTGCCCCCTCCACTACCTCTCAGCAAGCTGAACTCATTGCCTTAACTCGGGCCCTCACTCTTGCAAAAGGACTATGTGTTAATATTTATACTGACTGTAAATATGCCTTCCATATCCTGCACCACCATGCTGTTATATAGGCTGAAAGAGGTTTCCTCACTACACAAGGGTCCTCCATCATTAATGCCTCTTTAATAAAAACTCTTCTCAAGGTCGCTTTACTTCCCAAGGAAGCTGGAGTCATTCACTGCTAGGGCCATCAAAAGGTGTCAGATCCCATCGCTCAGGGTAATGCTTATGCTGCTAAGGTAGCTAAAAAAGCAGCTAGCATTCCAACTTCTGTCCCTCACGGCAGTTTTTCTCCTTCTCATCGGTCACTCCCACTTACTCCCCCACTGAAACTTCCACCTGTCAATCTCTTCCCACACAAGGCAAATGGTTCTTGAACAAGGAAAATATCTCCTTCCAGCCTCACAGGCCCATTCTATTCTGTTGTCATTTCATAACCTCTTCCATGCAGGTTACACGCTGCTAGCCCGCCTCTTAGAATCTCTCATTTCCTTTCCATCGTGGAAATCTATTCTCAAGGAAATAACTTCTCAGTGTTCCATCTGCTATTCTACGACTCCTGAGGGATTGTTCAGGCCCCCTCTCTTCCCTACACATCAAGCTCGGGGATTTGCCCCTGTCCAGGACTGGCAAATTGACTTTACTCACATGCCCCGAGTCAGGAAACTAAAATACCTCTTGGTCTGGGTAGACACTTTCACTGGATGGGTAGAGGCCTTTCCCACAGGGCCTGAAAAGGCCACTGTGGTCATTTCTTCCCTTCCGTCAGACATAATTCCTGGGTTTGGCCTTCCCACCTCTATAATACAGTCTGATAACGGATTGGCCTTTATTAGTCAAATCGCCCAAGCAGTTTCTCAGGCTCTTGGTATTCAGTGGCTCCTGGTTTTACCTCAAACCACCACCCTTAAGTCTCTCTTAAAGTGGATAAAAGATCTTCAGTGGCAAGGTACAATCCAATACTTTCACCCTGATAAAGTCTTATTCTTTACTTTCATAGTCACTCTTATTCTCGTTCCCATTCTTATGCCATCCTCTACCTCTCCCCAGCTATCTCCACCACACTATCAATCTCACTCCTAGCCATTTCTAATCCTTCTTTAACAAACAATTGCTGGCTTTGCATTTCTCTTTCCTCCAAAATTGCTGAGGCCTCAACTTACTGCTTAAAAAAAGAGGACTCTGTATATTTTTAAAAGAAGAGTGTTGTTTTTACCTAAAATCAATCTAGCCTGGTATATGACAATATAAAAAAACTCAAGAATAGACCCCAAAACTCGCCAACCAAGCAAATAATCACACTGAACCCCCTTAGGCACTCTGATTGGATGTCATGGGTCCTCCCAATCTTAGTCCTTTAATACCTGATTTTCTCCTTCTTTTATTTGGACCTTGGGTCTTCCATTTAGCTTCTCAATTCATACAAAACCATATCCAGGCCATCACTAATCATGCTGTATGACAAATGCTATTTGTAACAACCCCACAATATCATCCCTTACCACAAAATCTTCCTTCAGCTTAATCTCTCCCATTCTAGGTTTCCATGCCACCCCTAATCCCACTAGAAGCAGCCCTGGGAAACATGGCCCATTATCTCTCCATACCACCCCCAAAAATTTTTGCCACCCCAACACTTCAACACTATTTTGTTTTATTTTTCTTATGAATATAAGAAGACAGGAATGTCAGGCCTCTGAGCCCAAGCCTGCACGTATACATCCAGATGGCCTGAAGCAAATGAAGAATCACTAAAGAAGTGAAAATGGCCGATTCCTGCCTTAACTGATGACATTACCTTGTGACATTCCTTCTCCTGGACAATAAGTCTCTGGAGCTCCCCACTGAGCACCTTGTGACCCCCCACCCCTGCCCGCAAGAGAACAACCCCCTTTGACTGTAATTTTCCACTACCCACCCAAATCCTATAAAACTGCCCCACCCCTAACTCCCTTTGCTGACTCTCTTTTCAGACTCAGCCCACCTGCACCCAGGTGATTAAAAAGCTTTATTGCTCAAAGAAAACTTGTTTGGTGGTCTCTTCACATGGACGCATGTGACAAGGAGACAACAGATTTCATTAAAATAGTATAGCCAAGTCACAAAAACACACTCAAGCCAATAACAAAAACAAGTCCCAGAGAGGGAGAGAAAAATCCATATCCATAGTCCCAACAATGTATTACCTAAAATGTCCAATTTTCATAAAAAATTCTGAGACATGCAAAGAAACAGAAACGTGTGAGGCATACATGGGAACAAAAAAATTGCATGTGAGAGGGGCTAGATTTCAGATTTAATAGACAAAGCCTTCAAAGTAGCCATTATATACGTACAAAGAACTCAAGTAAATGATGCATTAAAAAGTAAAGCAAATTGAGGCCAGGCGCCGTGGCTCACACCTGTAATCCCAGCATTTTGGGAGGCCAAGGCAGGGGGATCACCTGAAGTTGAGCGTTTGAGACCAGCCTGGCCAACATGGCGAAACCCCATCTCTACTAAAAACACAAAAATTACCCAGGTGTGGTGGCACGTGCCTGTAATCCCAACTTCTCAGAAGGCTGAGGCAGAAGAATCACTTGAACCCGGGAGGCAGAGGTTGTAGTGAGCCGAGATCACACCACTGCACTCCAGCCTGGAAAACAGAGGAAGATTCTGTCTCAAAAAAAATTAGTAAAGGAAGTTATGATGACCATGTCCCATCAAGTAGAGAGTATCAATTAGGAGATATGAATTATTAAAAAAAAAAAACTAATAATGGAAATACTGGAATTGAAAAGTAGAATAACTGAAATGAAAATTTAATAGAGGGGCTCAACTAAACTAGATTTAAAGTGTCAGAAGAATCAACAAACTTAAGATAGATTGACAGAGATTAGACAATCAGAAGAACAGAAAGAAAAACAGAATGAAGAAAAATTAAAAGAGTCCCAGAGAAATATGGGAAACTTTTAAGTGCACCAACATTCACATAAGGAGAATATCAGAAGAAGGAAAAAGAAGAAAACAGAAAAAAAAACTATTTGAAGAAATGATAGCATAAAATGTTTAAATATGTTGAGAAAACATTAATCTACATATCTGAGCTCAATGAACTCCAAGGAAAATAGATGCAAAGAGATACAAATTCAGACACATGAGAGTAAAAATGCTGAAAACAAAGATAAAAAGGAAATATTGCCCAGGCACAGTGGTTCATGCCTGTAATCCCAGCACTTTGGGAGGCAAAGGACGAAGGATAGCTTGAACCCAGGAGTTTGACAGTAGCCTTGACAACATAGGGTGGTGTGATTTTTTTGTAGATCCTGCCTCCACAAAAAAATATTTTAAGCTAGGTAGGCATGGTGGCATATACCTGTAGTCCCAGCTACTTGAGAGGCTGAGGTGGAAGGATCTCTTCAATGCTGCAGTGAGCCATGATTGTGCCACTGCACTCCAGCCTGAGTGACAGAGTGAGACCTGTATTTAAAAAATAATAATAAAAATAAAAAGAACAAAAGAAAAGAAAATCTTGAAAGCAGGAAAGAAAAACATCTTATCACATATAAGAGATCCCAAATAAGGTTAGTATTTGACTAACCTTAGGCAATAGAATAACATATGCAAAATGCTGAAAGGAAAAACAGTCAACATTGAATCTTATATCTAGCAAAAACATCTTTTAAAAATGAAGATGAAATAAAGACATTCTCAAATAAACAAAACTGAAAAAAAATCATTGCTCGCAGAGATATTTTACAAGAAAGACCAAAGGAAGTTCTTCAGGCTGAAAGCAAGTAAACTCAAATGAAAGTATAAATCCACATGAAAAAACAAAAAGTATGGGTAAAGGTAAAAATATATACCGGCATAAATGCATATTTCTTCTTTTTTCTTTTTGTTATGGTTGGAATGTGTGTCCCCTACAAATCTCGTGTTGAAATGTGATTCTCAATGTTGGAGGTGGGGCCTGGTGACAGCTGAGTAGATCATGAGGGTGGATCCCTCATGCATGACTTAGCACCATCCCCATGGTGATGAGTTCTTGCTCAGCTAGTTCATGTGAGATCTGGTTGCTTAAAAGCATATGCACCTCCCCACCCTCTCTCTTGCTCCCTCTCTTGCCATGTGAAGCACTAGCTCCCTGTTTCCCTTCTGCCATGATTATAAGCTTCCTAAGGCCTCTCCAGAAACAGATGCTGGCACCATGCTACCTGTACAGCCTGCAGAACTGTGAGCCAATTAAACCTCTTGTCTTTAAAATTAACCAGCCTCAGGTATTTCTTTATAGCAATGCAAAAATGAGCTAACACATTTCTCTTGGCTGATTTACAAAGCAAGTATATAAAACTACATGTATGTATGTATATATGTTTGCATGTACATATGTATGTATTCTTGGGCCTAAAACATATAGAAATGAATACTTTGCAAAAACAGAATAAAGGCAGTAGCTTGGGGCAAAATATTGGACTAGGAAAATAATACCAGATGGTAACTCAAACACACAAGAACAAATAAAAAGTATCAAGGTAAAGAAGAAGTTAAATATAGCAAACACTATAAATATATACTTTCTCCTCTTTCTTTTTCCATCTTTAATAGACACAAAATTACATAAAGTAATAATTGTAACAATGTATTCTTGGGTTTGTAGAATATAAATATTTGGTATGTATAACAACAATAGCACAAAAAAAGGGAAAGAGGAAGTGGAGTAACATTTCTACATCTCAGTGGAATTAAGTTACTGTTGTCCCTTGGTATACATAGGGGATTAGTTCCACACGGCTCCCCACACCCATGTGTCCCATAGAACTCACATAGTGAGGATTATGGGTAAAAATAATAGCAACATAAATTCATATTTTTAAAAATATGAATTTTTAAAATTCTGTCAGCCTTGCAGAACCTGCATATACAAAAAGTCAGCCCTTCATATACACAGGTTTCACATTCAATTGAGAAACCTTCAAGCCAAGTTTGGTTGAAAAAAATCCATGTACAAGTAGATCCATACAGTTCAAATCCACATTGCTCAAGGGTCAACTGTAACAAATCTGAAGCTGACTCTGATAGGTTAATATGTATAGGAAAGCTCTAGAGCAAACAGTAAGAAAAACTCAAAAGCCTACAGTGAAAAAAATCATTAAATGAGTTTGAAAATGTTTCTCTAGACAATATTCATTTAATGCAAAAGAAATTAGTAAAGGAAAAATAGAGGAACAAAAAACACATGAGACCCATGGAAAACAAAAAATCAAACGGCATAATCTAACTTTATGAATAATAAAGTTAATCTAACTTTATGAATAATAAAGTTAATCTAACTTTATGATTAATAATATTTATTACTAATAAACATAATCTAACTTTATGAATAATATTAAGTGCAAATGATCAAAATATCCAATTGAAAGACAGCGATTGTCAGATTGGATAAAAAGCAAGATCCAACCACAGATGCTCTCAATTTACGATAGGGTTATGTCCTGATAAACTCATCATAAGCTGAAAATATTATAAGTCAAAAATGCATTTAATACATCCAGCCTACTATATCATAGCTTAGCTTAGCCCACCTTGAACATGCTCAGACCACTTACGTTAGCATGGCTGGCAGGGAGCTGCAGCTTACTGCCACTGCCTGGCATCACAAGAGAGTACTGTGCTGTATATTGCTAGCCCAAGAAAAGATCAAACTTCAAAGTTCAAAGTATGATTTCTACTAAATTCATATCACTTTCACACCATTGTAAAGTTAAAAAGTCATAAGTTGAACCATTATAAGTCAGGGACCATCTGTATATGTTGTCTACAGAATACACACTTTAGATTCAAAGACAGAAAAATGTTGACAGTAAAAGTATGGGAAAAGATATGTCATGCAAACAGCAAACATAAAAAAACTACAGTGGCCATACTAATATCAGACAAAATAGACTTTAAAACAAAAAAGCACTAGAAATAAATAGGGACATTTTATAATGATAAAAGTGTCAACCCATCAGGAAGCTATAACAATTAGAAATACATATACACCTAACAACAGAACCCTACAACATGTGAAGTAAAAAATGAGAATTGAAAGAAGAAATACACAATTTAACAATAATAGTGAGATACTTCAATACTCCACTTTCAATCATAGATAGAACAACTATGCAGAAGATCAACAAGAAAACCAAAGACTTAAAGAGCACTACACACAAATTTGACCTAACACACATTGGTAGAACACTTCACCCAACAACAACAAAATACTCATATTTAAGTGTGCATGAAACCATCTCAGGAATAGATCATATGTCAGGTCACAAAACATGTCTCAATAAACTTAAAAGGACATACATAATACAAAGTATGCTCTCCAACCATAGGAATAAAAATAGAAATTATTAACAGAAAGGAATGTGGGAAATTCACAAATATGTAGAAATAAAACAACATACTGCTAAATAACCAAACGGTCAAAGAAGAAAGCACAAGTAAATTCAGACTTTTAGATGAATGAAAATGAAAATACAACATATCCAAACTTGTTGGACATGGCTAAAGCAGTACTTGGAGGGAAATTTATAGATGTAACTTCCTATATTAAAAAAGAAGAAATATCTCAAATCAATAACCTAATCTTCCATATTAAGTACACTGTAAAAAGAAAAGAACGAAACTCAAAGCAAGAGGAAGAAAATAGTAAGAATTAGAGCAGAAATTAAAGAAACAGGAAATAGAAAAATGAGAGAAAATAAACAAAAAAGAAGTTTATCTTTCAAAAAAATCAGTAAAATTGACAAACCTTTAGCTAGACTGAATAAGATTAAGACAAGACTCATGTTGCACAAATTAGAAGTAAAATAGGGGGCATTACTACTGGCCTTACAAAATAAAGGAAATTTAGGAATCAAATAAAATAATTACATGGAAATACTATAAACAACTGTATGCCAACACATTAGATAACCTAGATGAAATGGACAAATTACTAGAAGGTACAAACTACCGAAAATGATTTAAAAAGAAATAGAAGGCTGGGTATGGTGGCTCATGCCTGTAATCACAGCACTTTGGAAAGCCCAGGCAGGCAGATCACTTGAGGTCAGGAGTTCAAGATCAGCCTGGCCAACACGGCAAAACCCTGACTTTAATGAAAAAAAAAAAAAAAAAAACCCAAAAAAACCCAAATTAGCCAGTGCGGTGGTGCACGCCTGTAATCCCAGCTACTTGAGAAGCTGAGGTGTGAGAATTGCTTGAACCCAGGGGGTGAAAGTTGCAGTGAGGGAGATCATGTCACTGCACTCCAACCTGGGTGACAGAGCGAGACTCTGTATCAAAAAAAAAAAAAAAAAAGGGGGGTGGAGCCAAGATGGCCGAATAGGAACAGCTGCAGCCTACAGCTCCCAGCATGAGCGATGCAGAAGACGGGTGATTTCCGCATTTCCAACTGAGGTAACGGGTTCATCTCACTGGGGAGTGCCGGACAGTGGGTGCAGGACAGTGGGTGCAGCGCACTGTGTGTGAGCCGAAGCAGGGCGAGGCATTGCCTCACCCGGGAAACACAAGGGGTCAGGGAATTCCCTTTCCTAGTCAAAGAAAGGGGTGACAGACGGTACCTGGAAAATCGGGTCACTCCCACCCTAATACTGTGCTTTTCCAACGGGCTTAACAAACAGCACACCAGGAGATTATATCCCGCACATGGCTCCGAGGGTCCTACACCCATAGAGCCTTGCTCATTGCTAGCACAGCAGTCTGAGATCAAACTGCAAGGCGGCAGCAAGGCTGGGGGAGGGGCACCCGCCATTGCTCAGGCTTGAGTAGGTAAACAAAGTGGCTGGGAAGCTCGAACTGGGTGGAGCCCACCACAGCTCAAGGAGGCCTGCCTGCCTCTGTAGGCTCCACCTCTGGGGGCAGGGCACAGACAAACAAAAGACAGCAATAACCTCTGCAGACTTAAATATCCCTGTCTGACAGCTTTGAAGAGAGTAGTGGTTCTCCCAGCATGCAGTTTGAGATCTGAGAATGGGCAGACTGCCTCCTCAAGTAGGTCCCTGACTCCCGAGTAGCCTAACTGGGAGGCACCCCCCAGTAGGCGGGGACTGACACCTCACACAGCCGGGTACTCCTCTGAGCCAAAACTTCCAGAGGAACAATCAGGCAGCAGCATTTGCGGCTCACCAATACCAGCTGTTCTGCAGCCACCGCTGCTGATACCCAGGCAAACAGAGTCTGAAGTGGACCTCCAGTAAACTCCAACAGACCTGCAGCTGAGGGTCCTGACTGTTAGAAGGAAAACTAACAAACAGAAAGGACATCCACACCAAAAACCCATCTGTACGTCACCATCATCAAAGACCAAAGGTAGATAAAACCACAAAGATGGGGAAAAAACAGAGCAGAAAAACCGGAAACTCTAAAAATCAGAGCGCCTCTCCTCCTCCAAAGGAACGCAGCTCCTCACCAGCAACAGAACAAAGCTGAGCGGAGAATAACTTTGATGAGTTGAGAGAGGAAGGCTCCAGAAGATCAAGCTACTCCGAGCTAAAGGAGGAAGTTCGAACCAACGGCAAAGAAGTTAAAAACTTTGAAAAAAAATTAGACAAATGGCTAACTAGAATAACCAATGCAGAGAAGTCCTTAAAGGACCTGATGGAGCTGAAAACCACGGCACGAGAACTACGTGACAAATGCACAAGCCTCGGTAACCAATGAAATGAACTGGAAGAAAGGGTATCAGTGATGGAAGACAAAATGAATGAAATGAAGCGTGAAGAGAAGTTTAGAGAAAAAAGAAGAGAAAGAAACGAACAAATCCTCCAAGAAATACGGGACTATGTGAAAAGATCAAATCTACATCTAATTGGTGTATCTAAAAGTGATGGGGAGAATGGAACCGAGTTGGAAAACACTCTGCAGGATATTATCCAGGAGAACTTCCCCAATCTAGCAAGGCAGGCCAACATTCAAATTCAGGAAATACAGAGAATGCTACAAAGATACTCCTCGAGAAGAACAACTCCAAGACACATAATTGTCAGATTCACCAAAGTTGAAATGAAGGAAAAAATGTTAAGGGCAGCCAGAGAGAAAGGTCGGGTTACCCACAAAGGGAAGCCCATCAGACTAACAGCTGATCTCTCGGCAGAAACTCTACAAGCCACAAAAGAGTGGAGGCCAATATTCAACATTCTTAAAGAAAAGAATTTTCAACCCAGAATTTCATATCCAGCCAAACTAAGCTTCATAAGTGAAGGAGAAACAAAATACTTTACAGACAAGCAAATGCTGAGAGATTTTGTCACCACCAGGCCTGCCCTAAAAGAGCTCCTGAAGGAAGCACTAAACATGGAAAGGAACAACCGGTACCAGCCACTGCAAAAACATGCCAAATTGTAAAGACCATCAAGGCTAGGAAGAAACTGCATCAACTAACGAGCAAAATAACCAGCTAACATCATAATGACAGGATCAAATTCACACATAACAATACTAACCTTAAATGTAAATGGGCTAAATGCTCCAATTAAAAGGCACTGACTGGCAAATTGGATAAAGAGTCAAGACCCATCAGTGTGTTGTATTCAGGAAACTCATCTCACGTGCAGAGACACATATAGGCTCAAAATAAAGGGATGGAGGAAGATCTACCAAGCAAATGGAAAACAAAAAAAGGCAGGGGTTCCAATCCTAGTCTCAGATAAAACAGACTTTAAACCAACAAAGATCAAAAGAAACAAAGAAGGCCATTACATAATGGTAAAGGGATCAATTCAACAAGAAAAGCTAACTATCCTAAATATATATGCACCCAATACAGGAGCACCCAGATTCATAAAGCAAGTCCCGAGTGACCTACAAAGAGACTTAGACTCCCACACAATAATAATGGGAGACTTTAACACCCCACTGTCAACATTAGACAGATCAACGAGACAGAAAGTCAACAAGGATATCCAGGAATTGAACTCAGCTCTGCACCAAGCAGACCTAATAGACATCTACAGAACTCTCCACCCCAAATCAACAGAATATACATTCTTTTCAGCACCACACCACACCTACTCCAAAATTGACCACATAGTTGGAAGTAAAGCACTCCTCAGCAAATGTAAAAGAACAGAAATTATAACAAACTGTCTCTCAGACCACAGTGCAATGAACTAGAACTCAGGATTAAGAAACTCACTCAAAACTGCTCAACTACATGGAAACTGAACAACCTGCTCCTGAATGACTACTGGATACATAACGAAATGAAGGCAGAAATAAAGATGTTCTTTGAAACCAACGAGAACAAAGATACAACATACCAGAATCTCTGGGACACATTCAAAGAAGTGTGTAGAGGGAAATTTATAGCACTAAATGCCCACAAGAGAAAGCAGGAAAGATCTAAAACTGACACCCTAACATCACAATTAAAAGAACTAGAGAAGCAAGAGCAAACACATTCAAAAGCTAGCAGAAGGCAAGAAATAACTAAGATCAGAGCAGAACTGAAGGAAATAGAGACACAAAAAAGCCTTCAAAAAAAATCAATGAATCCAGGAGCTGGTTTTTTGAAAAGATCAACAAAATTGATAGACTGCTAGCAAGACTAATAAAGAAGAAAAGAGAGAAGAATCAAATAGACGCAATAAAAAATGACAAAGGGGATATCACCACCAATCCCACAGAAATGCAAACTACCATCAGAGAATACTATAAACACCTCTACGCAAATAAACTAGAAGATCTAGAAGAAATGGATAAATTCCTCGACACATACACTCTCCCAAGACTAAACCAGGAAGAAGTTGAATTTCTGAATAGACTAATAGCAGGCTCTGAAATTGAGGCAATAATTAATAGCTTCCCAACTAAAAAAAGTCCAGGACCAGATGGATTCACAGCTGAATTCTACCAGAGGTACAAGGAGGAGCTGGTACCATTCTTTCTGAAACTATTCCAATCAAGAGAAAAAGAGAGAATCCTCCCTAACTCATTTTATGAGGCCAGCATCATCCTGATACCAAAGCCTGGTAGAGACACAACCAAAAAAGAGAATTTTAGACCAATATCCTTGATGAACATTGATGCAAAAATCCTCAATAAAATACTGGCAAACCGAATCCAGCAACACATCAAAAAGCTTATCCACCATGATCAAGTGGGCTTCATCCCTGGGATGCAAGGCTGGTTCAATATACGAAAATCAATAAACGTAATCCAGCATATAAACAGAACCAAAGACAAAAACCACATGATTATCTCAATAGATGCAGAAAAGGCCTTTGACAAAATTCAACAACCCTTCATGCTAAAAACTCTCAATAAATTAGGTATTGATGGGATGTATCTCAAAATAATAAGAGCTATCTATGACAAACCCACAGCCAATATCATACTGAATGGACAAAAACTGGAAGCATTTCCTTTGAAAACTGGCACAAGACAGGGATGCCCTCTCTCACCACTCCTATTCAACATAGTGTTGGAAGTTCTGGCCAGGGCAATTAGGCAGGAGAAGGAAATAAAGGGCACTCAATTAGGAAAAGAGGAAGTCAAATTTTCCCTGTTTGCAGATGACATGATTGTATATCTAGAAAACCCCATAGTCTCAGCCCAAAATCTCCTTAAGCTGATAAGCAACTTCAGCAAAGTCTCAGGATACAAAATCAATGTGAAAAAATCATAAGCATTCTTATACACCAATAACAGACAAACAGAGAGCCAAATCACGAGTGAACTCCCATTCACAATTGCTTCAAAGAGAATAAAATACCTAGGAATCCAACTTACAAGGGATGTGAAGGACCTCTTCAAGGAGAACTACAAACCACTGCTCAACGAAATAAAAGAGGATACAAACAAATGGAAGAACATTCCATGCTCATGGGTAGGAAGAATCAGTATCATAAAAATGGCCATACTGCCCAAGGTAATTTATAGATTCAATGCCATCCCCATCAAGCTACCAATGACTTTCTTCACAGAACTGGAAAAAAAAAACTACTTTAAAGTTCATAGGGAACCAAAAAAGAGCCCGCATTGCCAAGTCAATCCTAAGCCAAAAGAACAAAGCTGGAGGCATCATGCTACCTGACTTCAAACTACACTACAAGGCTACAGTAACCAAAACAGCATGGTACTGGTACCAAAACAGAGATATAGACCAATGGAACAGAACAGAGCCCTCAGAAATAATGCCACATATCTACAACTACCTGATCTTTGACAAACCTGACAAAAACAAGCAATGGGGAAAGGATTCCCTATTTAATAAATGGTGCTGGGAAAACTGGCTAGCCATATGTAGAAAGCTGAAACTGGACCCCTTCCTTACACCTTATACAAAAATTAATTCAAGATGGATTAAAGACTTACATGTTAGACCTAAAACCACAAAAACCCTCGAAGAAAACCTAGGCAATACCATTCAGGACATAGGCATGGGCAAGGACTTCATGTCTAAAACACCAAAAGCAATGGCAACAAAAGTGAAAATTGACAAATGGGATCTATTTAAACTAAAGAGCTTCTGCACAGCAAAAGAAACCACCATCAGAGTGAACAGGCAACCTACAAAATGGGAGAACATTTTTGCAACCTACTCAATCTGACAAAGGGCTAATATCCAGAATCTACAATGAACTCAAACAAATTTACAAGAAAAAAACAAACAACCGCATCAAAAAGTGGGCCAAGGATATGAACAGACACTTCTCAAAAGAAGACATTTATGCAGCCAAAAAACACGTGAAAAAATGCTCATCATCACTGACCATCAGAGAAATGCAAATCAAAACCACAATGAGATACCATCTCACACCAGTTAGAATGGTGATCATTAAAAAGTCAGGAAACAACAGGTGCTGGAGAGGATGTGGAGAAATAGGAACACTTTTACACTGTTGGTGGACTGTAAACTAGTTCAACCATTGTGGAAGTCAGTGTGGCGATTCCTCAAGGATCTAGAACTAGAAATACCATTTGACCCAGCCATCCCATTACTGGGTATATACCCAAAGGATTATAAATCATGCTGCTATAAAGACACGTGCACACGTATGTTTATAGCGGCACTATTCACAATAGCAAAGACTTGGAACCAACCCAAATGTCCAACAATGATAGACTGGATTAAGAAAATGTGGTACATATACACCATGGAATACTATGCAGCCATAAAAAATGATGAGTTCATGTCCTTTGTAGGGACATGGATGAAGCTGGAAACCATCATTCTCAGCAAACTATCGCAAGGACAAAAAACCAAACACTGCATGTTCTCACTCATAGGTGGGAATTGAACAAAGAGAACACATGGACACAGGAAGGGGAACATCACACACCGGGGACTGTTGTGGGGTGGGGGGAGGGGGGAGGGATAGCCTTAGGAGATATACCTAATGCTAAATGATGAGTTAATGGGTGCAGCACACCAACATGGCACATGTATACATATGTAACAAACCTGCACATTGTGCACATGTACCCTAAAACTTAGAAGTATAATAATTAAAAAAAAAAAAGAATTAGAAACAAAGTAAAAAGAAAAAGAAAAAGAAAAAAAAAAAAGAAAAGAAAGAAGAAGAAATAGAAAATCAGAACAGATCTATAAAAGTAAAGAGATAAACTAGTAATCAAAAAAAACTTTGCACAAAGAAAATACTGTGGTTGAAGGCCTAGTGGTTTCCCTGGTGAATTCTGCCAAACATTTAAAGAATAATTCATAACAATACCCCATAATTTCTTCCAAAAAATAGAGAAGGGGGGAACTCATTATTTGAAGCCACTATTACCCTGACACAAGGCCAGAAAAAACATCATAAGAAAATAAAAATACAGAGTAATATTCCCCATGAGTAGAGATGTAAAACTCCTCAACAAAATACTAGCAAATCAAATAATCAAAGAAACATAAAAAGAATTTTTATGGTGTAAAGAATTTTACACCATTACCAAGTGGGCTTCACTCCAGGAATGCAAGGTTGGTTTATCATTCAAAAAATAAATTAATGTGCTACCCCATATTAATAGAATAAATGACAAAAACTACATGTTCGTCTCAATACTTACAGAGAAAACATCTGACAAAATTCAACATTCATTCATGATGATTTTAAAAACACTCAACAAACTACAAATATCAAGCAACTTCCTCAATGTGATAAAGAACATGTGAGATAAACCCACAGTTTGCATCATAACGTGAAAGACAGAATCTCAGAATATAATCTTACCTGGAAATAGTGTCTCTGCAAATGAAATTAGTTAGGATGAAGTCATATAGGATTAAGATACGCCCCAAATCCAATGACTAGTATCCTTTTAAGGCCACATGAAGACACACAGGAAAGAAGGCCATCTAATGACAGAGACAGAATGGAATGAGGCAGCTAGAAGACAAGGAATGCCAAAAAAAAAGAAAAAAAAAAAAAAAAAACCAGCCTGTCACCACTACGAGTGGTGACACTTCTACACCCTTCAAAGGGAGCATAGGCCTTGAATTCAGGCTTTTAGCCTCCAGAACTGTGAGAGAATAAATTTCTGTTGTTTTAAGCCACAGAGTTTGAGGTAATTTGTTACAGTACCCATAGGAAACTAATATAGATTTTAGTACCAGGGCATGGGGTGCTGCCATAACAAATATCTGAAATTGTGGAAGGGACTTTGGAATTGGTTAATGGGTAGAGGCTGAAAGAATTTTGAGATACATGATAGAAAACCTAAATTGCTTTAAAAAGTTTGCTGGTGGAAATATGGGCATTAAAGGTGATTTTGGTGAGGGCTCAAAGGAAAAGAAGAGAATAGTAGAGTTTCTATCACTTTAGGTAACACATATGTCATCATGATTAGACTGATGGTAAAAATGTGAACATTGAAGATGCTTCTGGTGAGGTCAGAAGGAATTGAAACACATGATTAAAAAACTGGAGGAAAGGTGATTACTGTTATAAAGTGGCAGTAGAGCTGACTGAATTGTGTTCTAGATTTGGATGGAAAGTAAAAATTGTGAGATATAAACTTGGAGATTTAGTGGAGAACATTTGCAAGCAAAGTGTGGAAGATGTGATCTTATTTCTCCTTGCTTCTTATAGTATAAATGCAAGAGGTGTGAGATAAATTGAGAAGGGAACTATTATGTGAAAGGAACCAGCATTTGCTGCCTGAAAAAATTCTCAGCCTATCTAGATAGCAAAAGATGAGAAAATATGGTCTGGAGAGAACACCAAAGGCGTGGTGGACAAAAGTTTGTTGATGAGATATGCGACTTACAAATACAATCAACCATCTTATCAGAAGCCACAAATAGAGATGGAGTTATCTAGAAACAAATCTATGCAAGACTCCCTTGTCTAATGGCTTGAACGCCCATGAGCTGCATAGGAAGCAGACAGGTTTTTGAGGATTTTGTGCCAGTAGGAACACTGCCAGCCTGTACTAAAAGGGGTAAAGATGGGGTAAAATGAAAGAAGTCTGGCTCCAAGGACTGAGCCATGGATGCAGTAGATGGGGTCATTATTGCTGCAGCCCAGAAGATGGAGCACCAAGTCACAGAGAATTATTCTTACATCTTGAATCTTAATGGAATCAGGAAACCTGTTGGCTAACAGAGGCCCCTTTATTCCTTCAAATTTCTCCCTTTTTGATTGGAAATATCTCTCTTATGTTTGTCCCACCATTGTATTTTGGAAGCAGATACCTTATTTTCTGGTTTCACAGGTCCACAGATGAGAAATTTTCCCCAGGATGAACCATACCCAGATTCTCACCAATACCTAATTTTGATAATGAGATTTAGGACTTTTTTAGTTGATGATATTTAGATGAGATTTTGAACTTATAAGTGATGCTGGAATGGGCTAAGACTTTGAAGGATGCTGAGATTAGGTAAATGTATTTTGCATGTGGGATGAATGTGAATTTTGGGGAGTCACAGGGACGACTGTATGGGATTGAATGATGATCCCCCAAAACACATTGGTCTAAAACCTCAGAATTTCACCTTATTTGGAAATAGAATCTTTGCAGATGTAGTTAGCTAAGTTGGAGTCATAATGGGTTAGAGTGAACCCTAAATCCAATAACTGGTGTTCTTATAAAAAGGTCATATGAAAATACTCAGGAAAGAAAGCCCTGTGACAACAGAAGTAGAGATTGGAGTGATGCAGCTACAAGCCAAGACCTGCCAGGAACCACCAGAAGTTAGGAAGTAGCAAGAAAAGATTTTTTAGAGCCTTCAAAGGGGATATTTTCCTGCTGACACCTTGATTTCACACAGCCTTCAGAACCATGAGAGAATAAATTCTCTTGTATTAAGTCATGCAGTTTGTGGTGTTTTGTTACAACAGTTCTAGGAAGCTAATTCATCAACCTTGAATTATTGTGATAAATCTTTATCTTCTACCTAGGTATTGTATCCATTACTGAAAGTAAAATATTGAAATCTCCAACTGCTACCAAATTGTCGGTTTCTCCCTTCAATTCTGTTAATTTTTGCTTCGTGTATTTTGGGGTTAGGTGCATGCATGTTCATAATTGTTATATTTTTGTGATAGTTGACCTTTTCATCATTATAAAATTTCTCTTTATCTCTAATAACAATTTTCTTTGTTTTGATTTAAAGTCTAATGGTCTGATATTAGTGTAGCCATTCTGCCTCTCTTAGATGGTTGCTGTTTGCATGGTATAGCACTTTGGATCCTTTTATTTTAAACCTATTTGTGTCTTGTGTCTTTGAATCCAAGGCATGTCTCTTGTAGTCACCATATAGTTTGATCTTTTGAAAAAAAATCCAGTCTGACAATCTCTTTCTTTTGATTAATCCATTCTTCAATATGCATAAATATGTATGTTTTGCATTAATTCTGGAATTTTGAATTTTTAAAATAGATTCTGATTCTCATGAAATTCTCCATCTTTACTCATTAATCAAAGCTATTTTTTAAGTCTGTCTCTGATAACACTAATAACTGGGTCATCTGTGGATGTTTTTATTGCCTTTTCCCTCATAGTTCAGATTTTTAATATTCTTTGAAATTTTTGACACAATGTTAGCTATTAGATATGATACATTTTATAGTGTCTGGATGATATATTCCTGGTGGGAAGATAGAGTGGTGGCAGGCAGACTGCATTAATTCAATCAATCATTCAGTTGACTTGAAGCTAAGTTACAATTTTTATAAGGTATAATTTACTTTGATTCTCCTGTTTGTATCTCTACAGAGTTCTTAAATGAGATCCTGGGATATGTACTAGGGGCTTTCCCTTTTGAAGGGTTGTGAAATAACATTTTTATCTCTCAGTGCCATGATGCATAAAAACTAAAAATCTTTTTTCTGGCTTTCAGCAAGTTTCCGCCTCTTTTTTTTCTTTTTTTTTTTTTTTTTTTTTTTTTTTTCCCTCTCTGAGCAATCCAAGAATTCAGCAAATACTCAAGAGGAAAACAAGGAAAGTGCCAGGCTCACTTCTCTGAACTTCCTGTCTTACTAGGATCTCTGCTCTCCCAAGTGCGATTGGTTTAAAGGCCCTGTTCTTTTTGTTTCTCCAGTCCTGTGTGGTTTCCATAACTTGTTTGCTTCTCTGATTCTTAACAGTAACTCTCTTCTTGGGCCTTTTACCCAGATTTGGCAAATTCCATAATGGAAGAAGTAGCTGCAGAATGTCTGCTCACTTCTCTGGTTAAAATACTTTTGTATTGGGAGTCCCCAAGACCACGCCAGCACCCCAGGTTCAGTGATTCAACAGAAGCACTCACAAGGCTCAGCATATAGTCATACTCATGGCTATGATTTATTAGAGAAAAGTACTACAAAGCAAATCAGCAAAGGGGAAAAGGACATGGGGTGAAGTCCAGAGGAAACCTGACACAAGATTCCAAGAATCCTTTGCCTGTGGAATCACACAGGCTGTGGTTAATTACTTCAGTACTGAATTGTGACAACAGGTGTGAAATGTTGTCTGCCAGGGATGCTCGTTAGAGTCTTACTGCCCAAAGTTTGTATTGGAAGTTAGTGATAGAGGCACCCTCTGCCCAGCACAAATCATAATTCCAGACTCCTAGAAGCAAAGCGGGAATTCAGCATAAACCATGTTGTTTATATAGTTTACAAAGAGTAAACCCCCTTATCAGTTAGGGAATGGTGGGAACATTCCGGTAATCCAAGTTCCCAGACACTAGCCAAAGCCCAGCTTTAAAATCAGGGCTAAGGATAGCATCTCAGCCTCTTATGTTAACTCTTTTCTGCACACCTTCTCTCTGGCGTTTTGTCTTCTAGAGTCCTGTTTAGCTGAAAGTTCTTCAATGGCTTCAAACAGAGGTTTTAAGCAATTTTACCCAAAGCTGCTTGTTGTTCTCAATGAGTGTTGCTCTGCTATAGAAGTGTCTGGTTATTTTTCTTTTCTCTTGTGAAGACTGTATTTGAAAAATTGTAGAACTTGAGGCTTAAGATGATGGGGTTTTTTTTCCACCTCCACAGAGGATTTGTTTATTACCAAGCACTTAGGGGATCATTTTTAATCTGATTTCAGGAATTGGGATGGTTTGAATCCGTGCTGAATTCCCTGTGTATGGGGGAGAGTTGATGCACTTCCAATTCACTCTTACTCCTATGGTGGAGCTTTTTTGGGTCCCAGCCCAAAGCATGGGAATTTCCTAAGCCCTCTTTTATGACTTGGCAGGCACTGGCATTCAGTTTTTGTCCTCCTAATATCCTGGAGCAGTAAGAAGCACTGCTTATCCCCTTAAATGCTTCTAGAATCAGCCAATACCTCCAGGAAAGAAGTTGTGCCAATGCTTGCCTCTCTAGATTTTCATGTTTATTTATTTAGAGACAGAGTCTTCCTCTGTTGCCCAGGCTGGAGTGCAGTGGTGCTATCTCGGCTCACCTCAACCTCCGCTTCTCAGGTTCAAGCGATTCTCCTGCCACAGCCTCCTGAGTAGCTGGGATTACAGGCATGTGCTACCAGACCTGGCTAATTTTTTTTGTATTTTTAGTAGAGACGGGCTTTCACCATGTTGGCCAGGCTGGTCTTGAACTTCTGACTTTAGGTGATCCACCCACCTCGGCTTCCCAAAGTGCTGGGATTATAGGCATAAGCCACTGCGCCTGGCCTAGATTTTCATGTTTTGAAGAGTTTTGCTGGATTATCTAGTTGCCAATGGGAATTTTGATGTTAATTACCTAGTTTCCCATGACTGAAAGTGTAATTCTACCTCTACCTCACTGATTACATTGTAAAATAAGTTTCTTAGAAGCAATATTTTGGGGAAAATCATAATGGTGAACAGGAAGCTTATTATTGCACACACAAGCATGGTGCTTAGGGAAGGCAAACTTAAAGCCAGATCCAGAGTAAGGCTCTATTCCATGAGGACAAATAGTTGTCTCTCCATGAAAGAAAATATTTGATATAATCAATCTGCCACTAACTATCTGGTCACCCTCAGATGTTGTATCTTAGGATGGTCACTGCTGCTGGCCAGTTCGGCTCCTGGCAGTAATAAGGACAGCCTTGATGAAAGGAGGCCTGTATTGTTGAAGTTCCTGTGTAGCCCTATCCTTCCAGTATAGCCGCTTTGCCCATAAACTGTTTGAACAAAGGCTGGAATACCAAAGAGATTTACTGATATCCTCAAAGTCATCTTGACCATCTGATTATTTAGCACCTCCTTCACCACAGGGCCTTTGTTTAATATGTCTGTAGGAAACAATTATTCTTGCAATCTGAGCCTATTTTAAGAAGTCCAATATGTTTAGCTCCCAATTTTTGTCACTCATCCTCCAATCTTATTACGTCTGTGTTTCCAACCACCTGGCCAGGTATAAATGGTGTAGATCTGTATCTTGGGATGGCTCACTTTCGGTGCAAAGCAGACTAGAAATACTGCTCATATTTATTCTCGCTGGAAAAAGTTCATTTCCTCACTGTCCTCCAGAACCATCTTTGAGTGAAGCTGAAACACTGTAGGCTATGTCTAGCTAGTATCAGCATGCTGTGCAATACTGCTTGTATAACCAGTCTCAATTTTACCCCTTCAGGGAACTGGGAAATGTATATTATGTCCTATTGTACGAGTATTCATGGGTTTGCTTGCTTGTTTGGTTTGTCCTTCTTTCAAACATGTCCTGTCTCATCAAATTCAACTTGGTGGATATAAATGAATTTAAAGGCTTAAGGAAAGAATAAATATTGAAACAAAAGTCTTAAACTAGAGGGGAAACTAGAGGGGAATTAGAATAGAGGAAGAAAAAGTGGTGATGCTCTTCCAGAGGGTTTCATTTCAAGGGATTTGGAGGTGAAAATGTTTGTAGAAAATTACACAGCACAGCAGGCAACATAGAAGTAGAAATATGTTGGCTAAATGAAGAGAGTAAAAGTTTAAAGATAAATGCATGATAGGCTTTCAGTAGGCCGTAGTGGATCTAGGATACAAAAGTTAAATATACTTGTAGTTTCTACAAAAGGAAGCAAGTGAGACAAGGAGCAAGAATTCAGTGTTGAAGTTAGGCCTTTCCTACGTTGTTTTCTGATTAGTCCAGATACCATTCATATTCACCACAAATCTACAGGAGTGAATAATAAATGTCAAACATTAGCCCAGAAAATTCTTCACACCATTCATAGTCTAACTAAAGAGAAACATGATGCATAATTTACTTCTCAAAACATTTTTATGCAGGCATGCTTAAAATAATCAGAGTAAAGCTTTACAACCTTCATTTTCATCTCCATGAAGAATATTAGAGAATAAAAGGAGTTTCAAAGACTTCTATTGAATAGAAGAGAAGCAACACAGTCTCTCCTATGCTGCCACTGATTTCCTGGATTCGATTTATATTCTATCTAGTAAAACAAATCTTTATTCACCATTATGTATTAGTTATATTATATTCCCACAGGGCTGTGGTCTAGTGAGGGAGACAAATATGAGAAAGATAAGTCACAGCACAATGTGATGTGGATTATATTAGAACACTTAACAAGTGTGAACCAAGTGTTATAGAGGTCAAGAAGCTACAGAAATCTTTGCGATCTTCAGCAGAACACTAAGAAGTCACCAAAGATACATCAATTGTTGGAGCTCCAGTGGTACGATCAGTTAGCATGCCGTACTTATGACCTGTCAATTGCTATATACATAATATTGACTTATAATCTTTGAATAGAGAGAGCTAAGAAAAACAAACTGAATCCATCAGTGTCAATACAGCTTGGATAAGACTGTAGCCCATGTATGTCAACATAACTTAGTTGTTTATTCCAGGAAATCTTTGCCCAGGAAAGATAAGATTACAAACAAAACAAAGCAAATAAAAACAAGAACAATCCCTATTTTTTTGTTGTTGTTGTTTGTAGAGGAAATTCCTAAGGTTGAAGACAATTCCTACAGGTGAAGCCCTGCTCACCTGGGCAAACAGCTTGTTTCTCAAACAACAGTTGACTTTTCAGGAATCTTCAAGAACCCTGCTTGCTGTGTCCACTAATTCTGAACTATCAACTTTGCTAATCCCAATCAGTTCCCTGCCTTGACAGACATACCTTAAACCATTTGAGCATAGATCCCAAAGCCCTACAAATAATCTTACTTTCTGGTTCTGACACACAACCAAATCAAGGTGGCACTTTCTCTTACCACAGTAAGTCCTATTATTTACTTGTGCTTTATTAACAGGTCATCTGATATTTGGGAAGTTCAACAAGGATTTTTTAAAAGGCTTGCTCATTTAGTTGGTGTGTAGTGCTGTATGGTAGAATCATTTTTCTATGTCAGGCCAATTCACCTTCATTAACAGGTCTATGCTGATAACGTTACTCAACTGGCTTTATTTTAGGTAGGCCTCATTTAAAATACAAGATCTCTTCAAGAAGTTTGCCCTTTCTAACTACAATCCACTACCAGATATCCAATTCATTGCTGACAGCTACTAGACCATATTTTACATTTGTATAAGCCATCAACTGAGGAACCCGTTAGAAATACAGGTTTCCATGCTTCACTCACAGTGATTCTGATTCAGGGAAATTAGCACAATGCCCAGGAATCCCCATTTAAAAAAAAAATTTCCTAATGCAGGCTGTCTTTAGACCACACTTTGAGAAACAATGCTCTCCTCCCCCATACTAGCAAACGTAAGTGTGTATTATACATATACACACACTCATATTTAACTACTGCACACATTTATAATGCAAGTGGGATCATACACTGAATAATCAATGTAAATCATCACATACAGATCTGCATTCTTTTTAATGGCTACATTATATTCCACTATATGTACGTACCATAATTTATCTATTCCTCTATTAACAGACATTTAGATTTGCTGGCTTGTTTTTGCTATTACAAGCAATACTGCAATGAATACCTTGCATGCTTATGTTTATATATTTGTGCTAAATTTTCAGTAGAATACAGAGAATGGAATAAATATAGAAGAGTAGGATGGCTGTTTCAGAGGGTATGAGATACACTTTAAAGTCTGATAGATCCTGTTGAACTGCCCACCAATTCATTTGTACCAATCTACAGTCCTGCTAATCATCTCAGTGACTAATGATTTCCCCATACCAATGTCAATACTAGAACCAATCTTTTTCATCTTTATCAATCTGACAGGAAAAAAAAAGAGAAATCTTATTTTAATTTGCATTTTACCATGCTTTTACTAACAGAATAACGAGCATTGTTTGACCACTAAAACACAATTATCTCTAATTCTGTAAAATGTATTATGATTTACTTTTAGAACACTTTGATTTTATCTTACCTTAAAACTATTACCTGTAAGACAGATGGGGTGAGTGAATTTTAAATACATCTCTATTAGGTAGGATTTAATTAGTATCTTCTTTTACCAAGCTATATAAAGTGAGAGTCCTAAGACCTGTGTTCAAGGCTGAGTTTTGCCACTCAGCAGCTAGGTGACCTTAGCCAAGTCCTCTACCCTATTGAGAGCTTCAGTTTCCTCTTCTGTAAAATGGGGATTCTATGCACTTTATAGGATGATTTTGAGGATAAGATGATCATTTTAATTACACATATTAGCTACCACTACTATCACAATAACATAATGCAAAGAAAATAATAACTACAACTGGTTGTAAAAAATCTTTCTCTACAATTATAAAACAGTTATCTTGATATTAACAAAGTCGGGTTGTAGGAGGTGAGTCAGCTATGTGGACTACTGGAGTTACTGGAAGAGTGCATATTGTATAGGACAAAATACTGCTTACAAAATCACCACTCTGGTTCTCTACAAGTACCCTTCTAAGAGTAGTTAAGAACACATTTCCTAAATTACTTAGTTCCTTAGATGAAATGGAATTAACCAAACATATAATCAACTACAAGCCAGGAATTTTTTCAAGTGTCTAATAGGTTAATAGGTTCTGTTTTTTTTTTTTTTTTTTTTTTTTTTTTTTTTTGAGATAGAGTCTCACTCTGTTGCCCAGGCTGGAGTACAGTGGCATGATCTCGGCTCACTGCAGCCTCCGCCTCCCAGATTCAAGTGATTCTCCTGCCTCAGCCTCCTGAGTAGCTGGGACTACAGGTGCCCGCCACTATGCCTGGCTAATTTTTGTATTTTTAGTAGAGATGGGGTTTCGCCATGTTGGTCAGGCTGGTCTTGAACTCCTGACTTCAGGTGATCCACCCACCTCGGCCTCCCAAAAGGCTGGGATTACAGGTGTGAGCCACCGCACCCAGCCATAAGTTCTTTTTTCTAAGTACATGCTATAATGCAATTCATGTAATGCCACTGAGATTTCCTAAAGCCAACAAACAAAATTCTAAAATTGTACTGTTAAAGAAAACACTGAAGACTTATCCTTGATTCTTTTCCAAAGCTAACATCAACCTAACTCATTTATTGTCTCATAAATGTCTAGATACCTACCACGCACAAAGTCCTATCTAGGTACTAGGGGCATATAATCTCTGTACTCAAGAGATATAGACTCTTTCTTCTTCTTTTGCTTTTTTTTTTTTTTTAAGAGATAAGATCTCGTTATATTGCCCAGGCTGGTCTCAAATTCCTGGGCTCGAGTGAACCTCCTGAGTAGTTGGGACTACTACTCACCACACATGGCAATAAAGATTCTAAAGTTAGAAGGACAAAGTGATGTTACCTAAATTTGCCTGTGCTTCTGATATGACAAATAATCCGCCACTGGTGCATGGCCCATAGAGCTCATCTTCATCTTTGGATGAATACGAGTGGACCTGTCATACTCCTCAGCCCTATGACATGTAAAGCACAAAGCCAGGAATGAGGTCATTGTCTTATCACTTACCCCCAAAAGCTCTCAATGGCTCAACTTACCTAAGTCTTCCTCCTTTATTCTCTTCCTTCATATCAAAACTTCTGCAAATTTTTATAATAATTTTTTAAATGAGTAAACTGATCTGGAAAAAATATTTTTTTCAGTTTTTATTTCAATAAAACAAGAGGCAACACTTGTTGTATAAAGTACTACATATGGAGAACATTTACACAAATATACAAAAATTCAAAAAACTAAACTCCAGTTTATTTCCATAGCCTTAAGAAGGTAGGGAACACACAAAAATAGCCAAAGTCGTCGTTTATTCTTTAGGAATGTAAACTCTAGGAATACAATTAGAAACAAATATATTTACTATGAAAAGATTAGTATCACTAAATGATTAGAAATAAAGGTAAGAGGTACACAATAAGTTCCATATAAGAGAAAGCAACAATACGTGAAATAAAATCTTGGGTTTATGGTAAAAACTTCCTATTAAGACAAATGTACTCTAAAACTCTACTATAAAAAAACACAAAAACATCTCCCAAAATGTTCGTTGTTAGTTTCTTTAGATATGCACAAGTTACAAAGTATAGAAGACAATATATTTATGCTCTCTGATGAAGAATTTAACAATATTAAACATAAATCTGAATAACTCAAAGTACTGAGTATAATTTTACTAAGCAACAAATGTAGAAGTATAAATTCATGCTCATTAAAGGACTAGAGAGTTTTAATTTTTCATACAAAGACTGGGAGGACACTATTATACATTAATTTCTATCTACAATGCTTAAAGTACCCATCAAATTATTTTTCTTTTTAAGTGGTTTTTAAAAAATATTTTTCAGTTACATTATTCAACATGTATATATTTCCTTGATGTGCTTCCCTTTAATACAGATTTATTGTGCCTAAACGCAAATGTTAACCTGCCTTATTTTAAATATTTGTTTAAAATTATGTCTCAGAGTACATCTGTTCTCTGTAATTCAACAGTTTTAACATTTTAGTTTTATTCTTCCAAAATAGGCAAAATCCCTTAAAACTGGGATCATTTTGATCTATTTTGGTTTTAAAAATATATTTCCCTTTAATTCAACTTTTTAAAAAAATGAGTAATATTTGCTGAGCAGTTGCTTCACAATTGAAAAGAGCAATGAAATATTGCTTTTTCAAAACAAACTTCAGGCATCATTTAAATGCCGAGAATTCCAACTCTTCAAGTCTTGAGAGCTTGCCTTAAAAATTTCCATAGTGGTATACAAAGGACTCCAGGGTGCTTTCCTGTGGCTTCAGGAAGGGAAGGGAAGACATTTGCCCTGGGTAGTCTGGGACAGTCCCTTGAAAAGTCTATTTTTGTTTCTCTCCCCACTTGGATTCCAAAAAGCTAGTGCTGGCTCCAGTGCCACCAGAATACTCCAGGCCGTTGGGTTTTCAAATGTGAGAGGTTGGGTGATTTCAAGAATCTATAGAGATTTAAAATGTGCAATGAAGCCACAATTTCTGTTCAGATCCTCTGAAATATGGGGTGCAAGACCCCAATTTTGTGTGGAATCCTTCTCATGATAAAAATATTATTCTGGATACTTAGGAGATCTGTGACCATCAGCATCTTTATAAGAAAGTGACCTACAAAAGCTACCCCAATTTTCAAATTTGAAAGTTCAGTGGGGAGAAAGTAGTATGGATAATAGTAATGGTTACCATAGTTAAGATTATCCAATTTTCATAATTTCTATAAAAACTTTCAATGTGTAATCCTTATTTGAAATAGTATCAAAGGAACTATAAAAGAATTTTGTTGTTAACGTAACTCCGCTCTCCAGAAAATCAATTAGTGCAAATCATTTGAAGCAAAAAATCAGAACCATTTCACTGAGCAAGTCTTCAGAGATTTTTTAAAAAGAATATACAAATGCAAATTTGTTGTGCAGTATATAAAAGGGTGGCACCCCTTTTCACACTTAAAATTTCAGGCATTTACAGCTCTGATTCCATTTATAGTTAACAAGAAAAATATAAAGTGTTACTTTTTTACTGCAAAAATAAGGATCATTAGCAATCTAGAATTCAAATACTTAAGAAGCCATATGTCAATATTATTAAACTAATTAATTAGCTGTCAAAACCAATGAAGATTATAATGATCTAGTGTCTGACACATTTGATCTAGGGCTGTGAGACCACTGGGAATTCTACATATTAGACGAGTAATTTGTTTGCACTCTGATACTTTCTTCTCATAAAAATCACTTGGGAACCTTGTTAAGAATGCAAATTCTGATTTAGTAGACCTAGAGTGGCATGAAATTCTGCATTTTTAACAAGATACCAGATAATGCCAATCCTACTTACTGGTCCTCAGACCACACAGCTAGCAAAGGTCTAGAGAGGTCTAAATGAGGTTCCATTACAGTGATAGAACATGAAAATCTGATCTCTCAGCTCTGTCAGCTAACATTTCCCCAAACTTATTCTACAATGTTTCCTAAGCACCTCAACTTGCTTAAAATGCCAATCTTAAAATGCCAAATTAGTTTTTAATAATACCAATACTATTAATAACTATGCACAGGGGAAATTCATTGTTAAAGAATGACAAAAAGACATCTGTAAATTCACAGTGATATTTTACAAATATTTTAAATTGTACACAGGGTTCCTATTAAGTTAATACAATATCAAGTTTCACTGCCCGATTGCCTTACAGTTCTTAACTACAATTTATGGCAATAGATCTTATTCCATTCTGTTACTGGAGCTAAAAGAAAATCAAATTCATTTATGTCAAAATCCACATTGTAAACAGGGCTAATGAATGAAAACGAGTTCATGCTTTTTGAAGAACTCGGTTTAAACTGGTAGCCAAAGCAGTTGCAGTTAAAACTATGTCCAGAGTATAAATGCTTTGGCAGCCTTCAAAGCATACAAATTTTTCATATATCTGAGCTCTGCATAAGCAGGAACAAGAGGAAAACACTAGCATGCTCTCTTGGTGACTACAGCAAGGGACTATGAAGAAGGAAACCGCTGTGCAGTCACAGTGAAAAAGAGCCAAGAACTGGACAGCTCCTTAGGTCTTCCTCAACGGTCAACTGACTCAGCCTCAGCCGTGCTTTCTCTCTCTCACTCTGAATGATGACTTAAGTACATTTGCTTTACAGGGGAACCGCAACCATAGCCAAAAGGACCACGGCTAGCAAACATCAAACTTTTATTTCCATCTAGAGGTCACATACAGATACATACAAGTTTGTTTCAACTTCTGCCATGTCGTCTTTTTCATTTTTACTTTTTAGTTGGGAGGTAACTAAATTGATTATTCTTTTGATATCATACTAAGATATTTAAAACAGGCCTGTTCACTAACAAGAAAGACATTTCTTTTTCTTCGTGTTTTAAATTTAAGAACACAAACATAAACAACTTTAGTTAATATATAAATGTCCTTTGTCCATATTTCACTACCTTTATTTTCTTTCATGACATTTTATAGATGAAAAATGCATTTGCAGACAAACAATTACATATTATACAGTGGTATCTTGAGAGCTATGTTGCAAGATTTACACTGATTTCCAGGAAGTCTTCCAATGACGTATGCTCTGAATTATAGGAGTCCAAACTAACTAGGATTTCCAAAGTCCAGCAGTAGGGTAAATCAGCTTTACAGCCTATTATACCTTAATAATTGAAAGGGATCTTCACATGCTAAATCCAGATAAAACACTTCAAAACAACACACCTACCAGCAATCTGATTTTTGATATAAAAATGTTTCAGAGATAACAACAGAAATGCCTCTAGCCATCCCCTGGAATCATATAATATTCTAGGCACTGGGTTACCAGGCATTTTCCAGGGCTTTGAGCAAATTGTTCTAATCATAAAGATGATCTGCTTACAAATATTTTCATCAGGTGCTTTTCATACACATCATTTTTGTGTTTCCACATGCCTGTTTTCAGATTGGCTTCCTGACCAGGAGCTAGAGAATTCCTGGAGTTGTGCCTCTGCCCCATTCTCTATAAAACAGTTCCCATACATGCAGACTCCCTTTGACTCTGAAGGCCAAACACACAGCCATCAAAATAGGAGCTATTAAAAAACCAAACCAAACCAAAACAAGAAAAACCACCTTACAACCTCACATGAGACATAACCAACTTGATTAGACAACCTGTCAAAATTTATTGTCACTGACAATCTTAGGGCAACAATAACAAATAAGAGGAGGGAAAAAAAAGACTCAAACCAAGGGGAAAAAATCTTAATCAAGAAATAACAAAACCATATTTCAACTTACTGCAACCTAGACAATCTTCCCTTCATAAAGTCAGGGGAGCCTTCAGAATTTAAGACATCAGGGCTCCTGTCAGGAATACGGATGAAAGACCCAGGGTACTTTCATAAAGAAGCAAAGTTGTATTTCCAGGTTCACTAGGTTATGGGAGAAAAATATGTTACTAATTAATCTGTGGACAGAGTAATGCTAATACTAGGAGGTCTCTGCTGACCTGATTGATGCTTCATTGGAAGTTCAGTTCTTTCTGAAACGTAAATAAGCTTTTCTTCTTGGAGACTACAAGCGGAAAACCTATTGGCATCTGTCCCAGCCCCACAACCAACAGCAGATGACGGGTTATGTGGGACTGTGACACCACTGACTTGTTCAAAGGATTTACTAAATACAGTCGCTGCGGTCTTAGCCAAACCATGGCTACTAGGCTTAGGTAGGGATTGGCTGGTTGTTAAAGTAAGTCTCTTCAAAGAGAGAAGCTCAAGATTCTCACTTTGGGCTCTCTGAGTTTGTTTTCGAGCAAAGTGATCTTTGCAAGATTCCCCTGTAGTTTCTTTTTCTTTTCCTCCAGTTTTGCTTCCTCCTGACCGTCTGTGGTTCTTTCCTATACTTGGCTTGTTACTACAATTGTGACTACTGTTTGATAAACCCGACTGGCTGGTACTAGACGCAGCCCTGGAATAAAATCCCTCGTCAACTTCAGATATCTCCATCAGTTCTTCTTGACCTGTTAATTCTGTATTTCCTAAACAAAGAAATGACAAAGATTAATTAACATTAAGTATTTTAAGCAATCTTTTTAAATGATTAACACCAAATCAGTTATGCTTTACATAAATTAAGCTTTAGCATAATTTATAAAGCAACAGATTATAGAAAATCAAAGGATAAATCAAAACATTTATTATAAAATGTCAAAAATACTTCACTGTAATTAAATGACAGTAATTTATAGTGTATTAAACAAAAAGCATGCCATAAACCATACCCCATTAAGTTTTTAGAAAGAATTCTCCTATTCATGCAAAAGATAAGAAACAATTAGAAATATCACGCAGTAAAACTAGGGGTGAACTCTCCTTCAGTAGCAAAGCAGTATAAAATCAAAGCTCTTACCAAGGAACTTTTAAAAAATTGGTATTAGAATACTTTAAAGACTTTTTTAGAAGGTTGTACTCTATATTGTAGATTATTTTATCAAATTAAAAAAATCTAGACTCTAAATATCACAAGCTCAAACATAAAATTCTATACACATTATCCTTCATAACAAAGATGGCAAAAAGACAAAGCCGAAAAAGTAATTTTAGAACTCCAAACATAAGCAGAAAATTATTTTAGAAGGAATTTTCTGCCTCAGTTTTCATAAAAATTTACTCAAAGACGATAAAGGTATAATCATTCCAAAGAACATTAAGAGTCATTGAGAAATGTGGTGCATAATTCATGCATTTGGATTAGATTACATGCAAAATTTTTGTGACTGTGCAACTGCTGCTTAACATGCATCAGTGGCCCTTTGCCTTAAGATACCTTGGAGTGCAGTTATAAAGTGCTCTGCTAAAACTGCACTCTGCCAGGTGAGTTTATTCCATCCTCCATCATTTTTCTTACAGATTTTTGCCTCCTGATCTCTGGCAAGCCTTTGCTCTCAGTTCTAGGATCTGTGGCTGTTTCCTGCACACCCTGTATATGCTGAGCATCAATCTCTCCTAGTGTTCTGCCTTTTTCCCCATTCCCGGTTCTCTCTCCGGCCACATTTGTGACACTAATCTCAGGAATGACAAGGATGCCCAATTCAGTAGCATCATTATTGTTGTCAGGTTGCTCTAGAATTGAAGATGATAAGACAAAATGATGGATGAAAACAAAACAAAAACGTGAAATGAGAAAAGCAAAAGACTCAAAACAAAAATTAGATGACTGAATGTTATGAATTAAGCCAAATATTTGCACTGTAGTAATTTCCATAATTTATAATACTCTGATAGCACCAGAGACAATAGGGTCATATTCTTTAATTTTAAATGACAAACAAAAAATTCACAGAGCATCAATTCACGTTCTGCATTTTTTCACACACACATTTCACATGGAATATGAAAGATAAATTTTCTAATAAATCAAAATAAAATTTGTTTTTAAATTGTTCTTTTTGTGTTCTTTGGGTAATTTTCTAGTGTTTTTAAGATAATATGGTGACCACCTGAATTTATGTCAAGTCTTAGGCAAATGTTCAAGGATCTACAGCCAAACCTTTAGCTTTTGTCAACATTAGGAACCAAGCCACACAGAAGTTCCCCTTTGTACTCTTAAAATTCTATTTTTTATGAGGCTACATTGAGACTGACTTAATAAACCATGATATTTGGGAAAATGCTTATTCATATATGATATCATGGTTAGTAATGGCACAGGTATAGTTTTTGTCTCACATATACATCATCTATTATTAACAGTAAGTATTAATGTGGCTGTGATATAGTTAAGCAGTTGATTTATTCAGACTCATACCAATTTCATAAATTTAGTTCATTACTAGACTAGAGAAAAATAAAAATGGATTTGGAAAAACAAATTCGTTGTCAGCCCTTTATCTGAAAACAGCCATTATAAATGAAACAAAGAAACAAAACTCCTAACTAGTTAATACCTGTAGACATGATTTTATTCTGGTCTTAAATAAGAAAGGCATAATGTTACAAGGAGTTATTCATGTAAATGGGGAAAAGTAACATAAATATACCTAGAAGGTGACAGTAGTGAAACAAAGTTCAAAGCAACATAAGACTATGTAAAACAGCATATACTTTTTAAAAACTGTAGACCACAAACCTGCTTATGGGACATCACCTACTATTTTCAAATACTTTCGTGATAGGATTATCAGACTCCCACTAATGATGCTAAAGGCTGAGAAACAGTAACAGGTAGTAAAAGAACAAAGGCCAGAGCCACATATTACTGTGGTTCCCTAACTTAGCTGCACATTGGTATCACCTGAGCATCTTTAAAAACTACTGATGCCTGGCTCCAACCCCCAAACATTCTAATTTATAATTAGTGTGAGATATGACCTGGGCATAAGATTTTTAAAAGCCCCAGGTGACTAACGTGTAACAAAGTCTGGGAACCACTGCTCTATTCTGATTCTTTCAAATTTTAAAAACTTAAGATAAAAGTTGTTACGGGTGCCTTGGATACTCCATACCCAGCAGCAATATGCACTTCTGGGAGCCCCTCCTCAAAGCTTCATGGTGCCTCGCACTGCTGAGCCAACATGCTGGTGTAATTATTTCCCCTAAATTAGTGCTTCATAGGCTTTTGACTAAAGGTTCTCTAAATGAAGTTTTTATTTCCTAGATAGGCTGAAGAATGTTGGTGAGGTAGTAGTGCACTGCTGCTTCTGGGTGCTCTGTAATAAAGGATTAATGAAACTAAAAACCTCCAACCAAGCCTGTTTCCAATTGCTAACAACTGTCTTCCAAGTTAGGGCAAATAAATTCTTATTGAGGTACATGCCAGAGGTCACTGCAACTGAGATAAAATCGCCATGGCACTGTGGAGTGACAGCCAAGACTTGTTTATTTACATTGTGGAAGCTGTTTCACAAAAGATCTACTAAAGGGATCTCCAGTCCAAAAAAAATCAAACTTCGGAAATTATCCAGACATAAAAAAGGCAATGAATATTAAAATTTAATAAAATTTTAAAAGCTAAGCATAGGCCTAATAGAATACAGAACAATACTTACAATGAATTGCCCTAAGTCGCTTTCTTGAAAGTGTTCACATATATTATTCAATTGTAATCTCAAAACAATCTATTAGTGAGCCTCTGAAGTAGGCAATTTGATTCCCATTTACAGACAAGGAAACTGAAGTTCAGGAAGAGCTACACAACTATTCAGTGGGGGAAGCTAACCAGTAAAATCTTTTAACTTCAAATGTCTCTTCTAACATACTATAAATACTAACTCTAACTCTTCATTCGAGTCCGTTTGAGTTAAATATCCTCTGACATCCCACAGTTAGGTTTAATTTATTCATGTAGATTCCTGGCCATTTTACAAAAAGCAAACAATTTACTTTGAATGGAGAGCCGGAGAAAATAAAAGTCTGGAAGAAATCCTAGGAAAGTAATAATTCTTGAGTTTAGGTCTGTGTATTTTTTTAATTGGGTCAATTTTTTAAGAGATGCCAATGAAAGCTGTTAATCTAAAGTGGTGCTTCAATGGCAGAAATTCAGGATTTTGCAAGAAAAACTAGAAAATGACAGGGAGAATATTACATAAAGCAGTACCACGCAACTGAAATGTAATCACTTTTATCAGAATAAAGGTCTGCAGCCCAAGAAGTAATGATATTACATTTAAAAAAATCATGGAATTAAATGGCAAGTAGAAAAATAAGATCATGTGTTTTCCCACAAGCATAAGTCTTTACCTAATTAATTGATACTTGTTATCACTCAAAAATGGTTAACAATGGCAGATTTTTTAAACTGCTTATTAAATTTATAAGAAGAGCAAGTAATTCTGTACAGAGCTAGAAAGAACAGAAACATAATTCTCAGGAAAACTACAGAATAAAGAAAGATAATTAAGTAATCCAAACAAACATTTGTTACCTAATCTTGCTCTCTATCAGCTCTCCAACTTCTTTCCCTATATAACTCTGTGACCCGACATTCCCACCCACACTGTCTTACTGCTGTCCTGGCTGCTGTCTTCTCCTGGTGGCTGAATGGCTCATTTCCTTACTTCACATCTTTTTCAAAAATTTCCTTTACAGTGAAGTCTCCCTTGGTCAACCCATCCAAAGTTTTAATAGCCCCCACGTTTCACATACCCTCTTCCTTTTTTCTTCTTCTTAGCACTTAACACTCTCTAACCTACAATTATTTATTTATCTTGTTTCCTAGACCTAAGTTCCATGAGGAAGGAGTTTTTAAAATTTTCATCTAGTCACTACTATGTATCTAGTACCTGGAAAAGTAGCTTGTATATAGTAGACACTCAATACATCTTTTTTTGATGAATTGAGTGAATATTCTGTTATGAGATTAAATTATTAGAATAAATAAAAGTGAGAAAACATACAGAAGACATGAGAAGGGTAAGCTGTGAATGTGTTACTTGACTGGATAAATGAAATACATATAGCTTATGCTAATAAGAATTTTTACATGGCAAAGAAAAGCAAAGCCTCTTTGTTTTGGAAAAGTGAAGGAGCCGTCTCTAAATGTAGGTTTAGCAAGATGCTTAGGTCAAAAAGATCATTTTTAAAATCTATTTTTTTATTATGTTATCCAGAGGATGGCATATATAGCTAAAGAGTAGAACTTAATCCTTTCTTTAAGAAAATTATATAGAAGATGCTGTAAGGGAATATAAATGCATAATAAAATAGATTTTGTTTTTCCCAGAACTTAACAATCTATGCAAATGGAGTCATGATTAATCCACACCTTAAAAAAAAAACAAAAAACAAGTACTTGACTTCAAATAATTCAAAAAGCTCAAAAAAGATCCAAAAAGAAACTTCTCAGGATATATTTTATTTGTGTAACCCCCTATATGCACAAATAGGTAAACTCTCCACATGTAGAAATGAAAGTTAAAGAATACTTTTAATAGACATTTCCAAATTAGTTCTCAAAGGTACTCAAATAATTTTGCCCAAAAAAATTTCTTCCAGCTTTAAGAAAAAAAGTGAAGCAAATTGCAAATATTATTAAAACTGATGACGAAAAGTTGTGATTTCTCTCAAATGTCATTTTATAATCCCAAATATCTATTTTATTATGTCACTTACAAAACCACCTTAGCTTTTGCTTTTATTTGTTTTATGGCTGCCATATTTACTAAAGGTGAGAATTTTAATAAAAGAATAATTTATTTATTCATAGAATTTATACATCTCTGTACTCAGATTACTTTGAGTCTAAAGGCATCTGGCTCTGACATGGGGTGCTTACAAACTTATTTGTGAAAATAATAAGCTGAAGCTTTAAAAATATAATTTATTATTTGTCTGCATCATACAATTTTTTACATGAATTATGAAAAATACTTTAACTTAGAATAAACCCCAAAACAAAGTCATACACATTCTTTTACAATTTATGAGATGTAGATATTTTAAATGCCATACCAGAACAAATATCCTTTAATATAGTCATTTTATGTTTATAATATATTCTGTTCAATGGAGAAAAATGTTATCTGTATTCATTAAGCTATTCCTTACAGTGTTATTTATAATAGCAAAACTCAGAAACAAATTTCTTAACATATTAGAAGAATGATTAAGCAAATGATGGAATATTAACTCAATGTGATATCATGTAGCCATTAAAATAACTGTATTTACTAGGAGAACTAGGGAAAATGTCTGACAATATTAACTAAACAAAAACAAAATACCAAAAAAGTTTAAATAGAGTACAACCATGAAAACATACATGCATAGAAAAAACTAAATGAAAATTCTTTAAATACTGGAATTATAAGTAAATATCCCCTAATCTAGTTTACTATCATGTTGTTATACTGTTCTTCAACAAAACAAGAAAAGAAAGAACAACTTGCTCACCCTATGTTATACATTTCTTTATCATTCACTCACTTATTCATGCATTCAACTGAAATTTGTTGAGCACCTATAATATGTCAGACATTGATTTAGATGCTGGGGATACAACAGCCAAAAAGATAGATTCTTCCCTCACTATATAATAAGGGAACAGAGCTCACACTGTAATATCGGAACCAAGTAAACAAGATAATTTAAATAGCAGAAAATGCAATAAAAAAATAAGATGGGAAAGAGGAAGTAGGGTAATAGGGGATAAAAGTACTTAGATGGGTGGTCTGGGAAAACCTCTTTGAAGAAGAGATGTTTAAGCTGAGGTTTGAATGATGAAAAACTGCTAGCCACACAACAATCTGGAGTAAGGGAAGTCAACATACCTTTCACTATTCAAATTTCAGCTCAAATACTCCAAATAACTAGACAATGCCCCTAAGGCAGAATGGCTTAGTACGTTGAAGTGTTAGAATGAAGGAGTCTAATGAACCAGGGTGAGAGTGGTCTTAAAGTGAGGTCAAAGCAGTAGTCAAGAGGTCATATCACCAGGATCACATATGCCATAGCACGAAGTCTGGATTTTATTGTGATTACAGTGGATGGCCAGTGACAGCTACATGAAAAAACTATTTGCATATCTTTCATACTTTACTAGCCTTTTTTATCAATAGAAGTCACATTCGCGTAACACAAGATACTGAGCATAAACTGTGTCCCAAGTCATAAAGAATAGCACTGTGGCAATGCTTAACCTGGGCCAGTATTTACAAGGCAGATTAGAGGAAAACAAAGCTATCACAGAAACACAGGATGGGACCCTGCAGTTAAAGGGCTGCACTCTGAGCAAGGGCAAAAACAAAGACTAAGATGTCAAAATCTGAGCTCTGAAGCAGTAAGTAGTCTTTCTAGGTAAGAAAAGAGCAGCCTGGGGCATACAGAAAAACAGTCTGGAACAAGACAATTTGTATAGACACACCAGTTAGGAGCTATCAGCAGTTTCCATAAGAGATAAACAGTCAGATCTTTAGCTTTAGTTGTATACATGGTAAATGACAGAATTCTCCTTATTGAGGTGGATTCAATTACTCTCAGTAACTCCTTTTGTCATCTTTATTAAGTCTCAAGTTTTAAATAAAATCCAATAGAGAATTGCAACATACGGCCGCTGCAGGACCAGGTGAATCCTTTATGATTATTACAGATCCTCATGACCACGTAGCACAGACCAAAAACAGGTCAGCAACACCTATTACAAAACTACCTGTAAAAGCTTATTTCTTCCTTGGTGTGCAATGTGCAGCAAATGCTCATAAAAAGGTGGAGAAAGGAGGAGTGCTCAATAATCAATAATAAAAAATAATAACTTTCTTAACTACAGCAAGATTTATGTAAGTCCCCCTTAGTAAAAATGTAGAATACAATAATTTACGAACAAGTTTTTTTGCCTCATGAGACCAATAATTCTGTCTCTGGCTGGAAAATTTTTTAACTTCATTTTACCTGGAAATAAAATGAGATTTTTTGTTTTCCTCAAAAATTGTCTAAGTCAGGATTCTGTACACAGTCTTTCTTTCCTCTCTCAAACTTAATATCCACATGTGTCAAACATATCAATGTATTTCAGCTCTTTGGTTAATATGTCTTTTTTCCTTGAGTAATCTAATATTTCCTAATATTTTATTTTGTCCTCCATGGAAGTTCCACATTGAAAATGCCAGTTAAAATTCACAAAATTTTTGGTAAGAAAGAAATGCTTATTTTTGTCCAAATGTTTTATCTTCTATATTGGGAAAGAAAATCTGTTCCTCAAATAGCATTTTAGAATCTGAAAGTAATGGAGCTTCTCAAAATGATACTAAAAGTATTTACATTTTTTAAAATAAAACTGCCAGATAATTTTTTATTTTCTAAATTTCCTTAATAAGTATAGACAACCTTTAAAATAAAAACATACACATTATAAATTTTTAATTGCCGATGTAAAAATCATTCCAATAGACAATTCTGTAAAGTTTACTACTTTGGGGTTTAAAATTATTACCATTTCTTTGTTTTTCAAAATGCTTCTTAACTGTTAGCAACTTTATTTCTCCTCAACTGAAGACTTTTCTCATAGTTGTAAAATCAGATTTACAAAATAAATGTTCCATTTCAAGATTTATTACCATTTACCTTTTGTAATATCTAGAAAGACAACCTTAAATGCTTAAAAATATTTATAAACAATTATTATTTATAATATTTACTAAAATACACCCATTATAATTTTTCAGATTTGTTCAATAATTAGTACTTCCTTGCTTTATCAATGTTATTATACAGCAGAAATTTATTAGAATTTTCTAAATCAATAACCAGTTTTAAATGTTTTCCGATATGAATTGCAATCTTTTATTCTTTTCTTTTTTCATCTAACAAGCTAGTACTAAACCACTGAATAAGCAAATTATGAAACAAATCACTTTTTTGTTTTTTTTAAATCTCTTTGAACTCTGTTATAATCATTTAACTTTATTTAAATATGATGGCATCCATTAAAGAGAAGCAATTATTTTAAATGCTGAAAAATGCAATAAAACTGCTTTAACAACATGAAACTGTACTTTCTTTTTATTTCAACTACATAAATTTCATTTAGTCTGATTGTTCACATAAACACTGCATATAATTAAATATTCTAAAATTCTTGCAGTACTTATTTTGCATCATTAAGTTAGAAGACTTAGAAATATATACAGTTGCTACTTTTAATTCTTTTTTACTACTTAAAATTTTGTACTCTTGGATCCCCTAACTGAAAATAATTAAATGCACTGTTATTAAAATAAACCATTTAACATCTGCCAGGACCAAAAGTAGGGAAACATTGAAAGTATCTTGTTTATAAACATTCCTTTTATTATTGATACCTACTAGTTGCAAACAGTTATAACTGTACATAAATAAGAAACATAAATTTTGTCTATGTAATTTCTATTTTTATATTAACTTGGGATTGAAACAATAACAACATTTTTAAAATCCTTACTGTAATAGTGATATACACGTTAGATAATAAAGTTAGAGTACTATACTCCAGTATCACAGAACATACAAAAAATCTTTAAAGTAATTGTTACTATTATATAACGTGTATTTTTGCATTTGATGCTATACTCAAACTAAACAAGTTTAACTCAAATTGAGAAAATCCAAATTACAAGTTTCAAAAACTTACAGTTTTGGGAAAGTACTAAAGAATCACAGGACAACTTGAATAGCAAACTAGCTAATAAAAACTTATTAAGAATATACTTATTTTGTAGCTAGTAAAACAAACAAAACTGTTCTTAATTAATAATCTACCTTTATGTAGTGCTTTAAAGTATACCAAATGTTTTCACTTACTTGTCTCATTATCTCACAAAGGCACAAGTGGGAAGAATGATGGGCAGCAATAAAAAAATCGAGATTCCACTGGATAAGCCTTTTGATTAGTTGGCAAAAAATATAAGCACTCATTATTTGGAACTATAACTTAATTAGGGGACTTTTATAGAATGAATGACTAGTATTACAATAACTATTTTGAAAGAAAGGAGGAAATCTCTTACATTGTTCCAAGTATGGATAATTTCTTAAAAAGTGGAAGAAGAATGAGTAATCATGGTAGTAGTAGTTGTCGTGAACAGAGAGAAAATAGCAATTAGATTTGCTCTAGAAAAGGAGGAAGGAATGGAAAAACACAAGGAAATAAACAAGTATAAATTGTATACTAGAATACTGGAGTGGTAGAGAACTTTTCAGGGACTTAAGAAAAGGGGCTTTTTAAAATAGCTGAAATGGTAGATGATGAAGGTATCTTTGGAAACGACATTTAAGAATGACTATAGAATTAAAGCATAATTATAAAGAAATAACTTTCTATTTTCCTTTAACTTCTTTTTATTTTTAAAAGGAAATAAATATTTAAGCAAAATTGAATTTTAATGATTAACTTGAAAAATTAATGAATTATTTTACTAAATTTTATCTCATTTTTCTTACTGGAATTTTCATTTTGACTTTTATTATGGTCATAATCTATTCAGTCTTCTCTAAACTTATTGAATGCTTTTTAAAGCTTATTTTATTATTATCTTTCTCCCACTATGTTTTACTTTCAAATTATGACTTCTAGACAGCCCTCAATTTGTAGGTGACTTGAAAATCTATGTTTGAAAAAATACACCTTTGCCTTGAATTATTTGCCATCTATAGACTAAATTAAACACAATACGCATAAAAGAATAAGCAACACATAAAGCTTTTAATTCTGAAATTATGTTCCTTAAAAGTCGAAAGCAGCAATTCTACACTGTAATTTTATTTCCCAAACATATTTACTGACATAAAATTATGAAGTCATTAGAATTTTCTCAAAGATTTAAACACAAAGTTTAAAAAATTTGAAAAACACATTAAGTTAAGCCATGTCCATACAATTGTTTAACTTAAACTGAAAAGTGGGGCAAATCAAGCAAACACACCATTAGTTGTCAAACAGATCTCTCCAAAATAATACCTCAGTTAAAACCAACCTTTCTTTAAAAATCATCCTATTTAATTGACATGAGGATGCACTGTCTGGTCAAAATTTAAATTATAGGTCCTTACAAACGTACCACTCTGGTGCGGGATGTTGATATACTGGGGGAGGCTATGAATGTGGGGTCATGAGGTATTTAAGAACTCTCTTATTTTCCACTCAATTTGGCTGTTAACCTAAAACTGCTCTAAAAAATAAAGTTTACTAAAAAAATAAAAATAAAAAACAGAGCCAAGCAAATAACAGGACTGGTCAAAATACAATTCTAGAAACTTGAATTGATAACAACAGCAAAACCATGGCCAGAGATGCGTATTCTGAAATGTGTAGAAATGTTAAGAATAAAGTAATTTTTAAACTTCCATTATAATACTTTCCATTAAAATATGTTGTGAATAATTCTTAACCTTAAGAAAAAAATGGCAGATCTATGAAGCGTTACAGAATCCTAAAATACATTCTAGGATAGCTTTAAAATATTTTAAAATGTAAACAATTAAAACTTTTCAAAATTCATTTTAAAAACACTACAATGTGAGATTGGGCTGTAAAGAAAATTGAAAGATTCTTCTGTTACTGATAATAAAAGAGAATAAATATCCATTAATTGCTCTAATTTAATGTATTTGTCGGCTGTGTAATAATTTTTGGTGACTCAGATATGCAAACACACCAGTACATTCACATGGCTTAATTACGTATATTCTTTTATGGTAAAGGGAGATGGAAAAAAAAAAAAAAGCAAAAAGGAAAGTTTTACTTGGCGTCTTCCATGAGAAAACCTCATTCACTCGTTTCCCTCTTCTACCCAGAAAAGATAGAAAGAGGAGAAATTAGAGGAAATGCAATAATAAATAAAGACAAATAAGTAAAAGAAAAAGAGAAGAGCTCCAACAGAAAAAAAGAAAAAAGGGCCAATTGCTTTCTTCTTTCCAAAAACTAGGAAAACAAAGAGGCAAGGAGAAAGAGGAAAAAAAGAATATTTCTTAAAGTTCATGGTTCTCGTCCCTTCTCCTTTCCCAATCCTCATCACCACTGGCTTAAGGTGGGATATTCCTTGTTTCTACTGTATGATAGATACAGCTGAGGGTTTGGGAAGAAATTTGTCCTACTGTGAGGGTTGGTGTGGTGAGGGAATAGTAGGGATATGAGTGGGTGGAATGGGAAACACATTTAGAGTTCCATTAAATATAGAAACTCTAAATGTATTTTCATACAGCCATAAACTGAACTTACATTCTATAGTCCTATGTTTCAGAAACATTATGAGATAAAAAGGCTGTTGTGGCTCACCCTGGGATCTACAAGCCCTTTAACATTGTTTCTAAAGAAATGTATAAACAAATTTTGTTTTGATTTATATATAAATATTAACAATAGAATTTATATATTAACACAATTAAATTAAAAAATCTATAATTTGAGAAATTTGTAATTTATATATAAACAAAATTAAATTTAAAAATCTATTTATAATTTGAGAATTGTCTATATATCTAAGAAGTACAGCAAAGGTGTCTACCTTCCCCACAGGAAGCCAGTGCCTGTTAGAGAGCCTAGAAAAACAATGTGTTCAAGTAGGAAGCAGGACCATGAGGATGGAAAATAGAAACCTTTCAAATTCAGCCGAACATGGTAACTTTACTGCTCTAGAAGGGAAAGCCAAGACTACCCTAAAAAGGGAGGAGACTGCAACCTACCTGTAGAGGCAAATAAGAAGGACTTAAGAGTATTTTAGAGTCCACTGGATAAAGGGAATTCACACTAAAGAAGAGTGATAAACAAGGCTAAGCTGTATTCTGTACCTGTTCCATGCATGTGACTTACTTTTTATAGTTCATTCACTTCTATATTCTCATCTGTGACTTTATTGTTATAATAAACAGAGTTTCCCAAGTGTTAGAATTGTGAAGGGGTACAGGTGATAAGAATGCTACTTTAATGAGGGTACAATCCTAAGACAGAGTGCTAACCCCTCAAGTGGCAGCCAAAATACAATCTGGAAGATATGTAAGAATCTGCTAGAAACAATACATTCAAGCAGTCTTTTCTCTTGTTTTGTAATTTTTTTCCTATAAAATATGTCTGGGAAATGGCTTCCATTTTGTTGCAGGGTACAGACCTCCTTGTTTAAATGTACGCCTGGACATGCACACATACTCTCTCTCATATACACACATATGCACAAATACAAGGGAGCATCAATATTTCACATTTTTAACTGCAGGACCTACATTTCTCTCCCAAATTCCCAATATGTCTACCTAAATAGCAAGAAGGAAAGTGGAAAAGAAATTAAAATTCATTCTTGTGCTTCCTGTAGCAGTAGCTTAGAAGCAATTATGGCCACAGTAACCACTATGATCTGCTTCATTGCCTCCGTGCCTGTTCTCACACATTAATGCCAAAACAGAAAAACCAACCTCAGGGTAAACCATATCTAATTAAATTACTTTCTACCTGTAATCTAGCCCCATTCAGTAGCATAATTTTCACTGAAGAAGCTGAAGTATGTTTAGACTATATGTTTTAAATGGTGGTATAATTTGCCTTGCTATTGGCAAACATCACCGCCTCTTTTATACTTTCCTATGGAACTTTCAAGAATTGCTACACTTTAAAAACACCAAAAATGATCACTAGGTAAGCTGGATAATCATTATTGTTTTCTGACATACAATCACCTAGATTCCTTAAGTGAAAACAATGGCAACTGTTCTCATCACCAACTTTCTAGTTTACCATAAATAGCTCCATTCTTCTCCTTTCCCATTTTCTCTATAGAAACCACAACACAACCAGTACCAAATATACCAAAAGGAACTATTATTTTCACCTCAGTTTACAGGAAGAAGAAAATAGAGAATGGATTTTGTTTTACCTCTAATATACACGTTTGCTTAGGGTAAAGAAGTAGCTTTTTGCTTCCCACCATGGTTACCTTCTGAGGAAGGTGATAATTTCCTTCTTAGACTGGTTGTTGACACTACAATAACTTCTAGGTAGGAGGGAAGTTATAAAAATAATATGAAATTAAATAAAGAACAATAAATTAAAAGACAAGGGAGGGAAATGGGAAAGCACTGAAAAAGCCATAGTGAATGAAAATGACTTCCAATAAAATTTTAAAATAATAAAATGAAGCAGACAAGAAGGGATATATATATACACACACACATACACAGAATCTTGAAAGAAAATTAACTTCAAGAAAATACAACTAGTGTTGCGTCAACACTATGGCATTCTTTACCAGAAAGTGCAGACAAAGTGTTTAAAGTCCCTATTAGTTGTTCTACTTCAATATGTAAATTCACTTGCTTAAGAGTTCACTGAGAAATCAGAAATATTAATTAAGGAACATTTGCAAATACTTTTGAATACAAGCCCAAAATGTATGAGTAATTTTAAAATGCATTTTCCTTATTCTCCTACTGAAGTAACAATTTCAAATTGAATATGATTTTTAAATACATTTTCATTCATATGTGTAACATAAGGGGCTCCATTTTTCTTACTGCCTATTGCTCCTAGATAATAAATTAGGAGTTAAGGGCAACTCCACAGCTCTTTCTTCCAGATTACTATTTACTGAAGTTAGAAGTTATAGCACCATAAGTACAGTGAAAAATGTAAAAGAATCAACAATGGTTTGACTTGAAGAGTTACGTATTTCTTACCATGTCTTTTCCACCTATGACCCCTTATTGACATGCTGGTTACTGCATTTCTTGATATTCGAGAGGAAGTTGGTGTGATTTCAACTTGAATACACCTTGTACCTTCCTTATTAGATTTCATGGGACCATGAGGCAATGAAGCCTTTATTGCATTAGCAACCTAAGGAGAAAAAATATAGTTTAAGATCAACATGAGCAGATAGAGCAGATATATTATCTAACCCTTCGATAAAACATGATGCTAAACAGGCTTATACAAAGAGGCTCTTCCCAAGCATTTTATAAGATGATACAGAAATCCTCTAAGATAAGAATAGGAGGCTAAGAGGGAAATTCATGGTTAAAAAAATATGTAAATGATAAAGTTAAAAATTTCAAAATATTCAATTAGATTTCCAAATGCCTAATGTTAATTAATAAATGCAGCTAAAGTATGTTAAGGAGAACAATTCTCATAAGTTAAAAAGACAGTTAGGTGTCTAGGAAGTCAGTCTAATAAAAATTTTTATTTTGGCCAGGTGCAGTGGCTCACGCCTGTAATCCCAGCACTTTGGGAGGCCGAGGGGGCCTGATCACCTGAGGTCGGGAGTTTGAGATCAGCCTGACCAACATGAATAAATCCTGTCTCTACTAAAAATACAAAAAATTAGCTGGGCATGGTGGCACGTGCCTGTAATCCCAGCTACTCGGGAGGCCGAGGCAGGAAAATCGCTTGAACCCAGGAGGCGGAGGTTGCGGAGAGCCGAGATCGTGCCATTGCACTCCAGCCTGGGCAACAAGAGCTAAACTCCGTCTCAAAGAAAATTTAAAAAAAAATTATTTGTTACTTTTCTAAGTTATAAAACTTCCATGTATAACAAGAGCATGAATACACTGAGTATTAATGACATATTAATAAACTATGAATGGCTCTCAATTTATAGTTCTAAATTGAGAAATCTTAAATTATAACATTTACATAAATAAGTCAGGCACCTACCAGCAATGGCTCTGGATATAATTCTAGCTGGGCTCTGTATATAATATCATCCAGTGCTTTTTGAGCTAGATCCCATTCTCCATTATAACTATAAAATTAGATGAATTAAATGAAGAAATTATAATTATTTATAACTGAACAAAATACAATGAGAAACTATCTTTACTGAAGAAAATAAAAGATCATATTAGCACATTGCTTAACATTCTACTCCTCTTAAAAATGTATCTTTAAATCTTTGAATTCCTTTCAATTGCATCTAAATGCCTATTAATAGCAAAGAAAATTTTATAGATGTACATTTCTTCTCTAAAGAACATGACTATTTATAGAACAGAAATAAAAAAAGCTAAGGCAATTTCAAAGCATTTTATACTTTCAAAGCAAATCAGAGAATAATAAATTATATACCTTAGAAAAATGTTCAGAACACTTTATGGCCAAATTATTCTGTAACTCCCACAGTTTTTAATGAGAATCTACTACCAGTGTGGCTTGCAGTATCCTGAGTAGTTATTTCTTTGCATTCTGATAATCACTTAGAAGTGTATTTGCTACATGTTGCAAATAGCAGAGCAACTTGAGGGAAAAAGTGTGTGTGCATGTGTGTGTGTGTCTGTGCATGTGTGTGTGTGTGCATGTGTGAGTGTGTGTGTATGCATAATTTTCAAAGATATGCCAAACCCTTCCTAAAAATCAGCTAAATTACAAAAATGAACAGGGATATAGTGGCTTGATCAACTTCCAACAAAATAAAGAGGTATAAATTACATCAAGAGTGCAAGCGAGGCCTAAAAACTGGCAAGAACATTGCTCCCACCATAAAAACAAGATAAAGCCAGGTAATCTACAAAATTATAAATTCTCAAGAATCCATCAAAGAGCCGAGGTAACAAGGGCTTCCACATAGCCGGAACCCTAAAGGGAGACAGGTGCCTCTAAGGAGAGATGGGCCACAATACAAGCAGGTAAGAAACATTTAGCTAATTTTCTTAACAAATTCCTAGAAGCCAAATTGCTAAAAGGTAACTCATGGGCTAGCAGGAGAGTACAGAATCTCTAAAAGCACATACAAGTGGGAGCCTGTATCCACCACAGGCTCTTCGCCATAAATCTCCTTTAGGCACTCACAAGAAAAACTAGAAACAGGGCAGGTCAGAGAAAACTGCCCTTGATGGTATAGGCCTGAAGGAAAAGAGTAACCACTCCTGTGAGAAAAGTACAAAGAGCCAGCCAGATGCCTTTATCACACAGAACAAAAATTTTAAAGCCTTTGGGGAAAGAGCAGCAATCCCTTTCACCCCCCAGCGAACAAGTGAAGACCAATTCGGCTCTGAGGGTAAGAAAAAAAAAAAAAAGCAAAAAACCTCTCATTCTATGCTGAGATAAGTAGTGGGGGTCATCACTGAAGGGGCAGGACTACTGAGAAACTCCCATCCCTGAGATGCGGGGACATGGGATCAGCCTAAAACTGAGGCTGGACCAGGACAACAGAGAACACTACCTCCCCCCATTTCCATGCCCCCCCACCCAACCCCACCACCGCCCCAGCCACCACCAGGCTAGTGCACACCCAGAACCAAGCAACAGAACTGTACTGCTGGAGGAAGGGGTGAGAACATGGAAAGAAACCTATCTGCAGTGGAGGCATACAGAGAAGGCTGAAAGCTGAGGACGAAGCAGGAGTATTAAGAAAAACCCTCCAGCAATCCAGCTCTCCACCTAAGTACCAGGTAGCACTAGAGGAATTTGAAGTAGATGGTGCCCTGAGGGTAACCATAACAACAAAACCCAATCCTAGGTCACTTCTGCCTATAATAATTCCACTAGCAGCCTAGAAGAGGCATGCCCATTTCCTGTCATAAATAATATTTACCTCAGTCTCTACTGTCCTACTGCTAAACAAAATCATGAACAATCAAAAATTACAAGGCACATGAAAAGCAAAACAAACAAGACCAACTCTGTCAAGAGATAAAGCAAGCAGTGGAACTAAATTCATAGATGACCTAAATGTTGAAGTTATTTGGGAAATTAAAATAACTATGACTAATATACTAAAGGCTCTAGTGGAAAAGACGGACAACATGCATGAACAGATGAAGATTTCAGCAAAGAGACGGGAACTACAAGAAAGAGTCTAATGAAATGGTTAGAAATAAAACACGGTAACAGAGATGAAAAATGCCTTCAGTGGTCTCCTTTCTAGACTTGATCTAGTCAAGGAAAAAAATCCATAAATGCTGAAGATATAGCTAACAGAAATTACTCAAACTGAAACACAAAGAAAAAAGATAAAATAAAGTAGATCAGAGCATCCAAGAACTGTGGGACAATATTAATGGTCTAACACAAGGGTCAGAAAATTTTTTCTTAATGGGCCAGACAATAAGTATTTTAGGCTTGTGGGCCGTACAGTCTCACCTATTCAACTCTGCCATTGTAACACAAAAGCAGCCATAGACAATACATAAACAAACACGCATGACTGTATTGCAAAAAACTTGACAAAAACAGGCATCAGGCCAGACTGGGCCCACAGACCATAAATTCTGCCTTTAAGAAGTTTATAAATTCTGTCTTCAAAAAGTTTATACTCTACTAGAGAAAATTAAAAGTATCAAGTGAATATAATGCAAAGTAAATGAGATACATATAATAAGAGAATTATAAAGTAAAAGATAGGGTTCAAAGAAAAATACTAGTACCCAAGTCATCAGGTAAGACAGACTGAGCGCCAATATTAGAAACTAATAGAAAGCTAATAATAAACTATTTCTAATCAAAGAGGCTCTGAAATTTTTTTAAGAGCTAAAGTTTCTGGCAATGGAAAAATATATTTCTTGAGGAAAAAAAGCTATTTGGAAATTATAGCAAAAAAAAAAATGAAGAAAGGGACCATGAATATATTTAAGTGTTACTGATTTTCATTCCGTCCTTGAATTTAAGAAAGATGATGAAGTGTTTTAGTTGGTTAGAAATTCTTCAGAACTTTAAAAGATATGTTTTAAACTAAGATAATAGTTTTAAAGTATTAAAACTATTATCAAGATCTTCATATTTCACAAAAAGTATGCAAATCACTTATCTATTGACATTATAATATAGTGACAATAGATGAACAGACTATAATTTTCCAAAGAAATTAAATGTTTATTTCGCATATGATGAGATACTTACAAGGCAAAATAAATCCCTGTTAACATTTGCACCATGAATCCTGAAGAAACTGGTATCCTGCTACTTATACCTTTATATTTTCTTACATGTTGTCGAGGATATCCACAAACACAGATTCTAGAAAAACCAAAATAAATGTATTTCTAAAATTGGTAAAATTTTAGGTGATTTATTTTAACATTTATAAGCCAACAATGTACTAGGTACACTTTCATAACAAACCTAATATTTATGAAACAAAGAATCTTTCCAAACAGAACATTTGTCTGTAATACATTCCTGAGTAAGTTATACCAGGAAAAAACATATAAAGCTGAGGTATGTTGATACACAGAGTAAATGAACCAGATTCACTTACTGGTTAGTTCGCTAATTTTGGTCAATTAACTACCAATAATTTTTGGGTACTGCTAAACCTACTACATGAAACTTGGCACTGCCCAAGCTCAGTGGCTCACACCTGTAATCTCAACACTTTGGGAGGCCAAGGCAGGTGGATCACCTAGGCCAGGAGTTCGAGACCAGCCTGGTCAATATGGTAAAACCCTGTCTCTAGTAAAAATACAAAAATTAGCTGGGTATGGTGGCATGTGCCTGTATTCCCAGCTACTAGGGAGGCTGAGGCAGCACAATCACTTGAACCTGGGAGGTGGAGGTTGCAGTAAGCCAAGATCGAGCCACTGCACTCCAGCCTGGGTGACAGAGTGAGATTCCATTAAAAAAAAAAAAAAAAGAAAGAAAGAAAGACAAAAGAAACTTGGCACTATTTGTCATAAATAGATGTGTGGTATGATCCACAATTTCTGACAAAGTTCTTGACACAAACTGCAGGATCCAAAAAAATTCTATAAATTAGACTCAAACTTCATGCAGTATACCATAATAAACTTCAGATAGATTATAACCGTTAATGTTTAAAAACCACAAAGGAAATAAAACATAGGCAAATAGTTACATACTCTTTGCATGCTACCTAAACATGACACCAAAGGTAGAATGCTAAAGAAAGATCAATAGATTTTACTTTTTTTTTTTCAAGAAACTACCATAAACAAAATGACATGTAAATAAATATTTATTTCTTGGCACATGTATACCTATGTGACAAACCTGCATGTTCGGTACATGTGTCCCAGAACTTAAAGTAAAAAAATAAAAATAAAAAGAAGACATGGAAACTAAAAAAAAAAAAAAAACAAAGAAATATTTATTTATTATTATTAGTTTTTTAAAGTCAAGGTCTTGCTGTGTGCCTAGGCTGGAGTGTAGTGGCATGATCATGGCTCACTGCAGCCTTGAACTCCTGGGTTCCAGCAATCCTCCCATCTCAACCTCCCCAGTACAGGTGCATGTCACCACACCTAGCTGTTTAAAACAAAATTTTTTTTTGAGATGGGGTCTTGCTATGTTGTCCAAGCTGGTCTTGAACTCCTGACATCAAATAATCCTCCCACATCAGCCTCCCAGTCGCTGAGATTACAGGTATCACACTCAGCTCCAGAAATATGTATTATAGTGAGGAATATTTAAGGAGTACTAAAGCTAAGGAGCATTTATTATAACGAAAAGGAAGCAACCTAAAAGTCCAACACAGGAGACCAATTATATAAATCATTCAGAGAATACTATAGAAACTAAACATAATGTTTTGAAAATCTATTTAAATGACAGGGAAAAAAAACTGTCCAAAACAACAGATGCAGCATAATCCCATTTTGCAATAAACAAATAGGCGTATAGTGTGTGTCACTGCAAAAAGTACATTAAAAAGTCATAGTTATCTCTGATCTGTGGGATTATAGATCTATTTTCTTCTTTATATTTACATGTATTTTTGAACTTTCTGACCAACATGCACTGTTTTATTGTTTGTTTGTTTTTTGTTTTTGTTTTTGAGATGGAGTTTCCCTCTTGTCGCCCAGGCTGGAGTGCAGTGACATGATCTTGGTTCACTGCCACCTCTGCCTACCAGGTTCAAGCAATTCTCCTGACTCAGCCTCCCAAGTATCTGGGACTACAGGCCTGTGCCACCATGCCCATCTGATTTTTCTGTATTTAGTAGAGATGGGGTTTCACCACGTTGGTCAGCATGCACTGTTTTTAAAATAAACAGTAAGTTTTTATTTTTAATAAATTTACTAGAAAATAGATGCTTTCACATAATATTCTATGCTTGATATAATATGAGCTTCACTTAATATAATACTAGCCAATAGATTGTAATTATTTACTCACTCTTCCCCCGCACTGACTACCTAGAACTTAAAGTTATTTCCCCTACTCAATGAATCTAAGCCTTCACTTTAAAATGTCTAAGTATGCCACAGACCATTTCAAAAATATTCCCCAAGAATGTCATTAATTCAGAGCAACTTTAAAAAATCAACATAAATGCATTTGATATTAGAGGATCCCAGAACTTTTTAGAACCAAGAGTAAAAAGTAAGCAGGGAAACAGAAAAATTAGCTGCATGTGAAATAAAACAAACTCAAGTTTTGTTTGAATTTACAAAAATGTATGCCCAAACTAGAATAGAGACTCCTGTTACTCTTATTAACTAAAGAAGCAAACAAAAAATTTTACTTTCTTACATCTCACATTGTTATGATAGGGATGATTGTATGGTTGTAAATAATAGAGAACCGATGGATGAAAGAAATTTTCAGTTAATTCATTTATTCATTCTGTAAATATTTATTAAAGATTGATACTGTGTCAGACTCTAGAGATATACATGATGGATGTAGCTCCCACAGGGACTCACAATCTAATCATGGAGACTGTGTAGTAAGCAAATATTTTCAATGAACAAGTTCAAGATGTGGTAAAGGAGAGAATGGTAAACTCAGGTAGAAGAAGCGGAGAGTCAGAGAGGAATTCTCAGAAAAGAGATTCCTTTGAATTGAGTCTTGAAGAAAAAGTGATATTTTTCCAAGTGGAAAACATAGGAAAGTTCAAAGGCAGAGGTGGGATGAAACAGCATGACATTGAGGAGACTGTGGATATTTTAGCAGGATAGAGGGCTAGGACACTAGGAAATACTAGAGAAGCTCATCACATCATGGAGCCAGAACATGAATATCTTATAACCTGCTAGGTTTTACCACGTAGACACTGGTAAGCAACTAAAGATGTTTTGTTTTGTTTTAAGCAAAGGAGTACCAAAATCAGATTGGTCTTCCGATAACATCACTCTGGCTATATTGGAAGAGTTCATTGAAACTGGAGATGGGTGGGATGAGGATCCCAGTAGTGAGATGAAGGAGGACTGAATACAAGACATAATGGTGGGTAGGAGGAAGGGTAGGTTTGGAGTCATATCTAGGAAGTATAAAGAAGGTGAGACCAAAGAAATAAGAAGAGTGGATAATTATTTCCACATTTAGTTTGAATAGCTGACCACATGACGGTGTCATTAACTGAGTTAGAACAAATAGGAACACTGGAATATACTGTTTCAGATATGTTGATTTTTAGGTACCGTGGTATAGTATCAATTTTGTCTGCCATGCCACCATCCCTATCTTCTATTAAAAGCACTGCCATCCCTCTTCCCTTTAGGAACTAGTCTTTCCCCATAAAATCAAGAATAATCACATGATTATGGTGAGTCTGCTAATAAAACTATCTATTACAGAGATCACTACCTCCATATCTATTTGTAATAATACATACATATAAGTCACATTCCCTTCCTTTCCCCCAGCAATTTTAGCTAGGAATGCCAGCCGCTCCACTACAGACTACATTTTCTAGCTTTCCTTGCATTTAGATGTGATCATGTGACTAAGTTCTAGACAATGGTGTATTAACCAAAGTGGTGAAACTTCCGGGTCATACCCCTAAAAAAACTTCTATGTCATACCCCTAAAAAGCAGCTACTTGCCTTTCACTCCCTTTCTCCCCACTTGCAGGATAGAAGGCAGATGTAATAGTAGTGATCTGAGACCATACCAACAAGGGCAATACCATAGGAAATGGCAGAATCCCCAGACAGAAGCAACTTGAACACATTGGAAACATAAGCAATCTACCTCTGAGACCACCTACCAGCTTGGACTTTTATGTGAGAGAGAAATAAATATCTACTTTAAGTTATCATTGTTTATCTGTGTTAATACAACCAAAGCAATATTTAACCTGACAGAGTACTCTTCCAATTGTATTACCCAATATGGCCCTATAGGGGTATGTAGAAGTCTCAGGCTGTCACCCCCTTTGCTGGATGTTTTTAATACTGAAGCTGGGAGAAGTTCTTTCTGCTGAGGTCACTAAAAGCAGACAATGTAAGGGCCTGGCACGGTGGCTCACACCTGTAATCTCAGCACTTTGGGAGGCCAAGGCAGATGGATCACAAGGTCAGGTTTCAAGACCAGCCTGGCCAACATGGTGAAACCCCATTTCTACTAAAAATACAAAAATTGGCCTGGCATGGTGCCATGTGCCTGTAATCCCAGCTACTCACGAGGCTGAGGCAGGAGAATCGCTTGAACCCAGGAGGCGGAGGTTGCAATGAGCTGGGATCACGCCACTGCACTCCTGCCTGGGAGACAGAGCGAGACTCCATCTCAAAAAAAACAAAAAAAAAAGTGGACAATGTAAGCCTTTAGCTGCCTGAGGTCACTGTTCTTACCACATGGAAGAAGCCTATCTGCAAAAACAAAGTACAGTGCCAACAAATGAAGATGATGAGATGGGAGGGAATATCCTAAAAATATCTGAGTCTCTGGATCCAGCTGACCCTGAGGCCAGTTCTTTTTTTGTTTGTTTGTTTTTTAAGATGGAGTATCACTCTGTTGCCCAGGCTGGAGTGCAGTGGTGCAATCTCTGCTCACTGCACCCTCCACCTCTGGGGCTCAAGTGACTCTCATGCCCCAGCCTCCCACACCGCACCTGTTTATTTTGTGTGTGTGTGTGTGTGTGTATTCCTATTAGAGACAGGGTTTCACCATGTTGGCCAGGTTGGTCTCAAGCTCTTGACCTCAAGTGATCCACCCGCCGTGGCCTCTCAAAGTGCTGGGATTACAGGCATGAGCCAACGTCTGGCCATCCTGAGGCCAGTTCCATGACTGCTCTTCCTAGGTACAAAAATTTGGGTGTTTTTTTTTGGTTTTTTTTTTTTTGAGATGGAATCTCACTCTGTCGCCCAGGCTGGAGGGCAGTGGCACGATGATCTCAGCTCATTGCAACCTCCACATCCCGGGTTCAAGCAATTCTCCTGCCTCAGCCTCCCATGTAGAAGGGATTACAGGCACCCCACCACTACATCTGGCAATTTTTGTATTTTTAGTAGAGGTGGGGTTTTGCCATGTTGGCCAGGCTGGTCTCAAACTCCTGACCTCAAGTGATCTACCCACATCGGCCTCCCAAAGTTCTAGGATTACAGGTGTGAGCCACCGCATCTGGCCCCTTCGGTATAATTTAGTTTGATGTAGATATCAGTTGGTTGCCATAGGAAGAGTCCTAAAACTTACACGGTATCTATGGGACATGTTGACAGAGATGGTTCCTGGATTGAATATACAGGTTTAGGAATCAGGAAGGAAATAGTATAGGGTTCAGGAAACAGAACATAGGTAAGTTACTGTTGTTATTATACAACTAAAAAAAAATTTGCATGGCTCTAGGATGGTCACTCATCTTTTAAACTTACTTTATGTAAGAATTACAGAGACAATTCTCTCAAATACCAACACACATGAAAGATTTACAAAGGAAATAAAATTCCAGGTTCTCTCATTTTCTATACTAGCTACTTGTAAGGAAATAAGTGATCATCTATCAGAGGCTGAAATTAAACGTTTATTCAGAAATGCAAATTGTTAATGTTTTATAACTAGGAAAACTAAAACTGATGATTTTATTTACCAATGAAAGATTTTTTAAAAGTAAAAATCCAATTATTTCCTTTAATCCTAACTCTACTTATCAAATCATAAATCTGAGTTGAAGAGCTCATCTATCATTCACTCATTCAACAGTTATTGAGGTTCTATCATATGCCAGGCACTTCTAAGCTCTTGTGATATAGCAGTGAACAAAAAGTTCCTGACCTCTTGAAGTTTCTAGCAGTTGACAGTCTATATCAAAAGAACAAACAAGGTAATTACAGTGTTATGAGTGCTACAAGGAAATAAACTAGGGTGGGAAAGTGCTACTTTAGGAATGATGGTCACGGAAAGCCTCTCCAAGGAGGTATCATTTGAGCTGAGACCCAAAATAATCTAGTCCTATCCCTCTGCATCATTAACTGGTAATGGCATCTCTTTTCTCTACTCCTTTATTTTGGTACTTAAGAATTCTCTGAATTAGGTTTTTTCTGATTCCTATCTTCAAGGATATTGTTTGCCCATATACCCTTCACTGAATTTAAATGCCAAAAAAACAAAGCAATAAAGCTATATGCCACATGAATGCCTGGCTCCTCTGTTCATCACGGCTATGTCCTGAAGTTCTCTGATTTCCCTTCACAAATCCAAACATAAGGGTATGTCCTTACAAAAGAGCAGCTGAGTGCCATAACAGCTATGTCTGTATTAAATTTACTCTGCCAAATTCACAAGGCATGTGAAAATAAAATCCTTTCCGGAAGGTGTATTTGGTCAATATATTTCTTGGAGAAGTTCTTAGCATCAATGTGTAAGTGAGAAAAACTCTTGTTGTGATTCTCATTCTCTGGTGAGAGACATGTGTGTTATTCTTAGAATAAAAATAAACTTTTGGGATTGTTAATATAGCCTCAGTTACAAACCATAAAATGATTAGGAAGACCCATTCCAGTGAGTTTATTTATTCATGATAGACCAGAACCAAAAGTAGAAAAGAAAGGTTAATTATCAGATAATATAAATGTATTCAGATAATATATTTATATATAAATATATAATTATAATATTACATATAATATTATTATCAGATTATTATTATCGGATCTCCAGATCATCAGGCTAGTGAGTAGAAACTTGGCTGAAAAGGGGAAACAGGCCGGGTGTGGTGGCTCACATCTGTAAACACTTTGGGAGGCTGAGGCCCCCAGAGTGCCTGAGCTCAGGAGTTTGAGACCCGCCTGGGCAACATGGCGAAACCCTGTCTCTACTAAAAATACAAGCAATTAGCTGGGCATGGTGGCATTTGCCTGTAGTCACAGCTACTCAGGACGCTGAGGCACAAGAATTGCTTGAGCCTGGGAGGCGGAGGTTACAGTGAGCAGAGATTGTGCCACTGCACTCCAGCCTGGGCAACAGAGCAAGACCCCATCTCACAAAAAAAAAAAAAAAAAAAAGAGGGGCAGAGAGAAGTGGAGAGGAAAAGACCAGGAGAATAGAAAAAGGGGAAAGGAGAAAAGAGAAAGTGGAAGAATTGCCTGAATAGTAATGAGCACTTTTCTGTCCTGCTTGTTCTGCTCTTTAAGAGCTTAATAAAGTCTGCATCTTCTGTCATGTTTCTCAAGTGAAGATCACACACAAAAATCATGCTCACGTAGTTGGAGGAAAGATTATTTCAGTTGGGTTGTGAAGGATGGGCAAGATTTACATACCGGTAAAAAGAAGTTTCCAAATAAAATAACAAGCAATTGAAAAATTTGCCATAGGTTCTTTCAACCAGAAATGACCTTATATCAGATATGCTCTAGAATTGTTGATACAGTCATAGCAAACAGGTGAGAAAAAAAATGAAAGCAATGACTTATGTGCATCCATAGTGAATGTGTGTGCTCACTGATGGGGTACAATAATATGCCAGCTGTCATTTACTAGATGATAGCAAAGTGGCTGATGCTGCATTAAGTGCTTTATATTTATATAAATTTTATTAGTCAGGAGCAAAATGGCTTACTCGTAACAAAGCTGCCCTTAATTGACAGAAAACAATCTGTTCAGGTGGTCAGAAAAATTGACCTAGAAGTGAGGAGAGGCAGGGATTCATTACAGGTACACAGAAACAAATACACTGATCAGGAACTCACAGCTATCCATATCCAGGTTCGTCAGTTAGATGACTCACTAGCTAAACAAAATCAGAGCTGTCCCTTAGACAATGGGAGAGAATTCAACTTAATAGCTGAGCATAGTTTCATTCTTAATATTTATATTCCACATCAAAAAAGAAGATAAGCCATTTGTTAAACAGTCTTGTATTAAATGTCCAACAGAAAGAAATCATTTCCTCAAACTTAGAGGACTCTGGCATATACTAGCAAAACTTATTTGTAGCATTGGTGAGTATATTTCTTTTCATAGTGCCATATACATTTAGTACTAGCAGAGAACAAAAGCTTCCTGACTATAGCTTATTCAGTTTAGCTCTTGCTTGCTGTCAGATCTCTTCTTCAAGTTGTTCACACATACTATGTAGGAAGAAAACAGGCTATCAAGCTGGCCATCAATCAGTCTGAATCAGGAAGGCAAAGCTTATAGTAACTGAACAGATTTTTGCTCAGTAGAATGAATTTGTGTGAGCATAGGTGGAGGGTGGGAAGTGTTCAAGATTGTTTTAATTATTTTCATAACTAATTAAAATCAGAAGATTAAAAAAAGACTGTAACACATTTGTCACTGAATCTAGTTCATCTATCCCATGAATTTTTTCTGGTTGTATTTATGTATCCTTTCTCCTAGATGACCCAGTCAATCATTTTGGTATAGTCATCAACCAAATTGAGCAGCAATCTAAAACAACTATCACATGGCAAACAGGATTAGATGGCCCATGTAACAGCAGGATCACTTTCATCTTCAGGAAAACCTGTGTTAGTGCTAAGATCATTAAGAAGCTCTTGTACTTTAACTGGTATAACCATTTCTAACTTACTTATCACCACAGTTCTGTAACCAATTTTCTTTCCATAGATATGAACTAGGCTTAACATGATTAACAAAAGTGTTTTCTAATTCTTTTCTATTCATCTTAGAAATGTACAAAACCTCCTAATTAGAATATCTGATAAATGATTAAGAAAGCCAGTAGGTAAGAGAAATAAATAACTGGATTTTATCATTGAGAATACAGTCAATAGGGAATCTAAAATGAAAACTTAAAGACATAAACAACTAAAAATGACAGGAATGATAAATTTGATAGAGTTCCTCTAATATAACACATTGTAGTTAAGAGTTAGCATTATTTAGATAGCTTAAGTCTTTTAAATTACTTAGATCTTTTCCCCCACTCTTGTTTTTTTTCACAGCTGGTGGACATTTACATGAAATTAATTTCTCTTGTGGCATAAATTGATCTATTTCTACCAAAACTTCCTTGGCCAAAATCCTATAGCTAGTTTTAAAATAATCTGTTTCTCTTTGTTTTTAAAGCCAGTTTTTACTTGCATTCTCTGTTGAAGAATTATTCAGTTCCCTGGTCAGGTAAAATTGGTATATTAGCAATTTTCTACTCATAATATAAAAGTAAGTATATTAGAATGTACTACGTTAGAGTTAGATAGGCTAAAAATCAGTGACACATGTTCTTTTCTAACTTTTCCGTCAGTAGTTTCAGGGAAACGTCAAGAGTGGTTGGGCACTGTATTAGAACATCTATGGAGCTTCAAAAAATACATTTATATATAATACATAAAAATACAAATATATACATATATAGGCATTCCTGGATCCTACCATCTAATACACTGCTTCAAAGTAGGACCTGGACTTTGCAGTGTGTTCTAAGTTCTAGAGGTGAAAATTGCTGCATTGTTACTCCTTAAACCAGTATTTCTGAATGTTGGTCCTTATACCCATTTTAGTCGATAACAGAGTTTTCACTAGACCATAGTGAAACGAAAAGCAAGGAAAGCTAAACTTATCCCATTTTTAACTTATAAATTATTTTCCTTCCCTTCCACCCTCCCACCTTTTTGATATTAAAATAGTCTCCCTTTTGTTAAATAATGTTGATGGTAGACATTTACAATATAATGACTTGGCAAAATAAAAAGTTGCCAACACTTATGTAAATAACCCAGCTGTTCCACCTTTTTTGAGATTTTACAGATCTGTGAAATTCAAAAGTCCGGACATTTCTGCCTTTAAACAATTTAAAGCAAAAAACATCTTAGAACGACTTGGTGAGTGGGAGAGATGAACCACTGGTACCATCTTTTAAGGTTAGGAAATGTAATTATGCTCTAATTTGGAAAACACCTGAAAGACTTCACGTCTCTATCTTCTCTACCAAGCCCTTTGTCTTGTGAATTCTCTTCCTCTGCTGATTCTGCATGGCTTTCTATCCTATTCAGTATCAAGTTCTGATTTTTTGTTTATTTTGTTTTCATTTCATTTCTAAGTATTGCTCAATGATCCCGTCCTCTGTGATATGGTTTGGCTGTGTCCCTACTCAAATCTCATCTTCAACTGTAGCTCCCATAATCTCCACATGTCGTGGGAGGAACCCAGTCAGGGGGTAATTGAATCATGGGGTTGGGTTTTCCCATGCTGTTCTCACAATAGTGAATAAGTCTCATGAGATCTGATGGTTTTATAAAGGGGAGTTCTCCTGCATATGCTTTCTTGCCTGCTGCCATGTAAGACGTGCCTTTGTTCCTCCTTTACTTTCCACCATGATTGTGAGGCTCCCCAGCCATGTGGAACTGTGAGTCCACTAAACATCTTTTCCTTTATAAATTACCCAGTCTCGGGTATTTCTTCATAGCAGTATGAAAATGGACTAATACACTCAGGATAAGTTGCATTTTCTAAATAAATTCCTCAAATAGAAATTATTCCACATGTTCCTTAGTTCTATAATATCTCTTATTTACTTGAATTATCGAGGGGAATAATCTGTCATTTTTGTTTGTTTTGTTTCTCCTTTTTAAAAAAAGTAACATTCACATTACCAAAAATTTAGAAAATCACAAAAAAAATCACAAAGGAGAAAATTAAAATAAACCACAATTCCACCAACTAGAGATAATCATTGTTAATATTCTGGTCATATTCAACCAATCAGGAAATCATACCATACATACTATCATTAACTACTCTTTTAAATCAGGATTTTTAAAATGTGAATATACTATACTCAAGGATATAATTTATTTTATAACCCCTTGGCTCAATTTATTTTTAACAAGAAAAGTTTAAGAACCAGTATCTCTTACTTATTTCTTAGTTCCAAATTAGAGCACAGTAAAAATAAATAAATAAATGCAAACAAAAAGAAGCCAACCACATGCCAAAACTTGAAAGGTCATAACAGCTCTATCATTTAGCTATATACTATAATCCTTTTCTGATTAAATAGTCAATTTAAACGTTATTCAGCTTTACATTCTTCATGATGTTCTTGTTTTTGTTGTTTTTGTTTGTGTTCTTTGTTTTTGAGACAGGGTCCTGCTCTATCGCCCAGACTGGAGTGCAGTGGTGCAATCATAGCTCACTGTAGCCTCAACCTCCCGGGCTCAAGTGATCCTCCCACCTCAGCCTCCCAGGTAGCTGGGACTACAGGCGTGCACCACCATGCCCAGCTGATTTTTTAAAATTTGTTATAGAGACAGGGGTCTTGCTATGTTGCCCAGGCTGGTTTTGAACTCCTGGGTTCACGCAATACTCCCACCTCAGGTTCTCAAAGTGCTGAAATTACAGACATGAGCTATCGCATCCGGCCCTTTATCATGTTTTTTGTGACTATCAATTATAGGGAACTTTCCATGTGTTGGGTAGGCTGAGCTTTACATTAACTTATTTAATGTTTTAAACAAATGATTACACAAAACAAAAATAACTTAGGTATGTACCAGACTAGCAATCATAGATTCATATATTTCAATATTAGAAGCACTTGAATTTTACTTTACCTTGAACAAATTTGACACAGTGACTGAAGAGAAACACTGGGCATGTAAGTTAAGGCAGCATTGTAACACAACAAAAGGAATGTCAACACTTCAAACCTAAAGACAAACAAAAAGAATATTAACAAATCTTTAGAATTCTAAGAAGTCAACTATAATAGGGGAGAGAGCACTCCTTGGGGAGAGATACAATGTTACAGAACAGACCTGCACAGTATAAGCACACCAATAATGAAAAACTACAAGGAAAAAAAGACTTTCCAAGTAACAGCCATATGAAACCTGTCTTTAAAATTCAGTGTTCCAGCTGACACCTGAAGCAAAGCACAGTGACAAATCTAGATCTGTTTTTCTCTTGTATAAAATGACTCAGTATTCAAATAAATTGTCACACACAACTCATTAAACATTATTTATAAGTCTACTGAAATAATTTTCTTAAAAAATTAGTGGATTAAGATAAGAATTTTTATCCCCACAGTATACCGATTCTGTGCTGTCAGCATCTCCCTTTGAGGATGAGGTCCACTGTATACCACTTTTGACAAACCATGCTGGGATAGTGCACTCTCAGTCAGAGCCATGGACCCAATGCTGGAAGGCTAGAGAAAAGACATTTGAATAAAGAAAAAAAAAGCTATTCTGCTGAAAAGGTGATATATAGAATATATATATACCACTAAAATAGCTACCACGAACATCATATATCTTAAACATATTTAGGCTGCCTACCAAATTTTCTGCTCGAAGATTTAATAACTAATTTTAAAACAAACCACAAATGAGAAATAAAAATTAGTTTAATTTCACAAATTCTACCATGGAAATACACAATTGCCCACCCACCACCCCCCTGCCCGCCGGCCAACACACACAAGTAGCCATCCATCAGGAAGAGGGAAAAATATTTCAAAAAGAATACTTTCAATAGATCTCTTATTAGCACATTTTAGTTTGATGTTCATTTATTTTGATTTCTTATCTCAATTTGGAAATAGTAAATACTTTGTGGGTGTTTATACTTTTGCAGGTACTAATAAATTGATCAATTTTTTTCCTAAATAACTAGATTATAACTTGTGGCAATATCAAAGCTTAGGGTCAATAAACTTACTGTGATAAAATGTCACTTACTTCATGGTATACAGATGGTTTGGATAAAGATGGAATCGTAAAACTCAATACTTTGGTATGTCCCTGTTTGTCAACTATTTCCTATAGAAGTGAAAGAAAATATATTAAAATACATACTTTCTTACACACAAATTTACAAACTAAATTTAAATAGTCTAAAACATTTTTTTGAAAAAGACCTGAATAGAAAGGAATTTTAAGTTAAAACCTTAAACCATGATAATCCATTATTATTCATCAACACCGGTAGTTAAACTGTACATCCTTCCACTTAAAAAACATATGTAACAAATTTTCAGGATGGCTGAGATACAGATACAGTGTCTTAATAATCCTTGATCTTACTCATGTAACAAGTTATATTTGCTAAGCGAAGTAATCATTTAAATATGAAATATGTGAAGAAAATGACCTTATATTTCTTTTCTATTTTGAAAGGTACAAAACTTAAGTATCTAGAATACCATACGAATTAACATATAAACTCTATTAGTAATGCAAGCCGTATGTTAAAATAATGTTGTACACTCTGGAGACAGTCTAGATTTTATGCAACTATGATTGGTGAATATTAGAGTAAATCTTTTCTCCCAAACTTTCTGTGAAGGTCAGAAACAGATCATTTATAGACAATGGACTTTAAGTTTACAAAATTTAAAATGCAACACTGATATTTTCAGATATCTCTATAAAAGAAATGAAATGGTCTGATTTTCAACCTTCAATCAATCCATAAAGGTAAGTTACATAATTACATGTACGCTTGTATGTCTCCCAATCCCCAGAAAGTTATATTTGGAAGAATGGGCTATGAGTCATTTGGTGTATGAAAAAACAAACACTAGCTTTATTAAAATGAAAAGCAGTTGCACAGGTTATATATTTGATTTTGTCAAAAAAGATTTTGTTAACTCCATTAAATACAAACCAAATTGTAAACCCCTAGAAGAAGAGCTTCAATGCATCCACTGCTATGCACATTTCTGCTGGCTGAGACTGCAAGGTAGCACCAAATTAGTTCTGGGAGAAATTGCAGCGTAAATTGAAGCAACTGCTCCTCTCCACTGCGATAGAATTCAAAGAGCTGGTGACAGACAGGTTCTAGCAACTAGAAGAAAGACAAAATGTTAATTCAAGAACTGGACTGTATTTGAATGGAACTACTATATGAAGTATAAAAGGTTTTCTCAGATTGGTAAAAATCATATCTTTTTAAGTTCTTAAAATAGCTAAGTTGTAGGGAGTTTCTTCCTAAAATATCCTTTCTTCCTGGTAAAACACATGCCACTATATAAAGGATTGACTATGGGGTTGAAGAAATTGAATGGGAATCCTGGGTAGTTACTGTCCTATCTCCCGCCTCCTGAGTTTATAATTTGACAGCATCTGACAGGAATGATTGGTACATAGGGGGGCTAAATAACTACAGACTCCCCTGGATCTAGAACCCTATTGTAACCATGATTAATTGGCCCTGGATAATCTAAATATTGCTGTAATTTTATTTTAAACATAATTTGGAGTCATCTACAACCTTTTCCTCTCCCACCACACTCTCAACATTATCCAGTTAATAGAGCTGACTGTATCTTTATAATGGGCTTTAAAAAATCAGATAGGCAAGGTAAGACCCTCTTATAGGTAAGTATTCTCTTAAAGCATATACAATGATTGCACACAAGTCATAATCAAATATGTTAAGAGATTCACAAGGTACTGTTCACAAGGTACTGATTTTTCAAGCAAATTATCAGGCTATTTATTATATATATCCAATGAACTATACCTCACCTAAGGCAACAAATTTAAATATACTAAACAGATTTTCTACAACCAATAATGGTAATGAACAAAAACTAATTTACAGTGGATGTTTTGATTTCAAGTAAGTGAAATATGTAAACTGAATATAATTAAAGTCAATATTGTTTATAAAAGGTATAACAAAAGTTATACTTCAATAAACACTAAGTCAAACTAGTCTTTCCTATTGAAAAATTACCTAACTTCTGACAGTTAATCTTCCACAAGGAATACTTTCTCCACTCTTGAAATGGTCTTTAGAGGGCAACAGATGTCCACTGTGGCCATGGAAAGATAACAGAAAAACAGAGGGGCAGGAGGTAAAGTCATGCCATTCAGAGATAGCAAGAAAAGTTTTTAGCGTAGGAATTTGGAATGGGGATAGAGGTGGCTGGAAGAAAGAATGACTGGTTAGGGATATTTAGCTTTCAGGGTGGAGTTTTCAAAATTTTCTTTGCGGACCCACATCAATAATCTTGAATTGTGGCATAACATCCCTCCCTCATCTCTAAATCCCTCAGAAAGCTAAATCAATTGAGATAGTCTAACAAACATTGCAAAATTATGAAATCTTATTTGAAATTTTATTCAAGACAGTTTGTATGAACACATAATTTTAATCAAAACATACTCAAAAGGCTTTATAACCCATTTAAAATCCAAAATTTAGAGTTTTTGCCATACGAAAATATAACAAGACAGATTCAAAGGGGAGGTAGAAATATATTGCAACAAGATTAGATGAAATTATGCATTTGAAATTAGTACAGATAAATATCAATATCTGCATAGTGTGTCACAGATTACAAAGTACTTACACATACATAAACCCATTAAATTCCCACAACACTGGAGGGTAAAATATCATTATCCACACTTTCCACAGAAGGAAACTAAGACAAAGAGGCTATCCACTATGACCAAAATCACATGACTCACAAGGGTCAGACCTGGAGCCAGGTATTTTGACTTCTTTACCAACATACCTGAAAAATGTCAGGAAGAATAAAATGATATACAGTGTGGGAAATACGGACAGTGTCTGACATATCTAACTTGACTATATTTGAAGCAAGCAAAGGAGCATTAGAACCTGCTGTGTTCCTGGTGTCTGGGTTGCATTTTTTAATGTTTTTTTTTTTTCATGGAAACCATATTATTTATGGTGGTTAGGTTTTACAGTATTATTAAGAGAGACTGTACCTCAAGTATATTTATATGTGTTAAATGGGCTTTTATGGGTTTAATGAGAACCTAGTCACCATGTGTCATCTCTCCATTGTAAAATAAATTTTGAGTTCTGAAACAACTAAGCTGCAAATGGATTTTTACAACAATTCATTCATAAGTAACAAGTCTGTATCCTAAGAGAGATTTCTAGTGGTAACAGGCACATGACTCAAAAATGTTCTTTAATGACTAAGTAAGGAAAATGTTCTTTAATGACTAAGCAGGAAAAGAGTCAAGTTTTGGTAAATTTAGAAGGAAAATCTTGCAAAATTTTTTGTATTGAACAATTACTCAGGAACATTGGGTAAGAAAAAGATACGGAAAAGTTGGAGAACACTACTATTCAGGAACCAGCAGCTACTGGTACCGGACCTCTCCACTCTCTGGACTCCCGACTCCTAGAACTCCAAGGAGACTTTATGTAGGTCTTTCAAAAAACAGCTGATTTCATAACAGACTTAAGTAGTATCAACCTCTACTCATAGGCCTGTCTCAAAGTTATAGTCAACTAAAAGCGCCGCTTAAGCAAACTGCACTGTACCCATATAAACTGCCTCTTTATAAGTTTCTTGAACACATCACATATCGCAGGGCCTTTCCACCTACAGTTCCCTCTCCTGGAAGGCTCTTGCCCCTGATTCCACCCCAACTCCTAATTCGTTTGGATCTTGATTCAATCGCCAACTTCCTCAGTCCCAACACATATTTCCCTTACTTCATTTTATTTATCCTTATAGCTTTATCACTAACTGACATAGTATTATATGTTTAGTTATTTGTTTAATGTCTTCTCACTAACTAGAAAACAAGTTTTAATCTACAAGATCAAGAATTTAGTCTATTTTGTTCTCATAATTCCTAAGTGGTTCCTGACACATTAAATGCGTTTAATAAATATTTATTAAATGAATAAAACTGAATAATGAAAAAGTACTATTAGTGAAGTTTAAATGCCAAATTTGTTGCACTTCAAATAATACCAGAAACAATATCTCAAATTTCAAAAATTCTGGAAAATAATAATATCAACTTGTTAGGAATATTTTCAAATTTAGACACAAAATATTCTAAACAGCAAAAGGGAGGTTAAAATGTTAAAGTAGATTACACTGTTATATTTTAGAAGCACTTCCAAATATATCTGAAAGAGCGAGTGGTTTTTTTAAGAATACAGAATACACACAGTCTTCACCACATGAACCAGAATAAAAGCACGAAACTAACATGCAAGACCAGAACCAATGCTTCGGAAAGTGTGGTCCTGAGGATCATCCACAAACTGTTATCAATCTCCAACAATATAAATATAGAAATTGAGAGGAAATATTTATAAACTTTTATAGCAACTTAATATTGTTACAAGATCCAAGTGAGTGATTAGCAGATTTATCAGAGTATACATCAGTTAGGGAATATCAAATTTGTGTGGTGCCTCACACATGGTGTGAGTTCATGTTAGTCATGTATTTCAGATACACATATTTGTCTGTGACAGATGATAATTTTTTTAAAAAACTGGTCCATCATCACTAGTAGTTTGAGAAACACTGCTCTGAACCATTAGAGCTATATTCACTAGAGTTATCTGAATAAAAGGAATGCTATAAACTAATCTAGCCAATCATAAATTTATCCTACAAACACTTTCCAAAGTAGCCTAGTTAAAACATACTTCATGACAGAATAATTTTTAAGCTTCTCAAAATAATAAATAATAAATGATCAACAACATTTGTTAAAAAACATAAAGCGTATGGCTATACTTACCCTATTTGGTGAAATATATAATTCTAAACCAAACATGGAAAACCTTAAAACAGCTTTCACTCAATATTTAAAAAGTAAAATCCTTCAAGAAAACAGCCTACCTGTGCATTCTATACAAGTTAAGAAGCTTTGGGAAGAAGGAAGAGACAAGACAAATATGATTCTTCAATTCAGTTATTCCAGTTAAAGTTTTTTGGCTTGTCAATATACTCCCTAATCCCTTCAGCACCTAAAATTCATGATACGCATTATAGTATTACCAGTAGGAGTGGGATATTCTATACCCCCTCCAAAAGAGGTTAACTACTCAAAAGAAGAGCCTCCCTCAATTTTGGTAGTTTCATCCCAGAGATACATAGATCCATATTGGACTGGACTCCAGGATATGTTACTTTACCACTGAATCTGCTGTTAGAGTCTATCATGCCATCAATCAAACTCAAGTACAAAAGGAATTATGTACTTCAGATCCCTCTCTTCTACCATACCTCTTTCCACTCCTCCTGACGCTGCCCAAGTTTAGGTTCTCAACAGCTCCCTCCTAGGCTATTGTCATAGCTTCCTAGTCTTCTTGCATTCCCCATCTTTTCATTTGCCAATCTATCCTCCACATAGCCACCTTCCTAACCCCTCAGTGCAAAAAAAGTCTAAACTGCTTAAGATGGAATTTGAGGCCCACCATGGTTATGTCCTAAACCTAGCTTTCTAGCTTCAGCTCCTATCACAGCCTTACCCTCTATTGTTAACTACTGCATTAGCCTATTCACCTTTTTCCAAATGCCATACCTTTTTACTTTTCATCCTATTTCCAATTTTTTTTCTATTTCTACTATGAATGGTAGGATTTACAAGCAGCAGAATCTGGAATATAGATTATTTTATTACCTTCAAACTAAATGGGCAGCTAGTGAGGCACAGTGCCTCATGCTTGTAATCCCAGCACTTTGGGAGGCTGAGGTGGATGGATTGCTTGAGCCCAGGAGTTCGGGACCAGCCTGGGCAACATGGTGAAATCCCATCTCCACCAAAAACACAAAAATTGGCCAGGTGTGATGGTGCACGACTGAAGTACCAGCTATTGGGGGTGCTGAGGTGGGAGGATCGCTTGAACCTGGGAGGTCAAGGCTGCAGTGAGCCATGATCACACCACTGCACTCCAGCCTGGGCAACAAAATGAGACCCTGTCTCAAAAAAAAAAAAAAAATCTAAATTAGCCATCTGAAAAAAGAAAGAGTGGTAGTGGGGCAAGAGGAAAGACTGGGAAAGGCACTAGCCGGGCTAAACTATTTGCCATTCTTTAAATGCCTTGCATTTTCTGAGCCTCCGTATACTATCCCCACTGCATGGAATATTCTTTTACCTTGCCACCTGGAAAACTTGTGCTTATCCGTAGACTGGATTAAGGATTGCCTTGAAACCATGTGTTTACTTATTTTCTCCCACTTTCCTCTTTCAGGATAAAAACCATGTGTTACTCAATTTGATTCTCTACTGCCTAGCATAGCCGATGGCTCATAATGGGCACTCAAATACTTGCTGAATGAATAAAATGAAATGCAGTGACATAGACTTTTCAAAGCTACCTCTAGCGAGAGAGAAAAAGAGAGAAAATGTTCAGAGATGGCTTCTGGAATACGGTAATAAATTATATTTCTTGGCTTGGGGAATGGTACACTAGAGTTCATTTCAGTATTGTTCTTTAAACATATACATTTTCTTACCCCTTTATATCTATTTCACAATAAAAAATTAAAAATCAATCAAGTCAATACTGTTAGCACAATAAACCATAAAAGTACTTACCTCACTTTGTGGCTCCTGGATAACTTTATAGAGAGATGAAACTAAAGAACTCTTGTCTTTCAAATTTGTGGCATAATTTGGTAAAGATGTTTCTGGTAATGTCTAAACAAATTTAAAAAAATACATTTTACTTTTATGAAATGTCCAGAATAGGCAAATCCATAGATGCAGAAAGTAAATTAGTTGTTGCCAGGACTGCAGATGGGAGAAGAAGATTAGGAGTGACTAACAGGTATGAAGTTTCTTTTTGGGGTGATGGAAATGTGCTGGAATTAGATGCTGGCATTGGTTGTACAACACTGTGAATATATCAAAAACCAAGGCAAGGTAAACATGTTTACCTTAAATTAGTAAATTTTATCTTATATTAATTATATCTCAACAAAAATTCAAAATAAAACAAAAAATATACTTTATCCTCTTATCAACAAGGACATAAACTAACATCAACACTTCATCTTTGATCATAGTTTGGGATTAGAGATGGGAATATAGGCCAGGCGCAGTGTCTCATGCCTGTAATCCTAGCACTTTGGGAGGCTGAAGCAGGAGGACTGATTGACCCCAGGAGTTCAAGACCAGCCTGGGCAATATAGTGAGACCTCGTCTCTACAAAAAAACAAACAAAATTAGCTGGGCATGGTGGCATATGCCTGTAGTCTTGGCTACTCGAGAAGCTAAGGTGGGAAGATGGCTTGAGCCTGGGAGGTCAACGCTGCAGAGAGCCATGATTGCAGCATTACACTCCAGCCTGGGTAACAGAATGAGACAGGGTCAAATTAACTCCGGAGTTACATACTCTGACGGTTGAGCATGAGAAGGCTGTTCTACTTAACCAATTGAAGGGAAAATTTAGACTTTTCAGAGCTAGAGAAAAAGATATCCACACTACCAACAAACGAATTTTCCTAATGCCATTTAAAATACAGACAACTAGTCACAGCTTGCCAGAACCACCTATTCAGAACAAACACCATGACCAGAGAGTAATGGGAAGAGATAAAACTCCAGTAGTAAGTCAGATGATTTTGAATAAAAGAGTAGGGAAATCTGAATAAAAACATTTCATTATCATAATGATAAAAACCTTTCCTTCTGGAGCACACCCCCTCCTCAGCGATATCTGTTTCCTAAGTCATTATTCTCTCTCACCCAAATTACTTCCTTCAGTCAGTCATTGCCAATCCTGCAGTAGATACCATGTCTCAGGATATTCCTAACTCACTCTAAACATACATTATTCCTTATATGTCTCATATCCTAGTATTTCAAAATTTAATATGGGTTATGATTAGTATATAGGTGGATGTGTGCATAAATTAAACAGCATAAATTTTTACAATAAAGACATTTGATTCATTTTCACTTTACTGTGAGCTCCTTGAGGGCAAGAACTGTCTTATCATCTCTGCAACCACAGCACTCACCACAGGCCCTCATACGCAAATCTTTGCTGAGGGAACATATTATAGATAAACAAAATAAGAAATGAAAATTGCCATTGCTTATACTTTGGTAGATTCTTTAAAAGTGGGTCATATTTCACCTTGGGATATATAAGTGAATAGAATTTTTTTTAAGTTTAATAAGAGAGTTTTATTTACCAGAAGGGCAAGCAAATGTGGACTATTTGGAAACCTTTCACAATTCTCCCGACGGGGGAAAAAAAGGTTTTACTGCAACTGCTTACATAAAGACGAGATTAAGGCATTCTTCAATATTTCAAAAGTATGACACAAAAGATCTCGAGGCAACATTCCATTTCCGTCATTTGATCAAGAGTAACCTAATACTGGGGGAATTTATATAAAAGGGAATAACAGTCAAATAAACAGCAGATTCCTAATCCTCTGAATAAAAATAAATCTAAATTATATATATAATTTATATATATAAAATGCATTATATATATTTAAAACACATTGATGTCTAACATATGTAACTATGTATACATAGTTACATGTATACATGTCTATGTATACTGTGTATACATGTCTAACATATATATCTAACTATAAAATTGAAGAATAAATGAACCAAAATATAAATGTTTAAAAAAATTAGTGAATAGAAAGATTACTACTTTATATATATATATATCATCTAGGCTAAAACTAGATCATTCATTAAAAACATGAATTACAATGTTCAGCTTATATACTAGCTGACCGTCACGAGGTAAAATATTTTCTGTGAAACACCCAAAGGCAAAAAGACAGCTGTTTGTCTGAAAAGACAAGCTCTGGAAAATACCATGGACCCAGGCTACCACTGATAAATGAAAGGAAGGGTATCTTAAATATTAGTGCAGTAATAATACCTTTTATTCACAATTCTGTCATCATTTTATTTAATGAATGTGGGAAAAGTTAATTTTGTCTGTAGAGAGGGAGAAAATGTTGTGTTCATGAATGGTGTTTTAAAAAACAAGATCTAAAGGAGCCAAATGAATTTAAATACTATTATAGCAAAAACATTTAAATTTTCTCACACTGTACTAGTTCAAAGGTAGTGACCTTCTTAAATACTAGCTTAGCTTTCTCACATTTCAGAAGGCATAACTGGAGTTGAAAAGCACCTAATGGAAAATTATGTTGGTATATTATTCTTGGCAAAATTTGACGCTGGGCGCGATGGCTCACGCCTGTAATCCCAGCATTTTGGGAGCCTGAGGCAGGTGGATCACGAGGTCAGGAGTTAAAGATCAGCCTGGCCAACATGGTGAAACCCCGTCTTTAGTAAAAATACAAAAATTAGCCAGGTGTGTGGTGCCACGCACCTGTAGTCCCAGCTACTCGGGAGGCTGAGGCAGGAGAATCGCTTGAACCCGGGAGGCAGAGGTTGCAGTGAGCTGAGAAAGTGCCACTGCACTCCGGCCTGGGCAACAGAACGAGACTCTGTCTCAAAAAACAACAACAACAACAACAAAATTTGAAGACAGATGCCTCATACTAAAGTATCATTTGACAGATGGTTTTTCAAAAATGTAAGGAGGTGATAGGGGTTGAGTAGCAGAGAATTAATGAAGATGGACAGATGGGTGAAGAACCAGTAATTAAAACAATCCTATTCAACAACATCACACATAAGATTTGATTTTGAGTCACATATTGAGATTCAGCAACTATCAGAAAATTTAAAAAAATCAGGAGTCTGGAAATCTGCTAGATAAATCTACCACACAGCAGTAACAAAAATAACACAATCTGAAAGATAATATTTTATAAGTAAATCTTTGAAAAGATAGAGCTTGAACTATTCATGAAATCTTAAAATAATGAAGTCCTAGACTAATCATTTAGTTGGTACATAAAGAAAATAGGACAAGCGCGGTGGCTCACGCCTGTAATCCCAACACATTTGGGAGGCCAAGGCAAGCGGATAACTTGAGGCCAGGAGTTCGAGACCAGCCTCGCTAACACGGCAAGACCCCAGCTCTAATAAAAATACAAAAATTAGCTGGGCATGGTGGTGCACACCTGTAATCCCAGCTACTCAGAAGGCTGAGGCATGAGAATCACTTGAACCCAGGAGGTGGAGGTTGCAGTGAGCCAAGACTGTGCCACTGCACTCCAGCTTGGGTGACAGTGTGAGACCCTGTCTCAAATTTTAAAAAAAGAAAATACTAATGAGAGTCCATAGCTAGAGCAGACAATGAATAATTTTACCAAATTTTCAATTTCAAAAATTTCATCTCTACACATCTGAGAGATGTTGGGTGAGGTTAGGAGTTCAGACTGACTGTGCAACAGTGTAGAGCTAAAAATCATCTTCATAAACCACTTACAGTACTTTAACTTTTCTGATGAAAATATGAGACCCGGAGAGGTTATGCCCAACATCATAAAACCAGCTTGGGGAGAATTAGAATTAAGTCAAAGGGTTTCTTTCAGTTCACTTACTCAATCATGATGACTTGGCCTTATTAGCATCATGGTTATTAAATAAAACAATCAAGCAGAAGCTTTTCTAGAAATATGTATGTAACCAAAACCTTTCTTAAATATTTTAACAAAAATATGTAATTTAACACCAGAGATTTCAAGAGATACGTTACTCTAATTTTAAAAGTACTTAGCAGACATGTTCCCAAGCACTTTTCTATATTCTATTACCTCTGGTATGCTGCTGATTTTGCCTGATAACCTTCTTCTCTTTGTCAAACATAGAGCTGAATACAACACACATTAACCCAATTTAGAATAACACTCCAAATAATTATCAGGAATGCCTACCAAATTAACCAAGGAATGGGAAATATCCCTCCTTGAACTGGCTATAATACAGATTTGAAGATAATTTAAAACATTTGAATATCAAATTGATTCAAAATTGGGTAAAGTTAATCTTGGGGTTGGGCAGGAGAAACTACTTAAACTACATTTTATTTCCTGCAGGCCATGATTCACTCTCTCCTCCTAAAGGAAAAGTTTCCCTATGCTTGCATTAAATTTATGAAAAATGTTAATAAAATATTGTTACCCACATAATATGTTATATTGATAAAATATTACTTAAATAATATTTCCTATTTATTCATACTCTGGTTTCTTGTAGTGGAAGATGGTATTTGGAAAACAAGATCTGGGAGCTTAGTGTACTCACTGCGACCAGGGTGCCATTGTTTCTAGGTCCTCCCAGTGAACAAAGCTAGGAGATATATGCATGCATACATGTACAGATACATACACACATATGTATCATATGCATACTTAGAACCCATGAGTTCATAATGATTCCAACACAACACCTTAGAGTTCTTTCTTGGCTTTCGCTGTTCCATGATTGTAATTCCTTTTTCAGACAGATAGAAATCTAACTCCCATTATCCTCAAAATATTTACTTATTTCTTCAATCAACTTATTTGCTCAATGTAACCAATCTACCAATGTAACTACTCTGGCTATTCTTCTACACGCCACCTCTGCAGCCCTTCACCCCAACCACCTACTTCCTCAGACACTACTGCTGTTAACCGCTGCTCTGCCCCTCACTCCTCGGTACTGCACTTCCTAGGTGTCTATATATCCAAACCAGGAGGGGAAGGGAATAAACAAACAGATGGAAAGGGAAGGAGATCAGTCATGGTTTTCCATTTTTTACCTTACTAGCTGATCTCACCCCTACAACCCACCCTTTAACATGCTCTCTTTCCACAACTCCCATCTTAAAGAATGGATAGCTGTCGACATTTGCTTTTGCATATTTTACTTCATCATTAACATAAGAATGCCCTAGAAGAAATAGCATTCAACTGTTAAACTTGACTATTTCCATCAATCTGCCAAAAAAAAGCCGTGATAACAGACTATTTTAATCACAAAGATAACACAAGCAGGAAACACACACACACACACACACACACACACACACACACACAAGATTTAATCAAAGTTTTTTGTTTTGTTTTGTTTTCTTTCAGAGACAAAAGTCTCATTCTGTCACCAGACTGGACAGCAGTGGTGCCACCATAGCTCACTGCAACTTTGAATTCCTGGGCTCAAGTGTTCCTCCCAACTCAGCCTCCCAAGTAGCTGGGGCTACAGGCATGCACCAACACGCCCAGCTAATTTATTTATTTATTTTTTTTTTTTGGAGAGAGGGGGTCTTGCTGTGTTGCCTAGGCTGGTCTTAAACTCCTGGCCTGAAGCAATCCTTCCATCTCTGCCTCTCAAAGTGCTGGGATTACAGGCATAAGCCACCTCATCTGGCCACAAGTTATTAAAATATGTAGAAAGCACTTCTGTAACATTCTAATGTCACTTCATGATGACTTGGGGAATCCATAGAAGGATGCTCAATTCATGGCTATAAAAGCTGAGAAAGTAAAAGTCTGCCCAGCTATTCATCAGGATTAGATAAAAGAGACAGATAAGGCCAGCTATTAAAATTAACAGGAAACGGTGCTTTTCCTAAATACACACTGCAACTGAAAAATGTCATAACAATCTCCTTCTTTGAGTGACTACTAAGTTCTTACTTACTAAGATGACTTGTTATCTAAAATCACAGATTATAAAAAAGTTTGTTGTTGAACATGTATCAGTAAGAACAAAACATCCCACTCTTGCCTAGAGCATCGAAGTCACTTTGACATAGAGAAGCAGCCTTGATTTTCAACCCAGGTGCAGAGATATAAATATGGAGTTTCTGAACATAACATTTCAAATCTACATTAACTTTGTAGTTTTCAAGACAACAAGATCCTGGGTCTACTTTGAAGGCCAGACCAGATGTTCACCCCATTATAAATAGCCCTGCTTTGTTTTGAGTCTACCAGAATACCGTTTCATTTAAATTTCACCTAAACTCTACCCTTCCTCCAAATTACTATAATTTTATCTTTTCTTTGGTTTGGTGAGATGGTCCCATGGTGTCTGTTGGGCAATCTCTCTCAATGCAACAAGCCAATAAGCCTGACTTTGTCAGACTGTAACTTTGTCCTTATAGGTCTTGGGCTGACTGGGCTGGACAAAATCAAACTGATAGTTGCAGCCCAAACTCTTCATTCCTGTGGTTCATGATCATGCAAGTGCACATAATTATGTGTCACATAAGGACAGAGAAAAGTAATTAGCTGATTAAAGAAATACTATTTTAGCTATCCTAGAGAAAAGCTCATGAGACAAGAAAATATGTTTTATTTTCTTCATTAACTAATCAAAGGTCATACACCCCTTATATAGCCACTGGGTTAGCCAACTAGAGAAAGATTCACTGGTATAAAGTTGAGCAAATATCTTCCCATCCTCTCCTCATTGTTGGTCACCCCAGTTCCACTGCCCTCCAAACTGGAAGAAACATTTTGACAATGAATCACTGATGGTCGCTGGAGAATGACATCAACATTCAGAGACTTTAACTACTTTGTGGTATTGCCATGAAAGAAAGAAAATAAACAAATGAATAAACTCTTTGAACCACTTGGGGGAAAAAAGGAATCAATTTCCTAGAAAAGATTACTATGTGTAAATAACTCTCTATTGAGATTTGATAGAAAATACTTCCACAGATATTTAGCCTTTCAGTCATATAAAATACAAAAATCACTGGAATTTAAACGCCAGACAAAACTTCCTTGGAATATAATTACTATAGTAGAACAGTAAATATTACCTTAAACTCTGACAACCATTCCTCCACAACCCCTTTCTCTGAAGTAAACATTTTTCCACATCTGTTCTAAACCTTCAACCTGAAAATTAACATAGAAAAATGTTAACGTTTTGAATATATTTTATTTAGTCAGATTACTATGAACAGAGATAATCCTATAAAGTTTTTACTTCATATTTGTGAAATGAGTTTCAAACATAAATTACTAAATTCATTTCAAAACCAATGTGCACAAACAAGCCTTAAAATGCAAGAATTTTGACAAAAGTATAAATATCATAACATGATGAAATTGGCTCTCCAATTTTCATTTAGTTTTCAGGAATGCCAGCTGCAAAACATATTGGACATTTTTCCCTAGTTTCAATAAAATAATTTCAAAAAGATCATTTATCTTAAAAGAAAGCAGAAAATATTTCAAAATTGTGAAAATATAAGAAGACACGCATCCAAAATTGACTTTATAGAAAGCATTAAAGTAATTTAATTTGCTTATATTTCAGTTCTTTACAACAGTAACTAGGCAAGCCATGTGGTTTCTTGAAAGTGTAATGTTCATTTTTTAAAAAGTAAAAGTGACAATATTCAAAATGACCATATTTGACAACAGTGATGCAGAAGACTGGGATTTACTTAAGTATAAATTTAAAGAAGTAAGCTAAAGGAAATGCAGAACAGTTTTATCTCAAGCAAAATGTTTGTCAAAATACAACGTATTTTTCTTTACCTATCCATTTGTATGGGAGTAGACTTGGAAACTATTTCCTGACGGAAAACTTGAGCTCTATCTGAATTTCCTAACTTCCAAATTCAGTCACAAATCCTTCATTAAGCTACTTAATTTTCATCAGCATTATAAGGTAGTAGAAACTTAGGTAGAGTAGCCAGAAATGAATTCTGATTCTATTACTTACTTGGGTAAGATATATTTGCCTTACTTTTTTTTAATCTGCAAAATAGGGATAATGACAGTACCTATTTGCAAGGAGTTATTGTGAGGAGTACATTTTAAAATGCAAATAAAAGCAGTTATTTCCATTCCTGGCAACAAACTATTATCACTATGCAATATTATTATTATTATTAATTCTTATAAACTCTGCTCAGCTGTCTACGAAAGTATCCAGATATGCCTTAATGAACAACGCAGGTTCTTGTCAAAGAATACATTCTAAGGTTCCTGCTGTCTAATTCTCATAAAAAAACATGATTAAAACATTTTTTGGTCATTCATTCATTCATTCACTCATAAAAGATTACTTGGGTAATACGCATTTTATTTTTAAAATAAAAAATATTTCTCCTTGGATCAAGTCAGACTAACAGAAAACCACATATATGTACTGTATTATTGATTTTATAGAACTGTCTGTTTGGAGAAACTGGGCTTTGAAATTATGTCCAAAATGTTACCAAAGCACTGCTAGATGACATTTATCCTCCTTAAAAGCCAACAGAGTCTAGAAAATTCACATCTTAAGTTTTCAGTACTAGGAAAATCTCTCCTTTGGAGTAACTTGTTTGTTTTTATATTATGAATACTGTGAGTTTCATAACCAATTCTCTTTGTCTTACTGTTATTTTCTGTCTGCCTGTATCTACTTTTTTTATGTTGTTATGTATATTTGTAAAGCAAAGCCAATATAAATGCACAAAAGTTTTCTTTTGTATGAATTCCATTGTTTAATAAATTAGGACAGAAAGTTATCACAAATGGAACCACACTACATCAAGTTACATAGAAATGGGGAGGTAAAATTTTTACAAAAATTCAAAATAACTCTCCAGTTAAAATTAAGGTTAATTTTTCAAAAATTAAAAGAAATCAAGAGGAATATACAAGGAACCAAGAACAGTCAAGGGCTGTCTTGAAGAACAACAGAACTGTGGGACCTGGACTTCCAACAGCAAAGCTTAGTATAAAACTTACCAAAAACTATAGTAATTAAGCCAGTGGTGGCACTGTCAGAAGAATAGAAAACAACCAATGGAACAGAATAGAGTGGCCAGAAACAGACCCACACATATATGGTCACCTGATTTATGACAAAAATGACACTGAAATTCAGTGAGGAAAGGATGCTCTTTATAATAAATGGGGCTAGGTTATTTGGATAGCTACATGGGGAGGACAAAAAGAACCATGACCCTAGAGATCATGCTGTATGCAAAAATAAAAACAGTTTCAGTTGGACCACAGATCTAATTGTGAACAGTAAACCATAAGGCTTTTAGAAGAAAATGCAAGAGAGTACTTTCATAATCTTAGGCTAGGCAAAGGTTTCTTAAACAAGAGGCACAAAAGCACTAATCACAAGGAGGGGAAAAGGATAAACTGGACTTCCTTGAAAGTAAGAATTTCTACTCACCAAAAGATACCACTAGGAGAATGAAAAGGCAAAGCCATAGGGTGGCAGATGATATCTGCAATTCATATACATGGCAAAAGTCTCATATCCAGAATATATAAGGAACTCATAAATTATTAAGAAAAAAGGTAGACAATCCTATAGGAAATCAAGACCATCACTTACTCAAATGGAAACTTAGCACATGAAACGTGCTCAACTTTGTTAGTCATCAGGGAAATGTCAGTTAAAACCCACAGTGAAATACACCATACAAACACACACACACACACACACATACACACACACACGTACGCATGTGTAGCTAAAATGAAAGATCACACCAAGTGTTGAAAAAGATATGGAGCAATCAATATTCAGACACAGCTAATGTGAATGCAAATTGGTACAATATCTTGGAAAACTCTTTAGCAATATCCTCTAAACTTGAGGATATATACATATACTCTACGAACCCAGAAATTCTACCCATGTTAATACTCAACAGAAATGAGGACATATGTTCTCTGAAAGCTATGTTCAGAAAATGTTCATCTGAGCAATAGGCTTTTGTTTTTGTTTTGTTTTTAGAGACAGAGTCTCACTCTGTTACCCGGGCTAGAGTGTAATGGCGCTACCACAGCTCACTGTAGCCTCAAATTCCTGGGCTCAAGGGGTCCTCCCACCTCAGCCTCTCAAGTAGCTGAGACTACAGGAGTGTACCACATGCTTGGCTACAGCAGGTATTTTTTAATAGTCAAAAACTAGAAACAAACCAAATGTCCATCAGTAGTTGAACGAATAAATTACAGTATACTGTACAATATCTGAAATTCTATACAACAAAATATAACTTTTAATGAATAAACTATATCTGTGTTACAGTGTTGGATAAAAGAATGCAGGAAAACAGAGTACATACTATATAATTACATTTATGTAAATTTCAAGAACAGATAAAACGAATCCATTTGTGTTAGAAGTTGGGATAGTGGCTGCTCTTGAGGGGCCTATCTTGTCGGTTCTGATAACAGTCTGTTTCTTGATCTAGGTGCTGGTTACTCAAGTGTATACATTTGGTGAAAATTTGCCAAGCTAAACATTTCATAAACTGTACATTTTTCTGTATGTATATTATACATTAGTAACACCAGTCAGCCCTGGGTCTCTTATCTTCCACTTGATAGAGATCAAATGGGAGCCCTCATTGTATAGCTGAGCTCACATGGACACTCACTTGTTTAGCACGCATGCAAGCTCAGAATAAAATTGTTCCTCCCCAAACTTCTCTGTCTCCTGCAGAACTCAAAAGGGAGTCTATGACATGCCTCCCTATCCTGAAACTTTCACAGTCTCACCACCACTGTCTGCTTTAGGTCCACCAGGACTAAAGTCTTTATTCCCTTCATCTCTGTTTATGTCCAGCACCACAAGAAGCTACAGACACCTAGATGACACTCATCTCACACACTAGTCATCATAACTCTTTGTACATCTTCTGTTTTGCTCCCATCTCCCATCCCATCCTAATTCTGGAAGGACGATATACTTCCATGGGTCCTCTGGAATTTACAGTCTATTACCAGCAAAATCCTCTACATCTTCAACAGTTCTTCAAATGTTGCTTTCTTCTTTTCATGAGACACTAGTTTCCCTGCATGCAAGCTTACCAAATAGTGATTGCATTTCCTCACACATCCCTGAAACAAACCACTGGGCTTAGAGGTAAAGTAGGTGTTCTCCTTTCTTCTTATTACCACTCAAGATCATTCTCTTCCTCCTTCAACCATCCACCCAAAGCTGCTTTGAAACTCTATCACCATCATCTATCAATCAATCCACCCCACGCCCTTGCCCTGCTCGGTCCCTCCCCTTCATTTCTGGATGATCTTAGCTCCTAGCTCACTGTCATGCTTTCAAACAACTCCTGCTTAAATCTTGGTGATTTTTTTTCTTACCTGAAGTCTAAATTCCTAGAAGTCTTAATTCCTAGAATTCTCCTCCTACAATATTTTCTTCCTATCTGCCTCAGCTACTCAATCCTACGATCAAAGTCTATGATCATAGCCTAGACCACCTGTTTTCAAACATTTGGGTTAGGGACTCTTTATACTCTTAAATATTAAGCCAACCTGAAAGAACACCCAATGGCCAAAGCTGGAACAATCCAAGCAACAGAACAAGTAATGTAGTACTGCATTATAACCCAAAGTATAAAATAAACATACATGAGGCCATACTCATATAAATAAATGATTAAATAAATAAGAGAATAGGAGATAAAGTTTCCTTACGGAAGAATTCCCAGTAACAGATGTAGACACTATCTCTTCCAGGAGGTAGAGCTTAGTCCTTGCTCCCCCATTGAGAGTGCACTGGACATAGCTATTCACTTGCAAAAAAAGAGAGTACGGAAAGAGGAAAAGAGTAACTGTATAGTGGTGAAACCGGGCAAGCACTGCCTTGATCTAAGCTAACATCAACACGACGTCATGTGAATATCAAGTACCATTCAAAATGATTACAGACATGAGCCACCGTGCCTGGCCCCTGGTAAGTTCCTTTTAACTATAAAAGTAAGAATATCTTTAGAAGAGAAAGTATGGCTGGGTGCGGTGGCTCACGCCTGTAATCCCAGCACTTTGGGAGGCTGAGGCAGGAGGATCACTTGAGGTTAGGAGTTTGAGAAAGACTGGCCAACACAGTGAAACCCCTCTGTACTAAAAATACAAAAATTAGCCAGGCATGGTGGCATGTGCAGGTGATCCCAGGTACTTGGGAGGCTGAGATAGAAGAATCACTTGAACCCGGGAGGCAGAGGTTTCAGTGAGCCAGGATCAGACCACTGCACTCCAGCCTGGATGACAAAGTGAGACTCCGTCTCAAAAAAAAAAAAAAAAGAAGCAAAAATATACAAACATTAAAAATGAATCCTGAAATATCAATGCATTATGTAGGAAAGAGAATAATGGAATTCTATAAAGTATAGGATAATTTTTTTATTTCAACTTTTATTTTAGATTCAGGAGGTACATGTGCAGGTTTGTTACATGGGTATACTGTGTGATGGTGAGGTTTGGAGTACTATTGTAGGATAAGTATTTAAAGAAATAAAAAATTAAAAAGCCAACAGTGTTTACTAGCTGACATAAGCTTTTCTTTGTCCTTACCACGTACAGTACAATTGTTAAAAAAAAAAAAAAAAAAAAAAAAAAATTCTTTCCATTAGCCCTGGGCTTCAAGATGAGTAACAGTTCTGACTAAAGGTATCAGTAAAGCTTAGATAGGACAAAAAGCAAACTGGCCACAAAATGATTTAAAAACTGTTTCTCTCTACCAGCAAGCAGCAAGAGGCTCTCTACAAGTTGCTAACCCACCCCCACATTTCATATATAATATGTAACCTATTAACATCTATGCCAAAGACTTGACTATATAACTCTGCAAGCTTTATAAATCTAATTAGACATCTCTAGTAATATTCAAAATATACTTGCATTTGTAAAAACTTTATTCTTCTCAAAGATAAAAGAGACAATTAAAATACATGTTTCCTGCTGTGTAACTAACTTCCTATTTTTGCCAAACATGTTCCGGAGCAGAATATTTAAAATTACATTAGAAGGCTTGCTAGGAGTCTATGTAGTATTTCACTAGCCCAATAAGTCTGTATAACATTAATTTTTTATATTTTCAATGTACAATAAAACCTTTCTAAGTCAAATGTCTTATTCTTCAATTCCCACATTATGTTATTAATAACAATTACCAAAATTTATCTTTTAGTGTTGTCATCAGAGACATATAACATTTTAATTATTTTATAAGAATATTTTAAAAGTATTTGTAACTTTCACTGTAAAACTCTAAAAATTTCCTTATTCCTATCTTTTACATCATCCCCTTCACCATTAAGCACTAACGACAAACTACTATAAAACTTTTTATAACCATTTGTTTTATATATCATTATGAAGCTTAAGTTTCTATAAATTTATAGAGCAACCAAATTTCTATAAATGGATTGTGACACATCACGAAATTTTAAACTTCTCTCCTATGCAATGAGGCCATTGCTGTAGTTAAATTAAGCGCTACCAGAAGATTATCAAGAATTCCTGGGTGAATTTCAGGAAAACAGAATGGAGAGAAATGTTCAGATTATGTTACAGAATAAAATTAATTTAATTTTAGGATTTTGCTGCTTAGAAACTGACCAATCAATTGTGAAGGAGGACAGTATATGTGCTGTTGCTTAAAAAGAAGTGTTGATGCCTCACTGCCTACCTAGGTCATCAAGTAAATAAAGCTGCCTCTCAAGGCACCAGGAGAAGTAATATAATTCATAGTAAGAGAGGTTTGGGAAGTCTTTCCAAAGGCCTATTACTTAGGCCTATTTTCCCCAAAAATCACAAAACAAGTGTCTGATTATCAAGAATAGAACATAGGTTTTTACTCTATAAAATGGTTTTTGGCTAAACCATCTTTTGCCTACCCCAAGGACAAATAAGATCATGTTGGGATATCAGTGTGCTGTGGCAACCAGCCCAGTGTGTTTCTGTTGGAAAAGCTAGAACAATTAGAAGGTAAGAAGTTCTTTCTTCTCATTTCCCATTTCTATCTTCCTGTTCTTCTCAGATCCTCCATGACTTCAGACAAGATCAGGCACGTTCAAGGTGGTATGGTCATAGACAAGATCCTCCAGGACTTCAGAAGAACATTTTTTCCAGGGAAAGGATATCTGATTTGGACTCTAATAAGAGAAGTTAGGAAGAACTATTTTTTAATAACCATGTTGACCAAAAGAATGCAGCAAACAGAATGCTATGAAACTTCTGAGGCCAACAGTTACTGCTCTTGGATTTCTATTGCAAATATTCTCCCTCTTTTTTGAGCCAGCATTCAAATAGCCTTGACTAAGATCATGTACAATTTATTAACAATTTAGATTTCTTTTAGATAAGAGCAGACAGAATGGTGAGATCTCTGGGAACTATGGCACTACGATGAGCACTTCTTATTGACATTAACATAGCACATGACTCAGTGGTTCAACATTTTTTAAAATTTTTTTCAAATAAAAATTATATAACATAATTTTTAAGTTTTAAACTGTATTAGTAACTACAGGCAAATTTCAGTCCAGATACTATAAGCATAAGTAACATACAGCAAGTATCTAATAAATATTTATTGAATAGAAGAATAAATTTCACCCTTTATAATGCCCGTCAAATTTACCATCTGCTCTCCATCTCCACAGCAACGCCCTGAGTCTGGGCCCTTATTTCCTCTGCATCTGCTGATCACACAGCCTTCTGGCTCCTGATTTCTTCCCTTTTCCAGTGCACCATGCATGTTGCTGCCATATAATCTTGCTGAAACTTCTTTTCTCCTGAACACACCATGACATCAGACCTCACAAATCTTCTACATCAAACTTTCCCTAAAATATGGTCATAATTTACCTATCCAAATTTTACTTAACACTATTCTCCAAAATAATCCATGCCACTCCAGGCTCCATGTCTTTGCCTATGCTTCTCTTCTCTACCTTCCTTTCACTCCTCAGCTTTTACACCCTACCTAGGAAAAACTTGGGGCTCTTATTAATGAAATGCATGCATTGGCAAGGTAAGCTGCCAGGAGAGAACTGGCACTGCATCTGTGAACCAAAACAGCATCATCTGATTATTTTAAAGACTGATTGATGCAGATAATCTTGACTTAGAAAACCTCTTATTAGAATGTTATAAGAAATCTTAAAAGTCCATTAATATGTTATGTATTTCACTAAATATAAAAATATCACAAACAAATTATTTTACATTTAATATTGGGTAAAAATCTACAAGAGCAGTTATTGCTGAAATAAAGCTTTCCAAAATGTTTGCACCACCTTTTACAAAATATAATTACAGCACATACTAAGTGATTCAAGTATTACCTCAGTGAATCAAACTTCAGTAAGCCCTGATAACTAACATACAAATGATAAAGTTTATGTTAACAGATTTTAAGAGATCAGTGTAAAAGTGCTGAACTATAATAATTACCTCAATCACATTCATTAACATGATTATCACACAATTGCATATTAAATAACATGGTGATTAGAAATGCTTTCTACATATTCACTGAACAGGATGTCAAGTCGACAGCCCGTTCATATAATTTATCCAGACAGTAGGCTGGGCAGAGTCAGAGTAAGAGCAAAGAAACAGAAGTAGCAAAAACAAACATAGAATGGGAGGTCGTATATGCAAAAAGTCAATACTAGTATATGTTCAAATTGCAACATTAATAATTCAGCAAGCCCTTGATTGCCTGCTGAGTATAATGCAAAGTGTTTCTATTAGTTTGCACCATTAGCAAAAGAATAGTAAAATATGATCTGTGTCCTCAAGGCAATTGTAATCCAGATGGCAAAGGAAAAGCAGGGAATAGACGAGAGGAAAATAAGTCAAGGTAGCACCTTACATTTTCTAGACGAATAATTGCAAGGGCCATCATGAGAAAATTATCAGAAATACACAAAATCAACAATGAAAAGTTTAAAACAAGGGTTCTGCTCACTATGCAACTATAAAAGATTATAAAAATTCCACCAAGAAAGAAAATAAAACATACACAAAAACTATCAACACCTAGGGAGAAAACCGATCTCCCATCCCTGCTAATATTTTTCTTTACGGGAGATTTTTTTAAATGGCCACACTTAAATCTTTTCCACATAATTAAAATAAATAATCATCCTTCTCACTGCTGCTATCCCACTCTTCAAAAGAAAATACTGTTAACTTTATATTATTTCAAACTTTTTTCTACACATATGCTATATAATCAGCAGTTCTGAAAACTCTCTACTCTTAAAAATATTGAGCAGTATATCTAAACCAAAACAAAATATATCTCCTCAACCAAGAAAAAGATATCAACCAAATAATATATTTATATAGATAGGTACCTATCTATATCTATATAGATATCTGCTCAACCAAACAAAATATATCTGCTCTATCAAAACATGTACATATGTATATATACACATATACACATACATGTATACATAGTCCATTTATATTTTGATTTTAACATAAAAATACAATCACATTCTACCAAAACTTGATTATTTTTCACCTAATATATCATGGACATTTTTTAAAAATATGTGGTACACTATTACTATTATATTTACGACCTTCAACAAACGATCTCTCCTGTTATTTAGTCCTTTGTATAGTCCTCCTCCACATCAATGCTGGAATTGGCAAAGTGACATGTTTTTGCCAGTGGAATTTAGCAAGGTGCTGCAAGGAGAGACTTAATAAGAGCTTCCACCTAGGGCCTGTCCTCTTGAATAATCCCTCTTAGAAGGCAACCACCATGCTACAAGAGCTGAGGGATAGACATCTGCATAAGAAGCCACATGAAGACAGACCTCGGAGGACAGCAGAAAAAAAAGGCTTTCCTTGTGAAAATTTAACTAACTACTTGACAAAGTTAAAGAAGTTTTTTTTTTTTTTATCAAAGGACTTTTCAGAGCCTTTAATATGCTAAATCTGTATTATTAATCTCTAAGAAAAGCATTTGGAATGAAATATTTTCCTAAATGTATTTGACCATGGGATCCTTTGCTGTCCATACACAACTGGCATCATTGGGAATATGGTCTGGAAAACACTCAATGTGACCAAATGTGTCATACATAGCAATGGTAGATGTCCATAGATAATGTTGTGATAATGACTAACATTCCTCAAGCACTTATGTTTCTGGCACTATGCTAAGCGATTTATTGGAATTTTAATTGAATTCTCATAGCCATCCTAGCTGGTAAATTAACATAACCTCTATTTCACAAAAAAGAAAGCTAACACTTAAAGAAGTAACTTGCCCAAGATCACACACTACCAAAGTGGTTAAGTTAGGGTTAGAACCCATGCAGCCCAATTCCAAAGACCCCATTCTAATCACCATGCTATCAGCAATCCCTACCCATGGCACCTAAAACAGTTCAAAACCTTTCCCTTGTCTCATAAATAATTTACTCTGGTTTACTCTTTTCTTCTTCCTAATATTTTCATTCTAAATTGAAAAGTAGGATATTTTCATTTTAAAATAAATTGCTAGGGAAAAGTAAATTATTCAGATGATTGTGTTTGGCAGCCAGGTTGAGAACTATAGGGTAGTAAAAGAACATGGTAGGGTACTGGAGAAAAAGTATTCAATTTACTTAGACCCAGCTCTGCCACTTGCTAGCATGTGGTTGCAGTATTTTTCTCAGTTGGAATGAAGGAAAAGAAAAAAGATGAGAAAAATCTATCAACTGGTATTTACCACAGTGCCTACATACTGGTAACAAGAGTGATCCAAAAACATGGGTGTGACTGAAGTTGAAATGCCAAAATTAGACCAAAATTCTTATTTGCCCCTAAGTCAGAGGTTTTCTGTTTGGTTTTGGTTTCCTTTGCTTTATGGCAAACATTTTTTTTTTTTAATTCTGGGGCTGAGACCTTTGTTCAGTTCTCTAATTTAGTTTACCCTACTTTCAGAACTCTGGGAAAACTGCCTCCAAACGATGAAAGAGCAAATGTTTTGCTTTTGTATATGTTTGAAATTTTCTCTTCACAAAGCATCTCAAAGCACTATAAAAATTGACTGAACACAGCACTACTTGATATACAACTCAATTAAAATTGTCAAGAAGAAATAATGGTAAAAATTGTATATATATATATATATATATATATATATATATATATATACATATAGTTTGCGGCTACAGCATGTAATGAAAAATGCTGAAAAACCACTGTGGCAACTCAGTATGACTAGTTGATGATCAAAGGGTACAGCAACTACCACAGCAATGGGCATGTAAAAGATATACTGTTTTGCCCCTGTTGACTATAACACAAGTAAAATAATGTGACTAAGATTATACACAAGCAATTAGCTCAAATCAACATCATATTAAAAAGTATTTTATTTAGTCTTCCCCTTCCATTTTCTACCATGAAGAAGCAACCAGGGAGAGGCTCTTGAACACCTAGGAACACAAATACCCTGTAAACACTTTCTCCTTGCCAAACTAAACAAATTCAATTAAATTAAGGAATTAGCCAGTTGCTTGCCATTGGCTGTATTGGGAAAGGTGAAGGAGGAGGCAAATAGTTATTACTTTCTTCATTAAGCTATCCAAATTTTTCTCTTCCATGTTTTACCTAGGGGAAGTATATAAATTTTTGAGGCTTTGACATTAGCCTTGGCAAACTATTTCTTGGGAACAGGCAAATTAAGGGTATTTGAGATTTTGCTACATCCAAGTATAAAAGCCACCTATATTTGTTTGCTAGGGCTGCCGTAACAAAGTACCACAGACTGGGTGGCTTAAACAACAGAAATTTATTTTCTCACAGTTCTCTAGGCTAGGAGTCTAAGATCAAGATTCAGGAGGGTTGGTTCCTTTTTAGAGCTCTGAGAGAATAGTTTCAGGTCACTCCCTATGGCTTATAGATGGCGGTCTTCTCCCTATGTCTTCACATTGTCCTCCTTCTATACAGCCTATCCAAATTTCCTGTTCTTACAAGGACACCAATCATACTGAATTAGGACCCATCCTAATTACCTCATTTTAACTTAACTGCCTCTCTAAAGACCCTATTTCCAAATGATGCTACATTCTGAGGTACTGGGGGTTAGGCCTTCAACTTATGAATTTTGGATGGGACACAATGCAGCCCATAATACCACTAAAGCTGCAGTAAGCTAGGGTTCAGCAACCAGCCTGGCTCTTTTTTTTTCTTATATTAAGGTGGTTAAATATCATCCATTTATTCATAAACTATTAAATGCCAACTATGTCCTAGATACTAGATTTACAAAAATGAATACGACATAGCTGACTTAGGGGATTCACAGTCTATTAGGAGAGACAAATAAACCTAAAACAGCAGAAATGAGTGTGCCTTAAGTCCTTTTAAAACAAATCAAGGTAAATCAGAATATAAACAATAAAATAAAATAAATAAATGCTATGAGAAAAAATGAGGAGGAATGTAAAAGAAAGCCCAATGTAAACATTATCTTTCAATCATTTTGCTATCAATAACCCCTCTTTCCTCTCTCCCAAACATAACAGCATATGGAAATATGGTTTCCAAAGCACAGCTCTACTTTGATTCCTTAAAGTTCTTTGCATTCTAAGTGCTTTCCTTTTTACAATGTTGGGGACAAAGAAAGACAGAAATGTTAAGAGAATCAAATTCCAACTAAGTTGGGAGTTAATGTCTTAGAGGGAGTCGCTGCCCTTTAATATGTTGGAATGAGACTTTCAGCCTTTAATGAGGTCTGCCAATAGAGGCTCAGATGTTCAACAGAAAATAGTAGGGCAAAGAGGGAAGTGCAATGAGAAAATGTAAGTAAACACAGTTAATGGTGGTAATGTGTGCTAATAGGGCCATAATAATAAAAACAACAGATCTTGACTGTACAAAATTCTATTTGATTCTCCCCAATCAGAAACTATGTGGATATTATGAATATAGTTGTTTTTCTTGGTTTAAAAACATTATAGTAACCAAAGCAGAAATAAATAGTTCAGTATGACCATGCTGATTCATATTAACTGGGCTAAGAGTCAATTTGTTTTAGCAGAGGCTGAAATATAAAATTATTTTTAAGATAAAGTTTTCAATAATACTGTCTTATACTAGTATAGCAGAATGTAACCTAGACGTTGTTTTGTAGCTGAATGTGAGGCTAAAATTAGCAGAGCAAAAATTTCTATCTTGGTTCCTCCCAAAGTAATTGAAAGTCCTATAAGATTGTTTAATCCCTAAAGTATTTTAAGCATTTCTTTTTCAATTACACATTGTTTTTGAAGAAAGGGTTTATTATAGAAAAACCAAACATCTGCTTAGACCCTTTCACCAATAACTAATTCCTGATTGATGAAACCTAAATTCAGTAAATCACACTGTATTACAATAAATTCTTTGGAGCTCTATAATCTGGTGACATGGAGAGCATCTGCTTTAATTACCATCTTGTGACTAGCTCAATATGATTTCCATGAAGAGGCTGGCCTTTCTGAGGTGCAACCTAAAATTGTATGACATATTTGATGTTCTCATAGTGAAAACAAAAAGTTTTAGTCTTATTTTTCTTTACATGCTTTTTCTTGGCCTGTCCTTCCTTTCCTCTCAACCCATCATTATCATGGGTAAAAAAAAAATCTCATCTCCAAATAACAGCAATTGTTAAAAATTAGATATTATAAGTATAGTAGGGAAGCTTACTAGAAGGATTCCCTTTATAAAAACATTTTAAATAAAAATATAGTCAACACAAATTACAGCAAGCATAATTAGGATTTCTCTTCTACTGCTTTTTTTGTTTCGTTTTGTTTTTGAGAGGGAGTCTCACTGTGTCGCTCAGGCTGGAGTGCAATGGTGCAATCTTGGCTCACTGCAACCAGTGCCTCCCGGGTTCAAGCGATTCTCCTGCCTCAGCCTCCTGAGTAGCTGGGACTACAAGCACGTGCCACCATGCCCGGCTAATTTTTTGTATTTTTAGTAGAGACAGGGTTTCACCGTGTTAGTCAGGATGGTCTCGATCTCCTGACCTCGCGATCCGCCCGCCTTGGCCTCCCAAAGTGCTGGGATTAAAGGTGAAAGCCACGGCGCCCGGCCTCTTCTACTACTTTCTACAAGCAGAGGAATCCCACCTATATTCCTCTTATAAGCCCCCAGTGTTTTAATATAGCTCAATAAATAAAGGAAGCAACATGGCATAATGAAAAGAATGCTGACTCTGGAGTCCAAAAAACCCGGGCCAATTTTCAACAAGTTACTTAAACTTTCTAAGTCCCAGTTTCCTCAACTGTGAATGATAGATAATAACATCTGTCTTTTAGGGATGTTTTAAGGATTAAAAATAATGCAAATAAAGCACTGGCAAACAAAAGGTACTCAATGAATGATACCTCTAAGTATCACTAACAAAATATTAATCATTTGGACAATTGAGAATGTATTTTATGATCTTATAGTTCTGAAAAGAGGGGGCACAGGAGTAAGGCTTCATCAGATTCTAATGCCCTAGTTACTCCATCCTTATTTACTCTTCACTGATTAACTTTCTGATTTAGTAGCTTAATCTACTACCAGCACTTCCAGCTGCTCACCATCAATTTATTCCTTAACCCCTTTTACAGTATAAATTTGGGTCTCATCATCTACTCTCCATGACCTTATAAATGACAACTCTATCAGCTCTTTCTCTATGGTGGTTGTTCTTCTGTAACCTGAAGCAAGAGTCTTCCTTTCTGAAACTCTACTTCTTGACCTCACTGACTTGAATATTCTGGTTCTACCACCCATGTAACCATTCTTCCAATTTTCTATATTTCTCCAACAATCTATTTGATTTACACATTTTTATCTTCCCTTCTTCCCCCATCCATTTCTATAATATTTTCACCTTCCTCTCCATTTCCCTATCAGGACTCACTTGAAGTTTCATGATTTTCCAAAACAGTCTCTCCCTTTTCTTAACTACTAATGTGTACACTGCTGCGGGGGCTATTTGTCACCTTGTCCACTACTGTGACATATACTGATTAACAAATCAGCAGGAACCTTGAAATTTAGAACAAAAGAGCATGCATGTGTCTGGCAGGTTTAAGAGGGTCAGATTGTCCCCATAGGAAGGGAATGGGGAGTGCAGTCTGGGTGTGCTGATTATAACCAAAACCCTAACTGAATTAATTAAATGTTAATTTATATTTAAAGGGAGGGAACAGAAGAGTTCAAAAAGATAAATATAGAGTTTATGACTGCTTTCCCAATTTAAGCACTTTTTTTTTTCTTTGAGATGGAGTCTCGCTCTGTGGCCCAGGCTGGAGTGCAGTGGCACAATCTTGGCTCACTGCAAGCTCTGCCTCCCAGGTTCATGCCATTCTCCCGCCTCAGCCTCCCAAGTAGCTGCGACTACAGGCGCCTGCCACCACACCTGGCTAATTATTTTGTATTTTTAGTAGAGATGGGGTTTCACCATGTTAGCCAGGATGGTCTCGATCTCTTGACCTCGTGATCCACCCACCTCGGCCTCCCAAAGTGCTGGGATTACAGGCATGAGCCACCGCACCCGGCCAATTTAAGCACTTTTAAGGCTTACATTATTCTCTTAAATTTCCAAGCCTATACATCACTCAACATAATAGTAAATATAAATATTCCAGTAGCTAAAACCTAATCTTCATGGTACAGTTTAATAACTCATATATTATGTTTTCATTAAGTCAAGTACAAATGACTGAATTCTATGTATTTATATGAGAAAGCAACTAATGTTTGTCAACTATGAAAAGACTCTTTGTTCAAGAAAACGCACACCAAACATATATCACTTAACATTACTACTAAAAAGCTACCCTGATGCAAGGCTCACAACAAAAATAATTCAAACTAAAATGGAAAAGTACTGTGTTTCCAAAACTCTTTGATCTCTTGTATGTGGTACACTTAACATAACATTCTTACAAGGTACAAACAAGATTCAGGAATGCAAATTGATCTTGAACACTCAACGAATTAAAATGTAAATTATATTAAGTGCATTATATGAACAACAATTTTAAGTTCCCCCACCCTATCCCACCTCACTCCAAGATCACAGTATTTATTAAAATAGCAAAAGATGACACATCAACACAGAACAGAACAGTGATAATATAACAGGGTTACCAAAAATTAAAACTAAGTGTGCAAAGAGGAAAAATACTTAATAAGATGCTCAAATAAAATGATTAAATTTACTTCTCAGTAATATGGGGTGAAGAAAGAGTCCTAATTAAGAAAAACATTACGGTACTGATTAGAAAACATGGGCTATTACATCAGATAGAAATTGAGTTTAAACTTTGTGTACTTTATTGATGGTGGACGACTGTCTTAACCTCTGAGTCTCAGTTTATCTGTAGAATAGAAATAATAATCTTCACCTCACAAAGTTATATAGGGACTAAATGAAATTAATTATGCAAAATACTTAGTACACAAGCACATATTAAGATCTTTATAATTGTATTCAGTCCAAAAAGACCTAGACATTTTTAGAGCCAATCTATTTCAAATCTTCCAAGGAAGAGATTAATTGCCAGAGCACATGCAAAAATGGAAACATGGAAAGCTTCTCTCTCAGTCTCTCTTTTTACAAAGCTGGCATATTCAGAAATCAAAACCTTAAAAAGGTAATACAAAAGGAATACTAAAGATCAATCTCATATAGCAAATCAAATATAGCACTATTTTAAAGAGATATGCTATTATCAAGTTGCCTTTATCCCTAAAACAGCAACTGTTTGATGAAAGCTACTTGGAAATCTAACACAATTCATCAACCAATAGGTAAAAGAAGGAAAACCATATGATCATCTCAAGGTACATTAAGAGGGCATGTGATCAAACTGAATATCTATCTTGGTTCCCCCTGAAAAGGCATAGAAGACTATTTCCTTAACATACCATAAATAAAAATTTTGAACACACAACTGTGAAACCCTAAAGGCATTTCCATTTAAATGAGAAATAAGCCAAGGATCCTCACTGTTCACTGCTATAACTTAATATTATTCTAGAAGTTCTGATCAATGTCCTAAGAAAAAGAAATAAGGATTAAGTGTTAGCAAGAAGACAAAATCATTCACGCGCTTTACACATGCTATAATTTAGTTACTACAAAACACAATAAAAACTATCAGAATTAAGAGTTTCATAAAATGACCAGTTAGAAAACAGTATACGAGAATTAGCCATCTTTCTATGTTCCATCAGGTACACTTAATCCTCTTTATAAAATAATTTTAAGAGTTCCATTCCCAATAGAATCAATAAGTTTTAAAATATCAAATATACCACTTGAAAAATGGGCAGAACCCACATGAAGAAAACTACAAACTATAAAATACATGAAGAAAACTCAAAACTACATCTTTGAGTCATAAAAGATGACTTCAATAAATGATAACATTGTATTAATAGAGATAGTACAACTTTCTCTAGAAAATTAACTCAGATATTCCAGTGAGGTTCTTTTAGGATCCTAACTGCCTTTAATGTAACATGAATAAAGAAATACATGAGAAATACTGAAAATGTTTTGACAAAGACAATAATAAGTATTCACAAAACCATTTAGTGAAATACATTAAAAACTCACAATAATTAAGACAGTTTGGAATTACTAGAGCAAAAAGAAATAGCCCAATTAAACTAAATAGAAAAACCTAGAAAAAGTCATATATCCATATCTATAGACAGACAGAGTATACACACATGATTTGGTATTTAAAACCTCTGAAGACGATAACTGTTCAATAAACAGCATTAAAATAACTGAACCATCACTCTACATTAAAATACACTGCAAATAGACTAAAGATGTAAATTTTTTTAAAAACTGTGAAATTAATATAAGGAAACAGAGGTGAATAGTCACATAATTTGGAAATGCAAGCCCTTTCTAAGTAGTGAGGTATCATAAAAGAAAAATTTGATAGGTTTAAACACATTAAAATGTTAGCAATCTGTTTAAAAAGAAAATTCACATCAAAAACAAAATTAAGATAAAAATGACAAACTAGGGAAATTATTTGCAATGTAATTTGACAAAAGCCTAATAGTTTGTATACATAAAGAGCTCTCGTAACTTAGTTTTTAAAAATCTCCAGTATTATAATAGACAAAGGACACTAATAGATATTTCATAAAGGAAATAAGTATCTCTGGGTGGAGACATTATAAGTGTTATTTACCATTTATGCTTTCCTGAATTTTTCAAATTTCCTACAATGATTATTATATTAGTAATTAAGAAACTATAGAATGTTTACAATAAGGCTGTGACAATAATAATAACCAATATCATGCTAACATTGATATTTCCACTCTTTTAGGCTGCACCAAAATTAGGGATGCCTTCCTCTCTAGAAAAGAATCATACTTTAATTCTTTATCACAATGAAAGAAATTTTCAGAACTCTAGAAGACAATCAGACAAAACTTTTCACTTCCTCTCTATTTATGACCAAGTTACAATGCCAAATAATATTTGGATAAGCTATTCTGTTTTCAGCCCCCTATGAAAGCCAAGAGTCAAGGCTGAGGAACAAGCCCTGGACTTCAGAACCAGCAGGACTCAGATTTTTCCTATATCCAAATCCTGAGCCAGAAATTTTAAAAAGAAAAAAAAAGGTGGTGAGGTGAGGATAGGTATTACTTTTCTCAAGATAGAAAATGTGAGCCTTTGAGAACTTCTAGTCACAACTCTTCTCTGTCTCATTTAGGAGACAGAGGAATGATTTTATCCTCCAGTGTATTTAAAAGGCATATATCCAAAGGGCAAGCAAACAAGATTTCTTCTGAGCAAAGATACTTTAAATAGGAGATTTTCAAGTGTTAAATGTTCTTTTTCCTTAGTGCAGATATGCAGCCTAACTCTGAGAAGGGCAAAAAGACTCTGGCAGGACTTGGCTCTCAACAATAAGCAATAGTCAAACTGCTAATTCCATCTGCTCCCCTCCAAAAAATGACAAAGCATTACATGATGATGCCAGGGATCTCAGGCTCCATTTAAGGAATTGTTCTGAGGGGTATCCATTTTCACAATATTAAGATGCTCTCTAATTTTTTAAAGTACTTCAGAAGTACTTCAGGGAACCAATTTGGATACTATATGCCAACTTTGATGATGATAACAAAGAAATATACTGTCTTTAACATTATATTCTTAGAGATGTTGCTTCCAGGAATGTCTTCCTTTCTTACTAGCCAAAGCTCTGAATTCCATTCACTTCTATCTCCTCAGGGTCTTAGTTCCAATAATTATCTCATTTCCTGAATTGCTTAAGAATCTCTTCCTACTTGTCTCTACTCACTCTTTCCTTATGCATGTAAACAAACAAACATAACATTCCCTCAAACAATATCACTCTGCAATGGTTTTCAACCATGGCTGCACACTGGAATTACTTAAGAAACTATAAAAAAGTATCAATGCAAGTAATCAATAATGACACAAAGTAGACAGTGGTTTCCTGGGGATAAGAGGAAAAGATTATAAAGGCACACAGGAAACTTTTGGAGGTGAATATTATTTTGATTATGGTGATGGTTTTGCAGGTATAAACATATGTCAAATATCAAATTGTACACTTTAAATATATGTAGTATACTATATGTCAATTACACTTCAATAGAAAAGCTGTTGAAATAAATATTGATATCTGGGTTCAACACCCCCCCACACCAAATTGGTATAGGGATTCCCTCTGGAAAACAAAATTCTTTAAAGTTCCTGAGATTATTGTAAATTATTATTACATTATTGTAAATGCACAGCCAAGATTGAGAACCACTACTCAATGAAAGCTATAGCTATCATTTTCTCCCTTCTTTATTTCAGTTCTCTTGAAAAGTCTCACTTAAGCATGTCTACTTTATCACACCCATTCTTTCTCAATCTTCTGAAGCCTGGTTTCTGAACCACCACTCAGTTAAAACTGTTCTTGTTAAAGTTACCTATGGACTCCTGACAAATTCAGTGGTCACTGGGGCCCTCTCCTAACTTGACACCTCCTTACAGCATTCAAAATTGTTAACCTGTTCCTCCTCCACTGGAAAATCTCCCCGCCCTTGGCATCTTTCCTGATGGTCCTCCTACCTTGCTAGCTACTATTCCTCTAACTTTCAGACAATTCTTCTTCCTACTTCTGCTATTTATGAGAGTCTGTTCTCTGGCTGCCACTTTCACCAGGCTAAAGGCTTTCCCTGAGTCATTTCATCACAACTAAATCAATATAGCTTCAATTCAACCCCCAATCATCTCTCTAATCCTGATTTTCACATCCACAGATACAAACATCTATCTATATCTTCGCCTGAAGTTCCACTGCTTCCTCAAATTCAAAATAGCCAAAACAGAATTTATCATCTTCCTTCCATTTTTGTGTTCCTCATTTCCATCAACAGAACCCCAAGTCAAACCTTCACAGTCCTGAGTCCTCCTTTCTTCTCATAGGTGATTAGGACTTGTTAGTTTTTCCCTCACTCTGCCACAGTAAAGGTCTAAAATACAAATCCAATAAATGGCTTCTCATCTATCACGTTCAATCCAATCCCTTTAGCTAAGGATACCATTCCCTGATCTGGCCCTCTACCACCCTCACTATCTTCATCTGGCACCATTTCCTACTAACCCCTGCATTCAAGCCATATCAATGTCAATGTTATTGACTTTGTCAACTGCCAATGTCAATTGACACTGACTCGTCATTGTCAATGACTTATCTAAATTGCCACAGTTTCTCAGGCCTCCTTGCCTTCTCAATTACTATATCCTCCTCTTGGGAAGTTACTTACCTCCTGCACTTGGCAAAATCATATCATCCTTCACAACTTGGCTGTGTGCTCCCAACTCCACCTACACTCAAGGCAAGTTAACTATCTCCTACTCTAAACTCTCCTACTACACTAGGCATATCTCTATTCCCACTGACTACATAGTATTATAATTGTTAATTTACTGTAATGTTACTAACATCTTGTATGTTAGATAGTAAATTCCTTGAAGACAAGAGCTATGACATTCATTTCTGTATCCCTAGTACCTACTCAGCCTGGAAGAGTGAAAAAATAAATTTATGTTTGATATAATTTCAATCATTTATAAAATATAAACGATACCCCAAAATAGGTCTTGAATACTAAGATTTCTTAAAATTTCTTAAGATCCATTATAAAATAAATATTAGGCAACAGGATGCTGAATAAAACAGTACATATATTTAAACTCACCGTCAAAGACACCAGTCTAAAAAATACAACCCAGAGCAAATTTCATAAAACAGAAATACAACAATGAAAGGAAGCAGAGCAAGGATAAACGCTGACCCAGCTAATGCCTTATCGGGTGTCTGTATCCAGGTACTGCTAATGCCGATGACTAAGAAGGTTTCTAATCCTTCTAATCCCTCATGGTAATTTCAATAAATCGAATAAGGATAAACGAGCCAAATCCAGAATTTGTTTCCTAAATATGTGATGCTTTTCCCCCTTGCCACTTGGTTTGATTGAACTGATTATTTGAATAGCTGACTTTGAAGCCACTATTGGCCAAGCAGATCTTAAATGTTTTTCCTTCCTTGTCTTTGCCTGCACTTCAAAAATATGGTGGTTTAGACTACTATTCATCCTGTAAACCTTAAAATGTATTCACCTAAAGAAAAAAAAATACTTGGAAATGTCGGGGGAGGTGGGGTGCCTGTGGATGTTAGCAGTAGAATGTTTTCATGGAAAACAAGCCTCCCAGTCTTTCTGACTTTATGGCAATAAGATTTGAAAGCTGAAAACCTCAAACTGTAAAGTGTTACATGAACCAAAGAGGTGGCCCACCTGCTCCAAAAACTACTGTGTGATCCAAGGATAAATAATTTGCAAAAGGTCAGCTTGGCCCTACTGCCTGTAGGGCAGTCTCTGAGATAAGAAGTAGCTGCCGGTGGAACAAATTCCCCCTACCTGAAGAGCGCCGCGGCTGCCAGGCTTGTGATAGTGTATTTCTCAGAGAGCAGATTCTGTGCAGTACTAAACCACTTAGGCAAAATTAAAATCTTTCAGGAATGTCTAAACTCACAAAGCACACATGTGCAAGCTGACGGGCAGACAGCAAATTTCGGGGAAGCGTACAAACTTGGGGGTGTTTTAATGCAACCATTTTCAGCCAAACCCCCGAGGATTCCCGAGTATGTTAAAATGAGCCTCAGGAGAGGAATAACTCATAGAAAGAAGGGGCAAGGGCTCAAGAAGAGATCTTCAGCGAAATAACCAAGGAAGGAAGCGTGGCTGCTGTCTGAACCTCTCCGCCCTGCAGGGGACCAAAGACCGACTCGGGCCAACGCTGCTCTCCAGGGGGCGAGGGCGGGGGGTCGACAGTGACCATTGTGGCCACCAGACCGGACGGACAGTGGCGGCCTCGCCGAAGTAGAGGGCGCGAGTGGGAGAGGAGGCAGAGGCCAGAGCATCCGCCGCGGCAGGGAGGGGACGGGGGGCTCCCGCCCCAGGCCCACCCGGCAGAGGGGCGGCCGGTGGGGCCGAGGCGGCGGCACCCGGGTCACAGCAGGAGGCTGGACTGCTCCTCGCCGGGAAGGAAAGACCCGAGTCGCGCGCACAAAGCTGCCGCCCTCCAGGCAGCGGGCAGGCTGCGCCCAACTTCGGGGCGAGCAGCGCCGGCCGCAGCCCACCCGCCCGCCAGCCGCCCCCAGCGCCCCGCGCCGCCTCGCACCCACCCATGGCGCCTCGCGCGGGAGCCGTTACCCCCAGTGGAGCCGCGGCCCCAGGGACAAAGTCCCGGTCCTGTCCTCGCCGCCGCCTCGCCCCGGCTCCTCCCTGACAAAAAAAAGTTATCCGTTGCCGGACGCCCTGGGGGCCCGGCGTGGGTCTCTCGGCTGGACTCACCAGGGCGGCTGCCGGAGCTCCACCTGCAGGACCTCGACTCGTGAGGCTCTCAGCGACAGCGACGGAGGCTGCTCTGCTTCCTCCCGAGTAGCAGCACCACCTGCTCCCCTTCTTCCTAGCAGAACGGGTCCCGGTGAGCCATCTTCCCCCTCCTCTCACTGACTGACAACCCAGCCGGGAGAGCCACCACTGCCGCCAGCCTCTCTGACAGGCACGACCAGGGACCCGTCCTCAAGCAGCCAACCACCACCGCCCCACGCCAGTTCAGCCTATCGCCGTCCTCCGGGGCGGGATCAGAACAACTTCTCCACCAATGAGAATCTTCTTCTGCTGGGCCTGGGGCGGAGCCATGAGGCGCCTTGAGTGGGCGTGGTCTGAGCAATGGGCGTGATCCGGGCGTCCGAGGGAAGTTGATTGACTGTAAGGTTTGCGGTGGCCGCTAGGCGATGACAATCAGCGAAGGTCTCTTAGATTCTGAGCCGTTAGGGCTTATGGCCTTCTCAGAAAAAAATAAACCTTACCGGATGATGTGAAGGGTATCAATTTGTTTCTCTTTTGTGAGAAAAGAGAAACAAATTGATAATTTACTAGTCAGTAGGATTTACTTCCCTGTAATTAAATTCACAAGAATTTATCAAAATCTTATCAAATCCCGGGAGGAAAAAAAAATTACGTTTTTGCAAAATGGAAATACAAACTTCCCCCTCACTACATCATTGCTTTTGGGCTTAGCCTGGAAAAAGTCAAATACGATGCCTCAGTTTTCTTTCCATGGGGGTTGTTTTTATTTTTTCCATCATTCCTCCCTACTTTTTCTCTGAACATATACTAAATGTTTTGTATAATAACTGGAACCCGAGAACACCTGAACCTGCGCCTGCAGACAGTACTGCTGTTTTTGACCTTGTAAACCTCTCCTACCACATCCTTCTCAAGACTGGTCAGGATTAATTAGAAGAAAAACTGACCTCCACCCTAGAAGACAGGAAGTTCATTCTAGCTTTACACTAGAAATGGGCAGGATTTCTCCAGAAACACTAAGTGAACTTTTCAAACATGCTGAACTCATAAATAACAAGCACATAAATAAGAAGATATATTACTTGATATCAAAAGGGTATCAAGCAAACAATTTCAGGTAATTATTAGGGCAGATTGCTAAAACAGATAGGATCCCCCTCCAAAGGGAGGATCAGATTAATGAGTAAATAATAACAAACTACAGTGATAAGGACAATAGAGATTGGTTCAATGAGCAATGGAAACAGAGGACAAGAAATGACTGTTTAGGAAAGTCAGCGAACTCCACAAGGAAGGTAATGTTTGAGTTGGATCTTAAAAGGTAAATGGGAGTTTGCCAGAGAAGAAAGTCAAAGGGTATTTCAGAAAGGGAGAACACCATGTTCAAAGGCATGGAGCTGTGAAAGGGCACAGAGCCATTGTGGAATGTTGAGAAGGTAGATGGGGTTAAATGATGAGGAACGGCCAAAAATTGGGCTGGAGCAAAAGGTTGAGGTGAGATTGTAAAAGACCTCACAAGCTACACTAAGATATTCAGACAAGCACTGTCCAGCAGAGCTTTCTGCACTGGTGAAAATGTTCTATATTTGTGTTGTCCAAAATAGTAGCCATTAGCCACATGTGGCTATCAAATACTTGAAATGTGGTGTGACTGAAGAGCTCAATGTATTTATTTATTTATTTATTTATTTTTGAGACAAGGTCTCACTCTGTCACCCAAACTGGGGTAGAGTGCTTAAGTGATCCTCCCACCTCAGCCTCCCAAAGTGCTGGGATTACAGACATGAACTACCATACACGGCTGAAACTCAATTTTTAATTTTTTTTTTTTTTGGCAGAGTCTCCCTCTGTCACCCAGGCTGGAGTACAGTGGTGGGATCTTACCTCACTGCACTTCCACTTCCCAGGTTCAAGCAATTCTCCTGCCTCAGCCTCCTGAGTAGCTGGGGTTACATGAACTCACCACCACACCCAGCTAATTTTTGTATTTTTTGTAGAGACAGGGGTTCACCATGTTGGCCAGGCTGGTCTCGAACTCCTGACCTCAGGTGCTCCACCCACCTCAGCCTCCCAAAGTGCTGGGATTACAGGTGTGAACCACCATGTCTGGCATTAATTTTTAATTTTAACTTTAACAACTCCCATATTGGATAGCTCAGGTTTAGATTTTCTTCTTAAGGCAATGAGGGACAGACAACAGCTTTTAATCATGTGGACAATGCAATCAGGTTTCTTTTAAATGGTGAGAATCCAAAGAAAAAAAAACAGGGTAGAGAGGAAATTCTTGACAGATCAGACTGACTTAATTTAGGTCCCCTTGGCCAGAGCCTGTTCAGGACAAGTGTTTACTCAAAGAAATAGGGAGAGGAAGATCCAGGCAGCATGTTATTCATCTTAGAGAACACAAGCAGTCAAAACCTGAGACGTTGAATTCTGCCGTCAAGTCCCATTGAGTAGGAGAGTGAGGGACCAAGGAAGGAAAGAAACCGAGTCAGCCAGATCATAAGATAGAGAGAAACAAGAGTGGGCAAAAGAGTGCACACCTACGCGCATGCACACACACACACACACACACACACACACCATCAGTTTTACTGGCCATTGGCCATGTGTGCCAGTAATGTGTTGACCTGATTTGAAGAGCCAAAGTTTCTGGTGGCAGGAAGCCCAGCCAAGACCAGGACAAGATTCCAGGAGAGAATCTCGAACCAAACCTGTGGAAGTCAGGATGGAAGGGACAGGTAAATATTATTGACTTCCTGTACTGTACAAGGCACGTGGCTTGTCAAGGATACAGATGAATGCTAGAAGCTTGCTTATAGTATAGTTAGCTGCATAACAAACAGATGAAAGGTTAAGCAAAGATTAAAGTAATTATTTAATGCAGCAGTGGAGAGATTACATAAGGCAGTACATAATCGATTCATTGTTCAAATGATTTTCTAGGCATTAGCCGCTGTGTTTTCAGAGGAGGATGCAAGCACTGCAGTCAAGGGCAGTCAGGGAAGGCTTCATGAAAAAGGCAAAATGGGCTGGGTCTAGAAAACTGGGGAGGAATTTGAACCAGATAAAATGGTGAGAAAGTAACTCCCAGAATGCCTGGAGAAATAACACAAGAGGGGAAGCACAAGCAATGTTCAGAGGGCATGGGAGGCAACTTGAGTCAGCCAAGCCTGGCAAGCTAGGTTGCAGATAGATAATAGAACACCTTGAAGGCAAGCTCAGTTGTTCAGATTTTCTCCTTTTGCCTTGTGGCTTCCTGTCTGCTCATTAGAATCACTTAGGATGCCTTTCAAAATTATCAGTACTCAAACCGCACCCCACAGTAAATAAATAAATAAATTGGTGTGTGAGGCTAGTCATTGGGTTTTTAAAAAAGCTTCCCAAGTGGTTCTAATATACACCCAAGGTTGACAAAAGGGAAATAATATAACATGTTACTAGTGCCAAATCAGTGCCGTGCATAGGATAGATTGAGTGGAGAGAAACTGAAGTTTGGCTATGTATATTTATATATAATTTGTTTCCTTCCTGCAAGAAGACAGGAAGCAGTTTACTGCCTGACTTCACTTCCCATTTTGCAGTGGTAAGGTAGTATAGAAGGCAATTTAAGTTGTCTTCCCTCTAAGTCAGAGTAAAACGAAAGCACAAATTTATGTTTCCAGTCTACTCTCCTTTCCATCACAATTTGTGCATATAAAAATAATTTCCAACAATAACAGTCTGCAGTTAAGTTTTACACATAGCCGTTTATATTTTAATCGCAAAGCACCAGAAAAAATGCCTAAGAGAACATTCTGTTTCAAAAGGAAAATGCTTTTAACCTACTTTATAAAAGTCAACATATTCCAGATCTTTCCTGCTCATCTTTGCTAGTCTCTGATATCCACACGCATAATTCTAAAGTAACTATTAAAATGCATTTATCTTCTTGCAAATAACTGTATAAAAGTGCCAGTTGAACATTATAAACATAAACATTTTCCCTATGACATTAAATTTCAGGAATTTTAAGAAAAATTTAGTTCAAATATCTTTCTCTTTTTTTCTTTTTCTTTTCCTTTCTTTGTTTCGTTTTGTTTTTGAGACAGAGTCTGATTCTGTCACCCAGGCTGGAGTGCAGTGGCACCATCTTAGCTCACTGCAACCTCCACCTCCTGGGTTCAAGCGATTCTCGTACCTTAGCCTCCTGACTTGCTGGGGCTACAGGTGTGTGCCACCGTGCCTGGTTAATTTTTGTATTTTTTTGGTAGAAACATGGTTTCACCATGTTGGCCAGGCTGGTCTCGAACTCTTGGCCTCAAGTGATCTGCCCACTTTGGCCTCCCACAGTGCTATGATTATAGGTATGAGCCACCATGCCCGGCCTAGTTCAAATATTATATATTTCTATTAAAGTCAATTGGACAACAACTGTTGTTAAAATGGTTAAAATAGATAACATGATTATTTTAAATTAAAAAGAATTTTGTTTAAAAAAACATGAAAAATATGTCAAAATGTTGCTTTTGTGGTATGTTAAACATTCTTTAAGAAAAAAGAAAATCAAAGAAATGAAGTCAAAACAAAAAGAGTGTGCCTGAGAGGTCATTCAAGGGCTTGCTATATCAGATTCCCTTTTTAAGGGAACTACCCCAGCCAGTGGACCCAGCTGAGGCAGCAACCTGAGCCATGATCTATACCATACAACCCCCTTCATGAACTGTATAACCCAAGGGCAGCCAACCTCAAGAGGTGACCTGACATGAACACCCACTCTCTTTCAAGAATTTGAACTGGAAATAGGAAGAGAAAATCACGTGGTGGAAGCAGAAGCTAAAAAATCAGTCAGTAGAAAGAAGCCCTGAGAAGCTATAAAAAGGGCACGTTTTCAGTAAACTGAAGCCATTAGGTAGCGTCAAGACGTATAAAGTGGATGGTGAAGTAATAGGTAACAAAGGAGTGGCAGAAGTAGAGACAATGGAATGAGTCACGGTAACAAAGATGGGGATCAATGAGGTCCTGTTGTGGAAAGGACAATGAGATAATCCATTTCCTGCAGCTGCACTGAATTGCTCCAGTTCCCAGTGTTTGCATTCAACATCTGTGAGTTCCAACTGCAGCTGTTCCCAGAGTCCCCGAAATTCCCATCTCCATCACCTATTCTAAGTAAATCATTGTGTCTTTCACCCCTGTGTAAACCAATACGTAGACTTCCAGAATCATGCATTCAGTGAAAGAAGCTGGACCAATTGCATTTTGTGAAGAGAATTTTGGTTTTTCTAGGAGTAACATCTCTCAAAAGAAGAAAACATTCTTCACATCTTAAACAACAAGACATAAATTAAAACTTTATAATGTTATATTTTAAGGGGAAAAACGTCTCCTTTCTCTTGTCTTTTAATAGCTGCACCAACCTGGTTCATATTTACGAGTAGGTCATATAGATAGGAGTGGAAAACATAATGACTAACTGCTACCCTCACATGACTGGAAATGAAAAATATCCACATTTATCTTCTAAGACATTTTATTAACCAATGTCTTCTAGAAGAATTCCTGTCAGGAGAGGATTATTATGCAGCTTTTATATATCATGTTTTTGAAAAATATTTGATGACATGGGAAAAAGACATTTCTTTCATCATGTTAGATGAAACAGATGGTTACAAACTGCACAGTATATGACATGGTCACTATCTGGCAAGTGTTCATGTCAGGAGGATATATCAGCAACATATAAGCATGGAGAAATCATAAGTGAATTTTATCTTCTTCTTCATACATGTTTTCAAATTACCAAATGTTCTACAATAAACAAGTGTTGGTTTTATTAAAAAAAAAAAAAAAACAAAAAAACAGAAGTGTGGCCGGGCGCGGTGGCTCACACCTGTAATTCCAGCACTTTGGGAGGCCGAGGCAGGCAGATCAAGAGGTCAGGAAATCAAGACCATCCTGGCCAACATGGTGAAACCCCATCTCTACAAAAGTACAAAAAGCTAGCCGGGCATGGTGGCGGGCACCTGTAGTCCCAGCTACTAGGAGGCTGAGGCAGGAGAATCGCTTGAACCCAGGAGGCAGAGGTTGCAGTGAGCCAAGATCGTGCCACTGCACTCCAGCCTGGCAACAGAGTGAGATACTGTCTTAAAAAAAAAAAAAAAAAGCAGAAGTGTACATTATTTCTTTAGATGAAGACACAGCAGACTGTGCCTTGCTTATTGTTAATTCTGCCTAAGTGAACCTCAGTTAAACATTCTTCCTTTCACTTTTAGCTAATGCATTATTCAAAATTCTTTAAAATGTTCTCATAAATTCCACAGAGAAGCTCTGGTTATTGCTGACAAGCAAAAGACCTTGCTAATGAGTATTTAGTATAGAAGCATGAACTTGTATACAGATTTTCTCTGACAAATGGTGGCCCAGCGAACAGAAAATAACATGGGGAAAATACATAGGTAAATATGATAAACTGACTCCCGCAGAAGAAGTTGAACTTTTTTTGTCATCTTTGGACCCCCTGCAATAGTATAGTGCTTGGCCAATGGAGGACCTTCAAAAAGACAGGTTAAAGGAGCACATGAAAAGATGGCCATTTTCCTCCTCCATCTTATATTGGTTGGGTTTGAATCTTTTTCAGGTTTACACACCTGTCCCCAAGCATACAGGCCAAGGATTGGAAAATGTGACTTCTCCCGTTTCTGACCACTGGCTGCATTCATTAGATGCAGTTTAACACTTCATTGTGTATCACCTTTTATCTTTCCAAAATCATTTCCCATGTGTTAACCCCTCACCCAGAGAGCAGAGGCAGCAATCAAGGCACACACTTCCTTGGTTCCTTTGCTAAGTGGTTCCCACAAAGGAATTCAACAAGCACAAGCACTGGATGAAGGGAGGGTGAGTTTGGGAACTCGGCCCAGCTGCAAGAGGAGGGATGAAATGCCAGAAAGAGGCATACCCCCAAAAAGTTTTGCCAGCTGACTCTCGCTGGTTTGTAACTCTGTGCTAAGGGAGTCCAATGTATGAGTAATACTTCCATTTTTTCAATTCTGTTCTCATTTACTTAGTCATCAGCACCACACCCTGATACTTATGCCAAAAAAAAAAAAATTCAGCAAGCGAGTACATCATCAAAGTTCAATAAGAACAAGTGTGGCTTCCATTTCCTCTACCACCATGTGGAAGTGACCCATCCCATTATCAAAACCCCTGTTATGCTGGCAGAGGCAAAGCACTTATTCTCTCATCTTCTCTGCTTACCTGAAGCAAGTCCTCAGCATAGACATGTCTAGGGCCAGCTACCCTGTCATTGAAAGGGCATCATCCAAAAAACCTCTACCCCTGTGGGTTGGACCATGATACTAACCTTTAAAGCACTCTTGAGGGTGTTTTTCAAAGTTGAGTTGCACCAGGATGAGAAGTCACATTAGTCATCAGCAACTTAGCTAAGATTAATTGGTTAGGTCCCTAAGAAAGTGTGGGGCTTTAGGGGAAAAAAATGGGGAGGGCAGTGGGAGGAAATGTAGATATCTGAGCCTGGAAGAGTATCCAGGGAGGACTCAATCTCTGGGGACCATGAACAGTAAGACACAACCAAGGCTGAGAAGAATCAAAGCAACTGTTGAAGGAAATAAGATGAATCTAAAGGGTCAAAGGGGGCAGACTATGTTGACCTGGATCAGTCCTACAAGCTCTGCAACTGGAACTTTTGTAAAAAAAACATTGAAGTATAATATACATATAGGAAAGTAGAGACAACAAAAATATGATTAGTTCAGTGGATTTTTACAGGCAAACACTGCAACCAGGTCAAGAAAAAGAATATTGATGCAATCCAGAAGCTCCCTTGGACCGCCTGCCAATCATCACCCTGTCTCTTATTCTCAAAGACAACATCTGTTTTGACTCATGATGGTTTAGTTCATCTATGCCTGCTAAATTTCATGTAAGTGGAATCATATGGGATATATGCTTGTGTGTCTGGTTTTTTTCTATCAAGTTTGTGTTTGTGAAGTCCATCTATATTTCTTATTGGAATTGTAGTGTGTTCATTTTCATTACTGTTAGGTATTCTACTATATGAATATGCCATGATTTGTTTGACAGTCCTACAGCTGATGGATATTTGGGTTCTTTTCAGTTGAGACTATTACGAAGAATGCCGTTTGGAGTATTCTTGTACGTGCCTCTTGGTGCACATCTACATACTCTTCTGTGGTATATATCCAGGAGGGGTATTGTTGGGAAGAAGGTAGGCATATGCTCTCCTTTATATAATACAGCCAAATGACTTTCCAAAGTAATTGTATCACTTACACACCCACCAGTGGAATATGAGAGTTCCAGTTGCTCCACATCCTTGCCAATATTTGTATTATCAGTCTTTTAAATTCTAGCTATTCTGGTGGGTGTGTAGTGCTATCTCATTGTGGCTTTAATTTGCATTTCCCTGATGACTCACACAGATTTTTTCGTGCTCTGCAATTTTAAAGCAACTCTGCATGTCTGTTTCATTGCAAATCGTTCCTCAGCTGTATTGAGATTTAAAATCAACAACCATTTATTAAGTCCCTACCGTGAGTCAGTCTACATACGTTAGATGCCTCCATGTGCCCGGCCTGAAGGTGGTGGTGAGAGAGTTTTTTTCTGGACTAAGTGGTTTCTGGTCAGTCCTGCTGGTTTCGCTCTAGGATATATTATCACTGACATTGTGGAGAGAGCACTTCCGGGAAGAGAATGTCCCAGCAGGGCTGGGGGCAGAGGGCAGGAATGGGGTTGAGTGTAGAGAATGAAAACCAGCTGGATTTTCAAGCTTTCTGGCTTAAGAATAGTTGATGACAGTTTCTACAACTACATAATTTAACCTATCAGCCATAAAATAGGATAATGTTTAATACTGCTACAGATAACACTAGTCCTCATAAACAAGGGAAAAGTGAACTATAACAGTTGTTTGATGATACTATGAAATAAAAATCTCCCAGAAAGATCTTTCTCTGAATAACTCATAGAAAAAACAGTTTCTCTGAAAATGTGGATGAACCTCTGGTAACATGATGATTGTTGAGGGACAAAGACAGGTTTACTTAACCTCAAATCCCATCTGTCAGAGTTTTGTCCAAAGACGCAACAGCGGCCAATGGGAAGCTCCTTCTGTTTTAGAAAAAGAGGCTCTGAATTGCCTTCCTGTGCATCCTAACCAAGAGGGGATGCTAGGTGGGTGTTCCCTTGCTGCCTGCATTACAGACTGACTGGAGTATATGAACATTCCATCACAGGGTCTATTTATCACACTGAGACATTGTAAATGTGGAGAGAGTAGCCAAGAGTGAGAAAATGGGGCAAGTACTTGGGAAGGGTAACACATTACACACTAAGTAGCCACCCTGAACAGTTAGATATCAGAACCCCTGCAGAAATCTCACTGGAAGGGAAACCCTAAAGGATAGTTAAGCCTCAACTGAGCAGAGGGCCAAGGACAGTCTGAAATGTGGGACCACATTCAATGAAGCCTCATTCAAAAGGAAAGAGAGTGGCTCCAGGCTAAGCCAGGGCTTAGAGATGGAAGGGGAAGAAGGAACCTTGGAAGAAGGTGTGGGTATGAGGTCACTTAAAAGAAAGGTCAATCAATTCCCAGTTTCCCCAAGGCTGGCCCTGAAGCATGGAAACCTTAAGTGCCCTACATTCCTCAGGTGGCCCAAGCCACCACTAACCCTAGTAGAACCTAATTTTGGCCACCTCCATCACCTATTGAGATTGCCACACGGAATACCTGTGGCATAGTTGGATGGATCAAGCTGACCTCTCCTGGTGAGCCAGTTCTTCAGATCCATCCAGCTCAGCCAATGAGATATAGCCAGGCTTTAATATAAGCCTGCTTTTATTCCTGTGCAATTTGCGCCTTGTGTTTGCAGAAACTGAGAATGTTTTCCTTATTCGGATGAATAGCCTAGTGTTGGCAGCCTATGTGTGCCTGCAGAGGAAATCTTCATCCCTCTTTTTCCTTGCCTAGGAGATACCAGAGATCTGAGCAAGTGGAATTTTGAGGCTGAAGTAAGATAATGAGAAGACCCAGAGAGATTATAAAAGATGCAGAGTGAGAGAATGGAAAGAGCCTTGAACCAGAAGTCAGGCTTGAGCTGAAAGCTCACATCGCTCTTGTAAGATGTGTGTTCTCAGTTTTCTTATCTGTAAAATGAAGGGACTGAACTCTGATCTGAAAGTAAAATGTTCTGTTCATTGAGCATAGGGGGCTTGTTCAAAGTTGTTACCCGTTGTTACCCAGTGTGACAAAGGAGGCCTGGTTATTCTTCGTTTCCTCCTGAGATCCTCACTTGCTCTGGTACCTGAGATTCTCTCCTCCTCACTCTGTTGCTCTGCATCTCCTGCATCATAGCTAAATGTCTATTATAGATATCCCAAATGTGACTAGAAATGTCTGTGAGGTCTGACTAGAAATGTCTATGAGGTTCAACTAGATATGTTGAAGATGTGAAAGGTTGGCAGAAAGGTGATGAGTTTGCAGTAGTGGAGAATAAAACCCTGAGATTTCAGAGCATGAAAGAGCTTAGAAGGGGAAGGAGAAATGACAAACTTTTAAAAGCAAAAATAGCTTGGATGAGCCCTTTCCTGAAGTGTGTACCATGAAGCCCTGACACTGTAAGCCCCTCCCATGGGGCTCGGTAGGTGCAGAGGTTATGGTCAAATAAGTTTGAGAAATAGTGCAAAATGTGCCTCCTTCTCGGAGTTCCCCAAAGCTTATTAAAGGCACTGAGAACTTCTGTAGCAAGAATCCTGTTTAATGGTTGAACTCCCATGTTTCTTCCTCAAAATTTTAGCCATGACAACTTTTAAAATAACATCTATTATCATTATCTTGTTGAAATTACAAAGAATACCCTTTGAGAAACACAGTATATCATGCTGGGAGCAGAAACTCGGGAAATAAAAAGGAGGGAAACATGATTCCTATCTTCTTCATCTCCTATGTCCTGGGCAATATGACTCTTGCCCTGGAATCCAAAATTAGACTGCTCTTCTTTTTCACCCCGATGAACATACTAGCAGAAAATGTTCTATAGAACATTCTGACAGAGCAGACTGGCAAATGTTAGGTGTTCCAAAAATATATGTTGAATGAATTAATGATCGAATGAAACAAAAGTTACCCTGAACCAGTTAGCACAATATCTGAAGCAGAGCCAAGTAGCAACAAATGCTGTTACTACTACACACCCTGTTCTTTGGTGTAGGGGAAACAGAAAAGCTCAAACTGTTATTTGTCCCCTTCCAAATGACTTAAAGATTTAGATCAGCTCTGTCCTCAGGTAATATATATTTTCTGAAAGAGAACCAAATACTTATGCCACAATAAAATGACCTTTACACAGAGAAGCCTTAAATGGAATTGTATCAGAATCGTAGACAAAAATGTTGTTTGCTTACAGTCATAAACAATGAATCTCGTGTTTCTATGAGAAAGAAATGGACTGGGTAAATATATATATATATTCCAGTTCTGTGATGTTAGGAGGAGGACCTAGTATGTTATTTGAGCATTTTTTTCCTTTTAATATCCTTACCATAGTTGCAGCTATTTACAGTAACAATATGATAACATAAAGGAGTTGGATTAACTTATTTACTCCTACTTATATTTATAAAACAGAATAGAGGCTCTAAAAAACTGGCAATAGTTAAGATTATGTGGATCAACTGACATAAAATGAATTTATCTTGTCTAAGAATTTCAAGTGTTTCCTAATTTAGTAATATTCTGAAGTATGTTTCCCACTGACAACTGCTCACTAATCACAGTGAATCTTTTGAAAGACAATTGTTTTTCCTGCCCACAGTAAATCAAGAAAACACTAAGAATAGGGCTGTGCTTTTATTAAGCACTTTCTGTGAGGTAAAGCACAGAAATAGATTCGTATTTAAGTGTGTATTATCTCATTAATGAAAGCTACAGTTGCCATCCTGGCTAACACGGTGAAACCCCGTCTCTACTAAAAATACAAAAAAATTAGCCGGGCGTGGTGGCGGGTGCCTGTAGTCCCAGCTACTCGGGAGGCTGAGGCAGGAGAATGGCGTGAACCCGGGAGGCGGAGCTTGCAGTGAGCCGAGATTGCGCCACTGCACTCCCGCCTGGGCCACAGAGCGAGACTCCGTCTCAAAAAAAAAAAAAAAAAAAAAAAGAAAGCTACAGTTGCCAGCTATTTGGATGAAAAAAAGCTGGCATTAAGTTAAAATATTTCTTATTTTCAAATACACGTTTTCATTTTATTGTCTTAGGAATTTACCTGACTTTAGGTAGTTAAGTGTGGCCAAAATAACAGAAGTTCTGATTTGATCTAGCTTAAACTAGGACATTTGCACAACCTCTCATACCAGAAGGTACAGAGGAAGATCAAGCCTCCGGCTTAGCTGATTCACTGGCTCAATGATGTAATCAAACACTTGGGCTCTATCCATCTCTCTGCTCTTCCATCTACGGTGCTGGCTTTTGACCGAAGCTAGTTCTCTCCTCATGGTGATAAGATGGCCAATTGCAAGGACTGGAGCAATATTGTTCACTATTCACCTACAACAGGAGAGAGGAAATCCTCCCACCAAGGAACATAAATCTTTGCCTTTAGTCTGACTGGGCCAACTTACTACACTTGCCTGTCCCTAGAACAGGGAGCTGCCACTGATGGTCCTAAACCCGTGATTCTCAAAACAGGGTCCTCAGAGCGGCAGTTTAAGCTGCTGGGAACCTGGAAACCTGTTAGAAATGAACATCTACAGAGTCAGAAATGCTGAGGGTGGGGTCCAGCAATCTGAGTTTTAACAAGTCCTCCATATATTGTATAGTCTGAGGACTACTGTTTTAGGCTAAACAGAATTTACTTCTAGAGATGGGGAAGGAGAGGATACATGGAGAAAATTGAGGTTCTGTTAGAAAGGAAGAAGGAGAAGTTATGTTTATTGAGCTCATAACAGTGTTCACATCCTGGATTTTTCAAGAATAGTATTAGTTTCAAATATTCTGTTTCATGTGGTTCACAAAACATGGCCATTAAGTTGACTATCTCGGCTGGGCACGGTGGCTCACACCTGTAATTCCAACATTCTGGGAGGCCAAGGTGGGCAGATCATCTAAGGTTGGGAGTTTGAGACCAGCCTGATCAACATGGAGAAACACTGTCTCTACTAAAAATACAAAATTAGCTAGGCAAGGTGGCTCATGCCTGTAATCCCAGCTACTCTGGAAGGCTGAGGCAGGAGAATCACTTGAATCTGGGAGGCAGAGGTTGCTGTGAGCCGAGATCACGCCAATGCACTCCAGCCTGTGCAACAAGAGCGAAACTTGGTCTCAAAAAACAAAAAGGAAGAAAGAAAAGAAAAAAAGATGACTATCTCAAAAACTCTTGAAATCCTCCTGTGAAGCACAATGTCTTAGAAAGATAATGAGAATATGCCAGGACACAAAATAGCTGAATTCCAATTCTAGTTATGTCAGTGGTTCATCCTATGTCTTTGAGAAATTCACTTAGACTCTCTGGACCTCAGCTTTTATTTCATAAGAGTGTTGGAACAGAGTGTTTAAATTTCTAAAAATGAAAACAATTATAGCCAGCATTTATCATGCACTTACTATGTGCCATGCTCTGTCAAATATTTTTTTCTCATCTTCTTTGTGATGGTATCTGCCAAAGATTTTATTTATCACTCTGTCATTTAATACTTAGAATAGTTCCTGTGAAGGATATAACTTGCCCAAACTCAGTGGGCTGCTGAGTGAAGAATCTGGGACTCAGGTCTGTCTGACTCCCAAGTCCATTTACTTAGTCATTACACTATACTGCAGCCCCCTCCCCAACCTCCATCAAACTCCAATTCTGTCATTCATTTGTTTTCATGTGGTTTCGTTCCTTATACCTTTTAGAAAAAAAGCAGTTTGGTGAAATTAAAGAATGTGAACTTTGAATTCAGCCTATAATTTGAATCTTGGCATCAATATTCCTCTGATTGATGACTTTGGGTAAGTTAGCTTCTCTGAAACTTTAATTTGTAATCCACAGAATAACATTTTTTACCTGGCATTAAAGGAGGATTAAAGGAGATAAAACATATAAAAATAATTTATATAGTGTGTGGACCACAATAGGTATTCAAAATATGTTCATTTCTTCCCCTGCCTATTGCCCTATGGAAAATGTTATTTGATGCACAAGAGGGAAATATTTTGGAACGTTTATTTGTTTCTCAAAATAGATATTTGCATTTATAAATGACCTTACTAAGTACCACTAGGAATGGAAAAATTCTGCCTGAATCTTCTTGGCTAAAACTTTTCTAGACCTAAGAATACAGACGGATGACCTTGTCCAGGACAAGAACACTCTAGTACCTTCCATCAGCCTCCCCATAGCCACCCTCTCCCAACCATCATTTCTTAGAGGCTTTTTCAAATGGGATGCACATGGTCCACATTTGAATCTGGAAGACTATTTTCAAATTTCAGAAGTGTCCATTTTTTTTTTTTTTTTTTTTTCAGACAGAGTCTAGCTCTGTCACCCAGACTGGAGTGCAGTGGTGGGATCTCGGCTCACTGCAAGCTCTGCCTTCCGGGTTCATGCCATTCTCCTGCCTCAGCTTCCCGAGTAGCTGGGATTACAGGCGCCCGCCACCATGCCCGGCTAATTGTTTGTATTTTTAGTAGAAACGGGGTTTCACTGTGTTAGCCAGGATGGTCTCGATCTCCTGACCTCGTGATCCGCCTGCCTTGGCCTCCCAGAGTGCTGGGATTACAGGCGTGAGCCACCGCGCCCGGCCAGAAGTGCCCATCTTAACCTGTGTTACTCTCAAAATGAAACAGTCTGTATGGGGTAAGGAGTCTGCTCTTCATTTTCACAGACCGTGCTCCCATGATGAAGGGGTACCAGCACCCACAGAGGGAGTTTCAGGAAAGCTATTTGATCCATAACAACAAAGGCCATGGTTCCCAAGGAAAGAATGCTCCCTTCAAAGCAGTTGCATCAAGGAGGAAAGAATTTTACCCTATGAACTCAGAAGAGTGTGTGTTCTAAATATTTCATGTTTCACATCCAGGGGTTTTGGTGGACTTTTTAGGACAATTTATTTTATGGTTCTATCATCATACCATTTCTAATGCTGAAAAGCAGGAAATTAGGAAACATCCATTTCAAATGCTTGAAAAGTAAGAAGTTCCAGCTGAGCACGGTGGCTCACACCTGTAATCCTAGGACTTTGGGAGTCTGAGGAGGGAGGATCATGAGCTCAGGAGTTCAATACCAGCCTGGCCAACATGGTGAAACCTCATCTCTACTAAAAATACAAAAAAAAATTAGCCAGGCTTGGTGGCGGGTGCCTGTAATCCCAGCTACTAGAGAGGCAGAGGCAGGAGAGTTGCTTGTACCCAGGAGGTGGAGGTTGCAGAGACCATGCCATTGCACTCCAGCCTGGGCAACAGAGTGAGACTCCATCTCAAAAAAAAAAAAAAAAAAAGAAAAGAAAGAAGCTCCTATTTTTTTATTTTAATGTTATAAAATTACTCTTATATTTCTATTACTCTTATGTCTTATATATTATATATAATATAAAAAATATATGGCTTTTTGTTTTCTTTGAGATGGAGTCTTGCTCTTGTCACCCAGGCTGGAGTGCAGTGGCATGATCTTAGCTCACTGCAACTGCCGTATCCCGGGTTCAAGCGATTCTCCTGCCTCAGCCTCCTGAGTGGCTGGGATTACAGGTGACTACCACCACACCTGGCTAATTTTTGTACTTTTAGTAGAAACGGGGTTTCGCCATGTTGGCCAGGCTGGTCTCAAACTCCTGAACTCAGGTGATCCACCCACTTCAGCCTCCCAAAGTGCTGGGATTACAGGTGTGAGCCACTGCGCCTGGCCCTAATATAGATTTTAATATTATAGTTGGTTGTGGGCTATTAAATTTTGTCATCTTGAAGAATAACACACTTTGGAGTAAATTTACAATAAATGGTTTCTGAAGTTATTTAATGCTTATTCTTTCTTGCAACATTATTCAACAGAGTGGACATTTATGGCCTTGTGTTTTCCAATACCATGACCAATACCCTCTTATAGTCACATTTTGGAGCAAGTATTTAACATCAGATAATTTACCCGAAGGATAACACTTTAAAATTTTCTTTATTGTAACTAACAGCCAGTAATAGATCATGAAGATGAATGTATGTCATTATTTCTCTGGTTAATATAGACATAATTATAAATGTTTGTTTTATGATCTCTGTTAATCTGACACAACACCAGGAAGGCTGATGGCCATTTATCTTGTGTCTTCATGAGCAAAGAAGAACATAAAATTGAGAAGATATCCCAAGATGCCATTATTTATAGACATTCTTAATAATTCAACTCTGTAATTATGCTACTTCCCTACAATTTTTGTATGTTTATTTTATGTCCTTCTATATGTGTATTTATATAATATATAATTATTCTATTGCTACTGTATTGATATATGTTTTTAATTACTAGCAACCAGAGCTGGGTTAATAACCAAGTATCTTGAGACTATGGGATGAAACGTAGGCACTAGGATTTTCTTAACACCCCCTAGGTGATTACGATGTGCAGCCAGGGTTGAGAATCACTCATCCAAAGGTTCTACCAACCACACTTGAACACATATATTTTTAACTTCACTGGGAATACCTGTTACTAGTAATACAGTATTATAGTACACATAAGGCCTTACTGTTTGCTGCCCACCTGCTCCCTCTCCCCATGATTCCTCTTTAACTTCTCCTTGAGCAGAATATCCAAGATAGTGGTTTGCTGGCGCAAGCACACGTGTGCGTGTGTATGTGTGTGTGTTTAGCAGCAAAGCTTTCTGTTCTTTTTCCAAATGAAGTTTCCTTCAGAATAACAAATGACACCGAACAAAGCCAACCCGACAGATCTGAAGTGGAGTGAAGAGGGCCTCAAGCCCCTCTGCTCTCCTATTCCTTCTCCATCATTATCGGAACCCCAGGCTTCCCAAAGCACCATTTTATTTTACTTTATTTTATTTTATTGAGACAGAGTCTCTCTCTGTTGCCCAGGCTGGAGTCAGTGGCATGATCTTGGCTCACTGCAACCCCTGCCTCCCGAATTCAAGTGATTCTCCTGCCTCAGTCTCCCAAGTAGCTAGGATTACAGGTGTGTACTACCACACCTGGCTTATTTTTTTATTTTTTTAGTTGAGATGGGGTTTTGCCATGTTGCCCAGGCTGGTCTCAAACTCCTGACCTCAAGTGATCCACCTGCCTCGGCCTCCCAGAATGCTGGGATTACAAGCATGAGCCACCACACCCCTCCCCAAAGTACCGTTTTAAATCTGTCTCTCAGACACTAGAGAACGTCATTGTCTCACTGACTGGCTGCCAAGAGAAGTCACATATCAAACGAGATGGAAAGGCCCCCAGAACAATCTGCTGAATTCATGCAACACTCAACTCCAGCCAGGAAGTCCTGGATCTACTTCCGCTCGCCCATGACCATGCTATGAAACACCAATAACTGTGGAAATTTAGAAGAAGGCTCTCCTCCAACTCCCAGAGTGGCTAATTCTAAGCAGAGCCTTTTCTACTTTTTTTTTTTTTTTTTAAGATGGAGTTTCCTTCTTGTTGACCAGGCTGGAGTACAATGGCGTGATCTCGCTCACTGCAACCTCCGCCTCCCGGGTTCAAGCGATTCTCCTGCCTCAGCCTCCCAAGTAGCTGGGATTATAGGCATGCGCCAGCACAACGGGCTAATTTTTTTGTTTGTTTTTTGAGACAGAGTCTCACTCTGTCGCCCAGGCTGGAGTGCAGTGGCGCAATCTCGGCTCACTGCAAGCTCTGCCTCCCGGGTTCACACCATTCTCCTGCATCAGCCTCCCAAGCAGCTGGGACTACAGGCGCCCACCACCACACACGGCTAATTTTTTTTTTTTTTTTTTTTTTGTATTTTTAGTAGAGATGGGGTTTCACCGTGTTAGCCAGGATGGTCTCGATCTCCTGACCTCGTGATCCGCCCGCCTCGGCCTCCCAAGTACTGGGATTACAGGCATGAGCCACCGCGCCCAGCCTTGTATTTTTTTTAGTAGAGACGAGGTTTCTCCATGTTGGTCAGGCTGGTCTAGAACTCCCTCCCGACCTCAGGCAATCCACCCGCCTCGGCCTCCCAAAGTGCTGGAATTACAGGCGTAAGCCACCGCGCCCGGCCTAAGCAGAGCCTTTTCTAATGGTTGAAAAATGAAGCAAACTTTACAGTGTGCTCCCACTCTCTTATCTGCTGTACCCCTGTCTCCAAATCAGGTCTCAACAAATATCTCAAGGGATCTGAAAAGGGATACCCAGTTATGAAAGGGCAACCTATGGCCTGAAAGGAATGTGTGGAGTGAAGGAGCATAGTTTTGACAACTTTGCTTTGGTGATTTTGGGAAGTGGTTGTGGGCAATTGGCATATGAATCTTGTTTTTTGTTGAAAACAAAACAAAAGAGGAAAAGGCTGGCTGATAGCTGGTTGTCTCTTTGGCCACCCCTGAGGCTCAACCACTGGTTTTTTTATGTACTGGGTCCCCATTCAGGGTCTGGAACTTTGATTCATCTTTGTGATCATCATACAAAAGAGAGCTTGGATGCAGGTGGCTAAAAGCTGCAGGATGCATAAATGCTTCTATGCCTTTTAACAACCCCATGGGTAATTTTTTTTTTTTTTTTTTTGAGACGGAGTCTCTCTCTGTCACCCGGGCTGGGGTGCAGTGGAGCGATCTCGGCTCACTGCAACCTCTGCCTTCTGGGTTCAAGCAATTCTCCTGCCTCAGCCTCCCAAGTAGCTGGGACTACAGTTGTGCGCCACTATGCCCAGCTAATTTTTGTATTTTTAGTAGAGAAGGGATTTCACCATGTTGGTTAGCCAGGATGGTCTCGATCTCTTGACCTCGTGATTCTCCCTCCTCGGCCTCCCAAAATGCTGGGATTACAGGCGTGAGCCACCGCACCTGGATGGGTAATTTTATTATTTTACAAGTCAGTAAACCGATGCTTAGAGAAGTTAACCAACTTGATCAAGGTCACACAGCGGTGGAGAAGAGATTCCACCCCATACTTTTTGGGCTCCAGAGAACATAAGCTTTCCACTACGTTAGCTTATCCTGAGAGAAAGGGGTTTTGGTTGGAGGGTGAGGTAGAGAATGACCAATTTTGGAGAAGGTGTGAATTTGGAGTCGGACCAGTCCTAAATAAGTGTTCTAGAAGGGAACTCTAGGAAGACAGGGAAACATGGACCCCAGCCACAGTGGATCTGGGAAAGAACTAAAGGGAGAGGGAGGGCATTAGAGACAAGCATTACCTGCTTCAAAAACTTGAGCACCATTAAATGGATTTTGACATCCAGGCATGACTTGGTGTTGTGTAGAAAATAAATAGATGCAGCTCTTATATTTTTAATCATGTGACATTTTAATCTCATAGATCTACATTCAAATTCTGGGCTCATTAAGTCTTTAATTTGTTTTTGAAGCAGTTGTAATTGAAACGAACTGGGGTCCACTAGCCTGGCACAGTAAGGCCAAAAATCTATACCAAGGTTTGTAGCCAGACAAAGGATGTTTATTTGCGGGGCACCAAGCAAGGAGAATCAGGCAACTCACACTTAAGACCCTGTCTCCCCAGTGGCTTGCAAGTAAGGGTTTTTGTTTGTTTGCTTGTTTGTTTTTGAGATGGAGTCTCACTCTGTCACCCAGGCTGGAATGCAGTGGCATGATTTCGGCTCACTGCAACCCCCACCTCCCCGGTTCAAGCGATTCTCCTGCGTCAGCCTCCTGAGTAGCTGGGAATACAGACGTGCACCACCACACCAGCTAATTTTTGTATTTTTAGTAGAGACAGGGTTTCACTGTGTTAGCCAGGATGATCTCGATCCCCTGACCTCGTGATCCGCCCGCCTTGGCCTCCCAAAGTGCTGGGATTATAGGCATGAGCCACCACGCCTAGCCACAGGTTAAGAGTTTTTAAAGGCAGGGGTAAATTTCAGGAAACCAGAAGTTATAGGCAACAATTATAAATTAATATATGAAGGTTATATATTGGTTTGACGTAAAAAGGATAGAACATCTTGATGTGGGGGCTTACAGGTCCTAAGGAGATTTTAAGATTTTCTGATTTGCAATTAGTTAAGGAAAAGAAGCTCTATTTAAAATTTTGGGTCAACACCATGATTGTATATTTAGAAAACCCCATAGTCTCAGCCCAAAATCTCCTTAAGCTGACAAGCAACTTCAGCAAAGTCTCAGGATACAAAAAAATCAATGTGCAAAAATCACAAGCATTCTTATACACCAATAATAGACAAACAGAGAGCCAAATCATTAGTGAACTCCCATTCATAACTGCTTCAAAGAGAATAAAATACCTAGGAATCCAACTTACAAGGGACGTGAAGGATCTCTTCAAGGAGAACTACAAACCACTGTTCAACGAAATAAAAGAGGATACAAACAAATAGAAGAACATTCCATGCTCATGGATAGGAAGAATCAATATTGTGAAAATGGCCATACTGTCCAAGGTAATTTAAAGATTCAATGCCATCCCCATAAAACTACCAATGACTTTCTTAACAGCATTGGAAAAAACTACTTTAAAGTTCATATAGAACCAAAAAAGAGCCTGCATTGCCAAGACAATCCTAAGCCAAAAGAACAAAGCTGGAGGCATCATGCTACCTGACTTCAAACTATACTACAAGGCTACAGTAACCAAAATAGCATGGTACTGGTACCAAAACAGAGATATAGACCAATGGAACAGAACAGAGCCCTCAGAAATAATACCACACATCTACAACCATCTGATCTTTGACAAACCTGACAACAACAAGAAATGGGGAAAGGATTCCCTATTTAATAAATGGTGCTGGGAAAACTGGCTAGCCATAGGTAGAAACCTAAAATTGGATCCCTTCCTTATACCTTATACAAAAATTAATTCAAGATGGATTAAAGACTTAAATGTTAGACCTGAAACCATAAAAACTCTAGAAGAAAACCTAGCTATTACCATTCAGGACATAGCCATGGGCAAGGACTTCATGTCTAAAACACCAAAAGCAATGGCAGCAAAAGCCAAAATTGACAAATGGGATCTAATTAAACTAAAGAGCTTCTGCACAGCAAAAGAAACTACCATCAGAGTGAACAGGCAACCTACAACATGGGAGAAAATTTTCGCAACCTACTCATCTGACAAAGGGCTAATATCCAGAATCTACAAAGAACTCAAACAAATTTACAAGAAAAAAACAAACAACTTCATCAAAAAGTGGGCCAAGGATATGAACAGACACTTCTCAAAAGAAGACATTTATGCAGCCAACAGACACATGAAAAAATGCTCATCATCACTGGCCATCAGAGAAATGCAAATCAAAACCACAATGAGATACCATCCCACACCAGTGAGAATGGTGATCATTAAAAAGTCAGGAAACAACAGGTGCTGGACAAGATGTGGAGAAATAGGAACACTTTTACACTGTTGGTGGGGCTGTAAACTAGTTCAACCATTGTGGAAGACAGCGTGGCGATTCCTCAAGGATCTAGAACTAGAAATACCGTTTGACCCAGCCATCCCATTACTGGGTATATAGCCAAAGGATTATAAATCATGCTGCTATAAAGACACATACACATGTATGTTTATTGCAGCACTATTCACAATAGCAAAGACTTGGAACCACCCCAAATGTCCATCAATGATAGACTGGTTTAAGAAAATGTGGCACGGAAATAGAGCCAAGATGGCTGAATAGGAACAGCTCCGGTCTACAGCTCCCAGCGTGAGCGACGCAGAAGACGGGTGATTTCTGCATTTCCATCTGAGGTACCGGGTTCATCTCACTAGGGAGTGCCAGACAGTGGGCGCAGGCCAGTGGGTGCGCGCACCGGGCGTGAGCCAAAGCAGGGCGAGGCATTGCCTCACCTGGGAAGCGCAAGGGGTCAGGGAGTTCCCTTTCCGAGTCAAAGAAAGGGGTGACGGACGCACCTGGAAAATCGGGTCACTCCCACCCGAATATTGCGCTTTTCAGACTGGCTTAAAAAACGGCGCACCACGAGACTATATCCCACACCTGGCTCGGAGGGTCCTACGCCCCCGGAATCTCGCTGATTGCTAGCACAGCAGTCTGAGATCAAACTGCAAGGCGGCAGCGAGGCTGGGGGAGGGGCGCCCGCCATTGCCCAGGCTTGCTTAGGTAAACAAAGCAGCCGGGAAGCTCGAACTGGGTGGAGCCCACCACAGCTCAAGGAGGCCTGCCTGCCTCTGTAGGCTCCACCTCTGGGGGCAGGGCACAGACAGACAAAAAGGCAGCAGTAACCTCTGCAGACTTAAATGTCCCTGTCTGACAGCTTTGAAGAGAGCAGTGGTTCTCCTAGCACGCAGCTGGAGATCTGAGAATGGGCAGACTGCCTCCTCAAGTGGGTCCCTGACCCCTGACCCCCGAGCAGCCTAACTGGGAGGCACCCCCCAGCAGGGGCACACTGACACCTCACACGGCAGGGTATTCCAACAGACCTGCAGGTGAGGGTCCTGTCTGTTAGAAGGAAAACTAACAAACAGAAAGGACATCCACACCGAAAACCCATCTGTACATCACCATCATCAAAGACCAAAAGTAGATAAAACCACAAAGATGGGGAAAAAACAGAACAGAAAAACTGGAAACTCTAAAACGCAGAGCGCCCCTCCTCCTCCAAAGGAACGCAGTTCCTCACCAGCAACGGAACAAAGCTGGATGGAGAATGACTTTGACGAGCTGAGAGAAGAAGGCTTCAGACGATCAAATTACTCTGAGCTACGGGAGGACATTCAAACCAAAGGCAAAGAAGTTGAAAACTTTGAAAAAAATTTAGAAGAATGTATAACTAGAATAACCAATACAGAGAAGTGCTTAAAGGAGCTGATGGAGCTGAAAACCAAGGCTCGAGAACTACGTGAAGAATGCAGAAGCCTCAGGAGCCGATGTGATCAACTGGAAGAAAGGGTATCAGCAATGGAAGATGAAATGAATGAAATGAAGCAAGAAGGGAAGGTTAGAGAAAAAAGAATAAAAAGAAATGAGCAAAGCCTCCAAGAAATATGGGACTATGTGAAGAGACCAAATCTACGTCTGATTGGTGTACCTGAAAGTGATGCGGAGAATGGAACCAAGTTGGAAAACACTCTACAGGATATTATCCAGGAGAACTTCCCCAATCTAGCAAGGCAGGCCAACGTTCAGATTCAGGAAATACAGAGAACGCCACAAAGATACTCCTCGAGAAGAGCAACTCCAAGACACATAATTGTCAGATTCACCAAAGTTGAAATGAAGGAAAAAATGTTAAGGGCAGCCAGAGAGAAAGGTCGGGTTACCCTCAAAGGGAAGCCCATCAGACTAACAGCGGATCTCTCGGCAGAAACCCTACAAGCCAGAAGAGAGTGGGGGCCAATATTCAACATTCTTAAAGAAAAGAATTTTCAACCCAGAGTTTCATATCCAGCCAAACTAAGCTTCATAAGTGAAGGAGAAATAAAATACTTTACAGACAAGCAAATGCCGAGAGATTTTGTCACCACTAGGCCTGCCCTAAAAGAGCTCCTGAAGGAAGCGCTAAACATGGAAAGGAACAACCGGTACCAGCCGCTGCAAAATCATGCCAAAATGTAAAGACCATCGAGACTAGGAAGAAACTGCATCAACTAACGAGCAAAATCATCAGCTAACATCATCATGACAGGATCAAATTCACACATAACAATATTAACTTTAAATGTAAATGGACTAAATGCTCCAATTAAAAGACACAGACTGGCAAGTTGGATAAAGACTCAAGACCCATCAGTGTGCTGTATTCAGGAAACCCATCTCACATGCAGAGACACACATAGGCTCAAAATAAAAGGATGGAGGAAGATCTACCAAGCAAATGGAAAACAAAAAAAGGCAGGGGTTGCAATCCTAGTCTCTGATAAAACAGACTTTAAACCAACAAAGATCAAAAGAGACAAAGAAGGCCATTACATAATGGTAAAGGGATCAATTCAACAAGAGGAGCTAACTATCCTAAATATATATGCACCCAATACAGGAGCACCCAGATTCATAAAGCAAGTCCTGAGTGACCTACAAAGAGACTTAGACTCCCACACATTAATAATGGGAGACTTTAACACCCCACTGTCAACATTAGACAGATCAACGAGACAGAAAGTCAACAAGGATACCCAGGAATTGAACTCAGCTCTGTACCAAGAAGACCTAATAGACATCTACAGAACTCTCCACCCCAAATCAACAGAATATACATTCTTTTCAGCACCACACCACACCTATTCCAAAATTGACCACATAGTTGGAAGTAAAGCTCTCCTCAGCAAATGTAAAAGAACAGAAATTATAACAAACTATCTCTCAGACCACAGTGCAATCAAACTAGAACTCAGGATTAAGAATCTCACTCAAAGCCGCTCAACTACATGGAAACTGAACAACCTGCTCCTGAATGACTACTGGGTACATAACGAAATGAAGGCAGAAATAAAGATGTTCTTTGAAACCAACGAGAACAAAGACACAACATACCAGAATCTCTGGGACGCATTCAAAGCAGTGTGTAGAGGGAAATTTATAGCACTGAATGCCCACAAGAGAAAGCAGGAAAGATCTAAAATTGACACCCTCACATCACAATTAAAAGAACTAGAAAAGCAAGAGCAAACACATTCAAAAGCTAGCAGAAGGCAAGAAATAACTAAAATCAGAGCAGAATTGAAGGAAATAGAGACACAAAAAACCCTTCAAAAAATCAATGAATCCAGGAGCTGGTTTTTTGAAAGGATCAACAAAATTGATAGACCGCTAGCAAGACTAATAAAGAAAAAAAGAGAGAAGAATCAAATAGACACAATAAAAAATGATAAAGGGGATATCACCACTGATCCCACAGAAATACAAACTACCATCAGAGAATACTACAAACACCTCTACGCAAATAAACTAGAAAATCTAGAAGAAATGGATACATTCCTCGACACATACACTCTCCCAAGACTAAATCAGGAAGAAGTTGAATCTCTGAATAGACCAATAACAGGAGCTGAAATTGGGGCAATAATCAATAGTTTACCAACCAAAAAGAGTCCAGGACCAGATGGATTCACAGCCGAATTCTACCAGAGGTACAAGGAGGAACTGGTACCATTCCTTCTGAAACTATTCCAATCAATAGAAAAAGAGGGAATCCTCCGTAACTCATTTTATGAGGCCAGCATCATTCTGATACCAAAGCCGGGCAGAGACACAACCAAAACAGAGAATTTTAGACCAATATCCTTGATGAACATTGATGCAAAAATCCTCAATAAAATACTGGCAAACCGAATCCAGCAGCACATCAAAAAGCTTATCCACCATGATCAAGTGGGCTTCATCCCTGGGATGCAAGGCTGGTTCAATATACGCAAATCAATAAATGTAATCCAGCATATAAACAGAGCCAAAGACAAAAACCACATGATTATCTCAATAGATGCAGAAAAAGCCTTTGACAAAATTCAACAACCCTTCATGCTAAAAACTCTCAATAAATTAGGTATTGATGGGACGTATTTCAAAATAATAAGAACTATCTATGACAAACCCACAGCCAATATCATACTGAATGGGCAAAAACTGGAAGCATTCCCTTTGAAAACTGGCACAAGACAGGGATGCCCTCTCTCACCACTCCTATTCAACATAGTGTTGGAAGTTATGGCCAGGGCAATCAGGCAGGAGAAGGAAATAAAGGGTATTCAATTAGGAAAAGAGGAAGTCAAATTGTCCCTGTTTGCAGACGACATGATTGTTTATCTAGAAAACCCCATCGTCTCATGTGGGGAAAAGCAAGAGAGATCAGATTGTTACTGTGTCTGTGTAGAAAGAAGTAGACATAGGAGACTCCATTTTGTTATGTACTAAGAAAAATTCTTCTGCCTTGAGATTCTGTTAATCTATAACCTTACCCCCAACCCCGTGCTCTCTGAAACATGTGCTGTGTCAACTCAGAGTTAAATGGATTAAGGGCGGTGCAAGATGTGCTTTGTTAAACAGATGCTTGAAGGCAGCATGCTCCTTAAGAGTCATCACCACTCCCTAATCTCAAGTACCCAGGGACACAAAAACTGCGGAAGGCCGCAGGGACCTCTGCCTAGGAAAGCCAGGTATTGTCCAAGGTTTCTCCCCATGTGATAGTCTGAAATATGGCCTCGTGGGAAGGGAAAGACCTGACCGTCCCCCAGCCCGACACCCGTAAAGGGTCTGTGCTGAGGAGGATTAGTAAAAGAGGAAGGAATGCCTCTTGCAGTTGAGACAAGAGGAAGGCATCTGTCTCCTGCCTGTCCCTGGGCAATGGAATGTCTCGGTATAAAACCCGATTGTATGCTCCATCTACTGAGATAGGGAAAAACCGCCTTAGGGCTGGAGGTGGGACCTGCGGGCAGCAATACTGCTTTGTAAAGCATTGAGATGTTTATGTGTATGCATATCTAAAAGCACAGCACTTAATCCTTTACATTGTCTATGATGCAAAGACCTTTGTTCACGTGTTTGTCTGCTGACCCTCTCCCCACAATTGTCTTGTGACCCTGACACATCCCCCTCTTCGAGAAACACCCACAGATGATCAATAAATACTAAGGGAACTCAGAGGCTGGCGGGATCCTCCATATGCTGAATGCTGGTTCCCCGGGTCCCCTTATTTCTTTCTCTATACTTTGTCTCTGTGTCTTTTTCTTTTCCAAATCTCTCGTCCCACCTTATGAGAAACACCCACAGGTGTGTAGGGGCAACCCACCCCTACAGTCTCAGCCCAAAATCTCCTTAAGCTGATAAGCAACTTCAGCAAAGTCTCAGGATACAAAATCAATGTACAAAAATCACAAGCATTCTTATACACCAACAACAGACAAACAGAGAGCCAAATCATGAGTGAACTCCCATTCACAATTGCTTCAAAGAGAATAAAATACCTAGGAATCCAACTTACAAGGGATGTGAAGGACCTCTTCAAGGAGAACTACAAACCACTGCTCAAGGAAATAAAAGAGGATACAAACAAATGGAAGAACATTCCATGCTCATGAGTAGGAAGAATCAATATCGTGAAAATGGCCATACTGCCCAAGGTAATTTACAGATTCAATGCCATCCTCATCAAGCTACCAATGACTTTCTTCACAGAATTGGAAAAAACTACTTTAAAGTTCACATGGAACCAAAAAAGAGCCCGCATCGCCAAGTCAATCCTAAGCCAAAAGAACAAAGCTGGAGGCATCACACTACCTGACTTCAAACTATACTACAAGGCTACAGTAACCAAAACAGCATGGTACTGGTACCAAAACAGAGACATAGATCAATGGAACAGAACAGAGCCCTGAGAAATAACGCCGCATACCTACAACTATCTGATCTTTGACAAACCTGAGAAAAACAAGCAATGGGGAAAGGATTCCCTATTTAATAAATGGTGCTGGGAAAACTGGCTAGCCATATGTAGAAAGCTGAAACTGGATCCCTTCCTTACACCTTATACAAAAATCAATTCAAGATGGACTAAAGACTTAAACATTAGACCTAAAACCATAAAAACCCTAGAAGAAAACCTAGGCGTTACCATTCAGGACATAGGCATGGGCAAGGACTTCATGTCCAAAACACCAAAAGCAATGGCAGCAAAAGCCAAAATTGACAAATGGGATCTAATTAAACTAAAGAGCTTCTGCACAGCAAAAGAAACTACCATCAGAGTGAACAGGCAACCTACAACATGGGAGAAAATTTTAGCAACCTACTCATCTGACAAAGGGCTAATATCCAGAATCTACAATGAACTCAAACAAATTTACAAGAAAAAAACAAACAACCCCATCAAAAAGTGGGCAAAGGACATGAACAGACACTTCTCAAAAGAAGACATTTATGCAGCCAAAAAAACACATGAAAAAATGCTCATCATCACTGGCCATCAGAGAAATGCAAATCAAAACCACTATGAGATATCATCTCATACCAGTTAGAATGGCACTCATTAAAAAGTCAGGAAACAACAGGTGCTGGAGAGGATGTGGAGAAATAGGAACACTTTTACACTGTTGGTGGGACTGGAAACTAGTTCAACCATTGTGGAAGTCAGTGTGGCGATTCCTCAGGGATCTAGAACTAGAAATACCATTTGACCCAGCCATCCCATTACTGGGTATATACCCAAATGACTATAAATCATGCTGCTATAAAGACACATGCACACGTATGTTTATTGCGGCATTATTCACAATAGCAAAGACTTGGAACCAACCCAAATGTCCAACAATGATAGACTGGATTAAGAAAATGTGGCACATATACACCATGGAATACTATGCAGCCATAAAAAATGATGAGTTCATGTCCTTTGTAGGGACATGGATGAAATTGGAAATCATCATTCTCAGTAAACTATCCCAAGAACAAAAAACCAAACACCGCATATTCTCACTCATAGGTGGGAATTGAACAATGAGATCACATGGACACATGAAGGGGAATATCACACTCTGGGGACTGTGGTGGGGTGGGGGGAGCGGGGAGGGATAGCATTGGGAGATATACCTAAGGCTAGATGACGAGTTAGTGGGTGCAGTGCACCAGCACGGCACATGTATACATATGTAACTAACCTGCACAATGTGCACATGTACCCTAAAACTTAAAGTATAATTAAAAAAAAAAAAGAAAATGTGGCACATATACACCATGGAATACTATGAAGCCATAAAAAAGGATGAGTTCATGTCCTTTGTAGGGACATGGATGAAGCTGGAAACCATCATTCTCAGCAAACTATCACAAGGACAGAAAACCAAACACTGCATGTTCTCACTCATAGGTGGGAATTGAACAATGAGAACACTTGGACACAGGAAGGGGAACATCACACACTGGGGCCTATCGTGGGGTGGGGGGAGGGGGGAGGGATAGCATTAGGAGATATACCTAATGTAAATGATGAGTTAATGGGTGCAGCACACCAACATGGCACATGTATACATATGTAACTAAACTGCACGTTGTGCACATGTACCCTAGAACTTAAAGTATAATAAAAAATAAAAAATAAAAATTAAAAATAAAATTTGGGTCAACACAAAAGAATGTTAGCTCTGGCTCATGGGTGTGACTTTTTATAGGGCCCTGAGGAAGAAATTCAGAACAAAGAATGGCAGACAAAGAATGGCAGTCAGAGTTTAGTCCTTGTTTTTTTGTTTTTTTGTTTTGTTTTGTTTTCTTTTTGTTTGTTTTGTTTTGTTTAATTTGAAGTTTATGTGCCAGTGGATTTGTTTGGTGGCAGTCTGGGTTTCTGAAAATGACAGGGACATACATTAAGTTGTTATGTTTATTTTTTTATAGAGAAATAAACATCCTATGATTTTTATTTTGGGGGCTATTGTTTTAAGCTGCTGTTATTTTGTTGTTGTCGTTTACTGTTTTTACTTTTGGGGGCTAGCTAGGTCCTGAAATTTTTTTGAAGGAACTTAAGGTTTTGAAAAATTTTTTTATGCTTGGGGGTGTGGTCCACAGGTCCCAAAATGGAAGTCCCTGCTGATCTCAGTTAGCCAAGGAAGCCACAATAATCTGATGTGTCATAGCTGGTCAAACACTGTGAAACTTCGCACATTGGTTAAGGAACCAATGTGATTATTTACTTCACACAGATTACCAATGGGACTGACTACCTTGTCTGTCCTGGTCTACATCAGAAATAGAGACTGGCTGGTCACTCACTGATTCAGTAATTTATTCACAATTTGTCATTGAGTTTTTCCTAGCTTTTATGCATGCAGATACAATGATAAATTGATTGAACTGAGATGAGGTTTAACTAATTTAAACAATGTGCCTCAAGTAAAAATTAGCTCTAATTATCCTAATTCAAACAACCAACTATAAAAAGAATGTATAAGACAACCAGGAAAATATGAACACTAACTATATATATTTGATGATATTAAGGAATTTATTGCCTACTTCTTTTGGTGCAATAATAGTATTATGATTAGTGGGTTTTCAGAAAGAATATTTATCTTTTAAAGCTACATAGAGAAATATTTACAAATAAAATGATATACTGTCTAGGATTTGCTACAAAATAATTTAATAGTAGGGGAAAGAGGGAGGAAATAGTAGAAAGCAAAGATGAAACGAGATTAGCTATGAGTTAAATAATTGCAGAAGCTGAGTGAACATACGTGGGGGTTTATTATACTATTCCCTCCCCTTTGGTTTATGTTTAAATTTTTTCGTTAAAATTTTTTATTCTTTTATGTGTGACTCTAATCAATATGACTATGGAAATTTCAAGGTCTTTGTAGTCAGGCGAACCTAATATATAAATACTGGGGTTTTTTTTCACTAACTGGTTAGGAGACCTGGAGCAAGATTCTTAAGCTAACAGAGCTTCTACTTCTTATCTTCAAAATCACCGAACTAACTTGTATCTCATACGGATTTTGAGAATTAAAAGAAAAGAAATCACATCACTAAATCACCTAGCACAGTGCCTGGTGCATAGCAGACACTTGATAACTATTGCTACAATTGTAGAAGCTATTAAAGATAGAGGCCTTTCAAACAAACCTGGAACAACATGTCTTAAGATTTCAGTGGAAATCTCAAAGCAGAGTTGAAATAAACTAACAGAGAGGAAGAGGTGGTAACCTTCCACAGAAAGCCTAAGGTTAGAATGTATCTTCCTAGGCAACAAGACAATTATTCCAAACACAAAAGGAAACAACTTTCTATTTAGCTCATTTCTAAGGTAACCATTGTATCGCCGGTGAAACAGTTCAGGCATAAATTGGACAGAGTCTGAAAGGTCTCTGATTCCATTTTGTTTTGTATTTGAATGAGAAGTAGCAAATATATATATGCACTCCAGCCTGGGCGACAGATATATCTATATCTATATCTATATATGTCCCTGGCTGGGAAAGAGGAGAATGGAATCTAGATTGTGTGTGTGTGTGAGTGTGTGTGTGTGTGTGTGTGTGTGTGTGTGTGTATCCGTATGAGATATATCTCAAAATCCGTATGAGATACAAGAAAAGACAGAGTCTTGCTCTGTCGCCCAGGCTGGAGTGTAGTGGCACCATCTCAGCTCACCTCCACCTCTCAGGTTCAAGTGATTCTTGTGCTTCAGCCTCCCGAGTAGCTGGGACTACAGATGTGCGCCACCACTCCTGGCTAAATTTTTTATTTTTATTTTTATTTATTTATTTATTTTTTTGTTTTATTTATTTATTTATTTATTTTTATTGATCATTCTTGGGTGTTTCTCACAGAGGGGGATTTGGCAGGGTCATAGGACAATAGTGGAGGGAAGGTCAGCAGATAAACAAGTGAACAAAGGTCTCTGGTTTTCCTAGGCAGAGGACCCTGCGGCCTTCCGCAGTGTTTGTGTCCCTGGGTACTTGAGATTAGGGAGTGGTGATGACTCTTAAGGAGCATGCTGCCTTCAAGCATCTGTTTAACAAAGCACATCTTGCACCGCCCTTAATCCATTTAACCCTGAGTGGACACAGCACATGTTTCAGAGAGCACAGGGTTGGGGGTAAGGTCACAGATCAACAGGATCCCAAGGCAGAAGAATTTTTCTTAGTACAGAACAAAATGGAAAGTCTCCCATGTCTACTTCTTTCCACACAGACACGGCAACCATCCGATTTCTCAATCTTTTCCCCACCTTTCCCCCCTTTCTATTCCACAAAACCGCCATTGTCATCATGGCCCGGTCTCAATGAGCTGTTGGGTACACCTCCCAGACGGGGTGGTGGCCGGGCAGAGGGGCTCCTCACTTCCCAGTAGGGGCGGCCGGGCAGAGGCACCCCTCACCTCCCGGACGGGGCGGCTGTCCGGGCGGGGGGCTGACCCCCCCACCTTCCTCCCAGACGGGGCGGCTGGCCGGGCAGAGGGGCTCCTCACTTCCCAGTAGGGGCGGCTGGGCAGAGGCGCCCCTCATCTCCCGGACGGGGCGGCTGGCCGGGCTGGGGGCTGACCCCCCCCCACCTCCCTCCCGGACGGGGCGGCTGGCCGGGCGGGGGGCTGAATCCCCCACCTCCCTCCCAGACGGGGCGGCTGGCTGGGCAGAGGGGCTCCTCACTTCCCAGTAGGGGCAGCCGGGCAGAGGTGCCCCTCACCTCCCGGACGAGGTGGCTGGCCGGGCGGGGGGCTGACCCCCCCCACCTCCCTCCTGGACGGGGCGGCTGGCCGGGCCGGGGGCTGAACCCCCCACCTCCCTCCCGGACGGGGCGGCTGGCCGGGCGGGGTCTGACCCCCCCCCAACCTCCCTCCCGGACGGAGCGGCTGGCCGGGTAGAGGGGCTCCTCACTTCCCAGTAGGGGCGGCTGGGCAGAGGCGCCCCTCACCTCCCGGACGGGGCGGCTGGCCGGGCGGGGGGCTGACCCCCTGACCTTCCTCCTGGATGGGGCGGCTGGCCGGGCAGGGAGCTGACCCCCCCATCTCCCTCCCGGACGGGGCGGCTGGCCTGGCGGGGGCTGACTCCCACCTCCCTCCCAGACGGGGTGGCTGCCGGGCAGAGGGGCTCCTCACTTCTCAGACGGGGCAACTGCCGGGCGGAGGGTCTCCTCCCTTCTCAGACAGGGCGGCTGGGCAGAGACGCTCCTCACCTCCCAGACGGGGTCGCGGCCGGGCAGAGGCGCTCCTCACATCCCAGACAGGGCAGTGGGGCAAAGGCTCTCCCCACATCTCAGAAGATGCGCGGCCGGGCAGAGACGCTCCTCACTTCCTAGATGTGATGGCAGCCGGGAAGAGGCGCTCCTCACTTCCTAGATGGGATGGCGGCCGGGCAGAGACGCTCCTCACTTTCCAGACTGGGCAGCCAGGCAGAGAGGCTCCTCATATCCCAGACGATGGGCGGCCAGGCAGAGACGCTCCTCACTTCCCAGACGGGGTGGCGGCTGGGCAGAGGCTGCAATCTCGGCACTTTGGGAGGCCCAGGCAGGCGGCTGGGAGGTGGAGGTTGTAGCGAGCCGAGATCACGCCACTGCACTCCAGCCTGGGCACCATTGAGCACTGAGTGAACCAGACACCCCGTCTGCAATCCCGGCACCTCCGGAGGCCGAGGCTGGCGGATCACTCGCGGTTAGGAGCTGGAGACCAGCCCAGCCAACACAGTGAAACCCCGTCTCCACCAAAAAAATACGAAAACCAGTCAGGCGTGGTGGTGCGCGCCTGCAATCGCAGGCACTCGGCAGGCTGAGGCAGGAGAATCAGGCAGGGAGGTTGCAGTGAGCCGAGATGGCAGCAGTACAGTCCAGCTTCGGCTTGGCATCAGAGGGAGACCATGGGGAGAGGGAGACGAGAGGGGGAGGGGGAGAGGGAGAGGGAGAGGGAGAGGCTAAATGTCTTTTCAAATTTAGACAGAAAAAATATGGTGGTAGCGCAGTAGTAGCAGTAGTGTAGTAGTTTCTTCTTCTTCTTTCTTCTTCTTCTTCCTCCTCCTCCTCCTTCTTCTTTCTTCTTCCTCCTCCTCCTCATTCTTCAAATTTTTTATTTTTAATAGAGACAGAGTTTCACCATGTTGGCCAGGCTGGTCTCGAATTCCTGACCTCAGATGATCCACCCGCCTTGGCCTCCCAAAGTGCTGGGATTAGAGGAGTGAGCCACTGCACCCAGCATAGATCTGTAATATATTTTTAATTGACATCTTTCTCTAATTTAAATTTGTGCTGCTTTAGGTCTCTTATGTGAAAAATAGATTCTTATTAGCCAACTGTGTTTAAAATCTGCTCTTTCTCCTGTAATAACAGCTCTTCTCCTGTAATAATCAACGTCCAGTTACCCAAATCAGAACTTTGGTAGATATATTCAGTCCCTGGATTCCCCTCAGTAGGCCTCTTCCCATACACTTTGAATTGATTACCAAGCCTATCAGTTCCATGTCTCAGATATCCCTTAAGAATGTCCCTTAAACTCTACTTTGTTTGTTTGTTTTGTTATGTTTTGAGATGGTGTCTCCCTCTGTTGCCCAGGCTGGAGTGCAGTGGTGCCACCTCAGCTCACTGCAACCTCTGCCTCCCATGTTCAAGTGATTTTCCTGCCTCAGCCTCCCAAGCAGCTGTGATTACAGCATGTGCCACTGTGCCTGGCTAATTTTTGTATTTTTAGTAGAGATGGGGTTTCACAATGTTGGCCAGGCTGGTCTCAAACTCCTGACCTCAAGTGATCCAAAATGCTGAGATTATAGGCATGAGCCACTGCACTCGGCCCCCTTAAACTATACTTTCATGGTCACTGCCTCAGGTCAGGTGCCCAGCATGCCATATTTCAATTTCTGCAGCAATCATTAAACTAGTCTCCCTATCTCTAGTCTCTTCCTTCCTCAAATCATATTCAAGAATGCTGGCAAAATGACCATTTTAACATGCAAATCTGATCATGTCATTACTCTGAGTAAAATATTTCAGTAGATCCCAACCGTCTATGGAAGTCCAAATTCCTTAGTGTGTCATATAAACACTTCATGATTTTCCTTTATCCACTTTTCTAAATCACGTCTACTCTTTGTGCATTCATATGCACCTTGTCCTGTGCCGTCTAGTCATATTGCTAAACAACCTGTCATTTTCTCCAAGTGCTGTGTTCTCTTCTGCTGCTATGCTTTTGTGTACACTATTCCCTCTGTCCTGCGAGATGTTTGTCCCCTGTGCACTTGACAAAACTTACTCATACTTCAAGACTCAGCTCACATGTCCTTCTTTTGTGAAATTTTCCCTGTCACTAGTTGCTCACAACCATTATATTGAGTTAGACCCTCTATTCTCTGAGCAACTTGCATGTGCATGCTAATACCTTATTTAGAAATTTTATGATACTCAAGAGTCATTATTGTGTGTACACAAGCATGCACATGCTGGGACTCCCCTACTAGCCCATGATCTCCTTGAGAACAGAAATAATGGCTTATATATTTAGTTACTTAAAATTTATTAATTTATTTATTTTTTGTTGTTGTTTTTGAGACAGGGTCTCGCTATGTCACCCAGGCTAGAGTGCAGTGGTGTGATCATAACTCACTGCAGCCTTGATTTTTCAGGCTCAAGCAATCCTCCTGCCTCAGACCCCTGAGTAGCTGGGGACTACAGGTGTACCATCACACTTGGCTTTTTTTTTTTTTTTTTTAGTAGAGTTGGGATCTTGTCATATTTCTCAGGCTTATTTTTACCTCCTTAAACCTTACCTAGTACCTGGCACAAAGTAGGCACTCAAGAATATGTGAAATGAATGAAGAAAACAAATTAAGCATAAGAAAAGTTAGTAATAAAATGAATAACTGTGCTTCAATGTTTCGAAAATAACTTATCTTTCCTAGAATGCACTTTACTACCTCAAATCTTAGGACCTTACATTGTTCCTTCTGTCTAGAATGATTTTCTCTTCAATTTAATCCTCTGTTCATCCACCAAGAAGCTACTCTATAGGTAATATCATTACCTCTGTTAGCACTGGCCTGGGCCTTTAGGCAGAATTATCTACTTCCTCCCTTAAATACCCATAGATCTCCTATGTGAAAATAGATTCTTATTAGATGCTTGTGTTTCACTGTGTCTGCCATAGACCCTTGATATTCACAAGGTAGATACCCTGAGACTTCATAGATACAAATATTTGAACATAAAAATGTTTATATGGGCTTCTGGATTTCTCCTAAATTATTTCTCAAATTCTGGGTTTGCTCCCAATACAAGTCAGGGAGCTTTTCTACTTTTACTCAGAATCTTTCCCTGATTTGGCCATTTTTTAAAGTCAGGTTTATTGAGATATAATTCCTAGAGTGAAATTCACCCTTTTTAGACATACCCATAATTTTAGGAATCCTGACAAACACATCCAGGTACACAATTACCATCACAATTAAAATACAGAACATTTCTACCATGCCAGAAAGTTCCCACATGTCCCCTGTGGTTAATCCCCAGTCCAGGACTCTCACTGTGGTTTTAACTTTTCCAGAGTGTCATATAAATTCAAACATATCCCATATGGCTTTATAAATTTGCCTTCTTTCAGTTAGCATGGTGTATTTGAAATTTGTTCTTTTTATCACTTAGTAGTACTGTTCTGTATGAAATTCTATCACGTGGAATCTACCTGTACACAGTATGGATGTACCACAGTTGGTTTATCCCTTCACAAGCTGATGAACATTTAGGTTGTTTGCAGTTTTTTGGTGAAAACTGTTATAAATATTCATGTGTAGATCTTTGTGTATGTTTTTGTTTCTTTTGGGTAAAAATCTAAAAGATGAGTTGGGTCATCTAATAAGTATACGTTTAACTTTATAAGAAATTGTCACACTGTTTTTCAAAGTTACTGCAGTGTTACATTCCACCCCAAAATGTATGAGAGCTCCATTGGCACAGCATACCCATCAGCACTAATGGATGTGTAGTGATATCTCTTTGTGGTTTTAATTTTCATTTCTTTGATGACTAATGATCTTTTCATTGTTTATGTGGCATCTGCATTTCATAAAATATTCAAATATTTTGTCCATTTTTTTAAATGGGCTTGGCTGCCTTCTCTTCTCTTCTTTTCTTTCTTTCTTTCTTTCTTGTCTTTTTTTCTTTCTCTTTTCTTTTGTCTCACTCTGCTACCCAGGCTGCTTTTTCTTTTCTATCTTTCCTTCCTTCCTTCCCTCTTTCCTTCCTTCCCTTCCCTTCTTTCTTTCTTTCTTCTTTTTTCTTTCTCTTTTCTTTTGTCTCACTCTGTCACCCAGGCTGCTTTCTTTTCTTTTCTTTTCTATCTTTCCTTCCCTCTTTCCTTCCTTCCCTTCCTTTCTTTCTTTCTCTTTTGTCTCACTCTGTCACCCAGGCTGCTTCCTTTTCTTTTCTTTTCTGTCTGTCCTTCCTTCCTTCCCTCTTTCCTTCCCTCCCTCCTTCCCTCCCTCCTTTCTTTCTTTCTTGCTTACTTTCACTCTCTTTTCCTTCCTTTCCTCCTTCCTTCCCTCCCTCCCTCTCTCCTTTCTTTCTTTCTTTCCTTCTTTCTTTCCTTCCTTCCTTCCTTCCTTCTTTCTTTCTTTCTTTCTTTCTTTCTTTCTTTCTTTCTTTCTTTCTTTCTTTTCTTTCTTTCTCTTTCTTTTTTTGACAAGGTCTCACTCTGTCACCCAGGCTAGAGTGCAGTAGTGCCATCTCGGCTCACTACAACCTCCACCTCCCAGGCTCAAACGATCCTCCTGCCTCAACTGGGACCACAGGCCTGAGTCATCACACCCAGCTAATTTTGTATTTTTTTAAACAGAGACAGGGTTTTGCCATGTTGCCTAGGCTGGCCTGGAACTCCTGAGCTCAAGTGATCTGCCCACCTCGGCTTCCCAAAGTGCTGGGATTACAGGTGTGAGTCATTGTGCCCTGCCCATTTTCTTATTATTGAGTTCTTTACATATTAAGGATATCAGTATTTTATTATACAGTGTTTTACAAATATTTCTTTCAGACTGTGTCTTCTCTTTCATTTTTCTTAACAGTGTCCTTTGAAGAGTGGATGTTTCTAATTTTGATTAATTCCAATTTGTCAACTTTTTTTTCCTGATTTGTGCTTTTTGGATGCTAAGAAATTTGTGCCTAACCCAAGCTCAGAAAGATTTTCACATGTGTTTTCTTCTAGAAGTTTTATAGTTTTAGGTTTTACACTTAGATTTCAGATCCATTTTGAGTTAAGTTTAAGGGAGGAAGTAGATAATTCTGCCTAAAGGCCCTCACAGTGTGAGGTATGCATTGAGGTTCGTATTTTTACACACATATGTTTAATTGTTGCAGCAGCATTTTTTAAAAGCCTATCCTTTCTACATTAAATTACCTCTGTATGTTTGTCAAAAGTCAATTAACAGCCTGGGCACGGTGGCTCATGCCTGTAATCCCAGCACTTTGGGAGGCCAAGTTGGGTGGACCACCTGAGGTCAGGAGTTTGAGACCAGCCTGACCAACACGGTGAAACCCCGTCTCTACTAAAAATACAAAAATTAGCCAGCATGGTGGCATGCACCTGTAATCTCAGCTACTCAGGAGGGTGACGCAGGAGAATCACTTAAACCCGGGAGGCAGAGGCTGCAATGAGCCAAGATCATGCCACTGTACTCCAGCCTGGACAAGAGTGAAACTCCGTCTCAAAAAAAAAAAAAATTCAATTAACCATGTATATGTTGTTTTATGTCTGGATTCTATTTGAAGTGTTCACCAGCTTTTCCTCTAAAGCGACAGATAAGTAAGATTTTAGGCTTTGCAGGCCATACAGTCTCTGTCACAATTACTCAATTCTACCGTTATAGTACAACAGCAGCCATAGACAACATGTAAATAAGTGAGCATGGCTGTATTTTAATGAAGTATTATTTTATTTCAATAAAATATTATTTACAGAAACAGCCAGTGAGATTAGTCCTGGAGGCCATAATTTGACAACTCCTGCTCTCGTGTGCTCCATTCATCTGTTTCTATCCTTTGATCAATACCATAATGGCTTGATTACTGTGGCTTGTAAGATTTGAAATTAGTTAGCAGTGTTGAGTCTTCCAACTTTTTTCTTTTGCAAAAATTTTTGACTATCTTTTGCTTTCCCATATAAATGTAGGGTATGTTTGCCGGTTTGCTTTCCCATATAAACGTAGGGTATATTTGCTGGTTTCTCTTTTTTTTTTTTTTTTTTTTAGACGGATTCTCTCTCTGTCACCAGGCTGAAGTGTGCAGTTGCGTGATCTTGGCTCACTGCCATCTCCGCCTCCCAAGTTCAAGCGATTCTCCTGCCTCAGCCTCCTGAGTAGCTGGGACTACAGCTACGTGCCACCACACCTGGCTAATTTTTGTATTTTTAGTAGAGACGGGGTTTCACCTTGTTGGCCAGTATTCTCTCGATCTCTTGACCTCACGATCTGCCGGCCTTGGCCTCCCAAAGTGCTGGGATTACAGGTGTGAGCCACTGTGCTCGGTTGTTTGCTGGCTTCTATAAAAGAAAAAATCTGCTAAAATTTTTATTAGGATTGCACTGAATCTATAATCAACTTGGGAATAACTGGCACCCTAACAATATTGAGTCTTCCAATCCATGAACACAGATACTTCTTTCTTTAAAGATTGTGATTCTATCATCAATATTTTAATTTTCAGCATATAAAGTTTGCACATATTTTGTTAGACTTATACCTAAGTAATTAATAATTTGAGTGCTACTGCAAAGTGATTTTTAAATTTTAATTTCCTTTTTTTATTATGAATATATATAAATACAACTGATATATGAATATTGAGCTTGTATCCCACAACCTGGCTAAACTCCCTTATAAATTCCAGTAGCCATTTTGTATATTCTTTTGGGATTTCCTATGTTACAGATTCTCATCTATAAATAGCAACAGTTTTATTTCTTCATTTAAAATCTCTGTCTTTTCTTTTTCTTTCCTTATTGCCCTGTCTATGACCTCTGGTAAGGTGATAGCAGTGGTAAGAGTAGACAATTTTCACTTATTCTTGAGCTTAGGGGAAAGCACTTAGTCTTTCACCATTCTCTTGGCCATGTGAGAATTCAATGAGAAGACAGCCATCTGCAAAGAAGGAAGAGTGCCTTTGCCAGACACCAGATCTGCTGGGACCTTGATCTTGGACTTCTCGGACTCCAGACTGTGAAAACTAAATGTCTATTGTTTAAGCTACTCAATCTGTATTCTGTCACAGCAGACTGTATTAGTCCATTTTCACACTGCTAATAAAGACATACCTGAGACTGGAAAGAAAAAGAGGTTTAATGGACTTACAGTTCCGTGTGGCTGGGGAGGCCTCACAATCATGGTGGACGGCAAGGAGCAAGTCACGTCTTACATGGATGGTACCAGGCAAAAAGACAGCTTGTGCAGGGAAACTCCCCCTTATAATACCATCAGATCTCATGAGACCTACTTGCTATCACAAGAACAGCATGAGAAAGACCTGTCCCCATGATTCAATTACCTCCCACTGGGTCCCTCCCACAACACATGGGAATTGAAGATGAGATTGATTTGGGTGGGGACACACCAAACGATATCACAGACCAAACTAAGACAACCATTAAGAATGATGTCAGCCATAGGATTTTCATAAATGTCCTTTGTTAAGTTGAGGATATTTTCTTACAGTTTTTATCATGAAAGAATATTGAATTTTGTTGTGCTTTTTCTGCATCTATTGGGATGATCCTATAATTTTTCTTCTTTTATCTATTGACATAATGAATTACGTTAATTTAGATTTAAATATTGAGCCACCTTGCCTTCCTAGAATTAATCCCACTTAGTTATGATGCATTATCCTTTTTATTTATTGCTGCATCTAATTTGCTAATATTTTCTTGAGAATTTTGGGGTCTATGTTTATTTGGGATATTAGTCTGTAGTTTTTTTACGTGTAATTATTTTGTCTGGTTTCAATATTAAGGTAATGCTGGCTCATAAAATGAGCTTCCCATGCCAACCTTCCCAGTACAAATTAGACAGCTTTTAAATATCCACCCACTTAATTGGTGAACATTTAGAAACAAAAGACCTCTTCAGAGTGATTTTGTATATGAAAAGGAGTTTGCATTGACAAACCCTCCTTGGGATATGGATGCTAAAAAGTAAGCTAGACATTCTCATTGGGTGATTGGATCCAGAATATTAGCTCCTCAGCATAAAGAAAAACTCCTACACCTCAGCATGATGTATATTAGTTTATCTCATTGGTCCTTAATGGTTTGAGACTAGCCAAAAAAAAAACAAAAAAAAAAACATTAAATGTAATTGAGTCTGAGTCTATACAACTGCTACTCAAATTTTTATTTCAAAAAAAATTCAGCCGGTCATAGTGGTTCACACCTGTAATCCCAGCACTTTAGGAGGCCAAATCGGGAGAACTGCTTGAGCTCAGGAGTTTGAGATCAGCCTGAGCAACATAGTAAAACTTCATCTCTACAGAAATTTTAAAATTTAGCTGGACATGTGCCTGTGCATGTGCCTATAGTCCCAGCTACTGAGGAGGCTGAGGTAGGAGGATCGCATGAGCCCAGAAGATTGAGGCTGCAACACTATGATTGCACTACTGCACTCCAGCTTCGGCAACAGAGCAAGGCCCTATCTCGTTTAAAAAGAAAAGAAAAGAAAAAAAAATCTTGGGTATGAGCATAATTTATTTGATTAATGAATAAGCACTTTAAAAATTAAAGCAAGACTTTTGATTTTTAGTTCAGCTTTTCCTTGTACAGAATTCTTCTTGTTTCAGAATAGAAGAATCTCTGAAATAACATATATGTCATAGAGGCTAAAATTTAAATCTTTCACTCTTACTAGAAGTATTCAATTTGTCTTTGGGTTTTACAAGAGAAATGCCAGATGCTAACAAATATAAGTAATGGTTGTTGTTGGGCTTTTTGTTTAATGTGAATCCTCCAATTACCTTTAAAATCATGATGAAAGCTTAGAAGTTTCAAATTGCCAGCTTAAAACATTATATGTTAAATTATAATATTGTTGGCTATGCATATTCTTTTGCAGAAATATTTTTAGTTAGGCTTCAAAATATCCTCTAAATTTTTAAATAACTACAATTTTATACTCATGTCAGCTCTGTGTCTGTGTCGGTAAGAAAAAAATCTACATTACTTTTTTAAAATGTACATCATGCACCAAAAAGAGAGAGATTTCTGAATTCCATGCCTTCAGGTTAACTGATCAGGTTAGCTGTCCTACACTACAGTGACATCTACTGGCACAATCAGGACTGAGCACCCAGAAGTAATCAGAATGACAGGGCAGCCTTTCTTCTTCCTCTTTGATTATTGGCTGATAACAGGAGTTACATGAGTATGAATTTCCTAAGAACAGATATCATATTTTCTTGAGCTCTGTATCTCCAGTGTCTAATATTGTGATTGTTACATTAACGATTCCCCAGAAATCTGTTGGATAATTATAAGTGCAATTGCCTATGGCCTAACTTTTCAAACAGCACAGAATCTAAATTGAAACAATACTGTTAAAAGTGATTTAAATTAAAACAATAATAATAAAATGGTCTAAAACAAAGGTACTTTGTCTTTGTGATAAATCTCTTTTAAATTCTAATGATAAAAATAAGCTCCACTCATTATCCAGAAAATCACACACAATTTTATACACAACTTCATGAAGGTCCTGAATTCCATCTCTCAACTCAAGGTTAAGAACCTTGGATACAGGAGGTAGAAATATGTTTTAATACACTTTGAAATGCATAAAATCAATAAAACAATAATAAGAAACTACTATATACCTATTAGAATGGCTAAAATTCAAAATGTTAACATAACCAAATGCTGGTGAGGATTTGGTGGAGCAAAAGGAACTTTCATTCACTGCTGGGTAGGAATACAAAATGGTCCAGACACCTTGGAAGACAGTTTGGCAAGTCTTAAAAAATTTTAAACATCTTACTCTATGATGGAGCGATCATGCTCTTTGGTATTTACTCAAATGAGTTGAAAACTTATATCCACAGGAAACTCTGCAGACAAATGTTTATATCACCTTTATTCGTAATTGCCAATCCCCAAAAGAAACCATGGTATCCTTCAACAGGTGAATGAATACATAAACTGTGGCACATCCATATGATGAAACATTATTCAGCAATGACATGAAAAAAAAGCCATCAAGTCATGAAAATATACGGATGAACCTTACATGCATATTGCTAAGTGAAAGAAGCCAGTCCGAAAAGGCTATATACTGTATGATTCCAATGATATGACATTCTGGAAAAGGTAAAACAATGAAGACAGAAAATGGTCAGTAGTTGCCAGGGGTTTGAGGAGAGGGACAGATGATAACTTGGAGCACAAGGGATGTTTAGGGCAGTAAAACTATTCTGTATGATAGTAATGGTAGAGGCATGTCATACATTTGCTGGTAGACGTAGAACACAAAGAGTGAATCTTAATGTAAACTATGGACTTTGGTTAATAATAATGTGTCCATATCAGCTCATCAATTGTAATAAATGTACCGTGTAACAAATGAAAGATGTGAATAGTGGTGGAAATCATAAAGAAGGGGAAGGTGGGGAGTGGGCCTGGGAGGCTGCAAAGTGGGATATATAAGAACTCTCTGTACCTTCCAATCAATTTTCTGTAAACCTAAAACTGCTTTAAAACATAGTCCATACAAAAATTAGCCGGGGGTGGTGGTATGTTCCTGTAATCCCAGCTACTCCAGAAGCTGAGGCAGGAGAATCACTTGAACCCAGGAGGTGGAGGCTGCAGTGAGCAAAGATCACACCACTGCACTCCAGCCTGGGCAACAGAGCGAGGTTCCATCTCAAAAAAAAACCAACAAAAACAACAAAATTAACAAACAAAAAAAAACATAGTCCACTCATTTAAAAGAGAAATAAGCTTCTATTCTTTTGAAATATATTTTAGGATCTATTTGTTACTTTTTAAAAAATGTATGTCAGTCCATAAAGGATGAATTGACCATGAAGACTAAGCTTTGATTTTTTATCTTGCCCAAATTCCTACCTAAGGGGCCTGGGGAGTTATGCCCTGCAAACCGTAAATTCTCATCAGACGGGTGTTATTTAACCCTGCATATCGTGGCTTACTTTCCAGTCTGACTCTGGCATAACACTATGAGACAAGGAATAAGATCAAAATATTTAACCCCAAAATATATTTCCTTGCCATATCTTGAAATTGCCCTGCAAAGTCTCTTGTGGGAACAATCCACATTCTATAGAGAAGCCCCTTTCCCCTTTGTTTTCCTTCTTCCCTTCCCAGATCCAGGAGAAAATCAACTAAGAGCCAGGGACCCTTTTAAGTCTGATAAGAAACATTTTACAACCTGCTCTCTCTGAAGTCTGCTATCTGAGAGCTTCCTCTGCACAATAAAACTTGGTCTCCACAATCCTTTAACCTGAACATTTTCTTTCTATTGATCCGATGTCTTCAGATAAACTCAACCAATTGTCAACCAGAAAAAGTTTAAATTTACCTATAGCCTGGAAGCTCCCACTTTGAGTGGTCCCACCTTTCTGAATGAAACCAATGTATTTCTTAAATGTATTTGATTGATGTCTCAATCTCCCTAAAATATATAAAACCAAGCTGTACCCCGACCACCTTGGGCACGTGTACTCAGGACCTCCTGAGGGCTGTGTCATAGGCCATGCTCCCTCATATTTGGCTCAGAATAAGTCTCTTAAAATATTTTACAGTTTGACTCTTTTCATCAACAACCAAGTTTACATTTAAACACTTTTCTCTGTTACAATTTTAAATGACACATAATCTATGACAGGAATTTATTTTATAAGTGCTCACATAATTAAGTCTCTCTAACAGAAGGCTATTTTTCTATTATGAGCCTAAAGGAGAAAATGACTTTTTACTTAATCCTCGGGTTGATGAAATTAAACACTTCATTTGGTGTGCTTTTCATTTTGATGTCCCTTAGGACTGAGAATTGCCTTTCCCAGAAAGTACTGTAAATCGACTGTGAATTGCTAGAGTGATAGAGGGAAGAAGGACGATTCTATTATAGCTTCTGCCAAGAGCTGACAGGCACATCCCACGAGCCGCTGCCAAGAAATGTTTAATAGTGTGGTAGGGAATTCTAGTCCCCAGATCCTGGTGAAAAACTGAAAATTGCTTTTGGTTTGTCAGTTAAGTTGTAAAATGTCTTAGGCTCTAAAATTGATTACCATTTCATCCCAAAGCAGAATGGCAGCCTAGCAAATTGTGATCCTTATAAGTACTCATCAGAACCCCTAGTGCCTACCAATGCTAAAGTATTTTTCGGCCATCTCTATAAAGCTCAAAGGGAAGTGGACATTTGGGCAATGGCTTGAGCAATTTCAGGACAGCAGTTTATCTTTTGGTCTGAGTTGTTTGGAGTTTAAGTCTGTGATAATAAAAATTTCACAAAACAACTTCCTGTTTTCACTACTGAGCACTACTGAGCAGGTCTAACCTTAGCCATCAGAAAAAATAATAATAATTATAGGACAAGATTATAGCCATAACTGTTCCTATTATTCAGGTTAAAATATATGGTTTTTGTCTGATGCAATTCAATGAGCTTGGTTTGTGTCTAAGGAAAAGACTCTGCCCTATGTGAAGAAAAAAGAAAGAAAGAAAAAGAAAGAAAGAAAGAGAGAAAGAAAGAGAGAAAGAAAAAAGAAAGAAAGAGAAAGAAAGAAAGAAAAAAGAAAGAGAAAGAAAGAAAGAAAGAAAGAAAGAAAAGAAAAGAAAAGAAAAGAAAGAAAGAAAAAATCAAAGGAAGTGAATCTTTGCCCCCTCATTAGAGTCCTACCTTGTACTTATCTTGCTCAGGGTATAACTTGGTGCATATACTAAAGCCAAATCCACCAGGGCTTCCAGGACCTTTCTGACCAAGAGAGCAGACAATGTGAGCTTATAAGGGGCCTTGGGTGAGTCTCCAACCCCTAAAATCTCTACCAGCTTAAACTCTTATTAGAAATGCATTTCTTGGCTGGGCATGGTGGCTCATGGCTGTAGGCCCAGCACTTTGAGAGGCCGAGGTGGGTGGATCACCTGAGGTCAGGAGTTCAAGACCAGCCTGGCCAATGTGGTGAAACCCCGTCTCTACTAAAAATACAAAAATTAGCTGGGCATGGTGGCGGGCACCTGTAATCCCAGCTACTTGGGAGGCTGAGGCAGGAAAATTGCTTGAACCCAGGAGGCGGAGGTTGCAGTGAGCTGAGATCACACCATTGTACTCCAGCCTGGGTGACAGAGTGAGACTCTGTCTGTAAGAAAAAAAAAAAGAAATGCATTTTTTAAATCTTATTTTGTAAATTGCAGTTCTTTTCGGTCAGTCATTATAAATTGCAGTTATGGAGGTTACTAACACCTTTGGATGAATTCATTTGTCAGGTTTCTCTTTTATGGCATCTGGCTAAGAACAGGGCCCTAAATAAATTATATAATCTGATATACCTATTGAAGATAGGGAGGAGAAGTAATTTTGGAAGAAGAAAAAGCAGGGCACTCAGGAAATTGCCCAAATTCATTACAGCAACAGTGCATTTGCTTCAAATTATCATAAGCACCAGTAGAAACAGGAAATAGTCACATACCTTTGCCTCCTATTCAGATGGCTATATTCCTTTGCTGAGAAATTCAGAGGATAAAATACCTAGTAGATAACTGCCATCACCTTTCCCAATGTTTCCCACTTCTTTTTAGTACTAAATGTTTTACTTTTGACAATTCTTTGGCCAGATATTATTTGAGATCCTAAACTGAGGTCTAGTTATCTTTGAAGATGGGGAGTCTGAGTTGCTATATCAACACAGCATCAACTTGATTTTAATAAGTCACTTGGTACCAAAGTGACACCTACCAAAATAGGAGGAAATGATAATGGGGGAAGGGACAGTGTTGCAGACATAATATTAAAACAGGCCATATTTTAAAACCCCATTCATTAACACAAACTATGTATTAGACACAGAGAGCCTGACATTTTTGTCCAGGTCACACGGCAAGTAGCAGAGTCAGCATTCAAAACCCGACCCCGTCTGACTTGAAGCTCACATTATTTTCACATCCTCTCAATGACACATTAAGTGTCAGCAATTGTTTTAGGTGCTTTATCCATTAACTCCATCTTTACAGTAGCTCTGTGATGGAGGTACTATTATTATTCCCAGTTTACACATGAGGATACTAAGGCAGGGACAGCTGAAATAATTTGGCCAAGGTTATGCAGCTAGTAAGTGGTCAAGCTGGGACTTAACCTCAGGCAGCCTTGCCAATACAGTTATGCTTCTCTAAAACTATAACTTAAGATTTGTCTTCTGATAAATGAATTTTGAACTCTGCCCACATGGTTATCAATTTCAGCCATTAGCAAACATCTCTCTTCCCATTCCCCTTTCCCTTGTGGCTCTTCATCCGTAGCAGGTGAGATCATAAGCCTAGTGAGAACAGGACACCACAGTCATTCAGTTGGCTCACCTGGAGTCAGCAGGATTCAAAGTACAGCTCCCAGCTGTGTAAAACTGGGCAACTTCTATTAGCTCTCTAGCTATTTTTTTATATAGAGAGGCGGGGTCCTACTGTGTTGTCCAGGCTGGTCTCAAACTCCTGGCCTCAAGCAATCCTTCAGCCTCAGTCTCCTAAAGTGCTGGGATTACCAGCACGAGCCACTGCTCTTGCCAGCTCTCTCTTAATTCTCCCATCTGTAGAATGGAGAGAGTCAATCCTATCTCATTCATGATGCATACAGGTTTAAAAACATGTAAGTATATTCAACCCAGCAGTCCCATTACTGGGTATATCCCAGAGGAATATAAATCGTTCTACCGTAAAGGCACATGCGTGTGAATTGCAGCACTACTCACAACAGCAAAGAATCAACCGAAATGCCCATCAACGACAGATTAGATAGAGACAATGTGGTACATATATACCATGGAATACTACACAGCCATAAAAAAAGAATGAGATCATGTCTTTTGCAGGACCATGGACAGAACTGGAGGCTATTATCTTAGCAAACTAACACAGGAACAGAAAACCAAATACCACCTGTTCTCATTTATAAGTAGGAGCTAAATGATAATATCTTATGAACACAAAGAACGGAACAACAGACACTGGGGTCTGCTTGGGGGGGGGGTGGGAGGAGGGGGAGGAGCAGAATAGGTAACTGTTGGGTACTAAGCTTAATACCTGGGTGACAAAATAATAAGTATAACAAACCCCCATGACACACATTTATCTATGGAACAAACTTTCACACATATCCACAAACCTAAAATAAAAGTTAAAAAAAAAAGCATTATGAAAACTGGAAAAAAACGTGTGTGTGTGTGTGTGTGTGTGTGTGTGTATAAATATTCTCAGCCCAGTGGCTGGCACCATTCAACAAGTGGTAGATATCACTATCATTATTATTATTATTATTATTATTATTATTATTATTATTATAACTGTGTTATTATTACACCAAGAACATAAAACATGGTGATAAGAGTGCTTACCATTTTTGGTTATGTATTTGTGCGCTATTTTCAAAGGGAGGTATTCACGTTTCTAGTCCTATGAAAGATAACATATTATTCTTTCTTCAAATATACTTGAAGCAAAGTAGAAATAATATGGAACAACAATATGCTTTATATTAAAACACCGTGTACCAAAGAATGGTAGTTATTTCTCACAATTAAAAAGTCAAAACCTCGGGCTGGGCATGGTGGCTCACAGCTGTAATCCCAGCACTTTGGGAGGCCGAGGTGGGTGGATGACCTGAGGTTGGGAGTTTGAGACCAGCCTGACCAACATGGAGAAACCCCATCTCTACTAAAAATACAAAAGTAGCCAGGCGTGGTGGTTCATGCCTGTAATCCCAGCTACTCGGGAGGCTGAGGCAGGAGAATCGCTTGAACCCGGGAGGCAGAGGTTGCAGTGAGCAGAGATAGCGCCATTGCACTCCAGCTTGGGTAACAAGAGTGAAACTCCGTCTCAAAAAAAAAAAAAAAGTCAAAAACTCTAACCCAACTTTTCGCATTAGGCCTTGGGGCAGGGATGACAGAGGCATTTGTTATTAAGGAGGATCTTCAACACATAGGCGCAGTGACTCAGCACTGCAGCCCAGCCCACGCAGTTCCACTGTTAGGAGCCTTTGGCACAGACTTCTGTAGCAGACATTGTGAGTGCAAATGCCATTCCTTCCTCCTCCATTGCTATTAGACTGTCAAATTTGTTCAAGTACCAGGCAGCAATATGCTGAGAAAGGTAGATTCTGCCTCTGGGAATGAATCATAATTGGTCTAAGCCAATCACAGTATTCTCATTTCCCTTTACTAGTCATTGATTTAAGGATGAGAATGTGACCCAATGAAGGTGAATTAATTATAAGGCAAAATCTGCTGAAGGCAGTGAAATAGTTTTTTTTGTTTTGTTTTTTGTTTTTTTTTTTGATGGAGTCTCGCACTGTCGCCTGGGCTGGAGTGCAATGGTGCGACCTCAGTTCACTGCAACCTCCACCTCCCGGGTTCACGCAATTCTCCTGCCTCGGCCTTCTGAATAGCTGGGACTACAGAAGCACACCACCACACCAGGCTAATTTTTTGTATTTTTAGTAGAGATGGGATTTCACTATGTTGGCCAGACTTGTCTCGAACTCCTGACTTTGTGATCTGTCCACCTCAGCCTCCCAAAGTGCTGGGATTATAGGCATGAGCCACCGCACCCAGCCAGATCTTTTTTTCCCTGATTAAATAGAGAGTCATATGAAAAGAAAATCCTTTACTTTTGCTGGTGTTGTCAGATTGAAGGTGTAATGTTTACAATGGTGGCAGCTATCTTGTTGCCATGAGGAGAAGTCAAGAGAATTTCAGCATAGTTAGCCAGCAGCTCAAGCATCATTAACTCTTCCGGAACCTCCCACATCTATACTTCTTTTTAATGTAAGATAATAGACCCCTACTGTTTAAGCCAAATTTAGTCACGTATTCTCTTACTTGCAACCAAAATCTTCCTAATTAATTTAAAGCACCATCCATTAGGTTTTATAATAAAAATCATTGATGACTGGAGTTAGGAGAGTTTTTAAAGCTCTCTATGAAAAGAGTATGGAGAAATAAGACATATGTAATTTAACTGGGCTCATATTAACATTATGTTGTCATATATCCAAAACTCACTCATGCATTAGGATGAAAAAAGGAAAAGGAGGTGCCATTCTGTGGTAATAAAGGAATATTTTCTTTTGTCAGATCTCAAATAATTTAGTTCGGTGAAATATCAAAATTCTAAACTCTGATGCAGTTGAAAACATTTCCCCTCCTTTCTGCTTAGGTGGATTTAGAGGGGTGCTGCATCAGTTTCTTCTCTCTGTCTCCAGCAATCCTTTCCCACATCTGCTGGCTACAGTCAGAACCCCTTACAGGTTTGGGGCAAGAGAGAAGCAGCATAAGGACAGAGCAATTCCACTTGACCACTACAGTTGCCTTGGTGTGCTAGTTCCCAAATATGTATTCCTTCTCTTTGGGATACCACTTTTGGGATCATGGGTGAAGCCCTACCTCTTGCCTGTCCATCTTCCTGTCTCTGCCCCCTCAGGCTGCCCTGCCTCCACTCTGTGTCTGAAGGTGCACCTGCAGATTCTTCTTGCTGCAGTTGCCTCATCTTTATCAGGAGGCCCTCCTGGGCATGGCCCATTTCAAGACAATGATACAACCCATGCCCAGGTTTAGTCAGATTGACCCTGGCCTAGGAGAAACATGCCTGTGTTCTTGACCTGCTGAAGTGCTTTCTACTCAGTCAGACCTGGACACAACCTCTCAATTTCAGACTTCCTGGGTGTGTGTCAAGTGTCAGTCTTTCTGTCCCTCCAACTCAAGTTCTCCAAATGGCTCCATTGCAGCCTATTTCACTGGCTTTAGATAAATTTTAAGTAAGTGAAGTCTCTCCCCTCTGAATTCTGCTTCCTTGGAGGGAAGGAGAAGAAATGCACAGCAACCTGCCTAATATGGTTTGGGTTTGTGTCCCCACCCAAATCTCACATCCATTTGTAATTTCCAGTGTTGGAGTAGGGGCCTGGTGGGAGGTGATTGGATCATGGGGGGCAGGTTTTCCCCCTTGCTGTTCTCATGATAGTGAGTGAGTTCTCATGAGACCTGGTTGTTCAAAAGTGTGTGGCACCTTCCTCTGTGCCTTCTTTTTCCTTTTCTAGTCATGTAAGACACGCTTGCTTCCCTTTCGTCTTCTGCCATGATTTTGAGTTTCCTGAGCACCCACCCCCGATCCCCACTATGCTTCCTGTACAGCCTGTGGAACTTTGAGTCAATTAAACCTCTTCTTTAAATAAATTACCCAGTCTCAGGCAGTTCTTTATAGCAATGTGAGAATGGACTAATACAATGCCCCTCGTTCCAAATCTCTTGAAACTTGAATGTTTCCCATCCTCTGAGATAACCTGGGAGTGGGTCATGGGCAGATGACAGCAGAATAAATGTGGCCAGCCCAAGGTGGCCAGCCTTTTCTTTAGGATGTGAGAATAGCTGATACCTATTGTATTATTTTTGCCCTTTGAAGCCTCCGCCAAAACTCTGAGATAGCAGGAAAAGTTCATGTAATATCCTATTCCCAAAGTACATTATAGTATTAAGTAATGTTTTAAAATTAATGCCTCCTTTTGGAGATTTTTCTTTCTTTTTTTTAGAGACAGGGTCTCACTCTGTTGCCCAGGCTGGAGTAGAGTGGCACAATTATGGCTCACTGCAACCTCCAACTCCTAGGCCCATGCGATCCTCCTGCCTCATCCTCCCAAAGTGCTGGGATTACAGACATGAGCCACTGTGGCTGGCTTTCTCTCACAGATTCTTAAATGGCTCTTTCAAAAACAGTGCCCACCCCCCATCCAGTTGAGGAAGATCACTGTTTTATATATTAAAAATATTAAATTTTCTTGAGGCTCCTCCTGGGGCCTGAGGAATCTTTGAATCTGTCTAAATTTGGTGCCTAGAATCAAGAACCAGTAGGGACCTCAGTTCAGATGTAACAAAATATTGGCCGGGTGCGGTGGCTCATGCCTGTAATCCCAGCACTTTGGGAGGCTGAGGGTGGCGGATCACGAGGTCAGGAGATTCAGACAATCCTGGCTAACAAGGTGAAACCCCGTCTCTACTAAAAATACAAAAATTTAGCCAGGCGTGGTGGCATGCGCCTGTAGTCCCAACTACTTGGGAGGCTGAGGCAGGAGAATTGCTTGAACCTGGGAGGCAGAGGTTGCAGTGAGCGAGATTGCACCACTGCACTCCAGCCTGGGCGACAGAGTGAGACTCCGTCAAAAAAAAAAAACAGATATAACAAAATATTTAACCTTGGAGACCTGTAACCAGTGACTGAATCTGACAAGTTTTGCAGCAAAAATTGAAAATCTTGAGACCCTGATGCCATGATACAATTAGGGTCTCCTAAGTTCATAGGATTAGTAAGGATCTAAGAGATCAGTAAGACCTGAGCGTGAGACACCACTTCAGTCACTTGTTTGCTTCCCTTGTGACCAAGGGCAGCTCTTTAGGGTTGAGATACTCATATAAGGTCATGAAACAGCATCAAGATGACTGCATTCTGGAGGTGTGAACACACAACCTTAGTCTCACTGGCCTCATGCTCATGCCAATTAAGTTAATATTGCTGAGAATAGTGAGTAATACAGAAGCAATCTCTAAAATGCTGTTTCTGTCTTTGCCTAGAATGGTTCTAAAATATCTGCAGCTCTCCTCTTGACTGAATAATTAATCTAAGAGTCTGAATTGTCCCATAAAGTTTATGTCAATGTGATTCTGAGTTTTAAAAAGACTTTAAAGGTCCAGGGAGAGAGATGAAAGAAACACTATCTTCTACGAAAAAGGCTGTAACTCTCAGAGTATCACTTCACAAGGCACAATGCTATCAAAGTGTTTTGTCATCAAGGTATATCTGCCAACCCCAGCTGCCAGGACAGTAAGAGAATAGAAGCAGTAGGTATGACCTTTCCCTCTCATTGGACAAATCAGCTGATCTTCCAGATTTTGGCAAGTCCTGATGGAGGTAGAGATTGGTTTGAAACCTCCTATAGAAAATTCTATAAAACTCTGCTCTGGTAGGATTTTATAAGCTGAATGATGTGTATGACATCGTTTCCATTTCGTGAAAGCACTGAAAAGCGAGTAGCATTAACACTGTCAATTAGGGCTCTGATTACAACAGTACTCTTAATCAAGATCCTAATCTTCCCAGATGACTGGTAGAAGAGATGTATTTCCTTCTGAGAGGCTGAATGCCAGAGTGGCAACTTATTGTCCTAAACCTGTATATCCTATGGTCTCACCACAGATGACACAGGGATCATGACAATGCAAATCTTTTGATCAGCAATGAAGGGTGGATGATAAACAGGACAGGGATTCCTATTGCTTACCCCATAATGATAGGTAATTTGATGATGACAAATTTATTTCTCTTTCCTATTCCTGGATAATTCTCATCACCCCTGGCTGCCCAACAACCCCCCCAAATACACAAAAACATAAACTCCATGGCTGTCAGGTATGTCTAAGATTGATCTCCACCATGTTGCCTTAAGAAGGTTATTGATCTAAAGATGGAAACAAATCTGATTTTCTGAAATGCTATTCAACTCGTGCCCTGACAAACGTAAAGTGTCAGTGTAATAGCAGCAGTGTTTTGAAAAAAATCACATGCTTTTCTCTTTTGTTTTTCCTAGTCACGATCTTCTCTTTAAAGAGTTCAAAGCATCTGTCTGTGTGATTTGGGGGGAGGGTAGTAATTAGGAATGAAAGAGGCAACAGTCAGCTTCTGGCATGTAAAGTAGGATTTTGTAATGAGACAACTGTTATGGTGAAAGAGAAGATTTTTCCACATCTCTCTGACTCCTACTTCACATGTTAGGAGCCAGACTTGGCAATTCAAATCATAGAGATTTTCTTTTTTGCCTATGACATTTTGCCAAGAAGCTTCCCACTCTGTGGTAGAAACAGGATGTGATAGAAGAGAAGTAAAAGAAAACCTTCCTCTTGTTGTCCAGGGAATGGCAAGAAGGAAAACAGGAAACAGGGGAAGGGAAAGGTGGATGGTGAGAAACTTGTGCTCCAAGGTGGTCATTTTGCCTATTTGAGATTCCAGGTCAGTTCTGCCAAGTGTCTTCACCTCGAGATTTCCTGGCATGATTAGGAGAATGGAGCGCTAAGGTCCTTGGGGGAGAGAAAGAGAGAGAGAGAGATCCTAATGTGCACTCCAAAGCCTACATTGGTACCTATGTAACATGGACACGGAGTTGAAAGCCACAAGCCTGCCATGGGGCCTGCTGTGGCACTGGGATAGATGATCCCACAGCAAAAGTCTTCAGGATGAATAGCCTGACTGGGGGCTGGATAAGGGAGAGATTCAGAAAGGTCTCTAGCCAGAGAGAGCTGAAGGTAGGCCAAGCCAACAAGGAAGGGTGACTAGGGCTTGACTAAACCAGGAAAAAATAGACAACTTTAGCAGCCACTGAAGTCTAACGCCAAAACTTGGGTGAACTTCAATAGGCACTAATCAATGCACACTCAAGAACCAAGATTAAGGCCATAGAGACCCCTCTTCCCGCCCTATATCGTAAGAATACAATAAACTATACCCCTCCCCCACGTACTTCCAGGTAGGAAGGCAATGAAGGGGTGAAAATGGGAGAAGTCTGAGAACCTGAGAATTACATAAGGGGTGGTTTAAACGACTGGATCAGAATACATTTTAAACCAGATTAATTTGTGTTTTTTGGTTTTGTTTTTCTTTCCCACCACCTACCAGGTCACAAGACTAAATAAGCTCTAAACAAAATAAAGAAATTAAATCACTTCTAAATTTCTGTATCACAAGTAATTTTGCAACCCTGCTACAAAAACACTCAAATAAATAATAAGTTCACATTATATTGCATTTGACCCCAAAAACAAAAGATTCTTTCATGACTCAGAACTTTGCTATAAAGTCATTTATGTGAGGCTTTTGTGCATGAAGAATGATCGTGACTATTTGCACTTATATATCTAACATTTTAATCTCATAGATTTATTAAGAGTGGAAGATTACATTATTTACTCACAATTCTTTCCCTCCCCACCTTTGCATGGTTCACTGTAGGTAAAGCCTTCTACTCCTTTGGATTATTTTGTTTTTGTTTTTGAGACAAGGTCTTGCTCTGTCACCCAGGCCGGAGTGCGTGGCTCAATTATAGTTCACTGCAGCCTCAGCCTCCCAAGCTCAAGTGATCCTCCCACCTCAGCCTCCCAAGTAAGTGGGAGTACACACGTATGCCATCGTGCCTGGCTGATTATTTATGTATTTATTTATTTATTTTAGATATGGAGTCTTCCTACATTGCCCAGGCTGATCTCAAACTCCTGGGCTCAAGCAATCCTCCCACCTTGGCCTTCCAAAGTGCTGGGATTACAGGCAGGAGCCACCATGCCCAGTCATTCTACTCCTTTGATGTTGGGCTTGGCCACATCTCTTGCTTTAGACAATGGAATGTGGGTGGAAAAGAGAACATGTCCATTTTTAGCCATCACATTTCCATTCTCCTCCCTTACTCTTCTGCCATCTGCCATGAGAATAACCCTAGGTAACCATTGGTCCCAGAATAGAAACACGTAAAACATACTAAACTCACAGACTGAAGGAGAACCTCCCCAGCCCACCTGCAGGTCAGGAATATAAAATAAGTAATTTGGGAGTTTTTCATATGTCAATATTGCAGCAAAAACCTGACTGATACATTAAGCAGTTAATATTTCTTTAAATATTAAATGGTTACTGTAAACATTCATATACTATTCATACAACTGATAAACCAAATAACAGATCTAACAACTTAAAATTTCCCAGCTATGGCCAGGCGCGGTGGCTCACGCCTGTAATCCCAGCACTTTGGGAGGCCAAGGCGGGTGGATCACGAGGTCAGGAGATCGAGACTATCCTGGCTAACACGGTGAAACCCCATCTCTACTAAAAATACAAAAAAAAAAACAAAACAAAACATTAGCCAGGCGTGGTGGTGGGTACCTGTAGACCCAGCTACTCAGGAGGCTGAGGCAGGAGGATGATGTGAACCCGGGAGGCGGAGCTTGCAGTGAGCCGAGATAGCGCCACTGCACTCCAGCCTGGGCGACAGAGTGAAGCTCCGTCTCAAAAAAAAAAAAAAAATTTCCCAGCTATTCAAACACTGATTATAAACTTCTTTAATTATATGCTAAATAATTACTTAAAATCACAAATTTAATATATCAGGTTCTTGTAAATGTTTTAAACAACTTAAACTAGAGACAAAGCACTCATGCAATATTATACTGATCACCAAAACTGCAGGATTTGGGTGGTTGAATGATTGTTTCTCCATTGGATTTGGAATCTGATCACACAGCCCAAAATAATTCATCTTTAAATTACTAGAACTTAAATTAAACCTCTATTACAACTAAAATTCACTTTTGCTTCTAATCAATTGCCTTTCCTATAGATTTGAATTTTCCAATGCATGGTTTCTCTCTACAAAATGATAAATTATCTCATGTTTTCTATGTCTGCCTGTACCTAACCAATAGTCCTGCCACTCTAATATGATGGTCTGGCCTGAAGGTATAAAGGGAGACTTCTGTCTCATGAATATCTCATAATAATAAGTAGCATATCTAGTTCAGGGTTTTGCAAACTTCACGGTGCATGCAAATCACCTGAGAAGCTTGTTAACGTATATACTCTGGTTTAGTAAAGCTGGAGTAGGGCCTGGATTAAGAGATGCCATTGCTACTGGCTGTTGAACCATCCAAGTACTTTGCATAGCAAAGATGTAGGAATATCTTCCTTCTCCTGGGTGGTAAGGGATTGACTCTATGTAGCTAATTCCTCTGGGATATCTGGCTCCTTAATTTTCTTGGAACACATTATGTTCCTGCATGATTATTACATCTGCTGATTAACTGTCAAACCTTCATTTTCCTGGCTATTTCATTTGATTACTAGTGTTGATCAATTGTTCTCTTTCTTGAAACAAATATCTACTTATTCGATGTTCCCTGTGTTTATTCTTTCCCGTACATAGATATGGAAATAAAGACCTTTCTATACTTCATAAACAAGCTGTCAGGAAAAATTGTAAAAGATTTTGAAAGACAACAAAAAATGATTGGCTGCCCTGTCTAGCACATTTTTCTAGGTTTCATTGTCTTTGAACTATTTTATAATTCTATAAGTTGTAGTGAACTGACAGTAGTACAATGGATTCTTGTCCATAGAAAAGAAACTAAAGTGGAATGCACTTGATTATTGCCTTGTGGATAGATTCATTTTGCATTTATTTGTAAATTTATCTTAGCATTCCTTATTGCTTATATATAGGTGATTCTTTAAATCCTCCTTTGACCAAGTAGTAACATAGCACTGGTTCCCTGATTAATTAATGAGTTAAGTAAAATCTAGCCGGGCGTGGTGGCGCACTCCTATAATTCCAGCACTTTGGGCAGCCCAGGTGGGTGGATCTCTTGAAGCCAGGAGTTCGAGACCACCCTGGCCAACATGGTGAAACCCCGTAACTACCAAAAATACAAAAAAATTAGCCTGGCGCCTGTAGTCCCAACTACTCAGGAGGCTGAGACATGAGAATTGCTTGAGCCTGGGAGGCGGAGGTTGCAGTGAGTCAAGATCGCATTACTGCACTCCAGCCTGGGCAGTAAAGTGAGACTCTGTCTCAAGAAAAAAAAAAAAAATGAATGAGTTAAGTAAAATCTTCCACATGGATTTATTTCATATCTGCCCAAGAGAGTCATATAGATATAATGCTCTCTTTTAAAAATAGTCTTTTAGCAAGACAGATAATTAATTGAAAAAAGCTACCCACTTTTAAAAATTACTTATTTACTAATTTACTAATTACTTTCATTAATAAGACTTGAACAAATCTATTTGTCTTCATTATTCTCTTGTTTTATAACCACCTTTCTACTTACACTTTATTTTAATTGTTTTGAGTATCATTTTGAACTTAAAATAATACAAATAATCATTTTTGATTCTTAATTTTTCAAAACTTAGCCAATGAGAACACTTTTAATTTGTCTCCTTTGCCCTTTCAGCACTCACTCTAATACATATACATATAGAGAGAGAGGGAGAGTGCGAGAGAGAGCAAGCGAGAGCTGAAAGGCAAAGCAGACAAACTATATATATACATACTGAGACACAGTCTTGCTCTGTCATCCAGGCTGGAATGCAGTGGCCCAGTAACAGCTCGACCTCCCAGGCTCAAGTGATCCTCCCACCTCAGCCTCCCAAGTTGCTGGGACTACAGGCATGCACAGCCAAACCCAGCTAATTTTTTGGTATTTTTTGTGGAGACAAGATCTCACGATGTTGCGCAGGCTGGTCTTGAATTCCTGGGCTCAAGCAATCCTCCCACCTCAGTCCCCTAAAGTGCCGGGATTACAAGCATGAGCCACCATGCCCAGCCTCTAATGTTTTTGTTTGTTTGTTTGTTTGTTTTTTAAGAATCCTTGTTTTCTCCCAATGGAAGAATAATATTTCCTGACTGATTTAGGGTTTTGTTTTGTTTTGTTTTTCTGTCTCATATCTTGGAAATCCACAATCCAAAGAGTTCAGGCTCCTTCTAGTGGAGAAAATTATCAAAGACCCAAATTTGGGCCTTGTAAGTCTACATGAGAGTTGGTGGTGAGTGAGTGCCCCTGCTGTGGCTGCTGGTTCATTTGAGAAGTCACAGGGCTGGAAAATATGTCATTTTAAAGTCCTGAGTTCATACTGATTTTCCCAAGCATATTAAGTTGCTATGCCCTACTTTTCTTATAGTCCAGGGTTTCACTGACCTCTAAGACTTTTTACTATCTTTCTGCTAAAGAAAAGATGCTAGACTCATTTGAAAAAACACAGATATAGGTTTCCAGATGCAGTGAGGAAGGGTTTGGGGAAGGGCTATAAAAGAAATGTTGTATTTTACCTTAACCTGTTTCCTTGCTTTTATCTCATATGTATAGTTATTTACATATAACCAGAGAAGGGAAGAGGGTAGGAAACCACAAGGATTCGGTGATATCTCTTTAGAGACAGAAGATATGAACCATGAACAAGAAAAATCAAGCATTCCGTCTCAATCTCCATTCCTCCGGGTTCAAATGGGCCCCAGTCCACTGGGAGAAGTAAAACATTCATTTTAACCTCCCACTTGACAGGGACAAAGAGATGTCAGTGGTCTCAAAGGACACTGGAATTGTGGCTCACAATTTCCTGGAGCTTTCTCTAATGCAGGAAATACAACTACTTCCACTGTGGAATTTTTATCTTTGCCTGTGAGGATCAGATATCACTTGATTCTTTTTTTTTCTTCCCCAAGTCCTGATGGAATTGAAGGTATCGTTTGATTTTAGAGTGTTTCCTTTTTTTCCTCTCTTTAAGTTGCAGGTTTTGTGAGAACAAAATTGCATCCTGCCCCACCTACAGGACTGGAATGGTGTGGGATCTCAAACGTGCCTGTCAGTGTGAAATACAGCTGAATCTGAATTAGGAGGCTCAGGAACCCTCCCAGTCTTCTTGTAAGGCAGCCAGAGGGGAAAAAGGGGATTGGTTGTGCCTTAGCACAGAGCTCATGTGACCTGGGATCAAATCTAGATTGTTTCTCAAAGGCAGTCAAACATTTAAGATCTCATCTCTCTCTCTCTTTATCTCTCTCTCTCTCTAACACATACACACACAAACACACACGAATGCACACACAAAACAGTTAAATGCTGTTGTGTGATGATAAGATTCTTCCCAAGACTGTGTCACTAGGAAAAGAATACACTTGAATGCTTTTATACATTTTGTGGAAATACTAAAGTGTCCATTAACTGAGATTGTTATATGCCAGTCTTGAAAACAGCTTCTTCCTTACTAGTCTGAAGAAAGTAGCAGTTAATGCCAACTGACTATGAAGCAACAAAGTGCTACATTTATTTCTGTTAACTGAGAAGTTAATGTTGCCCCCAAAGGAGATAAATTAATAATTTTTAAAAAATCACAAACCAGGCCGGGCGCGGTGGCTCACGCCTGTAATTCCAGCACTTTGGGAGGCCTAGGTGGGTGGATCACGAGGTCAGGAGATCGAGACCATCCTGGCTAACACGGTGAAACCCCATCTCTACTTAAAATACAAAAACTTAGCTGGGCGTGGTGGCAGGTGCCTCTAGTCCCAGCTACTGGGGAGGCTGAGGCAGGAGAATGGCGTGAACCCGGGAGGTGGAGCTTGCAGTGAGCAGAGATCACGCTACTGCACTCCAGCCTGGGCGACAGAGCGAGACTCGGTCTCAAATAAAAAAAAAATAAAAAAAATAAAAAAAATCACAAACCAGCCAAATTTGGGAACACATTTAAATTACTGTCTCTCTTGAAGCATTTATGAGGCAAATTTTGGAAACTCATCATCACAAATATAGAGGAATGGGCCAGACGTGGTGGCTCATGCCTGCAATTCCAGCACTTTGGGAGGCCGAGGTGGGTGGATTGCTTGAGACCAGTAGTTTGAAACCAGTTTGGCCAATGTGGCAAAACCCTCTCTCTACTAAAAATACAAAAAATTAGCTGGGCTTGATGGTGTGTGCCTGTAGTCCCAGCTACTCAGGAGGCTGAGGCACAAGAATCGCTCGAACCCGGGAGGCGGAGGTTGCAGTGAGCTGAGATGGCACCCCTGCACTCTAGCCTGGGTGACAGGGCAAGACTCTGTCTAAAATTCTTTTTTAATTTTAGGCAGAGTCTCGCTCTGTCTCTATCTATCTATCTATCTATCTGTCTATCTATCTATCTATGGAGAGAAAGAGATGAATGAAAAAATTTAGAAAATATTTTACATAATCAAAGACATAAAGGTGAAGTTAACACAATATCCAGTTGTCCTACTTTCTGAAAAGATACTGAAATTCAAATAGGCAATTCACAAACTCCATTCATCCAATCTCATGACATTCCAGCACTAGGTAAACTTCTTCAGCAAGAAGCATTTATAGTCTAGCTAAGTTTGTATATGCTTACTTCATTTACTAAATGCCTGCTATGCCAGGTTCTATGTTAGGAATGTGAATACAAAGGTAAAGAGGGGAAAAAATAATCTCTGCCAACAAGATTTCTCTTGGTCCTATTTTACAACAGTTCTCTGACTCTTGCATTTAAAAGAAGCAGCTTTGGTTGTGAAGGCAGCTATTATAGAAAAGAAATGATCATTTTGCCTAAATAGAACTCAGTGAGGAACTAGCTGGTGAGTAAAAAAGGTTTCTAAGCAGCCAAAAACAGATTCAACACATTCCAAATGCTAAAGTTATGGGTTGAATCCCTAGACATGACTCCTCGAGGCTTTTTCCTACTTTATGTACAATTCTAGCAATTGTGGTATAAAAGAATATTGGCTCCCTTTCAAAGGTAAACTTGGAAAACTTCCAAAGTTAATACTGAAAGGAGACTCTCTAGCCCAGAGGTGGAGTCAAACCATGTAGTTCTGGTTCATTCTTTCTGATTCTAGTGTGCATTGTAACTTTGTTTACAAAGTATATTTGACTAACAACCCACAACTGATAAAAGGGCCAATAGTGTTACAGTGCCGTAAAGTTAGAGGTTACCCTGAAGGATTTGATCAGGTGGTATGTTTTATAAGCTTTAGATAAATTAACACCGAAGATGTTATAGTTTTATTGCCCTGTAGAATGTTAGCCAATTTTATATCTAAATTAGCAAATATTTTCTTTTGCTTACTGTATACGTGTGTGTGTGTGTGTGTGTGTGTGTGTGTGTGCATTTGGAAAAGCCAATTCTTTTGTCTAGTTGTCTAATTTCCAGTTCCCTCACTAGTGGCTTAAAAAAAACTTTGACACACTATAATGAATAACTTTGTTCAGAGATTTTGCTTTTCAAGTTTTGTATTTTTTTTCCCACACATTATCTGAGATAACTACCTTCAGTCCATAAAGACTAACAAGTTCACAGGTACTTGATCTCCGTCACTTTCTTTTTAGCTCCTAGGCTGTCTGCAGAAGGAGGGAGGCATCTTAACATTTACCCCTGGAGTACCACTTCCTTGATTATTTTGATACCTTCATGGTTGGGACCGAGAGAGATTTCTGTTGATGGCAGCACCCCAGGCCTCTCCTCTCCAGCCTCTCATCAGCTAACTGTCACCAGAAAGGAGAGAAACAGCAAATGACCTGCCCTGGCCCATTTAGATAACAAAATACCAAAGTCTTAATATAGCAAAATGCCAAAGCTCTGCGCCAAGAGAAATGGACCCAGGAGCCTTTTCTGAAAGAACTTTGCAATATTTATAACTTCCTTATTTTTGCTATATCTGTTACCCCTTGTTTCCCTAAAACAAGTAGTAAGACTTAAAATAAGAAAGGCTTATGTTGAAGGGTTATGAGAATATTTTTAACCTTTTTATTTCTGTTTAAATGTTTCCCATCCCCTATATAACCAATGTTAGTGATTGGTTTATAATTTGGTTTGCAGGCAATTTTTCTATGTATTTTCAATATGTTCTATATGTATTTTCAATATGTTCTGCTATCTTTCCAGATCAAAAGGATGTCTTTTTGAACCATTTCCCAACAGATTTTAAATGTTGGGGAATGGCATGGAATGAATTCCAGCAATGGAATACTTGGGAACTGTGCTTAACCTATTTGGAGATTCAGAAATTGATTGTTTCATAATTTGTCTGTTTGTTTTGTCTATTGCTGGAAATGTTCACGGAATAGAGAGTGGAGAAAGGTAGGTGGAAATACAAAGGGGAAGAGGGTAGAAAATAAGTCTAGAGAAGCTGTAAGGAATTACCAGGAATGCCTAGTCCACAAGTCCCCAGTGAGAAAGGAGTGGGGGAGAAGAGTTTCCACTGACTTTTCAGGGCCACTCTCATGTGTGTGTTTGCAGGTAGGGGAAGGACAATGAGGAAGGATGAAAAGAAATACTCTATAAGCTCAGAAGAACACAATTATCCTTTAAAAAGTGGAGTGGGGTGGAGGGGCAGCAGATGGACACTTCAGATGAACTGGACAAGAATGCTGATGCTCAATGGGAATAAATTTAGAAAAAGTGCATACTTCCTCTAGCCAACTTGACCTATGAAGTGAAATAAGATTAACAAACTAATTCACTCCTTCAACAGCTATTGATCAAGCATCTGGTTTATGCCAGGCACTGTATTAGTTGTTAGAATTACAGCTATCACAGCTAATATGACTATTCCAACAGAGAAGACTGATGTGTGAACAGAGAAGTAAAACACTACTTAGGTGTTCAGATAGGGAAGCACAAAGGAGGGGAAAGTAACTCAGGGTTTGTTTGTTTGTTTTAGCATTCCAGTAGAATCTGGGAAGATTTCCTGAAAGGGGAAACGTCTGAGATTAGACCTGACAAACAAGTAGAGCTAGCACCAGCGAAGCTAGCAGCAGATACTGAGACCCAGAAGCCAAAAATAGTACCGTGGGTTAGGGGGCTGATGATGATAATCCAGTTGGCAGGAACATCAAGGGCAAGAGCCAGGGGCATAGGAAGCTGGTGAGAGATAAGGCAGGAGAAGAAAGCAGATTCTCCTTATTTATATTTCAAGTAGATTTGCCTTTGATAATAGAAAGGCTAAGGTTAAGGCTAATTGTTAATTTTATTTACAGCTCACTCATTCGTGACTTGAGAAGCCAGACAACAGGCTCACAGACTTGCTCTATAAACATGTGGGAGAAAGAGCTGGCAGAAAGGAGCCTCACTGTCTGTTCCTGAAGATCCCAGGGCATAGGACGGCAGAAGTTGTTACAGAGGTGTATCAGGCCATTCTTGCATTGTTATATAAAAAAAAATACCTGAGACTGAGTGATTTATAAAGCATTGGCTTAGGCAGGCAAGGAGAGCAACCAAGTAGGCAAGAGCTGAGAGCTAAGCTGGGGTCCTGACTTGTCACCCAGGGTTAGGCGAGAGAGGAAGTCACAACTATGGAGCCAAGTCAGTGCTGGGAGGGCAGGCAGGCAGGAATGGCTGCAACAGGGGACCAGAGGAGCCACAGCACAGGGGAGTCATATAAGGTCCAATTACCCCAAGGGACCCAGGTCCACTCAGTGGATGGGTGCCTGATACTTTTGGAGAAATACTTACCTCTCTATTCAGGGTTAGTATAATAGGAAACAGTGTGGGCTTCCAGAGTCAGACTGCCTGCCACTTTCTACCTCTGTGTCCTAAGGCAGATTGCTGAATCTCTTGAAGCCTCAGTTTCCTCATCTGTAAAACAGGGGTGGTAGTATTCTCTATAGCATATTTTTTTGTTTCCATTGAATGAAATAATGAATGTGGATTGTTTAGTGCAGTGTCTAGCACATAGTGCAAACTGAATATCTGGCACCTGTATCATCACTCTGGCCACAACTTTTAGTCTGCCTTAGGTGCTACACCATTCTGGGGACCATCACTGTCCAGTTCACTCAACTGGGATTTAAGCATCAACTTTGGAAAGTACTTAGGGACAGAGACCATATCTTTTATATCCAAAATTCCCTTTAGCACGTAACGATTTGATATAATCAGCATTTATGTGTCTACTGTGTTAGGTAGTTTATGGCAATAGACACTAATTCTTTTTATTAAATAAATTACTAGAAAATGACTTCAAACAGCAAAGCTAATAGAAGGAAGCAAATAGTTTGCTAATTTACATAATGAGAAAAGTTTCCATTTGCAATCAATTACAGCACCCAGCCTAGCTTAGGGCTTTGCATAAATATTTATATACTTGAATCAAGATGGCTGTGAGATACTCTGCACCTATTTTAAGTACTCAGGAGATTCAACACTTACATTCATCTAGCAAATCTGAAGCAGAATTAAATGCCTTGGACTGAAATCCTTTCATAGAAGGATTCACAGTCATGTTATCTTCTTTAACTAAAACAGCATTTCAATTACAAGCTGTGGTTACAGTGAATTAGTGTATGACCCACAGGCAAACAGCCAACTAAGTAATTATAAGAAATGTATCAACCTAAATAATTCCTTGAGGGTCCTTGAGATACAGTATTGCCTTTCATTCCTGAGCCTTTTTCATTAGCGCATCTATGTATTAATATATAATTTACATCTTTTAAATTGAGGATATGACTAAATAATACTTTTTTTTTTTCAACTTAAGAATTGGATGAAGTTGGATGACTTAAAATGTTTGGCACTTTAATTGGAAAAAAAAAAAAGAACTGCTCCGTTTCTGGGCACCAGCATTTGAATTGACATATCGACACAAGCTGAAGACCACCAACTTGCCATTTTACAATCACCTTTGAAAGAATGTTGACCCTTATATTATACTTTCAGTGTCAGATTTTCCCTTTAAGGTTTAGCCCAAAAGTGCATGGTTATGAAGGACATTTTCTAGACTTCTTGCCTATATATGAATTTTTAAAAATATAATACTGGGCTGGGCAGGGTGACTCACACCTGTAATCCCAGCAAGTTGAAAGGCCAAGGCGGGTGGATCATTTGAGCCCAGGAGTTTGAGATCACCCTGCAAAACCCCATATCTACAAAAAAACACAAAAAATTAGCCAGGTGTGGTGGCACATGCCTGTAGTCCCAGCTACTGAGGAGGCTGAGGTTGGGGGACCCCTTGAGCCTAGGAGGTCAAGGCTGCAGTAAGCTGTGGTCACACCACTGTACTTCATCCCGGGTGACAGAGCAAGACAATGTCTGAAAAAAAATCTATCTATCTAGAGATTTCATACATATATATATCTATATCTATACACATATATGTACATATATGTGTATAGATATACACATATATGTACATATATGTGTGTATATATATACACATATATCTATATATAGATCTGTATATATATATATACACATATATATGTACATATATGTGTATAGATATATATAAAGGCAAGGCAATGTAATTACCCAGAACACCTCAAATTTGAGATCAGCAAGGAGATAATAGTGCTTGGCAATTTAATTACTCAGTTAAGAGTTCAAGGCTGAGCCCAGTTCTTCTGGCTTCTTCCTTCATGTTCAAGGCTTTGTTTAATCAGGTCTAGGTACAACACGAGAATAAACAGGAATGTGGGAAACATGCGAAATAAGTTTCCAGCCCTCCAAGGTAGATGTTTATACAGTTAACAAAGTAATAATTACCACAATAACACACAATACTTTTGATTATCTATTATGTGACAAACACCATGTTAGGTACTATATGATCCCATCTGCAATATCCCTGGTGGTAATAATAGATTCCTACAGTAATACTCCATGACATACATTATTATCTCAATTTTCTAGCTGGGAACCTCAGGTTCAGAGAGGTTAAGTAACACTCCTTGCATGCATCATAACAGCTAGTAAGAAGTAGAAGGAGAAATGTTATTAGGTCAGCTGGATTCTTTATGCCATTTTTCCTCTTAGTTAAAAAAACAAACAACTTTTCACAAAGTTTTGCCAGAAATCAGGGATGGATCCAGATTTTGAGGAGCATAAAGTTTATATGATTGCGGGAAGAGAACTTCTTTAAGAAAAAGAATACAAGATATCTTTTTATTTATTTATTTATTTATTTATTTTGAGACGGAGTCTCATTCCGTCACCCAGGCTGGAGTGCAGGGGCGCAATCTTGGCTCACTGCAAGCTCCGCCTCCCGGGTTCAAGCCATTCTCCTGCCTCAGCCTCCCGAGTAGCTGGGACTACAGGCACCCGCCACCACGCCCGGCTAATTTTTTGTATTTTTAGTAGAGATGGAGTTTCACCGTGTTAGCCAGGATGGTCTCAATCTCCTGACCTCGTGATCCACCCGCCTTGGTTTCCCAAAGTGCTGGGATTACAGGCGTGAGCCACAGCGCCTAGCCACAAGATATCTTACTTTCACAAATTTTACAAAAATATATAAGCTTGTGAATACATTGTAAGAACCTTCCCCTGTCACTTGGAAGGAGCCAGGGCAAGTGACACCTAAGCTTCATTAACATCATAGAAAATCCGCCTCTGCTGGGGACTCAACCCTTCAAGTTACCTTTGCTGGCTGAGAGAGTGAGAGAAGGAGCTTTTGTGATGCAACAGGACATTTTGATAGCTTTAGACATCTCCTGCCACCCCCAAACGTATCCATTGCTGAGGAAACTTACATGCTGCTGGGAATTAGGATGTGTGTCGATCAGTGCCTTCAACACATGAGGGTACTCTTGAGGGGAATGGAAGTGAGAACTTGTCTTTTTGCATCCCAAGTCCAATTGAGTCAAATTTGTTTGATGGACTTTGGTGGCCTAACCCAAATTAGGCAACAGGGAAGAGCAGCAAGATCCTGGGAAATCTTTACCATGAAAACAGGAAAAAGGCAGGCTAGGAGGTCAGCTGGGAAAAGTGAACCTTGCATCAGTCAATCTGCTCTCAACCCAGCCATCCTGAAGGCAGGTTTGGGGCCCAAGGAAACACCTACATGAACCATAAGAGTTTGAAGGTGGTAAGGCTGGGCCATTTTTTGTGTTGACCCATTAGCCAACAAATTGTACGTCTCTCCAAAGAGTACATCATAAGGAATGACCATAGCCTGTGCTGGGATCTGCAATAACCCTGGTGGTAATAATTAGAGCAGGTGGCCCAGCTTGAGCCACAGTTATTTGGCTTACCCTATTTAACAGTAACCTTGAGGTTCAGCTTCAGCAACAGTAGCCACAGCATGGATGGTCATGGGGCAACGGGAGTATGGCCTGGTTAGGGCACACATCTCCAGACTGCCAGTATTATAGGAAAGGGGTCCTGATCCAGATCCCAAGAGAGGGTTGGTTCTTCGATCTCAGCAAGAAAGGATTCAGGGTGAGTCTGCAGTGCAAAAAAGCAAGTTTATTAAGAAAGTAAAGTGGTGAAAGCACAGCTATTCCATACATAGAGTAGGACGTTCCTGAAAGTAAAAGAAGGAACGCATCCACCCTAGGCACAATGCTTGTATATGTGGGGAGATGTGTTCTGCTACAAGGGTTTGTGATAAAGGATTGATTTTCTTAATTACTATATTTTGCAAGGATTGACATTATTATTATTATTATTTGAGACGGAGTCACACTCTGTTGCCCAGGCTGGAGTGCAGTGGCGTGATCTCAGCTCACTGCAACCTCTGCCTCCTGGGTTCAAGTGATTCTCCTGCCTCAGCCTCCTGAGTAGCTGGGATTACAGGCACGCGCCAACATGCCCAGCTAATTTTTGTATTTTTAGTAGAGACAAGGTTTCACCATGTTGGTCAGGCTGGTCTCGAACTCCTGACCTCGTGATCTGCCTGCCTCGGCCTCCCAAAGTGCCGGCCGATACTATTTAAATCAAAATTAGGAATGCCTTTGTTCTCCAGATATCAGGATACTGGACAGTCCCAAGTCTGGGTCTGTTTTGTAAACAATATTAATCTGTTCCCTTAACCATAAATATCTAGGGGCTAGGAATGCCTAACTTTCTGAGAATGCAGCCCAGCAAGTCCCAGCCTTATTTTCCCAGCCCTCACTCAAGATGGAGTTGCTCTGGTTCAAACTCTGACTTCCTCTGACATATCTCCCCCCACCCTTTACAAGAGGACCCTTAATCCTAAGGGTTGCAGAAGGATGAAGATCCGTCTTCTGCAACTTCTTCAGGCTGAATAGGGGTGATTATATTCCTGCCTAACTATTAGGGTCTCTTGCATTCGGGGTAGAGAGAAGCTCAGTCAGAGAGCATTGGTATGGTGAAGGTCATTCATAACTCCAAGTTCTGACAAAAGGTGATATCTGGAAGATTCATAAGTGTCCAATTTAAGAAAGCATTGAGTAAACTTGTCTTGCATTCCTACACAAAGAGTACAACCACAATATATTCCACAACAGCAAAGTAAAATAAGTAAAATCATTCCAAGTAAACTAAACAGGAAGGCTCTCCAAGAGCCGGGCAGTTGTTGGAACCAAGCCGATATAGGGTCGACTGACAGTGCATCAATGGCAGAGATATGAGTGTCTAAAGCTTTCATATCCCAGATAATATTATGTGAATAGTCTGAAACATACACTCATTTGGTTTTGATCAGAGCACAAGTTCCCCCTTGGGCCGCTGTTAAAATCTCCACATACCCAACGGTTTGTCTGATTAGGTAGAGAGGCTAAAGTCTATGCCCACTCGGTAAATAAGTTACTCTCTGCATGATTCCAACCTATACCCAAAAGTAGAATGCCCATCTATATCTTTATGTTATCCATCCCTTTCATTTCTTCTGAACAGGAGTCAGAGGTCACCGATTGTCTCACAGGAATAAACGAGATCACTTGGGTTCCCTAGGCCTGTGGGACTTCCTAAGAGACAGGTTTAATTCAAGATAAGTGGACCCAGCTGTTTTTTCTCAGCAGTTTAACTGCAGTTGGGGTACTAAGGAGAACTTAAGAGGGTCCCTTCCATTTTGGGGAAAGTTAATCTGCTAGGGATCCTTCCTTCCAAGTTCTTAATAGGACCCAGTCTCCCGGCTGGGTTGTAACAAGATTCTCTTCCTTAGTGGGGGAAGGGAGTCTTCGGTTTCCATAATCAAGGAGTGTGCTTTGCACTTGTCCTAAGTCGATCACATAATTCTGTAGCTTGAAAGTATCTACGTCTATTAGGAGGTGTGTAGTTAAGAAAGGCCTTCCATACATTATTTCAAAAGGACTGAGCTGCAGACTTCCCTTAGGGGCCACTTGAACCCATAATAAGGCTACAGGTAATAAAGACAGCCAGGTTTCTGACGTCGTAGTTTAGCAAGAGTCCTTTTTAGAGTTTGATTAGTTCTTTCTACTTTCCCGGAAGACTGTGGCCTCCATGCGAATGAGGGCGGTACTGAATTCCTAGGGCTGAAGATGTGTTTGGGGTAATTGTCACTGTGAAATATGGGCCATTATTGCTCTGTAAGCTCTTAGGCAGCCAAAATCTAGAAATTATTTCCTTTAGTAGGAGTTTAGAAACCTCAATTGCCTTTTCAGACCAGGTAGGAAAAGCCTCGATCCAACCAGTAAAGGTGTCAACAAATACTAATAAATAAACACTTTACATGGGGACATGTGAGTATAGTCTATTTGCCAATCTTCACCAGGGTACGTTCCCCTATGCTGAACAGGCCTTACTAGAGGAGGAGGTAAAGACTGGTTTTTTGGGTTATTCTGGGCACACAGTTCACAGGCCTGAGTTAGTTACCTGCTTTACACTTTTAAGTAAGCCTTTCCTATTAAATACCAAGACATTAATTGAAACAGGGAATTTCTTCCCAAATGAGTAGAGTCATGCAAATGTTTAACTAGTTTCCACTGATTAGCACCTGGTATTAGCAGTTTTTTATTCTGTTTCCCTGGTGCACAAAGCTACTTCCATCTGTAAACCATTCTAACTCAGGATTATCTAGAGTATCATCTTTTAAATCCGGACAGCTGGAGTAAACTTTCTCCATAACTTGTATGCAAGAATGATCTAGGGTACCTTTGGGTTCAGGCAAATAGGTAGCTTGATTCAAAGTTTGGCTTACTTAAAGAATTATATCAGGATGTTTAGCAACAAAGCCTGATATTTATTCAAAGGAAAGGAGAAGGAGCAATTTCTTGTCTGCTTTATGATTTCCAAAAGATACTAGTATTTTCAGCTGAGTTAACAAACCCCTTCCCAACAAGGGGTGCGGCATTCAGGAGAAAACCACAGTCCCTGAAGAGGAGCTTACAGGATAGGTAAATGTCATCTATGAGCTTGTCCATCTATCCCCATGACTATACAGTTTTGGGGTGACAGAGTCCCATTATAATGGGTCAAAACAGAGTACGCATTCTAGAAGGAAGTTAATATTCTTACCTGCCACATCAAGAGTTACCGAGGCTCCTCCAGAGATATGGCTAGCTGTCCAACAGAAGCTGTGGCAGAAGGTCTGAGGCCCCATCACTCTTGGGCTTGCCTGGCTATTTCTGCCATCATTGGTTCAGGTGCTGATGGCTCCCTTCAGAACACTGGGCAATCCTTCTTCCAGTGGCCAGTTTTCTTACAGTGTGCACACTGATTCATGCCTAAGGCACAGTGACTTGGACATCCAGCTTTGGGTTTCCTACCTTTCAGCTTCCCTTGTTCAGTCCAAGAGCCAGGAGGGCAACTCCATGTGGGAGGTGAGCTTAAGGCTGCAACCAAGAGCTGCACCTTGTGGGAGGTCCTTCTTGCTCTTTCTGCTTCCTCTACTTTGTCCTTGTTATTAGAAATTTAAAATGCCATATCCAAAAGCTGTTCTAGGTTAGGCACAGTGGCTCATGCCTGTAATCCCAGCACTTTGGGAGGCCAAGGTGGGTGGATCACCTGAGGTCAGGAGTTCGAGACCAGCCTGCAACATGGTGAAACCCCATCTCTACTACAAATACAAAAAAATTAGCTGGGCATGGTGGCGCATACCTGTAATTCCAGCTACTTGGGAGGCTGAGGCAGGAGAATCACTTGAACCCAGCATGCAGAGGTTTCAGTGAGCCGAGCTCATGCCATTGCACTCCAGCCTGGGCAACAAGAGTGAAAATCCGTCTTAAAAAAAAACAACACAAAACCTGTTCAATAGGAGTTTGGGGACCCATAGCTGCTTTTTGCAGTTTCCTGTGGATATCAGGGGCAAACTGGAATATAAAGTGTACTCCCAAAGGGTTTGTCCTTCCCTTGAGGCAGGATCAGTGTTAGTATATTTCCTGATTGCCTCAACTAAACCCCCTTGAAACAAAGCTAGATTCTCGTCTTTGCCCTGTGAAACTTCCTTAACCTTTTCATAGTTAACAGGCTTTTTCATACATTTCTTTATCCCTTCCAACAAACAAGAGACCATATTATCTCTACTCCCCAAGTCGTCACTGCACCTTTGATAGTTCCACCCTGGATCTTGATCTGGAACTGCTATACCTCCTGCCTGATATATATTATGGTTAGGGTTACGAGCCAATACCTCATCTGCATGGGTCCTAGCTGTCCCCAAAATGTGTTGTTTTGGCTGAGCACGGCGGCTCACATTTGTAATCCCAGCACTTTGGGAGGCCAAGGCAGGCAGATCACCAGGTCAACAGACCGAGACCATCGTGGCCAACATGGTGAAACCTTGTCTCTACTAAAAATATAAAAATTAGCTGGGCATGGTGGTGCGCACCTGTAGTCCCAGCTACTCGGGAGGCTGAGGCAGGAGAATCGCTTGAATCCAGGAGGCAGAGGTTGCGGTGAGCCAAGATCGTGCCACTGCACTCCAGACTGATGACAGAGCAAGACTCTGCCTCAAAAAAAAAAAAGGTGTTGTTTTTCTTCCACTGTACAACACAGAAACAACAAAACATGCTGATTCTGCCAAGTTAAACTACAGGTGAGAGTTAATTTCTCAAACTCATCTATGAATTTTCCTGGATCTTCAGAGAAATGACCAAACTTATCTTTACATAGAGCCAAATCAGACATAGAAAAGGAAACATACTCTCACAGTGCTCTGGTTCAAATGCCTCTGACACCAGGGCTTCAGAAGGTCACTGGGTGTCTTACTCAACAGTGCATGAGCAGCAGGTTCTGGAGTTACAGCATGGGAGTAGCTCTGTGGAACCCTTTAGCCCCAAGGGGGCGCACTGAGTTTGGTGTTTGCCAAGAGGAAAATAATAGCTAGAAGAACAGACACCTGGACATGTTTCAGCACCCCTGGGGCTTTTTGGAAATACTTGGGAAGGAAAACTCAGAAAAAAAAAAAAAAAAAAAAAAAAAAAAAAAAAAAAAAAAAAAAAAAAAGACGGACTTCCTGCAGTCAAGCATGCACGCTAAATTGGATAGTAAAAGGACCTGTGACTGGTAAGGGTCATATAAGGACATGTTTTTTCCAGGTCACTCTGAATACTTCTTTGCCTCCACTGGATCTGTTTCTTCCTTGGGCTCTGATTTCATAATCTGCTTTTGCTCATTTGTTTTATTTTCCTTGGAGACCTCATCCTGCATCTTCAATGACTTACTGGACATTTTTATATGTACATTATCTCCAACTCAGTTTGTCTGAAATCTACCTCAACCAAAAATCCTTACAAGTCAATAAGAAAAAAAAATCCAAAAGAAAAATGAACAAAAATATAAACAGGCAATTCACAGAAGAAAAAATACAAATAGTCAATAAATGTATGAAAACATGCCTAATCTCATTAAGAATTTTAAAAATAACAAGGAGGTGGGAGGATTGCTTGAGACCAGGAGTTCGAGACCAGCCTGGGCAATATAGTGAGACCCTGTCTCTACAAAAACAACAAAAAAAGAAAAATTAGCTGGGCATGGCAGTGCACACCTCTAGTCCTAGCTACTCAGGAGGCTGAGGCAGGAGGATTGCTCGAGCCCAGAAGATAGTTAGCTATAATTGTGGCACTGTACTCCTGGTGACATAGTGAGACACTGTCTCAAAAATAATAACACTGAAAAGTCTTTTTTTTTTGTATGTCATATTGATAAAGATTTCCAAAACCTAGGATTCCATTGTCATTTTATATATATATATAAAGCTCCTTTTAAAAAGTGATCCCAGCCGAGCGCAGTGCTCAAGCCTGTAATCCCAGCACTTTGGGAGCCCAAGGCAGGTGAATCACAAGGTTGGGAGTTCGAGACCAGCCTGGCCAACATGGTGAAACCCCGTCTCTACTAAAAATACAAAAATTAGCTGGGCGTGGTGGCACACCATCTGTAGTCCCAGCTACTCGGGAGGCTGAGGCAGGAGAATTGTTTAAACTCAGGAGGCGGAAGTTGCAGTGAGCCGATGTTGTGCCACTGCACTCCAGCCTGGCAACAGAGTAAGACTCTGTCTCAAACAAACAAACAAACAAACAAAAAGTGATCCCAATATCTCCAAGCTTGTTACCAGCTTAAATCTGTTAAATCTTTAGGTGCTTTTAAAAGTACTAAGGCAGTTCAAATAACATTTATTGCTCAAATGTACAAAAGCCTCCATGGCCTCATAGTTGTTTTTTAAAAAACAATTTTATTGAGGTATAATGGACATAAAATAAACTGCATATATTTAAAATGTACAATTAGATAATTTTTGCGCCCGTTAAATCATCACCACAATCAAGATCATGAACATATCCGTATCCCAAAATGCTTTCTCTATCCTTTTTTGTTTTTGAGAGAGAAAGTCTCACTCTATTGCCTAGGCTGAAGTGCAGTGGCACAATCTCGGCTCACTGCAACCTCTGCCTCCCGAGTCCAGGTAATTCTCATGCTTCAGACTCCCAAGTAGCTAGGATTACAGGCAAGCACCACCACGCCTGGCTAATTTTTGTACATTTAGTAGAAATGGGTTTTCACCATGTTGGCTAGGCTGGTCTCTAACTCCTGGCCTCAAGTGATCCACCTGCCTCGGCCTCCTAAAGTGCTGGGATTACAGGTGTGAGCCACTGCACCTGGCTTCATACATCTTTTTAATCCTATCTTCTTATTCCTCCTTTTCTTAAACCCATGTCCCAGGCAACCACTGATTGCTTTCTGTCACTAAATATTAGTTTGCATCTTCTAGAACTTTCTATAAATGTGTACATTTATAGAATGATACAATGTGTACTTTTTGTCTATATTATTCTACTCAGCATAATTATCTTGATATTTATGCATTTGTTGTATGTTCATTCCTTCTTATTGCTGCAGAATATTCCATTATATGGATACAGTCCTTTTTTAAATCCCTTTGCCTACTAATGGATAGTGGGTTGTTTTCAGTTTTTGGGTATTATAAATAAATCTGTTTGAACATTTACATACAGGTCTTTGTAAAGACGTATGCTTTCATTTCTTTTGGGTCAATACCTAGGAGTGGAGTAGCTAATTCATATCGGAGGCATATTGTTAGGAAACTGCCAAACTGCTTTCCAAAGTAGTTGTACATTTTGCATTCCCACTTGGCAGTGTATGAGAGCTCCAGTGCTTCCATATTTTCACCACCACTTGATATGGTCAACTGTTTTAAGTTTAGATATTCTTTCAGGTGTAAAGTGGCATCTTACTGTGGTTTTAATTTGTATTCCCCTGATAAATAAAAATGTTGAGCATCTTTTCATGTGATTTTTTCCTACCTATGTATATTCTTTGGAGAATTATCTCCTCAAATCTTTGGCCCATATTTTCCCCAAATGGTTTTTTTTTTCTTACTGAGTTGAGAGTTCATTATATGTTCTGGATACAAGACTTTTATCAGTATGTGATTTGGAAATATTTTCTCCCACACTGTAGTTCGTCCTTTCGTCCTCTTAACAGTGCCTTTTGAAGAGCAGATGTTCTTAATTTTCACAAATCCCAAATTATCAGCACCAAGCTCAGAGGGGCATGTGAAGGTAAAGGGAGACTATATAGAGAAAATACGTAACACAGTGATTGGCGCACAGTAAGTGCTCACTAAATGGTAGTTTTTGTCTATTTTACTGAAGGAAAACATGGCTTAAATACTTAAAACTAATTATCAGCTTAAATCCCTCATTTTCTTACTTTATATGATTGTGAGCCTTGCGGGCAGGAATTGGGGATCAAGGCAATTTTCTGGGGCTCTTTCCATATGTGAACATTCACAGCCATGGGTAATTCTCTTTTGTTGGCAATGATAAAATTCTATTTGCTAGACAAAAGCATATACTAAATAATTTCAAAGCATTTTATTTTAAGAGATATAATCTAACAGAAATAGTGACAACCATTTAACATTAATCTAAATAAAATTGAAATAAAAAAGCAGACCAAACTTGTGTTTTCCGTTATTGGTTGTTATGATGAATGTAAATGAATTATTTCTAGGAGGGAAATCACTCAGTGTCAATTGTATTTATCAAGAAACATTCACTCCTATTCAAGTTATTCTTTTATGTCACATCAAACTCCTATTATCTTTTATCACAGTCATTTTCTGACAGTTATATGTGATAAAGCTATGGTAGCTGGTGAAATAGATAAAACAAAACAAAAAGGTAGTAAAATGGGCCGGGCATGGTGGCTCACGCCTGTAATCCCAGCACTTTGGGAGGCTGAGGTGGGCGGATCACGAGGTCAGGAGATCGAGACCATCCTGGCTAACACGGTGAAACCCCATCTCTACTAAAAATACAAAAGAATTAGCTGGGTGTGGTGGCGGGCGCCTATAGTCTCAGCTACTCGGGAGGCTGAGGCAGGAGAATGGCATGAACCCGGGAGGCGGAGCTTGCAGTGAGTCGAGATCATGCCACTGCACTCCAGCCTGGGCGACAGAGCAAGACTCCGTCTCAAAAAAAAAAAAAAAAAAAAAATAGTAAAATGGACAGAGTAGGAAGCATTATATATTACCCTTGAGTCCTGAAGAATAAAGAGAATGTTTATTCCCCAGTCATGCCAGGGCAAAAAAGAGTAATGACAATTTGTTTTCACTGAGAAGGGAGGCATTGCTGAACAATATGTGCCAATTTGGGTGCTAAACGGTATTAATAGTTTAGAGTTGAGTTTTGAGAATCCTACTACTAACCCACTGCCCTACCAGGCAGGGTACCCAAGTATAAAAGCCACCCGTAGACGTGAGAAGCAAGAGTCAGAAGGGAGAAAATACCATTTTATGAACAGCTAGAGAAGCACTCACAGCCCCTCAAGGCAGAACTCTGGCAGAGCCAGAGTGGAGAATGCAACTCGGCAGACAGCCTCCCACCCTGGCCAGCACCCCCTAAATCAGAAATGGCCGTGTCAGAGGGGCAGAGCTCAGCCTGACTTACACATCAAATTGCAGGCTGGAAGAAGCTCAAATAAATAGACCTGCCCAACAGATACAAGCCCTGCCTGGGCATTTTTCAACTTCATAGAATTAGATAATGAGTGATGAGTGTGGGTGCCGTTCTTTAAATGCATAGTGACTCTACCCACTAGTAAAATGGTACCCAATGACTATTAGGCTCTGACCAATTAGATTAGCAGCTACTCCTTCCTTGGGGCAGAGCTATTTCGAGAGGTAAAAGGAGTGGATGTCTGGGAAAGAAGCAAAATGTTTTGGCTGGTTAAGTGAGAGTAGGCAGACATGCTCCTCTTTCCCCCCATCCACGTTCCCCATCCCCTCCCCCATAAGGAGCACCTTTTGACATGAGCAGAAATATTGAAGCTGTGACACTTGGTGGAGAAAAGAGTAGTTAGTGTCCCAGTGGACTAAAAATTAGAACCTGAAATTTAATCATGCTTCAACCACATGCAAAGTGACTTTGGAAAAATGGCTTAGCCTTTCTATGATTATATTCCCATCCTTAAAAGAGAAACACATGTAAAATATCATAAGAAATAATAAATATGCAAATATCCTATGAAAAATAAAATAATATAAAATATAAGGAAGATTGTTTCTGATGGAGCAGATATATAATACGTAGGAGAAAATGTTAATTTCTGATCTGAGAAAAAAGAAGAGACAAGAAATAAGCAACTACTGGACCATGCAGTTTGAGACTGATAAAACTGGGATATTCCCAAGTACAAATTTTTAAAAAGGAAATAACTGGGAAATAATTTAGATTCTGGACTATAAACAATGTCAGAATCATAAGCTTAAAGTGACATAAGGATGGTGATGTTCGTTTTTAGAGTGGTAACACTTTGAATATTCCTAGTTTCCATGTTTATTGCCCTTTTTTTTTTGCTAATCATTCATTTGTTTTGGTTTTTGTATATAAATTAAATTTAATATAGATAAACTTAATATTATATAATTAGATGATTAGATATGCAAAATGCATAATAACCATGTACCTAGCATCTTGCTTAAGAAAAACAAAACAAAAATAAAACACACATTACCCAAAGTGTCGAAGCTTCAAGTGAACTCAACCTAAAATTCACCCATCTCCCTTCCTCACGTAGCTAACCATTATACTAATTTGGTGTTTATCATTCACATACTTTTTAAAAAATAATACTTTTACTACCGATGTGTCAATTTCTAAACAATACATTGGTTTACTATTTCTTACACTTCAACACCATTTTAATGGCTTCATAATGGTGCATCTTTATGCATCTTACTTTCTTTCCTCTATATTATGTTACTGAATCTATGTTTATTCCTATGGCTCTAACTCATTTTTTACTGCAATATAATTATGGTACAGTGTGCCTTCTTTATTATTTTCCTATAAGTGGACATTTAGATTGTTTACAACCAAAAAATACTGCCATGAATGTGCTATTCCCATATATCTCTCCTTGTAGATATGCCCAGTCTAGGTGTGAAGTTGCTTAGGGAGTATGCATTGTCAGCTTTACTAGATTTCGTCAAATTGTTGTCCAAAGTGACTGTGCCAAATTATAATATTGCCAGCAATGGATAAATGCTAAATATCCTTAGTAATATTTGGTATTGTATCCCTGTAGAATTTTGGTCAATCAGATGGATGGATGGATGCCAAAACCTATCTCATTTTGTTTTTTTATATTTATTTTGAGTTGAGGTCTCGCTCCGTTGCCCAGGCTGGAGTGCAGTGGTGCAATCTTGGCTCACTGCAACCTCTGCTCCCAGGTTCAAGTGATTCTTGTGCCTCAGCCTCCCGAGTAGCTGGAATTACAGTCAACCACCACCACACTCAGCTAAATTTTTTTTGTATTTCTCGTAGAGACAGAGTTTTACCATGTTGACCGGGCTGGTCTCGAACTCCAGACCTCAAGTGATCTGCCCAACTCAGCCTATCTCATTTTGGATTTAACATGCACTTCTTAGGTTACTAGTGATGTTGAACACATTTTTATATGTTTATTGGTCATTCCAATTTCCTTTTGAGTACATTTTCTAATTATTTATTTTGTCCTTTTTTAAAGATGTTTTTCTTATGGACTTGTAAGCATTTTTTTATATCCTAGATACTAATTCATTCTCAATCACATGTGCTTCTGGGATCGCAAGACTTTATCAGGACATGATGCATTATATTGTCAAGATGTGGTCCAATATGCCAGGATGTATAAAATATGAAACTTCAAACATAGACAAACTCACTGTTGGTAGTACTGTTATAAAAACATAGTAATTCTGATAAATTCTATTTCATGCATTTCCCCTCAAAAATGAAGAAAAAGTTGCATTTATAATTTTTAAAAATATGCCAGGCACAGTGACTCATGCCTATAATCCCAGCACTTTGGGAGGCCAAGGCGGGTGGATCACTTGAACTTAGGAGTTTGAGACCAGCTTGGGCAACATTACAAAACTCCGTATCTACAAAAAATACAAAAATTAGCTGGGCGTGGTGGCACACACCTGTAATCCCAGCTACTTAGAGGCTAAGGCAGGAGGATCAATTGAGCCTAGGAGGCGAAGTTTGCAGTGAGCTGAGATCACATTACTGCACTCCAGCTTGGGTGACAGTGAGATCTCATCTCAAAAAAATAAATAAAAACAGCTATAGTAAATATAATTTGCATACCATAAAGTTTACCCCTTTACAATATACAATTCAGTGGTTTTTAGTATACTCACAAAGTTGTGCATTTATCACCACCATCTAATTCCAGAACGTTTTTATCACTCCAAAAAAAAAAAAGCATACGTATAAGTAGCAAATTCTCATTGCCTCCTTACCACCCCCAATCCCTGGCAAACAATATTCTACTTTCCATCTCTTTGGATTTGTTTATTCTGGGGATTTCATGTGAATGAAACACGTAAGTTGTGGTCTTTTGTGTCTGACTTCTTAGACTTAGCATAATGTTTTAAAAGTTCATTCACATTATACATGTATCAGAATCTAATTTCTTTTTATGATTCAGTAATGACTAATGTTCCATGTTATGGAACATTACCATTATATGGAATATACCACATTTTGTTTATCCAGTCATTAATTGATAAACATTTGAGTTGTTTTCACTTTCTGGCTATTATGAGTAACAGTGTTACAAACGTCTGTGCCCACATTTTTGTGTGGACATATTTTCAATTGCCTTGTATATATATCTAGGTGTGGAATTCCTGGGTCATATAATAATTCCTTTTTAAAAAAAAAACAACATTTTGAGGAACTGCTGAACTGTTTTCCAAAGTGGCTGCATCATTTTACAATCCCATGAGTAATGTATGGGCATTCCAAATTCTCCACATCCTGCCAACACTTGTTATTATACATTTTTAAAATTACAGTCACCCTAGTGGGTGTGAAGTGGTATCTTGTAGTTCTGATTTATTTTTTTATTTAGTCTCAGATGACTAACGGAACTGAGCATCTTTCATGTGCTTATTGGCCATTTGTCTGTCTTCTGGGGAGAAATGTCTGTTAAGATCCTTTACCCATTTTTAAATTGGGTTATTGGTGTTTTTTCATATTCTGGACACAAGTTCCTTTTCCAATATATGATCTTCAAATATTTCCTGTGATTCCATGGGCTGACTTTTCACTTTCTTGATGGTATCCTTTGAAGAACAAAAGATTTTCATTTTTATGAAGTCCAAATTATCTATTTTTTTCTTTTGTTGCTTGTGCTTTTGGTGCCTAGGAAGCCACTGCCCAAACCAAAGTCACAAAGATTTAAGCATATGTTTTCTTCTAAGAGTTTTACAGTTTTTCCTCTTATATTTAGTTCCCATTTAATTTTTGTATATGATGTGAGATAGGGATCTCAATTCATTCTTTTGCATGTGGCTATCCAGTTATATTAACATAATTTGTTGAAAAATAAAATATTCCTTCTCTCATTAAATGGTCTTGACACTCTTCTTGAAAATCAATTTACCATAACTACAAGAATTTATTTCTGGCCTTTCAATTCTATTCCGTTGATCTATACTTGCATTCTTATGTTAGTACTACATATTAACTTTGTAGTAAGTTTTAAAATATGGAAGTTTAAAATTTTTCAACTTTGCCTTTTTCTTTCAAAATGTTTTGACTATTCTGAGTTCCTGGCATTTCTTTTAGACTGAGTTTTGCTCTATCACCCAGGCTGGAGTGCAGTGGTGTAATCTCAGCTCACTGCAACCTCCGCCTCCCAGGTTCAAGTGATTCTCCTGCCTCAGCCTCCCCAGTAGCTGGAACTACAGATGCATGCCACCACTCCTGGCTAATTTTTGTATTTTTAGTAGAGATGGTGTTTCACCATGTTGGCAGGCTGGTCTCGAACTCCTGACCTCAAGTGATCGAATAGCCTCGACCTCCCAGAGTACTGGGATTACAGGTGGGAGCCACCATGCCTGGCCTCTTGGTGTTTCCATATTAATTTTAGAATTATCTTGTTGATTTCTGTGAAAAAAAAATAGGAGTTGGGATTTCGATAATAATTACATTGAATCTGTAGATCAACTTGGAGAGTACTATTATTTTAACAACGTTAAGTCTTTCACTCCATTATCATGGGATATTTTTCATTTATTTAGGTCTTCTTTAATTTTTTTCTATGATGTTTTATATTTTCCAGTGTATAAGCCTTGTACTTCCTTTGTTAAATTTATTCCTATTTTATTCTTGTTTATGCTATGATAGAATATTTTCTTAATTCCATTTTCATATTTATTATTTTTTAAGTTAGTACACAGAAAAACAACAGATTTTTGTATCTTGATCTTGTATCCTGAAACATTGCTGAATTTGTATTAGCTCTAATGCTGTGTGTGTGTATGTGTGTGTGCGTGTGCATGTGTGTGCGTGTGTTCCTTAGTATTTTTTATATATAAGTTAACGTCAATTGTGAATAAAGATAGTTTTCCTTCCTGCTTTCCAAGCTTAATGTCTTTTAATTCTTTTTCTTACATAATTGCCCTGGTTAGAACCTACAGTACAATGTTGAATAGAAGTGGAGACATGAGACATCTTTGTCTTCCTAATATTAGAGGGAAAATTTTCAGTCTTTCAACATTAAGTATGATATTAGCTGTGGGTTCTTCATAGATGCCCTTTAATGGGTTGAGGAAGTTCCCTTCTATTCATAATTTACTGAATGTTCTTGTCATGAAAGGGTGCCAGATTTTTTCAACTGCCTTTTCCACATCTATAATCATGTTATTTTTGTTTTTTATGCTATTAATATAATATATATTACATTGATTGATTTTTCATATGTTAAACCAACCTTGCATTCCTGGGATAAATCCCTCTTGGTCATGGTGTATAATCCTTTTTATATAAAAAATCACTTAAAACAATAATTCTTTTACTCTGCCAAAGGGTTCTATGTGTGTGTTGGGTTGCACCTTTAATGCTCCAGCAGGCAGCTTATAATTCTGCCTTACCTGTCACTTGTTGCTTGCATAGAGCCACAAAAGTCAACCAGAGGTAAGAGTTTCAGGCCTTCTCAGGTTTCTCCTGGCCTTCTAGATTCCCAAATATATGTCATAGTTTTCAAAGCCAACTATGGACATCTCATTACCTAATGTGGTGATTAATTTAAGGTGTCAATTTGACTAGGTTAAAGATACCCAGTAACTGGTAAAACATTATTTCTAGGAATACTGTGAGGATGTTTCCAGAAGACATTAAGCATTTGAATCAGTAGATTGAGTAAAGAAGACCCGCGGTCACCAATGTAGGCAGGTCATTCAAACCATTGATGACAGATAGAACAAAGAAGCAGAAAAAGTTTGAATTTGCTCTCTCTGAGCTGAAACAGCCATCTTTTCGTACCCTCAGACATCAGAACTCCAGATTCTCAGCTGGGCGTGGTGGCTCACGCCTATAATCTTAGCACTTTGGGAGGGACCTTAGGAACCTTACCTGAGGTCAGGAGTTCAAGACGAGCCTGGCCAACATGGTGAAACCCTGTCTCTTCTAAAAATACAAAAATTAGCTAGGCATGGCGGCACATGCCTGTAGTCCCAGCTACTCAGGAGTCTGAGGCAGGAGGATCACTTGAACCAGGGAGGTGGACGTTGCAATGAGCCAAGATCGAGCCACTGCACTCCAGCCTGGGCGAGAGAGTGAGACTCCGTCTCAAAAAAAAAAAAATGAACTCCAGATTCTCAGGCAAATGGACTCAGACTTACATAAGCAGTCCCTCCAGTTTTTCAGGCCTTCAGCCTAGGACTGAGAGTTAAACCATCTGCTCCCCTGGTTCTTAGGCTTTTGTACTCAGATAATTGCACCAACAGCTTCCCTGGTTTTGCAGTTTGCAGACAACCCATCTTGGGACATCTTAGCCTCCATAATTGTATGAGCCAATTCCCATAACAAATCTGTGTATATTTATGTATGTATGTATGCATGCATTTATGTATGTATATGTGATAGCAGCAGCAGACCATCTGGAGTGGCCACACTGTGAAGACACAGGCTGCAGTGGGGGAAGTGCAGCTGGGGCTGTGCACTCCCCAGAGCTAGCAGGGGCCAGGAATAGGTGGGAGCTCCTTGCCTTACCAAGTTGGTAGGCTAGGAGCACCATGCTCTGGGGCACAGCTGTAGCCACCCAGCCACAACTCCAGACCTGGGCATCCCTGTGCTCTCAGGGACTGGGAAGCTCCCCTGCTCCCGCAGGCTTGGAAGTGCCTGCTCCTGCTCTGTGGCCTCTCCCTGCTCCCAGCACCTGCTCTGGGGCAGAGCAAAGTTGTGGTTGAGCCTGGGCATTGTCATAACCTGGCCAGCTGTACATGGGCTCAGGGTGGTGCTGACACAACAGCCCCCAGCCACCTCAGCCCCCTCCAGACTTTGGGCGCCAAAGAGCATGGGAGGGAGATGGGAGGGGCAGTGACTGAGGGCAGCTTGGCATGGGCCTGCAGACACCCCTCAGTGTGGACAGCCAAGGTGCCATGGATGACATGTTGATGAGGGCAGGAGGCAGACAGGTTCCTGGATGGGAAGGGGCAGGTCCCCAGTAAAGCCCCTCCTTCGAGCCAAGAATGGCCTGAAGCCTGGGGGCCAGGCTGCCAGTTCTGGGTAGAGTCTGTGGCCCAGAGTGAGAACTTACGGTGCTTTTCCTGGGCCCACCCATGGCTGCCCATGGACCAATGAGCACACACTTCCTCCTTTCTGAAGCCCATAAAAACCCCAGACTCACACAGATTTCAAGACTACAAGCTGTGGGAAGGAGCTATCCAATTCGAGTCTCCTTGACTCATCAGGATGACCTGCCTGCAGAAAAGAGCTACCCACTATGGGTCTCCTCTCCACTGAGAGCTGGACACTCATCAGGATGACCTACCTGCAGAAAGGAGCTACCCACTTCAGGTCTCCTGAGAGCTGTTCTGTCACTCAATGAAGCTCCTCTCCACCTTGCTTGCCCTCTCCACCTTGCTTGCTTACCTCATTCTTCCTGGATTCAGGATAAGAGCTCAAGACCCAACAAATGACAGGACTGAAAGAGCTATAACACAAACAGGCATGAAACACGCCCCCCTGCTTGCCATGTTATGGACAACAAGAAGGAGAGAAGAGCTGTGGCCCTTCGGGAAGCCCAGACCTAGGGACTCCCCAGCCAGGGCTGTGACACCCTCTTTAGGGCTGTGTGGTTCCTGGCATCTCCAAGCTTCCGGGTGCCACTGTGTTCCCTTCATCCAGATGTGGGTGTCTGCAACAGAATCTGCACACAGAACATTTGGACCAGCCACAGCCTCGCACGGAGCCAGCACCTGTGCTGGCGCCTGGAGCTGCCTGCCTTGCCACAGTAGCCAGCCTGCCTGGCTGTGCACAGTGGCCGGACCCCACGCTCACTGGCCCACACACTCCTCACCATTCTGAACCTGGTTTGCTGTTGGCAGGTGTGGGATCCGGGCCGGTAGCCTGAGCTGAGCACAGCTTGCCAGGCCGAGTGGGCAAAACAAGTCCAGCAGGTGCAAGCAATATTCAGGCAGAAGGTACCACTAGCCACAGAGGTTTCTGGCTGGTGAAGCAACACCCTAAGGATCCTGTGACATATGTATGTATACATGTGTGTATGTATGTATCATCTATCTATCTATCTATCTATCTATCTATCTATCTATCTATCTATCTATCTTTCCATCCATCCATTCATCTTATTGGTTCTGTTTCTCTGGAGAATCCTGACTAATATACTCAGTTTTTCCATTTAAGTGTTTAGGTCAGCATTTTGAAAGCCCTAAATGGCAATACTGCCTTAGGCAGCTACAATATTAAACAACTGCTGCTTATTGTCTTTGTCAAATTCCCTGCTGGCGGAGCTGTTTGCACAAAGTGAGCTCTGATTCATGTCAAATAAATACAAGCCCTGAGAACGGAGCTTTTCAGTAAGGTGCCAGACAGGCTGAACACTAAAAACACCCTAGGGATGAGGCTTTTGAGGACCTCTTAACCTGTTCTGACTTCTCCAATGACAGTGGGCTGGTGGGTTTCACAGCTACCATAGTTGTGAAGCTGTTGGTTTTTAAGGCTACTATAAAGCTAGAGAGAGTGAGAAGGGATTAGGAAGAGTTAAAACACCTCAAGTCTCATTGTTATGAGATTCAGCCATTTGTCTTAAATAACTACTTCTTGGATTGTTATAAGCTTTTAGTTAGTTTCCAGAGATCTGAAAAAGTTAATTTTGACAATTTCCCAGTGTTCCTGTTGCTTTTATGGAGGAGTAGATTTTCAGAGGCCCTTATTTTACCTTTCTGGGAGTTGAGGTCACACTTACCATTCATACGTCATATTGTAAAATATACACACGACTGGCTGGGCATGGTAGCTCACACTTGTAATCTCAGCACTTCGGGAGGCCAAGGTAGGCAGATTACCAGAGGTCAGGAGTTGGAGACCAGCTTGTCCAACATAGTGAAACCCCGTCTCTGCTAAAAATACAAAAAAAAAAAAAAAAATTAGCCAGGCATGGTGGCAGGCACCTGTAATCCCAGCTACCTGGGAGGCTGAGGCAGGAGAATCACTTGAACCCAGGAGGTGGCAGTTGCAGTGAGCCAAGATTGCACAACTGTACTCCATGCTGGGCAACAGAGTGAGACTCTGTCTCAAAAAAAAATGCATGACATATATATTCCTTCCACTTCTGATTGGAAGTGAGTACCAACCTTCTGCTTAAAATTTTACGTATTTGATGACTGAAGAATTTTCCATAGACCAGCTTGTGGCTTAGCTGATGAAACCTGTTTAAAACTTGCTTCTCCTCCACTACTTAAATACTTTCAGTGCTGGTTACTGTAAGACATATTAGGAGATCTCAGGCCCTGCATCTTTGGCATCACAAGATAGGGTTGGCACAGTGGGACTAGGGACTATTCCTGAATGCCATTCTTACATTACAAGGGCTGGAAATAGCTTAACTGTATGGAAGTAACTGTGATCTACAAATATATATCCTGCTAGATGCCAAAAAATATATCCTCAGTTCAATTTGTGATTTGTTCCCAAAGATATATATGGCAATTTCAACACCACCAGATAGTTAAAAAAAAAAAAAAAAAAAGTATGATAGAGGGAAAATCAGGGTGAAATGAGACAATAGACTCAAGCTATTGTGGTTAAAATATCTTACTTTTATAAATTTTACAAAGCCAAATTGCTATGTGAACACATTGCTAGGCCCACAGCTTTGAAATCAGGCTGTTCAAGTTTAGAGACCCTGAATTTTAAGCTTGGATAATCCCCAGACCCCTGCCCACCACCTGGTCTTTTGTCTGATTTCTCTCTGGGTTTCTGCTTTTTTTTTTTTTTTTTTTTTTTCATTCTGCAGTCTCTGCAGACTGCTGCCTTTCTCTGCTTATCACATACACCGTCCAAATTGGCTGGCTGAGCCCCTTGTACATACTTCCAGTAGAACTGCTGCACACAAGCTCATCAACATCCATCTGTCCAGTGTCCAAAGAGAACATGATGCTCTTTACTTCAGCTTATTAATTGGGTCTCTTTGGTTTAGGTGTTCAACCTTAATCCAATAAACTGAGACCAGGTAGAGGTAAAGCCCCACAGAATAGGTACAGCTTTAGGAATCCCTCCTGTGGGTGAACAGAGGAGTAAGCAACTCACAGAAAATGGGAATTGGCTAAGTTGACACTTCAAGAAGTACTGGACTATAGAAAAGTTCAATAGGTTTAAGTAATAGGTACAGAAAACCTTCTCTAAACACTTAATATGCAAATATATTTTGGGATTTTTCACCAAGGATATATTTTACATGTCTCCCAAAATTGTCGCAAAGGTTCTCTACCAATCGCATGAGTCTGGTGAGAGAGACAGAACACTCACACAGGCTAGACAAAGATTTACTATGCACAGATAGATGAGCAGCAGGAATAAATAGAAGCCTAGGATCCACAGCAAGCCAGTCCTCTAAGGCTCAAGAAAGCTGCTGAGTGTGGAAAGGGTCTTATCTGTGTGTGCTCCACATTCCACTGCAGCTGAGGGACACTGAAAGCACTGTGCTCTGGGTTTTATACTCTAGGTGGCACTAGGATCACTGAGAACAAGCGCTGCAGTACACCCTGTTCTGGGAGGAACAAGGACACAATATGGATTATTCTGGACATCACCTCTCTATCTCAGAAAGTTGCATTCTCGGTTATTCTGAGAACTACAAGTTGCAGGGAGAGCTGGATTGGCCAAGATCACCCAAGGACCTATCCTCCTGTGGGTGCATTCCCAGAGAACCAGTTCAGGTTAGGGGAATCATAAGACTAGTTGTATTCCAAGAAACACATTTTGGGAAATGCTAGATTAAATAGTAACAAAGTTAATACAGGACAGGCACACATTTTATTTGCAGTATGCTTTATTGTGCTTCACAGATACTGCATGTTCTTTTGTTTGTTTTTTTTGCAAATTAATCGTTTGTGGCAACCCTGCATGGATCAAGTCTATCAGTACCATTTTTCCAACAGCATGTGCTCACTTTATTGTTTCTCTGAGTCACATTTTGGTAATTCTTGCAATATTTCAAACATTATTATTATTATCATTATCATTATATCTGTTATGGTGACCTGTGAACAGTGATGTTTGATGTTACTATTATAATTGTTTTGGAGCACCATGAACCGAGCCCATAAAACAGCGAATTTAATCAATAAATGTTGCGTGTGTTCTCACTGCTCCAGTGACCAGCTGTTCCCCATTTCTCTTTGTGTCCCCAGGCCTCTCTATTCCTCCAGACACAACAATATTGCAATTAAGCCAAGTAATAACCCTACAATAGCCTCTAAGTGTTCAAGTGAAAGAAGAGTTGCACATCTCTAACTTTAAATAAATAGCTAGAAATGACTATGCTTAGTGAGGAAGGCATGTTGAAAGCCAAGACTGGGAAGCTAGGCCTCTTGGCACCAAACAGCCACACTGTGAGTGAAAAGCAAACAAGCTTGGAGGAAATTTAAAGTGCTACTCCAGTGAACACATAAATGATAATAAAGCAAACCAGCCTTAATGCTGATATGAAGAAAGTTTTAGTGGTCTAAATAAATCAAACCAGCTACCACATTCCCTTAAGCCAAAACCTAACCCAGAGCAAGATCCTAACACTATTCAGTTCTATGAAAGCTGAAAGAAGTAAGGAAGTTGCCCAAGAAAATCTAGAAGATAGCAGAGGTTCGTTCCTGTGGTTTAAGGAAAGAAGCTATCTCCTTAACATGAAAGTGTAAGGTAAGGCAACAAGTGCTGATGTAGAAACTGTAGCAAGTTATCCAGAAGATCTAGCTAAGATCATCGAAGAGGGTGGCTACACCAAACAACAGATTTTCAATGTACATGAAACAACTTCTATTGGAAGAAGATGCCATCTAAGACTTTCATAGCTAGAGAGGAGAAGTCCATGCCTGTTTTCATACTTTCAAGGACAGGCTGACTCTTCTTGTTAGGAGTTAATGCAGTTGGTTACTTGAAGTTGAAGCCAGTGCCCATTTACCATTCCAAAAATCCTAGGGTCCTGACAAATTATGCTAAATCTGCTCTACCAGTGCTCTATAAATGGAACAACGATACCTAGCTGGCAGCACATCTGTTTACAACACAGCTTTCTGAATATTTTAAGTCCACTGTTGAGACCTACTGCTCAAAAAAAAAGGTGTCCTTTCAAAATATTACTGGTCATTGACAATGCACGTGGTCACCCAAGAGCTATAATGGTGCTATATGAGGAGATTAATCTTGTTTTCATGACTGCTAACACAATGTCTATTCTACAGCCCATGGATCAAGGAGTCATTTTGATTTTTAGGTGTTATTATTTAAAATATACATTTAATAAGGCTAGAGCTACCACAGACAGTGATTCTTCTGATGGAACTGGGCAAAGCACATAGAAAACCTTCTGGAAAAGATTCACCATTCTAGATGCCATTAAGAACATTTGTGATTAGGAGGAGGTCAAAATATCAACATTCACAGAAATTTGGAAGTTGATTCCAACCCTCACGGATGACTTTGAGAGGTTTGAAATTTCTGTGGAGAAAGTACCTGCAGATGTGGTGGAAATAGAAAAACAACTAGAATTAGAAGTGGAATTTGATGTGACTGAATTGCTGCAATCTCATGATAAAACTTGAATGGGTGAAGAGTTGCTTCTTATGGCTGAGCAAAGAAAGTGGTTGTTTGAAAAGGAATCTATTCATGGTGAAGACTCTGTAAATATTGTTGAAATGACAACAAAGGATGTGGAATAGTGCATAAACTTAGTTGACCAAGCAGAGACAAGGTTTGAGAGAATTGACTCCAATTTTGAAAGAAGTTCTACTATGGGTAAAATGCTATCAAACAGCATTGCATGATATGGAGAAATCCTTTGTGAAAGGGAGTCAATCAATGCAGCAAACTTCATTGTTGTCTTATTTTAAGAAATTGCCATAGCCATTCCCAACATTCAGAAACTACCATTCTGATCAGTCAGCAACCTGACCCTGATCAGTCAGCACCTATCAACATTGAGGCAAGACCTTCCACAAGCAAAATGACTGTGAATCTAGTGGGCATGGTGATGTGGGCCTGTAGTCCCAGCTCCTCAGGAGGCTGAAGCAGGAGGACTGCTTGACCCCGGGAGTTTGAGGCTGTAGTGTAGTATGATCACATCTGTGAATAAGCCACTGTACTCAATCCTGGAGAACACAGCAAGACTCCATCTCTTAAAAAAAAAGAAATAAAAATAAAAATAAATTTAAAACTTGCAACTTGCAAAGGCTTAGATGATCATTAGCAACTTTTTGGCAACAAAGCACTTTTTAAGGTATGTGCATTGCTTTTGCAGACATAATATTATTGCACACTTAATAGACCACAGTATAGTGTAAACATAACTTGCATATGTTTTGGGAAACCAAAAAATTTGTGTGATTCACTTTACTGCGATATTTACTTTATGTGGTGGTCTGGAACAGAACCCAAAATATCTCTGAAGTATGTGTGTATTATTAACTCAGTAAAGTAATTTTAAGTGTCTTGTGCTGGCACCCCTCTAAGCATTTTTATAAACCTTACGCCAGTTCCATGTAGTAGGTTCTACTTTCACAGATAAGGAGACTGAGGCATAACAGAAGTTAATCAATTTGCCCAAAGTTGCACAACTAGAAAGTTGAGATGTTTGACTTTGCATCCAGGCAAAGTCTCATGCTTAATCCCTGTACTATATAATCTCTGTGGCCTCTTTGAGCTCTGAATCCTATGGCTCTTCCATGAACTTTGATGTTTTATATTCAGCAATATGTAAAAAGACTGTTCTAACATCAAGGACTAAGGATGCTGTTCCTCGTTTCTTTTTTGCCTTATTACAGGACAGCATTCTTTTTCATCACTTACATTTCTGCCTTTGAATCACGGATCCTTCATCTCCCAAGGCCTTAGAGTTAGAAGACAGATTTCTACTTCTTTTCAATTAAAAAAAAAAGAAAAAAATTTATTCCGTTTTTCTTCAGTGTCCTGGGTCATTTAATAAAGTGAATGAAAAATTTTCTCATTTATAATTTTATTAACAATAAATTATTCCTATTGCCAGGGTTCACCTGAAATCCCCAAATCAACTAGTTAAAATAGAGGCACATCTGAGAACCTCTAGATTAATAGAAGAAAGATAAAGAGTACAGAGACATAAGTATCTTACTCTTTTGTAAAAATTGAGGCGTATATATAGCTTGCTCTTTCATCTGGATTATGCTATATGGTTTGTCCTCAACAAGAAAAGTATACTGTGGGCCAGGCCTGGCCGCTCATTCCTGTAATCCCAGCACTTTGGGAGGCCTAGGCGGGAGGATTGCATAACACCAGGAGTTCGAGACAAGCCTGGGCAACATAGTGTGACCTCTTCACCACCACCACCACCACCACCACCACCACCAAAAAAATTTAAAAATTAAAACTTAGCCCAGAGTGGTGTTGCACGCCTGTAGTTTCAGCTACTTGGGAGGCTGAGATGGGAGGATTGCTTGAGCCCAGGAGTGCTGAGGCTTCAGTGAGCTATGATTAGCCACTGCACCGCACCCCCAGCCTGGGCGACAGGGCCGAGACCCTGCCTCCAAAAAAAAAAAAAAAAGCCTCAATGGTGTAAATTATTTTACATAAAATGTCTCTGTATAGTCCTATATAGACCGAGGAGGAAAACCAATGAGATATAAAGTTTTCATAATGTTAAATAATGTACAATTTCAAATAATCCTGTATATTACTATACAGTAGAAAGAATATGGTTACAAAAAACATTTCCATGAGGGCTGTGATTGAGTTCCGTGTTCCCGTAAAACACTTAGAGAAGCCTAACTGAAGATTTCTAGAACCGACTGACAACTGATTTCAGTTGTAAACACACAGTAAGCCAGCCTAGTTAGGCAGACATTCATTGCACGCCAAGGAGACACCAACGGGACTGTGTGCTCTTGCGTTATGAATCCCACGAAAATAAATCTTGTGCTCCGTGTAACATGACTTTAACTTGCAGTAATATCCTTTCATCATTTAATATTTATTGAGCGCCTACCATACACCAGGCTCAGATACTGCACTGAACACCGACCCTGTCCCATGAAGCCTTACACTGATGGGAGACACCTTTGCATGTTCCACAACCCAATTATCAAAAAAAAAAAAAAAAAAAAGATAATCACGTAACCGAAACCTGGAAATCTGCCTTGGGCACACAAAAGAGCAGGCGCGACCTCGGACCAGCTCCGAGGCAAAATTCACTCAGCGCGGGACAGCGACAGGGAATCCGGCCGCACCTGTGCCTGCAGTCTCATTGCTCGGAACGGCGCGCCACTGTGACGTGTCAGGCCCCGCCCCTGACTCTCCTCATAGTGCCCCCGCCTCCTTGCGCGAAGTGCGCAGGCTCCTGGGCAGGGCTCGGGTTCTGCCCGGGGACGCAGCCCAGTTGGTAGCGTCGCTCCCTGAGCGTTTCTAAGGGGGCCGCCCGGCCTTGTCTTTCGGCAGTGGCCGAGCCACCGCCGCCTGCCGCGCGTTCCAGAGCTGGGCGCTGCAGCTGCACTGCCGATCGCCGTGTTTGGTCGATAGAATCCCCAGTGTGCCCAGAGAGTGCGACCCCTCGCCCGGCCCGGCGAGCCCCGGGCGTGAACCGAGCTGAGGGAGGATGGCAGCCTCTGGGGTGGAGAAGAGCAGCAAGAAGAAGACCGAGAAGAAACTTGCTGCTCGGGAAGAAGCTAAATTGTTGGCGGGTTTCATGGGCGTCATGAATAACATGCGGAAACAGGTACCGCCTCTGTGGGAGTGACGGACGACGGTGGGAGGTGGTCCGGGGCTCGGGCCCCTGGTTCCCGGGGTGGAACCCCGCGCCCTGTGGATCGCGCCCCTCTTTCTCTGTCCTCGCCCCTCCTTCCGTTTTCGCAGGCGAGCGATTCCGCAGTTGGTAGAGGGGCGCGTAAAACAATTCTCGAGCAAAAGTGCTTCTCGTCTGCCGAGGATGTAGCTCCCAAGTCAGACTCCTGGGGGACTCCTCAGGCTGGCTTTCGCCGTCGGGTATCGGTTGTGTAACAGCTCTGCCCTAGTTATCTCTTTGTGGGGCGAGGATCCTTCCATTGGCGAGCCGTTTTAAGGTGCCGTGAGATCTTGTGTGAAGAAACCCGTTGGCATAGCCCAAACCGAAGCCCCCAAAGGGAGGAGAGTTGCTGGCCTGACATCAGCTGCTCTTAAATAAGGATCCCCGCCCCCTCCTGTGTTCCCCGGTGGAGCTAGTTGAAGAGGAGTCCTCCTGTTCGTGCTAATTTAGAGCAGAAGCAGCCATCGATAAATACCATGCCATCTTCTAAGGGCACTGTGCGCCTCTGTTATTAAGAGGAGCTCTTTGTTCTGTCCTTGGTGTGTGGTGCATTCGTGAAATTCTGCAGCACATCGGCGAAAGGTGGGTTATGAAAAGAACGGATTTTAACGCTGGCGAAGGTGAAACAAAGAGGCTTTTTTTTTTTTTAATTCCATAACATCTACACCGATAAGCATAGAAAGTCACTTTTTCCTTTCTGTAAGCTTTATTTATAGATAATACACATCTAAGTAGATTTGTGGGAATGTTTGGGTTTTGTTGACTGGGATCCTGTTTCAAGGGGACAAAGCAGGATGTGAGTTATGTGTAACTGCAAAACCTAGTTTGCTTTGTCTGGTGGTTCTGCTGGGAATATGGGCAACAGTAGAGGAATTTAAGATTTTTATGAAGATATTAACTTCTGGTTTCTATAAGCAAACGCTGACTGCTGGGATTTTGTCTTTGTTCACCAGCTCCTGCTACAGTGCACCAGTGCAGTCTGTGGGAATGCTTTTAAATCTTTCCTGGCCTGGCCTTTGTGCTGAAGTACTGTGAATGCCTGAATTCGTTAATTTATGTAACTGACTTTCATGTATCTATTTTCAAATTCATGTTCCTTTCATGTAAACCTTTTTGTATCTACAATACCACAGACTTCAAATTGCTGGTGCATTTAGCTATTGCCTGCCTGTAATGGTAGTTGAACATAGTTAACCAGGGCTTAAACTCGTTGAAGACTCATTAGGTTCCCTCCCACTCCCTCGAATATATGTTTTCATTCGTGGATCATAGCATTGTAAAGCATTGCCTTAATCCCTAAATAGGGTGAAACTGGATTGCAGCAGCAAATATTTACTTGAGGAGCAGAGGATTATCTGAGACTGTCCGTTTAGCTCTTTGGATTTAAAAAGTGACTCACATTTCTTAGCTTTGGAGTATATTAACATCACTTATTTACCGTTACAATAGAAGTACAATTACTGAAAAATCAGGGTTCTGTTACTGAGTAGGAAGGAAAAAATGGTTACCTGGTGAACAACCAGGGGTCCCCTCCACAATGATTAACTGACCTTAATCTGCCAGGTTCTCCTGTTGTCAGTGGTTTGGCATGTGATTCAAACAGTTCTCCAATAGCACTTTTATCAACTTCATGGAATCATGCATCTTTTGCAAGATGTGCAGTTTCACTTCGCAATTGATTTACATTATGGTTATATTGTATTGTCCTGTTTAACATCATAACACAGGAAACAATTGACCGAGAATGACTGACAAGGGCAGTTGATGGGAATTGGCAGAAACAGTGGCTGGTCTGAGCCAGAGTAGGAATGTTTGAGTGAGGACCAACTTTATAAGTGCTCTTGTTCTTTAGTAAATATTTTTGTGTTATGACTACTTTTACATCCCTTTACAATCTCATTGCTTTAAGGATCAGGATAATGAGTGCCTAGATGACAAGGACCCCTCTGTAAACATCCAGAAACATTCCTTCAAGAATTTGAGAACATTGTGAGATTAGCATACCTCAGTTCCAATCCTGCTCTCTCATTATTTCATTTTGTTATTTTAGATAACATGATTTGGGTCATTCCATCTCTCTGTAGTATAGTGGCCGATTCTATACATAGAGGCAAAAGGGGATTCTGCAGAGCCAGCAGCCTCGGCTTCTTCTAAAGCCTTTTCCTACATTGTTTTTGTCATTTCTAGCCTTTTGTTTCTAAGTAAACTCTCCAGTGAAGTATGGGATACATATAAGAGGGCACAAATCATAAATGTATAGCTCAATTATTACAAAGTGCACATCCCACCAACAAGACGAGAACATGACCAGTACACCAGAGGTCCCCCCTTATGCCCTTCTCAGTCACCAACCCCACAGTAGTAACAACTATTCTAACTCTGTAACCATCGAAGTTAGAGCAGAAGCAACCATTGATAAATACCATGCCATGCCATCTTCTAAGGGCACTATGCACCCCTGTTATTAAGAGGAGCTCTTTGTTCTGTCTTTGGTGTGTGGTGCATTCATGAAAGTCTGCAGCACATCGGCAAAAAGTGGGTTTTTCCTGTGTTTGAACTTATATAAATGTAATCATATGGCATAAACTCTTGTGTTTTGTTTTCTTAAAGCCAACATTGTTTGTGAGATTCATCTGTGCTGTGTGTAGCGCTACTTCATCCTTGTGGTATATAGTATCCCATTGAATGAATATAGCACAATTTATCCATTCTATCATTATGAACATTTGGGTTATTTCTAGTTTGGAACTATTAAGACTAGTACTACTTTGAACATTTTTGTACACTTTGTACATGCCTTTTGGTATGCATATGTATGTATTAATATTTGTGTTGGGAAATACCAAACAGGAATTTTTGAGTCATAAGCTATACCACCTTCAGCTTTAAAAGATATCGTCGTGTAGTTTTCCAAAGTGATTGTACCATGTTACGCTTCTGCCAGTTGTGTGTGAGAGAGGTTTTTGCTCCGCATCCCTGCCATCACTTGATGTTGTCAGTCTTATCACTTTAGCCATTCTAACTGGGTGTATAGGAGCATCTTATTTAATTGGATTGAGTACCTTTTCATTTATTTCTTTAACTTTTTGCTTAGATTAATGTTATTACCTGATATGTAAAATAGAGGCTTTACAAGGCAGGTCTGGGTCACAGTCACTATTGCACATGCACATTGCTGTTGCCATACTCTTCTTTTGTGTTAATGAAGTCCAGGAGTCTCTTAACATTGGAGGAAGATGTTTTAAGACCTTCCTGAGTACCACCATAGTTTATAGTTTCTCCACATTAAATGAATTAAAGCATAACTGGAACTTGAAAGCTTATGTTAAAGTCCTTATTGAGAGTTATGTGAGAGAACTACAAAGCTGATTTCACAATTAGATACTGGGCAGTTAACTGGGCTCACCTTCCGGCTAAAATGACTTTGCTTCTGTATTCTCATCTGTCTGACTGTAAATTACTACATGTCATTATCTTTAGGTTCTCTTGTGAATAATCTAAACCTTCAGTGTTAAACCCTTGATATTAATAAGACTTCTTGAGCACTTATAACTGTTCCAGCCACTCTGCAGAGTGTTTTACATGCTTTGTCTCATTTAATTCTCTTAACTTTCATTGACAATTCCAGTCATCCAGACCTTCTTATTCTTTTTCCTGTACTTTACTGTTTTCTGTTTTCTTTTTCTGTCTGTCCAGCTTAGAAGCTATTGTCACTCCACTGTCTCTCCAGTGTCCCAGTTTTCTTGACCCTCTGTCCCTTTTTCATGTCCATCTGGCAAACTTGAGTATTGATGACTGATTACCTTCTTTGTGCAAGGCTCCAAGCACAGCTGGAAAATATCTCACTGGGCAACTTCTGCCAAGTAAGTGCTTGGCCACTAATTTCCACTAGACTATCAGTGCCCGTGAGCAATCTTTTTGTTTTACTATTTTCCTCCAATCTGAGTCCTTTCTCTAGATCCTCACTTTCAGCAGATCACCTTCTTTTGACACCATAGATAAATAGAAGTCATTAGTCTAGAACTGTCTACCTTTTCACTTTCTACCACCAGATCTATAAACCTATTTTGACACTTTCCCTTTTCTCTTCTTATCCTGCTACAATGGAGATGCTGCTGCTTTTTCTAAGGCCAGTACTTCTACCTAGGCTTTGGCTTCCTGGATGCTGGGCTTCTCAGAAGTATTATACTGTTGGTTATTCCATCTTTGTTGAGCATCTTTAACTTTTCTTCTTTGCTGGATTCTTGCTATTAGCACTTAAGCTTGTTTTAACCTCTCCAGCTTTTGAACCAAACAACCAGCAAACCCATTCTTAATCTCAACATACCCCTCTAAATACTTCTCTCCCCCCATTAAGATGAAAAGCTGAGTAAATTCACTACATTTTCTTTTGTTTTTTTTTTAATTTTATTATTATTATACTTTAAGTTTTAGGGTACATGTGCACAATGTGCAGGTTTGTTACATATGTATACATGTGCCATATTGGTGTGCTGCACCCATTAACTCGTCATTTAGTATTAGGTATATCTCCTAATGCTATCCCTCCCCCCTCCCCCCACCCCACAACAGTCCCCAAAGTGTGATGTTCCCCTTCCTGTGTCCGTGTGTTCTCATTGTTCAAGTCCCACCTATGAGTGAGAACATGCGGTTCACTACATTTTCTTACTTACTATTTATTTATTACTCTAGTTCAATTTGGCTTCCAAGTTCATTCATTGAAATGAATACTTATTGACAACCCACTGTATGCTAAACATTTTGCTAGATTCTGGGGTTGCAATGATAAGCAAACCCTGACAGTCCCAATCCTCTTGTGGTTTATAGGCTAGTAGAAAAGCAAGACATTAGTCAAGTAATCACACAAATAAATGTAATATTGCAACAGTGGTAGGTATTACACAGGAGAATAACATGGTACAACGAGGGCATATGGGTGGGTAATTTGACCATCAGGAAGTTTTCTCTAAGGAAATGGTCATTGAGAGCTGAAATAAGAGTAGGTGTTAACTAGGTAAAGAGAAAAGGGAAGAGTGACTCAAGTAGAGGGAACAACATATTCAGAGGCTCTGAGTTGGAGACCTACTTTATTATAGAATGGCAAGTTCGAGACTGATTAAAGGTCAGTGTAATTGGAGCACAGAACATAAGGCGGACGATGGTTCTAGATGAAACTGGCGAAGTAGCTAGAGACCTGCCCATGCATAGCTTCATAAGTCAAGTTAGGTGATTTGCCCTTATTCTAAAATCTGTGTATGCATGTTTGTGTGCATGTGCATGCATGTTTGTAGAGATGGTATGTTTTCTTCTTTAAAAAAGATGACTTGGCCTGGCACAATGGCTCACACATGTAATCCCAGCACTTTGGGAGGCTGAGACAGGTGGATCACCTGAGGTCAGGAGTTTGAGACCAGTCTGGCTAACATGGTGAAACTCCATCTTTACTAAAAATACAAAAAATTAGCCAGGCATAGTCGCACGTGCCTGTAGTCCAAGCTACTCAGAAGACTGAGGCAGGAGAATTGGTTGAACCCGGGAGGCAGAGGTTGTGGTGAGCCAAGATTGCACCATTGCACTCCAGCCTGGAGACAGAGTGAGACTCCGTCTCAAAAAAAAAAAAAAAAAAAAAAAAAAGACTTACTGCTTTGTGGTAAATGAATTAAAGAGTTTTCAGAGTGCTTGCTGGCAGACCAAATAGGAAGCTGTAGTGGTCCAGTGAGACATGATGGTCCTTTGGACTGAGGTGATGACAGTGGCAGCCATAAGCAACATCAATGAAGAAAAAGTGATAGATTAAAAAGATAATAAAATCAACAGGACTTGGTGATGATAACTGCCATATGTGGTTGTGATAACTAAATTAGGTAACCAAATTAAGATAACTTAAAATACGACCTGATAACAAGTAACATCTCAGTAAGTGTTAGCTATTTGTATTGTGATGCTGGTACATGATTGGATGTTGAGGGATTCAGCATAAGGTGTCACTTATGATCTCTAGGGTTCTGGAATGCATAACTAAATGGATGATGACACTATTCACTGAGAAAGGAGGTATTGGAAAAGGATCAAAGCATTGGGGAAAGGATTATAATTTGTGTTTTAGATGTGTTTAATTTGTGATATCATTGTGACACTGAAGTATATATGACAAATTGACAGGTCTGGAAAGTTGTGGGTTAGATGTATATATTTGTGAATTATCTGCATATAGAAGATAACTTCTTCATTGAAGCTGTGAAGAGTCAAGAGTCCAGAGTCCAGAATAAAGGATAGAAAATGGGCCTATGGAGGAGATAACAAAGGAATCACCAGAAGAATAGGAGAAAAATGAGAGTTTCGAAAATTGGGAAGAAATTGTTTCTCCTTCCCAGCAAGTCAGGATGGCCAAATGGTCTAAAGCACTGTATTCACAGGAGGACTGCAACTTTTGAAGCTGGTAAAAGATCAGAATAAGATTAAAACTAAAAATACTTATAGTAGGACATAGCAACACAGAGTGGTTTGTTGACTGTAGTAAGACTTATTTTGATGGGCAGACAAATGGGAATCAGATTAATGTAAGCTGAAGTGAGTAGAATATGAGGAAATTCTGGCAGCTGTTTTGAGAAATTTGGCCTTGAAGGGAGAGGGAGTCAAACGAAGGTTGCTGGGTTTTATTTGTTTAAATGGGAAAGATATAGGTGTCTTTAAAAACTAGTGGGAAAAAGAGATGTAGAGGTTGGATATATATGAGACAGAGTGGGCAATTAATAGATAATTCCTGATATGAGATCCAAAGCAAATGTGATTAATCTCAGACAGGGGTGGCGGGGCAGTTCCTCTTCCATAAGAAGTGGGAAGAAAGAGGGGATTGATAGTAGGTGTGTTTGGAATCAGAAGAATGAAGGAGTTTCTATCCAGTGATTTCTCTTTTCTCTAAAAAAAAAAAATAGAATGAGATCATCTGCTAAAATGAAGGAGTAAGAAGGCAAAGCTGGAGGTTGAGGAATGTAGTCTTTGCGAAGAATAGAAATGGTATTATGGCTGTCAGTATTTTTGAAGATTCTTTTGACATTGTTATGAACTTACGTTGAATATTAAGCTAGCCTTCAAAGCCCTGTCTTTTGTTCTTTTTACCTGAACAGGAGGTAAAAATGAGGAGGCTAATATAGGCAGGTCACAGTCTTAACTTTCAATCCCATGGAAACATTTTTCTATCACTTGGTGGAATCACTTTTCTTTTGGGCCTCAAAATCTCTAAACTAACAGAACCCACTAGCAGAAAGACTAATTGCTGAGATTAGAAGCAAAATTTTTGTAAGTGAATCATTAAGTATAATATTGAAGGGAGCCAGGCCGGGCACAGTGGCTTACGCCTGTAATCCCAGCACTTTGGGAAGCTGGGGCAGGCAGATCACTTGAGGCCAGGAGTTCACGACTAACCTGGCCAACATGGTGAAACCCCGTCTCTACTAAAAATACAAAAATTAGCCGGGTGACGCATGCCTGTAATCCCAGCTACTCAGGGGGCTGAGGCATGAGAATCGATTGAACCCAGGAGGCGGAAGTTGTTGTGAGCCGAGATCGTGCCATTGCACTCCAGCCTGGGCAACAAGAGCGAAACTCTGTCTCAAAAAAACCCCCCGAATATTGAAGGGAGCCTCTTCCATTTTTTGGTTGCCAGGCTGTTAATTCTTGCTACATAGAGACCATGCTGTCTATATAAATTATATCAGATTAGCTTATTTGAGAATGAATTCTGCTACATAAAAAAGAAGCTTGAAAAGCACGAATGTAAGAAGCTGAAAGGAAATGAGGCATCTTGAGCTCATATCTACCTCACTTCCTCACTTTGTCAAATGAGAGAGGAGTTGCTAATCTAATTAAGTTAGAACTGAAGACACTGTTGTTTTATTAATGGTAAAGTTACTCTGTTGAGGGCTACCTTGTTGTATTTAAGGAATCCATCTGCTGAGTAGGACAGGTAAGGTATGTGTTATGATGGACTCCATAAGCTGGGTTTGGGCCAAACCATCTCTCATTTTTCCCATGTAGGACATACGACTGTGCAGCTTCCAAAATTTAGATTATTGGGATATGTAGGGGCAATTTAAAGTTTGGCTTATCAAGCAAAGCCTCATTTTCCAACTTTGTTTTATGAGAGAAGCACTGCATATGGGAGATTAACAAGTACTTGCCCTTCAGTCAAAAGTGCATCTTCTTATGTCTCGTTTGGTTATTGATACTTCCTTATATAAACAACCTGAGTTGAGAATCTCAGTGGGCTGAATGATAGAATTCAGGCACCAAAGCCCCACCCCAAACTCCAGCACAAAGTAGCTGGACCAAGTAGCTGTAAGTTCTTTTTTCCAAGTTTGCCTTGTCTTTTGGTCTATTTTCTTACTAGCTCAGGGAATGCTTTGTTCTATCTTAAATGCTTATGTGGCTACTTTCCTCTACCAATAACTGTTCTTTTTTGTATCATCCGAATACCAGCTTAAGAGGTTATTTAAATTTTTACCCAAGAAAGCTTTGAAATGGGTGGATAACTATTAACACCAGGCCTTGAGATACTACAGGCTGGCAATTCACTTCTATTTCCCATCTCAAATTTTTCTAAGCCAAGGTGTCATAGCTCTCTAGATGTTCTGTGGTGAACCAAATGACAGCCTAAAGCACTCCATATAATTCTGTATTAGCAACACAGAATCTCCCAAATCTGACTGTTATGAGCCCTCTCATGATTAAATTCCAACATCTATGCTCATCCTCTGAATTAAAATGAAAGGCAATTGAATTCCAAATATGTGCTCACCCTGGTTTCTTATACTGTTCAGTTTAGTCAGCCAGAAAGCGTTTGCTTGAGTGTTTGGGTACAGTCAGGGTAGCTTCTTCAGCAGCTGCAATGTGGGCTGGCTTCCATTGGAATGGATTTAGTTAGCTTAGCACCTCCAAAGCTGAATTTGTCCAATTTCAAGGTAGTTGATGCCACACTTTCCGGTATGTTAGAACGTCCCTAGGATTGATATAAGAAGATCTCTCATCTCTGTACCAAACAGCCCAGATGTTGACATTTTATTTATACAGTCCTAACCCACATTATTTTTTGCAGCCAAAAACAGAATATAAACTTTGGTTTCTGGGGAACAGAGGGTTTTCAAAGAAAACATAACAATCTTGGCTTTTGGCTTGCCAGTCTGAATCAGCTTTCTGTAATCTATAGACTCTAGGGCTAAACTCAGTTGGGAGGAATCTTCCATGCTTATAGGGGCACTGTTTACCATCTATAGAAGAGATTTATTCAATGTATATTGATGCTTCTCTGGCATAGGACTCATTTTGGGTTTTTTTTGTTTGTTTTTTTTTTGAGATGGAGTCTCGCTCTGTCGTCCAGGCTGGAGTGCAGTGGCGTGATCTCGGCTCCCTGCAACCTCTGCCTCCCAGGTTCAAGCATTTCTCCTGCCTCAGCCTCCCGAGCAGCTGGGATTACCGGGCGTCCACCACCACACCCGGCTAATTTTTTGTATTTTAGTAGAGACGGGGTTTTACCATGTTAGCCAGGATGTCCTCGATCTCCTGACCTCGTGATCTGCCGGCCTCAGCCTCCCAAAGTGCTGGGATTACAGGAGTGAGCCACTGCGACTGGCCAGGACTCATTCTTTTTCTTAGACAATTGTTAGAGATTTGCCAGGGTGATAATACTCAGCTACCAGGTATCATAGAGTTTCCCTTTTTTCCCTATTATCCATCCTGCACATTTAAAGCTTAATTTTGATATCTTTTTTGAACCCTATGTTCCTGGCAACCTAATGCTGAAATGATTGAGTTCTATCTAATGACAAAGCCTTCTCTCATTTTTGAGAGGAGAGTGATTTACATTTGTAGCCAGCAGTTCTGCAGAGCACAGTTTGTGGCCTTGCATTCCTTACAATTCTGAGCTTCCTGATTGTTCTGCACTTTTGTGTGCCCATTAAGATCCTGTCATGCTGTGAAATTCCTTGTATCTATGAATCCTGTCTCTTGGAGGGGTTTGTCCTCCTTTCCTCTCCATTTGTCTCAGCTGGAGAATGGCCTTTAACATTCCTTTAAGGCCCGTGGTCCCACAGGGACCACTATGGCCCTTACAGCATGCTCCTCAAAACCTTGCTTTTCCTCAGTATTTGAAATTTCTAGGCCTTGCAAACTCAGCAGCAGCGCAGACATGTTCCTTTCTGTCACCTATTTGTGTCAAAATGGGCTATGTCTCTAGTGTTGCATTTTCCTCTGTGGTACATCTGTTCTTTCAGGCAGCCTCAGCTGACTTGTTAACCTGCTTAAGTTGGATCTTTTCCTTTCTACATCAGGTAGCTGACCTTTTTAGATTAGAATACCTTTCTTTTTCTTTTCCTTATGATTTTGGTGTTTGTTTTGCTTGCATACATATTCCTCTAATGCCTTTCCTACAGAACTTCCCCTAGTGGAAAATAAGAGAGCACATGTGTTCAGAATTAGCTCAGCTACTGCCAGCCGTCACTACTCTCAGAAAGGTAATTCTAATTGTGGGGATGTCCAGCATATAACTTAGAGCTGGACTACTTTTGGGTTATTTGACTTACTTTAATGTGATCTAGTACTCTCCCTTACAGTCTTAATTCCACAAACTTCTCAGTTCCACTATATACCATATGCCATATAGCAAATACCACACCTGTCTTCCCAGCAATATCACCTTGAAAATTACTTAATAATGCAAGAAATACTCTTGCTGATCTTTCTCCTTTTCAAATCTGTCTGAACTTAATTGTAATGGCCTATTATAGTTGTCCTATTCTTTAAGAGAAATCCTCTAATTTTCTCTTAATATCTTTAGCATTAAGAGGAATCATAAAATTTTCCTAGAGCCAGGCCTTTTTTTTTTTTTTTTTTTTTTTTGAGATCAAGTCTCGCTCTGTCACCCAGGCTGGAGTGCAGTGGCATGATCTCAGCTCACTGCAACCTCTGCCTCCCGGGTTCAAGTGATTCTCCTGCCTCAGCCTCCCGAGTAGCTGCTATTACAGACGCGCACCACCACGCCTGGCTAATTTTTGTATTTTTAGTAGAGTTAGGGTTTCGCCATGTTGGCCAGGCTGGTCTTGAACTCCTGACCCCAGGTGATCCACATGCCTTGGCTCCCAAAGTGCTGATCCAGGCCTTTCTGAGAGAACTGTTTTAACCTACTCCTGAATTCTTACTTCTCTTCTTCTATTCCTGTTTGGTCCATAACACCTTCCTTGAATAAATAACAAAAATAGCTTTTTTTTCTTAGTCCCAGCTCTTAAAGGGCAATTATGCCCAAGTCTCCTTTCCTTTGCAAAGCTGTTTGGCCTGACCTGGCATATGTTTCCCTTAAGGAAGGCAGTCCCTCTTTTCCTTCTGCTTAGTCTAGGTATCTTCCTTTGTTTTTCCTTCACTATCCCACTTGCCTTATTCTAATTGTGTATGTGTTTAAGTTCAATCCTGTTTTTCTCTGCTTTTCTGACAAATGTGATTTCTAGAGAAGTCTTTTTAATGTTTCTTAGCCTTTGCATTTATTATTGCTTTATTGAAGCTTTTCTAGTAACTAATCCAAGAAAATTATTTACCCCATCTAATAAGGGCCTCATTTCCCTTTATGTTTTCAGTGATTTAAATCTACCACCCAGCTGTAGTTGAATCTACAATCTGCTCAGGGATTTATACTCAATGCCAATTTGATATCATGCTGGGAGGGACTGATTGCAGAACCTTCTTGACAAGCCACATAAATCTAAAGGTTAGTCATTCCTCAGTCTTCTCTTTGGGATATAACAAAGAATAGAACGTGGGGCAGTTGACTGCATGCCTCTTACTAATGACAGCACATGTGATTAAAAGCTAATCCTCATACAGTGCTTTAGCACTTACATGGACCCAACTGCCTTTTGTAATCCTGTCGAGTAAACTTGATAGAGAGCAAAAGGTCATGATACCAACAGATGCCTAAAATGTCTGCTGCTTCTGAGGTGAGCCTTTACTAGAACCAAAGGATTCTTCCTGTAAAAGCCCCCAAATCTTTCAGGCACTAAAGCAGCACCAAAGTTTCTTTCTTTATGACGCGTTGAGTATCTGTGCATACATATTTGAGGACCCGTCACTACTAGTTCTAACTATAGGACATTGACCTGAGCATTAAATTGGGCTTTCTATTCTTTCTTCCCTAAACTAAACTTACCCACCCAGTCTGAGGCAGAGCAGCTGATGAGCAGGAACAGTCCTCTCCTGCCAGAGGAGCAACCCTGCCCCAATGATTGATGTCCCACTTTTGGGGCAGACCTAGGAAAGAAGAATGAGCCAGAATGCCTGGCTATCTGTTGTCGGTGTCCTCTGCCACACTCTTGTTCATCCTGTATTCACTCTTCCACATGTGATGGATGGAGACTGAAGCTTCCTTCTCAGTACTTACCTTCCCAGGGGAAGAGGGAATACATTATGAGTGAGGAATCTCATGGTTCCTTAAATGATTAAGTTATCTCAGTATCATTTTTGATTATCTGATCTCTTATCACATTATTTCCTAGACTTTTTTTTTAAGAGCAGTTTTAATTTCATAGAAAATTTGAGCCAGGTGTGGTAGCTCGTGCCTGTAATCCCTATACTTTGAGAGGCCAAGGTAGTAAGATTGCTTTAATGCAGGAGTTGGAGACCAGCCTGGGCAACACAGTGAGACCTCGTCTCTACAAAAGAAAAAAAAATTAGCCAGGCATGGTGGTACACGCCTGTGGTCCCAGCTACTTGGGACGAGGGGTGGGAGGATCACTTGAGCCCAGGAGTTCGAGGCTGCAGTAAGCCGAGATTGCACCACTGCACTCCAGCCTGGATGATAGAGCAAAACCTTGTCTCAAAAAAGAAAAAGAAAAATTGAGCAGAAAGTATAGTATTTAAATTTATTCCCTCACCTCCTTCTCTACACACAGTTACCCCTATCATTAACATATTGCATTAGTGTGGTATGTTTGTTACAATTGATGAGTCAATATTGTTCCTTTTTTTTTGAGACAGAATCTCGCTCTGTTGTCTAGGCTGGAATGTAGTGGCACGATCTCTGCTCACTGCAGCCTCTGTCTCCTGGGTTCAAGCGATTCTCATGCCTCAGCCTCCTGAGTAGCTGGGATTACAGGCGTGCGCCACCACGTCCAGCTAATTTTTGTATTTTTACTAGAGACAGGGTTTCGCCATGTTGGCCAGGCTGGTCTCAAACTCCTCAAGTGATCCACCCATCTCAGCCTCCCAAAGTGCTGGGATTACAGGGGTAAGCCACTGTGCCCAGCCCCCAATATTGTCACATATTATTAACATTCATAGTTTACATTAGGGTTGACTCTGTGTTGCACATGTTACAGGTTTTGACAAATGTATAATGACATGTATACACCATTACAATATCCTACAGACTAGTTTCACTGCCCTAAACATGTCCTGTTCTCCACCTTCTCACTACATTTTTGAAATGGTATCTTTGTCATATATCAAATTGCCACTTAATGAAGATCCCTCACATTTTTTTTGTTTCTCAATATTTAATTATTTTGTTGCTTCTATGACTTGGGATTTTTTTTTCATTTGTGTTTCTTTATGGCTTATTTCTCATACAAGATAGCTAATTGTGTTTCCATATTTATCTTATTTGTGTCTGGCCATTTTACTGACTTTTCTTGTTATTTCTATAAGTGTAACTTGATTTATCTTTATCGTCTTACTAATTTGGCTAAGATTTCCAGAGCAAGGTTGAATAACAGTAATGACAAGGATTTGTATACCTGGTTTGTTTTATTTTATTATTATTTTATTTATTTTATTTTATTTTTGAGTCTCACTCTCACCCAGGCTGGAGTGCCGTGGCACAATCTCGGCTCACTGCAACCTTTTGCCCCCGGGCTCAAGCGATCCTCCCACCTCAGCCTCCCAAGTAGCTGGGACCACAAATGCGTGCCACCACACCTGGCTATGTTTTTGTATTTTTGGTAGAGATGGGTTTTACCATGTTGCCCATGCTGACCTTGAACTCCTGAGATCAAGCCATCTGCCCACCTCGGCCTTCCAAAGTGTTTGGGATTACAGGCATGAGTCACCACACCCAGCCCCATATACCTTGTTTCAAGACTGAAATGAGAACATGTCTGATGTTTCACTATTACATGTGATGTCTGCTGTTGATTTCTTAAAAATTTTTTTTTGTTTTAATTGACAAATAATAGTTGTACTTATACGGAATGTAGTGATGTTTCAATGCATATAATGTCTAGTGAACAAATCAGGCTAATTAGCATATCCATTCTCTCAAACGCTTATTTCTCTTTGTTGGGAACATTCAATATCTTCTTTCTAGAATCTAATATTTATTATTATTATTTTATTAGAGACAGGCTTGCTCTGTCACCCAGACTGGAGTGCAGTGGCATGATCACAGCTCAGTGCAACCTCAAACTCCTGGGCTCAAGTGATCCTCCCATTTCAACCTCCCAAGTAGCTGGGACTACAGGCATGTGCCATCACACCTGGTTAATTTTTTATTTTTAGTAGAGTCAGGGTCTCACTATGTTGCCTAGGCTGGCCGTGAACTCCTGGTTTCAAGCAATTCTGCCTTAGCCTACCAAAGTGCTGGGATTACAGATGTAACCCACTGCTCCCAGCCTGAATCTATTACTGTTAACTATAGTCATCCTACAGTGATATAGAATATTAGAACTTTTTCCTCCCATCTGGCTGTAATTTTATGTCCTTTAACAAACCTCTCTCTATCCCTCCTTCCGCCTCCCCTTCCCTCTACCCTTTCCAGCCTCTAGTATCTTCTGTTCTGCTTTTTACTTGGATAAGATCAACCTTTTTAGCTTACACATATGAGTGAGAACATGTAGCATTTAACTTTCTGTTCCTAGCTTATTTCAACTAACATAATGTCTTCCAGTTCCATCCACATTGCCGTGAAAGACAAGATTTCATTCTTTGCTATGGCTGAATATTATTCCATGGTGTATATATACCATATTTTCTTTATCAATTCGTCTATCACTGGACACCTAGGTTGACTCTATATCTTGGCTGTTGTGCATAGTGCTGCAGTAAACATGGGGGTGCAGATGTCTCTTTGTTATAATGATATCACTGGAGTACAGTGATGCAATCACAACTCACTGCAACCTCCACCTCTGGGGCTCAAGTGATCCTCTTACCTCAGCACCACCCCCACCTCCAGTCACTGGGACTACAGACACACACCACCACGCCTGGCTAATTTTTGTATTTTTTTTTTGTAGAGACAGAGTTTCATCATGTTGCCCCGGCTGGTCTCGAATTCCTAGGCTCAAGCAATCCACCTGCCTTGGCCTCCCAAAAATGCTAGGATTGGAGGTGTGAGCGACCACACCGAGCCCCCATTTCTTGTCTGTGGATATACCTTTCTTTAGCTTATTAATAACAGGAGGGGCCTTTCACTATAGGTCAGTCCCATCCTTTTTTTTTTTTTTTTAGTTGAGATAGAGTCTCGCTCTGTTGCCCAGGCTGGAGTGCAGTGGCTCGATCTCAGCTCACTGCAAGCTCCGCCTCCTGGGTTCATGCCGTTCTCCTGCCTCAGTCTCCCAAGTAGCTGGGACTACAGGTGCCCACCACCACACCTGGCTAATTTTTTGTATTTTTAGTAGAGGCGGGATTTCACTGTGTTAGCCAGGATGGTCTCAATCTGCTGACCTTGTGATCCGCCCGCCTCAGCCTCCCAAGGTGCTGGGATTACAGGCATGAGTCGCTGCACCCGGCAGTCCCATCTCTTATTGGAAATTATCAGTCTATTGTAGTATAGGCAAATAAATGTACCATTTGGATACAAAAGACTCTTCCTACTTATTTTCCCCACCCCTCCAACCATTAATATCCAGCTGGACATTAATCTTAGACTAAAACTCAGTTGCTGTACAAAGATCTACATTTCTTCAACCTCCTTCAGTGCCTATAAAGTCATTCTACTTATAAACTCTGTTGTTGAGTATGCCTTGGAGATGTTTTTGCTGTATTTTGGTTTAACCCTATGTTTCATAGAAGTTCCATCACTGGCCATAGATTTCTCCCCATGATCTGATATAATCTGATTTGCTTGATGCTTTATCATCTTTATTCTTCACTCCCCACCCCTTTCTCCCTCTCCTTCTCTCCCTCCTTTGACCTCCAAGGCAACTTGATCACTTGTTTTTTGGTGGTAACCAAATAGTTAACTTGGTTATGCTACTTGGTATTTTTTGGTATAGTATGTAGCAAAAACACCTGAGAGATCTGCCTCTGTACCCCCTCCCCAAATGAAATAAAATTTAAAAATTCAAGACACTATGAGAATAAAAATAGCTTTAGTTATAAACCTGCATATAAGTTTTAAGCAATAGTCAATACTAGGCCTTATTTGAAAATCTTCAAATAAGCTGTAAAAGTGAAATTTTGTTCATTTCCTAGCCTGCTATTTGAGGCTTATTTTCTCTCTCATTCTAAACATTATTATTTTATTTTATCTTCACAAAATAATACAATAACAGATTTATCTATCAGAAACTATATTAACAGTTTTAGTAAAATACTTAAAATTTGCAAAATGCAAATCCTCTGAGCCATGAAGCCAATCTTAGATTTGTAAGCGATATTTTTTTTACTCTGAATATATTATTTGCCTCATATTCCCAGTGCCTAGGACAGTCTTTAATACATTGTATACACCAAGTTTTCTGTAAGCCTAATCTCTATATTTTGTCTTTAACTTCGTTAAGAAATTAAGATTTTATTTGGCAAAAAGGACATTTATTTTTCTTGATATTCATTTATAAGTGTTCTAGTAAGCCTTAAATTTTTTCTTTATTATTCCGTTTTCCCCACATTTTAATTAAGTATTACTCAGAGCTGCCTTCTTTAAGCAGCTTATGGTGATACTATTTTGACGTTGGTCAGAAATCAGAATTTAAAACTGGCTGCTATCCAGCTTCTATCAGAAGTGCATTTGAGAGAAGTGTTATTTAATAAAAGATTGCTGAAAGGACATTTAGTTCATCTCCTCTCTGTATTCTGAGCTGTTTCTGTTTCAAGTTAGATCTGTGAATGCTACTTTCTTAGGAAATGCAGTGTATGTTCTCAATTTCATCAAGGATAAATAATGGAAAATAAATCATATAAAAACTAATTGCTGTGTTTGAAAAACTGTCAGGGTGTCAGGGGCACTGCCATGATGTCATTGAATTTCCCCCAGAAAAGCTTACCATGAGAAATGTCCTAGAATCTGTGTCAGAAAAAAAAAAAAAAAAAGACTTCTCTGAAGGGTTAGTAGACTTGTTTCTGATTATGAGGAACTTTTTCTTTCCTCTTGACTGTTGGAAAACTCAGTGCAAAATTTTTATACTACATGGCAGCGACTCTGTAAGTCCTTTCTAAATATGTCTTCAAAAGAAATTCTGCGCTGGAAAAAGATTGGCTTTAAATAGAAAATAGAGATAAAGCATTTGGCAAGCACCTTTTTAACATGTATTGCCAAGCTAGGCTAGTGAGCCTCTTTTTATTTTATGTATTTTTCCTTTGATTAGAAAACGTTGTGTGACGTGATCCTCATGGTCCAGGAAAGAAAGATACCTGCTCATCGTGTTGTTCTTGCTGCAGCCAGTCATTTTTTTAACTTAATGTTCACAAGTAAGTATCTTAAGGTAAAACATGCCATTATTTCTTCTATGAGAATGAAGTAAAATCTAAAAGAGAATATGTCATTTTTCTAATTTTTAAAGCAGTTAAGAACTTAAGGCCACAGAACAGTGAAGAGATTGAAAAAGTAGTCAGCTGATAACCAAAGGAAAAAATGTCCTTTCATTAGACCTAAAGGCCTGATGCCTTTATTGATGGAGGTACAGCTTCTACTTAAAAGCCCAGGGTTGAGGTGGAGGTTGCAGTGAGCCGAGATTGCACCACTGCACTCCATCCTGGGCGTCAGAGCGAGACTCTGTCTCAAAAAAAAAAAAAAAAAAAAAAAAAAAAAAAAGCCCAGGGTTTTCTTTTTAACCTTAGGTGGAAAGACAAAGAAGCAGATAAATTTCATAATATTTTAGCCGGCAAGTTAAACTTTAAAAAAAAAATAGCTGTAGCATATTGTGCCAGAAAGAACCCTGGATTTGGTGTTCAGAACTGGGTCCAAGTCCTACTTCCTCTACTTAGTACTATTTTATGAGCTTGGGAAAAAAACAAAATCTAGTTTTATGTTTCTGTTAATATGGTCTTAAAAAGAAGTACACTAATTCACTCTTTTCTTAGCTTAATTTAAGGCACATCTTGGGTGGAGAATTAATTTGCATTGACTATAGAAATGTTGGGCTTGCTGGGGCATTTTCTTCCAGAGAGAACTGTCCCGTTATTTTTCTGCATATTTAACATGGCCTGGAATGCCGTGGTTCCTCAGTCAAACTTGTGGTAGTACAGATGCCATTTATGTTTCTTCTCTTCATTGTAGCTAACATGCTTGAATCAAAGTCCTTTGAAGTAGAACTCAAAGATGCTGAACCTGATATTATTGAACAACTGGTGGAATTTGCTTATACTGCTAGGTGAGTTAAGTATTATTTTTATTTTAGAGAAGTAATGTTGGTATCTACCATGGCAAAGCATTGTCGTAACAAATAGTTGCACTACAAATTCTTCAAAATGAAAAACCGCAAGGATGGAAGAGTTTCAGTATCCTATGCCATACTAATTCAAGGACTGAAAGTTTAATTTTGTGTTTAATTTCAGGGGCTATTAGGATACATTCCACAGTAACATTTAAATAATAAAAAATCATGGGTAACTAATATTCCCTCTAACTTATTTGCAGAATTTCCGTGAATAGCAACAATGTTCAGTCTTTGCTGGATGCAGCAAACCAATATCAGATTGAACCTGTGAAGAAAATGTGTGTTGATTTTTTGAAAGAACAAGTTGATGCTTCAAATTGTCTTGGTAAGAAATATCAGATTCCTGTTGTGTGTTTATTTTGTTTTATCCTTTATTTCTAATTTAATTTTTTAAAAAGGCTGATTTTAAGTATCCGCATTTAACCTTAAAGACATTGTCCACTAGAACGTTTTCTAGTAATAAAATTTAAGAGGGGCTTAGAGAGATGCATATTAACCTGGGCAGCAGCAAGCTTATTAAATATTATATCAACATTTTCTAAAACACAAAATGGCATTTTTAATGGTTTTTCACGGATCTAGGACAATGAATAAGGATTGCATGTGGTGATAGTAACATGATTATGAATGTTTCCTTTTATTTAAGCACTTATGATATGCTAAGGTCTATCACAGATGAGGCAACTTATAGTTAGGTAACTTGCCAGAGGTCACATAGCTAGTGTATGAACGAGCTGGGATTGGAACTCAAGTAATCTAATTCTTAGCTACTACACCTTGCTGCCTCCCCACATTGTCAAAATGCTGTTTTATACTAGAAAACATAACCTTAGTCTATAAATTAAGATACTAACTGAGGGACTGCTATAGCCATTTTGAAGCTATTAATAAAGTATTTTCTATTTTGTGATAGGAGAAGCAGAAAAAGTTGATCAGAGCCTTCCAGAGTGTGGTATGCTTTTCACTGTGTGATGATCCTTAGTGGCACATGAATGAACGTCCAGATGTTTGTGCAGTAGCCCACCCTTATCTGCAGGATACGTTCCAAGACCCCCAGTGAATGCCTGAAACTGCAGATAGTACTGAATCCTATATATACTGTGTTTTTTATGATACATACATGCCTATGATGAAGTTTAATTTCTAAATTAGACAGTAAAAGATTAACAACAATAATAATAAAATAGAACAACTTTAACAATATGCTAGCATCACTACTCTTATATTTTGGGGCCATTATTAAGTAAAATAAGGGTTACTTGAACAGAGCACTGCAATACTAGGGTAGTCCACTTCATAACCAGGATGGTTTCTTAAGTGACAGGCAGGTAGGTTATACAGCATGGATATGCTGGTCAAAGGGATGATTTCTGTCCCAGGCAGGATGGAGCAGGATGACGTGAGATTTCATCACACAACTCAGAACAGCACACAATTTCAAACATATGAATTGTTTGTTTCTGGAATTTTCCATTTAATGTTTTTGAACCACAGAAAGCAAAACCATGGATAAGGGGGACTACTCTAATTCCATTTTCCTACGCTTGTTGTGATTCAGAGGCTTTAAAGAAAGGGAAGAGCGCTGGTATAGGAGTGCTAGGAAAGCAGGGAGGAAAGAAAAGTAGAATGAAGGAAAGTATAAAGAGGGGTCAAAGAATCCAGTCAGTGCTAAGATATTTGACCCAGGAGAAAAGAAGAGGGGTGCTAAATGACAAGAACGCAAAGACTGATGCAAAGGGCTCCTGAAGATGCTTCAGAATTTTGGCAAGTCTCCTCTGTCCCTACTTTTTGTAGGCTTTCCTCCTTCCGGACACTTTAGTACTCCTTCCTGCATACCCCCTCACTGTGAGCACAGAGAGAGAGATCTTGGAAGGCAGGTGGAAAGCAGCAGAATAAATTTCAGGAGGAAGTAAAAGTCAGGTGAAGGGAATAAAAATGAGACTTAGCCTAATATCCAGAAAAGGGATTGGACTAGATGGAGCAGGAAGAGAAATAGCTATGCAGGTGAATATACTGAAGGAATTTTTAAAAGGTAGCCATGGGTCTACATATTGAAAAGATCCCTATATTAGAAAATAAAAGGCCAATCTCTAATCCTACCTGTACAGCAGAGACACTCTGGCATGAGTCCTTCCATCTCTTTGGGCCGTAATTGGGGCTTCACTCATCAATAAGATTTATATTCCTAAGACTTAAGGTTACTTCCATTATATAAATAATTATCTTCAGACAATACTATAAACGGGGAATTACCTTAATTAAGTTTTTGGAAATGATGGCTTATGTATGTTTCTATAACTCCCTAGCACTCTAAATTTCCTCCTGGGGTGATTCAACTACAAAGAAGAATGGCTGAAATATAGGTAGGTAGTAGATGTGGTGGTGCAAAGCATAGTGTGGAACCTGGAGTGAGTCTGTGCTAAGCACATCTTAGGCTTTGGGCTTCTGAGGAGACCATTTAGTAGTTTTGCCTCTGGATACCTTCTATCCTTACTGTTCACAAAGCTGGGAGGAAGGACAGCCCCGCCACCTAGAAAGTAGCCTGATTCCTGGCTAAGCTTCTGGCAAAGACAGTGGCCCAGCCAGGTGAGCCAAGTGCCATAGCCCAATAACTAGGGAAACTGCTTCTGCTTGCTTTCTGTTTAGCCTTGAGCATGGCTCTCAATGTCAGCTGATTGGATAATTCCTAGCTTAGTTTTCACCACCTGTCAATTCTCTGCTGCCCAGAAAGAGTCCATCAATCGAGCTTCCACAAATGCTAAAGGAACCGGTGGCAGCTGATGGAATCGGGCAAAGATCATGTAAAAAATTAAACCCAGTACCAGCCTGGCCAACATGGTGAAACCCCTCTCTACCAAAAAAATACAAAAATTAGCCGAGTGCAGGCGTGGTGGCACACACCTGTAGTCCCAGCTACTCCGGAGGCCGAGGCGGGAAAATCGTTTGAACCGGGAGGCGGAGGTTGCAGTGAGCCGAGATCTTGCCACTGCACTCCAGCTGCATGAGACAGTGAGACCCTGTCTTGGAAAAAACAAAAAAAAACAGTAGTTTGAGGAACAGAAAACCAAGCTAAACAGCCAAAATGAATGGCTCCTGTAAGGCAAATTTAATGTGAGAAATAGAAGGGAACAAATTAACCGGGCATGGTTGTGCGCGCCTGCAGTCCAAGCTACTCCAGAGGCTGAAGCGGGAAAATCGCTTGAACCGGGAGGCGGAGGTTGCAGTGAGTGAGCCGAGATTGCGCCACTGCACTCTAGGCTGGACTACAGAGTGAGACTCTGTCTCAAGAAAAAAAAAAAAAGCAAACTTAAAAATACGATGTGTAAAAATATGGTTTTACAGTTTTTTGACATTCAATTGAATTGAAAAATAGAATCGATACTCTTAAAACTCAAACCGAAGAAGATCAAACAGGAAGTTGCCTCATGATACGAAACAAAAATGCAAAGGAAGCCACTAGTGAGAAGATAAAAGAAAGGGAAGGAAGATACAGGAACTGCAGTGTGAGGTAGGAGTTCCAGAAGGAACAGATGGAGAAAGCAATAATCAAATAAGACTACGACTTCTTTGGGTTTAAAAAAAAAAAAAAAAAAAAAAAAAAAAAGAACTTTAACTTTCGGACTAAGTTATACTGAGTATTAAACCTGATCAATGAACTAAGATATTCCTCCCTCAGATATATTCTAGTGATATTTTTCACCTTCAAAGATCAAAAGAGAGCTTACATTTGGGGTGATAAAAATATTCTGGAACTAGATAGTGGTGACTGTGGTACAACATTGCAAATGTAGTAAATGTCACGGTAAGTTTTATGTGTATTTTACCACATTAAAAAAAAAAGTGACCCTACAGCTAGCAGGTCCCAAAAGAAACTCCCACACCCACTAGCAGTCACTCCCCATTCTTCCTCTGGCAGGCCTGGCAACCATGAATCTGCTTTCTGCCCCTATAAATTTGCCTATTCTGAGTGTTTCATATAAATTGAATCATACCAAAGGTGGCCCTTTGTGTCTGGCCTCTTTGAGCACAGTGTTTTTAGGGTTCATCCATATTGTAGCATTTATCAGTACTTCATTTCTTCTTATGGCTGAATAATATTCCATTGCATGGATATACCAAAATGTGTTTATCCATTTACTGATGGGTGAATGTTTGAATTGTTTCCAAGCCAGCACATTTTATAGAGGAAAAGGAAAGCACTGGTTAACTTGAACAAAAAAAAATAAAAGTGCTTTCTACCATCTGGGACCTTGGCTGTGGATCAGGTGAGTGCACAGGTCAGACGAAAGCCCTACAGTTGGCACAGCCTGGGCCTCTGTCCATGGTTGCAGGGGCATCTCCGCAGCTACTGCATGCAGTGATCATGGGGGCCCCAGACCTGGGCTTAGGCAAGGGCACTGTGTTGTTGTACATCACCAAACACTTCAAGCTGAGGCACCTCTCCAGCAGGGACTGCTCCAGGACAACATGCTACAGGGCACATAAATTGGTATGTTAGCCAAGGCTTTTCTTGACCAAGGGAAACTCATCCCAAATGATGTTACGACTCGGCTGGCCCTTCATGAACTGAAAAATCTCACCTAATATAGCTGGTTTTCCAAGGACACTGCCATAGGCAGAAGCCCTAGATGAGCTTATCAGATAGACACAATGATTAACTTGTATGTGCCCTTGGAGGTCATTTAAACAACACTTCACTGCTTGCTGTTCATCTAGCTAGTGGCCGAGTCGACTACATTGAATTCAACCGTCCCCAAACTGTGGGTATTGCTGATCTGACTGGGAAGCCTCTCATTCGGCCTGAGAATAATAGACCAGAGACACAGTTATCAAGAGACTGAAGACTTATGGAGCCAGTCCCAGAACTTTACCAGAAAAAAACAGGGATGTTGGAAACACTCTCCAGAGCAGAAACCAACAAGATTTAACGTCATGTTTATGCTTTCCTACAAACTAAAGTTCCACAAAATCAGAAAGCCCCAGTTACTCCATGAGGAGAAATGATTATAACTAGTAAGATGAGCAGAACCTCCTTGTCCTTGGATTTAGAGGCTCCTTTTCCTAAGAATGGAGCATGTATAAATAAGAATGTAGGCATGTATAAGAATGTATGCATGTATAAGTTCTTTGAAAATTATATTATTTCTACAGATTTTATTCTGGATACTAATGATGTGCCAGATGAATCAGGTACTGATTCATCTTTTGAAATCATCTAATGTGTTTTATCCAGTTATCTTCTAGCAGTGTGCAATTCAAAAACATCATTGGTGTCTAAACTTTTAAAACATCCGTTAGAGCAAAATTAAAAGAGCAATTAGTAGTCTTTTTTCTTCAGTAAGAATAAGTGGTTGATAAAATTTTCATTTTTTTCTGGAAAAGTTTTTAAAAGTTACATGTCATTTGGGGAAAATATCTCATAAGTTTTTGCATAGAGATATTTCTAGCCCTGTGGAACATGGTTTTGTGAGACATCATATCTATAAAATTCCAGAAAAACAGCAACTGGATTTACAGATCTGTTGCAAGATGCAAATTCACTGCTGCCTTTACACTAAGAAATTTATAAGCTAGCCATATATGCTATATTTATTTTGTTGTTAAACATACCTTAAGTTTACTCAGAATTTTCAATTTGCTATACAATTATCAATTAGCATATGGGAATATATTACTTTAAGATGACTTGTTTTCTTTTGAAAATACATATGTGCTGAGGGATATGATTTATATCCCTCAGAAATTGACATTGTAAGTTCTTGGATAAGTTCTTGCACCACAGTTGAATGAATTTTCAATGGAAAATGTAATTTAAAGACTTATTTTTTCATCTGTTACTCAGGTTTAGAAATGTATGTTTTAAGATCTACTTGCCAGTTTCTCTTTTTGATCCAAACATATGATCTGCCTCGATAAATAACAACATCTGGTACCAAGAAAAAGAAAGAAAGAAAAAAGATTAAGAGTAAACCTATGGCACTATGTAAAGTGAACATACTTTGTTGTTACGAAATAGAAATAATAGATCAGGCATGTCTGGGGAGTATTCCCTTTGCATAACAAACACAATTAGTAAACAGGTATAGCAACAAAAAGAATTTACATAATGGTTAACAGGGATCAAGAAAGTGACTTTCCTGAAAGAGTTATTTATTCCTGATGACATTGATACCTGGTAGTGTTCGCTGCCAACCTATCTTAAGGGTAAAGAATTCTGCTGGTGAGTGTCATCTGAGCAACCATTTAAAAATCCGAATCATTTTAGATTTCTTAGTGGGGCAACAAGGATGCATGCTTATGTACTGTGACGTGGTAGGAGAAGTGGGCCAATATGAGAGGTGGAGATAAAACTCGACTGTCTTCCATGGCATATTTACTTTTACTTGATGCTAAATCAAATGAAACAAGACCTTGTACAGCTGTTATTAACTGCCTTTGAAAATTTGGCCCTTTTTTCCCAGGAACTTGAAATAAAAATGCCAACAAATGGTTCTTGTGTATTTTGGTAGAAAAAAACTTATTTTCCTTTTCTTTTGATTGAAAAAAAATTATTGTTGATCTTTGAAAATGAATCAAGGCTTTAAAGAGGATTATAGTAGATATTTCATTCTTTATAAAACTTTCCTTAATGCCTATTTATTTTTGTGTTTGCATGTTTATTTTTGTGGGTACATAGTTGGTATATTTATGTGGTATATAAAATGTTTTGATACAGGCATGCAATGTGAAATAAGCACATCATGGAGAATGGGGTATCCATCCCCTCAAGGATTTATCCTTTGAGTAACAAACAATCCAATTACACTCTAAGTTATTTTAAAGTGTACAATTAAGTATTGACTATAGTCACCCTGTTGTGTTATCAAATAATAGGTCTTATTTATTCTTTTTTTTTTTTTTTTTTTGGTACCCATTAATCCTCCCCTCAATCTCCCGACTACCATTCCAGGCCTCTGGTAACCATCTTTCTACTCTCTGTAGAAAGATGAGTAGATGTAGAAGATGAGTTCAACTGTTTTGATTTTTAGATCCCACAAATAAACGAGAATATGTGATGTCTGTCTTTCTGTGCCTGGCTTATTTCACTTAACATAATTATCTCCAGTTCCATCCATGCTGTTGCAAATGACTAGATCTCATTCTTTTTTATGGCTGAGTAGTACTCCATTGTGTATATATACCACAGTTTCTTTACCCATTCATCTGTTGATGGACACTTACGTTGCTTCCAAATCTTAGCTATTGTAGACAGTGCTGCAGCAAACATAAGGATGCAGATATCTCTTTGATATACTGATTTCCTTTCTTTTGGGTATATACCCAGAAGTGGGATTGCTGGATCACATGTTAGCTCAATTTTTAGTTTTTTGAGAAACCTCCAAGCTATTCTCCATAGTGGTTGTACTAATTTACATTTCCACCAACAGTGTACGAGGGTTCCCTTTTCTCCACATCCTTGCCAGCATTTGTTATTAACTATCTTTTGGATATGAGCCATTTTAACTGGGGTGAGATGATATCTCATTATAGTTTTGATTTGCATTTCTCTGATGATCAAGGATGTTGAATACCTTTTCATAAGTCTGTTTGCCATTTGTATGTCTTTGAGAAATATCTATTCAAATCTTTTGCCCATTTTTTCATTGGCTTTATTAGATTTTTTTCTTATAGAGCTCCGTATATATTCTGGTTATTAATCCTTTGTCAGATGAGTAGTTTGCAGATATTTTCTCCCATTCTATAGGTTGTCTCTTCACTTTGTTGATTGCATCCTTTACTGTGCAGAAGCTTTTTAACTTGATGTGACTCCATTTGTCCATCTTTGTTTTGGTTGCCTCTGCTTGTGGGGTATTGCTCAAGAAATCTTTGCCCAGATCAGTGTCCTGGAGATTTCTCCCCAGTGTTTTCTTGTTATTTCATAGTTTGAGGTCTTAGATTTAAGTCTTTAATTCATTTTTATTTGAGTTTTCATATGATGAGAGATAGGGGTCTAATTTCATTCTTCTGTATATGGATATCCAGTTTTCCCAGCACCACTTATTGAAGAGACTGTCTTTTCCTCAGTGTGTATTCTTGGCACCTTTGTTGAAAATGAGTTCACTGTAGGTGTGTTGATTTGTTTCTGGGTCCTCTATTCTGTTCCATTGGTCTATGTGTCTGTTTTTATGCCAGTACATGCTGTTTCGATTACTATAGCTCTGTAGTATAATTTGAAGTTGGGTAATGTGATTTCTCCAGTTTCATTCTTTTTGCTTAGGGTAGCTTTGGCTATTCTGGGTCTTTTGTGGTTCCATATAAATTTTAGGATTGTTTTTTCTACTTCTGTGAAGAATGTCATTGGTATTTTGATAGGGATTACATTGAATCTGTAGATTGCTATGGGAAGTATGGACATTTTAGCAATATTGATTCTTCCAATCCATAAACATGGAATATTTTCCCACTTTTTGGTGTCTTCTTCAATTTCTTTTATCAGTGTTTTATAGTTTTCATTATAGAGATCTTTCACTTCTCTGGTTAATTCCTAGTTATTTATGTATGTGTGGCTATTGTAAATGGGGCTACTTATTTTATTTTATTTATTTTATTTTTATATTTTTTTGAGACAGAGCCTTGCTCTGTCACCCAAGCTGGAATGCAGTGGTGTGACCTTGGCTCACTGCAGTCTCCACCTCTTGGGTTCAAGCGATTCTCCCACCTCAGCCTCCCGAGTAGCTGGGACTACAGATACATGCCACCACACCTGACTAATTTTTTTGTATTTTTAGTAGAAACTGGTTTTCACCATGTTGGCCAGGCTGTTCTCAAACTCCTGACCTCAGGCGATCCGCCCGCCTCAGCCTCCCAAAGTGCTGGGATTACAGGCATGAACCACCATGCCCAGCCCTCTTATTTCTTTTTCACATTGTTCACTGTTGGTGTATAGTAATGCTACTAAGTTTTGTATGTTGATTCTGTATCCTGCAACTTTACTGAATTTATCCATTCTAATAGTTTTCTTGTGGAGTCTTTTAGTTTCTCCAAATATAAGATCATATTGTCTGCAAACAAGGATAATTTTATTTCTTCCTTTCTGGTTTGGCTGCCTCTCATATCATTCTCTTGTCTGATTGCTCTAGCTAGGACTTCCAGTACTATATTGAGTAACAGTGGTGAAAGTGAGCATCCTGGTTGTGTTCCAGATCTTAGAGGACAGGCTTTCAGTTTTTCCCCATTGAATATGATACTAGCTATGGGTCTGTTGTATATGGCTTTTATTATGTTGAGGTATGTTCCTTCTATCCCCAGTTTTTTTTAGTTTTTTATTATGAAAGGATGTTGAATTTTTTCAAATGCTTTTTCAGCATTGACTGAAATTTTCTTATGGTTTTTATCTTCATTTTGTTGATACGCTGTATCACATTGATTGATTCGTGTACGTTGAACCATCATTTGCATTCCAGAGATAAATCCCACTTGGTCATGATGAATTATATTTTTAATGTGTTGTTGAATTTGGTTTGCTAATATTTTGTTGAGGATTTTTGCATCAATGTTCATCAGAGATATTGGTGCCTGTAGTTTTCTTTTGTTTAATGTGTCTTCATCTGGTTTTGGTATTAGGGTAATGCTGGCCTCATCAAATGAGTTTGGAAGTATTCCCCCCTCTTCTGTTTTTTTGGAATAGTTTGAGTAGGATTGGTATTAGTTCCTCTTTAAATATTTGGTAGAATTCATCAGGGAAGGCATCAGGTCCCAGGCTTTTTTTACTGGGAGACTTTTTATTATAGCTTCAAGGTCATTACTTGTTATTGATATGTTCACATTTGTATTACTTCCTGATTCAATCTTGGTAGGTTGTATGTATCTAGAAATTTGCTCATTCTAAATTTTCCAATTTATAGGCATATATTAATAGTTGCTCGTAGTAACTGTTACTGATCCTTTGAATTTCTGCACTATCAGTTGTAGTGTCTCCTTTTTCATTTCTGATTTTATTTGGATCTTCTCTCTCATTTTCTAAGTCTACCTAAAGGTTTGTCCATTTTGTTTTAACTTTTCAAAAAAACAACTTTTTGTTTCATTGATCTTTTGTATTTTTTTCATTTCAGTTTTATTTTTTCTCTGATCTTTATTTCTCCTACTAATTTTGGATTTGGTTTGCTCTTGCTTTTCTAGTTCTTTAAGATACATCATTAGATTGTTAATTTAAGATTTTTCCTCTCTTGATGTAGGCACTTATAACTATAAATTCCCTCTTAGTACTGCTTTTGTTGTGTCCCATAGGTTTAGGGATATTATCGTCATTTGTTACTTGTTGCAAGAAATTTTTCAGTTGCCTTTTTAATGTCTTCAGTGATCCCCTGGTCATTCAGGAGCATACTGTATAATTTCCATGTGTTTGTATAGTTTACAAAATTCCTCTTGTTATTAATATCTAGTTTTATTCCATTGTGGTCAGGGGAGATGCTTGATACTGTTAAGTTTTTTTTAAATGTTTTAAGACTTGTTTTGTGACCTAGCATATGGTCTATCCTTGAGAATGATCCATGTGCTGAGGAAAAGGATGTGTATTCTATAGCTCTTAGATGAAATAGTCTATAAATATCTGTTAGATCCATTTGGTCTATAGTGCAGATTAAGTCTGATGTTTGTTGATTTTCTGTCTGGAAGATCTCTCCAGTGCTGAAAGTGGGGTGTTGAAGTCTCCAGCCATATAATGCCCTTATTTGAATGATATGTGCTTTCTAAAAATGTTGTGACCTGCTAAACATGTATTATCACTAGGCTATCAGGCATACATTAGTCTTTATTAGAATAAAACAAAATTTCATAACTGTGGCTATTTGTCTTTGGTCCTTCACAGGGCCTACTCTGTCCCGGCTTCCTTTCTGCTGCCCTGATGTCTCACTGGCTTCTGAATGAGTGACTGTGTAAAAATAAGTTGGTCTTAAAACAGTAAAAAAGAAAGAATATCAATATAAAAGAATTTACAGGCTTTCAAAGAGAAGCAGTATAGTATATTACAAAAAATAACCATAAATTCTTTCCATCCATTTGTGTCCACCCTTTTGCAATGTGACTTGGTAGCTCCTCCCATCTCCCTTGTAATCTGTGGCCGTGTGACTTGCTATAGCCTGTGGAACATTAGCAAATGTGAAGTTAGCAGAGGATAGAAAAATGCTTGTGCTTTGGGATTTGCCCTCCATTGTTGCTGGGAACTCTTCTGCTGCCATGAGAAGAAGGCTAGAGACCATAGGGCAGAGATCAACTATCCCAGCTGGTGTCTACAACAAGTTACTTAGAAAAGAAAGAGAATCAGAATGCCATTAATTTTTTATCTGCAGCACAAAATTAGAACATAATGTCACAAGGTTGCAAATGAGAGGGAGAGAAAATTGCATTTCAAGGCATCATTCATTTGGATATTGCAAGAAAACAATCACATGTATCCCTTCTGAGAAAAGTATTAGAAGTACTGAAGCTAGCTAAGTGAGAGAGGTAAAGAGCTCAAGATAAGGATGTACCGGTTAGGTTTCTTACTTGCAAGCAAAATAAACCAAATGTTGCTGGTTTACACAGAAAGGGAATTTATGGAATGGCTAGTGAGTAACTCATAGCATTGCCCAGAAATCTCAAGTCAGATTTTAAAAAGAAGGATTTGAATAACACAAACTTGTTTTAGCTAGATAACACAGAATGTTTTACCTAGTCATCAGAGAACACAGATTGTTTTCAGATACCCTTGGAGTATTTACAAGTACTGATCATCAGCCACAGAAAAGCTGGAGCACCTAAAAAAGAGGAGACACAGGCCACGTCCCCTGATTACAGTGCAGTAAAACTAAAAATTAACTATGGAAGGACAGCTTTTCTCTCCCACCCCATTCTGAACACTTGAAAATTTAACCAAAGAATTATTTAGAAAATTAATTTTTAGAGATATTAAAGGTAAACTTATAGGCTATATAGAAACATGGCAATAAGCACACAATAAACTGAAATCTTTGGAATATAACCAAAGTATTTCTTAGAAGGAAATTGGTAGCCTTAAATTTTTTTCCAAATAAATGTATTTATTTTTATTCTTTCTTGACTTATGTATCCTACTCAGAGAAAAATAATTTGTAAACACCTAATAAAAGTATAAAAAATATGATTTAAAATATAGATTAGGCCAGGTGCAGTGTCTCACACCTGTAATCCCAGCACTTTGGGAGGCCAAGGTGGGCGGATCACCTGAGGTCAGGAGTTCGAGACCAGTCTGGCCAACATGGGGAAATCGCATCTCTACTAAAAATACAAAAATTAGCCAGGCATGGTGGTGTGTGCCTATAATCCCAGCTACGCAGGAGACTGGGGCGGGGGAATCACTTGAACTCCAGAGGCGGAGGTTGCAGTGAGCTGAGATTGCGCCATTGCACTCCAGCCTAAGCGACAGAGTGAGTGAGACTCCATCTCAAGAAAAGAAAAAATAATAAAGCAGAGAAATAAAACTAATAGACTATAGACTTGGAAAAACTAAAGCTAAGTATTTCAAAGAATGATACAAAATAACCTCAGACTTAACAAGTCTTATCAAGAAGAAAAGATCAAAGAACAGCATCAAGAATTAGAACTATAGACATGAAAGCAAAAGGCAGTGACCAAAACTGTCTTTTTTTTTTTTTTGACAGAGTCTCATTCTGTCGCCCAGGGTGGAGTGCAGTGGTGTGATCTCGGCTCACTGCAACCTCCGCCTCCCAGGCTCAAGTGGTCCTCTTGCCTCAGCCTCCTGAGTAGCTGGGATTACAGGCACCCACCAGCATGCCCGGCTAATTTTTGTATTTTTGGTAAAGACAGGGTTTCACCATGTTGGCCAGGCTGGTCTCGAACTCCTGACCTCAAGTGAGCTGCCCGCCTCATCCTCCTAAAATGCTGGGGTTACAGGCATGAGCCACCACGCCTGGCCAGGTTTTATGCTTTTTAAGACAATTTTGGGCTGGGCACGGTGACTCCTAAAATGCTGGGATTACAGGCATAAACCACTGTGCCCAGCCCAAAATTGTCTTAAAAAGCATAAAACCTGGCCAGGCATGGTGGCTTATGCCTGTAATCCCAGCACTTTGGGAGGCTGAGCGGGCGGACCACTTGAGGTCGGGAGTTCGAGACCAGCCTGGCCAACATGGTAAAACCCCACCTCTACCAAAAATACAAAAATTAGCCTGGCGTGCTGGTTGGTGCCTGTAATCCCAGCTACTCAGGAGGCTGAGGCAGGAGGACTGCTTGAACCTGGGAGGCAGAAGTTGCAGTGAGCCGAGTTCGTGCCACTGCACTCAAGCCTGGGCAACAGACTGAGACTCCGTCTCAAGAAAAAAAAGGCACGGTGGTTCACACCTGTAATCCCAGCACTTTGGAAGGCCAAGGCGGGTGGATCATGAGGTCAGGAGTTTAAGACCAGCCTGGCCAAGATGGTGAAACCCCGTCTCTACTAAAAATACAAAAATTAGCTATGCATGGTGGCATGCGCCTGTACTCCCAGCTACTTGGGAGGCTGAGGTAGGGAATTACTTGAAACCTGGGAGGTGGGGTTTGCAGTGAGCCGAGATCGGGCCACTGCACTCCAGCCTGGGCGACAGAGCAAGACTCCATCTTAAAAAAAAAAAAAAAAAAAAAAAGAAGGTATAAAACCTGAAGCCAGTAACCTCAGAAACAATCAAAAAAGTAAAGATGTATTTCTTTTTTCTTTTTGAGACAGTCTCACTTTGTCGCCCCAGCTGGAGTGCAGTGGCCCAATCTCAGCTCACTGCAACCTCTGCCTCCCGGGTTCAAGTGATCCTCCTGCCTCAGCCTCCTGAGTAGCTGGGATTATAGATGCGCGCCACCACACTCAGCTGATTTTTGTATTTTTAGTAGAGATGGGGTTTTACCGTGTTGGCCAGGCTGGTCTCAAACTCCTGACCTCAAGTGATCCCCACCTAGGCCTCCCAAAGTGCTGGGATTACAGGCATGAGCCACCATGAAGATGTATTTCTAATTAGTGCTCCAGGCTTGAAGGCTTTGTGGGTTAATTCTATCAACCTTTCAAAGAATAGATTAATTCTTACGTTATTTAAATTGTTCTAAATCTCTAGAAAGGGTAGAAAACTTGCCAGCTCATTCTCCTGGGGTAGGGTTACCATAATAGCAACATTGGATGAAGAAAGTGTGGGCTTGTATATACGTGTATGTGTACAAACACATATAACATTTTAGTTTCATTGAAAAAGATTTATTAATGCTAAAAAAAAAAAAAAAACAAGAATACCCCTCGTGTGGAATGGGGATAGTGGGAAAGGTTATGCATGTGTGGTGACAACAGGGACATGGGAACTCTGTAATGTTTCTTCAGTTTTGCTATAAACCTAAAACTGCTCTGAAAAAAATGAAGTTTATTTTAAAAATAATAATGCTTTGTGACCAGCTAGGATTTACTTTAAAAATGACACAATGGTTCAATCATTTCAATGTCAAGAAATCTAGTAACATAATTTACTATGCTAACAAGCTGTAGGAGAAAACTGAGTACATAAAATCATAGCAGCAGATGCTGAAGGCACCTTTTGTGATTTCAGTAGCCATTTCTGATGTTTAAATAAGCAAAAATAATAATCCTTAAAATAGGAATACTACTGGGTGAAACTATTAGAAGTGTACAAATACAGCCAACTTTTCACCATGAGCATCAAACATGTCATGGCATTGGTTAGTAAATTTTACAAAGGAGGTGGAAAATGCCAGCTAATCTAAGTTGGTTAACAAGCATCAGCTTTGAGAACCTTTATGGCACAAATATGAAAGCATCAAAATTCATTAAATGAAGACAATGTGAAATTGAAACATGGAAAAACAGATAATGAATTGAAAAAAAGTCAACATGATTAAGGATGCTTGCCACTTGATCACATACAAAAATAATTTGTAGTTTTATATAGAAGAGGGAGCAGACTTTTCCTGTAAAGGATCAGAAAAGTAAATATTTTAGGCTTTATGGACCACATGTGGTCCTTATCCCTCCTCCTTTCCTTTCCGTCTTCACTTCTCCCTTTTCTCCTCCTCTTTTTTTTTTTTTCCTTAACCTTTCAAAAAAAATGTAAAAGCTATTCTTAGTTGCTGACCCTACAAAACAGGCTATGGGCTAGATTTTGCCCATAAACAGTACTTTGCAGACTCCTGACATAAAAGTTTATATCTGAATAAGTTTGATGTATGTCATGTTTTTAAGTGGAGCTCCTCCATGCTGCAGAAGTTGTCCCAAAGTAATACAAAAGTTCAGTGCAATTCTGATTAATATCACATGGAGATTTTGTAAAGTAGAATGTGATAAGCTTATTTTAAAATTTGTCTGCAAGAGAAAATGTTTAACAATAGCCAAGAAAAGTTTGAAAACACATTGAAGGGGGCTTCTCCTACAGAATATAAAAACCAGCTGGGCGCGGTGGCTCATGCCTGTAATCCCAGCACTTTGGGAGGCCAGGGTGGGCGGATCACGAGGTCAGGAGATCGAGACCATCCTGGCTAACACGGTGAAACCCCGTCTCTACTAAAAAATACAAAAAAAATTAGCCAGGCGTGGTGGCGAGCACCTGTAGTCCCAACTACTCGGGAGGCTGAGGCAGGAGAATAGCGTGAAGCTGGGAGGCGGAGCTTGCAGTGAGCCGAGATCGCGCCACTGCACTCCAGCCTGGGCGATGGAGCGAGACTCCGTCTCAAAAAACAAAAAAACAAAAAACAAAAAAAAAACCAGTCTTTTATAAGACAGTATAGTATTGGCACAAGAATAGACAAATCAATGAAACAGAAACGGATCCAGATTTATGAAATTTACTCAACTAATTTTCCTGAAGTCATGCTTCATCTTGAATGTATACTTGGTTTTTCTAAAAATGATTTTCTATTCTTTTATTTTCTTTCTGTGTTTAGGTATAAGTGTGCTAGCGGAGTGTCTAGATTGTCCTGAATTGAAAGCAACTGCAGATGACTTTATTCATCAGCACTTTACTGAAGTTTACAAAACTGATGAATTTCTTCAACTTGATGTCAAGCGAGTAACACATCTTCTCAACCAGGACACTCTGACTGTGAGAGCAGAGGATCAGGTGACTAAATTGCCTTCTCACATTTTTCTTAATAAAAATGTCTTTATTGGTTTCTTAAAACTCATGTTTGGACACATGACAAGGGAAAGAGTCATATTAGGAAAGAATATGTTCTTTACACTAAACAGAGTATTGTAATCTTAGGTGCTTGCCAGGCTGGCTCTTTGAGAAATAGGCCACTTCATAGAGATAAAGCCATTGGGTACCATGGTAGGCAGAACAATGCCTTCCCCAAAGAAGTCCACTTCCCAATCCCCAGCATCTGGAATATACCTGTGTGGCAGATAGGACTTTGCATATGTGACTAAGTTAAGGATTTTGAGATGAGATTATCCAAATGGGCCCAGTGTAATCATAAAGATCCTTAAATTTGGAAGAGGGAAGCAAAAGAAGGCAGCGTCAAGTGGTGCAATGTGAGAAAGACTTGACTGGTCATTGCTGTCTTTGAAGGTGGAAGGGGACCATAAGCCAAGGAATGCAGGCAGCTGCTAGATGCTGGAAAAGGCAAGGAAGTGGTTTCTCCTGTAGAGTCTCCAGGCAGACACACTGGTTTTAGTCCACTGTGACCCATTTTGGACTCTGACCTATAGAACTGTCAGATAAACTGTCAGAAGTGTAAGCTGGTTGCAGTCATTTGGGAGCTGGGTGGGAGAACACTTTATTTAATTCATTCATTCATTCATTCATTCATTTATTGAGACGGAGTCTCGCTCTGTTGCCCAGGCTGGAATGCAGTGGCGTGATCTCTGCTCACTGCAAGCTCCTTCTCCCGAGTTCACGCCATTCTCCTGCCTCAGCCTCCCTAGTAGCTGGGACTACTGGTGCCCGCCACCGTGCCCGGCTAATTTTTTGTATTTTTTAGTAGAGACGGGGTTTCACCGTGTTAGCCAGGATGGTCTAGATCTCCTGACCTTGTGATCTGCCCGCCTTGGCCTCCCAAAGTGCTGGGATTACAGGCGTGAGCCACCGCACCCGGCCTTATTTATTTTTTTGAGATGGAGTCTCACTCTGTTGCCCAGGCTGGAGTGCAGTGGCATGATCACGGCTCACTGCAACCTCCACCTCCCGGGTTCAAGCGATTCTCATGCCTCAGCCTCTCAAGTAGCTGGGATTATAGGTATGTGCCACCACACCCTGCTAATTGAGATGGGGTTTCACCATGTTGGCCAGGCTGGTCTCAAACAGTTGACCTGCCCACCTCAGCCTCCCAAAGTGCTAGGATTACAGATGTGAGCCACCATGCCTGGCTGTGGGAACACTTTAATATGCAGACTCACTTAATCTCTCTTTTCAGCCCCACATCCTTCTCTATATTTTAAGCCACTAAGTTTGTGGTAATTTGTTACAACAGCAATAGAAAACTAATATAGGTACTATAAGATCATATGTTTTAAGTTGCTTTTGTTCTAAAAACAAAAATTTGCACTTAGCAATGTTCTTTTGCCCAGTCTTCTTCGTGGCCCAGAGTATCAATTTGCAAATTGACAGGTTGGACCTGGAGGACCTCACTAGATAAATAGAAAAAATTTACTTCCATGATCAAAATTGGTTGACTTAAATGCAGTATGGAAAAGGAGTAACAAGTAACATTACACTGGAGAAACGTTATAAACAGTACCTGCAGATGGTCAGCATTAGCATCATCAGTGATGTCATGTTGATAGTATGCACACTTGATGTAATGAAAATGCCATTCACCTCTATGATCGTCCTCCTAAAAAACCATAACCTCAGTCTAATAAGTAACACATCAGATAAACCCATATTGAAGGACATTCTCAACAAAATACCTGACCAGAACTCAAAACTGTCAAGGTTGTCAAAAACAAGGAAAGGCTGAAAAACTGTCACAGTCTAGAAGATTCTAAGGTTTAATGACTACATGTAATATGGTGTTCTTTATAGTATTGTGGAACAGAAAAATAACACTAGATAAAAACTAAAGAAATCCAAAAAAATATGAAATTTAGTTAATGTGTCAATATTGGTTCATTAGTTATGACAAATATACCATACTAATGCAACACCTTAACAACTGGGGCAGGGTATGTGGAAACTCTTTGTGCTATCTCTGCAACTTTTCTATAAATCTAAAACTATTCTAAAATAAATTTGTTTAAAAAAAGACCAATTCCCATAAAAAATTAACTCAGAAAGAGATCAGAAGTTAGGCCTTATTAATATCACTCGAAAATTAATTACAAATATCACCCCAAAATTAATTTAGTGGGTATGGGAGATGTGTGTGTATATGAAGCAATTGATTTTTTGGGGGGTGTTTAATGATTTGTAAGTTAAATTATGTTGAGGAACTTGGACTTGTTCAGTGCAGTTAAATGAAGCAACAGTATTATTTTGGAAGACAATTCTTTTGAATATCCTGTAATTTATTTTTAAGTATAGAATTCTTTATATCTTAAAGTTTCTAAAAAGCAGATAAGTCTATCCATTCATAATGCAGGAATATAATATTGAAATAAAATCATGGGTGACCTTCGTATCTCCTGGAATGGACGGCCTCTTGAGAAATTAACCTGTTTTCCTGGTACTAAACTAAATGAGTATATGTTGAAACTTTTGTTGACTGATAGTTTTTTTTCAGTGCAATGTATATCATGTCTTTGTCTGAAAAGGAAGCTATCTTTTTTTTAATCATAAATTCAACATCCTCCCTGTCATTACACTACATAATAGTAGTTAGTTCTAAAAAACATATTACCTACAAGACTCACTAGAGCAGTATGTAAGCTGTTTTGAAGAACCAGCAAGTGTCCAGGGATGAAAAATACTAGAAATAAGTGGTTATCTCCTTATGAGGTTCTCTCCCTTCAATATGAGAGTAAACATAGGTAATTGGAAATGTTGCTGTCTTCTAAGAACTTTACTGTGCTGTTTTTCCCCCTTAGGTTTATGATGCTGCAGTCAGGTGGTTGAAATACGATGAACCTAATCGCCAGCCATTTATGGTTGATATCCTTGCTAAAGTCAGGTTTCCTCTTATATCAAAGAATTTCTTAAGTAAAACGGTACAAGCTGAACCACTTATTCAAGACAATCCTGAATGCCTTAAGATGGTGATAAGTAAGTTGCCTTAATAACCATTTATAACCTGATCATGTAGCCAGTTTCTCATGGGCTTAAAACCCTTTAGAATGGATTAGACTCAGTAGCCAGGGAGAAACATTCAAGATTTTGCTCTTCTAGATAGTTAATCCCTTGGGTTTCTGAACTGTACACCTGGAAGGGACTTGGCCTCAACCCTTATTTTATAGGGGTATATGTGATAGAAGGTACAAATTACTTATGCTTTTCCTATTCTTGTATACAATAACTTTCATGCGCTTTTGTTTCTAGTGTTTCCTTTTTTATTTTACTCAGCCAAGTAGTGTACTGTGATCACATTTTCTTTCTTAAACAGTATTTTGTCTTTTTTGGCCCAGAGATAAATATTGCCACATCGTTTTCATTTGCTTCCATTTTCTTGCTTGCTGGCTAAGTCCCAACCCCTCAACACCTTTGTACAATGCCACTTAATAAAATTGTCTATACAATTAAACAATCTGTTGCTTTTCTTTCTTGGAAATATGCCTTGTAGAACCTTTCTTCTGCCTATTCCAATATGAACTGTTTGCTCTCTAGGCCTGAGGCACAGTTCTTGTCCTAGGGTTTCCTTCTGCACAATCCTGGGAAGCCATTTCACTCCTCTCCTGTTAGATCGGTTGTCTTCTTGGATCCTGGCTGTCCTCTACCTTAATTCTTTTTGTTTGATGCAACATATCCTCTAAAAGGTTCCTGATAGAGTATATTATCAGTAAATATTTGGAGGCTTGACAAATCTCATATGTTTATTTTATCATAAATTATTGAAGGAGGCTGGGCACAGTAGCCCACAACTCTAATCACAGCATTTTGGTAGGTCAAGACAGGAAGATTGCTTGAGGTCAGGAGTTTGAGATTCACCTGGGCAACATAGCGAGATTCCAACTCTCCAAAAAAAAAAAAACCTAGCCGGGCGTGGAGGCATGTGCCTGTGGTCCCAACTACTCCAGTGGCTGAGGCAGGAGGATTGCTTGAGCCCAGGAGTTTGAGGTTACAGTGAGCTCTGATCCTGCCACTGCACTGCTACAGCCTGGGCAACAGAGTAAGACCTTGTCTATTTAAAAAAGAAAGAAAGATAGTTAAACTGAAGATAGAATTATGCTGAAAATCATTTTCAGTTAGAATTTATCTTCTAGCTTCCAGTGTTATTTTGAGAAGTCTAGTGCCAATCTGATCCTTTTCTTTCTTTTTTTTTTTAATTATCCATCTTTGTCTCTTGGCCTTTTTCTGAGAGAGAGCTTGATTTTTTTCAACCCTTTTATTTCAGCTATACTTTTTAATTTCTGGAGTTTTTATTCTCTAATTTATTATTTCATGGCTGCAATATCTTATCACTCTAAAGTAGTCTTTGTAGTGCTTTTGAAGTTTTCTTATGTTGTCTGTATTTTCTATATTAGAGTTTCCTTTTCCTTTTTTTATTGGAAGCTTTTCTTAAATATTTGGTTTTATATCATATGAGAGTGAGTTATTACAAAACTGATAGATAAGGCTGTATGTATGAGTGGGCATCTCAGTTCTTGGGCTAAACTGTAGCATAATCAGAGTAGCTGGTCATTTTTAAAATTGGGGACCCCCAGATGTCAGTATTTGTAGATATTGTCTCAGGGAACTATAAGCTGGGTGTAGGCATTTGGGAACTGGATGAAGTAATATTTTGCTATGCAGACTTTCACTTAATCCATATTTGTATTTGTTTTATTTTACTTTATTTTTTTGAGACAGAGTCTCCCAGGCTGGAGTACAGTGGTAAAATCACAACTCACTACAGCCTTGACCTGTCCGGCACGAGTGATCCTTTCACCTCAGCCTCCCAAGTAGCTGGGACTACAGGCACACACCACTATGCCCAGCTAATTTTTGTATTTTTTTGTCAAGATGATGTCTCGCTATCTTGTTCAGGCTGGTCTCAAACTTCTGGGCTCAAGCAACCCTCCTGCCGAGGCTTCCCAAGATGCTGGGATTACAGGCATGAACCACAGTGCCTGGCCTTAATCCATGTTTTCAGACTCCCATCCTTTTCTGTGCTGTTCTCTGAGTCTGGAACATTTCTCTTTCAGTATTTCCAAAGACGAATCCTGTCTCCTACAGTGGTACAGGTACAGTGGGTACCTGACTGTGCAACAGGGGAAGGAGAACTGGAAGTTCAATTGTCGTTTGTTCGGTATTTTAGAGTTATCTTGTTTTCATCCCTACCTGCACTTCTAGGTACTTAGTATCTCCAATTATGAGCCTTTTCAGGGCTCTGCAGGGTAATTTAGCTTGCTTTTCATTGGTGTCTCCTGGCACAACCATTTAGGTTTAACAGACACTCCATCTGCCAGCTGTCTTCATAGATTGTGTTTTGGGGTTGCAAGTCTCTTAGTACTATCAAAGACGGAGTTTGTGTTTGTTTCTTGTTTCTTTGTTGTTTGGGATAGCTTTCAAGAGAAGAGGAGAAAAAGGATCTTAAAATGGCCAAGTCTGATCTCATGTTGTTTTTATATTGTTAAGTCTGAACTAGTCTTTTCCTTTGTGATGTGGTTGGAAAGGTCTTCCCTGTTCCAAGGAGATTTTTAAAAATTAGCTAAATTTTCCTCTTGTGCATTTATCACTTATAGAGTTCTTCTTCTTCTTCTTCTTCTTCTTTTTTTTTTAATTTTAAGGCTATATCTTACTGAAATCTATTGGGTGTGAAATAAATAATATTTTTCCTAATATATCTGATAAGATGGCTCAATACCATTATTGAAAAATTCATTTTTTCCCACTGATTTGAAACACATTAAACTAAATTTCCATATATCTATATGTACACACATCACTTCTCAGTATTTTGGCTAAGATCAAGTATAGTGTAGGTACACATACACACAGTCAGTTTCTCTTCTACTTCATTCTAATACCTTTTAATTATTGTTGTACTTCATTTAAATTGCCATGTGTCTCTGGAGAATTTGTAATTTTCTTATGAGTAATTTTCTTATGAGTAATTTTCTTAATTTATTTCAGATATTTTTGTTGTCATTGTAAATTGTATCTTTTTCCTTCTATGTATTACTTATTAACCTGGACTTTTTTTTTTTTTTTTTTAGACAGTCTCGCTGGCTTCCAGGCTGGAGTGCAGTGGCATGATCTTGGCTAACTGCAACCTCCACCTCCTGGGTTCAAGTGATTCTCGTGCCTCAGCCTCCCAAGTAGCTGGGATTATGGGCGTGCGCCACCACACCCAGATAATTTTTGTATTTTTAGCAGAGACAGGGTTTCGCCATGTTGGTCAGGCTAGCCTCAAACTCCTGGCCTCAAGAGACCCGCCCACCTCTGCCTCCCAAAGTGCTGGGATTACAGGTGTGAGCCACCAACGCTGGCCTACCCTGGTCATTTTTTATGGTCTTTTTTCCTTGCTTGTGTTTTCAGTTCTTGCTTTACCTTAAACTCTTCAAATGTTATTTTATGTTTTATGTTTGGTAATGTCAGTATCTGAAGTCCCTGAGGAACAGTGCTGCTATTTGTTGGTTCTATTGACTTATTTCTGGTGGCGTAATTCCTTATATGTTTTGTAATTTTGAATGGTATGCTTATATTTGATTGACCTTAATCATCAGGAATATTGGGAGGCTTAGGTTGTGTCTTCTGTGTTCTCTGGCAGGTCTTCTCTCTTCTCCTCAATAGAACGGTGTTTGCTTTTGCCAAGTTCTATAGGGCACAACAATCCAGGACTACTTTGAGTTTTCTTTGGCTTATGGTTTCCTAGACTTGCAGGTAGGGTAAATTCAAACCTCGAACCTGCATGAGGGTAAGACTGTCCATATAAATTCTCAAAAGAGGGAGACTTTACCTCTACCTGAAGCTGAAGTTGAAACAGACAAATTATTGCTGCTGCTTCTGCCATTGGGCAGGTATTTTTCTTAGCCCATCCTTTCACTAAAAGTGTAACCACCAATCCTAGTGATCCAGCTTCATCTCAGTTCCAACTCCTTATCTTGAGCAGATCCAAGACTTTATCTCCTCTGCCTCATACAGCCAATAAAAACAATTTCTAGGTTTCCAGTATTTTCATTAGACTTATCACATAGCTACTGCTTACTAGTATGATGGGGTTTTAGGTAAGTAGACCCAATGTTGTCCATAGATTGGAAAGAAATATATCCATACAATGCAATGTTCTATAGTTACTAAAAATATTTTACATGGATATCTAATAATGAAAATTTTCATAAGTGCCAAATGCATATTTTTTTTAATTAAATGAAAACAAAACTGAAAAAGACTAAGTGTGTTTGAACCTAGTCGAGGTTGTCAAAGGAAAAGGAGAAGAGATGTGTGTCAAGGACACATCCTTACAAATACCTATATTTAAGGGGTACAAGAAAATTAAAAAAAAAAAAAAACAGCAGCCCCAAAGCTACTTGAACCAAAGGCTAGTGTCTTGGAAAACCATGGTATAAGAGAGTGTTTAGAAGATAGAACGTACATGGCCACTTGTCTCTTTAAATGCAGAGAGGAAAGAAAATCAGGACCAAGAAGATGCCTTTACATTAGGACTTTTGTCTCTTAGATTTTGTACATGCTAGTATCAGGTTTTTTGTTATGCCCAATTCCCAAACTGTGTGTTATTTTTCTGGCCTTAGAATTTCTATTTCTTCATACATGGTCTGGGCTGTTGAAAACAACCAGCCAGTCTCAGAATCTAGTGTTTAGTTATTACATGGATTCTGAACTGATTAAGAAACAGGATAGCAGTATTATTTCAGAAATTCAACCAAGTGTGAGGATTAGACACTTGAGCAGGATGCTTTGTTGTTTAGTTTAACTTACTAGGCTTATTACATTTTTTCTTTTCCTTTTTTAAAATAAATAATAGTGGATTGTTCTATTACTCCTTGACTAAGCACAAGCAGCTGAGAAGCTTCCAAGCTTTGGGGCCTGGGCAGAGCTAAACTGGGGAAAGGCTTCCAGCCTTTCTTTTTCAGATCATCAGTTGTCTTCCTACCACCGGACTTTGTTGCCTTTCCAGAGTAGAAGAAAAACAGAAAAGACGGTTGAAAAATAACATAAAACTAAGCTTAAAAATTTTACATCCAAAAGAAAATGAATTACAAAATACAAATGAAGTGCACAGCCAAAGCCACCACAAAGGGCCAGGCCAACTTCTTACTGAAAATTTAGAAATGATTATACCTAAATCTGGAAAGAATAACTCCCAAAGGAATAAGCCTAAGCAACAATTAGCTCCTCAGAGAAAGATACCAAAGTGTCCCCCAGCCCTATTCTTGGGGAGGAAAAAAAAGGCCCATTAGTGAAAGAGCCAAAGGCATGCCTCCTCCAGTGTGTCAGCACAGTTGGCCATGGTCAGCCACTTTTACCACATGGCCTGTTGGTGGAAACAGTTCCCTCTTGTCTCTCTCCTTCCCTCCTACCTTTCTCTTACTGGGAATATTGCGTTCATAGACTACACAGTCCACTTTCAGCCTGTGTGGAACCATCCTAGAGCAGTGGCTCTCAAACCCCTCCCTAGCATTTCTGATTCAGAAGGTCTGGGTTAGTGTTCAATAATTAGGATTTTCAACACACTTCCAGATGATACTGATGCTGCTGGTTATGGAAGCACACTTCAAGAACTACCCACAGGCTAAATGCAGACTTGAGCTAATGTGATTTTTTACAATTGTAAAGGATTATAAAATAAACAAAGAATATTCCACAGAAACCATATGTGGCCTGCAAAGTCTATCTGTCCCTTTACAGAAAAAGTTTTCAGACCCCTGACCTAGAGCTTGCGTCAGCATGCCTTGGCCTCTGAAATATCCAGCTGTTTGAATGCAAAAGAGCTTCTACTCAAACTCTGAAATGGAAGAAATGATAAATATTGATAAAGATGTTCATTAATTCACCAACTATTCTCCAAATGAGTTTTCTTTCTCTATCCTTTTAATAAAGACCCAACATAGCCTCATTTATAGAAATGTTTTGCATGTGTCAGGAATTTTTGGGCCAGGCATGCTGTTTCAGGCCTGCAATCCCAGTGCTTTGGGAGGCTGATGTGAGAGGACTGCTGAGCCTAAGAGTTCAAGGTTATAGTGAGTTGTTATGGCACCACCGCACTCCAGCCCAAGTGACAGAGCAAGACCCTGGCTCTAGAAAAAAATAAAATAAAATGGCCTTATTTTATTTTTAGATTGATAATATTGTACAATTCAAAAGGTATTAAAAGGATACATAGTGAAAAGTAAGTCTCCCTGATACCCCTTTTCCCTACTCTCTCATTCTCTTACCCTGGAGATTAACATTATTATCTTGTATATACCCTTCCAGAGGTAGTCTTGAGATTGTGCATACAGTCATTTACTTATATATCCATGTATAAATTACATGTGTAAAATTTGTATATTTGCATTAAAATATACATTTTTAACACAAACAGTAGTGCACTCTGCGTACTGTTCTACATCTTGCTTTTTTTCATTCCATATTATTTATTGGAGATCATTCCATGCGTACATACTAATCTTTCTCATCTTAACAGCCACATATAATGTTCTATTGTATAGACATAGCATAATTTTTTAACCACTTCCCTAACAGTGAACTTTAGATTGATAAACTCCTAGAAAGGGGAATTCCTGGGTTAAAGGGTGTATACATTTATAATTTTTGTAGATTGGGCTATATCACCCTTCCCATGGTTATACCCATCCACATCCCCACCATCAATGGAAGAGAGTGCTGCCTCCCCCGATACAACCATATTATACCCTGTGGTCCAGGCAGTTTGATCTTGGCCAATCTGATAAGTGAAAAAAGTATGATTTTAATTTGTATTTTTCTAACTAGAGCACTCAAGCATCTTTTCATATGTTTAAGAGTTATAGTTCTTTTTCTGTGAACTATATTCAGATACTTCACCAATTTTTGGTTAAGTTGCTGGTAATTCTTATAAATTAATAAAGTGTCTTTTAATAGTATTTTTTATTATTTATAAATATTTTCCTAGTTTGTCATCTTTTAATTCTGCCTTTTCTTTTTGCCATGCACTATTTTAACTTAAACAAAATTTCATATAGTTAAGTCTGAACAATTTTTTCTGGCTCCTATGTTTTTGGTCATTCTTAGGCTTCTCCATTCTGGGCCTGTTTTGTTTTTTTTTTTTTCTTTTCTTTTTTTTAAGCTTTTAGTGCATTTATGGGTTTATATATTCAGATTTTTATTGATTTGAAATTGAGAGTGAAATATGAGGTAGGGGTATAATTTCTTTCTTCATATTGTTGTCTAACATAGACCATCCTCCTTTCCCACACTGATTTGAAATGATACTTTAACAGTTTTTGATTGTTAAGTGGCACTGACAAAATTAAGGAATTGCTGAAGGAAAAGGATCATGACAGATCACAGTAGTTCTGACCTTATTGCATTTTAGAGTCATCTAAGACAGTGCTTCTCAAAGTTTTATGTACATCCTAATTACCGTGGGGTGTTAAATATGCAGATGCTGATTCAGTAGGTCTGGGATAGGGGCCTGGGATTCAGCATTTCTAACAAACTCCCAAATGCTGAAGCAGGTGGTCTTTGAACCACATTTTAAGTGGCAAGATTTAAGAAGCCCTTTAAAATACCAATTCCTAAACACTACCTAGAGATTTTTATTTAATTAGTCTGTGGTAGGTCCCAGGTATCAATAGTTTCAGAGATTTTCTAGGTGATTCTAATGTAAAGATCAAGAACCACTGGGTTAGGAGATCTGGATTTCAATAATTATTATTTTGGCAGCTGTTGCTTGAGGAGCCAGATAATTCACTGGTACATAGTAGTTGCTTACTGGGTGGGGCAGTCTTAGAATAATGGTGATTGCTGAGAATAAATGAATTGGTTAGTACTCGGATCCTTATGCATTTCTCCTGCCTCTTCCCCCTCACTTTCCTCAAATGCTATAGAGATATCATAAAAGTAAGTTACTGAAATAAAGGCCCTATTATGTCTGGGTATTTCGTTTTCAAAGCACTGGTTAGTGCCTGAAGTTCTTGAAGCGTTGCCATGTATTTTACTACAGGTGGAATGAGGTACCATCTACTGTCTCCAGAGGACCGAGAAGAACTTGTAGATGGCACAAGACCTAGAAGAAAGAAACATGACTACCGCATAGCCCTATTTGGAGGCTCTCAACCACAGTCTTGTAGATATTTTAACCCAAAGGTAACTAATTTTTATTCTTGGTTTTTGTTGTTGTCTTTGAAATCACTGAACACATAAGACACTCACCAACTAGAAGTAGTAATAACTCATACCTTTAGAGATGATAGTTTATGGTGTTCTTTCACATATGTTATGAGATACATAGATCATTTTACAGATAAGGAAATCAGGCTTAGATTCCAAATGTTTCCTTAATTGTTCTGGAATGCTGCGTGGTAACCACTGTCAAAGAAAAAGGGAAACTAGTTCTTCCTCACCCCTTTATGTCAGCAGCTCCTTGCATTCATTACAGTTTCTTCCTTATGTCCCATTTTCAATGAAAATCTCTTTCTGGGCCAAATTTGTTTGTTTTTTTCCCCTTAATAATTTTAATATGAAATAACACATAGTCATTCTAGAATATTTGGAAACCCTAGAAAACCACAAAGAAAAAAGATTAAATGACCTTTATTTGAACCACCTAGAAATGATCACCAAGTTTAGTGAACTTTTCATTACATATCATGCCGACCAACTGGGTCAGGAGAGCTTGAGTCATAGGTATAGGAATAAAAAAATTTTTAATAGATCATTACTTATAACCTTAAGACGGTCCACTCACATTTCTACTCCTTGTTTCATAGACCTGTGTGTTTTGGCTGTGGGAGAAAGAATACCATATTTTTCTGGTACTACATGTATTGCTGGGGAAGAGCAAATACCACATCCTAAAGGATAACACCCCAAACTTGCAAGGTGATATCCATAAGTGGTGCTGAATCCAAACACATAATGATCTCTTTCATGATTTTGCAAACCCATTTTTGGTTGGATAGATACCTGATGAGACCAGAGCATTATTTCAAGCCTACATCCTTCTGGATAAACCACTAGCAACTGCCCAAGACTTGATAAAAACTGACCTTAGGCTTTCTCTCCTAAAAGGTATAATGGACAATAAAATGAACTGCTTGGAATTCTGTCAAGTCAGAACACTTTCCTTCATATTGTCCTTCAAAACAATTCCTGAGGCGGCGGGGGGGCTACAACGCTTCTGCAGCTCATTATTGGCTATTACTATCAAAAGTGAACCAAGCCCAGGCCTCTCAAGTTTGTTAGCTGATATATTAGTGACACCCCTCCATGAAGGCACAGTCCTGGGTGAGGGAGAAAGATAGTGAATTAAGTGAAGGGCTACTGGATAAGCACTGTCATTAGTCTATTTGGGTATTTTGTGCCTTTGGAACCTCCGTAAGCCCAGTCTTGCATTTACATGCTACATTGTTGGTTGAAGGCATGCTGTATTTGTGGCTAGGCAGGTCAGGTAAAATTGTTCAAGATGGGTTAATGACATGGTCACCTGGTTTCCCTTGGTGTTAGACATTTGCCATCTGTCAGAACCTCATGGGCAGCTGGGAATTGTCTACTGAAAGAATGATACCTGCATAAAGGAGGCTGGCCTTGCTCCAGAATTTGGGGCATGCTCTGATTATATTGAGACATACCTCAAGCTATATGCAGCATCCTAATGCCCCAGGATCACAGGCAGTTGAGCCATACTACTGTAGCCTGTCCCACTTAGAAAGATTTCTCCTACTCTAGATTTTACTTGTAACTGATAGCTTTGCAGTTTACCCAGAAGTGTAATAACCATATGCCATCTCTAATATGTAGGAGGTGCTAGGGGTCAGCAAGCTGTCCATTTTCAAGGGGTTCTTCCAACATGCTGTAGATCAGGGCTCCACAGACTTTTCTATAAAGGGCCAGAGTAAGTATTTTCAGCTTTGCATGCCATTCATTCTCTGACCCAGTTGCAGGAAAGCAGCCATAAACAATACATAAGCAAATGGTCATGGCTGTGTTCCAATAAGACTTTATTTACAGGCCAGGTGCAGTGGCTCATGCCTGTAATCCCTGCACTTTGGGAGTCCAAGGTGGGTGGATCACCTGAAGTCAGGAGTTTGAGACCAGCCTGGCCAACATGGTGAAACTCCGTCTCTACTAAAAATACAAAAAATTGGCTGGGCATGGCAGTGCATGTCTGAAATGTCAGCTACTCGGGAGGCTGAGGCAGGAGAATCACTTGAACCCAGGAAGTGAAGGTTGCAGTGAGCTGAGATCACGCCACGGCACTCCAGCCTGGGCAACAGAGTGAGACTATGTCTCAAAACAAACAAACAAACAAAAAAAGACTATTTACAAAACCAGCTAAGGGGGTGGATTTGGCCTTCAGGCCATAGTTTGCCAACCTCTGCTCTAGACCTAAGAACATCTAGGGACTTTGAAGCAATCAGCACTGTATTCTAGGCTAACTTATCTTCTGTCCTGTCAAGCAACATTTCTTACCAAGACATATAGGATCCTTTCCATTTTCTGGTCTCCAGAAATGGTTAGCATTACGCGCATCAACACAGGAGACCAGTATGTGACCTTGGGAAGGTGAGATGGTCCAGGATGCCTGCAGCTTAGATTATGGCATAGAGCTAAAGAGTCAAGGGATCCTTGAGGTCAGACCATGACATTTAAAAATTTTCCCTGCCAGCTGAAAAGGAATTCAATCTAATGATCTGGGTAGATAGAAACAGAAATATGCGTTAGCCAAAGTGTTAGCTATATGGCAAGTTTTCCTGGTTATATTAATCTGATCCAGTAAGAAGACTATATCTGGCCCTCTTGTAACAAAGTTACCAGTCTCAGCAGTTCCTCCAAGGCAAGCAGTTCCTCTTATATTTTGGTAGAGAAAGAAACTTCCATCAGTTTCTCTTTCTTACCATAACACTTAACACCATACCCATAGAGCAAATATGCCACCAGATAGCAAAAACACCTCCCCAAGGAGGGAAGGATCAGGTTAGATTTGTTAATCACCATCATATTTGGACTGTCCCTATTGGCCCGCTCTTGGCTCAGACATCAATTTCTGGTCTATTCCTTCATCTCCAGAATATAGGCTGACTTTTTACCTACAGAAATCTGGCTTTCTCAATAGAAGACTGAGTGACTAGCAGGTGCCGTGAGAATTCATGGCCTGTGTGCTATCCAATAAGCACAGTGTCCTCACTGTGAGGACACCGGCAATGGCTATTTGTGTTTTTTAATTTTTCAGGATCCTTTTGAGTGAAGAACAGGAAAATTATAAACTTTTTTTTTCCCCAAAGAAAAACTGAAATGATAGTTTAAATTGTAATTCTAGGCCAGGCACGGTGGCTCACACCTGTAATCCCAGTACTTTGGGAGCCCAAGGTGGGTGGATCACCTGAGGTCAGGAGTTTGAGACCAGCCTGGGCAACATGGTGAAACCCCATCTCTACTAAAGCTACAAAAAATTAGCCAGGCGTCGTGGCAGGCGCCTGTAATCCCAGCTACTGGGGAGGCTGAGGCAGGATAATCGCTTGAACCCGAGAGGTGGAGGTTGCAGTGAGCTGAGATCACACCACTGCACTCCAGCCTGGGCAACAAGAGAACAGCAACCAAAAAAACAAAACAAAACAAAACAAAACAAAAATTGTAATCCTAAAAACTATAGATTAATAATAATTACACCCAATTTGTTTCCCAAACCATAACTATGGTGTTGATTTTGGCAGTTAAAAAGCAATTAAGCCAAGTGTTGGTGGAAAATATTTTATTTTAAAATAAAGTAGATGGCTATTTTGATGTACAGATGGGCAAGAAGAATTCTGAGTTCATTTAGGAGGCAGGGAGCATTGTTCCTAGAATAAGGCAAATGTGGGATGACTCTTAGCACTTTATTTTTAGTCTGTAGTTCTAATTCTTTCCTTGATTTTTTTTTATTGGACAGTTGAAAAGAGATGCATATTCTTCTACACGAGCCTGGAAGTGAGACTGTAACTTCAGAATTCTCATTTGTTGTCTTGCCTTGCTCTTATAAATGAGTCATTCCTAATTGCACTTTGAAAATTTATGGGAAAATTTAAATAATTGAGGAATGAACTACCAATAAAAACATTTTCATTCCATCAGTTATAGTTCTTGTATTTCATTGGTGACAGGAGGCAAATATTTGTATTTATTGATGACTAAAAAGTTATAGCAAAGAAAAATCTTTTTTCTGAATATTGACAGAAAAAGAAGTCTTGGGTTGCTATATTGAATTGAAATGATATTTTTCTTGTTATCATCCTTTTATAAAGCCTATTGAGCTGCCTCTTCCCATCCTGTATGTTTTTAAATCATCAAGTGCTTAGTGGTTTCTAAAAGAGTTATGTATTCAGTGTTCTATTTATCCTAGTATTGGTGTTCTCAGTCTGTAACATGGTAATGTCTTACGATATTAATACCTAAATAAAAGTTGACTTAACTGATCAGTTTTTATTTGGATTCCTCCTCCCAGTGAAATGGTGAGCTGGGGCTTTGTAAGGATCTTGGCTTCATACGGTGGAGAAACGGGAGACTATGCCCTGGAGAATATGGGACTCTGCATATTCCCTGCCAACAATAAACTAGTAGTAAGACTAGCAGGGCGAGGGCCAGAGCCTGTAAATTACTAAGGCAGAAAACTATGTGGCACCCTATTCATGGAACTACCAGGTTCAGAAGGTTTACCCTGGGTGCATTTTCATATTCAGAACTCTAAGGTAGACTCATTACTGAGCTCAGTGTCTGGCACAGGGTGAGTACTCAAGTTTATAAGGATGAATGAACCAATATAACTTTACATAATTTTCTCAGTTGGTTTTATAAGACTGGATCTAAATATAGAAGGCTCTAAATAAAAGAAGAGAAAAAGAAGTTATCTTTAACTTGGGACACATTTTCCTGTCAGAAATATTTTATATTAAAGATATTGCAGTGCCTGTATCATAGCCGCCTTCCCTCTTAAACAGGTCCTCCCTAAGGAGGAAACAGTCCCACCCTGTGATCATGGCGGAAATCAGCAGTTATAAATTGTGTACGATTTTAAAAGATCATGTGCATAAATGAAGTATAAACCTTAAAGGAAAATGGTGTTACATCACAAAAAATTGAGAGTTTTATAGCAGTATATCAGTAGCGTTTGTCACCAGCAAAGAGCTCTAGAAGTACTACACAGAAGTAAAAATGTGAACACTGCTACAATGATCAGAAGCACCTACAAGAACAAAATATCTAAAATAGGCAGCAATCATCCCAGATGAGGTGGACCTCTAGCTGCAGGCCCCAGCAGCTGACATTGCTGAGATGCAGGTGTGGGTCATCATGAGTATCCCTTAAGCTTCCTTAGTTGTCAGCATCATGGGCAGCCAGGGGTAAACAGTGTTCTCTGCAGTTTGTGCATGAAAGGTATTCTCCCTGATTCTTTGAAGGCAGTTTGTTAGACAGGTGGTCTTCATGTTCATGTAAAGAAGAGAGTAAATCACATCCTGAGGTAAGTTCTCAGTTATATGCTCTGGTTTCCTAGAAGGTCTTCCAAAATAGAGAGTCTCAATTTCTTTTCAAGTACCTCCATAATACACTGGTCGGTAGTTTTGTTCTAAAATCAACTTCACAGCCCCTTCCACCCCACCTTGGTATAGTGCCTGAAGTCCCCACATTCAAAGATTTGTTTCTCTTTGTGTTATGTCACTGCATCTCCAAGAAACCCCCAGTGAAAATATGACTGGTGCTGGGAGTCATGACATCAAACTCATTCTCCATAGCCACAGCTGGCCTTAATTATAAATTAACAGATCACTCTAAAAAGGGTCAGGGAGAGTGGAAACAGAGCTGCACATATTCGATTGAAGGCTGTAAATGGGAAGAAATGAGGAAAATGGGAATGTTATCTCCGTGAAGTTGTGTTGTGTCGTGTTTTTGAGACAGGGTCTTGCTCTGTCACCCAGGCTGGCGTGCAGTGGCACGGCCGTGGCTCACTGCAGCCTTGACCTCCCAGGCTCAAGTGATCCCCCACCTCAGCCTCTCTAGTAGTTGGGACTTTGGGCACTTGCCACCACACCCCACTAATTTTTTTCATTTTTTGTAGCAACAGGGGTCTCTCTGTGTTGCCAGGGCTGGTCTTGAACTTCTGGACTCAAGCAGTCCTCCTGCCTCAGCCTCCCAAAGTTCTGGGATTATAGATGTGAGCCACCACAGCCAGCCTGGGGTGGGGTTTTAAGGGACTCTAGCCTTTGGGAGGTAGCAAGAGAGCAGTGGGTCCATGAGCACAGGGCTGAAGGGATAAGTCAAGCTGAGGTTAACAGGGAATTCACACTCTTTACTAGACCATGTCACCAATAATTAATATTGGTTACCTTTGGTAATTGTTCATATGTTGACCCAGAGGTGCATTAAGAGCTGTCACCTCAGAAGTATTGAATCATATTCAGTTAGATTTGGTATGGATTATTTTCTATGAAAATTTGGTGATCCAGCTATAAAAGATAATTATCCTTACCTGTTACTAACAACAGAGTGTGTTGTATGGTTAGCTGGTTGTAAAAGTATGTTTAAATAAGTAATATTTTAGCATATATTCATGGTTCATATAGGATTTTAAATTTGTGGGTTGGACACCAGCAAGGGATATGAAAGACACATACTACAGGACCCTGTCCTCACACACACAGTGCGTGAGGTGTACACATAAGCACACAGCAGTTAGCACAGAGGTGGCTGTCAACACCTCTGCTGAACTTAACAGTTAATTGTCCTGATGTGTGATAGACAATGACTGTGTTGGTGGCATGGAAAGAAGAGAGCTCCCTGGGTCAGATATGTCAACCAGGAAACCTCTGTGGAAGCTTCATGGAAGTTTTCTTGAGGGAGACTTACTCGTAGGGTTTGGGTAGGAAGAAAGAGAAAAGACTTAAAAGTATATTGAATCCTGGGTATGAATGCATCTTGACTTGGTGAGTATGATTATTAAAATTTTTCATAAAAGCCCCCAAAAGTATTGTATAACTGAATGGAATCTAACTGGACTGCACTTTTTAAAAAAAAGGAAATTAGACATAGGTGGAAGAGCTGAAGGACTAGATCATTGGTCTTTTGTCTTTTGTGAGATCTTTTTGTTGTTTTGTTTTTAAAACAGGGTCTTCCTCTGTCAGACAGGGTGGAGTACAGTGGTAATCACTGCAGCCTTAACCTCCTGGCCTCAAGTGATTCTCCCACCTCAGCCTCCCAAGTAGCAGGGACTACAGGCGTGCATCACCACACATGGCCATTTAAAAAAAATTTTTTTGTGTGGAGACAAGGGTCTCACTATGTTGCCCAGGCTGGTCTTGAACTCCCAGTCTAAAGCCATCCTCCTGCCTTGGCCTCCCAAAGCACTGGGATAAAAGTACCTGAACCACCAAGCCTGGCTGAGATCTTTTTTTCCTTTTATCTTTTTTCTAGATATGACCTTAGGCAAGTCAGTTAGGATTTTCTCCTTCTTCTTCTTTGAAACAAGGTCTCACTCTGTTGCCCAGGCTGGAGTACAGTGGCGTGATCTCGGTTCACTGCAGCCTCAACCTCCCAGGCTCAAGCAGTCCTCTCACCTCAGCCTCCTGAGTAGTTGGAACTACAGGCACATGCCACTACACCTGCTAATTTTTAGATTTTTTGTAGAGACAGGGTTTTACCATGTTGCCCAGTCTGGTGTCAACTACTGAGCTCAAGCAATCTGCCTGCCTCAACCTCCCAAAGTGCTAGGATTACAGCCTTGCCCCACCATCAGTTAGCCTTTCTAAACCAGTTTTCTGGTCTAAAGCCAAAAAGTTTAAATCTTCTCAGGATTTGTGTGAATGTCAGTTATGTTCATCTGACTCTTTTTTCCTTTCTTTGCTCTCCTTCACTCCTCTGTCAGATTCTCCCTGTCACCCTTGGGTTTTCTAATCTTCCCATATTTAAATACAAAAATGCTTACCATCTTCCCCACTTTGCTTTTCCCTTCATCTTCTGAACTCTTCCAGACACCTGGGACATCTCCTGTACTCTGTACAAAGAGTAGATGTTTGTTTCATTGGTGAGAACGTTTTTATAAATGAGTATACTATTGCTTTCTGGGATTTGAGATAATTTAAAGTGTAATATACCTTGCTGCGCCAAGATTAAAAATTGCATGGCAAAGTTCACTTAAAGGCAATCTGTTTAGATAACTGGCAAGGTAGCAGCACAGGGATACTATATACTTCTCTAATATGTTATTTCTACTCAAAGGACAAGTACTGTTATCAAGCATAATATCCATGTCATGCTTACTCAACTTCAGACTGAGTTTTATTTAATGATTGAGTTTCTGAGTAGCTTAGGTTTGATTTTTGGTTTTTGGTGGTGTGGTTTTAATTTGAGAGTGGAGACAGGAAGAACATTTTGTGACTTTATAAAGCAGCAGTGATTCTTAATAATTCCCTTTCAGCTTGCCACTGGCCTCACTTTGGACTGTTTGCTAATTTTAGCTAATCATTAACAGCTAAGAAATGCCCATTTGTATATTGTTTGTTGCTAATTAAGCCTGATTTTATCTAGCAGCCTGCAATAGCACAACCTCCCTCCTCCTCCCCAACTGTGGAAGCTACTGAGCTACAATGTTACTGTTGTTGAAGAATTTGAGTTACAAGGATATTTTTCCTAATGGCTAATTACTAAATTTCTTTCTGGACTTAAGGAGGTTAATATGTTTCCAGTAATATTTATGTGACTACTGAAAATGAGCATATTTCAAAATATGTATACATCCTATGGAATTACTTGACATGATCAAGTGTTTGCTTCTGGAAAACCAGAGTGCCCTTAAGAACGTGCTATTTGGAAGGAAAGCAAAGACTGCCTCTAATCTGTCCTATAGTTTAAATTTAGTCTCATAATATAATAGCTATTTGTGTTTCTCAATTCTTAGAGCCTTTAAATTAGTTTGAATTAAATGTTCCTGTTAAAACATTTAGCACTAGTATAGGCTTCTGCTGACAAAAGTAGTTGTTTTCCTGGTACCATATTTTTGGTACCATTCATTGTATTTTCGTTGTTATTTTTTAAAAAAATACATATTCTTTGTAGAAAATATAGCAAGATATAAAGGAGAAAGTCAAAGTGCCCACAACGTCCAAAGACAGTCATCAGTAGTTAGTGAACATCATTTCAGTCCTTACATTTTACAAATACGGGATCATGCCTACATGCTATTTTACAGACTGTATTTTACTCTCACCATTTTATTATGGAGATATTTTCACATCAGTGAGAATGTCATCATTTTGAAGGGCTGTAGAGTATTCCATCACAAGGATACACCATAATTTAATACCTGTCTTCATCAAACACATTTAGTTGATTTACAGTTTTTTCCTGTTAAAATACTCCTGCAGTGAATTACCTTTATATCTGCCAGCTTTGTACACTGTCCAGTTTTTTCTTTAGGATAAATTCCTAGGAGAAAAATTGCTCTAGCAAAGGATGAAAGTGGAAACTATTTGGATTTACAAAAACAGGAGATGAAAGCCTGGCCCTCAACCCCAGGAACTGCCGGCTGGTTGGTTACAGGTCCCTCTGGTTTTCAGTGGTGCAGCCACCACAGAACCAGGAGCCATAATGATAAGATGCCAGCTGGAGCCAGTGTAACATAAAGATAGTGCTGCAATGAAGAACTGGTACAAACCAGGAGCAGAGTGCAGCATCTACAGTCTCTGACATTTGCAGAGTCAAAAATGAGGGTGGCCCTAATGGATGATATATACTTTTCTACAAATGTGAACTATCACTCAATGAAAACATTCCCTCAGTATGCTGAGCCCTGGGCCAAATACTATACAAACATATGGAGAAAAACTCATTTTCACAACAGCTGTGCTTTTGGCAGTTGAGCGTTGTGCTTATAAGTGAAAAGATACGGAGATTGTGCAGGACCTCAGCAGCCATCCTGCTAACCTCCTGATTTTATAGATGAGTCTGTTGAGATCCAACAATGACAATTCAAGTGCCCAGAATCACTTTGCTAGAAACACAACAGTGACAAGAGGAACCCAGATCACTCTACTCCCAGTCCTTTGTTCTTTCTAGTAGGCCATGAAAGACTTTTAGAGAAGCAGTGCAGGGGCTAAAGACGCAGCTTTGGAGTCAGATGGATTTAGATTAAGATCTTGGGTTCACCATTTTCTAATTATGTGACCTTTGGTAAGTTACTTAATATCTCTTAGTTTTCTTATCTGTAAATGAGTATATTACCTTATAGAGTTATTAAGGAAATTAAATAAGATGATGTTTTAAAATATCTCAGCATAGTTCCTGGAAAGGTAAGTACTCAATAACTAATAAATTAATAGTAGCTATTTGGTTAGGGATGCATCCTAAATCATTTGGATTCTAAGATCATTGGATGCTAGGACTGAAAGGGAAGAGACCTTTGGTCATTCAGTCATTTTGTTGTACAGATAAACTAAAGTCCCTTAGAAGTTAAGTGACCCTAATTGAGATCCATAGCTCCTCCATACAGAGCCTGGCTTCATACCCAAGTTTCCCAGTTCCTTTGAACTACATTCTTTGTGTCCTTGTAAGATGAATGAAGCCAAAACTGTTTCTATGTGTTTCTCATGAAATTACTTCTAGGAATGTTCTGGCATCTACATAAATTTGCTTTTCATGTAGATTGTCACCATAGGTGTATGACCTTTTTTAAAGCGCTTAGAAACTAAGATATATCAAATAATGGCTTAAGAGAAAGTACTTGTAATTTAGTCATCTTAAACTCAGGTTGGATTGATTCCCTGTGGTTTCTCTAAGAAATCTTAAAGTTTTGATAATTTTGCTTTCTTTTTTCCCTAAGACCCTGCCTTCCCTAATTCGGCTCGATTTTCTCTCAAAATGATCCAAAATAAAGTTCTCAGGTATTAAAAATGAAAAGTATTTCATTTTGGATTGTGGTTGCCTTTTTACTACAGTATTTCTATTATTTGAGGATCTATGTGTTTTCAGAATACATTATATAAAATCAGTCCTTACTTTGAAGGAAAATATCACACTGATCTTTTGCCTTGAGGCATTTAGAGAAAATATTTAGAACTTATCACTCCCAAGAAGCTTTTACTCTTTTTTTTTTGCTCGTTTGGAGACGGAGTTTCGCTCTTGTTGCTCAGGCTGGAGTGCGGTGGCGTGATCTCGGCTCACTGCAACTTCTGCCTCCCAGGTTCAAGCAACTCTCCTGCCTCAGCCTCCCGAGTAGCAGGGATTACACGTGCCTGCCACCATGCCCGGCTAATTTTTTGTATTTTTAGTGGAGACGGGGTTTCACCATGTTGGCCAGGCTGGTCTTGAACTCCTGACCTCAGGTGATCTGCCTGCCTCTGCCTCCCAAAATGCTGGGATTAGAGGCATGAGCCACCACATCCGGCCCGAAGCTTTTACTCTTGTAGGAGCAATGAGAACTATTGTATTACAGCTAGAAAATCACATAGGGCAAGATACAATGGAGTGTTCAGTCATCAAGCCTGGACTTCAAGTGGTAAGGATTCAGAAGAAAGAAATCAGGAAAACCTACAAAAAGGAAAGCAGTCTTGAGCTTAGAAAAAAAGTATAGCATGGCATATCACAGCAGAGGCAAGAAAGGCTGACTAGGACCAAGGAAAATAGGACTTTATACATGGATGTGTCCACATGTGTACGTGTGTATAATGAGAGATATATCAAAATTTAAGAAATCCTTCTACCCATATCTTTTCCAGGCTTTCCAATTTTCCGCATTTCACATCTCAGCACCTAAGTATAAGAACTTGCATGGAATAGATACTCAGTAAAACTTAAGTGAATTAAATCATATTTTTAGGGTAACAGCTCCCTGACCCTGCCCACACACATATACCGTCCCATCTGTGACTCTACTGTTATTTGTCCATCTTCTTGCTAACATGAGAACTGCATATTCCTCTAGATTTCCCTGTAGATTTCCCTATTGCAGGGAGCAATAAATAGCACTGCCTTCACCTGCAAGCCCAGGTTGGAACTAGTTTCATCACTAGGGTAATGCCCAACAGTCATAGCCACTGAGCTGACAAGACTGACTTCCCATCTATTCTTCCCCACCCCACCCCCCGCCAACTACATACAGTATCTAGGTACTATAATCAGCAAAAAAAAAAAAAAATTCCCATATAGCTCTCAAGTAATAAATGTCAAATAAATTAGGGGTAAGAGTGACAAGATTTGAGATTCACTGAGTTAATGCAGTTAATGAAATTGTAATTCTCTGCTACATAAACCTGATTAGATAGGTATTATGAGTAGATATGAAGAACATTTAAGAGAATGATTTAGTTTATCTTTGAGGGATTGTTCCCTGTACAATATGATCATTATTTTATCTCTTTATTTCATTCTGTGGTATACAGTTTCTCTAAGAGAACAAGTGAAAATATTTTCCCCCAGTTTTTCAAGTGTTTATTGAGTGGAATTGAAGTTTCACGAACATGTTATGTTTATCACATTGTTTTGTGTGCCCACCACTGAGTAACCTACGGGGATATTAATTAGAGAATAACATCCTAAGCTATTAAGGCTCTATTTTCCTGGTCACCTAAAAAGCAAAATGTTCATCTTTGTCAGGAGTCAAAGTATTCTACATTAGGGGCTCTTCCTTTCCTAAGAGACCATTCCTGATGTTCTGTGATACTTTAATCCAATGAATGCCTGAAACACTGGATACGATCATAGGTTATCAGTCAGATTTTCTCGAAGGAAACTCAATAATCACACATAGTGCTTTCCTTGGTGAGATTGGGAATGGTATGAATTCCTATCTGACCCTGATTATTTTCAGAAAATAGCAGGAACGCTGTAGCTTCCTATCTCAAAAAAAGAGAGGGTCCAAGATACTATAACTTTAGGGGCATCCCCCCATGCACATACATGGAAGGGCGGCACAAGCATTCTTCGATGCTATCAAACATAGTGAAGAAACAGATGCTGTGAACAGCCCTTACTGTCAAGTACTGATAGGTGTGTATTTCTAATCATTGGGGTGAAAAGTGAGTATCCAGAGTACTTAGAAGAGATTACTCAAGTATTTCCTTATAAACATCAACAGTTTTAAAGTCCAGCTGACTACATTGGCTCAACTCAATATAGAAAATTAATAAAGAAGTCCACAAAATACCTTCTGGCTTTAGACTATCAGTAGGATAATGGCAATTTGAGCTTCATATTATCCATTGATTACTTATATCACACTATATATCTGGCAGGGAAGGGATGGAGACCTTTACATTTGAAAAAGCTTTTTTAAAAAATAAAACAACTTATTTTAGAATCTTCTTGTATTGTCTTCAATAACAGAAGGAATAGAAGACAGGGTGGTGATGGTATATCCAAATATATTTAAGTTTATTTTAGAGCCAGAAAGGACCCAAAGCAGTCATGTGCCTGCCTTTTGCCCTCCGCCCCATCTAATCAACATTCTGCAGAAACCACACAAGATTAAATTGGTAATAGTCTCAAGCCAAACATTTGTATGTGTAGTCTAATAAATTAACATATTCTTATATGTTTTTTGACTGTATCTTTGCATTGTCCTTTTCAGTTATATTTTTTTCCTTACTGAAAGCTTCCCATCCTTTTCTGCTACAGGATTATAGCTGGACAGACATCCGCTGCCCCTTTGAAAAACGAAGAGATGCAGCATGCGTGTTTTGGGACAATGTAGTATACATTTTGGGAGGCTCTCAGCTTTTCCCAATAAAGCGAATGGACTGCTATAATGTAGTGAAGGATAGCTGGTATTCGAAACTGGGTCCTCCGACACCTCGAGACAGCCTTGCTGCATGTGCTGCAGAAGGCAAAATTTATACATCTGGAGGTTCAGAAGTAGGTAAGGACTTCTTAAGTATTTTGGTTTGGGGCATATGCTTTAAAGCCAAGTATCTTGGCTTTCATATTTAAATAAACAGCTGGTATTATTTGTCCAGATACTTTCTTGGTAATTTAAATATGTGTTTGTCACATTTTAGAGCTCATCTCCCTGAAGGTTTATGTCGTTGCTTTACAAACCATTAAATTACAGAACTTTAGCTTCCTAGATTAATGGCCCATTTTTTTTATCATAATGAAGCATTAGTTGACATTATCTGAATTATAGTTCTAAATTATTTGGGCTGCATAATATTATTTGTTTTAAAGATTTCAGAGTTCAACTTATAGACTCTTTAAGAACTCGTTACTATATTCAGGCTTTTAAAATTTGTATTATATTTGCTTTCTTTTTATTAGAAAAAAGAATGCTCTTTTTCATTTGTTTTATTCTTTAAGTTTTTAATGACTGTAGTGGTATTTATGCTTATTGAGCAGAATGGGATGTGGGTGTGGATATAAAAACCTTATTGGATAGTGTGTTAGTGTCCAGTAGTGCTCTTTTTCTAAATGAATAATTTTTCTAAATGAATAGGTGCAGGCTAGATACATAATAGCTTTTGTATGCTTTCATTTTCAAGTAATTTCTTTAGCTTAAATAATGGGCTAATAAAGAAAACTAGGGAGACCGTAAATGGTTATACTTTTGGTCTGCATACTTATGTTTTTACCCTCAACTATATGTCAAATGAATACAAGAAAAATCACTATTTCCTAAATGTAACCATTTCCTCTCTTTAAAAGCATTCTTCACAGACTGTTATAATGTAGAATATTTCAAATACAATAAATCCTAAAGATGATAGACGGTAACTGTTCTGTGGTACTGCAGATAACTTCATTTCTTCAGCCTTTGCTAAGTGTGTTTTTAGCTTAAGTAGTAGTTTTTTTTTAATCTACTATATACTATATATTTTCCTATAGTGTCCACCCACTGAACCTACCAAATCAGGAATGTTTAAAAAGTTAAAAATAAGTTATTTTTGGTCATGACCATTGCTTCTTCTAGTTGTTATTTTCTGATCTTTACTTTTCACAGACCTTAGTTGCAACGCAGAATTATAAAGGTGTTGTCGTTTTTAAATCATTTGATATTAGCCCAGAATGGTGGGAGATGAGAAATAGTTTGGTAACTTCTAAAATTTTTTGTCCTTGGGAAGGAAAAAAAAAAGCACTTAAACTTTAATAGTATCATTTCTAAAATTTTTTATTGAACTCCTACAGTGTGTAGAAGTTTCAAAACATGATGAATGTATGTTTTGCCTTTAAATTGTGTAATCAAAATACATCAGAAATATACATCAATATTTTGAGAATATACTCAAGCAGGGACCAGTGTGATTTCAGGATATACCACACTAACTGAGAATAGTTAGGAAATATAATTTTGTTAATGGTGCTGTAGCTATTCCAGAATATTAAATAAGAATATGATCAGATAGTAGTTTTCATATTTTAAGGTATGGGTCTACCATCTGTAAGGAACTATTATGCTTTTCCACTTTATATAAACATTTGAAGTATGGATAATTCCCGTCATGCATAATGGGGCTTGAAGACATATATAAGGCTTCTTATTTAATTTTTCTTTTGAAATCAAATTTATTTTTCTAAAGTTTAATTACCAATAAATAAGTATTTCCAACAGATCCTTTTAAGGATGTTTTCCAGGGTCTATACAAACAGGATTATTAGCGTTTTCTTAAACTATTCCTACACTTTGTTGTTGTTGATTGAGTATGAAAATGGCCGTATGACCCTAAATTCTTCCTTCCTTAACTAATAAGATCTACAGTCAGTTCTTTCCAAACCCCCGCACACACTAAAGTTAAGCATGATGGGGCCTTTTTCTTTTACAGGAAACTCAGCTCTGTATTTATTTGAGTGCTATGATACGAGAACTGAAAGCTGGCACACAAAGCCCAGCATGCTGACCCAGCGCTGCAGCCATGGGATGGTGGAAGCCAATGGCCTAATCTATGTTTGTGGTGGAAGTTTAGGAAACAATGTTTCTGGGAGAGTGCTTAATTCCTGTGAAGTTTATGATCCTGCCACAGAAACGTATGTATCTATTTAAAATTTATTTTACAGTTAACTGTATTCTATAAGCTCTGTAGGAGATGTCAAAAGACCAGAGGAACCCAACAGAAGAATTTTGTCCTTGAGTGAAGAGTGTATATAAACTTTTGAGTGTGCTAGGGTCAGTGGCATATTTATGACCTGGACCTTTCCCTTACACCAGAAATGGCTTGAACTTACACCCCATGGGAACCTCTTTCTTTCTGGTTCTGCGTGCAATAAATGCCTATGAATGAGACACATCTGATTGATTCGTCAACTCATAAAATGTTTTTGTTTGAGCGGTCAGGAAATGTAGAGGAGGAGGGGGGAGTTTATGACCAGCAATAAATTTATCCTTAAGTAGAAATATTAGATATTGGCTCATGGCATTAATAAATCATGCCTCCCTAGTTCTTTTTAGGTGTAAACTTCCTAAGTACATTTAGATTCATGTTTATTAAATAAAATTATTCTTAAATCAACTGCTTTTAAAAAGGCAAAGTGTGTCAAAAAGGTAAAATGCTAAAGAAATAACTGGTTAGCCAGTTTTTCTGACCTTGTAGTTAATGATGGAACACATTCAATGTAGCCAAAGGAAATGTGCTAATCATTGAATAATGGAGAGGGCATGAGGGCACGGGTTGTGAGTAGTGACATTAAAGCTGATGAGGACATAAAACAGATGATACCCTAGTCGTACCTTTTATGGAAACATCCAAAGAGCTTTGATAAGAAAAGTCACTTGATCATATGGCTGGATTGCCCATCGTTCTTCCCTTACTAGAACAAGTTACTGGGTGAATACGTTCACTAAAATGCTATGCCAGAGTTGCATCAAAACTCTCGTGCTTAAAGTTTTATATTTAGGAAATATTGCCAAACTACAAAACATGGAAGTCTTCAACTCCAGCTACTGCTTTTTTTAAAATTAAGAAATAAGATGCCAGGCATGGTGGCTCATGCCTATAATTCCAGCACTTTGGGAGGCTGAGGCAGGCAGATCACTTGAGGTCAGGAGTATGAGATCAGCCTGGCCAACATGGCAAAATCCCGTCTCTACTAAAAATACAAAAACTAGCTGGGTGTTGTGGCGCGTGCCTGTAATCCACTACTGGGGAGGCTGAAGCAGGAAAATTGCTTGAACCTGGGAGGCGGAGGTTGCAGTGAGCCAAGATTGTGCCACAGCACTCCGGCCTGGGTGACAGAGCAAGACTCCATCTCAAAAAAAAATAAAAAATAAAAAAATAAGAGCTTAATTATAAAATATGATTAATTATGTGCATTTATCTATGATTCCCACATATTTTTAAAAGATTTAAGGAAGCATAATCAATAACTTCTTTCCAGTGCAAATAATAGAAAAGCAAGTTGTCTTGAAATTTGTCTTTTGCTAAAGATGTTTACCAACTTTGCTCCCTTTTATGTGAACCTCTACCTTACTTCCCATAAACCCTAGGCTCAAAAAGTGTTACAGCATACTAGTTGGAAAACTGATTCATTCTGCTAATTATTTTTTATTTCTAAAAAATCTCTTAAAAGAGAAGCCATAACCATAAAAACTCTAGGTTTCTAAATTTTTACATCTTTATTCAGGCACTATCAATGTAAATTAATATTGATTTTTTACTTACTTTTTTGTTCAAAGTAAAAATATAAAGGAGTTCTGCAGCTTCTGTATTTTTTAAAACTAGGTGAATATTCAGTTTCAGGAATATTTAAAAACTTACAAGACCTAGCATTTCTTTCATTTTATATATATTGAGCTTAAATTTGAATTCTCTATGTTCCCTTCAATGCCCTTAAATTTTCACAAATGAAAAGCTAGTGTGAATATAATTATCCAACTCTCAAAATAAATGTTATATTATTTCCTTTTAAAAATGTTACCTAGTCCAGGTGTGGTGGTTCATACCTGTAATCCCAGCACTTTGGGAGGCCGAGGCTGGTGGATCGTCTAAGGTCAGGAGTTCGAGACCAGCCTGACCAACATGGTGAAACTCTGTCTCGTCTAAAAATACCAAAAAAAATTAGCCGGGCGTGGTGGCGCGTGCCTGTAATCCCAGCTATTCAGGAGGCTGAGGCAGGAGAATCATTTGAACCCGGGAGGTGGAGGTTGTAGTGAGCTGAGATCGTGCCATTGCACTGCAGCCAGGGCAACAAGAGCGAAACTCTGTCTCAAAAACAAAAACAAAAATAAAAACAAAAAGTTATCTAGCCAGCCAAGTTTTTTTTAATAAGAATTTCTTCCCAATTTTGACATTTTAAGTGTTTGATAATTAGAATGTGTTTAATTGGAAGCTGAAAAACTAAGCCTATGGACCATAGAAACACAAATAACACATGTTGTCACTCATGTGGGAGCTAAAAATGTTGATCTCATGGAGGTAGAGAGTAGAATGATGGTTATCAGAGGTTGGTTAACAAGTACAGAAATACAGTTAGATAGGATAAGTTCTAATATTCAGTAGTACAGTAGGGAGACTATAGTTAACAATAATTTATTGTATATTTCAAAATAGCTAGAGAAGAATTGGAATGTTCCCAACACAAAGAAAAGATATTCCTCAGCAGCAACATGGGAGGCCTGGGTTCCTTCCCTAGCCCAAAAAGAAACAAAAGGAAAGATAAATGTTTCAGGTGCTGGATATCCCAGTTACTCTGACTTGATCATTACACATTGTATACATGTGTCAAAATATCACAGGTACCATAAAAATATGTACATGTATTATGTATCACATTTTTAAAATCAGTTTTAAAAAAGATGGAGAGGAGCAGAAGCTCATAATAAAGTAACTGAAGAAAGAAAGAAATTATGTCTATGGAAACAATGTGACACAGTTTGAGCGGTCAGAATTTTAAGAAATGACTTTTTTTTTTTTTTTTTGTGAGACGGAGTCTCACTCTGTCACCATGCTGGAATGCAGTGGCACGATCTCAGCTCACTGCAACTTCTGCCTCCCAGGTTCAAGCGATTCTCCTGCCTCAGCCTCCTGAGTAGCTGGGATTACAGGCGCACGCCACCACACGGGCTAATTTTTGTATTTTCAGTAGAGACGGGGTTTCACCATGTTGGCCAGGATGGCCTCCATCTCTTGACCTTGTGATCTGCCCACCTTGGCCTCCCAAAGTGCTGGGATTACAGGCGAAAAAACGCTTCTAAACATTAAACTTCAGATTGCAGATAGCGGGGACCTAGTATGTACTCTGCATGTGAATTATAGGAGGAAGGGGAATTTGTGAAAGTTTTTTCTAAACCTTCAGGAGATTTAGATATACATAAAGACATGCTGTCTTTTTATATCATTAACATTATATTTGGAGAAGAAAGTGGTATGTAAATGGAATTTTTCCAAGTCAAATACTGTGTTTTAATGCATGATGATAGCTGAGTCTATAAATCTCACTACGTGCAGGGCAGTGAAGACCTAGTTTTTACTGCTGTCCCACTTCCGAGCTGTATGCCGGTCACTTCACCTGGATGAGCGTGTGTGTTTTTCCTAAAAACAGGAGCCATGCTGTCCACCTCACCTTAACAGAGAACTTTGAAAATGAGAGTGGTGACTGTCAAACCATTTTTAAAACAATACATAAATGTAAGACAAAAGAATTGTTAATACTTCAGAGTTAATCATTGTGCCTTAATTATGTTTTATAAAGTTGAATTCATCAAATTGTTTTTTGTTTTTTGAGACGGCGTCTGCCTCTGTCGCCCAGGCTGCAGTGCAGTGGCGTGATCTCAGCTCACTGCAAGCTCCGCCTCCTGGGTTCACGCCATTCTCCTGCCTCAGCCTCCTGAGTAGCTGGGACTACAGGCGCCTGCCGCCACGCCTGGCTAATTTTTTGTATTTTTAATAGAGACGGGGTTTCACCGTGTTAGCCAGGATGGTCTCGATCGCCTGACCTCATGATCCGCCTGCCTCGGCCTCCCAACGTGGTGGGATTACAGGCGTGAACCACCGCGCCCGGCCGGCCATCAAATTATTTTAAAGAAGAGATATAAACAATAATTATAGAGAGTTACTCTTATGCCAAGTTTCCCTTTTGTTGTTGTCCTTACTGTTGTTTGGCGTCTCTTGGTTTAAGTTAGCTGCTGAAAGCACAAGCCTGTGTGCCAGTACCACCTTCACAATCACAAATGTCAGTCTTGGGAGTGTATGCAGAAGAATGTATTAAATCTCAGAAAAAAATAACTAAACTCGATTGTCTGTGTATATATGCATAATGCTGCAACCTGTGAATTAATATCCTTTAACACTTGGGTCCACATTTATATTCTCAGTTTCATTATTTATATATTAGTGGCTGTGAACAGAGCAACATGAGGTATTAAACTTGACAGAATGATAGTACTTTTTTGTTACCAGAGCAGCATAAAGTTCTTAGTGTAGATTTAAAGATGGACATGTGAATAGTAACAGATACTATTAATTTCCTGATTGCCTGAGGCCCATTATAAGTTTGTGTTTTACTTACGCATATATAAATAATAATTAAAGCTAGGTGTGATAGAACTAGTTAATATTTCCTGCCAGCAGAGGTGTGAAGAAAGAAAAAAGAATTATTTATCTTCGAAGCATCTTCCTCTTCTTTTTTGTTCCCATATTACAAGTTTTTATGAACCTCAGGAAATGGATTTCCTCTAAAAACGTGTTTTTTAATAGATATCCTCATTTTCTTATATCCTATCAGAATTGAAAGGAATAAAATCCATGTTTTCCCCGTGTATTAATAAATTACCCATAATCATTGTTCAACTTTTGTTTTCTACCCTTCTAGACATTTTGTGCGTATATGTACACATATGTGAGTAGTAAATGAGCACTTAATTAGAATAATAGACCTTTCTCATTAGTATGAGTTCTTTTACTTCCTGTAAACAAGCACACTAAAAACTTTAATTTTTTCAGATGGACTGAGCTGTGTCCAATGATTGAAGCCAGGAAGAATCATGGGCTGGTATTTGTAAAAGACAAGATATTTGCTGTGGGTGGTCAGAATGGTTTAGGTATGTGATGTTAATTCACTGTTCCACTTTCCTGATGAGTTTGCTGATACTTCCTTAAATTATTGAAGCATTTTTAAAAATCTAGATAGAAGCATTTACCATGTATATTATTATATCTATTTTTATAGTTTCTGGGAATTAACATACTTGATAAAATATCGCAGGATGTTAAACATTCCTGTTTATGAAATGTCGCAGTAGTCACCAGTCATTGTGACAATTTTAGATGGCTCCTATACATTCCCAGATACCTCCTGGGGAATGATGTCGCACCAGCTTAAGAACTATTGAGCAATAGAAATATTTGAACTTTAAAAAACCTTTAAAAACTTTTTAAATACAAGTTTTAAGGCTTGTATCCAGGTCCTAAATGGTAAAGTTTCCTAAATATTTTTAAACATTGCATGAAAATATCAATATTGTAATTTTTAAATGACTAAATTTGGCATTTTGTTTTCATAAATAATGTACTAAAGAATCTTAAATAATTGTCTTAAATGAAAGGGAGTCGGAACTGAATCTAGACACAAGCTTCAATTTAGTCAGTACTTTAAGCATCACTTAAGTGTACCAGTAACTTCTTTTCCTTCTTCTGTCCCTGTCCATTGCTATTTTCCATAAAGTGCTAAAAGGAGGAAAAAGAAGGACATTTGAGTAATTATAATCAAAGTTAATCAGAGGGGAAATCACCGATTGGTTTATTTTGCATTTTTCCAGAATAGATAAAACATGTTTAATTTTGTAGAAAAAAATCAATATTTAAAAAGAAATATTAAATGTCTATTGTGTTAAGAGTAAGAATTTAGGTGGTGGCTATGTGGACATTCACTGTAAAATTATTACAGTTTTTCTGTGTGTTTGACATTTTTCACAATAAAATATTGGAAAAATACAAAAAGTTATTACTTTAAGAAACCTTAGAATTGTTGATATAGTTTTTCATGTTGTTCATGTTTTATTCTTTTGAAGGTGGTCTGGACAATGTGGAATATTACGATATTAAGTTGAACGAATGGAAGATGGTCTCACCAATGCCATGGAAGGGTGTAACAGTGAAATGTGCAGCAGTTGGCTCTATAGTTTATGTCTTGGCTGGTTTTCAGGGTGTTGGTCGATTAGGACACATTCTCGAATATAATACCGAAACAGACAAATGGGTTGCCAACTCCAAAGTTCGTGCTTTTCCAGTCACAAGTTGTTTAATTTGTGTTGTCGATACTTGTGGAGCAAATGAAGAGACCCTTGAAACATGAAAAATGAGTGGACTTCAGACTCATCAGAGACTCTAAAATATAGCCACCAGTGCTTTGTTCCAGGAGTTTGGTGACAAAGTTTTGGTTTGGTGTTTTGGTAAAGAAAGTTTCAAGTGAAATGAGGTTCCTATAAAATAGATGTTTCTTTTATATGGATTTCCTTAATTCAAAGATCATATTTTAGCTGGCCACAAAACCAAGAACATATCTAGCAAGAAAACTTGAAAAAGTATAAGCATTTGTTAAAAATGTGAATTTCTTGAATGAATTTCACATTTGTAACTATGATTTTGGCAGAATAGAAGATTGGCTCATCAGTGAAGCGCAGTATCTTAGCTCTAGATTCTATTTTCATGCATCACAGAAGTGCTATACGGTTAGGTCTGTTTGTGCTCAGTCAAGAACTAAGAAATAGTATGAATTGTAAGTCAAGATGGGCAACTCAGATGGAGCAGCTTAGTCTCACAGTTTGCTTGTCTATTTATTTTATTTAGTGCCAAATGTATTCCATTTTAAAAGTAAGCCAGAGTGAGTCAAGGCATATACACACTTTCTCACAAAACTTCCTAAACAGATTTGGGGGTTTAATATGTCCAACTCCTCATGAAATATATTCAATCCACTTAAATATATTCCATCTTTTTAACATAAAATGTAAAGCTTAGCACCCATCATTAATTTATGTCTCTGTTTTATCCAGTGGTTAAAAAAGGATTCTGCCTCTTTAGTCCTCACTGTTAAATAAAACCCAATCATAGTAAGTGATTAACTAGCAAAAAGTAAAGCTATTTATAGCAAATTTCTAGATCATTAGAAAAGCACTGGTAGTTGTACAATATCAGTGTTGACTTTGAACTTCTTTAACGAGATCATGAATTCTTTTCCCTTAGCCAAAACATGAAATATTTAACCTAGTTGTCTCTAAAAGTTTTGTAATCATGAGTTAGATATATGTCATCTCCTATTCATTGCTTTTATGTGATCAATAAATCTTTTACAAACCCAACTACTCATTTCCTTCCTAGTAATACTTTGCCTTTTTCACTGTGTATGGAATGAAACATGTAAAGCTGTCACAATCAATGTTTTTATCTGATAATATTAAATATTTTTTAACTTAAAATAGGCCACTCAGTTTGTTCTTCAAGTATTTTAGGTAATGGTTGTTTTTAGAATTTGTGAACCAGTGTCTCTTAATTTTCAGTTTTCTTTATATAGAGGTTATAATAGTCTTAAACCCTAAAAATGTTTAAATCAAAAAGGAATTAGGAAAAACATAATGATAGGTATATTTCTATTTGTGTAGGGTTTTTTAATGTACAGCTTTATTGAGATATAATTCACATACCATACAATTCACCATTTAAAGTATACTATTCAGGCCAGGCACAGTGGCTCACGCCTGTAATCCCAGCACTTTGGGAGGCCAAGGTGGGTAGATCATTTGAGGTCAGCAGTTCAAGACCACCCTGGCCAACATGATGAGACCCCGTCTCTACTAAAAATACAAAAATTAGCCAGGCCTGGTGGTGTGCACTTGTAATCCCAGCTATTCAGGAGACTGAGGCAGGAGGATTGCTTGAACCTGACAGGCAGAGGTTGCAGTGAGCTGAGATCAAGCCACTGCACCCCAGCCTGGGCAACAGAGCAAGACTAAAAAAAAAAAAAAAAAAAAAAAAATGTATTATTCAGTGGTTTTTAATATATCCACAGAGTTACGCAACCATCACCACAATTTTAGAACATTTTCATCACCCCAAAAAGAAACCTTGTACTGATTAGCAATGGTTCCCTATTTCCCCCAACGCCCCTGTATTTCCTAGGGCTACCATAACAAACTACTGCAAACTTGGTGGCTTTAAAGAACAGAAATTTATTCTCTCACAATTCAGGAAGCCAGCACTCCTAAATCAAGTTGTCAGCAGGGTTAGTTCCTTCTGGAGGGTCTGCAGCAGAAACCACACATGCCTCTCCCCTAGCTTCTGGTGGTTGCCAGCAATCCTCAGCATTCTTTGGCTTGTAGCTGCAGCACTTCAGTCTCTGTCTCTGTCTTCGCATGGGCTTTTTCCCTGTGTGTCTCTGTATCTTCACATGGTGTTCTTATAAGGACAACATAGGAGCCAGACACAGTGGCTCAGGCCGGTAATTTCAACACTTTGGGAGGTGGAGGCAGTAGGATCACTTGAGGCTAGGAGTTCAAGACCCTGTCTCTACAAAAAAATAAAAAGTTAGCAGGTGTGGTATATACCTGCAGTTCTAGCTACTCAGAAGGCTGAGGTGGGAGGATCACTTGAGCCCAGGAGTTCAAGGATGTAGTGAGCTATGATTGTGCCACTGCACTCCAGCCTGGGTGACAGACTGAGACCCTGTCTCATTAAAAAAAAAAAAAAAAAAGCTGGGCGCTGTGTCTCACGCCCTTAATCCCAGCACTTTGGGAGGCCGAGGCGGGTGGATTACCTGAGGTCAGGAGTTTGAGACCAGCCTGGACAACATGCCAAAACCCCGTCTCTACTAAAAATACAAAAATTAGCCAGGTATGGTGGTGTGCACCTGTAGTCCCAGCTACTCAGGAGGCTGAGGTAGGAGAATTGCTTGAACCTGGGAGGCAGAGGTTGCAGTGAGCTGAGATTGCGCCACTTCATTCCAGCCTGGGTGACAGAGCAAGACACCTTCTCAAAGCAAAATACAAACAAAAAAAGGACAACATAGGGCCCGCAATCCAGTATGACCTTATTTTAATTACACCTGTAAAGACCCCATTTCCAAACGAGGACACATTCTGAGCTTCTGGATAGACATGAATTTGGGGAGATGCTGTTCAACACAGAAAACCTCCCAAACACCATAGCCCTAGGCAACCACTAATCTACTTTCTGTCTCTAGATTTGATTATTCTGAACATTTTTAGTAGGGTTTTCAATTTTGCACTCTATTGAAAAATGTGGCTAGTTTAATTTTTTGAGAGTGAAATATCCATTTATTATATTACAATATAGCTATATAATTTGACAATCTCCTATGTAGAATATACAGTACCTGTCTAAGATATTTTAAGTACACCAGCATTTCCTTTTAGGCTATGTCAATTGACTAGAACACACTATAGTAAATACATACACAGGTTTGATGTGGATTATAATGAAGTGGTTTTTTTCCTTAGTAATCTGTATCATAATTCCCAATTAGTGTCTTTTTCTGCCTTGGAAATTTCTACAGAATTGTCAATATCAGGATAGTGCGTAAAAGTACACTCACCATACTGACAAGCACATTTTCTATTTTGTTGCCCAAAACTCCCTGTCCTGTAAAGTGCTCTGCTTGCTTTTTAGTAGACATTTGATAAGTTAATGTTATATCCTTTGCAATGATATTATTTTGATGACAAAGTAAGTTTATGCTTTCAAAAATCACAATTCGGTCAGAAAAGTTTAGCATCTTAAAAAAATTGTTGCTATTTGAAAAAAACAAAACAAAACATATACTTGTGACTTTGTGGTCCAGCTGGCAAAAACTTGACATATCATCCCATGAAAATTTTAAGTCATGAATTATTTTGACATGACAATATTGCTAACAAAATCAAAATCAGCCGTTTAATAAACAATTATTCCACCAAGCAGTCTATATTCCTTTTGCCATATATACTGTTAACAGCAAAAATTTTGGATTTGCTACATATGCATGGGTAAAGGAGGTATTTAGACGAAATTTTGCTTTCTAAGGTTATACCAAAGACTTGAGAAAATCCAATTTACTCCCACATGGCACCAAACCAGCTCTCACTGAGAGTCATTATTTGGACCCTTAAGTCCAAATAATCTGTTCTTTTAATGAAAGGACATTTTACAGGTGGCATCATTCAGCGTTTGATAAATCCTTCCTTTAAATAGCCTCCTCCCTCTTTACAGTTGCCTCAAAAGACTTCAAAAAGCTTGAATCCACTTTTATCTTTCTCACCTTCCTCCTTCCCAAGATGATTCACACTACTTTAGAAAAAATAAAAATTTTATTTAAAAAAGTCTGTGCTGGGAAATTGTTTGAAATGTTGCCCTTATTAACTAGAAATCTTTTTACTCTCCAGAGCTTTACGCCCTCTCTCATAACAGATTTAAAATGGGGTTCAAGATCTAGTTTGAATCTTATAGAAATTCCCTCAGACTTTATCTTCTAACCTTCTTTAATTTGTTCCCACTATCTACGTTTTCCAAGAGTACTTTATTTCTATAATTGTTCTTTTATATAGTATGCCATTCTTGTTTCATGTTATCCTCTCTGATGATATTTTAGTTTCTTTAAATTTTAAAAATATTTTAGTGTTTTTGTTTCCTCTAACTTCTTTTTCTGTTTCTTTGCTTTGCTCTTTCCTGTTGGCATCTGCCTTCAAATGTCTAGTCCCTGACTGTGCATTTGGATTTAAATGAGACATCTGAAAATTGATAATTCAGGGGTACAAGGGTGAGCTTAATCAATGAACTTCATTATATGATGAGGAGATGGCCAACTATTTTTGTTGCTAGTCCATAAGAGATCCATAGGTATTTTTCTGGGATGTTTGACTCACCATTCAATAAGCATAAGCCCTCTCTGTACCTGATGTCCTAGAATCTGAAGTGTCTCTCATTCCTTTTTATTGGGGAGGAATCCTATCTCCTATCAAGTCGAGACAGTTGCCTCATCCAATTGGAAGGGGAGGCAGCAGTATTTTTCCTCTGCCATCTTGAAGAAATCAGAAGTTTCCTTCCTGTAACCCCACTCTCCTGATTTCCACCTATATATACCCATCACCAAACCGATCACTACCAAGTCCTGCAAGCCCTAGGCTCTCATTGTCTCACACACACTCCACCTAGACAGTCTCAACCGGCATTCTGGCCTTGCCCCTCTCTACCTTCACCAAGCACTGGGCTTACCCTCACTTAAGTTTCAGTCACCACTGGTATTATTTTAGGTATTTGATCCCAGCAAAGTCCTTACACATGCTGACATGTGCAGGAATGAGAAGTCAGTGGCTACAAAGCAATACTGGTTAACACAAGGTGGTAATAAAATAAATATACTAAGGTTAATGAAAGCCAAGTTTCTTGTTATCAATGGAGTTAAAAATAGAGGAAAATAAAATGAATCATGTGATTTTGGATTGAAATTGGAGATTATCAGTGTGAACTCAAGTTTTTTTCTTTTTTTCATAGTCTTTGACATAGAAGGCATAATAGTTTTAATATATAAAATATAGAAATGTTTGATGTAAATGTTCGTGTTTGTTTATACATATGTATTTCCCAGCAATGTTCATGACAGCAAAGACATCCCAGTAGCAATAAGCACATTAAAGCTCAGATCTTGGTTTCTAAGCAGCACCAAAAGGACCCCTGGAGAAATAACTGATTTCAGGACTGGAGTAGAGAATGTAAAAATGAGCCTGGAACATCTCTGCACCAGAAAGTAAAAAAGTGCTCAAGTAATCATGGGGAATTTTTTTTTCTCCTTTTTCGAATGTGTAAAGGAGCTTAAAGGGGGTCCCATTGGCCAAATTGGAGATGATCTGAGCATCAAAATAAATAATGATAGTAATGGATTATAACCCATTGAATAACATTGGAAATCATGAGTCCATACTGATATAAATAAATAAGTGAATGAGCTAAAAGTTGGATGAACAATCAGATTTTTATATACTTTCAAAGTACCTCCCCACAAAATTCTTATTAATAACAAAAAGGAAAAGAATAACTTTATGGTAGAGCAGCTTGGCAGACACCACCTTAAGCAAGTAATCCATTGAGCATTACAGGTAACAGGACAAATTGAAATTGTGCACAACCTGCAATGTGAAAACCGCAGCATCACTTCTGTGATAATCCTGACAAAGATGCATAATCTGAATCTAATCAAGAGAAAACATCAAACAGACCTGCACTAAGGAACCTCTACAGTATAAGCAGCCTGTAGTCTTTAATAGTGTCAAGGTCATGAAAAGGAAAAACAAAAAATCTTCCAAATTGAAGGAGACACAAGAAATATGACTAAGCAACAATGATTCCGAACTGAACCCTTTTCCTCTAAAGGACAATATTGGGACATTTGGCAAAACATAAATGGAGTCTAAGGATTAGAGAGTAGTAGTGCATCAGTATCAATGTCCTAATTTTGTTGGCTGTGTTGTGGTTATGTAGAATGCCCTGGTTTGTTTGTAGAAAATATACAATAAGTATTTGGATCATGGGGCATTAGGTCTGCAACATAGTCTCAAATGGTTCAGGAAAAAAGTTCTTTGTACTGTTATTTGTAACTTTTCCATAAATTTGTTTCAAAATAAATGAATTGCATTGATTAAAGAAAATAAAAAACTAGTTTGGACAAGTAGTTCCCGTCCTGTAGATTCTGCTGTCTTCAAAATCCAAACAAATTACATGAGCAAGAATGATGGCTCACTCCCAGCTCAATAATCCTAAAACCACCAGCACAAACCTGTAATCCAACAAAGTCAGATCTATTGACTTATTGCAATCAAGAAGACTGCACACCAGAGGAGCTGTGGTGTGTCTCACCGTACAAAATAAAAGGTAGTTATTGTATGTTTTGGCGGGGAGAGTGAAGTTTAGGTGAAATTTAAATGAAATCTCAAAGCATAGCTGTGTGTAAAGGCATTAACATCAGGTCTGGACGAGAATTGAATGTAGGGCATGTTTCCTTGGAAACTGCAAAGTTAAGAAAATACAGAATGTTTTCAGAACCGTTTATCTGAAGCTCTACACCTGGATAGAAATTGAGGCTGCTTCTCTGCGTCAAAGAGACTTAGATCCTCCAGGCAAGGATGGGACTTTTCACTCGTTCTGATATAATTTCAAATAGCAACGTTTATGTGGACTTGAAAGAACAAGGTTTCGGCCAGACGCGGTGGCTCACACCTGTAATCGCAGCACTTTGGGAGGCGGACGCGGGCGGATCACGAGGTCAGAAAATAGAGACCATCCTGGCTAACACGGTGAAACCGTGTCTACTAAAAATACAAAAAAATTAGCCGGGCGTGGTGGCGGGCACCTGTAGTCCCAGCTACTCGGGAGGCTGAGGCACGAGAACGGCATGAACCTTGGAGGCAGAGCTTGCCTCCAAGCTCTGCCACTGTACTCCAGCCTGGGCGACAGAGCGAGACTCCGTCTCAAAAAAAAAAAAAAAAAAGAAGAAATAACAAGGTTTCTCAGTGTGTAGTAAGAATGTACTTAAGTGGTAATACTTTTCCGTTGCAGCATGTCCTAAAAGAAACATTGTTTCCTCTTAACGTCGTCTGGCTTTATTTGACTCTGTTATCCATCCAGATGAAAGGCTAGGCAGTTTGTTACTTTCTCAGCCCAAGCTAAGTTTTACCGTCTCAGCAAGAACGACTCAGTCTCTCAAATCATAGCTAATTCTCCTCTGAGGGCCTTGCTGAAGTTCTGCGTTTGCTTGCTCCGCTTTCCTCTCATTTTGGACCTCCAGCCTTCCTGTAGTCCGAGGCCCTGCACCGGGGTCAAACGCGCCTCCGGTCTTCACGTAACCGTTCAAGCATCCCTCCTTCCCAGGACACACTCAAAGCGTCAGAGCGGTCCGCTCTTCTCAAGTCCTATTGGCTCAAGTCCATGCGTCTCATGGCACTGCCGGGTGAGAGGCGGAAAAAGGCCTTCCCAGGCGCGAGAAGATGACGTCACAGTAGCCCGGCCGGGCGCCGAGGTTGCCTTAGGGCTCTCTGCCCAGTAACAGGCATCGAACGGTGCAGACTGAAGACGCCCTCCGTCAGCGACGCCGTCGCAATGGCCATTTGTCAATTCTTCCTTCAAGGCCGGTGCCGCTTTGGAGATCGGTGCTGGAACGAACATCCCGGTGCTAGGGGTGCAGGAGGAGGACGGCAGCAACCGCAGCAGCAGCCTTCAGGTGACTCTCCTCTGAATCCTCCGCGGTAACCGAGCCGGGAAGGGTCCGCCGGCGGGGACCGGGCGTCCCGCGTGTTTCCCGCTGCTGGTGACCCCAACGTGCCCGCGTCGCGGCCTTGCCGGCCCTACTGGGCCCTGCACAACGTTTTTAAACCGAGGGTTTTATCTACATATTATTCATGTGGTCCGTTTTTATTGAGCTTCTGAGGACCTGGGTTTGGGCCTGGATGCTTGTGCGAAACTGAGTTTTTAAATCGGAAGTACCTATCGAAACTACCTTGTAGGTAAATGCCGGAATTGAATATAATTTTTACTAAGTTGTTTTTTCGAGGGTGAGGCTAGCAGCTTGGGTCAGAATCAGGACTTCATTTTGGAGAAGTCGTGGACTTCTTTGAAAAAATCTAATAAAACCGGCCGGGCGGTGGCTCACGCCTGTAATCCCAGCACTTTGGGAGGCCGAGGCGGGCGGATCACGAGGTCAGGAGTTTGAGACCAGCCTGACCAACATAGTGAAACACCGTCTTTACTAAAAATACCAAAAAAAAAAAAAAAAAAAAAAATAGCCGGGCGTGGTGGCGCGCGCCTGTAATCCCAGCTACTCATGAGGCTGAGACAGGAGAATCGCTTGAACCCGGGAGGTGGAGGTTGCAGTGGGCCGAGATCGTGCCACTGCACTCCAGCCTGGGCGACAGAGCGAGACTATCAAAAAAAAAAAAAGAAAGAAAGAAAAGAAAAAAAGAAAATCTAATAAAACCTATAGAGCCATACCGCAAAAATGCACCTGCTCATAAATTTGGGGTGAAATTGGGAATGTGGGACGCCCAGTTAAGGGCTATCCGGGAGGTGAGGAAAGGAGATGCGGGGGCCACGTTGATCTAGTCCCTGGGCCTAGATCATTGTCAAAGCTTTTTATCTTCAAGGAAAGGAGAGATTAGACATGAAACCTTAGAACAACACAAGATTTTTAAAGATCGGGTTAATAATTCGGTGCTGTCTCCCTTCCTTCCCCTCCTTTAGGGCTATTCATCTGACCTTTATTTTTTTATTTTATTTTGAGACGGAGTCTTGCTCTCTCAGTCAGGCGGCTCACTGCGACCTCCGCCTCCCAGGCTCAAGCGATTCTTATGCCTCAGTCTCCCGAGTAGCTGGGATTACGGGTGCCCGCCACCATGCCCTTGATAATTTTTGTATTTTTAGTAGAGACAGGGTTTTGCCATTTTGGCCATACCGGTCTCGAACTCGTGACCTAAGGTGATACTCCCGCTTCCGTCTTTCAAAGTGCTGGGATTACAGGCGTGAGCGACCGCGGCGGGCCTCATCTAACCTTTAAACCTTGTATTGCGTGATGGTTTCACGTCTGATCCCACTTCAGGGAAGACAGTCCTTTTATTTCCTCCACAATTAATCTAGTGAAATATTTCAGACCGAAAATTAGGACTCATGTCTGATGAATGTGAGTGTAAACAAAATTTGGCAGACAAATTGTATTTAGCTCCCAGAAACAAATGAATGTTTCTGGAATTATAAGTATGAAGACCAAAAGCAATGTAAAAAAAAAAAAAAAAAAAAAAAAGGAGGAAGTGAGTTTCTTCAGTTGTATCATCCCCCAGTGAATTTGGAACTTTAGAAGAAGAAGATACCATTAACTTCTACTTGAGGGATCTGGTCTAGCAATCTCCACTTTTTTTTTTTTTTTTTTTAGGGTAGTTTAGAGTTGCAGGATGAACTTTCACAACTGGGCATGTGTGTCATTCTAACTTTTAATATAATTAATGGCTTATCTCTTTATTCAGTCAGAAACAAGATGAATTACCTTAATCTTGGCCCCAACTAGGAAGTGATGAGTAAATGAGATTGCTAAAATGATTTTAAAAAACAAAACAAAACCAATATATAAAGAGAGGAGAGAATCTTTTTGGCTCATTTTGATATTTATGAAATATTGGAAAGCTGGTAGAGGAACTACATGCATTCTGTACACATGTAAATACCATGTATAATCTCTCTGTGAAAATAGGTGTGTAGGTGTTTGCCCAGAGAAAAGACTGCGTCAAATAGACTTAAGCATCTGTACAAAAACAGAGGGTAGAATGTAATCTTTCATATTCGAGAAACTTTAATTCAATGTCCATTTTTCAGCCTTTACTACAGTATAGGGCCTGGTGGGGGAGCAAAGAATGATAAAAACCCAAGTTTTTATCCTGAAGGAGTTTATGATTTATGATGCATGCCTTCTGTCAACTTTTAACTATCAAGCAGTTGTTCATTTAATAAGCTTTGTCAGCTGAATTTAGTAATATATCACTATTTTTCTATATTATTTTCTTCTCAATCTCAAACAAAAATGCAATTGGCCACTATGTGATTTGTTGATATTACAACCTAACTACTGTATATAAATAAAAAATGAAGAGATTGTCATTTAAAATGAGTTTAAATGTAGTGCTTGTTGAATCTTTCTATATTGTCTAGACATACTAAGATATAATGAAGATTTTTGAGATTTTAAAGAACAGTTGCTGGGCACAGTAGCTCATGCCTATAATTCCAGCACTTTGGGAGGCTGAGGCAGGTGGATCTCTTGAGCCCAGGAGTTTGAGACCAACCCCGGGCAATATGGCAAGACCTTATCTCTACAAAAAGTACAAAAATTAGCCAGACATGGTGGTTTGCGCCTGTGGTCCCAGCTACTCAGGAGGCTGAGGTGGGAGGATCGATTGAGCTTAGGAGGTTGAGGTTACAGTGAGCCAAGATCATGCCACTGTACTCCACCCTGGGCAAAAGAGTGAGACCCTATCTCAATTAAAAAGAAAATAGAAAGAAAAGTTGCTAGTAAAATTATTTTGTTTTATTGTTTATTTTAGGTAATAATAGACGTGGATGGAATACAACTAGCCAGAGATATTCCAATGTCATCCAGCCATCCAGTTTCTCCAAATCCACACCATGGGGGGGCAGCAGAGATCAAGAAAAGCCATATTTCAGTTCTTTTGATTCTGGAGCTTCAACTAACAGGAAGGAAGGCTTTGGATTGTCTGAGAACCCATTTGCTTCACTTAGTCCTGATGAGCAGAAAGATGAAAAGAAACTTCTGTAAGTGAAAGTTTTCAGGAAAATTACTATCCATTTGCTTATGTTTTTTCACCTACAATCTTTGTTGTTTCTCTTTTTTTGTAACATCTTTTCACAATACAATATTTTCTTTAAAAAAAGAAATAATGCATTATTTTTAAATCAGAGTAGCAAAAAGAAGAAAAATCACCCACAATTCTATCACTCATAGATAGCCACTCTTTTGCTGTGTATTACCCTAGATTTTATTTCACTTAAAAATATATCATCTTTCTATAATAGTAGAGTGCCTTCCTAGGGGTAATTACGCTTTTTCCACTTTGTGTTGATAACACTATATTGTGAATATCTTTCTAAGATTAGTCCTGCTTAAGTTCATTCTAACTTACAAGTCCTTTACAAAGTATGATGTAATTTAGAACAACTTGTGAACTTGGAGGTCATTTTACCATCTCATTTATTTATTTATTTATTTATTTTGAGACGGAGTCTTGCTCTGTTGCCCAGGCTAGAGTGCAGTGGTACAATCTCGGCTCGCTGCAGCCTCCGCCTTCTGGGCTCAAGCCATTCTTCTGCCTCAGCCTCCCAAGTAGCTGGGATTACAGGCTCCTGCCACCAAGCCAGCTAATTTTTTGTGTTTTTAGTAGAGATAGGGTTTTACCATGTTGGCCAGGCTGGTCTTGAACTCTTGACCTCAAGTGATCTGCCTGCCTCAGCCTCCCAAAGTGCTGGGATTATAGGCATAAGCCACCATACCCAGCCACATATCTTATTTCTTTCTAAAACTTTTACTTGGATTATCCTATTCAAACTGATCTCATTTGATTTCCTACATTTATTATGGAGTAGATACATGACATTTCTTGAGAATATTTATGGTAAAATTTATGGCTGGTGTCAAAACAATGCTTGGCTATCTGTAATGTTCTCTCAACTCATGGTGACTAGGATGGAATTTAAATGTAATTGGTTAGTCTTTTACTTATCCTAATTAAATCAGAACCAGTTGTAGACATGTTGAGTCATATACCATATACAACCGATTTTTTTTTAAGTAAATGAGCAAACAAAACCTTCCTTTCTGCATTTGTTGCAATTCTAAATTTAATACAGTTTTCTCTGTGATAATTCTCCTTTTATTGACATAGTCTAAGTAGGGAGAAACTTTAATTTAGAGCCGAATCTACCCACGGCATTACCACAGATTAGTTGTATGGATGTGGGTCTGTTTCCCCTGTTGCAAAATGTGAGAATTAGATAAAATGATCTCTGAAGTCCTATAACCCACTTTTAAAATATTATGATTCTGTATCACGTAAGTGGTACTTTGTTCTTCCCAGTTAAATGATTATTGATGTTTGTGATAATTAACAAAGATTAAAGTTAGTATTTTAGATTTTAATTCCTAAAAAAAGTATGGTATCTATGATAGTATTTATGTAATTACTATCATAACCAATGTTACATATCATACCAATGATACCATATGATATGGTTACATATCATAACCAATGTTATGTATTAACATTGGTTAATGGGTCAGTGTATTGGAAAGCCAAACTCATTAACTTCTCTGACATTATAATACTATTTGTAACCATGAAATATAGTTCACACTTCTATAAACTTGTGCTTTAAAGAACACTCTTCAGAAAATATAATGGAAAAGTATTTACTAGAATTTAAATTTTCAGTTGTGGAAAACCATTAACAATAAATTTTACCAAGCAGCTAAGAAGATCCTTTACTCTTTTTTTTTTTTTCTTTTTTGCAGGGAAGGAATTGTAAAAGATATGGAGGTTTGGGAATCATCAGGGCAGTGGATGTTTTCTGTTTATTCACCAGTGAAAAAGAAACCTAATATTTCAGGTAACTGAAAAATTGTGCATTTTTAAAGTATGTTCTAAAACTATTATTTTCTAAAACCAAAAGAATGCCAAATAAAGAAATCAACTACCAACTTAGCTACAACTAGGAGAGTTTGGGCATTGTTTAAAGTATTCGAGTATTCTAGCCAAACTTCATAATTTAGAGATTAAGGTTGGAGAATATAGTCTTTTAAGACATATAGTTCTTGGGAGAAAACATTTAAATAAAGCCCAGGAAGAGACTCTACGTTCTTGATTCCCTGTATGTACAACTTTGGAACCTCTTAGCTTCCTGTTGTGAATAGAAGAGTCATCCTGCCTGTCATTAAGGCCTTGGCTGCCTGGTTCTGTTCTTTCTTCCCTGTCTTTCCTTCTAAGAATAGTTGTGTTGAGACCTGTTCTGGAGATAATGTTTAAATGTGAGGAGGCTTAGCTGGGCTACAGGGATAGCAACTTTTTTTTTTTTTTTTTTTTTTTTGAGACGGAGTTTCACTCTTGTCCTCCAGGCTGGAGTGCAGTGACGCGATCTCGGCTCACTGTGACCTCTGCCTCCCAGGTTCAAGTGATTCTCCTGCCTCAGCCTCCCGAGTAGCTGGGATTACAGTTGCCCGCTACCACACCTGGCTAATTTTTGTATTTTTCTAGAGACGGGGTTTTACCATGTTGGCCAGTCTAGTCTAGAACTCCTGACCTCAGGTGATCCGCCCGCCACAGGCTCCTAAAGTGCTGGGATTATAGGCGTGAGCCACCACACCTGGCCTGGAATAGCATTTGCTTTAGAATATTCTCTGTCTCTCTCTCTCTCTCTGGCCTGGAATAGCATTTGCTTTAGAATATTCTCTCTCTCTTTTTTTATTTTTTATTTTTATTTTTTTTTTTGTCCATAGTCCCTAAGCCCTTTCTGGGCTGAAACCTAGACCACCGGGCTTTCCCAAGCCCACTCTGGGTGTTCCTGGGCCTCCGTCCTTTTGAGGAAACAGTGGGTACCTTGCAAATGGGAGCTCTTGCAATCAATATCGCAGAACCTTGGGATCTTTCCTCTGTCTCAGTTCTAGTTGCTCATTTTCTGTGAGCATTTGCATTACAACGCTTCTTATTTATTCACTTGTCCATTTAACAAATATTTACTGAATTTCTTTTGTGCTAAGTGCTAGGAATATAGTGATGAGCAAGACAGACAAGATCCCTTCCTTATGAATCTTACATTCTTGAGGGAGGAAAACAATAAGTGATGCAAATAAACTAAGATAATTTCAGATAATGATATTTTCTATAAAGAAACCACAAAGTATTAAGCCCTTAATCAGCTTAAGTATTAGTACTTGAGTATTAATCCATTCCAAATTGAACCTAATGCCTGTTGCCCTAAAGCAGTGGTTCTTAAAATGTGGATTCCTGAATATAGTTGTCAGATAAAATATGGGACATCCGGTTAAATTTAAATTTCAGATAAACAGTGTTTTTAGTATGTGTACATGCCATGTAATATTTGGGGCACATTTATACTAAAAAAAGTATTTATTGTATATCTGAAATTCAAATTTAACTGGGCATCCTGTATTTTTATTTGCTAAGTCTGGCAACTTTATCCCTGAGGCCCTTTTAGGAGTTGCCTGAGTTCAAAAATATTTTCTGATAATACTAAGTGATTAATTGCCATTTTTCACTGTGTTGACATTTGCACTGTTGGTGCAGCAGCATTGAGGAGTAGAACTACTTGTATCTTAGCAAGAATCAAGGCAGAGGCAATAAATTACTAGTAGATGTCACAATAAAAAAATGTTTAATGCCATTTGAACTTAAGAACTTCCTTTATGAAGAGATAAAAATTATTAATTTTGTTAACCCTTGACCCTGAGTACGCACCTTTTTAGTATTCTGTGTGACAAAATGGGAAGCACACAAAAAGTGTGTCTGCCCCATGCCCAAGTGTGATGAACAATCTTGTGTAATTGTTCAAGTTGGACTGAGCTAGCCACTTTTTTCAAAGACAATATTTATTTGAAAGGAATGACAACTATGGTTATTTAGAAGAAAACAGTTGATAGTGTTTATTGCCAATGAAAAAAATTAAAACTTTCAAGCAAAAATTGAAATTACGGAAAACTTTGTCATCGTGAGCATGATGGCTTCTCAGTACTTAAAATCTCTTCTGATTAAATGGATGGCAACATTCACAAATGTGAGGGCCACACGCAGCAGCTCATGCCTGTCATCCCAGTGCTTTGGGAGGCTGCGGTGGGAGAATGGCTTGAAGCCAGGGGTTTGAGACCACCTGGACAATATAGCAAGACCTTGTCTCTACAAAAAATACAAAAATTAGCCTGAGTATGATGGCATATGCCAAGACTCTTAGCTACTCTGGAGGCTGAGGTGGGGGGATCACTTGAGTTCAAGAGTTCAAAGTTATGGTGAGCTCTGATGGTGCCACCACACTCCAGCCTGGGTGACAGAGCGAGACCCTGTCTCTTTAAAAAATTTTTTTGGCTGTGCACGGTGGCTCACACCTGTAATCCCAGCACTTTGGGAGGCCGAGGTGGGTGGATCATGAGGTCAGGAGATGGAGACCATCCTGGCTAACACGATGAAACCCCATCTCTACTAAAAAATACAAAAAATTAGCCAGACATGGTGGTATGCGCCCGTAGTCCTAGCTACTTGGGAGGCTGAGGCAGGAGAATGGCATGAACCTGGGAGGCGGAGCTTGCAGTGAGCCAAGATTGTGCCACTGCACTCCAGCCTGGGTGACAGAGTGAGACTCTGTCTCAAAAAAAAAAAAAAAAATTTTTTTGATGTTGTATAATAACGTGCCAATGTTTAGAAGTTCTGCATAACTCAGTGAACTGGCATTTTTCAAATGACTTATATGTGATATTACAAAATTATGCATGGCTGAAAGTCCATTCTACATGCATGATAAACCAGTGAATGTTAATATAATGCCACAAAAAGTTCATTAGTATGGCTTGAGTCTATGTTATAGTTAACCTTTAAAAAACTACCACTTGTTAAGTTTTGGTGTAGTATCAAAGAAAAATGTCCACAGTTATTTGAAAAAGCCATTTAAGTCTTCCTTTTCCAATACGTGTCTGTGTGAATGCCCATTTTCTTCATACACTTCAGTCAGAACAACATATTGCAACAGAATGAATGCAGAAGCATATGTAAGAATCCAGCAGTCTTCTATTAAGCCAAACATTAAGAGATGTATAAACATAAAGCAAGGCTATTCATCTTACTAAATTTTCATTTTTTGTTTTGGAAAATAGCTTTTTCATTTATGTAGATAAGTAATTGTTTTCTTACTTTTAAATGAATTAATACTAAGTTTCTCAGTTTTCATTTCAAATGTGGTAATTATCAATGTAAGTAACCCTTGTAAACAAACATTCTTTGGGGTCCTTAATGATTTTTAAGAATGTAAAGGAGTACTGAGACCAAAAGTTTGAGTACTTCTGTCCTTAGGCATCCATTGTATTAATAAATTAACTTTTTCCATGCAGCTATAATAGAATGATACTACTTTTGTCAATTTTGGCTTTTGTTGCCATTGCTTTTGGTGTTTTAGACATGAAGTCCTTGCCCATACATATGTAACAAACCTGCACATTGTGCACATGTACCCTAAAACTTAAAGTATAATAAAAAATAAAAATAAAAAATTAAAAAAAGAATGATACTACTTTTGCCCCATTTTGCAAGACTTGAGAAAATTATCACTCAAATCATTTTCTGTGTTCTGTGGTTTGGATGAGGAATTCTGGTTGAGCACAGCTGGAAGGAATAGGCAATTAGGGGAACAATATTTCTTTAGATAGAGTGGTTATCTATTCCTGGGAGACAGTATTGGAAATGAGTCCTGAATAAAGAGAGGGTATCAGTTATGGGAAGATTTGGGGAAAACATTCCTGGCAGTAGGACTAGCTATTGCAAAGGCCCTGAGGTAAGAACAAGGTTGGCAGTGTTTACAGACTAGTGGGGCCTGAATTACTGGAGGAGAGTAAACAAGGGAAAGTAATATGACAGTAAGGCCAGAGAGATAGCCAGGGGCCAGATCATGTTGGGCCTAATTGCACTGGGCAGGCAGCCATGAAGAACTTTAAGCAAAAGAGGGACGTGATCTGATTAGAAAAAGCTAACTCAGCATGCTGTGTGAGGGGGGAGAAAGGTCTGTTGGGAGCCGTGGCAAAAGTAGAGATAGGGAGACAAGTTAGAAGACATTGCTGCTTGTGACTAGAGTTCATAGCAGTGAAGACAGAATTGGTCATATTTGGGTTCTCTGTTGGAGCTTGAACTGGCAGGATGCTGATTAACTAGATATAGGGAAAGAGAAATCCAAGGTGATTCCTAGGGTTTTTTGGCCTGAGAGGTCAGTAAAGATGGGGAAGACAAGTCATTAGAAGGAATCCAGGGAAACATTTAGTCTTTCCTTTACTCTGAAGCAGGTGTCCTTGGAGTTAATAATAACTGGATTACAAGGAATTCTTTGTAGAAAATATCTTGAACATTTTTTGCCTTTCTTAGTAAGTTTGCCCAATTATAAAAGTTACAGCTTTTGGGCCAGATGTGGTGGCTCATGCTTGTAATCCTAGCACTTTGGGAGGCTGAGGCAGGTGGATCACTTGAGCCCAAGAATTTGAGACCAACCTGGGCAACTTGGCGAAACCCTGTCTCTACCAGGGTGTGGTGGCACATTCCTATAGTCCCAGCTACTCAGGAGGTTGAGATGGGAGGATCACTGGAGCCTAGGAAGTCAAGGCGGCAGTGAGCCACTGCACTCCAGCCTGGGTGACAGGAATGAGACTGTGTCTCAAAAATAAAAAACAAGTTACAGCTTTTGCTTTAGAAAACTTGGAAAGTACAGAAATATATAAATAAAATAAAAATAACCTGATATCACAGAGGTAACTACTACATTTTAGTATATTTCTTTCGAAACATATACACACACAAACATATTTCTTGTTTATGTATACAATTGACCCTTGAACAACATAAAGTTTAGCGGCACTGATCCTCTGTGCAGTCAAAAATCCACGTATAAGCTTTGACTCCCCAAAAGCTTAACTACTAATAACGTACTGTAAGAGAAAAGAAAATGTTAAGAAAATCATAACGGATCAGGCGCGGTGGCTCACGCCTGTAATCTCGGCACTTTGGGAGGCTGAGGCGGGTGGATCACAAGGTCAGGAGTTCGAGACCAACCTGGCCAATGTGGTGAAACCCCATCTCTACTAAAAATACAAAAAAAATTAGCCGGGCTTGGTGGTGCATGCCTGTAATCCCAACTACTGTGGAGGCTGAGGCAGGAGAATTGCCTGAACCCAGGAGGCCGAGGTTGCAGTAAGCCGAGATGATGCCACTGCACTCCAGCCTGGGCAACAGAGCAAGACTTCATCTCAAAAAAAAAAAAAAAAAGAAAAAGAAAATCATAAGGATAAGAAAATATATTGACCATTCACATAGTGGAAGTGGATCATCATAAAAGTCTTCATCCTTATTGTCTTTATGTTGAGTAGCAGAGGGATAGGTGGGTGTGGTCTTGCTGTCTCAGGAGTGGCAGAGGCGGAAGAAAATCCCTGTACAAGTGGCCCCTGTACAAGTGGACCCTGTACAGCTGTGTGTACAGTTGACCTTTGAACAGAACTGCAAGGGTCCACTTGTACAGGGATGTATAAGTTGTTCTATGTGTGTATATATGTATACCTATGTGTCCGGAATTGGTGGGTTCTTGGTCTCACTGACTTCAAGAATGAAGCCACGGACCCTCGCGGTGAGTGTTACAGTTCTTAAAGACATCGTGTCCGGAGTTTGTTCCTTCTGATGTTCAGATGTGTTCGGAGTTTATTCCTTCTGGTGGGGTCCGTGGTCTCGCTGGCTCAGGAGTGAAGCTGTGGACCTTCGCGGTGAGTGTTACGGCTCTTAAGGCGGCCCGTCTGGAGTTGTTTGTTCCTCCCAGTGGGTTCGTGGTCTCGCTGGCTTCAGGAGTGAGGCTGAAGACCTTCGCGGTGAGTGTTACAGCTCATAAAGGCAATGTGGACCCAAAGAGTGAGCAACAGCAAGATTTATTGCAAACAGCAAAAGAACGAAGCTTCCACAGTGTGGAAGAGGAGCTGAGCGGGTTGCCACTGCTGGCTGGGGCAGCCTGCTTTTATTCTCTTATCTGGCCCCACCCACATCGTGCTGATTGGTTCATTTTACAGAGAGCCAAGTGGTCTGTTTTGACAGGGTGCTGATTGGTGCGTTTACAATCCCTGAGCTAGACACAAAGGTTCTCCAAGTCCCCACTAGATTAGCTAGATACAGAGTGTGGACACAAAGGTTCTCCAAGTCCCAACCAGAGTAGCTAGATACAGTGTTGATTGGTGTATTTACAAACCCTGACCTACACACAGGGTGCTGATTGGTGTGTTTACAAACCTTGAGCTAGACACAGAGTGCTGATTGGTGTATTTACAATCCCCTAGCTAGACATAAAGGTTCTCCAAGTCCCCACCAGACTCAGGAGCCCAGCTGGCCTCACCCAGTGGATTCCACACCAGGGCCACAGGTGGAGCTACCCGCCAGTCCCGCGGTGTGTGCCCACACTCCTCAGCCCTTGGGTGGTCGATGGGACTGGGTGCCGGTGGAGCAGGGGGTGGCGCTCCTCGTGGAGGCTCAGGCTGCTCAGGAGCGCACGGAGGTGAGGGGGAGGCTCAGGCATGGCGGGCTGCAGGTCCCGAGCCCTGCCCCGCAGGGAGGCAGCTAAGACCCGGCAAGAAATCCAGCGCAGCGCCGGTGGGCCGGCACTGCTGAGGACCCAGCACACCCTCCGCAGCCGCTGGCCCGGGTGCTAAGCTTCTCATTGCCCGGCAGGGCCAGCCGGCAGCTCTGAGTGTGGGGCCCACCAAGCCCACGCCCACTCGGAACTCCAGCTGGCCAGCAAGGGCCCTGGGTAGCTCTGGTTGCCACTCGCGCCTCTCCCTCCACACCTCCCTGCAAGCTGAGGGAGCCAGCTCAGGCCTTGGCCAGCCCAGAAAGGGGCTCCCACAGTGCAGCGGTGGGCTGAAGGTCTCCTCAAGTGCCACCAAAGTGGGAGCCCAGGTAGAGGAGGTACCCAGAGCGAGTGAGGAATGTGAGGGCTGCCAGCAAGCTGTCACCTCTCACCTATACATATATACGTATACATATATATGATTAGGATCATAATCTAGTTTTTCTTTGTTTTTTGTTTTGTTTTGTTTTTTTGAGACAGAGTTTCGCTCTTTGTTGCCCAGGCTGGAGTGCAGTGGCGCCATCTCAGCTCACTACAGCCTCGGCTGGCCTTCCGGGTTCAAGCGATTCTCCAGTCTCAGTCTCCCGAGTAGCTCGGATTATAGGCATATGCCACCACGCCGAGCTAATTTTGGTATTTTTAGTAGAAACAGGGTTTCGCCGTGTTGGCCCGGCTGGTCTTGAACTTCTGGCCTCAGGTGATCCACCGGCCTTGGTCTCCCAAAGTGCTGGGACTACAGGCGTGAGCCACCGCGCCCGGCTGTAATCCAGTTTTTTTTGTTTTTGCTTTTGTTTTTGTTTTTGTTTTGAGACGGAGTCTCGCTTTGTTGCCCAGGCTGGAGTGCAGTGGCGCAGTCTTGGCTCACTGCAACCTCTGCCTCCCAAGTTCAAGCAATTCTCCTGCCTCAGCCTCCCGAGTAGCTGGGATTACAGGCTCATGCCACCACACCCGGCTAATTTTTTGTATTTTTAGTAGAGAGGGGGTTTCACCATGTTAGCCAGGATGGTCTCAATTTCCTGACCTCGTGATCCATCCGCCTCAGCCTCCCAAAGTGCTGCAACTACAGGCGTGAGCCACCGTGCCCGGCCCTAGTTTTATATTCTAATTTTTGCTTTCAGTTTGTCTCTGGTACTAAAAATATTAGAATGAACACCCTTATACATAGCAACCTTTGTTTACATATATAACTATTTCCCAAGGTTAAATCCTATAAATTGTATTATAAGTCACAGGATATGAATGTTTTTCAGGCTTGTGATGCTTATTAACAATTATCCCTCCCAGAAAACTTGTACCATTTTAATTCCCTTAACGGTAATTTAGGAAATGATACATTTCACCACATTTGGAACAACAGTAAATACCAGCTTTTAAAATTTCTGCCAGTCTGATAAGTAAAGCATTTTATCTCTATTTTAAGTTGCATTTAACTTTATTTCATTTATTTACTATTTGATTTTTTTTGTGTGTGAATTGCCTGTTCATTATCTTTGCCCAAATTCATTTACTTTTCTCATTTATTTGTAAGAGCTATTTGTACATTAGGGCATTAGTTCTTCTCTTGTCATATATGTTAAAATTGCAATTTTCCTAGTGTACCATTTGCCTTGTAATTTTGCTTAGTATAGTTTCTGGCAGAATTTTTAAAATAAAAGTTTGAATATAAATGTAGTCAAATCTTTCTCCTGTGTTTGTTGTTCATTCTACGCCACTTATCTTTAGAAAATCTTCCCCATTTAAAGATCAGAATAACCAACTATATTTTACTGTAATTTTACACTTTATTAAACATTAAGTAGAGTGTAGGCTTTAAGTTTCTTCCTCATGGTTATGAAAATTTTCTAATCAACATTAGATATTTTCTTGTTTAGCACCTCTAGCTTTACTATCAAAATTATTGGCATTTATTTTAAAGATTCCGATTGATTCCTCACTTCAGGTTTTACAGACATTTCACCAGAGGAATTGAGGCTTGAATACCATAACTTCTTAACCAGCAATAACTTACAGAGTTATGTAAGTTTGTTTCCTATTAATCTACTGCAATAACAGATGAGCTCTTAATTACTGCTTTCTTTATCGTGGCTTGTGTTTTGGCAAAACCGATGAGGTCTATGATCTTTTTTCAGGAGTAGGCTATTTTTCTTTTCTATATTATTTTCATTGAATTTGGTTGGTTATTAAAATGATAATATATTTTTACTTTAATAATTAGGAATATTACTATTTTTATTATAAATTACCCAACAGTCAATCCCAGAAATGAAACCCTTTTATCATTTGACAGATATTTATTGAACATCTGTTAGGTACCAATCCAGTGATGAATGCTAGAAAAACAAAGTTAAATAAGATACAGTCTGTAATACAGATTAACATCCTCATATATCAAATATCAAAAAAAATTAAAAATCTTGACTAGAATAAGTTGAGTACCTGAAGGAAGCAGTTTAAATGCTGTATTTTTCTGTTTCTACAGTCATGATCATGCATTTCAACTAGTACATGTATTCACCGCCCATCCAAATATAACTAACTACGTGCTGCCAGGTACTTGTGATACTAACCAGATGATACAAGGAGTTGAACGGGAGAGGGAACTGGAGCTGGCATATCTTTGACAAATAGGCCAAGTCAATGCAAATTTTGCAAGTCATGGGCCATAAAACTGTTACATAAACCTTTTGTGATTTTGGCAAAGAAGTATGTGAAGTTTTTATTGAAGAAACTAACTTAAACATACAATATTGAACTGTTATTTTTCTGTCTTCCGTTTTCAGCTAAATTCTGTCCAACGTTTAATAAATCAATGGAGGAACAGGGTAAATGAACTGAAAAGTCTAAATATATCAACTAAAGTAGCTTTGGTGAGTATGGGAGAGTTTTCTTGAGGGAAGTGTCTTACCTATTGCTTTTTTGCAGAGGATATTTTACTTTAGATTTGGAAAGCAAAACAAAAATTTTCTATCAAGAATTATGATACACACATTCCCAAAATAGCATCACTTAAGAGTCAGGGTCTTGAAATAGTTTTCTCTGTGTTCCTTGGTCAGAAAAGCAGAAATAGTTATGCTTTTTAAAAGCTTTTTAGGGTAAAGTTTTTAACTTTGGTAGTGCTAGTTTTGAAAATGGCAAACTATTACATAAGTTTAAGTATTTAAGGTTATCTGTATGTAAAAAGAAATTACTTTGAACAGTTATATGAATGCACATTTAGAATGTAATGTATCGTTTTGCGACTGAAGAACACAGTATGTTCCTTGTCTTAAACAGAAATGCCTTTGGAAGATATATACCCACCTGTCTCCAAAGATCTATGGTCCCGACTGTGGCAAGTTCATTATCTTTGTAAATAAAGTTATGATGTTTCTACACCCATTAAAAAGTTCTTAAGAATTTTATTTTAAAATAAGATATTCACATTTATAATTTTAATATTTCCAATTTCTCAGATGGTTTCTACTCTGTATAAGGATATGAGAGTAATGTCTCCCTACACTTAGTGAATGGTTGACAGTCCCAACACCCCACCCCTTTCTTAAATATGTGCTTCCTGAATAACTAGACTCTTGTGCAAGCTAATTTCTTTCATCTTTTAGTTCTTGTAATGCTATTTGAATTTAGTGGGACCTCTTGGAAGTAGTCTGTCCTTGTGTGAGAGGTGGCCCACCATCACCATGGATGAGAGCTGATGGAGAAAGGATAACTGAGTCCAAAGAACTGTGGAACTTCCCTCAGGGCTGGAAGGTCCCTGCTCCTTGCTAACTGCCCAGGGCCCCTTCCATAGGTTAGAATGTGGGACAACCCACCCATAGCTGACTTAACATGTATCAGGAGTTCATGCCTTCTTTATACTGAATGGTAACCCATTGTATGGATATAATTTGTTTATCATCTGCCTGTTAATGAATATTACACTGAGGGAGAGAAACCAGACCAAAAAAAAAAAAATAGTGTAGACCATGTGATTCCATTTGTATGAAACTCTGGAAAAGACAAGTCTCATTTGTAGTGATAGAAAGCAGACAGAGTGGTTGCCAGGGACCAGGAGCAAGAATGCTTTTGAGGGCTGGGTGCAGTGGCTCACGCCTGTAATCCCAGCACTTCGGGAGGCTGAGGCAGGCGGATCACAAGGTCAGGAGTTTAAGACCAGCCTGACCAACATGGTGAAACCCGGTCTCTACTAAAAATACAAAAATTAGCCAGGCATGGTGGCACACGCCTGTAATCCTAACTACTCAGGAGGCTGAGGCAGGAGAATCACTTGAACCCAGGAGAGGTTGCAGTCTCAAAAACAAAAGCATTCTTTTTTTTTTTTTTTTTTTTTTTTTGAGGCAGAGTCTCACTCTGTCACCCAGGCTGGAGTGCAGTGGTGCCATCTCAGCTCACTGCAAGCTCCGCCTCCCGGGTTCACGCCATTCTCCTGCCTCAGTCTCCCGAATAGCTGGGACTACAGGCACCCACCACCACGCCCAGCTTTTTTGTATTTTTAGTAGAGACGGGATTTCACCATGTTAGCCAGGATGGTCTCGATCTTCTGACCTCATGATCCGCCCGCCTCAGCCTCCCAAAGTGCTGGGATTACAGGCGTGAGCCACCACACCGGCCAAAGAATGCTTTTGAGGCTTCCAAATGAAAGAAATCGCTTATGTTTGCTTTGGATGATTAAGAAAGTCTTCTTGAAAGGAAGGAGCAAATACAAAGTTCCTTGAAAGTAGGATTAAGATTTCAGTAAGCAGAGATGAAAGACATTTCTAGAGCACAGAACAGCAAGAACATAAAGTACTTTCAGGGAATGGGAAATGTTTAATGGATTTTTAGTCATAAGCTTTTAATTATATAATAGTGGATCTACTTCGAGTATTAGACTGGGTATTCTATAAAGGTCCTTTTTACCTAATATCTAGATTTCTTGATAAATGCAGATCTACCCTTATAGACACTGAAAAAAATTTAAAAATATTTTTCTGATTATAATATCTGCTCATTGTAGAAATTTAGAAAGTATAAAAAAGCATAAATAAAATTTAAATCACCTGTAATTTATCAGCCAGAGATAATCACTGTTAACTTACTAATGTACATTTTTTATGCATATTCATATTACTAGTTGTGATTATACTGTTTATACAGTATTATGTCTTATCCTTTTCAACATCATATTATGGGCATTTTCCATGTTAAGCATTTAACTTTGCCTTTTTTAATGCACTTTTTTCTTCTCTTTTCTTTTTTTGAGTCAGAGTCTTACTTTGTCATCCAGGCTTTCCCAGGCTCAAGTGATCCTCCCACCTCAGGCTCCCAAATAGCTGGGACCACTGGCTAATTTTTTATAGAGATGGGGGTCTCGCTGTGTTGCTGAGGCTGGTCCCAGACTCATAGGCTCAAGCCCTTCACCCTCCTCAGCCTCCCAAAGTGCTAGGATTACAGGTGTGAGCCACCACACCCAGCCTTTAATGCACATTTTAAAAACTTGAATTTGTCCATAAAGTGTATAGAAAAGATACTGGAGCACTATTCATCAAGCACTTTATTATTTGCACACTTTTTTTTTTCAGCTCTCTGATGTAAAGGATGGAGTAAATCAAGCAGCACCTGCATTTGGATTTGGCAGCAGTCAAGCAGCAACATTTATGTCGCCAGGTAAGTGATAAAGTAATGCAGGACTTCACTGATTTAGAAAAATTAGATTTTATAGGTTTCAAATTACAAGCCTGAATCGCCATTTTAAATTACCTTCGTAAATTCTACAACCTTCCATCATAGAGCCTCAAAGCATTTGACTCATTAGACATTTGTGAAAGGGAGGCCAGATTGGGCATGTTCTTTGAAAGACACTTAAGCTTTAGAAGTACATTTTAGGAATGAGTTTTCAGGAGTTTCGTAGAAGTACATAGCTATGATAGCAGCACCTTTGAGAACTTTCTTGTCACTGTGTATAACAGCATAGCATTGTCCTCAGGTAGCAGCTCTGGTGAGGTAAGTAGAAACCAAAGTGAAAGTCTATTCCCTAGTCCCTGTGGTTTCTCCTTGGGTGAAGGTCGATCAAGGTGAAAATGGGATTGTTAGCAGAAAAGACAGGCAGCAGGCTTTAGTGGGTAGTTCTAGCCTCTCATTTTTACTTTCCTCATCTCGTCCGTCCAGTAAGCTTCTCAACACTGAAACATGACATAAATAAGAAAAAAAGATAGGGGGAGGAAATAATTGTGACATTTTTCTGACCGTAATAGATTTTTGTTGTTTTTTTTGTTGTTGTTGTTGTTTGTAGGCTTTCCAGTCAATAACAGCAGCAGTGATAATGCTCAGAACTTTAGTTTTAAAACAAACTCTGGATTTGCTGCTGCCTCTTCTGGAAGCCCTGCTGGTTTTGGGAGTTCCCCAGCATTTGGAGCTGCAGCCTCTACCAGTTCAGGTATCTCTACTTCTGCTCCAGCTTTTGGATTTGGGAAGCCTGAAGTCACATCGGCTGCATCATTTTCATTCAAAAGCCCTGCAGCTTCCAGTTTTGGATCACCTGGATTTTCAGGACTTCCAGCTTCCTTGGCAACAGGTCCTGTCAGAGCTCCAGTGGCCCCAGCCTTTGGAGGTGGCAGTTCTGTGGCTGGTTTTGGTAGTCCGGGCTCACATTCTCACACTGCTTTTTCTAAGCCATCCAGTGACACTTTTGGAAATAGCAGCATATCCACTTCTCTGTCAGCCTCAAGCAGCATCATTGCAACAGATAATGTGTTATTCACACCCAGAGATAAACTAACAGTAGAAGAACTGGAACAATTTCAATCCAAGAAATTTACTCTGGGAAAAATTCCATTAAAGCCTCCACCTCTGGAACTTCTAAATGTTTAAAAGGGCAATTTTAAATACAAAAAAGAATGATGTTTAAAATTGCTTTGAGTGATTCATACAGAGATGTATATATGCATACATGTATATATTCATAAGGAATATAAGCTTCCATCAATAGTGATTTTAAATTTGATTTTTTTCTTAACTCTAAATATTTAAGTAAAAAGTAACAAAAACTCTGCAAGCAAGGGAATTTTTTTGTACTGTAATTTTGAATGGAACTGAAAAATTATGCACGAATAAAGTACTTTTCTCATGCCATACCACTTTACTGTCTCACAATTTAAAGTTTTAAACTTTTTTTTTTAGGAAGGAGATAATTTCTGTAATTATTAGGGGGAACATGCTCAAATATTTAACCTACTTTTAGAGTAAACATTAGTAGCATGACTTCATGTTCAGGATTCTCTCAAAGAGATAAATCAGTTTGTAAAGAGTGACAAGCTTTTAGTTTTAGAACCATAGGGGCATTTCCCCCCCGATAAGTTTGGTTCCCTCTCAACTTTGGCGGTCTCGTGGACCACCATTTGAGTTTTCTTCAACAATCTTAGGCTGCTTTTTATTTTGGCCTCACTTTTATAGAATTCTATTTATTCATCACATTAGTCTGTCAAATGGATGAGTTGTAAGAGAAACAAATTGTGATCTCATGTGAATAAATAATGTGTGTAGTGGGGTCAGGATTCACCAGTTTCTGTTTCTAGATCTTCTCAGGCATGGCCAGGTACAGTAGCTCACACCTGTAATCCCAGCACTTTGGGAGGCTGAAGCGGGCAGATCACTTGAGGTCAGGAGAGTTCGAGACCAGCCTGGCCAACATGGTGAAACCCTATCTCTACTAAAAATACAAAAAATAAGCTGGGTGTGGTGGCGGGCACCTGTAATCCCAGCTACTCAGGTGGCTGAGGCAGGAGAATCACTTGAACCCGGGAGGCAGAGGTTGCAGTGAGCTGAGATCACACCACTGCCCTCCAGCCTGGGTGACAGAGCGATACTCCATCCCCTTTCCTGCCCTCCCCCAACAAAAAAAGAATTATTGTGCATGTTTGGATCTCCCTGTGTCCTCAGATTGAGGGAGTAAGATTTATATTTTACATATGGATGATCCAAGAAACTAAATGCCTGTCACGAGTTGAAGCAGGTATATCAGACTTCTGCGCTTTCTCAGTCCTCAAAAATTGCATAGCTAGCACTGCCAGAGCAGTTACTAACACGGTTCTGGCATTCAGCTGATTTTTCTAAGTGAATATAAAACCTTACATAATAAAAGATATGCCCTCCAAATGATTTTAACGTATGCAAAGGATTCAGTCCTCAAAAGACCTGCATTCTCCATTACACTTTTGTTGTTGTTCTTGTTGTTGTTGTTGTTATTGTTGTTGAGACGGAGTCTCACTCTGTCGCCCAGGCTGGAGTGCAGTGGCGCGATCTCGGCTCACTGCAAGCTCCGCCTCCTGGGTTCACGCCATTCTCCTGCCTCAGCCTCCTGAGTAGCTGGGACCACAGGCGCCCACCACCACGCCCGGCTAATTTTTTTGTATTTTTAGTAGAGACGGGGTTTCACCATGTTAGCCAGGATGGTCTTGATCTCCTGACCTCATGATCCGCTTGCCTCAGCCTCCCAGATTTCTGGGATTACAGGCATGAGCCACCATGCCTGGCTCCATTACACTTTTTGAGGAGCTGCATGACTCATCTGACAGTTCTGGAACCCCAGTGTTTGGTACAGAATCTATACTATAACCAGGGGATATATATTTGAAACCATGCTGGTGTAGAGATGGTAAATAGAGCATAAGTTCCTTTAGAAGGAGCAAGATTAAAACAAAAAGAGCATAAATTCCTTCTTTGGTCTCAAGCTCTACAGACTTTCCAGTATTCGAACTAATACTTGAATCCTAGAATTTTCCTGCCCCGCCCCCCCCCCCCCCGGGATGACCCCTACACTACCTCTAAATTGCATACAAGCTCCCTGAGGTCTCAGTTGAACTTCCCAGTGTCCTGGAAGATCTCAGAAAATCCTAGTTAAAAGCCCATTGTTTCCAACTGTGCCTGATTATAGGAATCACCTGGGGTGTTAAATAATATATCCAGATAACATATCCAAATTACAGGAGCTGCCCATTGGGATGGGCTTGGGAATATGTCAACAGGTATTCCTTGTGGTCCTTCAGGCAAGTTTGGGAAACAGGACTATCCAGCTGGATTTAGGCTACTTAGTAATACCTGATTTGGGAGTTTTAATTGTTGAAGTCTGTTTTCTGTGCTCCCATATAGACAAAAATGTGGGAATTTAACAGGATCCGAAGTTTTTTAAAAAGCACAAATAAGTGCTACAGGCTACTAAAAAATTTTGAGAAACTAAAGCAGAGAGGCCCACAAAGTAGAAACTAGCACCATGCATACATACTGGTGTCAGAAGTCAAGAAAACTGGTAACTCCCAGACCTAGGCTAAGGGGCATCGCGGCTTCAGAAAATCAGAAACAGGTAACAATGAGGTGGCAGCAGCTGGGTATAAAGGTAGGTTGAGTGTTCAGACCCCAAGAGGGAGGTAGTAGAAGGGAAAAGGCACCCACAACAAAAGGATGTGCCAGCATCTTCTGGATGGTATCTCCTAATCTCATATCCAGTGAGACTAGCAGAGCTGGACTAACTAAGAGGCATACCCTAAAATAGGCAAAAATAGCCTGCCTTCACAGCTGCTGTAATAGCTGTCCTTTTCACCTAAGGTCTAGAGCAAGTGACAGAATTGTAGATAAGGTATAGCAAATAAACTGATTTAACTCGATTGATTATCTGATCACAGATTAGAAGGGGAGAATGGTAACAGCTGAGAGCTGATTAAAAGGGGAGAGAAAGTGAGCTGATATTAAAACTAAAAGGTATAAAATGATTTAGCTATGCAGTATTATTCATGAGTAAAATAATTCAACTTGAAGCATCAAACAATGATTTAATTGTGGTAGATACATACATTGGAATACTAAACAGCCTTTCTAAATGACTTAATAGAGAATAACTTGGAAATGTTTTCATTCTGCAATCAGTGGACGAGAGTTTGCTATAAAAAGAGCATGTACAGTGTGATCCAATTTGGAGAGAAAGAATATATTAATGGGGGGGAGGCTAAAACTTAACAATAATAGCTCAAATTTTAGTGAGTTTTTGCTATGTGCCAGACAATGTCCTAAGCATTCTGTATCTAGTATATTAGCAAATTGCCTCATCACAACCATATAACCTAGGTGCTATTATAACAATTCTCATTTTCAAAATGAGAAGAGCAAGATTTGGAGACATTAAATGACCTATCCAAAGTCACTCAACTTCCAAGTAGTTGAGTTGTAATTCAAACACTGAATTTAAAGGGGCCATGCTTTAAACCACTCTGCTATACCACATACTAGATTATGAGGACACTTTGTCTTTTTTTTTTGTATTTTCTACAATAGCATTACCTTTATATGTTTCCCCCATTTTTCCTCATATGAGTACAATTTGCAGTCCCACCCCAAACTTACTGAATCAGTCTGTATTTTAACAAGACCCACCAAATGATTTGTATGCACATGAACATGTCAGAAACTATTTCATGTGTAAAGGAGATGTACAAAAATGTACACAGTATTGTTTATATAGCAAAACAGAAAGCACCAGAAGTCCATCCACGGGATAATGGATAAACTTTGGCATAATGGAATATAACTGTATAATGACTCAAGTTACTTGTATAAACAACCACCAAAAAGGGGGAAGGTACAGAATAGTATGTATGATATACCATTTAAAGTACAAAAGAGCAAAACAATACTGTAGTATTATGTATGGATTCATAAACACAGGAATAATAGCATGTGGATAATAAGCACTGATATGAGTTGGCTGTGTCCCCACCCAAAATCTCATCTTGAATTGTAATAATCCCCATGTGTCAAGGGCAGGACCACGTGGAGACAATTGAATCATGGAGCTGGTTTCCCTCATTCTGTTCCCACGATAGTGAGTTCTCATGAGATCTGATGGTTTAGGGGCTTCCCCCTTTCCTGGGCTCTTATTCTCTCTGCTGCCGCCATGTGAAGAAGGATGTGTTTGCGTCTCCTTCTGCCATGATTGTTAAGTTTTCTGAGGCCTCCCCAGCCATGCAAAACTGTGAGTCAATTAAACCTCTTTTCTTTATAAATCACCCAGTCTTTATTAGCAGTGTGAGAATGGACTAATACAAGCACCAAATTCAGAACAGTGTTTACCTAGGGAAAGAAAAAAAGAAATGGGATCTGAAAGGCACAGACAGGGAGCTTTATATGTGACTTAAAAAAAAAAAAAAGCTTAATATGAGAAGCATAAAATTTGACAGAGCTGGGCATGATGGCACAAACCTGTAGTCCCAGCTACTTGGGAGGCTGAGGCAGGAGGATCATTTTGGCCCAGGAGGTCAAGGCTGCAGTGAGCCATGATCACACCACTGCACTCCAGCCTGCATGACAGAGTGAGTCGCTGTCTCAAAAAAAAATTTTTTTTTAATTGACACTGGGTGATGAGTAGTACATAGTAATACGCTGTTGTTTTCTATACTTTCCCACATGCTTGAAATAAGTCTGCAAACTTTTAAATATTTGATTTAGGGGGAAAATGCCTTTTTCCCCACCCTAAATTGTGTATTATCAAGTCACTTTCAGATTTCTGCAGTGATCACTGTGAATCCACTGGTTTGCCAAATGGTGTCCAAGCCTGTTGGATTAAATATGTCATGCTGATGAGGCTTGTCATTCAAACACTGAAGCACAGGAGTAAAACTAGAGAACTGACTGTAGAGGTGGAAAATGTAATTTTTGCTATCAGACTAACGAAATATAAAAGGTACACATTTGTGGAACAAAATAAAAATCTTTGATTCACTAGTTGTGTGTTTGTTTCTCTAATTACACTGGACGAGGAAAATAATCTAGAATCAACATATTAAGTAGTTACCTTGAGGCTCTTTTCTCAACCACACATCATCAACCACCTGGAAATCTGTTCCTTTTTCCTGGTTATTTACAATGCAAGCAGCTTTTAGCCCTGGCAGCACAGAAGCAGAAGAATTGAGGAATTCTCTGCCACTCCTGTAGTATCCTTTAACAGGTTAAGTGGTTGTCAAGCTTCTTTTTTAAATTTGTAAACCTATTTGAATCAATTTGTGACTCCTGCATTCCGGCCCGGCAGAAAGAGCTCGAAGAGACGCAGAGCGCGGCGCGCTCCCCCACGGCCCTCCAGGCCGGCGGGTGAGATGGGGAGATGAGCTAGGGGGCCCCGGACTGGCTGCGCCCTCTGCCCTGCAGACACGGGGGGCCCCGCTGTGGCTGCCCACTGGCCGGGCGCAGGCCTCGAAGCCGCGGCGAACCTCTCTTCCCCACCCCACCTCGGTGACTGTTGGCGGCGGCTCTCCCTGCCCAGACCCCGCCGCCGGATCCTGCCCGGCCTCGACGAAACCCCGCCGAGCCGCCGAGACGCAGTGTCTCCGGGTGGCGGCGGGAGAGGCGGGCCGGGAAGCATGGCGGCCGCCCCAACACCGCGCGGCGGAGACCGTTAGGGTGTGCAGGGCCCGGGAAGGCGGTCTCGCGACGCAGGCAAGCTCGGCCGCCTCTTTAGGCCACGGAGCCGCGCGAGTCCGGGCCCGGGTGACCGCTCTGTTCCCACTGGACGAGACCTGCCGAGTCCTCAGGACAACGGACAAAGGCCTTAACGGGCTTGGGAGGTGAGCGAAGTCCCGAACGATGACGGGTGGAACAGTTAGCGGCCTTCGGGCGGTTGGTCTCGTTCTACCAGAGCTTGCTGTCGGAAGAGAGAAATGGTGGAATGACAAGCCACGTCTGGCCTCTTGGAAATGCCCACCACCCTTTGGGAAGATTTACTGGCCGTTTATGGAAGGCCTGTGTATTTAATATGAAACAGCTGCTCTCAACACTACCCAAACCTTTTAATAGAAAACATTTGCCACATCTAGCCCTTCTATGAGCTAGATGGAAAGAGGTTGCTGATGTATGATAAAGTTAGAAAATCACACATCTTGTAAATTCTCATTTGCTTAAAAGAAATCATAGAAAATAAATGTCTTCTGGAGACGACTTTTGGAAATGGAGTTGTTAACACGGCCTCTGGAAGCGAGACGTCCACGTTTGTTAAGTGGTTTAGAGGACATGGAGCTGGAAGACCTGAGAAGGAAGAGAAGAAGCTTCTGTGCCAGACTGGTCATATTTAGAAGACATTTTCATATTCTCTCCATTGTTTTGTGTGCATTTCATTCCTCACTACTGTGTATATGGTTGACAATGCTAAGCTTTTTTGAAATGTCTATTCTTTTTAGATATTCTGAAGTGCCTGATATATGTAGAAAAAAATAACCTTTTGTAAATATCTTTTTGTTACAATTCATATGAAATGTTTGGTGGGGGAATGGCCCAATCACCTGTTGAGTAATACTCATTGTGTTTGTGCACTGGTTCAGGGGAGGAGGGGGAAGTGCAGAGATCTCTATGCCACTGTGCTTACAGCGAGGCAAGATTAATCATTATCTCTGCGCATTTTGTTTTACTTGTCTGTGTATATAGTGTACATAAAGGACAGACAAGTCCTGATTTACAACATCTAGTCTTTCTAGATATTAAAGAGGTTGCCAGTACATGATAAAAGTAGAGTTAGTAAACTAATATATTTTGTACATTTTGTTTTAGAAGTCCTAGGAAAGATTGTCTTCTGAAAATTTGAGCATTCTTGCCCGCTGGGTTGATGGAGATGGGAAGGGTTCTAGGCCAGAATGTTCCTATTTGGAAGACTCTTTCAAATTATAACTGTTGTCACATGTTTGCAGTTTATTCAAGACTGCTGTGTTCGTAGTGGACAAATGAACTCCTTACTTGAAACATCTAGTCTATCTAGATGTTTAGAAGTGCCCAATGTATGTTAAATGTAGAGGTAGTAAAATACCACTTCGTAAATATCTTTTTGCTAAAATTCATGGGGAATGCTGTCTTTTGGAAATTGAATTGTGAAGCCACCTTTGTGAGCAGTATAGTACTGTCTATACTTGTTCAGTGGTTTAGAGGAGATGGGAGGGAAGACATTGCAAAAGATAATATGCCAGTGTGTTCATACTTGGACATTTTCAGACACCATTTTTTGCATGTTTTGTGCATGTTGTTTTGCTCTGTATATAGTGTATAAAACGGACAAATGAGTCCTAATTTTGCAACATCTAGTGTCTAGATGTTAAAGAGGTTGCCAGTGTATGACAAAGTATTTAGTACAATTAGCATATTTTGTAAAAAAAAATTTGTGACTCTTTATGACTCATACCTCTCCTCCACAAAAAAAAAAAGAAGACATTACTTGAATTATCTATTATTTCAGAAGTTTCTCAACTCAGAGACATTTACATAATTCGGTGGATTCAGCATATAGTCCGGTATAAGGAAAAGGTTGCTTGATTGGTTAGATTGTTATTCCTCAATATTAAGGACCCATCAAATGCTACACTTAAGGATTCAGTCCTAACACCTACCCTGTAGGTTTGGAATCAGGCTCTGAAGGATCACGGGAAGTTCCAGGCAAATGATCAACGCTCAAGCAAAAGAGGGAGAGGAAAAGAATAGAAACATTGCATACAAATCCAAATGGTGACAGGTGCAAAGACCAAGAAAGGAGTGCATTAAAATGCTAGAGAGTAGAGTGAATGCAGTCACTAGGGGCTACAGCCTGTGATAACTTCCCAGAGGAAATGGATTTGAGTAGTTTTGAGAGGGAAGTGAAATCATAACGGGAAGGAGAAATAGCCAAAATAGAAGTCACCTTCTCATAGAGACAAAATGAGCCTGTGGAGATTACATTAACCTTAGATAGCGTTTGAAAATATTCTTTAAAGAATATTTACTACCTTGCTGAAATTAGGTTAACTTTTCTAAGTATCACCTGTAGAATATGTAATACCCACCATCTGGTGATTTTGTGAATAGTAAATGAAAAAATGAACTCTAAATGCTTAGCAGAGAAATTATGCTCAATTCTATCATTGAGAAAAATAATGCTTATTCACTATAGAGGATTCCAGTCACATAGAAATACATAAAATGGGTCAGGTGTGGTGGCTCATGCCTGTAAGCCCAGCCCTTTGGGACACCGAGGTGGGAGGATCGCCTTAGTTTAGGAGTTCAAGACCAGCCTCGGCGACATGGTGAAACTCCATCTCTACAAGAAATACAAAAAATCAGCCGAGAATGGTGGTGTGTGCCTGTAGTCCCAGCTATTTGAGAGGTTAAGGTGGGAGGATCGCCCGAACCAAGAAGCCAGCAGTTGCAGTAAGCCAAGATCATACCACTGCACTCCAGCCTGGGTGGCAGAGTGAGACTCCCGTCTTTTTAAAAATAATAATAATACAAAATTAAAATGATATTCTACCTTCCCAATAACAGTCTTTAATGTTTTGCACACATTTCTCCAATGTTTATACAGTCTCATAATTATCAATGTTATACTATTTGCATCTTCTCAAAGAACTTTCTCTGTCAGCACAAATAGATTAATGTGCCTGTTTGTTTGTTTGAGACTCACACTGTCACCAGGCTGGAGTGCAGTGGCACGATCTCAGCTCACTGCAACCTCCGCCTCCAAGTTCAAGCTCTTCTGCCTCAGCCTCCCGAGTAGCTGGGACTACAGGCACAAGCCATCATGACCAGCTAATTTTTGTATTCTTAGTAGAGACGGGGTTTCACCATGTTGGCCAGGATGGTCTTGATCTCTTGACCTCGTGATCCACCCACCTCGGCTTCCCAAAGTGCTGGAATTACAGGCATGAGCCACCGTGCCTAGCTAACACGCCTGTTTTTAAAGGCCGTGTAGTATTCCATTATATTTCCATTGTTTAATTGATTTAACCATGCCCCTAGTTCTGAGCCAATAATGCTTCAATAGAACTTTCTAGAAAATATATCTTTGCACAATGCAGGAATGTTTCGTAAGTGAAAATGTTGAGTTGGAAAGTATGAACAATTTTAATTGTAATATATTTGTTAAATTGCTCCCTGCCCCCATCCTCTCCACAGTGTACATTCTGAAAACAGAAAAAGCCTCTCACATTTCAAAGGGGAGCAAGTAATGAGTTTGCTGTAATTGAATACATACAGCAATAAGAGCCATGGGGATGGGGGGTTTGATCAGCAATGTTTTCATAAGTCCCTTGCAGGGAGCCCCCTGGACCAGCATTGCATGGACATTGCTTTGGGTCTTCTGGGCTTTTTTTTCCCCCATCAAAACCAGAGAAAATGTCCAGGCACATGGCCCATACCTGTAATCCCAGCACTTTGGGAGGCCAAGGCAGGTGGATCAAATGAGGTCAGGAGTTCGAGACCAGCCTGGCCAACATGGCGAAACCCCATCTCCACTAAAAATACAAAAATTAGGCAGGCATGGTGGTGGGCTCCTGCAATCTCAGCTACTTGGGAGGCTGAGGCAGGAGAATTGCTTGAACCCAGGAGGCAGAGGTTGCAGTGAGCCGAGATTGCACCACTGCACTCCAGCCTGGGTAACAGAGCGAGACTCCATCTAACAAACAAACAACAACAACAACAACAAAGATTTGGAGGGAAAGGACTTTCAGCTGCTCTGAAGATGCATCAGGCATTGATCGGCTCTGCAGACTAGTTTTTACAATATCTAATGGTACCGAATGTATGAGCCTGTCATTCACCCCAGAGATGAATCTCGACAAAACAAAAGGAAAAAAAATTTTTACTTCTAGAAAGTAACACCTTACACAGCTCACTGGTCCCCAGAGAAGTGGACAGAGGTGACTCTAATACAACTCCAGCTTTCTAACTAGCCAAGCAGCTTCTAAAAAGCCAAACCTGAGACCAAAATGGGTATAAGCTGCAACAGGGAGAGGAAAACTCAAATAGGGGAAGAGAGAACCATCCCCACATGATTTCGCCACCTCCTGGCCTTGCATATTTCTTTAGCCAAGATTGCACGGCCCATGGCTATAATCATTCTTTTGAAAATGTGTTAACTTCAACTCCTCTGTCTCCTCTTCCTCCAAGCACTTGGCTGGCCAACCTGTGCTCCTGGGAGGCTGTCTCCTCTGCCCAGCCCACCTGTGGGGTGGAGGGCTGCAGAGGAAAGTGCCCTGTGAGGTTGCTGCCTGCCACCTCAGTGACCCTGGGCTGCAGTCCACGTGGCACCTCCAGTGGGCTCAGCACCTGTTCCCACAGCAGCAAGTCCATACCTTCACCACTGTCTTCTCATCTGTCCTCTCTCTGAGGAATAGCCCACCTCCTGCTTCACAGAGAAAACAGAAGGCATCACAGAGGACACTGGTCACTGTCACCTGCACTCCAAGGCCAGCCCTCCACACATGCTGGGTGGCACTCACAATCAACACCCTCTTCTCCTGCATTCCCTGGTCTCCCTCTTCACCCAGTCATGGAAGGACACATGACCCAAGCTGGGCCAGAAAGCATCCTCTCTGGGACTTCCTCTATTGTCCCCAGCATTCATTGGTCCCAGCTACTTGGGAGGCTGAGGCAGGAGAATGGCGTGAACCCGAGAGGCAGAGCTTGCAGTGAGCCAAGATCGCGCCACTGCACTCCAGCCTGGGCGACAGAGCGAGACTTCGTCTCAAAATAAATAGAGAGAGAGAGAGAGAGAGAGGGAGGGAGGGAGGGAAAAAGAAAGAAAGAAAGAAAGAAAGAAAAGAAAAGAAAAAGAGAGAGGATAGCTCTCTCTCTTCATAGCCTCTTCTCCCTTCCCATTTGAAATCCCCCTCCCAAGAGGTCATCGCTGTGAAGTCTGGTGGGCATTCATCCCTTTTCCTCGCAGCACGCTCAGACTGCACGGGCAGTCTGCAGTTAACTGTCCATCACCAGTACCCACTCTGCGGGCTCCCAGGTGAGACGCCGGAACTACATTTCCCAGAGTCCCTATCATCCCATGGTTCCGGATTCAAGTTGGCCTGCAAAAGGTTCCTGCTCAATATCTGCAAGAAGGAAGGAGAGATGCCATTCTCCTCTGGAGGCTGCTCCCTCTAGGCATGTGGGAGACATGAGGTTCCAGCGGCCCGCCACAACCTTGTGTGAGGTGGAGCACGGACCCTCCCTTTTTTTAGAGGCCTGTGGACCGTAAGCATGGAAATAAATCTTAAGTTCCTTCAGGGGAAATTCCAGGCGCCTAGCTAGCCCTGAGAAGTAAATAAATAACTTGTTAAACAAGAAGGTGATAGTAGCCTAAAACAACAGCTAAAGAAGTTGGAGTCCCAGAGATGTTTGCTTTCCCTATAGAAATTAAAGATAGTATCTTCACGTATGTCCCTGAGTTGTCTTTCAGAGGCTTGGACCCCCTAACTGAGGACCCCCCAAACTGATCAGGGGCATGGCAGGTAGACCCCAGATAAGGGGGAAATGAAGACTAAACTTTATTGTCCTTTGTTCTAAGTTTTTTCCTGAAGGGCTTGGAGAAAGTCACTCCCCCTAACCAGTTAACTCTACTGGCTTTACATTTTTAAACAAAGTTTCTCTTCCTTAGCCAATTGCAAACCAGAAGATGTTTAAATCTACCTATGACATGTAAGCCCCTAGCTTCAATATATCTCACCCTTTTCGGCCAAAATCAATGTGGAGCCTCCATGTATTGATTTATGATTTGCCTGTAGCTTCTGTTTTCCTGACATTTACCCCTGCCCTTAAAAACCTTACCTGCAAGCCATCAAGGAGTTAGAGACTTAAGCATAAGCTGACGATTTCCCTTGCTTGGCACCCTGCAGTAAATGCCTTCTTTTCTATCACTGCAAAAACCTCAGTGTGAGTATCTGGTTTTACTGCACTGGAGGAGCAGGCCCCAGTTCACTTCTATAACCTGTGTGAACCTCTCACATTGGTCCTTCAGGCTGAGGTCACCAGCAGCAGCTTCCCTGACCTCCACTCTTTCAGCCTTTCCAATAACTCCCTACAGTAAAAGTCTCCTAAATGGAATACACAGAGGCTCTTCTGATATCCTGATCCAACCGTGATACAGAGATCTACCTTGCTCGTTTTAACAGCTGAATAGTATCCCAGTGCCTAACTGTCTTATAATGAATTTAACTTCTCCCTTAATGATGGACACTTGGGTTTTTCTAGCAATTTACTAACACAATTAATGTCAGGATGAACTTTCTTTCTTGCACACACATACACACATACAAGTTCTTTATTTGCCACCCTCAAGCACATGACTGCTGAATTGTGCTTTAAAGAACTTTCCATCACACCACGAACATGTCACATTGTTAGGTTCGTGTGATCACTATGAGGAAGAGGAGGGGGAGGGGACCATGGAGGCCGTAATGTCTAGACTCTTTCTTCCCTGTCTTCAGTTCACCAAATGTAGTTCAACTGTGGACAAAGGGGCTCTTTGAAGCGTCCTCTAAATGTTTAAAATTTTGTTTTTAGAGATAGGATCTTGTTTTGTTGCCCAAGCTGGTCTTGAACTCCTAGCATCAAGCATTCCTCCCATTTCATCCTCCCAAAGTGCTGAGATTACAGGCATGAGCCACCACACCAGGCCTATATTTATTTATTTATTAGTTTTTTGAAATACAGTCTCTGTCACCCAGGCTGGAGTACAGTGGCACAATCTCAGCTCACTGCAACCTCCTTCTCCCAGGTTCAAGCCATTCTCCTGCCTCAACCTCCCGAGTAGCTGGGACTATAGGTGTATGCCACCACGCCCGGCTAATTTTTGTACTCTTAGTAGAGACCGAGTTTTGCCATGTTGGCCAGGCTGGTCCTGAACTCCTGACCTCAAGTGATCTGCCTGCCTTGGCCTCCTAAAGTGCTGACATTACCGGCGTGAGGGATTACCGGTGTGAGCCACCATGCCCTGCCCCTAAATTTATTTTTTAATTGTCAAGTTGTTACCAGCAGTGAATCCATACAGGTCTGCAACAACCTCAGTTCTTGCCTCCTCAGAAGAAAGAATTCGACCAAGGGGGCATAAGGTAGAGTGAGAGACCAAGGCAAGTTTTACAACAGTAGTGAAAGTTTATTAAAAAGTTTTATGGCGGGAATGAAAGAAAGTGAAGTACACTTGGAAGAGGGCCAAGCGGACAACTTGAGAGAGTCAAGTGTGCTGTTTGACCTTTGACTTGGGGTTTTATATGTTGGTATGCTTCTGGGGGTTGCATCTCTTCTCCCCTGATCCTTCCCTTAGGTTGGGCTGTCCGCATGCGTGGTGGTCGGCCAGCACCTGGGCGGGGGGAAGCATGCGCAGTATGTTTACTGAGGTTGTACGCATGCTCACTTGAGGCGTTCTTCCCTTACCAGCGCAGTGCTACCAGAGGAAGCTAAACCAGTTAAACTACGCCATTTTGCCTCTTAGTGGGCATGCTTGAGTCCACTCACCCAACTCCTGATATCTTATTCGTAAGTTGCTAATCACCAATTTCAGATGTTTCTATTTATTGGGAGACAACCTTTCCCTGGCACTGCGACCAATTATTATTTTAGAGAGACAGCTTAACAACCGCTTGACCATCACCTGATGGTCCCCTGACATTCCTGGTGGGGGCAGGGGGCCTCTCCTGTTCCTGGGGCAGGCGCAGCACTCTCTTAGCTCTACCCTGTAGCCCCTGCTTCCACCATAACAGTTCACAAAGAACTGGCAAACCCTTGAAATTTCCAATTTCCCTTCTTTTGCCATTTTCTGTAGGCTGCTATGATTCAAGCCAGAGAAAGCTGCCGCCTCAGCCCCCACCTCCATCGCCGCGGGGGTGAGGCCCCAGATACCTGCCTGGCTTCTTCAGCTCTCCCCTTGGCTCCTAGCTTTGTGCTGAATGGTCCTGCCTTCCCACAATGCCCTTATCTCACCAAATCTTCACCCTGAAGCCATGAATTAGAGCTTCTAGCTGACTAAATGCAGTATCTCTCAGAAATCTGTCATGTGTCCTTTCTGCTTCTCGTGCCCAATTAACTAATTAGCATCATTTTACAAACTTCTCTGGGCTAGCCCTAGAGCTCAGCTCTAACACCACCCAGGTCTCCAGGTAAAGCCTGGCTATACCTCCTATCCTTGTTTTGTTGCTGATAAATAAGCTTTTTATTGATCTTGCAGAAAAATTATTTTTCTAATTTTTTTCTCTTTTGCCTTTCTATCTTGAGTTGTGCCATGACAAAACACCACCAACCCCATTTTCCAAACCTTACATAGAGGTTCTCTTCCCCCTTCTCCCTGTGTGCCCAGCATGGTGTGAAAACACAGCCTGAAAATATTCTCTCCAGCTTCTTCTGTCAGGTTCCCCACCCTTCTCCATCAGCATTCTTAACGCCACAGGGATTCCTTCCAGCCCACTTTGGAGTACAGTTTCCCTCAGGCCACAACATTTACTGTTATTTTATGAATAAAACTTTATTTTACTGGCGGTTGGTAAACTGAACGAACAAGTACTATTTATAAAATAAATACAGAACATGATACAACAGCCAGCATTTTTTCTTTTTTTCTTTTTTTTTTTTTTTTTTTTTGAGATGGAGTTTCACTCTTGTTGCCCAGGCTGGAGTGCAATGGCGCGATCTCGGCTCACTGCAACCTCCGCCTCCTGGGTTCAAGCGATTCTCCTGCCTCAGCCTCCCAAGTAGCTGGGATTACAGGCATGTGCCACCACGCCCGGCTAATTTTTTGTATTTTTGGTAGAGACAGGGTTTCCCCACGTTGGTCAGGCTGGTCTCGAACTGCCGACCTCAGGTGACCACCCGCCTCGGCCTCCCAAAGTGCTGGGATTACAGTCATGAGCCACTGCGCCCGGCCTACTGCCAGCTTTGTTTCTAAAGGGCATTACAAACATTGCCCTACTGGTGTTAGTAAACATACTTGTTTTAAAGGCTCAATTTTATCAGAAGAAACCTAGAAACAGAAACTGGAATGGTGTAAAAGGCTCTACCCTATGATTATTTGGTTTTCCCAAACCTAATTTTTTTTTGTAGATCTACATACATTAGCTATTCTTTATTCTTTGAAAATAGCACTTTAACTTAGCGTAACTACCTAATCCCCATTTACTCATGAGATTTTAGAAGAGAGGAGTTCAGAAGGAAAAGTTATTCAACTTAAAACAAAATCTCTAAGTAAATGATGCTTGAAGCAGATGAAAAACCAGCTGACCTACTTCCATTACTTAATTAAGAAGGTGGAATCAATATACAAGTGTTTGCTAATTTTATTCATTTTTTTGGTCAGTTACGTTTATGATATTCAGTGATGTCTGTTTACAGTAATGTATGTGTGTATATATATATACACAGTGAGGCAGTGAGGCAGAATCCACCTGCTAGATTAATTGCATTGTGTTTGGGTATCAGAAAAGGCCATGGAGCATTTATCTGTCCAGTGGCCAGTGAGTTGATTTGGGTTTGTTTTGCTTTTAAAAAAGAGGAAGAGGGTGGTAGTGATCTCCTCTCCAAGAGCCCTAAGCAGCTGACTTCAGGGTGTCACGGGGTCTTGCCGGCCTGGAAGCATTTCAACACCAGGCTCAGGTCCCTGCAGAGCAAATCCCATGACTCCAGTCACTGTTGTGCCAGAATTCTGTTGTGGGCAATTCAGTTTAAGTGAGCAAGTCTTGAAACATCTTTTTATGTTATAGGGATTTTATGGGAAGAGAGGCTTAATTCTGCAGGATTTGATTTATTTTAGTATTAATAATTTTTGATTATTTTTTCTAGAAAAGGTGTGAGATGACTTATGAAAATATATACAGGCTGGGTGTGGTGGTTCACGCCTATAATCCCAGCACTTTGGGAGGTCAAGGTAGGCGGATCACTTGAGCTCAAGAGTTTGAGACCAGCCTGGGCAACATAATAGCTGGGCATGGCAGTGTGCGCCTGTAGTCCCAGCTACTCACGAGGCTGAGGTGGGAGGATCACTTGAGCCCAGGAGGTGGAGGTTGCAGTGAGCCAATATCATACCACTGCCCTCCAGCCTTGGTGACAGAGCAAGACTATGCAAAAAAAAAAAAGAAAAGAAAATATACACAATAAAATAAAACTTTAGACAAGTGGATGAGAAAACAGAGGCAAAAGGAAAATGAGGACAGGAAAAAGAAAATGAAGCCACAAAATGTGTGCTCTGTGGGCTCTATGCTTACTGGCAGTGCTGGCAGAGTTGGTTCTTAGCTTCCTAATAGCAAGATAATGAAGGCAACAGTGAGCTCTGTGGCTCACAGTGTCCCTAATTTCTTTCTTTCTTTTTTTTGAGACAGAGTTCTGCTCTGTCACCCAGTCTTGAGTGTAGTGACACGATCTTGGCTCACTGCAGCCTCGGCCTCCGGGATTCAAGTGATTCTTGTGCCTCAGCCACCCAGTATCTGGGACTACAGGCATGCGCCACCGTGCCCGGCTAATTTTTGTATTTTTAGTAGAGGCGGGGGTTTCACCATGTTGCCCAGTCTGGTCTCGAACTCCTGGCTTCAAGTTATCCACCCACCTTGGCCTCCCAAAGTGCTGGGATTACAGCCGTGAGCCACCGTGCCCAGCCGCTAGTACTTTTTTTCTGAAAAGAGAATACAACTGCTCAGGAGAAGGCTAAGCATTCTGTATGCTGAGATCAGAGAGAAATTTCTCACGTACATGTAATGCCTTCAAAAGGATCCTCAGTGAATTCCTTTGGATGGACCACAGTGACTTCCCAGGGCTATTTCATATGATGTCCTTTTGCAGAATAGGGCGCTTCAGGCCAAAGTGAGCATGGGAAATCAGTTCTACAGGGAGCCAAGATGATGCCCTTTGGGGACCCATCTCAGCTTGTTAGCTGAGTGGGTTTTGGAGGGCCTGATGGGTGGTCAGACCTATTATCACTGAGCAAGCTCTGCAGCATCAGTGAGTTCAGGAAAGCATATTAATAACTGCTGGGCTTTGGTGCTGTGTGCTTAAAGGTGCTGAGCGAGAGGCAGGGTTAGGACTGGCTGCATGAATTGTGAGATCCAGGGCAAAATGAAAATACAGGGTTCCTTGTTCAAAAATTAGGAATATCAAGATGGTGACAACAGAGCATTAAACCAACCGAAGCTCGTTTCTAAGAGTGGGGCCCTGTGGGACTGCACAAGTCACACCTCTATGTTGCTGGCCCTAGGCAGGAGATATGTCCTCATGAAAAGTCAAAGAACCTGGTGAGGACACAGCCTGAAGAGAAGGTCAAGCCAACCTGCATTCTGCTGAGCCCCAGACTGCAAACAGGTTCCTAAAGACTATGTCTCTCAAATCCCAAACTCGGGTGTGGGAGAAATACTACTTTATTTCTCATAACAAGTTAATTTTTGGCTCCACACCTCACATTACAAGGCTGACAGAAAAGTAAATGAGTAAACAAACCCCCACCACCAATCACATCCTAAAGCCCAGTACCCCCTGCAGTTTTTGCATAGGAAGCTTTATTATTTGAGTTATTCAGGGTGCTTCCCCATAACAATCTCCTGCAAGAAATATTGGGGAGAACAGGGACAGTGGCATGTAGCCCCACTTGGTCTAACAGAGTGTTTTAATGAGAGCTGGAGGAGGAAGGTCAGTCTCTGGGTGACAGGCAGCCACTGGTGGGAGGATCCTGCCCCATTAGATGCTTCTCTGCCACCTCAGACCCGGGTGGGCCCAGCTCCACCTCCCAGGCTAGATGTAGCCAGGCCCCAAAGCTCAGGACGTTTACAGGAGGTCTAGAGCAGGAACCACCAAAGAATCAGAACTGTTCGTTCATTCAATGCATGTTTATTGAATGCCAGCTAGGTCAGGCACTGCTCTTGGGGCTAGGGAGACAGTCAAGAATAAAACAGACCCAAATCCCTGCTCTTGTGGAGCTCATATACTATTTATGGAAGACAGTCTGTTTTTAAATGAGTCAACCATCTTGTATCTAGGAAAATAATAAGTGCTATGTTAAAAAATAAACATGAAAGGAAATAGGTTATACTAGGTGTGGCTATTGCTATTACCAATAAGGGTGTCAATGACGATCTCACTGAAAAGGGGCATTTGGGCAGAATACGAAGAAGTCAGGAAGCGAGCCAGGCAAATTCCTGGGGGAATGGTGGCTAGTGCACAGGCCCTGAGGTCAGAGAGCCTGGTGGGCTTGAAGCATAGCAGGAGACTGTGGGGACCTTGAGCAGAGTGGGGTTGGTGCTAGGGGGTGAAGTCAGGGAGGGAGCAGTGGCTGCAGCAGCACTTGTGGAAGGATTAAGTGGCGTATTAGAGATAGAGAGGAATGAAAATTGGAGTTTAATTTTGGACACTTGATATTTGAGATGTTATTATATATCCACATAAGTTAAGGTTAGGTTACCCATATGGAAAAAATGGACATCGATCAGAAGTTAACTCTAATTGAATCATAGACCTGCATGGAACTAAATACAGAAGCTAAAATTACTATTAAAATTCTTGGAAGAAGACAGATGAAAGTCTTTGTGACTTGGTGGAAGGCAAGGATTTCCTATATAGAACAAATAAAAGCATGGAATTTTCCTACTAACTTGATAAATTGGACTTTATTAACATTTAAAACTCTTGCTCATTGAAAGATACCATTACGAAAACAGAGACGGGCCAGATGCGGCGGCTAACGCCTGTAATCTTTACACTTTGGGAGGCTGAGGTGGGTGGATCGCCTGAGGTCGGGAGTTCAAGACCAGCCTGGCCAACATAGTGAAACTAAAAATACAAAATTAGTTGGGCATGGTGGCGCACGCCTGTAATCCCAGCTACTCGGGAGACTGAGGTGGGAGAATTGCTTGAACCCAGGAGACAGAGGTTGCAGTGAGCCGAGATCTTACCACTGCACTCCAGCCTGGGTGACAGAGCGAGACTCCATCTCAAAACAAAAAACAAAAACAAAAAAAAAACAAGAAAACAGACAAACCAGAAAATGGGAGAAAATATTCACAGCATAGAAAACTGTTACATTTTCATAATAAGACAAGTAACCCATTGTTTTTAAATGGGCCATCTATTTGAACAGACACTCACACAAGGATGTATAAAAATGGCCAATAAACACATGAAAAAATGCCAATATTATTTGTCATCAGGTATCTGTACTTAAAACCACAATGTGATACCATTACCCATTGATAAAAATCGCTAAAATTTTAAAATTTAGCAGTACCAAGTGTTGATGAGGACGTGGAATAACTAGACATCTAACCATTGCTTGTGGAAATGGTACAGCTGCTTTGTAAAAGTTTGGTGTTTTTGTAAAAAGTTAACCATGCACCTACCTCCAGTAAGACCCAGCCATTCCACTAGGTATTTTTCCAAGAGAAATGAAAATATATGTTCACACAAAGACTTGTACACAAATGTTTATAGCAGATTTATTTGTAATAGCCAAAATCAGGGCGAGGGTGTGGACCCATCAACAGGTGAATAGATTAATAATTAGATATACCCACACAATGCAATACTATTCAGCAATATGAAAGAGCAAACTTCTAATACAAACAACAACATGAATCAATCTCAAAATGATGCTGAGTGGAAGAAGCCAGGCACACAAGCATACATATGGCACGACTTCATTTGTGTAAATGAAAACCAATCTACAGTGACAAAAAGATCATTTTGAGACCCTGTGCAAAGTGACACAAAGAATCTTTTGGAGGTAATAGAGATGTTTTCTATTTTGATTGTGGTTGTGGTTTCATAGGTGTGCACAATTATCAAAATGGATTGAATGTATGTTTACTGTATGTAAAATAATCCACAATGGAGTCGGTGAGAAAAATAGCCAATTCTATAGGCCCCTTCATGACCTCTCCCAGACGTGCTTTTACCCTTTTCACTCCAGACCTTTTGCTAATAGGCTAACAGAACCATAGACAAAGGTCTCCCTTTGGATCCAAAAAGGAGTAGAATAAGCTGGACAGTGACTCTCAAGTGGCTGGAGTTTTTTGTTTTGTTTTGAGTAAATCTAGGAACATTCTACTACGAGATCTGAGAAGGTTGTATCCTAGCCTAGAACACAGCCAGAGGCAAAAGCTTGCACGCTAATGTCTTACTGAAATATACAATCCAAGAGAGGCAGGAGTGATAGAAAAGGAGACCTGGGTCAGGGAAGGAGGGAGAACAAAGAGCAGGGGAGGGACTGCTGAGCTTGTCACAGCTTGCAACAAACGCAGCAGGTTGCTCCTTCTCACAGGACATCTCAAGAGAGGCCAGAGAAACCTACTGCATTTGAAACAGTCTGTTGTTGGGGAGGAAAGGCGAGTCACTTATCTGCTGGCTTCTTTCCATCTTCTCTCAAAATCCCCATAGGGCGTCAGCTTCCCAGTACTGCTCCACGTTGCGGAAGCCGAAGCCTCTGTCAGTGGGCTGTGCACATAGGCACTCCTTGGTCTGTGGTGGCCGAGTCTGTGGCCAGGGCTTTGCCACAGTGGGAGGAATGGGAGCTTTCACTGAGACCACTCACGCTGGGAGGGAAGGTCACTAGGGTCAGCAGGTCTGGGAGGATGCCAGGCTGGTCTGGTAGAGTTGGGTGCCTGCAGTCTGTGCACAGAAAGCTCCCTATATCTGGGTAAGTGTGGAGTTTCCAAAAAGGGTGATGGAACCCAAGGGACACTGCTGTGGTGGTGTTCCCAGACCCAGCAAGACTGACAAGAGTAGGTGCACTAATTGGAAACAACTTTACCCTCTTTTGAGTGTTACCAATTCTACTGGGTTGAATAGTGGCCCCCCAAAATTCGTCTTCACCCAGAAGCCTGTGAATGGGACCTTATTTGGAAATATGCCCTTTGCAGAGGTATTCAAGTCAAGATGAGGTCAAACTGGATTAGGGTGGCCCCTAAATCCAATGACTGGTGGTGTTACAAGAAGAGAGAAATTTTGGCCAGGCACGGTGGCTCACATCTGTAATCCAGCACTTTGGGAGGCTGAGGTGGGTGGATCACCTGAGCTCAGGAGTTTGAGACCAGGCTGGCCAACATAGTGAAACCCCCTCTCTACTAAAAATATAAAAATTAGCTGTGGGGCTGTGGGCATTGAGTGCTCACCGGAGAGGGAAGAAACAGTAGCGCTAAGCATAGCTCTGGTTTTTCTGGTCCACGATGGCCCCAAGTGAAAGAGACATTTCTGCTGATATATTTAGCCAAACATTGCTCACTAAAACTACCTATTCAGAAATTACTCAGACAGGCATTCCCTGTGATTTAAGAGTCCATTAATTATTTTGTCTTCTGGAATGAGCCATCCAGCCTAGGGCAGTGTTATGGCTGAATTGTGTCTCCCCAGAATTCACATATTGAAGTCCTGCCCTGCAGTGCCGCAAAATGTGACTGGGTTTGAAGATAGGATCTTTAAAGAAGTGATTGAGGTGAAATGAGGGCATATGGGCAGGCTGTAACCCAGGGTGATTGGTGTCCTTATAAGAAGAGACTAGGACACAGGCATGTGTGTACATAGCAAGAAGACGGCCATCTGAAAGCTAATGAAAGAAGTCTCAGAGCAAACAAACCTGCCAACACCTTGATCTCAGACATCAGCCTCCAGAACTGTGAGAAGTAAATTTCTGTGATTCAGGGTTCCCAGTCTGTGCTACTTTGTTATGGCAGCCCTAGCAAACTAGTACAGGAAGCATCCTGGTGGCAAGAGATCACTTCGTTGGGAGCATCAGACATGCCTCAGGCAGGATCAGAAGTTGCACAGAGGCTTAGGGCTTGGGAGTAAATGATTTTTAGTTTTCAGTTTCCCTGCTCAGGTCTATTAGCGGAAATGAAAACGTCTAGGATCACTTCTTAGGGCTCCCAAGGACCCTCTCCTGGAGGGATTTAACAAAACAGAACCCAGGAGAGAAGAGGCAAGGGACAGCCAGGGGGCATATTATTCCACACTCGTGGAGCTCAGGAACAGTGCCACCTATGGCACTTCCTATTGATTGATATTTGAGAAGAAGCCCAGGCTGCCCTTTGACCTCTGTTTTTGGTCCAGAGAAAACGGATGCAGCTAGGAAGCCTTGCTCAGTGTGCAGCTAAATTGAGGACACATTCCAAGATGCTTATTGGCCAGTGGCCAAGGCCCCTCAGCCAAACCCCACTTGCCAATAAAAGGAGACCATGACCCAAGTAGTGTGCCCAGAGCAACAGCTGGACAATTGTGTCTGGCTGTGAAATTCGAGTCCCAGGTCAGCACTGGCCAACAGGCTGCTGCACTTAGATGTTATAGCCAGGGAGGAACCAAGTCAAAGTACTGTTACTTGGTGAGGGGAGCAGAAGCCAGAGCCTGAGTTACTCTGAGAATGTATCCCCACAGCCTCTTACCAGTGGGGGGACTGGAGAATTGGTGGAATCCACCCAGCCTCCAGACAGGAACAGCCTCTATCAGAGAGCTGACAATGTTCCAAGTTTACCCCCACCCACTCACCCCTAACCTCTGCAAAGAGAAGGTTTGGGACAATTAGTGGGTGGAGAGCCCAGTGACCCCCCAGTTTTAGCTAGGGGTGGATCCCTTCCCATAGAGTATCAGGGGCAACCAACCTCCTCCCCTAGAATCCTCAGAGGGCTGACTTCAGGAAGAAGGCAGCAGGGCCGGGTCAGTGATGAGGCTAATGTTGTCATGGAAGGAGAGGGAAGTTTTCTGAGCAGAGAGGACCCCACCGTGCAAAGTGTAGGAGCCAGGGACAGCTCCTCACAATGTGTATCAGGAAACCATCTCATTGCAACTGACCTACGACTGGCTCAGTGCATTCCAGGAGACCACCTCTCACATAGCCCAGCAGGACCACCAGCTCTTCTCTATCACTAAACATGGGGGCAGGGTCAGCCCCACCCTTAAAGAGTCGGGAGCTTGTGGCTAAAAGGAACTGTTTGTCTCTTTGCCCATTTTGTCCCTTCACCTCCTCCTCTGTCTGCTGGTGGGATGAGCATATCTTTCAGGATAATAATCTATAGGAGGTAACCAGTATTAGAAAGAGAGAGGTTTGTTGATGTTGAAGCTACTCCAGTCTGAAGAATGGGAATATCTGTGTGGTCACCAGCCTTGGACACAAGGGCACAGCATGAAGCCAGAACTGGATGAGACAGAAGATGGGGGTTAGAGGACGACCGAAGGTAAGGGATTACAAGCATTTGATGGACACAGACTGTCTCTCTATGGATTTGCCTCTTCTGGACAGTTCATATAAATGGAGTCATACAGTGTGGGTCACAAGATGTGCCTAGCTTCTTTCATCCAGAGTAATGTGTTCTTTTTTGTTTTTTGTTTTTTTGGGGGTTTTTTTGTTTTTTGTTTTTTGTTTTTTTCGAGACGGAGTCTCGCTCTGTCACTCAGGTTAAAGTGCAGTGGCACGATCTTGGCTCACTGCAACCTCCACCTCCCAGGTTCAAGTGATTCTTCTGCCTCAGCCTCCCAAGTAGCTGGGGCTACAGGCGCCCGCCACAACATTTGGCTAATTTTTGTATTTTTAGTAGAGACGGAGTTTCTACTAAAAACCCATGTTGGCCAGGCTAGTCTCGAACTCCTGACCTCAGGCGATCCACCCACCTTGGCCTACCAAAGTGTTGGGATTACAGGCGTGAGCCACCATGCCTGACCTCACTCAGGGTAATGTTTTCAAGGTCCACCCTTGAAGCTCTTCTTTCCTTTCCATGACTGGAAAATAGTCCATGGTGTGGATATGCCACATTTTGTTTATCTGTTCATCCGTTGATAGACATTTGGGTTGTTTCTACCTTTTGGCTATTGTGTGTAGTGCTGCTATGAACATTCATGTACAAGATTTTGTTTAAACTCCTGTTTTCAATTTATGGGGGTATAGGAGTGGAACTGCTGGGGCATGCGGTAATTTTATGTTTCACTTCTTTTTTTCTTTTTTTTTGAGACAGAGTCTCGTTCTGTCACCCATTCTGGAGTGCAGTGGCACAATCCTGGCTCACTGCAACCTCTGCCTCCCAGTTTCAAGCAATTCTCCTACCTCAGCCTCCCGAGTAGCTGGGATTACAGGCATGCACCACCATGCCCAGCTAATTTTTGTATTTTTGGTAGAGACAGGGTTTTGCCACGCTGGCCAGGCTGGTCTCAAACTCCTGACCTCAGGTGATCCACCTGCCTTGGCCTCACAAAGTGCTGGGATTACAGGCATGAGCCACCGTGCCCAGCCATGTTTCACTTCTTTAGGAACCACCAAACTGTTTTCTATGGCAGCAGCACCATTTTACATTCCCACCAGCAATGTATGAGGCTTCCAATTTCTCTACATCCTCACCAACACTTGTTATTTTCCATTTTAAAAAATTGTAGCCATCCTAGTGGCATGGAGTGGTATCTCAGTATCTCATGGTGGTTTTGATTTACATATCCCGATGAAGAGTGATGTTGAGCATCTTTTGTGTGCTCTTTGGCCATTTGTATATCTTTTAGAAATGTGTATTCCAGTCACAGGTAACGTTTGAAGGGAGCATTTTGATTTTATACCCTCAGACTAAAGACAAAAAAGAACTGTAAGCAGATATCAAACTCTATTAGCAAGTTGGTTTTTCATACAGGGTTGAAAATTCTGAAACTACTTTCTTTATATTCTAGGGTTAAGCAAACAAGTGATTTTGTTGTTGTTGTTGTTGTTTGTTTTTGTTATTGTTTTTGAGATAGTGTCCCACTCTGTCACCCAGGCTGGAATGCAGTGTTGCGATATCAGCTCACTGCAACCTCTGCATCCTGGGTTCAAGCAATTCTCATGCCTCAGCCTTGCAAGTAGCTGGGACTACAGGCATATCTCACCATGCCCAGCTAATTTTTGTATTTTTAGTAGAGGGCTTTGCCATGTTGGCCAGGCTGGTCTCAAATTCCTGGCCTTAAGCAATCCTCCCGCCTCGGCCTCCCAAAGTGCTGGCATTACAGGCATGAACCACCGCACCCAGCCACGAACAAGTATTATATTGAGGATAACGAGAGCCAGGTTTCTCACTTTTGAACAGTGGATTTACAAGGATGAAAAGGGGTAAGATTTGAATGAGTCCTGCGATATTAGATTGGAATTGAAGGTATTGGTGTGAATGCAAGATTTTGAATATAGATAGAAAAACAGAATTACATGTGGTGCAGATACACAGACACACACACAAAGAAAGGACCTACAAGTAACAACACCCAGTAGCCATGAACACACCTAGCACCAAGGTCACAATTTCTAAATATCACACTGCACTGAGAATTAGGGCTCTTTGGGGAAATATCTGACTCTTCGGCTGGGCCAGGGAAAATACAAGATGAGCCTGGATCATGACAAAAAAGTAAGGGCTCAGTAAGTCTTGGGGCCATTTCAAAAGAATGCAGGAGCTAGCTCAAAGAGACCCTACTGGCCAAATATAGAACAATTAAAATAAATAATTACAGTATAAATTTTAACTCATCAAATAAGATAAGAATCTATCAGTCTAAAGAACAACAAACTTGGAGGACTAACACTGTCTGATTTCAAGTTGTATTATAGGTAGGGCCCAGTGGCTCATGTCTATAATCCCAGCATTTTGGGAGGCTGAGGCGGGAGGATCGATTGTGGCCAGGAGTTGCAGACCAGCCAGGGCAACATAGCAAGACCCCATCTCTACAAAAAATATAATAATATAAATTATAATATAATAATAAAATACATTTTAAAATAAAGATGTATTATAAACCTACAGTAATCAAGACAGTGTAGTGTTGGCAAGAAGACAAATAGCTCAATGGAACAAAATAGACTCCAGAAATAGATCTATACATGTATGGACAATTGATTTTTTTTTTTTTTGAAACAGGGTCCGGCTCTGTTGCCCAGGCTAGAGTGCAATGGTGCAATCTTGGCTCGTTGCAACCTTCACCTCCTGGGTTCAAGCCAACCTCCCACCTCAGCCTCCCAAGTAGCTGGGACTACAGACACATATCACTACACCCAGCTAATTTTTGTATTTTTGCTAAAGACAGGGTTTCTCCCTGTTGCCCAGGTTGGTCTCAAATTCCTGAGCTCAAGTGATCTGCCTGCCTCAGCCTCCCAGAGTGCTGGGATTACAGGCATGAGCACCATGCCTGGCCTGACAACTGATTTTTTTACTAAGGTGTGAAGACAGTTTACTGAAGAAAGGATGGTCTTTCCAACAAATTGTGCTAGAACAACTGGATATTTATATGTATAAACTGAACTTCGAGCTACACCTCACATTATATATAAAATGAACTCAAAATCAATTATATTTTAAATAGCTCTGTTGAGGTATAAGAGACAATAAGCCACACACATTTAAAGTGTACGGTTATATCCACACCCATGAAGAATGGCATTGTCACTCAGATAAGGAAGACTGCAAGCACCAGTCAAGTTTCAGTTGCAGAGAACAGAATCCAGTCGAGCTACACTAAGCAGTAGGAGACATTTTTGAGTATAAAATGAATTACAAGATCATTAAGAGGGCCAACAATGTAGCTGCTAGACTCAGTATCCAGGAACAACTCTTGGAGACACATCATAAAACTTGTTGCCAAGGGAACTGCTGTCCCTGCCACAATCAGCAAGCTGCCTCTGCTAAATTGGGAAGCCACCACTCCTTCCGCCAGCCTCAGAGCTGTACCACTTCTGGTGGGGTTTTCACTAACAAAACAGATGCATATGCCTTGCCTCTCTTCCTCATTAGATCAGTTCCAAATTCAAGTCTCAGGTCTGATTGTCAAAAGCTAAATGACAGTCCAGGCATGGTGGCTCACACCTGTAATCCCAGCACTTTGGGAGGCCGAGGCAGGTGGATCACCAGGGGTCAGGAGTTCGAGACCAGTCTGGTCAACATGGTGAAACCCCCATCTCTACTAAAAATACAAAAATTAGCCGGGCATGGTGGCGGGCGCCTGTAATCCCAGCTACTTGGGAGGCTGAGGCAGGAGAATCACTTGAACCCGGGAGGCAGAGGTTGCAGTGAGCCTAGACAGTGCCATTACACTCCAGCCTAGGCGACAAGAGCGAAACTCTGTCTCAAAAAAAAAAAAAAGAAAAAAAAAAGCTAAATGACATCTGGAACCCTGGCATCAAGGAAGTCTGGAAAATGTGTGTTTTTTTCTGGCCTCTGCAATATTGAAAGGCATTCTTTTTGTTTGTTTGTTTGTTTGTTTTTTTGAGACAGAGTCTAACTCTGTTGCCCAGGCTGGAGGGCAGTGGCACGATCTTGGCTCACTGCAACCTCCACCTCCCGAGTTCAAGCGATTCTCCAGCTTCAGCCTCCTGAATAGTTGGGATTACAGGCATGCACCACCACATCTGGATAATTTTTGTGTTTTTAGTAGAGACAGGGTTTCACTGTGTTGGCCAGGCTGGTTTTGAACGCCTGACCTCAGATGATCTGCCCACCTCAGCCTCCAAAAGTGCTGGGATTACAGGCATGAGCCACCACGCTCAGCTGTGGAAGGCACTCTTAGAGGGTGGTTGGGATAGATGTTGAGCGAGTCAATCCACAATATCCATCACAGTGTGGATGGAATCAATTTGGGAGGGAAAATCAGGAGTTCAGTTTTGAACACTATAAATTTAAGTTGTCATTTCGATATATGACTAGAGCTGAGTAGTAGGCAGGGAAATAAAATGCAGTGTAATGTAGTGGTAAGAGCACAGATTCTGGAACCAGTCTGCTTGGTTTCATATCATAGCTACCTCATTTATTAGCTGTGTGACATTGAGCAAGTATCTTAACCTCCCTGTGCCTCAGTTTTACCAGCTGTAAAATGACAATAATAATGTTATTTAATAACCATTTATTTCAGTATCTTCCCGAGTAGTGTCGTTATGAGAAATTAAATGAGTTAATATTTGTAAAGCATTTAAAACACTGCCTGGCACAAAATAACCAATGTATATGTGTTTGCTATGATAATAATAATAATAATTTTAATTAATAATGGTTTGTTTAATTATTATTATTTTAATTAATAACCTAGCAAATACACATACACAAATGCACTGCTTATTTTATTGTTGTTACTATGAGCTCACCTAAGGAGTACATGTAGCTAGAGCAGAGAAGAGATTGGAGCACTGTGACATCCAGAGGTCAAGGAGATGAGAAGGAACTAGCAAGGTGACTGAGCAGGAGGGACAAGGAGAAGTTGGTTCAAGAATCCAGGAAAAAGGATTGCAAGGAAAAGGGTGACCAGCAGTGCCTGATGGTGCTCTTAGTCGAAACAAGATGAAGCCCGAGAATGGACCATCAGATTTGACATAATAAGAAGGTCATGGTGACAAGAGCTGTCCAATGGGAAGGTGGGAAAGAAACCCTGATAGCAATGGTTTCAAAAGGGAATCAGGGAGAGGGTGTGAAGGCAGCAAGTGTGGCCATTCTTTTGAGGAGCTGCACTGCAAAGAGGAGCAGAGAACTGGGAGAGTAGCTGACCAGAAAGAAAATGGAAACCTCAGTCCTACAACCACAGGAACTGAATTCTGCTAACACCATATGCGTTTGGAACAAGACCCTGGGATCTAGAATGAACACAGCCCACCTGACACCTTAATCACTGCCTGTGTGATGCTGAGCAAAGGACCCAGTTGAGCTGCGCTCAGACTTCTAACCCATGGAGATTATGAGATAATGAATTTGTGCATTTCCAAGCCGCTAAATTTATGGTAATCTGTTATGTAGCCCCGGGTAACTAATACAATGACTAAGTATAATGCAATATTAAGGAATTATTGTTAACATGTAACTGTTGTAATTTGGAGTTACAAAAAATGCTCTTTTTTTAGTGATGCATATGAAAGTGCTAAGGAAGTATCTGTGATTTGTTTAAAAATAAAGATAAAGAAGGCCGGGCATGGTGGCTCACATCTGTAATCCCAGCACTTTGGGAGGCAGGCAGATCACCTGAGGTCAGGAGTTTGAGACCATGTTGGGTTTCACCCAACATGGTGAAACCCCATCTCTACTAAAAATACAAAAAAAATTAGCTGGGTGTGGTGGCGCAGGCCTGTAGTTCCAACTACTCAGGAGGCTGAGGCACGAGAATCACTTGAACCTGGGAGACAGAGGCTACAGTGAGCCAAGATTGCACCACTGCACTCTAACCTGGACGACAGAGCGAGGCTCCATCTCAAAATAAAGAAAGAAAGAAATAAGTAGGATCAAGTGTGGTGACTCACGCCTGTAATCTCAGCACTTTGGGAGGCCAAGGTGGGTGGATTACCTGAGGTCAGGAGTTCAAGGCCAGCCTGGCCAACATGGTGAAACCCCGTCTCTATTAAAAATACAAAAATTAGCCAGGTGTGGTGGCGCACACCTGTAATCCCAGCTACTCAGGAAGCTGAGGCAGGAGAATCGCTTGAACCCAGGAGGCGGAGGTTGCAGTGAGGCAAGATCACACCATTGCACTCCAGCCTGGGTGACAGAGCGAGACTCTATCAAAAAAAAAAAAAAAAAAAAAAAAAAAAGAGCGAGAGAGAGAAATAAAGAAAGAAAATATGAAGAAATATGGTAAAATGTTAATAATTATTAATCCAGGTGATGGATATACAGGAATCATTATACTGTTTTATGTCTTAAATTTTCATAATAAAATGTAAATATATACATAATGATGTGTGTGTATGGGTGGGTGTGTGTGTTAGAGAGAGAAAAAGTGAGGGCCTAGTCTTAAGGCCCCTTTCTTCTCCTCCTGCTCCTCCTCCTTTATGTTGTTTCCTGATTGCCCTTTTGGTCTACCTCTCTTACAGGGCTGTCCCCTTTTGGCCTGCTGTCTTTCTGAAGATTGTACCTTCTAGAGCATATTTTCATAATCCCCTCCTAATAGAAGTTGTATTGAGCCTTTAATCTCCAGCCCTGTGTGTCATGGAATCTGGCGTGAGCTGACCCAGAAGGACAGCCACCTCCCCTCAGTAGGTCTGGGTGAGCCCCTGGGGGCTGAAGTGTCATTGTACAATGGCCCTTATTCACAGCAGGGCTGCCTTTCAGGGGGCCTGGTGTGCTCTCCTCGTGCCAACCCCAGCTGTCTTTCTCACCATTCTGAGCTCTCCTCTGCCACCTTGGCCCAGGCCTTAATACTTTCTCAGAAACCCAATTCCTTCGGCAGAAGCCACATGTTCCGCTCAGGCCCCATCTGACAGCTGTGGCCCCTGGCCCAGCCCCATAGACGTTCAGTGTTCCCTTTCACAGGCCCTGGTGTGTTCCTGCCAGAAAAGTCCACTTCCTTTACGATTCTCTTTTTCATGGTGTCACTTTTTTTGGCCTTGTGCATCATGCCAATTCCTTGCACACTTGATGAAAGGATTCAGGGGCAGAGAACTTGAATCAATGGGGTCTTTTTATTTTTGAACATCAGTAAACAGCACAAATCAATTCAATGAGTTCAGCCCCCTTGGTTATTTTCGTGCTTACTGCAGTCTATGCCCAGCATTAAATCCCACTGAAAATGCCTCTTGTTATTGCCAGCTAATGAAGAATGTCGCTCTTTTTTCTAGGTTTGAACACACTCCAAAACATTGGCCTGAAAGATCAGTTTAACATTGGAAAGCCCTGAATGTAAAATCTTTAACTTTCCCCCTTAAACAGTTCATTGACATTATTCTAATCATTTTCTTTCCTCTGCGTTTTACTGTACTCACTGGCAGTATTTTGATCTGTTTGTTAGTGCAAAATGCAGTCATTTATTTTCGAGACTTAGGAAGATATGCCAAAATCTTTCCCACTGATTAAGTTAAAGATTATGTAATTAGAGATTAAAAGGTACAGTTAACCTGTTGACTTGTCATAGTTGTACTTCCATCAAAGTGGCCCCTTTTCACCTTTTTTGGTCATTCTCAATATCCAGGCCCAGAAAGGACAGTTCACAGTATGTTTAGTGGCACTAGCAAAGAACGTAGACTGGCTGGGTGTGGTGATCACCCAGTGATCACACCCTTGATCCCAGAAGTTTGGGAGTCTAAAGTGGGAGGATCTCTTAAGCCCAGGAGTTCGAGGCCAGCCTGGACAAAAAAATTTTAAATAGTGAGACCCTGTCTCTACAAAAAGTGAGCTCTGATTAATATGCCACTGACCATTTTTAGTCAGAAATGTGGAGGGGCATGTTCTTTTTTTAAAAAAATGCATATATATATATATATATATATATATATATATATATATATATATATATATATATATATATATATATATATATATATATATATATATATATATATATATATATATATATATATATATATATATATTTTTTTTTTTTTTTTTTTTTTTTTTTTTTTTTTAAGAGACAGGGTCTTGCTCTATTGCCCAGGCTGGACTGCAGTGGTGCATTCATGGCTCGCTGTTGCCTCTACCTCCTGGGCTCATGTAATACTCCCACGTCAGCCTCCCAAGTAGCTGGGACTATAGGTGCACACCACCATGTCCGACTAATTTTTAAATTTTCTGTAAAGATGAGGTTTCCCCGTGTTACTTAGGCTGGTCTTGAACTCCTGGGTTCAGGCAGTTCTCCCACCTCAGCCTCCCAAAGTGCTGGGATTACAGGCATGAGCCACTGTGCCCAGTCTATACCCATTACTTGAGAAATAAAACCACAAGAAAAAAAATCCTAAAAAACATATTCAAAACAAAATCTGTATATTTTCCCCTGTAGTACGGAGTGCCTCATTTTATTTATTTATTATTTATTTATTTATTTACTTATTTTTGAGACAGAGTCTCACTCTGTTACCCAGGCTGGGGCGCAGTGGCGTGATCTCGGCTCACTGCAGCCTCCACCTCCCAGGTTCAAGCTATTCCCATGCCTCAGCCTCCTGAGTAGCTGGGACTATAGACGTGAGCCACCATACCCGGCTTATTTTTGTATTTTTAGTAGATATGGGGTTTCACCATGTTGGCCATGCTGGTCTCAAACTCCTGAACTCAGGTGATCCACCCACCTTGGCCTCCCAAAGTGCTGGGATTACAGGCGTGAGCCACCTGGTGGGCTGCCTCATATTTAAGGGGAAAAAAAGACAAAAAAAAAAACCATTAAACTTTTGTTCCCATTTGAAATATCAAGACATGAATTAAGTGGTGCAGACAGGTGGCTTCACCAGATACTGCTAACATCTAGTGAGGCCCTCTGCACAGTGAGAAGGTTCAATGGTAGATTCTGGAACCAGACAGCAGGGATTCAAATGCCAGATCCAGTACTTACTAGCTGTGTGATCTTGGACAAATTACTTCTCTCTGTGCCCTAGTCTGCTCATCTATAAAATCAGAACAATTAGAGTTTCTACCCCACGGGGTTGTTGTGAGTGTGTAGAATGCTTCGATTACTGTCCAGCATATGAAAAGCAATCGTCACAGTCATCATTATGTCCTGGGTGGATGACAATGACTTTCTGGTCCAGCCTTCACAACATTGCCAGAATGGTCTTCCTGGAAGTCTGCTCCTGTCCTCTCTCACATTCCTGCTCCCTAACACAGGATCTGCCTCTCCCCCTAGGAGGAAGTCACCAGGTGATAAACTACTTTCACTCAGAAGGCAGGAATGAGCAGGAAGCCTCCAGGTCACAACAGGAAACTGAGCTGCTTTTTCAAGATGTTCTTCAATTTTTTTGGGGGGGGTGGTTATTAACCTAGGTGAGGAGAGTTGAGTTCATTTCATTCCTCAGTTCAAGGCACATGCTTGTGATTAGTCGGCATAAGTCCCTTCCCTTGCTTTATATTTTATTTATTCTCTTTTATCCACTTTCCTTACTCCTACATCCCCCTACCCCACCATTCTGTTTCCAAGTATTTGTGTAAAGGGAGTGTTGTGGTGGTGAATGCCTGACTTCAAGTTACACGGCTGATGAATGGAGTGTTCCCCACACAGTCTTAAGATCTGTGCTGCCATGAGGACCTCTCATCTTCTCTTCTGACATCTGCCTGTGACCCCCTGGTGTGCATCCTTACATTTCATGCTCCCCTTCCCCAGGTGACAGACACCCAGGTTGCCTCCAATCATCCTCTGCAACGAACCAGGGAAAAGACGGATTTCTCGGAAGATGGTACCAGGAAATCTTGGTACTATGTGGATAAAAATACAGCTGGATCCCCACCTAAGTTACTCCATATGAAGTGAACTCTAGGTCAGGTCGATTAAAGATCAAAATATAGGGCGTGGTGGCTCACACCTGTAATCAGCACTTTGGAAGGCCGAGGCGGGTGGATCACCTGAGCTCAGGAGTTCGAGACCAGCCTGGCCAATATAGTGAAACCCCATCTCTACTAAAAATACAAAAATTAACTGGGCAAGGTGGCATACACCTGTAGTCCCAGCTTCTTGGGAGGCTGAGGCACCAGAATCACTTGAACCTGGGAGGCGGAGTTTGCAGTGAGCCGAGATCATGCCACTGCACTCCCACCTGGGTGACAGAGCAAGACTCCATCTTAAAAAAAAAAAAAAAAAAAAAGACCAAAATATAAAACAATGAGATTACTAGAAGGAAATGTAGGTGAATGAATATCTCAGTGACCTAGGGAAAGAACCTCTCAGGCAAAACTTCAGATACATACAATTCCTTGAACATTTCTTCCATTCAGATTGGTTTTTCCAGTTCTCTCTCACCTCTTGGTCAGCCCTTCTCAACTGCTGAGAGATTATCTTTTGTTTAAGGATAAAAGGGGAAGAAAACCAAAACCTTGAAGGCTGCATTTTCTTTACCTTCAGTTTTGTGTCTGTTTTTTGTTTGTTTGTTTTTTTCTAGATTTCTCCTTTGCCCAGAACAGAGGTCAGCAAACTATGGCTGTGAGGCAAATCCAGCCCACTGCATATTTTCGTACAGCCTACTAAGAAAGGCTTTTACATCTTAATTGGTTAAGTCAGAGAAAACAAAATAAGAATAATATTTTGTGACACATTAACATTATGTGAAATACAACTCTCACTATTCATGTGTTTCATTGGAACACAGACTGTGGATGGCTGCTTTCTCACAACTGCAGAGTTAAGTAGTTATGACAGAGACCATATGGCCCACAAAGCCAAAAATATTTTCTACCTGGCCCTTTGCAGAAAAAAAAAAAATGCCAACTCCTGAACTCTTGTGTGCCCCTTGAGGATGGAAATCATATCCAGTATTTGTCTTGTTTCCCTGACTGCTCAGCACAGGGCCTGGCAGGTAATCGGTGCTATTTCTACCACTTTGGACTACTTTCAGTTTCAAGTAACAGAATACCCTACCGAAAGGGTTTTAGTTCTCACATAACAAGAACTCTAGAGAGAAAACCGGCACTGCTTCAATCTCGGTGACGTTGCATCAGGGACTTGGGTCAACGCCTTCTCCCCCTGCCCTAATGGTTTCAAGATGGCCATAGCACCCACCTCCTTGGGTCATTTCCTCGTACAACCTTTGTTGAAAGACAGAACATGCACAGCAACATATGCAAATAACTTGACCTAGTAAACAAGTCAAGGAGGAAAATAATCCCTGGAGCCCCAAAGCAGACTTCCCCTCATGGCATTAGCCAGGAGTGGATCACATGCTCCCTCACACTAGGGTCCGGACCCCTTCCCTTGAGAACTAGAGATTTCCACCCAAAACTCCAGCAGCATCAGGGAATGAGGAATCAAGAAATGTCTTTGGGGTCGGCAAAGAGAAGTATCTGCCCCAAGGCTGATTAATAGGGAGGCTGATTTCTGACTTTTGAAAGACAACCCAGAAATTAGAACTATTTTTTATGTGCAGAACCAAATTTAATTCCAACCTTTCTTAAGACGCGTAACTCATTTTAAAATAAGATAATTTCTTGGTGGGGCACAGTGGCTCATGTCTGTCATCCCAGCACTTTGGGAGGCCGAGGTGGGCTGATCACTTGAGATCAGGAGTTCGATACCAGCCTGGCAAACATGGCAAAACCCCGTCTCCACTAAAAATACAAAAGTTAGTGTGGGATTACAGGCATGGTGGCACACACCTGTAATCCCACCTACTCGAGGGGGATGAGGCAGGAGAATCATTTGAACCCGTAAGGTAGAGGTTGCAGTGAGATTGCACCACTGCACTCCAGCCTGGGCAACAGAAAAAGATAATTTCTTCAAGTGATTTCACATGGTTTTCAAACCATAGAAGCACAAAAGTTAGCTAAGTAGCTTTTATAAATTCTGGGTGGCTTTTTTGAATCAAATTCAATGTTCCACAGTCAGGACTCTTCTGTTGCTGGACAGTCACGTGGTGCAAGGCTGTAAGTTGAAGAGTGTCCCATAGGCCTTGTGCAGTAAAAGCTCTGCTCTTCATCATAATGGTTGGCTCATCAGGACCATCAGAGTGATCTCTTGGCAATAGTTAAGCAATCAAACGGAGCTATAGTAATGGCTTATAACCAAAGTACACAATCAGTGTCAAAAAGAAAGACAGGGATGTGAACACACAGGTTCCCAGGAGACGCGGAGCCAGAACTTAGCATGGGATCCCAGCCCTGGTGAGTCAGAGCCCATGAGCATGCCCTGGCAGGTGGCCCGTTTGATTCTCCCGGCTCACAGGTTGCATGCTCTGCCTGTGACCCTCTGCCTACAAGACTCAGCAGATGAGCAAATGAAGGCCCAATCAAACAAGAACTAACAAGAAATGCAATATAACTTTTAAAATTAGAAATCTCGAAATGCATCCCAGCACTTTGGGAGGCCGAGGTAGGTAGATCACTTGAGACCAGGAGTTTGAGACCAGCCTGGCCAACATGGTGAAACTCCATCTCTACTAAAAATACAAAAATTAGCCAGGTGTGGTGGTGGGTGCATGTAAAACTCAGGAGACTGAGGCAGGAGAATCGCTTGAACCTGGGAGGCAGAGGTTACGGTGAGCCGAGATCGTGGCACTGCACTCCAGCCTGGGCGACAGAGCTGTCGAGAGAAAGAAAGAAAGAGAGAAAGAGAAAGAAATAAAAAGTGCCAACTTTACAGAGAGCTCTGAGATGATGGTTTTTTATACCTTTTAAAAATTTCCTTGCTTTGCTTGTTACTTATCAGCATTTCTCAACTTTTTTTCAGTCTGTGACTTTGGTGGGATCTGTCTCCCCACTCTTTGCCTGTCCTGCTCTGACCATCCCATCTGACCCAGGTATGAACACAGAGTCCATCCACGCAGTCCTCCCCAAGAGGAACTTGGAGGAAGTAGGGGCCATGGTAAGAAATTACAGATGTCTGTGGGGCAAATAAAATACTGTTTGCACAAAGGCAATTGCTTTGGCCAATCAAGTGCGAAGTCCTAACTTTGTAGATGTTTCCTAATGTGAGAAGACTGCGAAGAATTGCTCAAAAGAGCAACAAAAAACATCTAAACTTTAAAACATCAACTACTGCTATGAACCAGAATCTATCCATATGTCCGGAAATTTAAATATAGCCAAGAGGACGCTCTCTGTGTCAGTCAAATATTGCACCTTTTGTGACCTCTTGTTACCTGCTGCCCAACACACACACACACTCACTCAAAAATCTTAATAGAATTTCCATTTTGTGGAGAACAGGTGGAAAGGAAGGGAGTCAAGAATGCTGCGTCAGCTTCCAGCCATAGCCCTTTCCACCCTATCTGCAGGTTCCTGGAAAGAATGATAGTGGGAAGCCCTGATGCTGGGCCCTAAATCTAACTCTGCTCAGAGGTTAGGCTCTGGAACATCATCCTGTTTCATTTTATACAGGTGTGCACACTCTTTACTGCATTGTATTTCTTTTGCCTCTATTTCCATATTTAGCCTTTAGTTAGAGGTTCTGAGCAAAACTTCCATTTCATTTGCAGTCATTCCATTGTAAAGAATTAGTGAAAATATACCATTTAGCTATAAATATTTGAGCTTTCGAATTCACATGATTAATAAAAGGAAGGTAAGTAAATGTGCAAGAAAGTTATTGTCCAGGCCCAGTGAACTAAGAAAACTCTGAAGGTAGAGGGCAAGATGGAAAACTTCTAGAATGTAGCCTCTTATAAAAAAGGATCTGCTATAATAAGAAAGAGTGTGTTATTTTATATATCTTTTTTTAAGAGTGTGTTTTTATATAGGTGAGCTGAGGTATATATCTCATTACATTTATGTGAATATTCTCTATGAGAGCATGTTCTAAACATTTTTCAGGATTTTCCCATATAGACTAAAATCAGAGAACTTTGCTGCTGTTTATGTGCATGAAACTTTAATTTGTTTTATAAATTTCTTGTGAGAATAGGAATAGCCTCCTTACTGACATAAGGTCTCCAAGCCTCAATCAATTCATAAGAATGTTTCAGAGCCTACTCTATGCCTGGCCCTGTAGTAAGTCTGTAGATATTTCTGTTTAAATCATATCGTCTTTAATTTAATGAATGGAAAGTTATTGGAAGATGTAATGCACTGAAAAGGAAGTAATATCAGGTACGTGGTGTTCTTGTCCAAAACACATAACCTGAATCTACATCATACAACTCCAAAATGGGGGGCACTCTATTAAAAACTAGCCTATGTTCTTCAAAAATATTAATGTCATGAAAGACAAAGTTAGGAATGTTCCAGATTAAAGAAGACGAAAGAGACATGACAACAATATATAAAGCATGATCCTCGATTGGATCCCGAATTAGAGGGGGAATATAGGGCTGTAAAGGATGTTATTGGGATAATTGGCAAAATTTGGGGATTAGATAGTAGTATTGTATTGATGTATTGATGTTACATTTCATGTTTTGTATTGATGTTAAATTTCATGATTTTGATAACTGCACTGTACTTACATTAAGAGAATGCCATTGATCTCTGGAAATAGCAGCTGAAGAAAATAAGAGTAAAGGAGTATGATGTCTGCAACTTATAGTTCATTATAAAACTAGTAAGTATATATGCTTACTACACACACATATGTAAATTAGATATCGTGCAAATGTGGCAAAATTTTAACATTGGTAAATCTGGGTAAAGGATACATGATAGTTCTTGTACTATTCTTTTTTTTTTTTTTTTCGAGACGGAGTTTCACTCTGTCACCCAGGCTGGAGGGCAGCAGTGAACCTCAGCCTCCCGGGCTCAAGCAATTCTCCTACCTCAGCCTCTTGAGTAGCTGGGATTACAGGCACCCACCACCATGCCAACTAATTTTTGTATTTTTAGTAGAGACAGAGTTTTACCATGTTGGTCAGGCTGGTCTCAAACTACTGACCTCGTGATCCTCCTGCCTCAACCTCCCAAAGTGCTGGGATTACAGGCATAAGCCACCACTCCCGGCCCTCTTGTACTATTTTTGTAACTCTTCTGTATGTTTGAAATTATTTCAAAATAAAATTAAATTTTATAAAATTGTTGGTACATACACTAAACTTGTCCTGAAATTAGTTGCCTTGTGAGATTTTACTCTTGGCTAACACTTAAACATTATCTTGAGCAAGGCACTGATGACTAGGTTGAGATCAAAAAGTTTTACAACCAAGTTTTGCAAGATTTATTTCTACTTTGAAAAGAAAGCTGGAGACGGACAGTCGGGTGTGGGGAGTGGTCATTAAATCAATTATGTGTAATGGGAACTCGGCCTCTACATTTCCACTTCTTTATTGCCACTCCTGGGAAATCGGTCAGAGAAAAAAATACGAGATGCACATGCAAACATCTTCCCTGTGATACTCACTTTCCATAAAAATCAGGCACAACCCTGTACCCTTGCCCACTGGAGTTTGTCACCCTCAGGGCTGGCAGGCCTCAGCACTCTCCTGGGCCAGGGCTCCCACGCCGTTTCCCACTGAGAGAGGCCCAAGCTGTGGCTCCTCCAGAAGCCTTTTGTGTCCCTCCAGAACTATGCCGTCCAATACAGTAGCCACTGGCACATGTGGCTGCGAGCTCCTGCGATGAGCTGGTCTGAACTGACATGTGCTGTCAGTGCAAAACCCACACTGGGTTTCAAAGACTTTGCACAAAAAAAAAAAATAAAAGATCTCAATAATTTCATATAGTGATTACATATTGAAATTACGATGTTTTAAATATATTGAATTGAATAAAGTACATTATTTAAATAATTTCAACTGCTGCTTTTTACTTTTTGTTTAATGTGGCTACCAGGAAATTTCATATCATTCACGTTTCACTTCCACTACAAAATAGTAAAAAAAAAAAAAAAATCATATACGTGGTTCACATTATGTTTGTATTAAGCAGACCTACCCAGATGCAGATGAAACTGCACAGCCCCTTTCTCACGCCCTGGCTGCACGCTCTGTCATGCTCTGAGAGCATCTCCCCCTGCTTCTCCAGCTGGCTGCTGCCTCTTACAGCACTACAGGCTCCACAAAGCCAGGAGCCTTGTTCTCCTTGGTCCCTCAGTTTCCAGCATTGTGCCTGCCATAGCTGATCAAGGGTGTTGCTTAGCCAATTTAACTCCTCATTTAAGAACTAGGCCGGGCATGGTGGCTCACAGCTGTAATCCCAGGGCTTTGGGAGGCTGAGGCAGGAAGATTGCTTGAGGCTAGGAGTTTGAGACCAGCTTAGGCAAGATAGTGAGGCCTCGTCTCTATAAAAAAAAGAAAAAATTAGCAAGGCATGTTGGCCTACACCTGTAGTCCCAGCCGCTTGGGAGACTTGAGCCCAGGAGCTGGAGGCTGCAGTGAGCCATGATCGTGCCACTGCACTCCAACCTGGGCAACAGAGCGAGACCTTGTCTCTAAAGCAAAAACGAAATAAACCATATATGTATATATGATTTTATAGTAACTAAGTCAAGTTATACTTCTTCCATAAAGACCTCTCTGTATCCTCCATCTCTCTGCACTCCTGTAGTTCTGTCTTTATGACTTAGTTTGACTGCCACATGATGTTTAGGATTCATTTTTAAATACTCCAGTAGATAATGTTACTGCAGAAGGTGGACAAAACAAGCTTGGCCATATATTGATGATCACTGAAGTAGGTGAGGAGTACATGGAAGTTCCTTATGTTAGTCTATTTTTGTGTATGTTTGGAAATTCCTATAATAAAAAATGTAAATAATGTCTCATACTATGCCTACTTTGAGGGTTAATGTCTCATCTTCACAATGAGTGCCTATGCTCCTAAGATTGTTGTTCATGACTTGTAGATGATGGCTACTGTAGAACAGAGGACCTACATCGGTACTTGCTGAATTAAACTCTATCTTAGGTGCCAAAAATTCCATTGAGAAAAGCTGGATTTAGGTGTAAGAATAAGGATACAAGGTGCTATTCTAGCTTTTGTTTCCTGGCCTTTATCCTACGGTCAACCCCCTTTTTGATTTCTGCTCTAGCTTCTTCTCTCATGGGCTTATGATTAATCTTCAGTGAATGCCTGCAGTGCCCCTGCTCCAGTGTTCTGCGGCATTTCTGGATAGCCCATAGTTATCATAAAACTAAGAACCATCTGGGTGTGGTGGCGCATGCATCTAATGCCAGCTATAAGGGAGGCTGTAGCAGAGGATCGCTTGAGCCCAGGACTCCCAGGAGTTCAAGGCCAGGCTGGGCAGGGTAGCAACATCCCATCTCTAAGTTAATTAATTAACTGGAAGCCAAGTTTGCATTCAGATTTCTATGTTGGTCCCTCCCTTTTTTCTTACTCCATAGATCCCATTCTGCTTCTCTCACTATGTCTCCCTGTTCTATGGGTACTAAAGGTAGAAAAGAAAAGAGTACATTTGCCATTGCTTTCACATCTGCACAATAAGTGTTCATGTCTTACTTTCCTTCTATACTGTAATTCAGAGAAAGTGGTCTAAAAACAATACTAGGATGAAATATTGTGATCATCCACATTTTTCTTTTTCTTTCTTTCTTTTTTTTTTTTTTTTTGATATGGAGTCTCGCTTTGTTTCCCAGGCTGGAGTTCAGTGGCTCAATCTCGGCTCACTGCAACCTCTGCCTCCCAGCTTCAAGCACTCCTGCCTCAGCCTCCCAAGTATCTGGGATTACAGGTGCCTGCCACCACACCCAGCTAATTTTTGTATTTTTAATAGAAATGGAGTTTCACCATGTTGGCCAGGCTGGTCTCAAGCTCCTGAACTCAGATCTGCCCACCTTGGCCTTCCAAAGTGCTGGGATTACAAGCGTGAGCCACTGCGCCCGGCCATCATCCACATTTTTCTATACGTACTGCTCTTTGCCATTTCAAATGGAGCCACTAATTCCATGAGAAGAGTCCTTTTTTAAAAAAAATGTTTGTAGCCAGCACTCCAAGAAGAAAACCCCTTTGCCTGCATCCAGTATCAAATTCCTCCAGGTGAAAAAACAGGCTAAAAACACAGTAGCCATTGTCATTGCAAAGGTGACTGAAAAGGATGCACTAACCTTTGTGATGTTTTTTGTTTTTTTTTTTTGAGACAGAGTCTCACTTTGTCACCCAGGCTGGAGTGCAGTGGCTCTATTGCAGCTTACTGCAGCCATGACCTCTGGGCTCCATTGATTCTCCCACCTCAGCCTCCCGAGTAGCTGGGACTATAGGCATCCACTACTATGCCTGGCTAATTTTCTTTCTTTTTTTTTTTTTTTGTAGAGATGGGGGTCTCACTATGTTACCCAGGCTGGTCTTGAACTCCTGAACTTAAGCGATCCTCCCGCCTCCACCTCTCAAAGTGCTGGAATTACAGGGATGAGCCACTGCACCTGGCCTGTGATTCGCTTTCTTTTCTTTTTCCAAAAAGCCAGGGAAACACATTTTGGTGGGAGAGTAATTTGAAAGCTTAGTAAACCTGGAAACAAGGGATTTTGATTACCCATTCATGTAGAGAATACCCAGACAGGAGAGTCCGAAGAACTATACACAAAGCAGAAGTCTCTGAGTCATTGGCTAATGCTTAAATCTGAAATCCATGACTCTGATTATGACATGTAAAAACGCCCACATTGGGACAGGGCAGTCACATGAGCTGTCTCTCTTTTTGAACTGATTCCTCTACCTGTAGTTTGTTCTTGCCTTTCTGTTCTGCCAAATATCAAAGCTTTGTTTCAACAAGTCTGTAACCTGTGAGAGGTACTTTCCATCACTGCTTCCATCACATGCTTTCTTTAAAAATAGAATTTGTTGAGCTGGTGCAATGGTGTGCACCTGAAATCCCAGCGACTTGAGAGGCTGAAGAGGGGGAATTGCTTGAGCCCAGGAGTTCGAGTCCAGCCTGGGCAACATAGTGAGACCTCATCTCTAAAAATAAAAATTAAAAAAAATTGTTTTTACCATGTCGTCTGCTGTATAACTGTGCTAGACAGAATAATGGTCCCCGAAGACTTCCACATCCTAACCCCCAGGACCTGTAAATGTGTTATATGGCAAGGAGCAGATGAAGGTTGCTAATCCGCTGGACTTAAGGCAAGGAGATGATTTCAGATTATCTAGGTGGGCTCAGTATAATCACAAGGGTCCTTGTGAGTGGGAGAGGGAGACGTGGGAATCAGTGCCAGAGGGCTGCCAGAGACAGAGGGGCCAATGAGACAGGAAATGTGGGCAGCCCCTAGAAGCTGGAAAGGCAAGGAAATCAATTCTGCCCTAGAGCCGCCCTGCCAACACTGTGATGTTAGTTCAGTGAGGCCATTTCACACTTCGGCTTCCAGAAATGTAAGATCATAAATTTGTGTTGTTTTCAGACTCCAAGTTTCTGACCATGTGTTGGGAGAAAAGGATCTTAACTAATTTTTATGATCTTGCTTACAAACACCAGTTTAAATTGAGCAATTCCTAAAATTAAAGATGTTAATTCCTTTTTTTCTTTCCCTGAAAAACTAAGGAAAAACATTTTGGTAGGAGAGTAATTTCAAAGCTTAGTAAATCTGGAGACAGTTCAAATACCAGTTTAAACTGAGCAGTTCCTAAAATTAAAGATGTGAATTCCTTGGCAGCCTGCCGGGATTCCTGGGTGTGCCTGCTGCCTGCCATTTCGAAGGTCTCCTTTGGGGTGGCTGCCTCAGTCCTCACAGCTCAAGCATCGCTCCTCAAGTCGGGACTGTGGCCACCAGGAGGAGTGTCAGAAGCCAAGAGAAGGCAATTTGGGGCATTTCTCAAAAGTTGACTATTCTGGTCGGGCGCGGTGGCTCACGCCTGTAATCCCAGCACTTTGGGAGGCCGAGACGGGCGGATCACGAGGTCAGGAGATCGAGACCATTCTGGCTAACACGGTGAAACCCCGTCGCTACTAAAAATACAAAAAATTAGCCGGGCGAGGTGGTGGTCGCCTGTAGCCCCAGCTACGCGGGAGGCTGAGGCAGGAGAATGGCGTGAACCCTGGGGGGCGGAGCCTGCAGTGAGCCGAGATCGCGCCACTGCACTCCAGCCTGGGCGACAGCGAGACTCCGCCTCAAAAAAAAAAAAAAAAAAAAAAAAAAAAGTTGACTATTCTTTGCTTTCCTCCACATCATTTCCGAACAGAGTAATTGTATCTGTAATTCCAGATAATTGAGATGTTTCCCTTTTCATTTCTCAATTGCCTTAAGGCGAGTTGATTAGCAACCTTCATCCCCCCAGCCATATAATATATTTACCAGACCTGGCAATTAGGATCTGAACGGAACAATTTTTCTTTCTTTTCTTTTTTCTTTTCTTTTCTTTTCTTGTCTTTTCTTTCTTTCTTTCTTTCTTTCTTTCTTTCTTTCTTTCTTTCTTTCTTTCTCTTTCTTTCTTTCCTTTCTTTCTCTTTCTTTCCTTCCTTCTTTCTTTCTTTTCTTTCTTTTTCTTTCTTTCTTTCTTAAGAGATGAAGTCTCACTACATTGCCCAGGCTGGACTCAAACTCCTGGGCTTAAGCAATCTTCCCGCTTCAGCCTCTGAAGTCACTGGGACTTCAGGTACACATCAGTACACCAGCTCAAAAAATTATTTCAACAAAATATTTCAAACTTTCTTTACAGTATAATTTTATCTTTCCAAAACAAACAAACAGGCTTGAGAATATTCTTTACCCAAAATGGCCCTGTCTCTGAGTCCTACATAGAGTTAACTACTTTATATATTATCAACCATTGATTATCAAGAAACAGATTATCCAACTTGTAGTTCTTTGGAATGAAGATCTTTCTCTTGTTCTCTTATTCACCTCTGTCCAGCTGCCTACATTTTGACTCTTGTCCTATCAGTGCCTCTTCTCTTTGATGGTGCAGGGAAGGAAAAAAGACATAAAAGTTGATTTGATCATTGTGTCTCCCTAAACAAAACGAAGGTTTTGTTACAGAAGAATTTAACACTTCCAATTTATTTAGAGACGGGGTGGCTAATCTGGCTAGAAATATGAGCCAGAACTGTGTCTGCAACAAAGGACAAAAATATCTTTAAAAATGTTAATAGTAGCTTTTCCTTAAATTGAAAAGGTGTTTTTTTTTAATTGTAAAAGTTATGTGTTTGTCATAAAAAGCAAATAGTGCTGTAGGCAGCTGAGGTGGGAAGATCACTTGAGGCCAGGAGTTCAAGACCAGCCTGGGCAGCATAGTGAGATTTTTGTCTCTACAAAAAATAAAAAGCAAATAAAAAATTAGCCGAGTGTGGTGGTGTGTGCCTGTAGTCCTACCTACTTGGAAGGCTGAGGTGGGAGGATCACTTGAGCCTAGGAGTTCAAGGCTGCAATGAGCTATAATCATGCCACTGCACTCCGGCCTGGGCAACAGAGTGAGAGCCTGTCTCTAAAAAAAAAAAAAAAAAAAGTTTTTAAGTAATTTAAAAAGCAAATAACTATATACATTATTCGCTTTACATTACATGAAACTAATAAGTATTTCCATTATTCCTTTATTCATCAATATTTGAAAATTGTTTCAGTCATGAATAATGTGTTCCTTTCGTTGTTTTCCCCTTCATATTTGCTGCAAAGGCTGTAAAAGGCACTCTACAGAGTTGTTTGCCGCCTTAGGGATGGAAGTCAGCCACTCCTGCTGTATGGATTTTAGTTTCATAGGCTATTTCCATTCCTCCTTGACACACTGAACCATAAATCAATACCCCAAGTTTTACCCTCACCTGCAACCAAGGTTTCTACTGCACTGAAAATGGCCATGTGAATGTGAGTTTGAGAAAGGTCACATATGGTAAAGTTTTCATGTTGCCACATTTTCTGCATACTCTGTAACCAGGAATGATTTGACTGTATAAATTTATCTTACAGACACACTTGTTTGTACATTTAATGCCTGCTTTCTATAATATGAAAAAATACACAGAACGTTTTATGCAATTGGCTCTGAGTAATGCAACACATAAATGCTTTGAGAGCAGTTACCAAAAATTATGCAGGTTATTACAAAAGTTATATGGAATTGCACAGATATTCTAAATGTGCTTTTGAGTAAATTTCTCAGCTACCAGAGGCCTGGGCAGCTGTTTCCAGCACATCCTGGCACAACATTCATGTTATCATCCACTTATGTATTCCACAATTTCAAATGATTGATAAGACACCTCCCCCATCTTTGCTTCCTCTTGGAGGAAAAAAATATACAAGCAATCACGAGCACAGGAGCAGGTGGACAACTACATCTTAGGAAAGGGTGCGTAACTGTGAACTCTAAACGTGAGCTGGGTGCCTGATGCAGTATAGGAACCACAGTAAGTCGATAATCAGTGAGGCTGGAGGATTGAAATTTTATTTGGTAAAGAATATTGAGCCAGGCGCGGTGGCTCATGCCTGTAATCCCAGCACTTTGGGAAGCCGAGGCGGGCAGATCACAAGGTCAGGAGATCGAGACCAGCCTGGCCAACATAGTGAAACCTGCCTCTACTAAAAATACAAAAAATTAGCCGGGCATGGTGGCGGGCACCTGTAATTCCAGCTACTCAGGAGGCTGAGGCAGGAGAATGGCTTGAACCTGGGAGGTGGAAGTTGCAGTGAGCTGAGATCGTGCCATTGCACTCCAGCCTGGGAGACAGTGTGAGACTCCATCTCAAAAAAAAAAAATGAATATTGAAATAGAGTCTATAGGAAAAAAACTCCTTGAATCTAGTAAATGTGGAATCACAAAATTGAAATAATGTGCATCTGAAAAGTGAATAAATAGATGCCAAGAAGGAGTGAGTCATAAGCACATGAGTTGTAAGAGGTTGAACTTGAGAGACCAGATCAGGCAGTGCCGCTTAATACCATCACATGATCCTCCCCGAGGCCCTGTATTTAATTAAAATAGAGAGGGAGGCACCACAGATGCCAGAAGAACACTGTTGCTCTTGGTGGACGGGCCCAGAGGAATTCAGAGTTAAACCTTGAGTGCCTGCGTCCGTGAGAATTCAGCATGGAATGTCTCTACTATTTCCTGGGATTTCTGCTCCTGGCTGCAAGATTGCCACTTGATGCCGCCAAACGTGAGTAACCCTTAATTTCTATGTTTAACCCATTCTCTGGCCATTGGCTGAAATGATGGCTAATAATATCCTCTGAACTAGAGGTTGGACTGAAGTTCTTCAGGAAGCTTTCATCTCTGGCTCACTCATCTCTTCTTCTGCAAACTGTTGGGAAGGCTGAAACTACAGCAAAATGCCTCCAGCTCCATTCTTTGCTTTCGGCTCATGGAAAGTAAAAACTATGCTGCCCTTCTCTTGTGAAGCTTCTTTTCCATTGCAATTGCAACCCATTCTTGCCAGACAGTGGTTGGGGGAGGGTTGGACAGCCTCCGGCCACAGAACAAAGCAACTCCACCAACTAAACTATGTCCAGCTTCCATCCAAAAGGGTGGAGACCTCACATGAAATGGGGTCTCCAATCTGGAGGCAAATTTACGAATCTCCCCAGCCCTGAAGCTATTGCTCCTCCTGCGGGGCTTCCTCACAGACCTGCAGGAGCTTGCTGGGAGAGGAGCTGAAGCCCAGGCTCTCTACCCTGGTCAGGCAGGAGAGGCCAGGGCATTTTTAACAATACTGATACCCACGCAATGAAACCGGAATCTTTGGGAGTGGGGTCAGAGGATCCTTGTTTTAAAAGTTCCTCTTGGGATCTGCCTATGCAGCCAGGGTCCAGACCACTGAAGCAGTGTGCAGATTCGCGAGAGGAAGAGAGCTGAGCCGCTGTAACCCTGGGCCTGGGATTGCGGGGACGGGACGGGTGGGAAGCGGCCAAAGGCGCAGCGGCTTCTGGTCAGAGCCGCAGAGGCCTGAGACGTGGGCCGCGCCCCGGCCCAGGAGACCCCGCGGCCGCGCCCTAACCCTCAGTCTCCCGACTGCGACTGCGACCCGGGAAAACGCCTACGTTTTTGGAAAGGAAGTCCCATCACAGGGAGCTGACCCGGTGTCAGCGCGCAGCACGTTCCCGGCCCGCAGTGCGCCGCGCGTCCTCCTAGCAGCCCGCGGAGCCCGGCACTGTGATGGTCCCGCTTCCCACACGAGGCCACGGGCCACAGAGTGGGCAAGGAACTCGCCCCAAGCCACACAGCGGGTAAGTTGAGGAGGCAGCCTTCCATCCCGACCTCTGTCCTTCCTGCCCGGGTTTGGGGTTGGACAGGCTCGGGCTCCCCGCCAGCCTAGGGGCTGGGTCTCCAGTGGCTTTGCTCCATTTCCTCATTTCCTTCAAAACGAGGAGTTTTCGTTTCCTCATTTGCAAAACTGGGTAATTGTGTTCTTGTGAGATCAGCTGCTTGGCGTGAGAGACGTGCATGGTGGGGATTGTTCCTACGGAGGCAGACCTGCACCCACCCTCAGGATACCTCCCAGGACAGGCTACTTTAAAGACGAAGGAACACAGAATAGACCCGATGGGGGACACCTGCTATTATTCCACCCTCTTTCACCAGTCCACTTCGCTCTGCTCAATAAAACAGATTAGCAGGAGGCCGAATCAGCGCTGTCAGCTCGAGAGGAGTCCTCAGCCTCTTGGGCAGTGTAACAAAACCCAGCCATTCACCAGGTTCACCTTGCTCTGGACTAAATATTCTGCCCAGAAAAAAATAAGGGCAGGCAGAATGTAGCAGTGTATCAAGCACTAAAGATTTCCTACCATTTTCCATTCGTAGCCCTGAAGGAAGGAGAAAGTGTGGACAAGGTAGGTGGAGGCAGCCCAGCCACCACCTCTCTGCTGGTGGACACAGCAAGGATGCCAAAGTGTGGAGGCAGAGTCGGCTGCAGCACTGGGTGCGACCTCAAATTTACCTTCACATTGATTGCCCCCAAAACCCACCCCCACAGGCTTTTATTTTTCTTTTAAAATCTGCTTACTATTGGGTTTTTTTTTTTTTAATCAATTTTTTTAGAGACAGGGTCTTACTCTCACCCAGGCTGGAGTGCAGTGGTGTGATCACAGCTCACTGCAGCCTCCAACTCCTGGGCTAAAGGTGATCTTCCACCTCAGCCTCCTGAGTAGCTGGGACCACAGGCACGTGCCACCACACCCAGATAATTTTTGTATTTTTTGTAGAAATGGGATCTTACTACATTGCCCAGGCTGGCCTCAAACTTCTGGGCTCAGTCCTCCCTTGGCCTCCCAGAATGCTAGGACTACAGGCATGAGCCACCTTATCCGGATGGGTTTATTTTATTTTTTAAATTTTTGTAGAGACAGGGTTTTGCCATGTTGCCCAGGCTGGTCTGGAACTCCTGGGCTCAGGCAATCGCCCACCCTCAGCCTTCCAAAGTGTTGGGATTACAGGCATGAGCCATTGCATCCGGCCTTTATTTTTAAATTCAACTTTTTATTGTGAGGTATTTATAGATTCACATACTGTTGTAAGAAATAATACAGAGAGATCCCCATGCACCCTTTACCTGGTTTGCCCCAGTGGTATCATCATGCAAAACAGGACATCACAGCCCAGATATTGACATTGATACAGTGAAAACACAGCAGAGCTCCATCACCAAAGTATTCTCATGGCTATAGATGTATAGCCAAATCTACTTCCCTCTTTCCAAACCTCACCCAGTCCCTGGCAACCACTAATCTGGTTTCCATTTTTATCATTTTGTAATTTCCAAAATTCTATACAAATGGAATTATCCAGTATGTAACCTTTTGAGATTTGCTTTTTTTAAAACCCAACATAATTTCCTGGAACTTTATTGATTTATTGAAGTAACTGCATCAATAGTTTGTTCCTCTTTGTCACAGAGTAGTATTCCATGGTATGGATGTACCACAGTTTGCTTAACCATTCACCCATTAAAGGACATCTGGGTTATTTCAATTTGGGCTATTATGAATAAAGCTGCTATAAATATTCATGTGCAGATCTCTGTGAGAATATCAGTTTTGTTTCTCTGGGATGCATGCCAAAGGGTACAATTTCTTGGTTGTATGATAGTTGCATGTTTAGTTTTGCAAGAAACTAACAGAGTGGCTGTACCATTTTACATTTCCACTAGTAATGTGTGAGCAATCCAGTTTCTCTACATCCTTGCAAGCATTTGATGTTGTCACTGCTTTTTAGTTAGGTCTTACTGATAGGGATATAGTGATATTTCACTACTGGCTAATGATGTTGAATATCTTCTTGTGTGTTTATTTGCCATGAGATGAATGAAATGGTGAAATATCATTTCATTAATTTTTACCAATTTTTCTAATTGAATCCCGTGGTTTTCTTATAGTGAGTTTTGAAAATTCTTTATATATTCTAAATACTAGTCCTTTATTGGAAGTGTAGTTTACAAATAATTTCTCCCAGTCTGTAGCTTGCCTTTTCATCCTCTTTCATGTCATGTTTCAGAGAGCAAAGGTTTTTTATTTTAATGAGTTCCAATTTCCTGTTACGGGTTGTGTTCATGTCAAGTCTAAGAATTCTTGCCTAGTCCTAGATCCTGAAGATTTCACCTATGCTTTTTGCTTTTTTACAGCACCATATGTTGAAAAGGCTATCTTCCCTCCATTGGCTTGTTTTTGCATCTTTGTCCAAAATCAAGCCAGGCACTGTAGTGCTTGCCCGTGGTCCTAGCTAATCGGAAGGCTGGGGCAGGTAGATCACTTGAGCCCAGGAGTTTGAGTCCAGCCTGAGCAACATAGTGGGACCCCCATCTCTTCAAAAAAAAAAAAATTAGTAGAGCATGCTTGTGTGGGTCTATTTCTGGATTCTCTCTTCTATTCCATTGACCTATGTGCCTATCCCTTGTAACTCTCCTTTTAAGTTTATACTTTTCCTGGGCTTCTGACATTTAAAATCGGAAGAGAAATCTGCGTTTTGATTATGTTCCTGGAAACAATAACTTTCTTTCAAGATCTGAGGAAGAGGAAGACTCTCTGGAACAGTGGAAAGAACTTGTCCTTGTCCTGGGAATCAAAAGATGTGAATCTTGATTTCTACTAAAGATGACCCTAGGTGAATCATATCATTTCCCTAGGCCTGAATTTCTTCATATATAAAATGAAGGGATTTGAACTAAATAATCTTAGTTCTTTTCATATGACTCAAGTGAATTTCCAATTACAAATACTTATTGATAAACACAAATGTCCTCCCCTCACTTAATGTCTATTTCCAAATAGGAGCAATCTCATAGAATCACAGGACATTTGGCTTTTGTCAGATGTGAAGGCCCAGAGAAGACACATGGCCTGAGGTCACACATCCTGTTTAATAACAGAACCAAGGCTAGAAAACATGTTCCATGACTCCGACTTTGCTGCTCTTTCCCATTCTCTCTGCCTCCTGGAGAAGAAGGGAACGTGTTGCTCCCTTCTCCTACCAGAGAAGAGGAATAGAAGGAATAGGTCAGAGACATGCATCCAATATGGCTTCTCTGAGCACCCACTCAATACCACACCTCATGGAGGATCTCTCCCAGGATTTAAGAGAAGAACAAGACAGAGTTTCTCTCCTCCAAGAGTCTATAGCCAGGCCAAGACATAGAACCACAGAAATTAATGGGAGAACAATTTAAGACCATTGGCTGAGGAATACAGATAATTGAGCTTTGGGCTGTAACAAAATAGGTTAAGACATTTATTATCTTAGTCAGTCCCGAGGTAAGCAAGACTAGAGCAACAGCCCAACAGTTTCATTGAAGGCTCCATTTCTTTTCATCTTTCCACTCTGACACCCTTAATGTGTTAGCTGTTTCCTCAGATTTGTGTCCTCATAGTTAAATATGGCTGCCATAGCTCTGGGCATCACATCATTACACTACCATCTCCAAAATCAATTCTGAGGAGGAAAAAATTGAGTTTGTTCTCACATATCTCTTGTTATAAAGGAGGAAAACCTTTCTCAGAAGTTCCCAGAAGACTGCTTCTCAGCTCTCACTGGCCAGGATCAAATCATCTATCTGCTCCTGCCCAAATTGTAAGGAAAACTAGGAAGTGATACTCTGGAATTTTGAACTGTTAGAGTAGAAACTCTGCCAGCAAGGGGAAAATAGGAGGAGGCGTGCAGGCGGGAAACAGCTTCTTGGAGGCAACCAACCAGTCTGCTACAATTCTCAAAAGAAAGAGACCATGTGACCACCAGACTGGTCAGGCAAGGCAAAATTGCAGACACTAACTCAAGATTAGAAAGATTTTTAAAAGAACTGTAATATTACAAACCTAGAGCAACCACTCAGAACAAAGTAAGTGAAAGAGGTATCACTAACAAGCTAGTTGTAGAGATAAAATGGAATCCAAATGTAACTCCAAAGAGTACAGGAAAAGAAGGAAAAAAGAACAAGTGGAACAAATAGAAAACAAATAACAAGGTAGTACACTTAAAATTTCATCATATTGATCATTACATTAAATGTGAATTATCTAAACCCTGCAACTAAAAGGCAGAGATTGCCAGACTGGATTTTTAAACATCCAATTATATGCTTTCTATGAGAAACTCACTTCAAATATAAAAATGCAGACAGGTTTAAAATGTAAGGATGAGTAGAAACATACATCAATCTGAACATTTTTTAAAGTAAAAGAATGGAAAAAGATATACCAGTTAAACACTAAGCATTCATATCAAAGTATTCTTTAGAACAAGGGATATTACCAGGGATAAAGAGCATCAATTCTTATTGAGAAAAGGGTCAGTTCATCAAGAAGCTGTAACAATTCTAAATGTATAGTATGCACCTGACAACAAAGCTTCAAAATACATACAGCAAAAACTGGAAGAAGAAACAGGCAATTGGAAAAACCACAATATAGTTGGAGATTTCAAGATTTTTCTCTCAGTAACTCAAATAACAAGTAGAAAATCAGTAGGAACACAGAAAATTCAAAAAAACACTATCAACTAGCTTGACATAAATGACATTTAAAAAGAAAACACTCTACCCAACAAATGTAGACTACACAAAGTATATGGAACATTCACCAAGACAGACCATTAAAAAGCTGTTTATCAGTAAACTTCCTGGTACTAGTACGTGTCGCTTGGAATCTTGAAGGCATTCCTGAGCCTGGCATTCCTTTAGCCAAGTGAGTAGTTCAGAATGGGAAAAAAAAATGCAAAAATCTGAAGATTATTGGCATCAGTGTTTTCCTAATAATATTGTATCAAATTTAAATATTCAGAGGATGTGTATTGAGAAGCCAAGTGATGGCTAAAAAATATTGACTTTCAAAATTTTTCTTTGATTCATTTAAAGTTCATAAAGACATAGGGTCTGAATGCTTGTAATCAAGGTATTTCCAGGAGACTTCCTTTAAAAAACAAAGCACCCTCTGTTTACTTGATGCACTGAATATATTATGTATGTGCTTTTCAACAGTAAGAAATAAAAAGTTTCTTTAACCACTGTGAGGTGATTACTAAATGAAGAATGGAATTTGTTTCGAATATTGATACAGGATTTCATGATGTGCTGGGCAATGAAAGACCTTCTGCTTACATGAGGGAGCACAATCAATTAAATGGCTGGTCTTCTGATGAAAATGACTGGAATGAAAAACTCTACCCAGTGTGGAAGCGGGGAGACATGAGGTGGAAAAACTCCTGGAAGGGTAAGTCAAAAGATTCAAACCAAACACCTGCAATTTCCTACTTCAGTAAGTCTTGTAGATGGTAAAGCCTTTTAGATCACACGGCTCACGTCATTTCCACGAATGACAGTGCTCTCATTACCAAGTGGGGAGGCACCTGGACTTGGCAATATTTTCTTTAGCCCAACACTATCACTTCCTAAACCACAAGTAATCTCCTTAGAAATTTCCACATTGGTAGCTCTTGGAATACTTTTGAAGGGTGAGCAGATTTAGCTTTAAACCTATTTAGCCAACCTGGGAATGATCATCTTCAGAAACCCAGTCACCCCAAAGCCATTTTTACTGTCTCAAAGGTGTGGCTTATCAGAAACGGAAAATCTTTCTTTTTAGATAAAAGAATGCATCCTTCAGCCATTGGTTTCGAGATTTAAAAATGCAGACTTCTAAAACTTGTCTCCTTAACCCAACAGAGCTGATTTGTTTTATTATCATAGGTAAATGTTCTTGCTGTGATTAGAGAATTCTTAACTGGTCTGATTTATTTTTTAATTTATCTTCTAGAGTGTTGTACTCTGAAAGCTAAAGTGAGGAATACAAAATATAAATTTAATATATTATAAAGAGGCATATGGGTCCTCTGGTCCTTATTAATAAAGTTAGCTCTAAATGTTTATGAACGAAAGGAAAAAGATGCTGGATCATCGAGCCCCACTTTTTTATACCCTAGGAGGCCGTGTGCAGGCGGTCCTGACCAGTGACTCACCAGCCCTCGTGGGCTCAAATATAACATTTGCGGTGAACCTGATATTCCCTAGATGCCAAAAGGAAGATGCCAATGGCAACATAGTCTATGAGAAGAACTGCAGAAATGGTAAGAACACAGTATTCTCCTAAACTACTGGAGACCCAGTTTCTAAACCTTAATGATCACAGGTGCTTCTGTAAGTGCCAGATGCTGATCTCATCCCTTGCCACTGCACTCCATGAGCTGGATGACAGAGACAGTGAGTGTGTGGTCCTACCCAGTGCCTTCATCAACATCAACGTCAGCCAGACCTACTGCAGCAAACCAGTGGCTCTCCCTTGCTTGGAGCCCTCTTCAAAAGCCACATCACCACCTCCTGCTTTTCCTTAGTGTCCAGTTGACTGGACAGAGAATACCTTGCTGAGTCTCAGATTTTGCTTTTATTACTTGGAACTCTTTTGGCTACTCAAAGAATAGCCAATTTGACAGATGTTTGCTGATCAGTCTAATTTAGGCTGACAAGGATTTCTCAAGCAAATGCTGTGTAGCTGGCGCAAATGCTAAAATGTGTATATTTTGGTTTTGCTTTGCTCTTAGTGAAAGAAATAAGCTCTCTATCTATGTTAAAGAGGACCAAAGGTGCAAATACATCAAGGGAAATTATCTTGTCAGAATGGTACATGCTCAAAAAACGGAGTTAATGGCCGGATACCATGGCTCATGCCTGTAATCCCAGCACTTTGAGAGGCCGAGGCAGGTGTATCACCTGAGGTCAGGAGTTCAAGACCATTCTGGCCAACATGGTGAAACCCCATCTCTACTAAAAATATAAAAATTAGCCAGGCGTGGTGAGATGGAGTCTTGCCTTGTCACCCAGGCTGGAGTGCAATGGCGCGATCTTGGTTCACTGCAGTCTTTGCCTCCCGGGTTCAAATGATTCTCCTGCCTCAGCCTCCCAAGTAGCTGGGATTACAGGCACCCACCACCATGCTCAGCTAATTTTTGTATTTTTAGTACAGACGGGGTTTCCCCATGTTGGCCAGGTTGGTCTCAAACATTTGACCTCGTGGTCCGCCCGCCTCGGTCTCCCAAAGCGCCGGGATTACAGGCGTGAGCCACCGCGCCCAGTCAGCATTTGTCTTTCTATGCCTAGCTTATTGCACTTAACATCATGGCCTCCAGTTCCATCCATGTTGCTGCAAACGATGGGATTTAATTCTTTTTATGACTGAGTAATATTCCATCACATTTTCTTTATCCATTTATCTATTGATGGATACTTAATTTGGTTCCATATCCTGACTATTGTGAATACTGCTGCAACACAGGAATACATACATCTCTTTGATGGATTGATTTCCTTTCTTTTGTATATATTCCCAGCAGTGAGATTGCTGGCTCATATGGTAGCTCTATTTTTAGTTTTTTGAGGAACCTCCATACTGTTTTCCATAGTGGTTGTACTAATTTACATTCCCACCAACAGTGATATACTGTTGGTGATTTGTATGACTTTTTTGAGAAATTGTCTATTCAGATCTTTCAGCCATTTTTGATTAATTTTTTTATTGATACATGATAATCATACACATTTCTGGGCTATGCGTGTTATTTTGATACATGCATACAATTTATGGTGATCAAATCAGGGTGATTGGGATATCCACCTCAAATATTTATCATTTCTTTGTGCTGAGAACATTCCAAATCTTTCTCTTTTTTTTTTCTTTTCTTTTTTGAGACAGAGTTTCACTTTGTCACCCAGGCTGGAGTGCAGTGGCACAATCTTGGCTCACTGCAACCTCCACCTCCCAGGTTCAAGCAATTCTCCTGCCTCGGCGTCCCAAGTAGCTGGGATTATAGGCGCATGCAGCATGACTGGCTAATTTTTGTATTTTTAGTAGAAACGGGGTTTCACCATGTTGGCCAGGCTGGTCTCGAACTCCTGACCTCAAGCGATCCGCCCATCTCGGCCTCCCAAAGTGCTGGGATTACAGGTGTGAGCCACTGCACCCAGCCTAAATCTTTCTTCTAGCTGTTTTGAAATATACAACAAATTGTTGTTAACTATAGTCACCTAGATTCAACAATTTTAGCACTTTGTCATAACTGCTTCTTTCCATATATCTATAATCATATGTAGATATAAGGATAGCTATATATATCTATCTACATCTAGAGACAGAAAGAGGGATTTTAAAAATCATTTAAAGCATCAAAAATAGCCAAATATACAAACCTTGATTGGGGTGATAATGGTGTCAGGGCTATTTAGGACAATGCTCTTATTCTTAGACATGTGTGCCGGAGTCTTTATGAATAAACAGTCATGATGTCAAGTGTGTCAGGAAAAAAACCTACAGAAAGAGGTGTGTCAAAATAAAAAGATAAAGTATCTCTGATTTGAATAGGATTGTGACTTGAAAACCCGATAGGAAGAAAAATACATTAAATGATATCTCTACATTGGATTTTTCTGAATAATTGCTTTGTATAAAACCTTCATTGAAATATAACAAATTCAGAAAAGTGCACAAGTCATAAGCATACTATTGGATGGATTCTACATATTAAGTGTTTAGTTGTCTAACTACTTTTAAACTAGTTATGAAAAAAATACGAAAAAGTGTTTAATTCAGTGATGCATGCACATTGGGTTTTCTGAGCCTAGATAACACTCATGGCTGGTTTCTATCTCTGTTTAGAGGCTGGTTTATCTGCTGATCCGTATGTTTACAACTGGACAGCATGGTCAGAGGACAGTGACGGGGAAAATGGCACCGGCCAAAGCCATCATAACGTCTTCCCTGATGGGAAACCTTTTCCTCACCACCCCGGATGGAGAAGATGGAATTTCATCTACGTCTTCCACACACTTGGTTGGCTTTTACAAACCCCTAAGCTTCTTCTTTACCTTTCCTTAAAATTTCAACCTTCTCTTTTCTTACTCTATAATTGAGAATGATAACACAGAGAGTTAATAACAGTCACCCTGCTAACTTTCCTTAGCATGAGTGAACAGTGAGAGATAAAAATGAAATCTTGGTTAACCTTGCCAAATCTCCAGGACACCGAAGAGTTAAAAAGAGAGAAAAACAAAAAGATTAAGCTCTTTTTCAAAAAAACAAAACCACTTAATTTTTTTCTACCTAAAACCATAACAAGAAAAAATGCTAACACTTATTTATTTGAATGGCACATGGAGACCGGGCATGTGGCTCACACTTGTAATCCCAGCACCTTGGAAGGCGGAGGCGGGTGGATCACCTGAAGTCAGGAGTTCAAGACCAGCCTGGCCAACATGGTGAAGTCCCGTCCCTACTAAAAATACAAAAATTAGCCAGGTGTGGTGGTGCGCACCTGTAATCCCAGCTACTCAGGAGGCTGAGGCAGGAGAATCACTTGAATCCGGGAGGTGGAGGTTGCAGTGAGAGGAGATTGAGCCATTGCACTCCAGCCTGGGCAACAGAGTGAGACTCCATCTCGAAAAACAAACAAACAAACAAAAAACAGAATGGCACATTGATGAGCATTCATTGATTGATTCTTTAGTTTTTTTATGTTCTCTAAAGAATTTTTAAGATTTAAAGAAGCATGTGCTATTTATTTGTAGGAAATCCTCAGAAAAGGTACAAATAAAAAATAAAAATTATCCATAATTAATACCAGAGATTATAATTGTTAATTATTATGGTGTTTTCTTTGCTAGTATTTAAGATCATTATTAAGATCACATACACATTTTTGCTTACTATCATTAGCATTTGATGATATGATTTTTTTAATTTTTATACATTGTTTTAATGGCTGCACGATATTTCATTGTGTACAAATAAAATAACTACTGTTCCGCTTTGACCTAGCCCATTCTGTCTTTTTTTAAATTACAAATGGTATTCATTTTGTTGTATTATTGGGGAAATGATTACTTTTAGAAGGAGCAAATTGAGCTTATTATTAATTAGGCTGCTAAATTCTTAGTTTAAAATGTCACTAGGTGCCACCTGGCACTGAGTATTTGAAAATTGCTACCAATCAAGCAGCCTCCAGATTACTAAATATTTCATCTTTCATCACAGATTAGAGAGAGCTCCTCTTCCTTCAATTAACTTATTTACAAATCAGGACAAAATATTAACAATACATACCCATTGAACAGAGTATAAGCTATGTCAAATATTATGCTCATCTATATAAATCAATTGCCTTAAAGCTAACTTATTTTTCACTGCCATTACGACCCCATTAGCCAACTCACCAAACATTTCTTTGACTTGTCACTCTCATGACAGAATTCTGACATTTTGCATGGAGTCACTTATGTTCACTAACACTCGCCGACTCTTTAGCCTAGTAAACATTCCAATAACTTAACCAGATCAAATGTCTGTATTTAAAATCAACTTTCAGCCTAGAACTTGCTCTGTTTGTCTAACAAGACTGCCTTGAATTTCTGTCTTCCACTGAGGTCTCAGAGTTAACTGATATTCTCCCTCAACTAAGTATGGTCTCACCTCTCAGAGCTGAAACTAACATTTTCCTCACGAATAACCCCTGAGAGACATCTCTTCCCCTTATAACTTCTGATGGAACTACCCCTGCATCTCAACGTGAAGGAGGATTCCAAACCACACATCCCTGGAGAGACCAGTGTGTTTTTCTCACACGTTTGACGGTGTGATACACGGGGTCTTGAAACAACCCGGTCTCAAAAGCATGCAACCTAAGATACCCAGTCAGTGACAGGTCTAAACCAGGCCCCCTGGCAGGATTAGAAAAGTTCTTGATTTGGGAATGATAGTAAGAGGAGTTACAGAGTTTTAAAATTTGTTTAAATGTCCTTGAGCCCTGAAGGAGAGGAATTACTTCCACCTGTTAGCTAGCAGCAGGGAGGGTTGGACAAAGAAAAGGAATGACTCAGGGGTGTCCTAGGAAAGTGCCTGTGGAACCACCCCATTCTGTTTTATGTCTGCCATCCTCTATTTCATCACTTACGGGATTTTTATTTTTATTTTTTTGAGACAGAGTCTCGCTCTGTCACCAGGCTGGAGTGCAGTGGTGTGATCTCAGCTCACTGGAATCCCCGCTCCGGGTTTAACCAATTCGTCTGCCTCAGCCTCCCGAGTAGCTTGGATTACAGGCTCGTACCACCACACCTAGCTAATTTTTTGTATTTTAGTAGAGATGGAGTTTCACCATGTTGGCCAGGATGGTCTCCATCTCCTGACCTCGTGATCCGCCTGCCTCGGCCTCCCAAAATGCTGGGATTACAGGCATGAGCTACCGCGCCCAGCCACTTGCTGTATTTTTATATACAAATACTATTAGGAGATGGAGGATTCCAGTCCCCTTTTAAAAATCCACTTAATAATATAGCGGAAATAGTAACAAAAATAAGGTAGGTTATTGGATAAATAATTTTTTTAACTCTTCTGGACACCTCATCATTATATTAAATGTATTTTCTATGGGGAAAACATGTATTTCAAGTGCCAAATTACTTAGCACAAACAGCATTTATTTGTAAACTAAGGGCTAACTGTTTTATGCCACTAAACAGCTTTTTAAATTTTAACCAACTGTATACAATTACATGTATACAACTGTGGGTTTGTTTTATAAGATTTTACATTAAAATGAGCACCATCTCCCTTTCTGAAGCAGCACCACAGGCCCATCCTATTTTCCCTCCTCAGAGCAATCTATAAATGGTGGTAGCTAGTCTTTAAGGAACAGCTTCCTATAATGATGATATAATGCAGCCAATAACTAAAAATTTCCATCCTCCCAAAGGTCAGTATTTCCAGAAATTGGGACGATGTTCAGTGAGAGTTTCTGTGAACACAGCCAATGTGACACTTGGGCCTCAACTCATGGAAGTGACTGTCTACAGAAGACATGGACGGGCATATGTTCCCATCGCACAAGTGAAAGATGTGTACGTGGTAACAGGTGAGTGGTGTGAACTCTAACTGAGGATGAGGCACTTCATTCTGTTGACGTCAATGGGTTAAAAAAGAGGTAAGGCCAAGTGTTCGGGGTTAGGTTACAATGCATCTGGCCCACCTAAGCTTGTGTATTTAATTAGTTGTAGTTCATCTGTTTTCCAGAATAGCTTAGGGAAACCCCAGAAAACTTGCATGTGAAAAGGAAAATAATGCTAAATTATCCCTCATTTTAATATTTCAACCTAAAAGCATCGTCGAAGCCCTCCACTTACAATCAAGCAATCATGCATTCTTTATTTCTTTGGGGGATGTATCTTTTAGATCAGATTCCTGTGTTTGTGACTATGTTCCAGAAGAACGATCGAAATTCATCCGACGAAACCTTCCTCAAAGATCTCCCCATTATGTTTGATGTCCTGATTCATGATCCTAGCCACTTCCTCAATTATTCTACCATTAACTACAAGTGGAGCTTCGGGGATAATACTGGCCTGTTTGTTTCCACCAATCATACTGTGAATCACACGTATGTGCTCAATGGAACCTTCAGCCTTAACCTCACTGTGAAAGCTGCAGCACCAGGACCTTGTCCGCCACCGCCACCACCACCCAGACCTTCAAAACCCACCCCTTCTTTAGGTAAGGTTTCGCAGTGATCTTTGAGGGAGGCTCCTTAATGGCTAACAAAATATTCACGCAGGTCATATTATTAAATCCCTCCTTAAGGGGATATTGTAAGGACTCTGCGGTGATTCCATTTTCTACCTGTTGATTTTTTAAAGCAAAGTTATCACCATTTTACACCTATAGAACACAGAAGAAGGAAGAATGTATGTAAAGTCACTTTGCAAATAGAATTCAGTGACTTGTAGAAAGTTCTTTGACCCTCCTCATTTGCACTGGTCCCTGCTATGTGTACACACTCTCCCCTCTTCTAACCTGTCACATTTTTGTTTATCTCCCATTTTTTATGGCTATGAGAAGGCACACTGGCTCCTTATACGATCAGGTCATTTCTATGTTCCTTCCTCTCCCCCACTAATTTCTTTCCCTACCCTGCCCACACCTACCCAGTGTCCATGAAAACACAGCTGTACTTGAAAGCAATTTCCAAATGGTCCAAGAAAGAATGTAGCTTGAGAGTATGTCTGGGTTAGCAAGCTGCAGTGACTCCTGACATTAAAATTGTGCTGCATCGTATGTTTATTGCGGCACTATTCACAATAGCAAAGACTTGGAATGAACCCAAATGTCCATCAATGATAGACTGGATTAAGAAAATGTGGCACATATACACCATAGAATACTATGCAGTCATAAAAAAGGATGAGTTCATGTCCTTTGTAGGAACATGGATGAAGCTGGAAACCATCATTCTGAGCAAACTATCACAAGGACAGAAAACCAAACGCCGCATGTTCTCATTCACAGGTGGGAACTGAACAATGAGAACACTTGGACACAGGGCGGGGAACATCACACACCAGGGCCTGTCGGGGGGTAGGGGTAGGGAGGCGGGATGGCATTAACAGAAATACCTATTGTAAATGACGAGTTAATGGGTGCAGCACACCAACATGGCACATGTATACATATGTAACAAACCTGCACTTTGTGCACATGTACCCTAGAACTTAAAGTAAAATTTAAAAAAAAGAGAAAAATAAATAAAAATAAAACTGTGCTGCATTTAAGGCATGATTAATTCAATACCACCCTATATTAATAGTCTGGGGACATTCAAGAAGTCCTTAAGAGTCCACTTTGGGTAGCACTGGCTTCCATCTGATTCCCCACGCTACCCCATGCCATCACCACCCTTTTCCCACTGGGCCAGTTGCACTCAGCACCCCAGGATCCTGGGGATAGCAATAGGCTGACATCCTCTCACTGGTCACAAGAGGGCGCCAGGGACCAAGCCCACGACGGTCCATCATGACGTCTGGGGCTTCTTGTTTTTACAAAATCCTGTTTGTTATAAATTATAAAGTTTTACAATAAGATGTTAGTAATAAAATGAGAGCTTGTTAAATCAAGCATATCTAAGTCAAGACAACACAAGTTATCACTGATTTCGATTATCTCAAAAATGTTTTAAATTACAAAGTTTATGCATGTTCCTTAGTAAAAATTAAAACAATGTAGATGTCTAGAGTAAAAAGCAAAAGTCCCCACTCGTACTCTCCTCCCAAGAGTTAAACCCTGTTAATAATTGGGAGGATTTCTTTCCAGATATTTTTCTATGCATTTATAAACATATACTATATATACACATAAGGTTTGTTTTGGTTGTGTAAATGGGTTCATTTACACAAGAGGGCTATTCATATTGTTTTACAATTTGCTCTTTTTCTAATTTAACAAACATTATAGACATCTTTCCACTGTTAATACATATAAGTCTATCTCACTTTATCCAGTGGCTGCATAGTGTTTCATAGAATGTATGTACTGTCATTTATTTCACCATTCTCTTTTTTTTTTTTTTTTTTTTTTTTTTTTGAGACAGCGTCTTGCTCTAACACCCAGGCTGGAGTGCAGTGGCACAATCTTGGCTCACTGCAACCTCCACCTCCTGGACTCAAGTGATCCTTCTGCCTCAGCCTCCCAAGTGGCTGTGGCTACAGGCATACACAACCACACCCAGCTAATTTTTTTATTTTTTAGTAGAGATGGGGTTTCGCCGTGTTGCCCAGGCTGGTCTCCAACTCTTGAGCACAGGTGATCTACCCACCCCAGCCTTCCAAAGTGCTGGGATTATAAGCGTGAGGCACTGTGCCCGGCCCACCATTCTCTTATTGATGGATGATTAGATTAATCCTAATTCCAACTACAATTATAACTGTATTGAACAACTTTAAATATACAGCTTCATTCTAGTAATCCTTTAGGAGAAGCAATTTTTTTTATCTACAACTATTAATGATCTTCTTTACAAATAAGAGGACCAGGTATAAAATTCAAAATAAATTACAGATGCTTTTAATATTTAAGTTCCAGAATGGTAAAAGACTTAATGTTAGGTTGTTTAATGTTAGTCTACTTTGAATTGCATTTTTATTAAACTAGCTTGTTTTTCTTATAAACTATTTATATCATAGCATGTTTTAAAAATATATTTGAAGCCAATGAAAAGCTATTTAAAATTTCTGTTGTAATTTCTCCCTAGGTGACACCATAAGATATAAACTAGTGGGCCAGGCATGGTGGCTCACATCTGTAATCCCAGCACTTTGGGAGGCCGAGGCAGGTGGATCACCTGAGGTCAGGAGTTCGAGACCAGCCTGGTCAACATGGTGAAACCCCGTCTCTACCGAAAATATAAAAATTAGCCGGGTGTGGTGGAGAGTGTCTGTAATCCCAGCTACTTGGGAGGCTGAGGCAGAAGAATCGCTTGAACCTGGGAGGTGGAGGTTGCAGTGAGCCGAGATCGCGCCATTGCACTCCAGCCTGGGCGACAAGAGAGAAACTCTGTCTCAAAAAAAAAAAAAAAAAAAGATATAAACTAGCAACCCCTACAAGTTAGTTAAGTTTTATTGCGAAGGAAAGCTGCCTGGCTTTATCTAAAGGTGTTAGATCAATCATAATCAACCCCAAAATGCCTTAAACCAGCATCTCTCTTAGGGAGAGCGAGGAGGGACGTTTCTAAAAGGGGTCTCTTCTAGGGAGCATTTCCAGCTGTACAGGCCATATTAAAGGGCTTGGATGACCAAGTATTATATTATTGTTTGGCCAAAAAATATGTTCTCTCTGCTTTGGTAAGTGGCTTCTTAATAATGCACAGCCGAAAATAGAAATCAAATGCAAATGCAGGAGTGAGGCAGAAGCCAGTTGAAGAGGTGACCCAGGTAGATGTGTTTAAATCTGAGGGCAGATGCATGTGTGCTATTTTTAAGTCACGGAATTCTCTTCACTTAGCTAACAGTGCTATTATTTGTTTTTCAGACTTGTGAACAAATCTGAAAAAAAAAAAAAAAACCTTTTGTAAGACTGATGCTAATTACTGTAATACTCTCTCTATATATAAAATAACATCATATCATAGAGAACTTTCCCAGAGAATCAAGAGCTCTCACACCGTTCTCTGGGCAACAGGGACATAAATACCAAATTAAGGATGAAGTTGACCTTCTTTCTCATCTGTCTTTTAAGGTGTGCGTTTCTCTCCATTAGCCCTTGAATCATACCTTGACTTTATAGACACAATGTTTGCGAAGCTCCATATGCTTTTTTATTTTTATTTTTATTTTTTTTTTGAGATAGAGTCTTGCTCTGTTGCCCAGGCTGGAGTGCAGTAGTGCAATCTCAGCTCACTGCAACCTCTGCCTTCTGGGTTCAAGTAATTCTCCTGCTTCGGCCTCCCTAGTAGCCAGCACTACAGGCATGTGAACCACCATGCCCAGATAATTTTTCTTTATTTTTAATGGAGACTAGGTTCCACCATGTTGCCCAGGTTGGTCTCGAACTCCTGACCTCAAGTGATCCACCTACCTCAGCCTCCCAAAGTGCTGGGATTACAGGTGTGAGCCACCATGCCTGGCCTCCATATGCATTTTAAAAGCATTCTATCTAAGGTAGAATCACTGACTTTTATTATTTGGTCATTTTTTAAGAAAATAAGCTTTATTTCATTTTTAGCACTAAAGTATATGCAGAACAAGAGAAGTTTTATTTTAAAATATGCAGGGTCGTGATTCCATGCTCTAACTTGACAACTAAATTCTGCCTGTCAAGAACTTTCAAAAGAAGAAATTTTATGGTTTTCTGGAGAAGAGCTACTGAACTCGAATGGCCTGCACAAACAATCCTATTGCTGTAGAGTAGATCATCTGAATCTCAGGACAGACAGAACGACTGTCTTGTCATTTCCAGAGGACTAATATGAAACTCAAGGGACATTCCCAAGAGGCTGCCACAGTTCTTCCTGCTGGTAAACCACTGCATTCGATCTAACACAGTGTCTGGGCCTTTCTGGCCTTTACCTGAGCAGCATTTCCCAAAGTGTGTGCCATGGAGCAGTCATTTCTAGACCTGTTCTGAGAACTGCTCTGAGAAATCTGCTTTGGGCACAGGAAAATCACAGGGATGTTCACCCGCTGACGATTCTGAGAAGCCCTGGGGAAATCTCCCAGCCTGCTTCACTCACATGTCACTAAGTTAGAGATGCAGCTCTTATGAGGCTTTGATGTCCTTCCCCAAGACTGAGTCTACTTCACATGTCTTTTGAAATTAAAAAGAAGATTGTATTTTCAGTATCGTTATTTTCTTTCTAGATTTTTTATCTTGCTAAAGGAGCAGCGATGTCTTAATTAGAGCCTGTTAAATTGTAACTAATAGGGCATTAGATTCTTTGCTCTAATTATATTCAAGGCTTATTTTTCAAAAATGTCTTGTATTCCCTCCTTTCCTTCCTCACATCTCTGCTCATCACAGTAAGACTTTTAGAATTTAAGCTTTGGAGCTGTGAGACATCCAAACAGGGAAAGAATGATCTTTTCCCATATTACTGAAAGAAAGAAACTGTGATTTATTAAGTACTCCCTCTGCAGCAGTGATGAGCAGCAGGTTTTATATACTTTATCTCATTTAAGTTTCATAGTTCAGCCCCCAGAGGACAGCAGGTATTGTTCTTATTTTACAGATGAGCAAATAGAGGCAAAAACAGATTAAATGATGTGCCTGTGGTCTCAAACAGCTAAAAACAAGGGAAGCTGGAATTTGAGCCCAGAATACCTGCTTCCAAAATTAAAATATAACTGCATCTAGTATGGCCAGGTTTATTTCTTCATGACCATTGTATCACACATTTTAATACAGTTTCAACCTTTTTTTGAGACGGAGTCTCGCTCTGTCACCCAGGCTGGAGTACAGTGGCGCCATCTCGGCTCACTGCAAGCTCCGCCTCCCAGTTTCACGCCATTCTCCTGCCTCAGCCTCCTGAGTAGCTGGGACTACAGGCGCCCACCACCACACCTGGCTAATTTTTTGTATTTTTTAGTAGAGGCGGGGTTTCACCATGTTAGTCAGGATGGGCTCGATCTCCTGACCTCATGATCTGCCCCCCTCGGCCTCCCAAAGTGCTGGGATTACAGGCATGAGCCACTGCACCCGGCCAGTTTCAACGTCTTATTTGCTTCTTGTGTTCACACAAAATGTGGGATTATGCTTCCTTACATAATTTAGCAATTATAATACCTTATAGCTCTCACATCTGTGTAAATTATGACACATTTAGTTCAAATTTCTATAGCAATTTCATAGTATAGTGTTCCTGATATTTTTCTAAAAAGCAAATGGCAAATGTTTAGATTTTTTATTATATCACATGTATCTTTTATGTTCGTAGCAACTACTCTAAAATCTTATGATTCAAACACCCCAGGACCTGCTGGTGACAACCCCCTGGAGCTGAGTAGGATTCCTGATGAAAACTGCCAGATTAACAGATATGGCCACTTTCAAGCCACCATCACAATTGTAGGTAAGGCTGAAGATGATGACCAGTGAGGAAGGATGCTAGACTCCACCTAGGGTCACCCACTCTCTCTGCTAACTCTGAAGGGGTAGAGGTAGGTGGTAAGGGCACCCCTCTGCTTGTCTAAGATGACACCACACATGCAAGAGCAAAGACCCCATTCATTTCTAGATTCCCACCTGCCTCCCCGGCCTTCCTTCCACATCCTGGTGGAAACAAGCCTTCTGTGAAGGCCGCATGCTAATGAGCCTGCCCTGGGCCTGTATCCCGCCTCTGCAGCCCAGCCATCTGAATGGGGTATGTAGGGTAAAGGAAGGCTAGCATCGAGTTCCTACAACTTCCACTGTCTTCCCCTAGTTAATTTTCACAAAGTCAGACTTGTATGTGAAAAGGGGAAAGAGCAGGCCACCACACATGGCTGTGCATTTGGGCACAGCCCTAAGGCATACAACAGAGAAGACAGAGGGGAACTGAAGCCCAACCTGTGCTCACCAGTTCTGGGAGTGAGGATGGAGGTGGAAGCCCAAGCAGTGTCCCCTGAGTCCAAGCCACTTGAGAAGCTGGCCAAGGCCTGAGCCTGGGGCTGCGTCTACCCAGGATTACCTTTTCCTGAAACACTTTCCAAGATGGAGTGCTACTTTCTGATGCACACAAAGGCTCTAGGAACAAAAATCTAGGCTGGACTGAAAAACAGTTCAGTTTGACTTTGGAAATGCTGCATGGATATGTATCCTAAGCTATGGGGGTAGATTGCCAGATCTGATGTGTTTCTGTATGGCAAGAGGGCTGTCTTCCTTTTTTAATTTTTTTCACTTTCTGATGTCTTAAGAGCTGTACCTTAGTCCATTCAGGCTTCTATAACAGAATTCCATAGACTGGGTGGCTTATAAACCAACAGCAGGAATTTATTTCTCGTAGTTCTAAAGGCTGGGAAGTCCAAGTTCAAGGTACCAGCACATTCGGTGGCTGGTGAGGACTCACTTCCTGGTTCATAGATGGCAGATAGCAGTCTTCTTGCTGTGTCCTCATGTGGTGGAAGAGGCAAAAGGGCTCTCTGGGGTCACTTTCATAAGGGCATTAATCTCACACATGAAGGCTTCACCCTCATGACCTAACTACCTCCCAAAGACCCCCCTCCTAATGCTATCACCTTGGGGGTTTCAACATATGAATTTCGGAGGGACACAAACATTCAATCTATACCAGAGTGATTGTTTGGCTTTGTTTGATTTCTGTTGTATTTTGATGTGTTTTTCTCTGGGGGTTATTTTGTTAGAGGGAATCTTAGAGGTTAACATCATCCAGATGACAGACGTCCTGATGCCGGTGCCATGGCCTGAAAGCTCCCTAATAGACTTTGTCGTGACCTGCCAAGGGAGGTGAGTATATTATCTCCGACAGAGGCATGGGTGGGTCAACTGAGGACCTCAAGTCTGAACAAAGGCATTGACCACCAGTTACCCCTTTTAAGTTGATTTGAATTCCTATTGATTTGAATTCCTATTTACTGGTAACCCTAGACAGGAAGGTCCCTAGGAGGTGCTATCAAGCACACACATGTTTTGCTACAGTTGAGCAATTGAGAAAGCTTTAACAATTAAGTTGAATAATAATTATGATAACTGTTTGAACACTTAACTGAATTTTTTAACACCTTATACCTGTTCTCATATTGAATCCTCACAACAATCGTATGAGCCTCCCCATTTTGCAGATGAGGCAACTGAGGCCACCAGTGATCACAAAACTTGCCTACCAATGGAATGCTGGTGGCCAGGAGAGAGCAGCTCACAGGAGTGCTCTTAAGCTCCCAGGTAGTTGTCTATGCTAACATTAATAGCAACGCCTGATAATCCTCTCTCTTTAGAATTTACAAAGCTCTTTCCAATGCATTATATAATTTGGTTTCCTATGATTTGGTCATGACCATATGTAATAAACTAAATATAAATGAATGAATATATAAATACTATATCGATTAACTAAATATACATTAGCAAATCATTTGCATATAATATATAAATTACCTGATTAAAATATATGTGTGTGTAGATACATAAATTAATCAGGAGAATGAAGTGGTATGAAGATGTGGCCTTATTTGGTAGAAGAGAAGAGCTAAGAAGCTCTCCACCTTGGGGAGAGGACCAGAATGAGGGTGAGGGTGGCAGAAAACAGTGAAAGCTGACCCAGGGAGTGAAGCTGCTGCGAGAGGCCTGGCTGGTGAGAAGGGGGACTGTCCCCATCCCAGGCCCCGCCCCATGAGTCCAGCATCAGAGCCTGGTCTCTCCATCTAAGAAGGCTGCCATGAGATAGCGGTCAGGACAGCAATGGCAGGTAGCCCAGCATCAAGGACAGATGAGTCAAACCTCTTCTGTTCAAGTCCCAGCTCCACCCCTGGCTGCTTGTATGACCTGGACTCGTTAATCTCTCTCCCTGATTTGTCATCTGTTAAACTGGGGTAATGTTACTTTCTTCAAAAAGCTATTGAGAGAGGCTGGGTGCTGTGGCTCATACCTGTAATTTCAGCACTTTGGGAGGCTGAGGCGGTTGATCACCTGAAGTCAGGAGTTTGAGACCAGCCTGGCCAACATGGTGAAACCCCATCTCTACTAAAAATACAAAAATTAGCCAGGAGTGGTGGCAGGTGCCTGTAATCCCAGCTACTCGGGAGGCTGAAGCAGGAGAATCTCTTGAACCTAGGAGGCAGAGGTTGCAGTGAGCCAAGATCATGCCATTGCACTCCAGCCTGGGCAACAAGAGCAAAACTCTGTCTCAAAACAAACAAACAAACAAAAAAACTATTGAGAGGAATAAGCAAGATCATGTCATATATCTAAAACTCACTCAGAACAAAGGTCTCTGAGGAAAGATAAATAAATAAATAAAATTCAGTGCCCGGCACATAATAAGTCCTGCAAAAACAGCTGCTGCTGTTGCTGTTACACTTCTACAGGAACCTAGGCAGGGCCAACTATGGCATCTAATAATATGTCTGCCTAACACCCAAGCTATCTGCATCTTCGAACATTCTAGGGATGTAGAAGGAATATAGAGGGAGTGAGCTGGGCTTCACGTGGTTTCCATCAGCCCCTTCCCCTGGGGGAGATCTTTTTTTTCTCCTCCACCCCAGGGCCTCACTTTCCTGAGGATGCAGAGAAAGGCATAGCTCAGCGCACAGGCTTGCTTAAGAGCAGATTATAAGACTAACAATTCAGCATCTTATAGTTTGAGTAACAATGAGGTGGAATTCAATTTCATAGAAATGTAATGACTTTCCCTTTGTAAAATGGATCTGACCTTCCTCTCTCCCCTTCTCTGTGCCCTGTGCGCCCTCGCCCACCTCCCCTGTCGCAGCATTCCCACGGAGGTCTGTACCATCATTTCTGACCCCACCTGCGAGATCACCCAGAACACAGTCTGCAGCCCTGTGGATGTGGATGAGATGTGTCTGCTGACTGTGAGACGAACCTTCAATGGGTCTGGGACGTACTGTGTGAACCTCACCCTGGGGGATGACACAAGCCTGGCTCTCACGAGCACCCTGATTTCTGTTCCTGACAGAGGTGAGTTTTGTTTTATGGCCATATGAGCATTTCATACTGCAAGTAAAGTGTGTATCCCATACTAAAGCTATTTAGGCCTTTGTTTTCAATGTTTAATTCTATTTCAGTACAAAATTCATTGAACTCTTATTAATAAGGATCTGAGGACTGGCATTACAATCCAACAGCAAATCTACTTAGGGAAGTGATGAGACATCTGGTGAAATAGTGGCCAAAGAAAAGCCTTTTGATGAAAAAAAATCAGCTGTGATCATGGACCAGTAACAATGGGATATGATCACTGCACGCTTGAATAGATTTGTATTTCAAGGAGAAAGTTTAAAGGCCAATATCAAAAAATAGCAGTGTTCTCCAATGAAACAACAACAAAGGAGAGGCTGATATCACATTTTCATGAAAATCCACCTGAGCAAAGATATGAAGCCTGGAAGAGAAATGAGACACAAGCTGTTCTCCTTGGTCCCTTCTAACTTACCATGCATCCTCTCTTTCCCTTCCCAAACTCTACCGAGCATTACAGAACACAGTAAGAAACCAACTTATTATTCCTCACATGTTCACCAGAAAAACTACTCTCTTCCCTCTGAATGCTTGGAAAGGTACAATGTTAACAAAGAAGACAAAGGAATTTCATTTAGAAATTTGCATTTACTGGTAGCATCCAACTTCCCCCAACCTCCAAATTAGGGCTCTACCCTAATGGCCCTAGCTGACTGTCACTGATAATCAACTTTGTTGTAAGATATTACTTGTGGCTTAGAAGAAGTGCTACGTGGTAGGATGAAAGGGAAAGACTAAGTTGTGTACATATTACAGCAGCAGTCCCCAACCTTTCTGACATCAGGGACCTGTTTTGTGGAAGACAGTTTTTCCGTGTAACGGGGATGGTGGGGGATGGTTTCGGGATGAAACTGTTCTACCTCAGATCATCAGGCATTAGTTAGAGTCTCATAAGGAGCATGCAACCTAGCTCTCTCGCATGTGCAGTTCACAATAAGGTTTGCACTCCTATGAGAATGTAATGTTGCCACTGAGATGACAGGAGGCAGAGCTTGGGCGATAATGCTCAGTCGTTTGCTGCTCACCTCCTGCTGTGTGGCCCAGTTCCTAACAGACTGAGGACCCGTACCAGTACTGGCCATCGGTCTGGGGGTGGGGGACCCCTGCGTTAAAGCACTTACTTCACTCCTTAATTGGAGTATTGTCAGGTACAATCTAATAGCTCATTCACTTATAACTCCTTTGAACTTGAAGCCTATCTCATAAGGTAATATGTTCTTAAACATGTATTTCCAGCTACAAAAACAAACAAACAAACAAACAAAAACACATATTTCCAGCTGGGCGCGGTGGCTCACGCCTGTAATCCCAGCACTTTGGGAGGCCAAGGTGGGCAGATCACTTGAGATCAGGAGTTCCAGGCCAGCCTGGCCAACATAGTGAAACCCCATCTCTACTAAAAATACAAAAATTAGCCAGGCATGGTGGTGGGCGCCTGTAGTCCCAGCTACTCGGGAGGCTGAGGTAGGAGAATAATTTGAACCCTGGAGGCAGAGGTTGCAGTGAGCTGAGATGAAGACACTGCACTCCAGCCTGGCCAACAGAGTGAGACTCCATCTCAAACAAACAAACACAACAAAAAAAACTAAAAAAAAAATTTTCTCATTAATAATATAAATGGCAGTTTTAATCCCATTAAAAGAAGAGATTTAATCCCATTAAAAGAAAATAATCATACATCTAATTATTTGCGTGAGGGCTTATTGTTGGTGATATCCAAGGTGCAGATTTAAAAGCAAAACCAACGATGCAAGGGTGCCCTGCTTCCTGCCCAGGAAGGTGGATCAGGGCCTGGGTGGAGAGCCGGGGAGGGTGGGAACTGGAGAAGGGAGCCAAAACCTCTGCATCCAAGTGGCCATGGACTCGGATGCAGTCACCATCAGAAGCTGCTAATGTTATTCCTTCAGTGCTGCCACAGCTCAAAGTTTGTTTAGAATTACCTTTAGAGTCTTAATTCATTCTATTAAGCTTCCTCTGCACTGGCAAACCACTGATCTCTTATGTGAATTAGATGTTTTAGACATTTGCTTTCCTTTAATTCTTCTTGTAGTGAGTGATAACTTTAGGTGGGACCTGAGTCATTTTCAAAAGCCAAATAAAGAAAGCTCAGAATGCCAGGCACAGTGGAACATACCTGTAGTCCCAGCTACTCAGGAGGCTGGGGCGGGAGGATCCCTTGAGCCCAGAAGTCCAGCCTGGGCAGCACAGCAAAACCCTGTCTGAAAGAGAGAGAGAGAGAAAGAGAGAGAAAAAGAGAGAGAGAAAGAGAGAGAGAGTGAGAAAGAGAAAATGAATGCTCAGAAGGAAAGGTTTTAATTCAGTGGGGATTGCAGCTTAATAGCTTGGGTTTCAAAGGCAGAATTTCAGAAATAGATCATTCTTCAAAGCAAACCTATAGACTTTAGTTGAAGTGACTTTTATGTATCGATTCAATGGATATTCATGAAGCACCTGCAATTCTTTCAACAAATATCCCTGAGCATCTACTCCATGCTCAGCACAGTTCTAGGCAGAAGATACAGTTCTAGATCGAGTAGAAACCAAGACAAAGAAGTCCCTGCTTCTGTGAGCAGTGACAGATGTTACATGGAAAACTTTAAAGGTGGTGATCTTTTTTTTTTTTTTTGAGGCAAGGTCTTGCTCTGTCACCCAGGCTGCAGTGCAGTAGGGTAATCATGGCTCACTGCAGCCTCGACCTCCCGGGCTCAAGCAATCCTTGACTTCTGCCTCCTGAGTAGCTGGCACCACAGGCATGCGCCACCATGCCAGGCTAATTTTTTAATTTTTTGTAGAGCTGGGGTCTCACTATGTTGCCTCTGCCTCCCAAAGTGCTGGTATTACAGGCATGAGCCGGGGAAGGGCACTCCTGTAAGGGGGCACGGAGGTCTGAAAGAGCACGGGGAGTATGGCCAACTTTCAGGATTTTTAGCACAGCTAGAAGGTAAGTAGAGAGAGAGGAAGCTGGAGGCACGGCCGCCTGATCACAGGAGCCCTTCCACACGGTGGCGCTGCTGGGTCACCCAAGACCTGAGCAGGTGTCTCCAGGACGTGACATCTCTCCCCCGCGCCCTTACCACAGTGTTCCAGACATGCTGACTCATTCTCTAAATAGAAGATAAGCTGACCCAAAGACTATGTATTATTTAATAGAAAAGATTACTGAAAGCCCAGAGGGAGCCATATATCTTCTGTGACGGCTCCCTTCCTCATTTATTTAATGGCATTATAAGCGGCATGTCCTCTAGGTGGAAGACATAACTAACATGCTCTTGCTTCTGTTTTAAGACCCAGCCTCGCCTTTAAGGATGGCAAACAGTGCCCTGATCTCCGTTGGCTGCTTGGCCATATTTGTCACTGTGATCTCCCTCTTGGTGTACAAGTAAGTTTTTGGTTCCTACGCTTTATATCACTATAGTGTATTGTCAAAAGTGAATATATCTCTGTGTAAATAGGCATTTTTCCCTTTTTTGCTTTTAAACATTTTGTGTAGGGGAGGAAAATATTACATTGAATGGTGAATACCAAACTGGCCTGTTAATCTTGTTGTGGTTTGTTTTTAATCCTAAAAGATGCTACCAGATCTCAGTAACTTTACAAAATTATGTCAACTTAATTTTAACATGATAGTCTCAAATTATAGTAAGCAGGCACATTTCTTGCATGAACAAGAGTAAATAAATGTACTTTCATAAGACACCAGTGTCTTGCAAACTGTCAATCATGTTAAATGGAATGAATCCTTTTATACCTGGCATGAAAAAGATTGTAGAAAGTTGTATATTTCAACTGAAGATCTTTTAAAAATAACTAACCAACAGATTGTTTTCAGAAAACACAAGGAATACAACCCAATAGAAAATAGTCCTGGGAATGTGGTCAGAAGCAAAGGCCTGAGTGTCTTTCTCAACCGTGCAAAAGCCGTGTTCTTCCCGGGAAACCAGGAAAAGGATCCGCTACTCAAAAACCAAGAATTTAAAGGAGTTTCTTAAATTTCGACCTTGTTTCTGAAGCTCACTTTTCAGTGCCATTGATGTGAGATGTGCTGGAGTGGCTATTAACCTTTTTTTCCTAAAGATTATTGTTAAATAGATATTGTGGTTTGGGGAAGTTGAATTTTTTATAGGTTAAATGTCATTTTAGAGATGGGGAGAGGGATTATACTGCAGGCAGCTTCAGCCATGTTGTGAAACTGATAAAAGCAACTTAGCAAGGCTTCTTTTCATTATTTTTTATGTTTCACTTATAAAGTCTTAGGTAACTAGTAGGATAGAAACACTGTGTCCCGAGAGTAAGGAGAGAAGCTACTATTGATTAGAGCCTAACCCAGGTTAACTGCAAGAAGAGGCGGGATACTTTCAGCTTTCCATGTAACTGTATGCATAAAGCCAATGTAGTCCAGTTTCTAAGATCATGTTCCAAGCTAACTGAATCCCACTTCAATACACACTCATGAACTCCTGATGGAACAATAACAGGCCCAAGCCTGTGGTATGATGTGCACACTTGCTAGACTCAGAAAAAATACTACTCTCATAAATGGGTGGGAGTATTTTGGTGACAACCTACTTTGCTTGGCTGAGTGAAGGAATGATATTCATATATTCATTTATTCCATGGACATTTAGTTAGTGCTTTTTATATACCAGGCATGATGCTGAGTGACACTCTTGTGTATATTTCCAAATTTTTGTACAGTCGCTGCACATATTTGAAATCATATATTAAGACTTTCCAAAGATGAGGTCCCTGGTTTTTCATGGCAACTTGATCAGTAAGGATTTCACCTCTGTTTGTAACTAAAACCATCTACTATATGTTAGACATGACATTCTTTTTCTCTCCTTCCTGAAAAATAAAGTGTGGGAAGAGACAAGACCTTGGTATTGTAATTATTTTTCTGATTCATCATTTGCTTTTCAATTTCACTTACAGTTGTTTCTTTTTTTTAGATGAGGGTCTCCCTATATTGTCCAAGCTGGTCTCAGACTCCTGGCCTCAAAGGATCCTCCTGCCTCAGCATCCCAAAGCGCTGGGATTACAGGAGTAAGCCACTGTACCCAGCCTCAATTTCATTTATAGTTTTTGACAAGTAAAAAGTTGTTTAACAATGTCTCATAGAGCATTGATAATCTCATAAATATTTTTTACCTAACTACATATATATATATATATATATATATATATATATATATATATATATATATATATGGCTGAGCACAGTGGCTCACACCTATAATCCCAGCACTTTGGGAGGCTGAGGCAGGCAGACTGCTTAAGCTCAGCAGTTTGAGACCAGCCTGGGCAACATGATGAAACCCCGTCTCTACAAAAAATACAAAAATTAGCCAGGCCTGATGGTACATGCCTGTAGTCCCAGCTACTCAGGAGGCTGGGGTGGGAGGATCACTTCAGCCCTGGAGGTCAAGGCTGCAGTGAGCCGAGATGGTGCCACTGCACTCCAGCCTAGGAAACAGAGCCAGATTCTGTCTCAAAAAAAAAAAAAGATATATATATATATATCTTTCAAATATCTGTATATACACACAATCACATCATATGTGAAACTTCAAATAAAAGTTTAATGTGTAAATGTATATAATCAGATCAATCTAAAAGAAGAGATTTTCTATAAGCGATTGTCCTGGACTCTTTGAGTAATCAGTATCATATTAAAAATAAAGGCAGGGGGTGGAATTCTAGGTCACAGTTTAGTAAACTTTTTCCATAAAGGGCTGGGTACTAAATCTCTTAGGCTTTATGGGCCACACAGTCTCGATCGCAACTGCTCAACTCTCTCATTGTAGCGTGAAAACAACCATAGACATTACATAAATAAAAGAGCCTGGCTGTGTTCCAGCAAAAATGTATTTACAAAAACAGGTGGTAGGCCAGATTTGGCCCATGGGACATAGTTTGCCTGTTTTACACTAATGGAGACAAAATGGACACAGCAACCAAACGCAATTTGAGAATCTACATTGGATCCTAGCTTGAGGAAAAAACAGTGATGAAAGATATTCGTGGGACAACTGGGGAAACTTGAGTACACACTGGATACCAGATGATATTATAGAATTGTTAATTTTCTTAAGGAATGGTAAAGGTATTGTGGGGATTAACATTTAGTCTAGGTTCTTCATTTCCTGGATGACCTAGAGGCCAAAAAAAATACAGCTATTTGTTCTAAAATCGCTTCCAAAGAGTGTAAAATTTGCAGAACAAGAATTGAGATTTCTCCCCATTTACGTGATGACTGTAGGGCCATGGTTCTCAACCAGGGGTGATTTTGCCCCCTAGAGGACATTTGGCAATGTTTGGAGACATTTGTGGTTGTCACAACTAGGGTGGGATACAACTGGCATCCCGTGGTTAGAGGCCAGTAATGTTGCCCAACATCCTACAATCTACAAGACAACCACCACAACAAAGAATTATCTGGCCCATGGAGGGCGCAGTGGATCCTGCCTGTAATCCCAGCACTTTGGGAGACCGAGGAAGGTGAATCACCTGAGCTTAGAAGTTTGAGACCAGCCTGGTCAACACAGCAAAAACCCCGTCTCTACTAAAAATACAAAAATTAGCCAGGTGTGGTGGCGCACGCTGGTAATCCCAGCTACCCAAGAGGCTAAGGCATGAGAATCACTTGAACCCAGGAGGCAGAGGTTGCAGTGAGCTGAGATCGCACCACTGCATTCCAGCCTGGGAGACAGAAGGAGACTCCATCTCAAAAAACAAACAAACAAACAAAAAACAATTATCTGACCCTGAATGTAGAACCACCCTGCTTTGTAGTGACTACTGAAGCTCTGGGCATGGACATGAAGACAGAAGACTATTTGAATCCAGCCCTGCCACTGAAGTCTGAGTAACTCTGGGCAAGTTGTTTGACCCTTCCTGAGCCTTTCCTTTCTCAGTCTCCTCATCTGTAAAATGGGTATGTCTGCCCTCCTTGGCTACTTCACAGGGCTGCGGCACATGCATCTGCCCGAATGAGTGGGCATGGAAGCACCCTGTTTATGGCATGGTGGTATGTACTCCATGTGAGGCCTGAGGACGGAAGCAGTGTGGAGAGGCTGTATCATCTTTATAATGACTAGGAGGCCAAGACATTAGTACCTAAAGCAAAAAAGTAATTTCAAATTGCAGCAGAATCACCTGAAGTTTGGTTAAAACACATATTGCTGGGCCCACCCCCAGAGCTTCGAATTCACTGTTCTGGGGTGAGGCCCCTTAAGGCTTTCTAACAAGTTTCCAGATAATCCTGCTACTGCTGGGTGGAAGGAACTAACGTTGAGAAATTTGGTCTTGAAATCCGCTCTTTCCTTCCCTTATCAACAGGGGGTAGCAGAGAGCAGCAAATAGACAGTCATTCTTTGAGGAAGCAGGTCAAAATCCTCATCAAACCTCCCTCAGTTTCAATCTAACAAGTGGCAGGAGAGAGGGCTGAAATAGTGAATTATTTAAATTTATATTATCCCTATGACCCCAGCAACAAGTCATTTAACTTGTGCTGAATCACAATTTGTGAAACGGGGGAAGCAACCTAAAAGATAGTGAGATAATTTGATTAATGTTTGTTGAGCGTTAGAACTTCCAAAGAAAATTGAAATGTATAGGTAATAAATTATTCTGGGAATTTCTTATTCTTGGGACTTTTTCTAAATGTCTGCATTTTAAACACTTCTGACTCATTTATAAACATTGGTTGCCCTCATTGAATTTTCAATTGTTTAATAGTTTAGAGGGCAATACGTTCAATGCACTCATTACATCCAGAATGTGTAGCAACTTCAAACCAGAGTGACAGTGTAAGGGCAGATGAGAAGGTGGTCATCCAGGGGTGATGGTGACCACATTCTGATGGGGCTTTTGGTGGGGGAAAATCCTTTAAGGTTTTTAAAAGAATGGTTCCAAAGCTGCCAGAATAGTTACCTTAAAAAATCAGAGTTCAGGCCGGGCGCAGTGGCTCACACCTGTAATCCCAGCACTTTGGGAGGCCAAGGCGGGCAGATCACCTGAGGTCAGGAGTTCGAGACCAGCCTGGCCAGCATGGTGAAACCCCGTCTCTACTAAAATTACAAAAATTAGCTGGATGTGGTGGCAGGTGGCTGTCACCCCAGCTACTCGGGAGGCTTGAGAATCGCTTGAGCCCAGGAGAAGGAGGTTGCAATGAGCTGAGAGTGCACCATTGCACTCCAGCCTGGGTAACAGAGTGAGGCCCTGTCCCAAAAAAAAAAAAAAAAAAGCAGAGTTCAGCTCCCAGGAATCACCCCTTGCAGACTGATTTCAATTATTCAACTGTCATTTACTGGGCACCAGTATGTCCCAAGCTCTTGTCTAGGAGAGGACTCAATAGTGACAAGAGAGACAAGGACTCTGTTCTCATAGAGCTTGGATTCCAGACTAATGTAACATGTCACCGCACAAGTGTCACTGCAGGAAGAGCGCTAAGCTCTGACCCGGAGTCCCCCATCTTGGTCAACCCCACTGGCCTCAGCTTAATCTGCAGGGACAGTTCCTCTGCTGCTTAGAACTGAACAGCCATTCCTATTGTCCTTGAAATTCTGGAATAAATTTTTTCTTTGGCGCTCTCCCATAGGCATTTTGGGATTTGGGTACCTTAATGGTATATTAGTATTTAACCAATTTTCATTCTATGTATAATTTTCTCACAAATGTCATGTCATCTCACTAATCAAAATGTTTCTCCAGTTTACAATGTAACTGCCATTATTAATTTCACTGCATGGGTTTGTTGTTTTGTTTTATTTTGGTTTTGAGACAGGGTCTCACTCTGTCACTCAGGCTGGAGTACAGCGGTGCGATCTCAGCTCACTACGACTTCCGCCTCCTGGGCTCAAGCGATTCTCCCACCTCAGCACCCCAGAGTAGCTAGGACCACAGGTATGCACCACCACACCAGACTAATTTTTGTATTTTTAGTAGAGATGGGATTTTGCCATGTTGGCCAGGCTGGTCTCAGACTCCTGAGCTTAAGTGATCCACATGCCTCAGCCTCCCAAAGTGCTGGGATTACAGGGAGGAGCCACCATGCCTGACCTATTGTATAGGTTTTAATGATGCAAATTAAGTATCAAGATTTGGGCTTATTGAGTCCTTAATTTTAAAGTGTTTATTTTTTATTTTATTTTTTGAGACAGAGTTTTGGTCTTGTCACCCAGGCTGGAGTGCAATGGCACAATCTCGGCTCACTGCAACCTCCGCCTCCTGGGTTCAAGTGATTCTCCTGCCTCAGCCTCCTGACTAGCTGGGATTACAGGTACCTGCCACCACACCCAGCTAATTTTTGTATTTTTAGCAGAGGCGGGGTTCCACCATGTTGGCCAGGCTGGTCTCGAACTCCTGACTTCAAGTGATCCACCCGCCTCGGCCTCCCAAAGTGTTGGGATTACAGGCATGAGCCACCACGCCCAGCTAAAATGTTTATTGAAATAAATTCCTTTAGAGCAAAAAAAGATTAGCCACTGATGAGAATGTGGCAGAAGGATTTTGTGGCTGTGGATATGGCTTCAAAATTTGATTTTTGGAATTGAGTAGAGGAAGATAACTAGGACTTACATTGAGAGACCTGAGCTGCAGCAAGATGTCTTAGCTAGATGACCTGAAACCAGTCATTCTCCCTTTTCTCTACTGCAGCCTCCTTATCTGCAAATTGGAGGCAAGAAGGTGGCGAGGGAAATTAAACTGGGTGAACTCTAAAGTCTCTCCAGGTTCTCATGTTCTACTGTGCAATATGGGGAGGATAATATTACCCAGTTTCCTTATAGAGATGTCAGGAGGATTATATTCTAAATCAGGGGTTGGCAAACTGCAGTTTACCGGCCAAAGCCAGCCCTCTGCCTATTTTTGTATGGCATACAAGCTAAATATAGTTTTCATATTTTTTAATGGTTTGGGGAAAAAATCAAAAGAATGATACCATTTTGTGACACATAAAAATGACATAAAATTCAAATTTTGGTGTCCATAAATGAAGTTTTGTTGGAACACAGCCACATTCATTCATTACATATTGTCTCAGCTCTGCTTCTGCATTGCAACAGCAGAGCTGAGTAGTGTGACAGAGACTGCATGGCCTGGGAGCCCTAAAAATATTTACTATCTGGCTCTTTACAGAATGAGTTTGCTCATCTGTGTTCTAAAGCATGCTGGACTCCACTTAGAACTGAACTGGGCAAACAAGATTTATTCAGAGAACTTCAATTATGTGAGACATAATTTTCTTTCTTTTTACATTTCTTTAAAAAAAAATTTTTTTTTAGGGGTTTCACCACATTGCCCAGGCTGGTCTTGAACTCCTGGACTCAAGTGATCCACCCACTTTGGCCCTCCCAAACTGCTGGGATTACAGGTGTGAGCCACTGCACCAGGCCAATTTTCATAATAGAGCACTTTGATCTCTTACCCTCAATTTCATGTCACATTCATTATTCTGAAGTGATGACAAATGTTGTATTATGTGCCATAGTAAGCTAAGTGTATATTGCTAATGAATTGCCATCCTGGGATGTCATAAAAGACCTTTCTGAAGAAAAAAAATTCTAAGAATCCTCTCAAGAGCTTATACAAATAGGAGAATCATAACACGAGGAAGCAAGTGATTTGGGGAGAATTTCACACATCCCCAAAAGCACCAACCATAAAGAAAAAGATTGATATATCTGATTATGTCATCATTTAAAAGTATACAAAGGGCCAGGCGCTGTGGCTGACACCTGTAATCCCAGCACTTTGGCAGGCCAAGGCGGGCGGATTGCCTGAGCTCAGGAGTTCAAGACCAGCCTGGCCAACATGGTGAAACCCTGTCTCTACTAAAATACCAAAAATTAGCCAGGTGTGGTGGTGCACGCCTGTAGTCCCAGCTACTTGGGAGGCTGAGGCAGGAGAATGGCGTGAACCCGGGAGGCAGAGCTGGCAGTGAGCTGAGATCACGCCACTGCACTCCAGCCTGGGCGACAGAGTGAGACTCCGTCTCAAAAAATAATAATAATAATAAATAAATAAAATAAAAGTATATGAAAAAGACATTACAAACTTCTTGTTTGTAGAAAAGAACCACAGAATTCTCATTCACTGCTGGTGGAAATGCAACATGGAACAACCACTTTGGAACAGTTCAGCAGTTTTTTATAAGGTTAAATATACACATACCATAACTCCTAGGTATTTACCCAAGAGAAATAAGATATATGTTCATACAATGACTTGTACTCAGATGTTCACAATAGTGTTATTTCTAATAGCCACAAACTAGAAACAATCTTAAGTTTCCACCAACTGGAGAATAGATAAATAAATTGTGGTATATCCATGTACTGAAATACAGTCATGCACTGCATAAAGACATTACATATATGCAACAGTGGTCCCATAAGATTATAATGGAGCTGAAAAATTCCTATTGCCTAGTATTTACAATATTATACTTTGTATCATTTATTTTAGAGTGTAGAGTGTATCATCTATTTTATAAGTAAAGTCCTTCTACTTATTTAAAAAAAAAAAAGTTAACTGTACACCAGCCTCAGGCAGGTCCTTCAGGAGGTATTTCAGAAGAAGGCATTGTTATTAAAACAGATGACAGTCCCATGGGTGTTATTGCCCCTGAAGACCACCCACTGGGACAAGATGTGGAGGTGGAAGACAGTGATACTGATGATCCTGACCCTGTGTAGGCCTAGGCTAATATGTGTGTTTGTGTCTTAGTTTTTAATAAAAAGTTTATTAAGGTCTCTTGGCATTGTGTTTTGTTTTTGTTTTTGAAATGGAGTCTCTGTTGCCCAGGCTGGAGTGCAGTGGCATGATCTTGGCTCACTGCAAGCTCCACTTCCCAAGTTCAAGTGATTCTCCTGCCTCAGCCTCCCAAGTAGCTGGGACTACAGGCACGGGCACCACACTCAGCTAATCTTTGTATTTTTAGTAGGGATGAGGTTTTGCCATGTTGGCCAGGCTGGTCTCGAACTCCTGGCCTAAAGTGATCTGCCCACCACGGCCTCCCAAAGTGCTGGGATTATAAGCGTGAGCACTGCGCCCAGCCACTTGATGTTGATTTTAAAAAGTTTAAAAAGAAAAAAAATAAAAATATTTAAATAGAAAAAAGCTTATAGAATAAGAATAGAATTTTATAATATTGTAATATTATTTTACAATACTTACAATATCGTAATAATTGTATTATTACAAAAGAGTCAAAAAGGGCCAGTTGTGGTGGCTCATGCCTATAATCCCAGCATTTTGGGAGGCTGAGACAGGCAGATTGTTTGAGCCCAGGAATTTGAGACAAACCTGGGCAACATGGTGAGACCACATCTGTACAAAAAATACAAAAATTAGCCAGGCATGGTGACACGTGCCTGTAGTCCCAGCTACTCAGGAGGTTGAGGTGGGAGGATTGATTAAGCCAAGGATGGAGAGGCTGCGTTGAGCTGTGATCACACCACTGCACTCCAACCTGGACAACAGAGTGAGACTCTGTCTCAAAAAAAAGAAAAAAAAAACTGTTAAGAACTGTTCTTTGGGAGGCCGAGGCAGGTGGATCACAAGGTCAGGATTTCCAGACCAGCCTGGCCACGATGGTGAAACCCCATCTCTACTAAAAATACAAAAATGAGCCAGGTGTGGTGGTGGGCACCTGTAATCCCAGCTATTCGGAGGCCGAGGCAGAGAATTGATTGAACTCGGCAGGCAGAGGTTGCAGGGGGCCAGGCTCATGCCTGTAATCCCAGCACTCTGGGAGGCCAAGGCAGGTGGATCACCTGAGGTCAGGAGTTTGAAACAAGCCTGACCAACATGGTGAAATCCCGTCTCTACTAAAAATGCAAAAATTAGCTGGGTGTGGTTGTGGACACCTGTAATCCCAGCTACTCAGGAGGCTGAGACAGGAGAATCACTTGAACCCGGGAGGCGGAGTTTGCGGTGAGCTGAGATCATGCCACTGCACTCCAGCCTGGGTAATAGAGCAGGACTCTGTCTCAAAAAAAAAAAAAAAAAAGAACTGTTAGGGAAATGGAAACTACCATACAATGAGACATCATTTCACACCCACCAGATTGCCAAAGATGAAAAAATATCTGACAAAATCAAGTGTTGAAAGAAAGTGCAACTTTGCTGTTGGGATTTTAAATTGAAACAATGGCTCTGGAAAACAATCTGGCATCATCTGGTGAAACTGAAGATGCACATGCCTAGGATCCAGCAATCTCACTCCTAGGTAGGTAACGCCCCAGAGAAACCCTTGCAACATGTGTTCCAGGGGACACACATAAGAATACTCAGAGCAGTAGGAGGAATAACCCAAATGTCCATCAACAGCAGAATGGGTAAATCGGTTGTGATATGCAATGGAATGTGTTTTGTTTTGTTTTGTTTTGTTTTGAGACAGAGTCTCGCTCTGTCACCCAGACTAGAGTGCAGTGGTGCCATCTCAGCTCACTGCAAACTCCACCTGCCGGGTTCAAGTGATTCTCCTGCCTCAGCCTCCCAAGTAGCTGAAATTACAGGCATGCACCACCACGCCTGGCTAATTTTTGTATTTTTAGTAGAGATGGGGTTTTACCATGTTGGCCAGGCTGGTCTCGAACTCCTGACCTCAAATAATCTGCCTGCCTCAGCTCCCAAAGTGCTGGGATTACAGGCACCCAGGTGATATGCAATGGACTATGAAGCCATATTCTAGTAAAAACGAATGAGATGATAGCTATAAGCACCAAGAGAGAAGACACCAACATAATGTAGACAGAAAAAAGCAAGTTGCAAAAGAATGCATACAACATGATACCATTTATATAAAGTTTTCAAACTCCAGGCTGGAGTGCAGTGGTATGATCTTGACTCACTGCAATCTCTGCCTCCCGGGTTCAAGTGATTCTCATGCCTCAGCCTCCAGAGCAGCTGGGATTACAGGTGCCCGTCACGACACCCAGCTAATTTTTGTATTTTTAGTAGAGATGGAGTTTCACCACGTTGATCAGGCTGGTCTTGAACTCCTGACCTCAAGTGATCCACCCACCTTGGCCTCCCAAACTGCTGGGATTACAGGCATGAGACACCACGCCTGGCCTCTGTAACATTTTATTTCTAAAGGATAAAATAATTAACATAAAATAAAAATTCGCTGGGCTGAATTTTTAATACTTTTTTAAAAGAACAAGTTAATGACTATCTTTTCATTCCTTGTGAGTCTGAACAACCTAATATGAATAAAATGTAAAGAATTCCATTCAAGGCCGAGCACAGTGGCTCATGCCCATAATCCCTGCACTTTGGGCAGCCTAGGTGGGTGGATCACCTGAGGTCAGGAGTTTGAGACCAACCTAGCCAACATAGTGAAACCCCATCTCCACTAAAAATACAAAAATTAGCCTGGTGTGGTGGCACACGCCTGTAGTCCCAGCTACTCGGGAGGCTGAGGCAGGAGAATCGCTTGAATCCAGGAGGCAGAGGTTGCAGTGAGCCGAGATCCCATGACAAAGCGAGACTCTTTCTCAAAAAAAAAAAAACAAAAGAAAGAAAAAAAACAGTTCCATTCAAGACTGTCTAGAGCTTCTTGGCCTTTTCCTGTAAAATCTACCTTCCAAGTTAATGATGTTATTTCTGGTTGGTGACTGTTGGTGGCTGACTCAGAAAATTTACTTGGCCTCATCTCTAAAATGAGAAGACTGGACTTCTGCAACCCTGAAAGCTCCTAACAAGAGGTAGCCGAGAACATTTCGCACTCATGGGGTCCTTGGAGGGCTACAGCAGCAAGCTTTGCTTTGGTAACAGAAGGCTGCTTCAGCAGGTGAGCTGTGTTTCAAAGCTCCCAGCTGCTGCCTTCCTTCATTTTAATGCTGTATGAAAATAGCTGCTAACCCATTGGTCCTGGGCCCCATAGATATCAAACATGTCCTGAGGGGACACTTGGCTCAAAAGCCAGTGACATTTTGATTCCACTCCCAGCCTGAGTCTTCCCTAAGCAACTCATAAGGTTATTGAGGAGAAAAATGCAAATATGTTCACCAATACCATTTCATCCCCTGAGGACTGGGTTAAAAATGCTCTTAAATCAAACTTGTCCAATCTGTGGCCCACGGGCCACACATGACCCAGGACAGCTTTGAATGCACCCCAACACAAATTTGTAAACTTTCTTAAAACATTGGACTTTTTTTGCGATTTTTTTTTTAAAACTTATCAGCCATCATTACTGTTAGTGTATTTTATGTGTGGCCCAAGACAATTCTTTTTCGAATGTGGCCCAGAAAAGTCAAAAGATTGGACACCCCTGTCTTAAATGATGGACTCTTATGATACCTTTAGGTAATAAGTCCTTGTATGTTGTGTTTTTCTTAACAAACAAAATCTCTTTTCTCGACAACATTCTTCCATAAGGCTATCAATCCAGATCTGGATTATACAGTAATGAGGCAGAACAGGGAATTAGGGTAACCAAGGGTTAAGGTAGAAGCAAAAGACCAGCAGGTGCAGCCAGTTCTAGGCAAGATTAGGCAGCAGACAGGCAGCAGACCGGCCACATCCTCACTCCTGTGATGAGACAGAAGTTTCCACTTTGGCCTCTGATTAAGCGCGGACGAATCTCTACTTTAGCCTCTGATTGGTCACGGGCCAATCCTTCATAGAGTGTAACCAATTGGAGCCCTCTAATGGGCACGTAGGGGTGTTACCAAATACTTTTAGCTTAATAAAAACCCTTGAAGACCATCATAACGGGAAGTCTTCGGCCGCTTGCTCTAACCTGCTTCCGTTCTGTGAGTTGTACTTTTGTTCTAATAAGTCTGTGATTTCCTGACTTCGTTGTTTTGTTTATCTTTTGTTGCTTCTTGTGTTTTGTTCAACTCTGTCCAAGACACCAAGAACTTGGACCATTCACAGTCAAGACCTTCCATCCAGTAAAAGTAACGTCCTCTAAATGGTTTTCCCAACTCCCTCTCTCTCCACCCCTCTCCTTCCCCTCTCTCTCTCCCTTCCTTCCCCCTCTCTCCCTTCCTTCCCCCCTCTCCCCCCTCCTTCCCCCTCTCTCCCCCTTCCTTCCCCCTCTCTTCCCCTTCCTCCCCCCTCTCTTCCCCCTCCTTCCCCCTCTCCTCCCTCCTTCCCCCTCTCCCCCCTCCTTCCACTCTCTCCTCCCTCCTTCCCCTTTCCACTACCCTCTCCTCGCTTCCTCCTTCCCCTCTCCACTCCACTCTCCAACACCCCCCCTCCCCCGTCTCCTGCTCATTGCTTTCAAGGCTATCTTTTTGTTGTTGTTTTTGGAGAGAGAGTCTCACTCTATCGCCCAGACTGGAGTGCAGTGGCGTGATCTTGGTTCACTGCAACCTCTGCCTCCTGGGTTCAAGTGATTCTTCTGCCTCAGCCTCTGAAGTAGCTGGGACTACAGGCACGCGCCACCACACCTGGCTAATTTTTATTTTTAAAATTTATTTATTTTTAGTAGAGATGGGGTTTTGCCATGTTGTCCAGGCTACTCTCGAACTCTTGAGCTCAGGCAATCTGCCCACCTTAGCTTCCTGAAGTGCTAGGATTATAGGCATGAGCCACCGTGCCCGGCCTCAAGGCCATCTTTTTTATTTTTCTTATTTTTATTTTTGAGACAGAGTCTCTCTCTGTTGCCCAGCCTGGGGTGCAATGGCGCGATCTCAGCTCACCGCAACCTCCGCCTCCCGGGTTCAAGTGATTCTCCTGTCTCAGCTCCCCGGGTAGCTGGAATTACAGGCGCACGCTACCACGCCCGGCTACTTTTTGTATTTTTTTTTAGTAGAGACGGGGTTTCACCATGTTAGCCAGGCTGCTTTTGAACCCCTGACATAAGGTGATATGCCCGCCTCGGACTCCCAAAGTGTTGGGATTACAGGCATGAAGCTGCCGCGCCCTGCCAAGGCCATCTTTTAAAAGGTAACTTTGGAGGCTGGGCACGGTGGCTCACGCCTGTAATCCCAGCACTTTGGAAGACCGAGGCGGGCAGATCACGAGGTCAAATGTTCAAGGCCATCCTGGCCAACATGGTGAAACCCCATCTCTACTAAAAATACAAAAATTAGCTGGGCATGGTGGCGCACACCTGTAATCCCAACTACTCCAGAGGCTGAGGCAGGAGAATCGCTTGAACCCGGCAGGCAGAGGTTGCAGTGAACCGAGATCACGCCACTGCACTCCAGTCTGGCTGATAGAGCTGTCTCAAAAAAAGAAGAAAAAAAGGGTAGCTTTGGAATTGTCGAGCCACTATTAAGAAGCCTTCAGTGGTCCCCCATCACCTACAGGGAAAATCCAAACTCTTCGGTGTGGCCTCCATGGCTGGCTGTAGTGGCGGTTGGGAAGTGCGACCTCTGTAAATACCAAGTGCCTTCGTTCATATGAGGATTTAAGTTTTGCCCTAAATCCTTCCTTACCTTGTAATGCGCCTAGAGCAAGAGGAGACAGGTGTTGCAACAAAGGCCCGGGGCCCTGTGCTGGGGATCATGCCCTGTATATGATGCACCTTGCTGTGTGTGGCAAGGCTGAAAAGGGCCTATAGTCCCTCTTCATCTGTGCCACCCTCCCTCTCCACCCTCAAGCCCCACCACTTCCTGTCTGAACCCTGTCATCTGGCCATTTGGTTGATTCACTCTGTCTTGCACCACACATGTCCCCTTCCTGCCTCCAGTCTCGGGGCTCTCTCTGTTCTCTCCATGCTCCTCCTTTCCCGCCCGGCACAAAGTGCTTTCTCCTGTTTTCAACAAAATGCCTATTGAGTACCTGCTTTGTGCTGGAATCTCTAATCTTTTTGCACACAATTGGAACAGGTTTTTTTTTTCTTAATTTAGGTGGATCCCAGTGACTATGGCTGCATAACAAACACCCCCAACTTAGTGGTATAAACAACTGCTTTATTATGCTCACAGGTTCTGTGGGTGGAGGATTTGGACAGGGCACAACAGGGATGGCCCATTTCTCCTCTACAATGTCTGAGGCCTCAGCTGAGAAAACTCAAAGCTGGGGGCTAGAATTATCCAGAAGCTTCTTCACTCATGTGTCTGGGACCTGAACTGGGATGAATCAAAGGCTGGGCCCAGCTGGGACTATTGACCACAGCATGCATGTGGCCTCTCGTACTTCTCACTTGATGTGTTCTGAGAGTGTCCCCAGAGGGATGACTAGAGAGATCTAAGTGGGGCTGGGCATGGTGGCTCACGCCTGTAATCCCAACACTTTGGGAGGCCAAGGTGGGTGGATCACTTGAGCCCAGGAGTTCGAGACCAGCCTGGGCAACATGATGAAACCCCATCTCTACAAAAAACTTAAACTAGTCAGGCGTGGTGGTGCAGACCTGTGGTGCCAGCTCCCAGGGAGGCTGAAGTGGGAGGATGGCATGAGCCTGGGAGGTTGAGGCTGCTGCTGCACAGCCTTTCCAAATCTAGCCTTGGATGCCATGTAGTGTCACTTAAGCCATGTTTTATTGGTGGGAACACTCCTGAGTCCATTCAGGTGTAAGGAGAGGAGACATAGACCCCACCCCTCAATGGGCAAAAGTGTCAAAGAATTAGGAGTTATGCTTTTAAATGGCCACAAGGCATCATTCTACTGTGGGATACACTGTTATTTAAATCCCTTATTTTTCTACTTCAAACGTTTGTGTCTTCTTCTACATGGTAAGCCCAGTGAAGCCAAAGCCTGGGTATTCCTGGAGTACCTACCTGGTCAGTCCCTTTCTGGTACAGAAAACCCTTCGAAGCCATCTAATTCAATTCCATCATTAAATGGTGGCTCCAAGGCAACTTGCTGATTGACTGCTATTTACAGGCCATAAATACAAACTTTATTTTTTATTTATTTATTTTTTTGGAGATGGAGTCTCTGTTGCCCAGGCTGGAGTGCCATGTTGCGATCTTGACTCACCCAGGTTCAAGTGATTCTCCTGCCTCAGCCTCTTGAGTAGTTGGGACTACAGGTGTCTGCCACCATGCCCGGCTAATTTTTGTATTTTTAGTAGAGACAGGGTTTCACCATGTTGGCCAGGCTGGTCTCGAACTCCTGACCTCAGGTGATCCACCTGCCTTGGCCTCCCGAAGTGCTGGGATTACAGGCGTTAGCCACTGTGCCTGGCCAAACTTTAGATCTTTAACTAAGATTTTCTTACCTGATTTACTGGTGCAAGTAGAATAGCTGTTCCAGTTAAAACTCCTGACACCCAAACCCGTTGCAGCTTCTGCAGAAGCAGATCTTGTAATCAAGTAGGTAGGGAACCTCGGACAAGCATGGCTCAAGAGCCCCACACTGGGCTGGGCGTGGAGGCTCATGCCTGTAATCCTGGCACTTTGGGAGGCCGAGGCGGGCAGATCACGAGGCCAGGAGTTCGAGACCAGCTTGACCAACATGGTGAAACCCCCTCTCTACTAAAAAAAAAAAAAAAAAAAATACAAAATTAGCTCAGCCTCGTGGCACGCGCCTGTGATCCCAGCTACTAATGAGGCTGAGGCAGGAGAATGGTGTAAACCCGGGAGGCGGAGGTTGCAGTGAGCCAAGATCGTGCCACTGCACTCCAGCCTGGGCGACAGAGGGAGACCCTGTCTCAAAAAAAAAGCCTCACACTTAAACCCTGTTGCTACTGGAGGATCTGCCTTTGATGTGGTAACCTAACAGAGAAGAGCAGAACCAGTGTGAAAACGAAGGCAAAACAATGCAGAGTTCAAGTCACATTTGTGTTCTAGCAAGGCAAAACCCTCTGCATTGGCTTTTTTTTTTTTTTTTTTGAGACGGAGTCTCGCTTTTTTGCCCAGGCCAGACTGCAGTGGCGCGATCTCGGCTCACTGCAAGCTCCATGCCAATTTCCTGCCTCAGCCTCCCGAGTAGCTGGGACTACAGGCGCCCGCCACCACGCCTGGCTAATTTTTTGTATTTTTGGTAGAGACGGGGTTTCACCGTGTTAGCCAGGATGGTCTTGATCTCCTGACCTCCTGATCCGCCCGCCTCGGCCTCCCAAAGTGCTGGGATTACAGGCCTGAGCCACGGCGCCCGGCCTGCACTGGCTTTTTAGTCAGCTGAAAACGTATTTTCTGGAATGTTTTCCCACCGTCATTACCTGTACAGCCTAGAGCCTGAACACTTCTGGGAACACAAATTCTAGACAGAGAAAACTTGAGGGAGTTGTTCTTGAAAGAAAACACTGGCTTAGAATTCTTCTCAATTGAGGATTTTAAAAAACAGGATGACCTTGAATTGAACTTCTTAGAATCAGTGCAGGCCACTCTGATTCGCTCCAAACTTGGAGGTCTCATTCACAGCAGTCTCTTGGTGGGGCACATTGCAAAAATGTTGTAACAGCGGTTGTTGCTATAACATCCCCCCAGAGACTGTTAGGGTCTTAATTAGATCGTAACATATTATTTCCAAACTCTAAATAGAGAACAAATAGCTTTCCTCCACATCCTCGCCCACTTTCATCTTTTTGATATTAGCCATTCTAACAGGATGAGGGGCCGTCCCATTGTGTGGTTGTGTTTCTTTTTCTTAATTGACATAGTGTTCTGTCATTTTTCCTCCCGATTGTTACTGTAGTTCCAATTTGCGTTTCCCTAATGGTTAGTGATGCTGAACGGTTTTGCATGAACCTGTTGGCCATTTTTATGTCCTTTGCCCATTTTAAAAATCAGGTTTTCTTGCTATTGAGTTGCATGAGTTCCTTAAAGGGTTAATATACAAAACGTTTACCAGATGTGTGGTTTGCAAATATTTTTCCTACTCTGTGGAGTATCTTTTCACTTTGTTAATTATTTTGCTGTACAAAAGCTTTTTAGTTTTACGCAACCCCATTTGCCTATTTTTGCTTTTGTTGTTTGAGCATTCAAGGTCATAGCCAAAAAAGAAGAAGAAAAAAAAATCCTTGACTAGATCAGTGTTGTAGAGCAAGCTTATCCAACTTGTGGCCCACAGGTCATATGCGGCCCAGGATGGCTTTGAATGACGCTCAACACAAATACGTAAACATTCTTAAAACATTACGAGATTTTTTAGGCCAGGCATGGTGGCTCATGTACTTGGGGAGGCCGAGGTAGGCAGATCACCTGAGGTCAGGAGTTTGAGACCAGCCTGGCCAACATGGCGAAACCCCGTGTCTCCTAAAAATACAAAAATTAGCCAGGTGTGGTGGTGCGTACCTGTAGTCCCAAATAGTTGGTAGGGGCGAGATCACGCCACTGCACTCCAGCCTGGGCAACAGAGCAAGATTCTGTCTCAAAACAAACAAAAAAATACTGAGGTTTCTTTTTTTTTTTTTCCAGCTCATCAGCTATCATTGGTATTAGTGTGTTGTATGTGTGGCCCAAGACAATTCTTCTTCCAATGTGGCCCTTAAAAGAGGTCTTCAACCTCTTTTAAGATTTTTTTTCCAAGGTATAAAATAAGGGAGCTGTACTTCTGATATTGTTACCTTGTTCCTAAAAGTAGTAGCAGCTGTAAGCGCCAAATAATAACATAGCCTGACAGAAATGGAGTGTCCTGGCTGGGCGCAGTGGCTCACACCTGTAATTCCAGCACTTTGGGAGGCCGAGGTGGGTGGATCATGCGGTCAGGATTTTGAGACCAGCCTGGCCAAGATGGTGAAACCCCGTTTCTACTAAAAATACAAAAATTAGCCAGGCATGGTGGCAGGTGCCTGCAATCCCACCCTCTCGGGAGGCGGAGGCAGGAGAATCACTTGAACCTGGGAGGCGGAGGTTGCAGTGAGCCGAGATCATGCCATGGCATTCCAGCCTGGGCGACAGAGCAGGACTCTTTCTTGAAAGGAAAGAAAGGAAAAGGAAAGAAAAAAAGGAAAAGGAAAGAAAAAAAGGAACAGGAAAGAAAGAAAAAGGAAAGAAAGGGAAAGAAAGGCGTGTCCTTGGAAGCCACTCACACCTCACTAGGACTCAGGCTTGGACCTTTTCCCAGGAAGCTAAGGCAGCCTCTTGATATTTTAATAAGGCTGAATATGGATCAGCCTGTAGTGTTCCTGAACTCATTAGCTACACTTCTCAGAATTTCTTTGCAGTTTGGATTTGTGAAACCACCAGGCAGATAGGAGAATTGATTGGCCACAACTGTTTGGGAATGAATGTCTATTGTCAGATGCTTTCCTGAAGTGTGACCAAAAAGTTTGGAGTAGTAAAGTCCAAGGCCAAAGTTCCAGCTTGACCTGCTCTGTGAGGTGTTCCCTCACCCCCCTAGGTGGAATTAATCACTCTGACCTGCCTTCCTAGAACTTGGGGCTCCCTACTGTGGTGGAAGTGTTCCTTCAAGGGACTTGCCCCCAAACCACAAGCTCCCCAAAACGCACTGGCAGAGGAGGCAGGCTTTGTTTCTTTTGCCCAGCCCTCTAGAGTTCAGCAGCCAGAGGTTCCCCTCACCCGTTAATCACAATGCCTCAAATCTCACAATAATTCCAAAATGGAGGAACCTCATAAAACTGGGATAAGAAAATGAAAAGCAGAAGTTTTACTGGATTGTCAGCAGAGCTGATCAAAAGAAATCGGAGGCCCTTTAGAAATCAGGTTTTGGCAGAAAGAAAACAACCCAAGGTCTGGTCTTATGACATAGTGGGGAGTGAGGCCGTGTCGCACCTGTGAATCAATACTTAATATCACAGTTCAGCTCTGGGGACAAAACACTTCACAGGCTGTGGTAGATATGGCAGTAAAAACCCATGGGCTTCTCCAGGGGTTGATACCGTCACTGTGGTATTCTCCTGGCCTGTAACATCACCTCACAGCACCTCCAAGTTGCATCCCTTTAGGGGTTTCCATTCCCCCCAAGTCCATTGTGAAAGGGGCCCCCTGAAGTTGGCTAATTTGGGGCCCTGTAGTCCACTCTCCTTACCTCTGCCTCAAGACCCAGGTCTGTTCAAATAGCACCTCCCTGCAGAGACTTTTCCAGCTCTGGGGGAGAATTGCTGCTGTGTACCACAGCAGGTGGGCTCTCCTCTTTCAAACACAATTACACGGTATTGATGACATTTAATCATCATCTCTCCTACTCTCTGGGAGCTCCCTGGGTACAGATACTATGTTTTGTTTTTTATTTATTTATTTATTTGTTTATTTTGAGACGGAGTTTTGCTCTTGTTGCCCAGGCTGGAATGCAATGGTGTGATCTCACCTCACTGCAACCTCCGCCTCCTGGGTTCAAGTGTTTCTCCTGCCTCAACCTCTTGAGTAGCTGGGATCACAGGCACCTGCCACCATGCCTGGCTAATTTTTTGTATTTTTAGTATTGGCCAGGCTGGTCTCGAACTCCTGACCTCAAGTGATCCACCCACCTCGGCCTCTGAAGGTGCTGGGATTATAGGCGTGAGCCACCACGCCCAGCTGAGACAATGTTTTATTCATCTTTCCTCTCTCTGGCCTTAGTCCAGCGCCTGGCACAGAATGTTCACTTGAACCTTGGTGAGGCTCCTTGGGAGGGTGAATCACAAGTCTACGCAGAGTGACCCACAACCTGCAAAGCCCACCTACCAACATCGGGGTGACAAGAGGGGACCCCAATACCAATTTCTGAGGCTGTGGGAAAAACAGTCTGGCTCTGTGACAGGGCCCAGTAATCCAAGGGGCCAATGTGAGTGTTCAGAGGCACAGCTTCAGAACAAACAACGGCTGTGAAAGCTGAGGAAACAATGCTGCAAGGGATGGGAGTCACAGCCTGCACTTTGGTTCCACAAATAGACTAGGCAAATGGTGGAGGAGCGGCCTCCTCACATGGGAACCTCCTATGGGAGAGGCTGCAAGCAGTGCTCTGGGACGCTTGCAAACCACAGGCTCGGTGCCCTGAGAAGCCAACAGCTCATCTCATCGCAGGCCTCGGTGCCCACCCCAGGCTGCTCTCCCTGCCCTTACAAGCCCGGAAGACATGCCTGGCAAACCCACACAGAACATCTGAGTGGGACAGACAATACGAACCCCACAGCCCCAGGGGAGTTTGGGGTGCAGAGAGCTAGTACCTTACTCCTAGGTTTATAAAATACAAAGTCCCTGTTTGTCTTCTCTTGAAAAGGATTTTGTCTTCCTTCCAATGAGGATATTTACAAAGTGGGGGACAAAATAATTTTAAAAATATAAATATACAAATCCATAGTATTTATAACATTATAAGAGAGGTCATTTTAATCCTGGCCCTTCCTTCTGCAAGGTCTCTGGAGGGCAGAACCAGTACAAAGGCAGTGGAAATCCAGGAAAAAGGATTAAGTTTACATGAGGTGGGAATATTCACCAACAGCTACAGCTGCCTGGTGGTGGAATGAGCTGTCCTATGATGATGGGAAGGGTAAGCTGAGGCTGCAGGGTGAGCAGTGATTCCAACATTTTAGTTATAATGAACTTTTGTCGTAAAATGTATGGCTCTTTAAATGTCTGTTATTGAGCTCGGCATGGTGCCTGTAATCCCAGTGCTTTGGGAGGCCAAGGCAGGAGGATTCCTTGAGGACAGGAGTTTGAGACCAACCTGGGCAACGTAGCAAGGCTGTGTCTCTACAAAAAGTTAAAAATTAGCCAGGCATGGTGGCATATGCCTGTAGTCCCAGCTGCTCAGGAGGCTGAGGCAAGAGAATTGCTTGAGCCCAGGAGTTCAAAGTTAAGTGAGCTATGATCATGTCACTGCCCTCCAGCCTGGGTGACAAAGAGATCCTGTCTCAAAAAAAAAAAAAAATCATTCAGTACATGCATGACAAAGAGCTACTTGAAACAAAGCCACACTTTTAAATTTTTATTGAATTGCAATACCATCTACACCTATTTGCTGTGAGGGACACATTTATTTGGCCCAAAGACAATGTTTGATGCACATGTGGATTTGAGGGTCCTCTGCTGTCAAAAGGGGGTTCATGGTCCACAGCTTAAGAAACACAGATGCATAATAAATTCATGCATTGAGTAAGCAGAGGTCAGAGTGATAAGCTTCCCAGTATCAAAATTATATAAACGTAGTCATTTATACACTATGTGCCAGTCCCGTAATGTGTGATGTTAAGGTCCCTATGGTCCAGTATGGGCACATCAGGAAGCTTGCGCAATCTCTCCCTAGTTTAGCCCTTGGGCCTTTGGCCCAGCCTGCTCTGTATTTCTCTGAAGCAAGATCCTGAGGTCTGTGTGGTGTCATCTCCCAAAGTAGGCCCCTACCTTCTCCCCAGCCCCTGAGGCTAGCTGCAGAGAAAGTGTTTGTGACTGCAGCTTCTCACCTTCCCATGAAGCCCCAGGACACAAATTTGGGAACCTTTTGGCTCTGCTGCTAACACAGCAAACAGGAGGCTCCCAAATTACCACACCAGGGATGTAATTAGGGTCTGTAATAGGGAAGTCCTTGTACTAATGGACTGTAGTTAATTTATAATTCCTGACTCAGGAAGTTGCTTTTGGCTTCAATCCTCTGGCTCAGTACCCCAAAGGTAGTGATTATCAAACCACCCCCACTTCTGATTCTGCCTTTACTAAGCAACCAATGTCTGAAAACAATGTCCAAGCCCATGAGTAGATGGCAGTTTTGGGGGAAAGAGGGGCATTTTGCATTTCTGAGAACCTCTCTAATTTTCCTCAGGAAATATGACCTGTAAAAATGGATTTTGGTAATTAACATTAAGGACATGCATAGTGCTGGCAAACCTTGTCTCTGAAATCACAGATGATGAGAAACTGTTGTTTGGAATCATTTCAGTGAGAATGGAACATCCCGGTCTTGCCTGAAGACTCCGCATGGGGGTCATTTCACATCATTCCACACAAAGACACAGCTTCAGCATCAATCCTCCCCAAGGGCCAGCACTCCACATTTATCTTAACTTTTATAGTTCTAAGGAACAAGGACCCTGAGTCTGTTTCTCAGCCCTGCTGCTAATCAGAATGTGATGTTCCTAGTGAAGCCTAAAATAATGTTTTTAATAGGACATGATTCTCCCCAGACCACACGACTCTTGTGAGTGACTGACCAATAACATCTCCAGCCCCTGTGAACATTCTCCTGTCTCCTGAACAAAGATTACTGAGAAAAATTCCTAAACTTCCCTTGCTTCAGGACAGCACCCAGTCCACAGCTGACACCACTTCCTCTGATCTCTCCTTAGACTCACTGAGCATAAGCACGAGCCCTAAACAAAGCCCCTTCTAGTCCCTCTTCCTGAGCTGCTCCTCTGTCCTCCATAGCATGCAGTCTCCCTTGCTACAGCGAGTTAATAAAACTAACTTTGGGCCAGGTGCGGTGGCTCACACCTGTAATCCCAGCACTTTGGGAGGCCAAGATGGGAGGATCACAAGGTCAGGAGTTCGAGCCTAGCCTGGCCAACGTGGCGAAACCCCGTCTCTATTAAACATACAAAAAAATTAGCCAGGCGTGGTGGTGCACGCCTATAATCTTAGCTACTCAGGAGGCTGAGACAGAAGAATTGCTTGAACCCGGGAGGCGGAGGTTGCAGTGAGCTGAGATTGCACCACTGCACTCCAGCCTGCGTGACAGAGCGAGACTCCGTCTCAGGAAAAAAAAAAACTTTGACCACACGTGTTCCTGGTTGTCTTTTTCTGATGGGCTTTATCATAATGACTGGGTTCAAGCCATTTCCTCTCCATGAGGTCAATTTGTAGACAGATACTAATTTCCATATGATTACTACATGCCAAGCACTATGGTATATAATTTGTGCTGCATATTTTATCCAATTTTTCGAGACTCTGTGAAGAAGGTATCATTCCCTCATTTTACAGATGAGGAAACTGAGGCTCAGATTAAGAACTTCAATAGTACACTGCTAATAAACAGAAGAGGTGGAATTAAATCTAAGTCTTTTCTAGTGGGGTATCATGCAGTCAAACATAAATGTTAAAGACATTTATGAACAAAGGGATGAGGGGTTTCTGAGGGGCCATCTGAGAGAGTAGGGGGAGATATCTTAATGCTTAAGGTATGTCTTACAGAGTGAGTCTGAGTTTGTCATATGAAAAAATGGGAAAAGGGTGCTCTAAAAAGAGTAGTGGCCAAGCACGGTGGCTCACACCCGTAATCCCAACACTTTGGGAGGCTGAGGCGGGTGGATCACTTGAGGTCAGGAGTTTGAGACCAGCCTGGCCAACATGGTGAAACCCCGTCTCTACTAAAAATACAAAAATTAGCTGGGGGTGGTGGCACGTGCCTGTAATCCCAGCTATTTGGGAGGCCGAGGCAGGAGAATTGCTTGAACCCTGGAGGCAAAGGTTGTGGTGAACCGAGATGGTGCCACTGCACTCCAGTCTGGGTGACAGAGCGAGACTCCATCTCAAAAAAAAAGTATATGCAAAGCTTGGCATTGAAAGGATATGGTGAGGTTGCCAGGCATGGTGGCTTATGCCTATACTCACAGCTACAGTGGGGTAGATTGCTTAAGGCCAGGAGTTTGAAACCAGCCTGGGCAACATAGTGAGATCCTGTCTTTAAAAAAATTAAAAACAAAAATTAGCTGGCCATGGTTCCACATGCCTGTAGTCCTAGCTAATTGGGAGGCTAAGGCAGGAGCACCGCTTGAGCCCAGGAGTTTGAGGATGTAGTTAGCTATGATTGTGTGACTGTACTCCAGTCTGGGTGACAAGAGTAAGACCCCATCTCTTTAAAAAATAAAAATAAAAAAGGGTATGGTGAGTTTGAAAAACAGCAAAAAGCAGATAAAGCGAAAATGATTGTAGTTGATAGAAGGGCAGCATGGAGGATGAAAAGAGTAGAAACAGACTGGAGACAGGAAAGCCAGGTAGGAGGCAGTCTCTGTAATTAGGCAAGAACTAATGAGGGTGTGGACTAAGGAAGAAACAGTGGAAATGAAGACAAGAAGCTGAACTCACAGAAACATTTTGGAGGTCACATAAGCAGGATTTTGACAACAGATTCGTTTGTTGTATGAAGATCCTGGACTGAATGAAGTCTAGGGTTTGGGAGTTTTGAAGGGATAATGACCCATTAAATGAGCTGGCAAATACAGGTGGTAAAGCAGGTCTGGGATGTTCAGAGAAGGGTGGGAACACGGAATGGATGCCAGAAGCTGGGAGAAAAGCCAAGTTCATGCCTGTGGAAAAATGGAATTGAGGATGGGGCTAAAATTGGACAGAGGAAACTTAATCTGTAATGTTTTTCTTCTTTTCAAAAATAACTTGAAGTGGTTGTACATATCTGGTGTGATATACACAAATGCTTAATTTCTCTATTTTTAAAAAACTTCCCAAAATTAGTGCTTGGAATTATTTAAAATAATGTAGCAAACATTTTTGGAGTGCCTGCTATGTGTCTGGCACTGTTTCAGGCATTTGAAATATTTGCTCTCTATGAAGCCTTCCTTTCAGCAGTTAGCAGGCCTGGAGTTCAGAAGCCAGAAACTGGCTTCTGATTCTGACGCAGTCAGTAAGTGTATGACCTGGGCAAGTTGCTTCCCTGCGGCGTCCCACGCCCCCAAAACCCCCCACCCCCCCACCCGTGCCAGGAATCTATCGCAGTTCTCAAGTCCTGTGACTTAATACCGCAGCTGGCACCTCAGAATTCCTTATTCTTACAGAGCTGGTCCCCACAGTACCGCCCCTGGGCGTAAACTCCTCCATACAGGGAGTGTAGATGATGGGCTGACCTAAGAACGGTTTCCAAATGGTCCTTTACACCTCTGCCTCCCACCCCACTCTAGCCCAGGATAACAGATTTTCCTCGCGCAATTTCAAATTTGCAAGGGAATCTTGAATATTTTCTGGTAATGAGAGAGGGTAGATTATATGTCCTAATCCCAGCCTAATCAGATTAACAGCAACTTCTGGACATTCAGTACCAGGAACTGTTTTAGGTGCTGTGGAGAGAAGAGTTAAAAATGAAACAAAAATTATTGCCTTCATGAGCCTCACATTAGTGGACAGAGTCCAAAAAAAAAGTGACAACGTAATGCGCTACTGCGACACAAAGCAAAGCAAGGTGGGCAAGCAACACTAGTTCTTTATTCCCGCACGCCCTAATCCCCAAGTAGCTCTTCCGGGTCACTGCAGTCTTCACGGGCTCCAGACTCCGCCCATGGTCCGTCCTTCAGGCCTTGACTCCGCCCACGCATCGACGTAGAATTTCCCGGCCGGGCTCCATGAAGTACCACCCACCCGCGACGCCGACGCAAGGCTGCTGCTATGGGGCCGGGCGGCCGTGTGGCGCGGCTGCTCGCCCCACTAATGTGGCGCAGGGCGGTTTCCTCGGTGGCGGGGTCCGCGGTTGGAGCCGAGCCCGGGCTTCGGCTGCTGGCCGTGCAGCGGCTTCCCGTAGGAGCAGCGTTCTGCCGGGCTTGCCAGACCCCAAACTTTGTCCGCGGCCTGCACAGCGAGCCTGGGCTGGAGGAGCGGGCGGAGGGGACGGTCAACGAGGGACGCCCAGAATCGGACGCGGCAGGTACGGGCGTGGAGAAGAACGAAGGCGACCCTCTCCGGGCAGTCTGGAGTCAGGTCCCAGCCAAGGTGGCTCTGGGTTCCCCTCTATGTGCATTTCTCTTGGAGTCACAAAACTCCTGCACATCCAGAGCTGGAAGGGACTTCAAAGGTTGTTGGCGCCAACCTTCCCGTTTCACAGTGAAGAAATTGAGGGCAAGAGATGAACTGCAGAATCCCAGCCTCCCGGACGGCCATCTCCCACCCTTGGCATCACAGTCTCACCGTCCTCACTTCCTTTTACCCTCTTCCTAGGATCCTGGGAAATGGGTTTGTGGGGACTGTTGGGGCTTGAGGATTCTGAGGAGCCAGGGTCTGGGTGCGAAGGGGTGCGTAGGAAGCGCCAGTAGGAGATGGGTCCAAGTTAATATCCTCTAGTTATTGCTGACGTTTTTAGAAACTTAAGAATGGTAAACAGATCACATCTAAGAATGTAGAGTATGAGAGGGAGAGGCCTTAGTGGGCTTAGCTACTAGGTCCTTTGGAGTCGGCTTTAGAACTTGGGCGAGCTTTTAAATTTACAGCCTGTAATACTCCAAGCTGAAGATCAGAATATCTAAATCTTTACGGGAAAAAAAATTAGATTTTCATAGGTAACAGTTGTTAATAACCCGGTGGTTTTATATGAAAACTGGAAGGTTCAAAATAATAATTACTCAAAAATGTAGCTCTTTCAGTGACTGATCTTAGGCCACAGTAATTCTCCTAGGCCTCAGTTTCTTCATCTCTCAACTGAAGGTTGTGGACCAGATACTGCCTAAGAGCCCTTCCAGCTCACAATTCTGTGACCCGTTATGACTGAGATTCAATTTAATATGCTCCAGGATATCACCTCCTACCCATTTTGTGGTGCTGTTTTTCTTTGCACAGCATTTCTGTGATTGTGGTGTATTGCTCCTTTTAAGTATTAGTAGAAAGTCATTTGTCACTGGTGTCTGGTTCTACTTGCATATGGTTAATAGCGAAGGATGTATAGTGGCTCTGCGTAATCTGAGCACCCTGACCATAAAAGTTGAGCGGTGCTATGATACTACTGCCCAGGTTCACCTTCCAGGAGGCCTTTACCCTGCTATCTGTAAAAACACTTTGGATCTAAACACCCTCATGGAGGAACAGTCAGCTGCCGGCATCTCTGGGTGCATACACGTCTATCTGCTTGGCCATCCTGATACAAACAACTATTTGTGCATTTCAGATCATACTGGTCCCAAGTTTGACATCGATATGATGGTTTCACTTCTGAGGCAAGAAAATGCAAGAGACATTTGTGTGATCCAGGTTCCTCCAGAAATGAGATATACAGATTACTTTGTGATTGTTAGTGGAACTTCTACCCGACACTTACATGCCATGGCCTTCTACGTTGTGAAAATGGTAGGATGCTTTCTTTTCTCTTTTGGACCATTAACTGAGTGGAATAGTGACAGTGCATCAGGCCAAGGAGCAACACTTAGAGGGTAAACCCATCATACAAAGTTACAGAAGAAGCCCAAATTTTCAGAATTTGCATGAATTCATTTTATGTTCTTTGATAGTGAAACATATGGGAGCAAATATCCAGCCCTATTGAGTTAGGATATATCAAAATCTTTTCTCTTGTGACCGCAAGGAAGATTTTTTTTTTTTTTCTAATTGAGATGGAGTTTTGCTCTTGTTGCCCAGGCTGGAGTGCAATGGCGCGATCTCTGCTCACCGCAACCTCCGCCTCCCGGGTTTAAGTGATTCTCCTGCCTCATCCTCCTGAGTAGCTGGGATTACAGGCATGCGCCACCAGGCCCAGATAATTTTGTATTTTTAGTAGAGACGGGTTTCTCCATGTTGGTCAGGCTGGTCTCAAACTCCTGACCTCAGGGGATCCGCCTGCCTCAGCCTCCTAAAGTGCTAGGATTACTGGCATGAGCCACCTCACCCGGCCGGAAAATAATATTTTATAACCTGAGGCAAGCTAGAAGACAGTATAACCAGAGGGATTTCTAGAGGCACTATCCATTACGGTAGCCACTAGCTACATGTGCCTATTTAATTATAAATTAAAATATAAATTCAGCCGGGCGTGGTGGCTCAAGCCTGTAATCCCAGCACTTTGGAAGGCCAAGGTGGGTGGATCACAAGGTCAAAAGATCAAGACCATCCTGGCCAACATGGTGAAATGCCGTCTTTACTAAAAATACAAAAATTAGCTGGGCATGGTGGCGTGTGCCTGTAATTCCAGCTACTCGGGAGGCTGAGGCAGGAGAATGGCTTGAACCTGGGAGGCGGAGGTTGCAGTGAGCTGAGATTGTGCCACTGCACTCCAGCCTGGTGACAGAGCCAGACTCTGTCTCAAAAAAAAAAAAAAAGATATAAATTCAGTTCTGCAGTTATATTAGCTATATTTCAAATGCTCAATAGCCACGTGTGGCTAATGGCTACCATATGGGACAGCCATAAAGCATTTTCATCATTGTAAAACGTTCTATTGGACAGTGCTGGCCTGGAGTTTCATTCAAAGATTTGAGCATGTCCAGTGTTCCCAAGCACTGTACGGGGTATTGGGAAGGTAAGAACAAAAAAGATGTAGTCCTTGCCCTTACAGGTCTAGTTGAGGAAAGAAAGGGGGATTGTTTTCCAGTTGCACTGAATATGAATCAGAATGAGGAAGAAAGTACTTGGAAGCCTCTAGCTGACTCTGGTACCATTCCACGGGGCCATGATACCTTTCTTAGTCTTAGTCTGTTGAGAATTGGTCATAGAGGAGGCAGTTAAGACCAAAAGAGTAGCCAAAATTGTATAGAGAAAGGTTGTAAAATAAAAAGGTGGGGCCTATACACAAAACCCTGGTACATGACAGAGCAGAAGAAGATGCCAAAAACAGGGTAATTGGAGAGATAGGGAGAGAACTAGGAAAGCATAAAGAAGAGATATACAAAGACAGCATACCAGGGTCTCTATCAGATGTAATAGTGGGATGGAGTCAGAAGACTTAGTGACCATTGGACTTGCGGATGTAAAAAGAATGGGAGGTTTTACAGAGAAGTTTCTGTGAAAGAATAAAGAAATAGAAATTGCCTTTACAAAGATTTTAGATGAGAGAAATGCAAAGGCAAGAAAGTTTTGTTGTTTGTGGTAAAATATATATAACGTAAAACCTACCGTTTAATCTTTTTTTTGGAGACAAGAGTCTCGCTCTGTCGCCCAGGCTGGAGTGCAGTGGCTCGATCTCAGCTCACTGCAGTCTCCGCCTCCCGAGTTCAAGTGATTCTCCGGCCTAAGCCTCCTGAGTAGGTGGGATTATAGGCACCCACCACCACGCTTGGCTGATTTTTCTATTTTTAGTAGAGATGGGGTTTCACCATGTTGGTCAGGCTGGTCTCAAACTCCTGACCACCTCGGCCTCCCAAAGTGCTGGGATTACAGGCATGAGCCACTGTGCCCAGCCCATTTAACAATTTTAAACTGTGTTGTTCAGTAGCTTTAAGTACCTTCACATTGACTTACAATCATTACCACCATCCGTCTCCAGAAATTTTTTCATTTTGCAAAAACGAAACTCTGAACTCATTAAACAATAACTCCCCATTTCTCCTTCCGTAGGCAGCTACCATTCTACTGCCTGTCTCTATGAATTTGACTACTTTTCAGTATCTCATAAAAGTAGAATCATAGATTTGTGACCGACTTATCTGACTTAGCATAATGTCTTCAAGGTTCATCCATGTAGTAGCATGTGCCAGAATTTCCTTCTTTCTTAAGGCTGAATAATACTCTATCTTACGTATATACCACATTTTGTTTATCCCCTTATTCATTGATGGACACTTAGATTGCTTCCACCTTTTGGCTATTGTGAATAATGCTGGTATAAATATGAGTATAGAAATACTGTTCATGAGGCTGGGCGCAGTGGCTCATGCCTGTAATCCCAGCATTTTGAGAGGCCAAGGTGGGCGGATTGCTTGAGCTCAGAAGTTTGAAACCAGCCTGGGCAACATGGTGAAACTCCATCTCTACAAAAAAGACAAAAAATAAAATAAAAAATTGGCTGGGCTTGGTGGTGTGTGCCTGTAGTCCCAGCTACTTGGAATGCTGAGGTGGAGGATTGCTTGAGCCCAGGAGCTTGAGGCTGCAGTGAGCCAAGATTGTACTACTGCACTCCACCCTGGGTGACAGAGCAAGACGCTGTCTCAAAAGAAAAAAAAAAAAAAAAAAGGCTGGGTTCACACTTGTAATCCCAGCACTTTGGGAGGCCAAGGCGGGTAGTTCACCTGAGGTTAGGAGTTCAAGACCAGCCTGGCCAAAATGGTGAAACCCTGTCTCTATTAAAAATACAATAATTAGCTGGGTGTGGTGGAGGGTTCCTGTAATCCCAGCTACTTGGGAGGCTGAGGCACGAGAATCGCTTGAACCTGGGAGGTGGAGGTTGCAGTGAGCCGAGATTGTGCCACTGCTCTCCAGCCTGGGCAACAAGAGCGAAACTCAGTCTCAAAAAAAAAAAAAATTGTTTATGTCCTTGCTTTTAATGCTTTGGGGTATGTGCAAAGAAATGGGATTGCTGGATCATATAGTGATTCTGTTTTTAATTTTTTTTCTGTTCACCAGCCTAGCACAAAGCTGAATGTTTTTAATTTTTTGAGGAGCTCCTGTATTCTTTCATAGTGGCTACACCACTTTACATTTCTCTAGCAGTGCAGAGTTTCCAGTCTTCACATCCTCATCAACAACTTATTTTCTCATTTTGGTAATAGCCATCCTAATGGGCATGACGTGATATCTCATTGTGGTTTTTATTTGTATTTCCCTAAGGATTAGTGATGTTGAGCATATTTTCTTTTGCTTATTGGCCATTTGTATATATTCTTTGAAGAAAAGTCCTTTGCTTTTTTGTTTGTTTTAAAGAGACAGTGTCTCACTTTGTTGCCCAGGCTTCAGTGCAGTGGTGTGGTCATAGCTCACTGCAGCCTGGAACTTCTGGGCTCGAGTGATCCTCTCACCTCAGCCTCCCAAGTTGCTAGGACTAGAGGAGTAGGAGTAGTCAAATTCATAGAGACAGAAAGTAGAATGGTAGGAGTTACTCCACAGTGCCCAGCTAATTTATTTTTTATAGAGACAGGGTCTCACTATATTGCCCAGACTCTTTGCCCATTTTAAAATCAGGTTGTTTGTTGTTTTGTTGTTGAGTTGTAGGAGCTCTCTATATATTCTGGATATTAATCCCTTATCAAATATGTGATTTGCAGATGTTTTCTGCCATTCTGTGGGTTGCCTTTTTACTCTTTAGAGTGTCCTTTGATGCACGAAAGTATTTAATTTTGGTGAAGTTCAGTTTATTTTTTCTTCTGTTGCCTGTGTCTTTGGTATTATATCTAATAAATAATTGCCAAACCAGTATCATGTTTTCCCTATTTTCTTCTAAGAGTTTTATAGTTTTAAGTCTCCTGTTTAGATATTTAACCCATTTTGAGTTAGTTTTTGTAGGCGGTTAGTTTTCCATGTGGACATTTCCTCAGCAACGTTTGTTGGAAGGACTGTCCTTTGTGCATTGAATGGTCTTGGCTCCATTGTTGAAAATCATTTGACCATAGGCACAAGGGTTTATTTCTGGGCTCTGTATTCTGTTTCATCAGTCTGTGCGTCTGTCTTTTTGCCAGTTTCAGACTGTTTTGTTTACCATAGCTTTGTTCTAAGTTTTGAAATCAAGAAATATGAGACTCCAACTTTGTTCTTTTACAAGATTGTTTTGGCTATTTGGGGTTCCTTGAGAGTCCATATAATTTTTTTTTTTTTTTTGAGATGGAGTTTCGCTTTTGTTGCCCAGGCTGTAGTACAGTGGCACAATCTCGGCTCACAGATTCAAGCAATTCTCCTGCCTCAGCCTCCCAAGTAGCTGAGGTTACAGGTGCCCGCCACCATGCCCAGCTAATTTTTTGTATTTTTAGTAGAGATGAGGTTTCACCATTTTGGCTAGGCTGGTCTTAAACTCCTAACCTCAGGTGATGCACCCGCCTTGGCCTCCCAAAGGGCTGGGATTACAGGTGTGAGCCACCGTGTCTGGCCCCACATAAAGTTTAGGTTGGATTTTTCTGTTTCTTCAAAAAATATTGTGATCTTGATATAGATTGCACTGAATCTGTAGACTGCATTGGGTAGTATTGGCATCTTTACAATATTGTCTTCCCATCCATGAATATGAAGTATCTTTCCATTTACTGGCATCTGTAAGTTCTTTCAGCAGTGTTTTGTAGTCTTCATTGTACAAGTCTTTTGCTCCTGTGGTTAAGATTATTCTGCTAGGCTGCTCACGGTGGCTGATGTCTGTAATCCTAGCACTTTGGGAGGCCGAGGCAGGCAGATCACCTGAGATCGGGAGTTCAAGACCAGCCGCACCAACATGGAGAAACCCCGTCTCTACTGAAAATACAAAATTAGCCGGGCGTGGTGGCGCATGCCTGTAATCCCGGCTACTTGGGAGGCTGAGGCAGGAGAATCGCTTGAACTTGGGAGGTGGAGGTTGCTGTGAGCCGCGATTGCGCCATTATAGTCCAGCCTGGGCAACAAGAGCGAAACTCAAAACAAGAACGTCTCAATTAAAAAAAAAAAAGTATTATTCTGCTATTGTAAATGGAATTCTAAAAACTTTGTTTCCAGGTTGCTCATTGTTAGTGTATAGAAATACGATGGATTTTTGTGTGCTGAATTTGTTTAGTAGCCCTAACTGGGTTTTTTTTGTGGAATCTTTGGGGTTTTCTACATATGAAGTTGTATTGTCTTCAGAGATAATTTTACTTCCTCCTTTCCAATTTGGGTACCTTTTTTTTTTTTATTGACGAATTGCTCTGACTAGAACTTCCAATACTGTGTTGAATAGAAGTAGCAAAAGCAGGCATAGTCTTGTTCCTGATCTTACAGGAAAGCTTTCAGTCTCACCATTGAATATATTAGCTGTGTGCTTTTCTCACATGGCCCTTATTATGTTGAGGTAATTTCCTTTTATGCCCACTTTGTTGAGTGCTTTATTGTGAAAGGGTATTGAATTTTGTTAAATGCTTTTTCTGCGTCAGTTCAGATTATCATATAGATTTTTTCTTCATTCTGTTAATGTGGTGTTATTGCATTGATCCGTTTTTATATGTTGAACCACCTTGCATTCCAGGGATAAATCCCACTTGGTCATGGTCTATAATCCTTTTAATATGGTGCTGAGTTTGGTTTGCTAGTATTTTTGTTGAGGATTTTTGCATCAAATGTTCATCAGGGTTATTGGTCTTATGGAATGAGTTAGGAAGTGTTCCCTGTTCTTCAATTTTTTGGGGAGAATTTGAGTATTGCATTCTTGTTTAAATATTTGGTAAAACTCATCAGGGAAGCCATCTGGTCTAGGACTTTTGTTGGGAGATTTTTGATTACTGATCCAGTCCCCATACTAGTTATGGTCTATTGAAACTTTATATTTCTGCATGATTCAGTCAGTAGATTGTGTTTCTAGAAATTTTGCTATTTCGTCTAGGTTACCCAGTTGTTTGGTGTACAGTTGCTCATAATACTCTTACAATCCCATTTCTCTAAAATCAGTAGTGTCACTTCTTTCATTTCAGATTTTAGTTGTCTTTTTTCTTAGTCATTCTAAGAACCAAATCCTAGTTTCATTGATTTTGTCTTTTTCCTGCCCTAATTATCATTTCCTTTGATTTTGGGGTGATGTATATGAGATGTCCTTTGTCTCTTGTAACAGTTTTTACTTAATTGCCATCTTGTTTGATATTAGTATATCTGTTTTAACAAAAGAACTGAGCACATTTATAGGATGACGGGGTCCCATTAACATGTCATAAAGGCAGATGAGATGAAATCAGTGGCACTGAAACAACCTGGCTTTATAAACAGAAGGTAGTATCTGCAGCCCCTAAAGGTGAAGGAAAGCTGGGATGAACACAAGTGATGGATGTAGGTGGGTACCAAATGCTGACTGAGCTTAGCTTTTTCAGCCTCAGAGGCACCTTGGTGAATGAATGGGGTGACCCTCTCAGAAGGGCTGGGGCAGGAGAATTCAGGAGAGAGGTGAAAGTGAATAAGATTTAGAGGGAGAAATAGTTTCCCTAAGTTATTCATCACAGGGCAAAGTATAGCAATGAGAAATGAGTAAGAAAGATTAAAAAAAACAAACAAACAAACAAAAAAAAAAGACCTTCAGCAAGAACAGGCTTCCCCCATCCCCTCTCCCTTTAATAAACCACCTGGCTTTTTGCAGTACAAACACCTGAAATGTAAACGTGACCCTCATGTTAAGATAGAAGGGAAGGACACTGATGACTGGCTGTGCGTGGATTTTGGTAAGTTATTCTGGCGTATTTTACAGGTAACTGTTGGTACTACGCTAATCTTGAATTGTTTTCAGTTGCAAAAGGATTGAGATCAAATTGATGAATGTATTTCCAGGTAAGATTTTTGAAGTGTGTTTAAGGTAACAAAAGTTTTTTTAGTTATAATCCAGGTGGTCTTATTCACATGTAGAATTTTCACCTAACCAAACCAAAGTACCCTAGATGATGCCCTCCTGGAGGAAGATATATACTACATGGTGTGTATCTACTAGCCACACAGATCAGGAAGGTGGTGGACAACAGGATAACATAGTAGAGGCGGGAGAGATTCCTTAGTAGTGGTAGAGGAAGGTTTGGGGGCTGTGGTGCATAAATGAGATGAGGATGAGGTTATTCCAGGCACAAAAAAGGACAAGAGCAGAAGACTAGAATTTTGAAAAGATCTAACAACTTTGGGTATTAATGTGTACATAGTTTCAAAGCACCTCCCAACAAGATAATATTTACAAAGGGGAAACATAACTGTATGTCAAGAACTGAGGAGTCTGAGATTTTATTCTGCTTGTAAGCTAATACATTGTCCCGCCAGTTTTCATGGACACTGGTAAAAGACAAGACTATTAGAGGGTTAGAGACAAAGAACAGTTTATTACTCACAGCAGTAGCCAGCATCCATTTTGCACTGGTTTCCTGAGCTCTGGATTCCATAGGGCAACATGGGCCAGATGACACCAGCACACACAGTTGTAAAACTGGAACTCAGATGAGGGTGTCTAGGTTTTTTATAACTGGCAGGAAGCAGGCCTACTTTTGCTCTGATGGTTTCTCACTTTTGTCGCTATTAACGTTTTGGACCAGGTAATTTTGCATGTGGGGGAGGGGTGTCTCTTGTGCACGGTACGATGTTTAGCAGTATCCTCCCTTCTCCAATTGTGACAATCAAAAATGACTCTAAACATTACCATTATTACCTAATTGAGAAATGCTGCTGTAAGCAAAGCTGCCCTTTGCCCTGGAGGGAGGCAGTATCTTTCTGTTAAGAATATTCACGATACAAACATTCTTGGATAGTCAAAACAAAAGGCAGTCAGTGTTTTTGCACAAAAGATGTGCAGAAGTGTGTTACCCATGGAGAATTGTCACCGAAGAGAATCCTGACACCATTAGTCTCTTTGATAAAGTTACTATCACCAGCAATGTTATATATTGACATATGCCTCCTGTAGGTACACTGAGAAAGGCATAGCATCACTTCTGTGGTATTTTTGCTGGGATGGAGTCCACAGTGATGCTAATCTGGGAACCACACTTGAGAACCACTGCTTTATTCCTAGAGTTAGCCAGTGTGTGTTGTAAGGTAAGAATAAAAGCAAATGAACTATTCCTTCATTGTATCTCTTATCTGTCCCTGACAGGCAGCATGGTGATTCATTTGATGCTTCCAGAAACCAGAGAAATCTATGAATTAGAGAAATTATGGACCCTACGTTCTTATGATGACCAGTTAGCTCAGATAGCACCTGAGACAGTACCTGAAGACTTCATTCTTGGAATAGAAGATGATACTTCATCTGTGACTCCAGTGGAGTTAAAATGTGAATAAAATATTTTATGCACTGCGTTAGTCATTTCAGATTTGGATTGAGTCACTTATTGGAAAATACAGCTCCTAAAGTCCGTCTCCTTGGTTAGGCTGCTCTTAGGACAAGGCTTGTGTACCTCATGGGCACTCCTGCTAACTGGCATGCAGAGACTGTCGATAAGTGAGCTATACCTGCAACCAAAAATCAGTACATTCTACCCAAAACTTATGACACGCTGCCTTTATCCTGGAAATGTCATCAGAATTTCCTGGAGTTAGCACTGGCTCCTGTGCTTGACTTCTCTGCTCAGATTTTTATTAATTTAATTTAGCTTAAATGTAAATCTTAACCCTGTTTGTTTAATGGAATGGCAAAAATTTTAAAAAATAATATAAAACATAGCCCACTGGTCTTATTTTTATACTTTGAGGTGATAATATTCTTCTAGGAGGACTTCTGTAACCCTTCCAGAATACTCCAGTAACACAAGAAAGTAAACAAAGTGTTTGTTAGGAAAAACTCTGAACGCTCTAGTTCTTAGTTCATATGCAAGAGTATTATCAAGGTTCACATTAAGTACCATGGCTGGACATGGTATAACAGAAATCTGCGTAGAGTTTGAAAAAAAATTCAGAACATTCCCATTCAATTGAAAACCAAAAATAAAACATACTACACAACAAGCTGCACCTAAATGATGAAAAAATTTATTCTGCGTCAAGGTATCTGGAAAATGAAGCTGCATTTGGGGCACATTATACATGAGGAATGATCCATATATGGTGAGTACAAAACTCAATTATAGAATTATTTCTTAGCTAGTACCAGATACTCCAAATTACAAATGCTTAAGTAAAAGTAAAATATGATTTGCCATACTAAAAGGCTAGAAGTGAAATATGACAGAATTTAAACCAGCAGATATAAATGCAGCACCTATGTGTATATTTTTAAAAAATCAAATATTGGGGAAAAAAATCAAATACTGAGAAAAGCTCTGGCCTTAAACACATCTTACCTGAAATCCAACCAGAAAGCCAGTCCATGATTTTAGCAATTTTAATTCATTGTATGAAAAAAAAATCATGAATGCTAGGAGAATCCAGTGACAAAAAGGGCACTTTTTTGGTTAAAACTACAAAAGAAACTTGTTTTCAGAGAACATTAAGGAAAACACTTTAAATCATTTTCAAAATGTCTAATTGATCTTCAGAAAAACATCTAGTCTGTATAGAAATTCATCTTGAAATAAGAATGAGGCAGTGATTTTTTTTTTAAAGGGTTATATATATGTCCTTTAGATCAGTGTAACATGACTGTGATCATCTTACAAACAAAACTCAAAAAATCAATTCAGAGAGCAGCGTGGCCTTGGAGACCACCCACACCCAACACAATTGTACGTACTGGGCTTTGCTGTCAAGGAGTGAGCAAATGAGTTCGTTATCAAAGGTCATATGTTTTCACAGTCATTCAAATTATATCCCAAAAACTTTTCTTGTATTCTCTATCTTTTGACTTTTTTTTCAAAGAACTGATTGCACAGTATACAGAAATCCTGTTATACTTTACTACTTAAGGTGGAGTCTAATTTTTTTTTTTTAATTTATCAGTGCTTAAAAATCTTCAAAATAGCTTAGTGAGGCTCATGACAGTGCTGGCCCCATGGAAATGTAGCCTTTTGTTGCGTTTAAACACTGTCACACCATCTATGACTGTCCCATTGGTCTGAAGTGTAGTGGCAAACTAAGCATCCTATAAGACAAGCTAAAGCTTGCTTTTTGCCAGTCAGTTGAAAGTCTTGCATCTCTTCACTGATGCACTTTCTTTAGGTATTGATAGTCAGAAGCACAAAGCATTTATTATGCATTCAATCATGTAGCTAAACAAAAAACTGAAGTCTCCTGAAGCCATTTAAACCAGCCGTTCCAAAATCTCCTGCGACCACTTTGTTAGTACCGTCAAAAACTTTCCCAACTATAAATGAAAGAATAAATGGTAGTGCTGCTCTCCAGATACTAGGCACTGCTCCGTATTTTTGAACATTTGATTTAACTAATAACTGTGTCAAAAGCCTCAAAAAACCCTGAAATTAATTTTCCAGCTTTACTGTCACCAGCCAGAAGTAAAAATCTTAATTTGCCTGTTAGCTGATTGCTGTTAAATTTTAAATTTATTTTTTAAAAAACGGTTGGACTTCTATCATTATAAAGTATATAAAATTTTCAAAAAAAAGGAACAATTTTGCTTTTCATTGTATTACTGAATACCTGAGGTAGTTGAGTAAAAATGCACGTTTAATACCCCTGCCAACACCATTCAGCACTTCCCTTAGGTTACTCATGTTAGTGTTAGGTAAAAATAAAACTGAGAACAGTTTTTCTATGCTAATGGCTTAACATTTAAGTTCCTGTGATAATTATTCTGATCCAATTTTAACAATTGGATTTAGGAGCAATCTATTTGATGAATTTAGTGAAAGCATCATTAAGCCAATTTCTGGCATTATGGGGGAATATTAAGAAGAATTAGAATATCTGTTATACTGTGAGACTACAACAAAGGGAAGTGCAGAGCTCTTCTCTTTCCCTCCCTCCCCCACCCTTTTTTTGTTTGTTTGTTTGTTTGTTTTAAAGCTGGGTGTCATACATTTCAGAGAGCATAAAGTATACATTCTCACAGAGACAGGAGTTCAAAAGTTGCCTGGTCCTCAGAAACAACTGGCTAGGTAAAAACTTGTGCATGTGATTCTGGATAGGGGGTCAGCGCCCATCTGTTGGTTAAGCAATCTGTCTTTGGTTTGGCATCTGCCTCTGTGGTGGGCTGTTTCCTGAGCCTTTACTTCCGTCTTGACTGAGGTGGTCCACTTTGCAGAGCCTTCTGTTGTTGGTGCTGCTTTACCTGAGTCAGAATTTCCTGAATTTTTCTCTGGGCAACCTAGAAAAGGACAGAGCTTTGAAATTCCACTTGATCAAAAGCTACTAAAAGTTATTGTACTCCTTCATTTCAACAATTTCAAATAGAAATCCATTTGATGATTAAAGATACATACTAGTCAGTTTGCTAGTAGTCTCTGAAATCACCCGCTAAAAGGGAGATGAAAAGTCTTAAGCATCAAACAACCTTAACTAATTCTATCAGGTAGGAGCACCTGTGGGAGAATTGCTTCCACGTGAGAAAGATACAATAGCTTATTTTAGAGCCCACTTGCCTGGCAAGCATAGAAGTGACCAGTTATTTTGACAACCACTTGGTCATTCTCATCAGGTGTCTGGTCACGAGGGACAACAACTTCTGCACTTGACAAATTCTGAAGTTCATTCACCTGAAAGAGATAAATATAAATCACATTAAGTGGCAGTTTTAAAACCTTACTTCCTAAGCACTTACTGTGCGCCAGACAGTGAGCTATGTATGGCTTTACAAATTTCATTTAATCCAGTGGTAATTCCATGAGGTTATTAGAATTATCCCCACTTCAAGATGATTAAGGCTCATCCAAAGAAACTGATTTGTCCAGTTATACAAGTGAATGGCAAAACCAGATTCAAATCCTGAGTCTGATTCCAAAGTGTATGTACTCAATCACTTCAAAATTATAAATAGCTTTGAAACCCACTTACAAGTTATATGTATTAGAGACTAGAAACAGTTTGCTTTTTTTCCATTACAGATGTAACAAGCTGTAGATGAAATTTTTAAAATTCCTGTTAAGTGTCTGTTCCATAAAAAGCTAAAGTTTTATCAGGAGAACGTTAAATGCCCTTTATAAATATAGGACAATCCTCTCACACAAAGTGATCTGAAAGAGATGCATTACTTTCACTAATAGCTGGCACCAACACTCAGACAGGAAACAAAAGGCAATCTTCTCCAAACCTTGGTCAAGATGGTCCTGCTTTTTATAAATTAGCCAAAATTCGGGGACTTGGAACTCCTAAGTACCTTTCAACGCTTTCCCTTTCATACCACTGCACAGGTTTTGCTGAAGTACTTGCCGTTTTGCCTCCTTTTCCAATAACTCTGCCAGCAGCAAAGGATGGCACTCTGATATGAGCTTCAAGTTTCACCTCTTCTTTAGGACTAACAAAGTTTTCTTCTTTAATTTTTCCATAAATTCTTCCCTGAGCCTGCAGATGAAAACACATCCTATTAGTGTCATTCATGTATGAAATGGAAAAGGTCAGTTAACTTGAAAGATGGCCCAAATCCAAGTGGGATAGCCCTTTGCAGTGATACATCTACATTTCATAGATTGTTGAAAATAACATAGAAGAGAGCAGTTAGAAGTCCTAAAAGGTTGACAATAACTACTGCCCATCACAGTAGAGGCAACTGAATGCTTGGTGAAAGAAGGATAAACCATATTCTTCTGATGAAAACAGTTAAAGGCAATTAATAACCTAATAAAAACGAATTTTTGTGGGCAAATGGCCATTCGTACTAAAATTGTGATAGGTAAAACTTCTCATGCTGGCCATGAGACATCAGTTGCATTTTTCTTTCCTTTTTGTTGGAGTCAGGGTCCTCCTGTTGTCCAGGCTGGAGTGCAATGGTACAATCATAGCTCACTGCAGCTTCAACCTCCTGGGCTCAAGCGATCCTCCTACCTCAGCCTCCTGAGTAGCAGACTACAGGCATGCAACACCACACCTGACTTATTTTTTTTTTTTTTTTGAGACGGAGTCTTACTTTGTTGCCCAGGCTGGAGTGCAGTGGCACGATCTTGGGTCACTGCAACCCCCGCCTCCCAGGTTCAAGTGATTCTCCTGCCTCAGCCTCCTGAGTAGCTGGGACTACAGGCACTAGCCACCACACCTGGCTAATTATTTTTGCATTTTTAGTAGGCATGGGGTTTCACCATGTTGGTCAGGCTGGTCTCGAACTCCTGACTTCAAGTGATGTGCCCACCTCAGCCTTCCAAAAGTGCTAGAATTACAGGTGTGAGCCACTGCGCCACTAATTTTTATAGAGATGGGGGTCTTGCTATGTTGCCACGCTCATCACAAACTCCTGGGCTCAAGAGTCCTGCCTTGGCCTCCCAAAGTGTTGGTATTACCAGTGCAAGCCACCACACCTGGTCACATTTTTTTTGAGCAAAAGAGACAGAACTGCAGAGTCAGCTATGCCAAGCTCACTAAAAGTCAAGCTCACATCTACATGGGCCAGTTAGAAACCTGCTGAGAAAAATGTTTTCAATTTAAATGTGTTTCATACTCTTAGAAAGGTGGTTTTTCCTTTGAATATTTTAAAGAGGCTACAACATCAAGGTAAGACACTTTTTTCTTTTTTGAGACAGAGTCTCACCCTGTCATGCAGGCTGAAGTGCAATGGCATGGTTTCGGCTTACTGCAACCTCCGACCCCCGGGTTCAAGCCATTCTCCTGCCTCAGCCTCCCAAACTAGCTGGGATTACAGGTGCCCGCCACCACACCCAGCTAATTTTTTGTTGTTATTTTAGTTGAGACGGGGATTCACCATGTTGGCCAGGCTGGTCTTGAACTCCTGACCTCAGGTGATCCACCCACCTTGGCTTCCCAAAGTGTTGGGATTATGGGCATGAGCCACTCACTGTGCCCTGCCTTTTATTTTTTTTTATTTTTTTATTTTATTTTTTTTAGAGACAGAGTCTCTTTCTCTGTGGTGCGATCTCAGCACACTGCAACCTCTGTCTCCTGGGTTCAAGTGACTCTCCTGCCTCAGCCTCCTAAGTAGCTGGGATTACAGGCATCCACCACCATGCCTGGCTAATTTTTGTATTTTTAGTAGAGATGGAGTTTTGCCATGTAGGCCAGGCTGGTCTGGAACTCCTGGACTCAAGTGATCTACCCACCTAGGCCTCTCAAAGTGCTGGGATAGCAAGCGTGGGCCACCGCGCCTGGCCAAGACACTTCTGATATTTAGAGTCAATACATCCTATCACCTACTGCATGCAACTATATAAACAACCTATTATATATAAACAACCTATTACATACAGCAAAGCAGAAAGGAGCCTGAGAGTTGGTTTGACAAGCTGCCAGGGTAAACCACAAAAAACAATAGTACCCAACACGCGTTCACTGATTCAGAAAGCTGAGCTCATTTTAGGGCACTACCGACAAAACAAAATTCATCTTGATACCCTATATTCCAATGATCCTTAATGCCTCAGGCCAATGACGTAGATATTACTATTACTTAAGACAGTCAAAAAGACACTAGGGATATACACTATCCTCCAAAACTGAAGCTCTTGAATTTGTAAGGAAAAATACGGGGTAGGTGGTTTACCATTCCTTAGATCTCTAAAGTAAAACATTCATTTAGCATTGTCACCAATCACATAAATAAAATTTAACTACTATGGCTTAAGTGTTACATTTAAGTTAACTATAAAACATGAGTTTTATTAGTGAATACAGGGAAAGAACTTTGAAGTTCCTATCATACAAACATCATAGGAGTTGCAGGACAGTAATTCTACTTATAAGACTAAAAGCTCAGCACCAAGGAAAGACATGTTTGTATTTATCTTTTAAGATTTCAAACTAAAAGTGACCCTGAGAGTTTGGGATAGGAAGCAGTTTTCAACAATTCTGAGTTAAGATTTGAACTGCCTGGATCACAAGGCTGCTGTGAAGGAATAAATTTCTTCACATGATTTTCTTTCTTCACCTAACCACCCACATCTCAAAGCACCTCCTTCGTTTCCCATTCTTCACATAAGTGAAAGCAGCTTTGGGTTTTTAGTGAAAAAATGGCCCAGAGAAAATAGAAGTCAAAGAAAGTGATTTTTTTTGTTTGATTTAAGGGAGAGAGGTGGGGTGGGGAGAGAACTGTATGCACTGTTACTAGTTACTGTTACACTTTAAGGCTAAAAAAACTAAGGCTTGGCCAGGAGCACAGTGGCTGATGCCTGTAATCCCAGCACTTTGGGAGGCTAAGGTGGGCGGATCACTTGAGGTCAGGAGTTTGAGTGTGTGGCCAACATGGTGAAACCCCATCTCTACTAAAAATAAATTGGCTGGGCGTGGCGGCACATGCCTGTAATCCCAGCTACTCGGGAGGCGGAGGCAGGAGAATCGCTTGAACCCAGGAGGTGGAGTTTGCAGTGAGCTGAGATCACGCCACTGCAGTCCAGCCTGGGCGACAGAGTGAGACTCTGTCTCAAAAAAAAAAAAAAAAAAAAGAGAAAAAAAAAACTACAGCTTAAGGTTAAATAGTTGTCTTCTTACACAGCCACTAAATGTTCTAAGACAAGACACCCATACTAAATTTTGTGGGAGAAATCATACACTAAAAGGAATATATTTATGAATTTGGCATGGTCTTAGTCTGATTCATCCATAGTCTGTTGAATACCCCCAGCACGCTAATTTTGTGCTGCCCATGTGTTAGGCACTTTTCTAAACATTTCATATATTGTGTAAACCTTAAACTACCTTAGGATGTAGGTGCTCTTATCCCTGGTTTTACAGAAAAAGGTTAAGTAACTTGCCCAATGTCATACAAGGCAAATGGCAGAGCTAGGATTTGAACTAGCAGCCTGGCTGCCAAGTCTCAGCTCTACCATCTCTCAGTAGACATTGAAAGGCACACTGCAGCCCCAAAGACCTCAAATCCCACTAAACGTGCAATGGTTCATACCAGAACAAATGCTACAAGAGCTCCTGCCATTCCTATCTCTAAGATCCCAGGGATTAGAGAGATTTGTAGAGTCTATGGGCAGGGTCTAACAGAGATAATCCAAGGGTAAGGAAAAAGGGGGCATTTTAATTCAAGTCTAGGCAATCTCAGGGACAGGAGGGAAAACATCTGAAAACAAGTTTCCAAGGCATATTAACCTGGCAGGTTTGTAAATTTTAAGGTCTCACCTTAGCATAGGATTACAAACCATTAAGCAAAATTAACCTTTGAGAGACAGGTAAATCCAGCAACCAGTACAGAACTCTTAAAATTAAAGACTTTTGGTTAATTTCGAAATATAATTTTGAGTGTGATTCTACTCAGCTCTTAGATAAGAATTTCCATTGACTCTTTCTGAGATTTAGACATATTTAAGGGAGACGCCAGGTTATGGACTACCTGTGCATTTGTTACCTGTGGACATAGCACATACTCTAGAGCACATACCTTGAACTGAGCCTCTGGTGGTCCAGTGATAATCACCATCCTCACTTTAGCATCTGGTGCTTCCGCTGGAGCAATCTGTAACAGACCCAACAACAAGTTATGATACTTTCAGGTATCACTGATAGGCATCTTGGGCCAACCAGCCTAACATTTGCATGTGACTGGCTGAAATGCAGAATTAAAGCCTTCGTGAAGGAAATTAGGGAGAGGCAGCAATTCCTGTGGGTTCACAATTTAGGCCTCCCTCCTGCATATACTATATGCTTATTCTGTGCCGGGCCCTAATGGAGACCTCCACGTGCTGTCTCTCAGCTAATCCTCACCACGTCCTGATGAAGTAGTATTACCTCCACTTCACAAATGCGGAAATGGAAGGCTGGAGAAATTGAGTTATCTGGACCATGATCACACAGCTAACAGAGCTAGAGGGAGAGCTGGGTCTGTCTCCATTGCCTGTGTTCACTACACCAGTGGTGCTCAAAGTATGGTCCTTGGCCCACTTGCATCAGGGCTCCTTGGGCTTCCTGTGTATGCAACACACTCTAGGAATCTCTGTACCCTAAGTTTCAAGGATACTGCACACCACATGCCTTTGTTTGTCTGAGGCAGGGTCTTACTGTGTGGCCTAGGCTGGAGTGCAGTGGTGTGATCATAGCTCACTGCAGCCTCAACCACCCAAGCTCAAGTGTTCCTCCCACCTCAGCCTCCCAAGCAGCTGGGACTACAGGTGTGTGCCACCATGCCTGGCTAATTACACTTTTTTTTTTGTAGAGATGGGGTCTCACCATGTTGCACAGTCTGGTCTTCAGCTCCTGGGGTCAAGCAATTTGCCTGCTTTGGCCTCCCAAAGTGCTGGGATTACAGGTGTGAGCCACCGCACCTGGCCAACCTTTATTTTCCTTAAATAAGGCATCAAAATACAGAATCTTCAGAACACACAGTTATCTATTACGGCAGACACCATTATTTGTCCTCTGGTATGTTACCTTCTGTAGTTACAAAATGTTTAGCTGACTGTGCATAGCCTGTATTTTGCCCCTTCAACTTCGTCTGGCCAAGTTCTGGGCAATGGAAATATAGGTAGAAATATCCCACAGTAGCTAACAAGAAACCTCCCTAGAAGAAAAGCTCTTTATTATGTTCTCCTCTCCTACTGGCTGGGCAACAGACCTGATTCCTGGAGCACTGAATGGTGTCAATCTGGAACCAAGAGGGACCAAGGCCGTACCTGGGGAAGGTGGCTTGGAAGGAACTTAGGTCCAAGGACTTGGTGGGGGCAGAGCCAACACCCAGCCCGGATGTTCACCTCCTAACTGTGTTTTCTGCACAGAGAAGTTAGCCTCCTTGGTGTAAGCCACTGTTGTTTGGGGGTTTCTTCATATCCTTATGTAACCCTAACAGTGTCTTTTACATTCTATTCAAATTATAAAGTGGCAAGAAGATTCATATTTCTGTAACTTACTTAAAGAACCAGAGAACCACAGCTGGTAGAACAGTACCTTAATTGAAGCTCCAGCAAAGCGAGAAAGCTGCTTGATGTGCTGGCCCTGCTTGCCGATGATGGCACCGACTGATAGAGCTGGGATAAACAGATGAACAGTCTCCGTTTCTGATTGCTGTTAGAAAAGAAAGCCAGGACACCCATGTTTATTTGCTACAAATCAGGCTTTTGTTAACATTAGCTTTAGGAAGGACACCTTCTCATGCAGTAGGAATACCAGGAAAGTTTAAGGAAAAGCTACCATAAGAAGTTGACCAGACCTTACCTAATAGGTCAAGAAGATCTCATACAGTCATCCTGAAAACAGTGGTATTTAAAATTTCACTTTTCTCTACTGTTGCCTTAAACTTTAAAATGTCACTGAGTTATGGATTTAAAAGATATGTAGATGTTGTAAAGTTTAATCATATTAGAATAGCGGGACATGCTTGCATTAAAAATTAAGTAAGAGCCCCCTACCACTCTCAAGGTAGATTCTTAACAAGTAAATGAAATTCTGGGCTACATATCAAACACAACAGAACTCAAGGACGCCAGCTCCACACCTTATCTATGTAGGTTTCACTCCTTAAACACATACACAGTGAAGTGTTTAAGAGAAAAGCTGAATTTTGTTACATATGACTAAATTGTATGAAACCTTACCACTGTCATTCAATAGTTATCACATCCAAGCACAGGACAGGATTAGGAGAGAGCTAATTCACTTTAGTGGTAAGATGCCCTAAGATGCTTTCCCACAGAATTCCTTATTCCTTCCATCTGTGCCTTCCCTTTGCTTTTTTTTTGAGATGGAATCTCACTCTTGTTGCCCAGACTAGAGTGCAATGGCACGATCTCGGCTCACTGCAACCTCCACCTCCCGGATTCAAGCTACTCTCCTGCCTCAGCTTCCCAAGGAGCTGAGATTACAGGCACTTGTCACCACACCCGGCTAATTTTTTTTTTTTTTTGTAGAGATAGGGTTTCACCATGTTGGCCAGGCTGGTCTTGAACTCCTGACCTCAAATGATCCACCCGCCTTGGCCTCCCAAAGTGCTGGGATTACAGGCGTGAGCCACTGCGCCCAGCCCCCTTTGCATTTTATACATGAAAAAATTAGAAAATATTTTGTAGGCTAACTCCTGAAAGGTCATTCATAAATAGATTTTATCTATGTACCTCATTCCTTCACTACTTCCCACTTCAAGCCAGTTGTGCCCTTCCTGGGTCTCTTTTCAAATAGTCCTTGCAGGGATAAAGGACACATTTGCTCAAGAGTTCACAGTGACTGGGCTCCTAAAAAGGCCAATTCAAGGTTCAAGGTTCAGTAATGCTACCAGTCAACTAACAGTTCTAAAGTACAGAAGCAGTGCACATAATTTATGCATTTTCCACTTTGTTTACCTTCTAACAATATAGTGAGAAAAACACTTCCAAGGATAAGCTAGTTCCAAGACACATATTACAAGAAATAGTTATTGAAATGAGCCACAACTGAAGAAGCCAGTAATATGCTTTTGTTTAAAAAAAAAAAAAAAAAAAAAAGCCAGGCACAGTAGTTCATGCCTGTAATCCCAGCACTTTGGGAGGCCAAGGTGGGTGGACTGCTTGAGCCCAGGAGTTTGAGACCAGCCTGGGCAACATGGCAAAACCCCATCTCTTCAAAAATTACAAAAATTAGCCAGGCATGGTAGCGCTTGCCTGTGGTCCCAGATACTCAGGGGAGGCTGAGATGGGAGGATCACTTGAGCCCAGGTGGTTCAGGATGCAGTGAGCTGAGATCACACCACTGCTCTCCAACCTGGGTGAGAGTGAAACTCTGTCTCAAAAAAAAAAAAAAAAAAAAAAGAAAAAACAAAAAAGAAAAGAAAGGAAAAACCCAGTATGTATACCCAATCAGCAAATGTTTCTAGAAATATTAGAAGATATTTTGTCGGGAGGGAGGAGCCAAGATGGCCAAATAGGAACAGCTCCAGTCTACAGCTCCCAGCGTGAGCGATGCAGAAGACGGGTGATTTCTGCATTTCCATCTGAGGTACTGGGTTCATCTCACTAGGGAGTGCCAGACAGTGGGCGCAGGTCAGTGGGTGCATGCACCATGGGTGAGCCGAAGCAGGGCGAGGCATTGCCTCACTCGGGAAGCGCAAGGGGTCAGGGAGTTCCCTTTCCTAGTCAAAGAAAGGGGTGACAGACGGCACCTGGAAAATCGGGTCACTCCCACATGAATACTGCGCTTTTCCGACGGGCTTAAAAAACGGCACACCAGGAGATTATATCCCGCACCTGGCTCGGAGGGTCGTACGCCCACGGAGTCTCGCTGATTGCTAGCACAGCAGTCTGAGATCAAACTGCAAGGCGGCAGCGAGGCTGGGGGAGGGGTGCCCGCCATTGCCCAGGCTTGCTTAGGTAAACAAAGCAGCCAGGACGCTCGAACTGGGTGGAGCCCACCACAGCTCAAGGAGGCCTGCCTGCCTCTGTAGGCTCCACCTCTGGGGGCAGGGCACAGACAGACAAAAAGACAGCAGTAACCTCTGCAGACTTAAATGTCCCTGTGTGACAGCTTTGAAGAGAGCAGTGGTTCTCCCAGCACACAGCTAGAGCTCTGAGAACGGGCAGACTGCCTCCTCAAGTGGGTCCCTGACCCCTGACCCCCAAGCAGCCTAACTGGGAGGCACCCCCCAGCAGGGGCACACTGACACCTCACAGGGCCGGGTACTCCAACAGACCTGCAGCTGAGGGTCCTGTCTGTTAGAAGGAAAACTAACAAACAGAAGGGACATCCACACCAAAAACCCATCTGTACATCACCGTCATCAAAGACCAAAAGTAGATAAAACCACAAAGACGGGGAAAAAACAGAGCAAAAAAACTGGAAACTCTTAAAAAGCAGAGTGCCTCTCCTTCTCCAAAGGAACACAGTTCCTCACCAGCAACAGAGCAAAGCTGGACGGAGAGTGACTTTGATGAGCTGAGAGAAGGCTTCAGACAATCCAATTACTGTGAGCTACGGGAGGAAATTCAAACCAAAGGCAAAGAAGTTGAAAACTTTGAAAAAAGTTTAGAAGAATGTATAACTAGAATAACCAATACACAGAAGTGCTTAAAGGAGCTGATGGAGCTGAAAACCAAGGCTCGAGAACTACGTGAAGAATGCAGAAGCCTCAGGAGCCGATGTGATCAACTGGAAGAAAGGGTATCAGCGATGGAAGATGAAGTGAATGAAATGAAGCAAGAAGGGAAGTTTAGAGAAAAAAGAATAAAAAGAAACGAGCAAAGCCTCCAAGAAATATGGGACTATGTGAAAAGACCAAATCTACGTCTGACTGGTGTACCTGAAAGTGACGGGGAGAATGGAACCAAGTTGGAAAACACTCTGCAGGATATTATGCAGGAGAACTTCCCCAATCTAGCAAGGCAGGCCAACATTCAGATTCAGGAAATACAGAAAACGCCACAAAGATACTCCTCGAGAAGAGCAACTCCAAGACACATAATTGTCAGATTCACCAAAGTTGAAATGAAGGAAAAAATGTTAAGGGCAGCCAGAGAGAAAGGTCGGGTTACCCACAAAGGGAAGCCCATCAGACTAACAGCAGATCTCTCAGCAGAAACTCTACAAGCCAGAAGAGAGTGGGGGCCGATATTCAACATTCTTAAAGAAAAGAATTTTCAACCCAGAATTTCATATCCAGCCAAACTAAGCTTCATAAGTAAAGGAGAAATAAAATCCTTTACAGGCAAGCAAATGCCGAGAGATTTTGTCACCACCAGGCCTGCCCTAAAAGAGCTCCTGAAGGAAGCGCTAAACATGGAAAGGAACAACCGGTACCAGCCACTGCAAAATCATGCCAAAACGTAAAGACCATCAAGACTAGGAAGAAACTGCATGAACTAACGAGCAAAATAACCAGCTAACATCATAATGACATGATCAAATTCACACATAACAATATTAACTTTAAATGTAAATGGACTAAATGCTCCAATTAAAAGACACAGACTGGCAAATTGGATAAAGAGTCAAGACCCATCAGTGTGCTGTATTCAGGAAACCCATCACGTGCAGACACACACATAGGCTCAAAATAAAAGGATGGAGGAAGATCTACCAAGCAAATGGAAAACAAAAAAAGGCAGGGGTTGCAATCCCAGTCTCTGATAAAACAGACTTTAAACCAACAAAGATCAAAAGAGACAAAGAAGGCCATTACATAATGGTAAAGGGATCAATTCAACAAGAAGAGCTAACTATCCTAAATATATATGCACCCAATACAGGAGCACCCAGATTCATAAAGCAAGTCCTGAGTGACCTACAAAGAGACTTAGACTCCCACACATTAATAATGGGAGACTTTAACACCCCACTGTCAACATTAGACAGATCAACGAGACAGAAAGTCAACAAGGATACCCAGGAATTGAACTCAGCTCTGCACCAAGCAGACCTAATAGACATCTACAGAACTCTCTACCCCAAATCAACAGAATATACATTTTTTTCAGCACCACACCACACCTATTCCAAAACTGACCACATACTTGGAAGTAAAGCTCTCCTCAGCAAATGTAAAATAACAGAAATTAAAACAAACTATCTCTCTGACCACAGTGCAATCAAACTAGAACTCAGGATTAAGAAACTCACTCAAAACTGCTCAACTACATGGAAACTGAACAACCTGCTCCTGAATGACTACTGGGTACATAACGAAATTAAGGCAGAAATAAAGATGTTCTTTGAAACCAACGAGAACAAAGACACAACATACCAGAATCTCTGGGATGCATTCAAAGCAGTGTGTAGAGGGAAATTTATAGCACTAAATGCCCACAAGAGAAAGCAGGAAAGATCCAAAATTGACACCCTAACATCACAATTAAAAGACCTAGAAAAGCAAGAGAAAACACATTCAAAAGCTAGCAGAAGGCAAGAAATAACTAAAATCAGAGCAGAACTGAAGGAAATAGAGACACAAAAAACCCTTGAAAAAATTAACGAATCCAGGAGCTGGTTTTTTGAAAGGATCAACAAAATTGATAGACTGCTAGCAAGACTAATCAAGAAAAAAAGAGAGAAGAATCAAATAGACACAATAAAAAATGATAAAGGGGATATCACCACCGATCCCACAGAAATACAAACTACCATCAGAGAATACTACAAACACCTCTACGCAAATAAACTAGAAAATCTAGAAGAAATGGATAAATTCCTCGACACATACACCCTCCCAAGACTAAGCCAGGAAGAAGTTGAATCTCTGAATAGACCAATAACAGGAGCTGAAATTGTGGCAATAATCAATAGCTTACCAACCAAAAAGAGTCCAGGACCAGATGGATTCACAGCCGAATTCTACCAGAGGTACAAGGAGGAACTGGTACCATTCCTTCTGAAACTATTCCAATCAATAGAAAAAGAGGGAATCCTCCCTAACTCATTTTATGAGGCCAGCATCATCCTGATACCAAAGCCGGGCAGAGACACAACCAAAAAAGAGAATTTTAGACCAATATCCTTGATGAACATTGATGCAAAAATCCTCAATAAAATACTGGCAAACCGAATCCAGCAGCACATCAAAAAGCTTATCCACCATGATCAAGTGGGCTTCATCCCTGGGATGCAAGGCTGGTTCAATATACACAAATCAATAAATGTAATCCAGCATATAAACAGAACCAAAGACAAAAACCACATGATTATCTCAATAGATGCAGAAAAGGCCTTTGACAAAATTCAACAACCCTTCATGCTAAAAACTCTCAATAAATTAGGTATTGATGGGACGTATCTCAAAATAATAAGAGCTATCTATGACAAACCCACAGCCAATATCATACTGAATGGGCAAAAACTGGAAGCATTCCCTTTGAAAACTGGCACAAGACAGGGATGACCTCTCTCACCACTCCTACTCAACATAGTGTTGGAAGTTCTGGCCAGGGCAATCAGGCAGGAGAAGGAAATAAAGGGTATTCAATTAGGAAAAGAGGAAGTCCAATTGTCCCTGTTTGCAGATGACATGATTGTATATCTAGAAAGCCCCATTGTCTCAGCCCAAAATCTCCTTAAGCTGATAAGCAACTTCAGCAAAGTCTCAGGATACAAAATCAATGTACAAAAATCACAAGCATTCTTATACATCAATAACAGACAAACAGAGAGCCAAATCATGAGTGAACTCCCATTCACAATTGCTTCAAAGAGAATAAAATACCTAGGAATCCAACTTACAAGGGATGTGACGGACCTCTTCAAGGAGAACTACAAACCACTGCTCAATGAAATAAAAGAGGATACAAACAAATGGAAGAACATTCCATGCTCATGGGTAGGAAGAATCAATATCGTGAAAATGGCCATAGTGCCCAAGGTAATTTACAGATTCAATGCCATCCTCATCAAGCTACCAATGACTTTCTTCACAGAACTGGAAAAAACTACTTCAAAGTTCATACAGAACCAAAAAAGAGCCCGCATTGCCAAGTCAATCCTAAGCCAAAAGAACAAAGCTGGAGGCATCACACTACCTGACTTCAAACTATACTACAAGGCTACAGTAACCAAAACAGCATGGGACTGGTACCAAAACAGAGATATAGATCAATGGAACAGAACAGAACAGAGCCCTCAGAAATAACACCGCGTATCTACAACTATCTAATCTTTGACAAACCTGAGAAAAACAAGCAATGGGGAAAGGATTCCCTATTTAATAAATGGTGCTGGGAAAACTGGCTAGCCATATGTAGAAAGCTGAAACTGGATCCCTTCCTTACACCTTATACAAAAATCAATTCAAGATGGACTAAAGACTTAAACGTTAGACCTAAAACCATAAAAACCCTAGGCATTACCATTCAGGACATAGGCATGGGCAAGGACTTCATGTCTAAAACACCAAAAGCAATGGCAACAAAAGCCAAAATTGACAAATGGGATCTAATTAAACTAAAGAGCTTCTGCACAGCAAAAGAAACTACCATCAGAGTGAACAGGCAACCTACAGAATGGGAGAAAATTTTCGCAACCTACTCATCTGACAAAGGGTTAATATCCAGAATCTACAATGAACTCAAACAAATTTACAGGAAAAAAACAAATAACCCCATCAAAAAGTGGGCCAAGGACATGAACAGACACTTCTCAAAAGAAGACATTTATGCAGCCAAAACACACATGAAAAAATGCTCACCATCACTGGCCATCAGAGAAATACAAAGCAAAACCACAGTGAGATACCATCTCACACCAGCTAGAATGGCAATCATTAAAAAGTCAGGAAACAACAGGTGCTGGAGAGGATGTGGAGAAATAGGAACACTTTTACACTGTTGGTGGGACTGTAAACTAGTTCAACCATTGTGGAAGTCAGTGTGGCAATTCCTCAGGGATCTGGAACTAGAAATACCATTTGACCCAGCCATCCAATCACTGGGTATATACCCAAAGGACTATAAATCATGCTACTATAAAGACACATGCACACGTATGTTTATTGCGGCATTATTCACAATAGCAAAGACTTGGAACCAACCCAAATGTCCAACAATGATAGACTGGATTAAGAAAATGTGGCACATATACACCATGGAATACTATGCAGCCATAAAAAATGATGAGTTCATGTCCTTTGTAGGGACATGGATGAAATTGGAAATCATCATTCTCAGTAAACTATCGCAAGAACAAAAAACCAAACACCGCATATTCTCACTCATAGGTGGGAATTGAACAATGAGAACACATGGACACAGGAAGGGGAACATCACACTCTGGGGACTGTTGTGGGGTGGGGGGAGGGGGGAGGGATAGCACTGGGAGATATACCTAATGCTAGATGACGAGTTAGTGGGTGCAGGGCACCAGCATGGCACATGTATACATATGTAACTAACCTGCACATTGTGCACATGTACCCTAAAACTTAAAGTATAATAAATAAATTAATTAATTAATTAATTAAAAAAGAAGATATTTTGTCTTACACAACTTAGACATGAACTACTTGATAAACACTTTCATGGGATTCTCTTGAATCTTAGATTCCTATTGCATAATACTATAAATTCAGCTCCCAAGTACTCAAGTTAACCCATCAGTACTGTAGTATGTATACACACAGCCATAAGACAGATCCTAATTTCTAATTTTTTTTTTTTTTTTTTTTGAGACGGAGTCTCGCTCTGTGGCCCAGGCTGGAGTGCAGTGGCGCAATCTCGGCTCACTGCAAGCTCCGCCTCCCGGGTTCACGCCATTCTCCTGCCTCAGCCTCCCGAGTAGCTGGGACTACAGGCGCCCACCATCACGCCCGGCTAATTTTTTTGTATTTTTAGTAGAGACGGGGTTTCACCGTGTTAGCCAGGATGGTCTCGATCTCCTGACCTCGTGATCCGCCCGCCTCGGCCTCCCAAAGTGCTGGGATTACAGGCGTGAGCCACCGCACCCGTCCTGAAATTCTTAAAAAGTCTCAAACAACCGCAGAGCAACAGTTTTGCTTTCAAAAATCTCAGGAACTAGGTAGAAATCTTTAAAATTTTAAGCCGTTTTCAAAAATCAGCCAAAGAAAACAGTAACACTGGGCTCTGACAGCTTTACTAGATGTAGAAACCAATTTGTGCCATTTAATGTCGGACTACCAAATGACATCACTCTTCCCACATGGAGATCACTAGTGGCACTAATGGTTCCACCTTTTTCCTGTGAGCCCAGAGCAGAGGCAAAGAGCAGAGCACTAAGCACCATAAATCCATGGAGAGATACTGATCACCAACGGCAGAACCCCACATCAGACACACAGGCCGTGCCACTCGCTTGTCCCCCAATGCAGACTTACCAGGAGGCCATTCCGTAGGTCACAGTTTACTCACCCTGTTTGGTAGGAATTTTAATCGTGTTTATTTAAATCTGAGAGTCTCTTTGTCTCTCTAGACGCCCACCTATGACACAGGTGAAAAATCAATCCCACTCAAAAGTAGTTGGGCTGTATCCTTTCTGCTACCTCATTTGTTTACATTTTTCAAGAAAAATCTCAACTACTATCATCTTAAATCTTTAAAGGAAAAATTCAGTTAATTGTTTCCTTTTTTTCTTTTTTTGAGACAGAGTCTTGCTCTGTCTCCCAGGCTGGAGTGTAGTGGCACAATCTTGGCTCACTGCAACCTCCACCTCCTGGGTTCAAGCGATTCTTCTGCTTCAGCCTCCTGAGTAGCTGGGATTACAGGCGTGTGCCACCATGCCCAGCTAACTTTTGTCTTTTTAGTAAAATTGGGTTTCACCATACTGGTCAGGCTGGTCTCCAACTCCTGACCTCAGGTGATCCACTGCGCCTGGCCCTTAACTACTTTTTTTAAACAACTTTAAGCCTTTGGTTTCCTCTGAAGAAAATATTTTTAACAAAAACACTCCAGAAATAACAAAAGGGCTGGTTCTTTGAATATAAGGAATAACTTTTGCCTATTTTCCAATAAAATTGAAATGGGAAAGGATAACTGGACAAGAGAAAAATTAAAGTACAACAATGTGCTAACAAATCTGAAAATAGCAAGAATTTGTCTAGGAATTACCAAGGTTAATCACAAAAACTTATACATGACCAAGTAATTTAGACCTCTACAATCAACTACCTACCTAACCTAAAGTAAGTGCTATACCCAAACAGCTTCAGTACTTCGTTCTTTCAAGCCAAATGCTCAAGAAGAATGACAGAAGCCCAGTGAAAAGACAGACATGGAAAACCAGAAAGGTCAGGCAGACATATTCTATGAGTAAAAAAAATGTAGTAAAAATTTAAAACAAGAGCCGGGCGCGGTGGCTCATGCCTGTAATCCCAGCACTTTGGCAGGCTGAGGCAGGAGGATCACGAGGTCCGGAGATCGAGACCATCCTGGCTAACACCGTGAAACCCCGTCTCTGCTAAAAAAGAAATACAAAAATTAGCTGGGTGTGGTGGCGGGCACCTGTAGTCCCAGCTACTCGGGAGGCTGAGGCAGGAGAATGGCATGAACCCGGAAGGTGGAGCTTGCAGTGAGCAGAGATCACGCCATTGCACTCCAGCCTGGGCGACAGAGCAAGACTCCGTCTCAAAAAAAAAAAAAATTAAAACAAGGAATGGATACAATAAATAACATCCTAATTTGCTTTTTTACCTTAACTTGGATATCTTTTTTCACTCAAACGTCCCTACTGCATTTTGACAAGAGTATTCCCTCAAATAGATATACCACAGTTGATTTACCTCACCTACAGTGTGTGTGCATAGTTTCCAACTTCAATGTTTCAATAAAATCTTTGTACATAAAATTTGTGCCCTGTTTGAATACCTCTACTGCAACACGTTCTTAGAAGTAGAACTGCTGAGTCAAAAGGGCCTGAACATTTAAAATTGGTAAATATTAAATTCCCATACAAAAAGGCCCCTGCTCAGTCTATGGAATTCTAGTTATTCCATTCCAGTAGGACTCCAGTTAATACATTTATGATACCTTTGAATACTGCCTTTGTTTTCACATAAGAGTAGTGGAGATGGGTAAAAAGCATGCTGAGATAAAAATTCAGGTTGAGGCAAAAATAACTTTGACAAGGGTGAGTGTATGCAGCAGCCATGTGGCAAGATCAGTTTGGGTCTCCTCTGTGTGAGGTGCTGTGCATGACCTCATTTGTACCCCACAACAGATCCAATTTCTAGAAACTAACAACATTCTCATTTTAGAATTGAAAAAACTGAGCCAGAGAGGTTAAGTTATTTGCCTGAAGTCACACACCACCTGGTGGAGCCACGATTCAAACCTGGGTTTCTCTATCTCCTAAGCCAGATTCATAAACCAGTATGAAGCTCTCAATGGGTATAGATATGCTTTAAAATACAGCCAGAGCTGCCAGGCACGGTGGCTCACGCCTGTAATCCCAGCACTTTGGGAAGGCCGAGGTGGGCAGATCACAAGGTCAGGAGTTCGACACCAGCCTGGCCAACATAGTAAAACCCCATCTCCACTGAAAATACAAAAAATAAGCCAGGCATGGTGGCAGGCACCTGTAATCCCAGCTACTCGAGAGGCTGAGGCAGGAGAATGGCTTGAACCTGGGAGGCGGAGGCTACAGTGAGCAGAGATCACACCATTGCACTCCAGCCCGGGTGACAGTACAAGACTCTGTCTCAAAAAAATAAAATAAAATAATGTATAATATTTATACAATATATATTTATATAATATTTATATTATATATATATTTCTCTAGAGCTGTCAAAAATATACATGAAAGCTTTAAAGAAAAGTGCCCACTAGAACTGTCACTCGAGGGGCTGCCTTCCCCTCTCCTCTCACAAGTCCCTTGATTGGCCTTGGTATGACTTCCTGTGAGTCAAAAGAAATTTCTTTTGCGTAGTTGGCAAAAGCTTAAACCTATGATCATCAAAATGCTAAAAAGGGCATCCAGAGACAGTCAGTTATTTTTATTTTGAAAAATAGGGGTGGACTGAAGATTAAGAACTGAAAGCAACAACTGAAAGCAAGCAATGTTGGCCGGGCTGGTCTTGAACTCCTGACCTCAGGTGATCCGCCCGCCTTGGCCTCCCAGAGTGCTGGAATTACTCAGGTAGTTCTTTATAGCGGTGTGAAAACAGACTAATATATACTAGACATACGGTCTAGAATCATACATTGCTTTTTCTTGTTTTTTCTGAGACGGAGTCTTGCTCTTTTGCCCAGGCTGGAGTGCAGTGGCACAATCTCGGCTCACTGCAACTGCAACCTCCGCCTTCCAAGTTCAAGCTATTCTCCTGCCTCAGCCTCCCGAATAGCTGGAATTACAGGTGCACACCACCATGCCCGGCTAATTTTTGTATTTTTTAGTAGAGATGGGGTTTTACCATGTTGGCCAGGCTGGTCTCAAATGCCTGACCTCAAGTGATCCGCCCACCTCAGCCTCCCAAAGTGTTGGGATTACAGGCATGAGCCACTGCGCCCGGCTGCTTTATTTTTCATAAAAGTGAAAGGCATGATTTATACTAAGATGATTTCTTCCTTTCTTTAATAAATTTATTGACCATAAAATACATGTACTACCATGATGATTTGGGACCATGATGATTTGGAACTGTCTGTCAATTTTAAAAGTTTGTGCTCTTTGACTTAGAAGTTCTATTACATAAATTCTTAGAAGTATTTGTACCAAGGCACAGAAGTTTATGTTTAAAAATTTGATTGCATCATTACATGAATTAGTGAAAAATGGAAAACTGAACTTTCTGAAAATCTTTATAAAGCACCTTCAGATATAGCTAAATAACTGTCAGGTGAAGATAAAGGAATTGAAACTTTTAAGTTGCAAAGTATCTTAAACGTGCATAAGATGGGTGTGTACAGATGAGACAGAGTGAGACTCTGTCTCAAAAACAAAAACAAAAAACAAACAAAAAAAGAACTACCCAAGAATGGGTAATTTATAAAGAAAAGGAGTTTAGACTCACCCCTGTAATCCTAACACTTTGGAAGGCCAAGGTGGGTGGATCACCTGAGGTCAGGAGTTCGAGACCAACCTGGGCAACATGGTGAAACCCCGTCTCTACTGAAAATACAAAAATTAGCTGGGCGTGGTGGCGTGTGCCTGTAGTCCCAGCTACTCGGGAGGCTGAGGCAGGAGAACTGCTTGAACCTGGGAGGCAGAGGTTGCAGTGAGCTGAGATTGTGCCACTGCACTCCAGCCTGGGTGACAGAGCGAAACTGTCTCAGAAAAAAAAAAAAAAGAAAAAAAAAAGGAGTTTAATTGACTCAGTTGGCTGGGCAGGCCTCAAAAAACTTACAATCGTGGCGGAAGACAAATGGGTAACAAGGTACGTCTTACTTGGCGGCAGGAGGGAGAGAGAGAGAGTAAGGGATGGGGCAAGTGTCACACCTTTAAACCCTTAGATTTCATGAGAACTCACTATCACAAGAACAGCAAGGGGGAAATCCGCCCCCATGATCCAATCACCTCCCACTGACAAGTGGGAATTACAATTCAAGATGAGATTTGGGTGGGGACACAGCCAAACCATATCAACTAGTTTCCTACAAATGAAAATCACTTAAACTCTATTGTCTCTTCCTTTATATCTTCAATCCCCATCATGTACCTCTTATTTATGTAAGAGTTAACCCAAAATTCAATTCATCATCTCTAATCACCCACCCATCTCTAATCATTTGTTTCTTCAGCACCTGTATAAACAGATGTACTAAATTTGTACCATATTGTTTACAACTTGGCAAAGTTCTCTGGCATACTCCATGTTTTCTAGGATAATGTAACACACTGCAAGTATTAATATAGCTGTTAGCTAAATGAAATCTCCCTTCTGGCTATTCAGCATTTTTAGAACACATACATCAGAAGAAGACTTGCCTTCCTACTAAACTATTATGTGGAGATTTGTGTTAGGGGCCTGTCCTGCACAGCTTGGCCAGATCACTTCTGTTTCTCTTCACCAACAAAGAACACAAAATAAAATTATTTCATTCTTCACTATTTAAGTCAGAAGAACAGCATCTCTCTTTGGAAGATACTATATAACTCACAGCCCCCAGTGTGTCACACAATTACCATGTGTCATTTATCCCTTTATGGCCTTTTTTATTTTATAACTGGATAGACCAAGTGAATTAATGCCAACACTGACTATCAACTGTGCTCAATGTTAGCATTACTTCATCATTCTGGTCCTTGTATCAAGACCATTAAGTTAATCTTGACCATTTTAAAAAAAATTAAGGGTGGGATCTAAATATTTTATCTCACTAAGAATGTCCGTATTATGTTCTTCTGAACAATATACTTGGGGGAAGCTGGTGGTGATAAAGACCTTTTCAATGGTCAAACTAAACCTAATGTGTAACTTTCCCAGATTTACCCCACAGTATTTTGTCATGACTGTGTAATTATTTGTTTCCTGGGCTTTGTTCCAAAAAGAATTTTATGCTGCTTATAAAATACACATAATCTGTAAAGATAAAACAAAGGAGGTGAAGAAATAAGAGCATAGGGAACTGAACACTCAAGATAAGATGAAGCCAAAAATGCTGTTATACAAATCTGGCTTTAAGCTTCCTCGCAGCTAATTTTTTAAAAAGTTAGTTGCATGATTTCCCATGACTATGAGAGAAAAACTATTCATTTACTTATTAAAAAATGACTATTCCTGGTACTGGTTTCAGAGAGCAATTCCTAAATATCCCCAGAGAACACTAATGTAGCAGCATCCTCCTCAGAGTGAAAGCCTGGCCCGAACATGCATGTGTCTTAGCCTGGAACACGTCCAAGGCTGCTGTTGTGAGAAACAAAAACAAAGTTATCTTTCTGACATAGTGATGAAGGGCTGTCCATGTTCTTGTTTTGCTGATGAGAAATAACAAACCCAAAATGAAGCTTAAGCATAAACTTAAGAGAAATGTTGTGTGAAGCTTTGGAAAAGGAATAGTGGCCAGTAGATAAGGGTCAAAAGGACCAAAATGTAACAGAAAAAAAGGGCACATACATGAAGAATCAATGTGTAGACTTTAAAATGTCCTATCCTGGAATGAAAACAGAAGCAACAGAACTTGTCAAATAGAAGCAGCAGAGTTAGAAGCAAACTAAGTGTTTTTCCACACCAGGAGATGCTGCCCTAGAATGACAGACAATGATGTGTGCTGTTGGCAATCATGTCTTGAAGAAAAGTTGACTCATCAGATGTCTGAGGCTTGGTGAAGACATTTCTGAACGTCGTCCAATTCCCTTTGCTCCAATTTCCTATCCATGAAGCATCTTCTTAACCAAAGATTACTTTTCAAGAAAATTTTCCTCTGGGAATGTAAGGCAGCTCACATAAATATGCTGTCAACTTTTGCCAATCATTAAATTGGCTCTCTGGTACACTTCATTCTTATATGGGATTCAGAATAAGCCATGAGCCGGGTGCTGTGGTTCACGCCTGTACTCCCAGCACTTTGGAAGGCTGAGGCGGGCGGATCCCTTGAGGTCAGGAGTTCGAGACCAGCTGGGCTGATATGATGAAACCCCATCTCTACTAAAAGTACAAAAATTAGCTGGGCACGTGACTGTAATTCCAGCTACTCAGGAGGCTGAGGCAGGAGAATCGCTCGAATCTGGGAGGTGGAGGTTACAGTGAGCCAAGATCATGACACTGCACTCCAGAGCCTGGGCAACAGAGCGAGACTCTGTCTCAAAAAATAAAAAAGAAAAGAAATCGAGACTAAAATAAGCCTATGCTAGAACAAGCCTGTGTCAGGATTTGGACACCCCAAATAGGCAGATAATTTAAATTTTTACTTGCAAAACTCAGCAGGCAGAGCAAAAGTTATAAGCCTTTTTCACCTGAATTTAAGTCTATGAGACCTAGGTTGGAAAAGGCCCATTAGCGTTACCCAGTCTTGTTACACATTCCTTCCATTTAAGTTAAGGTCTAGTTGCATTGTCTGAACCTTTTCTTGGATACATTCTTTGGGACTGAAGGATGTTCACAGGACATAAGCTGCTTCCCAATGGATTTGTGCCAGATGCCTATCGGCAAAACTTCCTTTGGACTTCTTGGCAGACTCTCAACTACGGCTTGAAATAACAGAAGAACAAAGCTGCTCAACTGAAAGTTTGCATAACTGGTGAAGTCTGCCAATGAGTAATTCCTAATCATCTATCGTGAAGACATACAAGTATGAGCAAACAGTAAGGTTAAGTGTATTTACTTTGTGGGGGACAAAATCTAAGACATCACAAAGGCATGGAGACATGCATGTCAGCCAACATGATCAGCCTCCAGGTACCTGGAAGGATGCCACGGTTTCCCTTTGGCTTGTAAAATAGATACTCCTGGGTTTTTTTGTTGTTGTTTTTAAATGGATTTTGGTCTGGAACTGAAACTAAGTTTACTCAACTCCATGACCTGAACAAAATATTGAAGTCTTTAACATTAAAAAAAAAAAAAAAAAAAAAAAGGCAAAGAAAGTTTTTCACCATAACTAGATAACCAAGGCTTCTCAGAGATAATAAATGTGCACAGTGAGTTACTTACTTAGAAATTGTTTACCAACAAAAGAGTTGCACCCACTGTGAGAAATCTTAAGGAGGAAGACTAAGAGACTCCCTGAAACACTCATCTGATTTAAAAAATTCCTTCCAACTCATAATTTTTTTTTTTTTGGACAAGGTCTCACTCTGTCACCCAGGCTGGAGTGCAGTGGCTCAATCACGGATCACTGCAGCCTTGACCTCCCTGGGCTCAGGTGATCTTCCTACTTTAGCCTTCCAAGTAGCTGGGATAGGCAAAGGCCACCACCCCCGGCTAATCTAAAAAAGTTTTTTTTTTTTTGTAGAGACAGAGTTCTCCCTATGTTGCCCAGCCTGATCTCAAGCAATCCTCTTACCTTGGCCTCCCAAAGTGCTGGGATTACAGGCATAAACCACCGCGCCTGGCCCTTTGTTTCTTAAAGAGTACCTTAAGCCTAAAAAAGTGCTAATCTCTCTTGCCTCTTTCATAAGCAGAAAGCTAGCCATTTTAAGATTACACTATCATTTTGGAGACTTCTGAGAAGACTCCAAAGAGGCTATCAAAACTGAAGCCAGCAGCCCTTGGGATTACTTCTGCCAATCCAACTGTATGCTGCCAAGACCATCCAGCTAAGGCGACACGCACTATGCCAATTCCAGCTCTTGCTCTGCTTCACTAGCTGCCAATTCCTTCTTCCCTACTGTTTGAGCATTTCTGAAAGGCGCGTTTCCTGTCATTTATAAACTCGAAGTTTGCCAGTTAAGTACTGTACGAGCCAGCTGCTAGGCAGGAACTAGAGACTTTTTGTCTGTTGGAAGAACCAACTCTTTGGCTCTGGGGAGACTCAACCTGGCAAGTTCTGGGAAGAAGAGAATATTGTGGGGGAACTAGTAGGCAAAGTTCTAGAATGGAATAGAGGCAAGGGATTTATCCAAAGAAGAGATGCATCATTTCTACTTTCATGCTACAAAGCAGGAATGAGAAAACATGAGTAGAGAAATGCAACAATTCTAAAAGAAAAAGGAAGTAGTATATATTAAAAAAAAAAAATTATTTGAAACATTTAGCCATCAAAACCTACTTCTTGACAGGCAATATACATTTAAAATAAAAGCAGAAGTTCACTGTTAACCTACAAGACATCAAGGATAAACACGATCTTAGTACGTAATCTGTGATAGCTTCAAAGGAACAGCAAGCTTCTCATCAGCAAGTATAGATACCAGAATGCAGTTCAGGAACAGTTTAAAAGTGCTGAGAGCAAAATGCCCGTCCATCTTTAACTTTCTAAACCATTTTTTTTTTTTTTTAAATAACATCATAGACCCTCACAAACATAAAACAGTATGTTCTTTTTTTCTCTTCTTTTTTTTTGAGACAGAGTCTTGCTTAGTCACCCAGGCGGGAGTGCAGTGGCACGATCTCGGCTCATTGCAACCTCCACCTCCTCGGCTCATCGCAACGCCTGGTTGTTATCATTGCTTCTTTTTGGCTTCATTTTTCTTGCTAAAGAATAGGCCGGCTGCAGTGGCTCACGTCTGTAATCCCAGCACTTTGGGAGGCCGAGATGGGTGGATCACTTGAGGTCAGGAATTCGAGACCAGCCTGGCAAACATGGTAAAACCCTGTCTCTAATAAAAATACAAAAATTAACCAGGCATGGTGCTGCGCACTTGTAATCCCAGCTACTCGGGAGGCTGAGGTATGAGAATCACTTGAACCCAGGATGCGGAGTTTGCAGTGAACCGAGATTGCGCCACCACACTCCACCCTGGGTGACAGGGCAAGACTCTGTCTCCAAAAGAAAAAAAAAAAAGAAGCAATGATAAGCAAAGAAACTGGTAAAGCTTTGGGAAATTTACTGCCTTTAAAAACAATAGTTTATTTGTATTTCAAAAAGTGGTGACCACTAGGTACACAAAATAGTTAAGTATTAGTGATTTCGGTTTAGAAAAAGAACAAAGTCTAAAAATAGTGAAGGCAAAGCTATTCCAACTGAGTACTTGCAACCACCCCCCACCCCCTGCAACTTGAAGTTATATACTCAAACAACACTTGTTAAAGAATTGTTCCCCTGAACATTAAGCCAGAAAATTGCCTAGCAGCTGTTTGAAAGTAGAATTTACTCTAATTGTATCCAGGGACAATATGATTTTCTGAATAATGGTGTTTTCTCTTTATTTAGATGAAAATAACCACAGGAATGGGAATCTGGAATATGGAATTTTCTCCTCCAGAATTTAGATTCTGCTTTTTGAGAGAACTTAAAAGCTTGCTTCCTCTCTTCCAGGCTCTGGGAGGCTCCTTTAACAGGCAATAGTGCCAAATCCAGTGAAGCAGACAAATAGCTGTCCCCAACATGTATTTTCCTTTAGTAACAGATCCTGTGTTTAATGGGCACATTGCTGCCCTCACACAGGGATTGTCTCCCAGCTTCTCTTGCAGCTAGACACAGCCAGTGGTATGTTCTGGCCAACATGAGGCAAACAGAAGTATGAAAAGCTATCCTCAGGCAGTGTCCTTAAATAAGGATGCTGCCAATTTTGATCCTTTATCCTTTTTTCAGTTTGAAATGAGGTCTCACCACATTGCCCAGGCTGGACTGAAATTCCTGGGCTCAAGCAATCCTCCCACCTCCGCCTCCCCAGTAGCTGGGACTACAGGTGTCTGTCACCACATCCAGCAATCCTTTATCCTTCTTGTTGGCTGGAAACAGACCCAATAGTTGGAGCTTGAGCAGTTATCCTGGGCCAGGGAATGGCACACAAGGCAGATAGAAGCACCAGTCCTGAAGGATATGGTGGAACCACTTCCAGCCTTGGATTGTCTACCCTTGAACTCTTCTCATGAAAAAGGAAAACGAATTTAAGCCATTTTTTTTTCTAGTAACAATACATACCCAAACCTAATCCTGATACATGTAGTATGCCAAAATAGAGTTAGAAGGGTAAAAACAGACATAACGGCAACATCCCACAGAGGTTTTTGGCATGATATTTCCTACGAGTTGGGATGGCAGGTGGTCCAGAGAGAAAGAGGTGAGTTTTTTTTCACTCTTCAAAGCATAGAACAAGGTAGAAAAAGGGATATACACAACTAGTATGTATTTGTGCTTATCCTGAACTTTTTCTCCCTTGCAATTGGTACTGATAGAAACTGTTCTTTTCAACATTGAAGCGCCCCTCCAAAGACTAGTAAACATTCTTTGTAGAACAGAAGTTCTTAGCTGGGCGTGATGGTGTGTGCCTGTAGTCCCAGCTACTTGGGAGTCAGAGGTGGGAGGATCACTTGCACCCAGGAGTTCAATTCCAGCCTGGGCAACATAGTGAGTCCCCATCTCTTGAAAAGAACAGTTCCTGACAATAAACGGGTAGCATAAAACTCCTGATGACCTTTATGAAACTACACATTTTTGAGCTTCCACCTGCTCCCACTGAGATTTTTATTTATTTAAGTGGGACACAAGTTCTTAACTAATCAAACAGTTGTTGTTAGCCTTGGCTACACATTGGAGTCATCTCGGGAGCTTTCAAAATTGATACCTTTGCCTCACCCCTACCCCCAGGGATTTTCATTCAAATTGTCTGGGATAATTATAATTTAAGTATGGGAAAAACATTTTTTTCCCCTTAAGGCAGGGAATAATTAATGCTGAACTTTACAGATTGTCAATCAATGTAAAATAAGAAATAAAAACAGTAATATATGATTTAGGGAAATATATGATTTGGATAAATGATTTAGGAAAATATTCAGTTATAAAGTTGAGAACTCCATTGTATCACTGCCTGGAACACATGTAGAATAAAATATCCACTGGAATTCTGCAAAGAACACAGATTGTTAAGACTGTCCATGTTGTTGTATTCCTTTAAGAATGCGAATTTCCTTTGCCTGTCCTTGAAACCACCAGACTGTTACATCTTTGCAGCTCTTGCCCTGTGGCAGTGTTTTTACTGTTGGCAGCTTCTGCAACTTCTGTTCTCATTTGCTCCTTCTAATTGCACCTATTTGATTTAGCTTAAATGACAGGAGAAGCAAGATGACCTATTCCAGTGACATCTTCCTTACATTTACTCTTGGCTCAACTTTTATTTAAGTAAACATCACCGACCTCCTCCTCCCATTCTTAAAACAAAACTGCCACTGATTTAAGTCATTCAGACATTTAAGACTGTAGAAGTGCTGGAGAAATATAAGTTCTTAATATGATCTCACTTCTCTCAAAGCATTCTTAATTTTTCTAACATAGGAACCTGATACACAGAACTATACCATAAGTCAGAAAAATGACTAAATCCAGAGAATATGCAGTCTTATCTACATATTTTAAAAATAGTTACCTACAAGTTCACTCTAGGAATTTTGGCTACTGAAGCATCCATGTAAGTGTAAAAGACTGATGTCCAAGAATGTTCTATTCTGTGATCACTTGTAATGTGAAAAGCTTTGTTGATTGGAACATGTCACCAGTATAGAGAGAAAAAAAGAGTTAAAGGGACACCTCAGTTTACAAACTGGGAATGAAACAGAGAGGTTAAGCAACCCACCCAGAGAGAAAGCTAATTTAGGGGAACCAGCAGAAATGTGGGTTAGATGCGAGCTTTCCTAGCACAGAGTTACGTCACATGATCAGCTCATTGTACCTTTTAGTAAGTGTCATTTTATACAGAAGTGTTGGGGACACACCTGCCCTAAACCAATCCTATGACACACACATAAACTAGTGGACATGTTCAAAGTTAAGTCCCTAGATGTACTCTCAGATTCCTATTTTAGGCTCATTCTCCCCTATTCCTCCTTAAACCTTTCATATTATTTAATTCTGTAGAAACTAGAAATGTGTGACCTTAAAGGCTTTAGACACAATTCTTATAGTTCAGGTTTTTTTTATTATACAGGTGAGAAAACAAATCCAGAGCCAAGGAGTCTGACCTTCAGTGACACAAAATTGTGTCAGAGGCAGTGGGCCAGACCTGGGCTCTGACTCCAGGGTTCTTTCTACCAGTCCCCTTTAGCATCAAAGTAAAAACATGCCAGCCACTTCAGGGGGCACGTAATGAATCTATGCACACTTCACTTGTAGCTGAAATTTTGATGGCTATCATTCTGTTACATGATTTCCAGGCCAAAACATACTAGAAACGGCAGGTGAATTGCAGGGGAGACAAGATGCTGCTGACAGTAAAGGCAGAAACACACACGGCAGGAGGGCAACTGCTTAGAACCCCAATCAGTTTGGTGGGTTCAAGGACAGGAAAAGGAAATTTTCATTTTTAAAAGGATAAAAGGGGGACAATCTGAGCCATCTGTATTTTCTGTACAATTTCAATGTCATTTTACTCTACATATTTATTCTAGGTAGTAATACAGTGGAATCACCAACCTATTCCACCTGGACATTTCCCCAAATTGGTGTAAGAGGTATCACTCAAAATATTAATATTAAGTAAGTGAGCCAAACAAAAAGGGAGAGATGTCAAAACAAATTCATGAAGGAAGATCCTAGAATGTCACATGAATACCTCCGATTATCGATAATGCAACTGAATTATTAACTACTTTCAAAATAATTTATTCCATCAGGTGTCTGCTGTGCTGCGATTATTTTCATACCATCACTAGTCTCCTATTTCTGACCTCAAGGAAACTGCTATTCTTAAAAAGCAAGTATAAAATATTTCTTTCTTTTTCTTTTTCTTTTTTTTTTTTTTTTCCCAGACAGAGTTTCGCTCTGTCGCCCAGGCTGGAGTGCAATGGCGCAATCTCAGCTCACTACCACCTCTGCCTCCTGGGTTCAAGCGATTCTCCTGCCTCAGCCTCCCAAGTAGCTGGGATTACAGGCACCTGCCACCACTCCGGCTAATTTTTTGTATTTTTAGTAGAGATGGGGTTTCACCATGTTGGCCAGGCTGGTCTTGAACTCCTGACCTCGGGTGATCCTCCCGCCTCGGCCTCCCAAAGTGCTGGGATTACAGGTGTGAGCCATGGCACTTGGCCTAAGATTTATTTCTTATATAACCTACCTCTTTACAAAATAAACATCTGCTTAATGTATGCACGCACACACACAATATAATTGTGCACAAAACTATCTTATCTCTTTGGTTTAAAAAAGTACACTCAACATGGAAAACACACAGAGTCACTCCTGACCTTTCAAAGCCATTGACTTCAGGTGACAAAGATGAAAGAAGCCTTTAAAAAATCTTTTCCTTTAGTATTTAATAATTACTGGCCAGGTAATAGCTCACGCCTATAACCCCAGCACTTTGAGAGGCCGAGGCAGGCAGACCACTGGAGGCCAGGAGTTTGAGATCAGCCTGAACAACATGGCGAAACCCTGTCTCTACTAAAAATACAAAAAAAGTAGCCGGGTGTGGTGTGGCACACACCTGTAATCCCAGTTACTCAGGAGGCTGAGGCATGAGAATCATTTGAACCCGGGAGGTGAAGGTTGCAGTGAGTCAAGATTGTGCCACTGCATTCCAGCCTGGGCGAAAGAGTGGGACTGTGTCTCCAAAAACTTTTAAATAACCACCATGGCACATGTATACCTATGTAACAAACCTGCACATTCTGCACATGTATCCGAGAACTTAGAATAAAAAAAAAAGAAAAAAGAAAAAAGAAAAAAAATTTTTTTAAATAAGAAAAACAATTACTAAGTTTCTTCCCCTGCCACCTCAAAGTCCCAAACTTTTGTTGTGATATTTGAAAACACATGTTGACAACCCCGCTATCCAAAAACTGCAAAATAATCCCATGTCTACTCCACAAAGGGCCAAATAAGAAGGCTCCATTAGCAAGAACTGGAGAGCATATGTTGGCATCTAAACAGATGATCACGCGGGGACTAGGTTTACATTAAGATTTTGCCCAATCACAAAGAAAGCCAAGGCCAGTTATCTTACCTCAAACTGCGGGTAGGGAGGAGTCATGGCTGAAGGGGGCCCTGAGGTGGGAGGTGGCATCCCTGAAGTGGGTGGGAACAGACCCAAGGCGTTCAGATTTAATCCAGGAATTAAATGTGCTTGAAGCTGCAACAGTAAAAAGGCCCCTTAATTTGACAATTAAAAGAATCAAGGGAAAGTGAGCATTTTTAAGTGACAGTATTCAAACTGATCTCTTGTCTAATAAAGAAATGATTGTATAACTCAAAGCAGATGTTCCATGGGACTCTACTTGAGTACATCGTTTACATCTGTTTATATCCCTTGGTATTTTAAAATCTGTGTGCTGGTTTGCCCCCTCCTTGGTCCACAGCTGCATTAAGATATCTCAAGGGAAGCTTTCCTTTCCCTTATGACTAGCCCACAGGACTTAGACAAAACCGTATTCTGCATGCTGTGGGCAAACTAAATATAGACAAAAAGCAATGTATCAGAGTTGAAGAGGTAATCAAGTAAGATTGGTTCATTGAAAAGCAAACCAGCTATTAAGAGATCTTTACTTGCTGGGTAAAACTTAGCAACCATGGGTCTAGAGGCCTCAAAGTTGAGCCCTCTGGAAATCAGGACCCATCCCCATGTAACTACTGCAAGTAAACATATCACTGGAATGGAAATAGGAGCCAGAAAGGGTATTTTAATTTGTTTAATTTTATAAGGGTTGAGGACGTAATGTAGACGGTGGAAGGGAGATTTGAGTGTACTTGAAAATCTTTTTAAAAGGCCTAAGGGGGTTAGATTTAATCCCAGTTGATTCCAGAACATTTGGAGCCAAGCAGTGAGAATTGAAGCAGGTTGGCAAGAAGTCACGTGGGGTGTAAAATGGCTAGCATTCTAGGCTCTTCTCACAAACGCAGTATTTGCACATTTCCCTCGTCTCAGGTTTTGTGTTTCAGATGACTGGCCCAATTGAAAAAAAATTATTTTTTAAAGTCATTTACTTTAAAATTTAAGACAGGCTTTTGAAGTATTCCATTTTCAGCACCATTTCACTGATTAAGGAATGTCAGCAATTTGCTTTAATAGCCTCAGATGCACTACACAGATTGTTTTATCAATTGAAATTCTTGTATCTCCAAGGTTTATATGGCTAACCAAGTTTTAAACCTGTAATCTTAACATTAACTTTTATATGCATTATATCTATTGTAATCCTAATAAGAATGCAAGGTAGGCAGTAGTCCCATTTTACAGATGAGTAAACTGAGCCTCAGAGAGACTGAGTAAATCATATAAGAGAAGAGAGCTGCAGCTCATAAATGGTTCAGCTGTGATTCAAATCCAGTTCATGTAACATTTCTTCTATATTAAACTCTCTCAAATTAACATTGTAAGAGAGGTACTATATTAACCTTTGTAGGTAGACACTAGCCTTACTTCAGACAGAAGGAAGCTAAGGCTCAAAGACTGAATAATTTGCTAAAGTCACAGAGACAGCAAAGCTTAATGTCAAAGCCAGTATCTTCCCTACTATCCCAGGGTACTTGCTGAGGTGCTAAAAATCAACTAGAACTACTTCTAGTGATAATGCCACAAAAGAATTCAATATTAATGCAGTTAAAAACATTGTTTTAACTATTTGTTAAAATAAAGACATGCCCTTCATAACAAAACTAACATTCATAGAAGCAATATCATTTTCATAAGACTCCCTGATTTTCTTCATGATCTCCTCCTCAGCTTTGGCACATGTCTCAACATTGCCTTTAACTGTAATAGTGCGTTCTGGATTATACAGCGTCAATTCCTGCAATCTGCAGAATGAAAAAGAAGGGAAAGAAAAAGAATGAAAATTGGAGGAAGACAGCTAATAATTCAGCCACAGACGGCAATTAAAAACAAACTGTGGAGCCTGGTAATATGTAAAAGTGGGTGGTAAAACATGATGGGAAATGAGTAAGCCCCAAAAGACGTAAATCCGAAACTGTAAAGCTGCAAGAGAGAAGAAAATATTTGCCCTCCCATTTTCTCAACTAACGATTACTGGATACATATAGTTCAATCAAGTCCATATTTTAAATAAAGCTTACTTCTCAACCGCTTAAAGTTGAACCATTTTCACAATTGAACAGTGAATTAAAAAATGACTGGAAAGATGTATAGTTTTTGAGGAAACCAAATACCCTAAGTACATAACCTTTCATAAGTATGTTCCTAGTCTGTATTAACCAATTCTAGGCATAATTGGCATTCTCGTGCAATTGCATTTTCTGGGTCACCAAGCAAGGAGAAAGCATGGAAATATTCCAAAAACACAAGCCAGAATTCCTGTGTCTAAACTTAGTTTTTACCAGTTTCTTTAGAATTTAGATTGAAGTAGGCTGGAGGAATATCAATCCATCTTGACTAAAATTTAAAATGGTTCACCGATGCCATTTAGATAACAAAAACGTTAGATAGTGGCAGAAATATTCAGAAACTCCCTGCGGGACCTAGGTCCTGCTGAACCTTCAAAAGCCACTGAATATCATACCTGAAAACACCTAAGCCTATGCTGGTCAACAGCCTTGAGAGGAAAAGCAATGGGAGACATGTGCCATGGAAAACAGAACTAAGTACATAAATTGAGAGGATATGGATTATTGGTACAAATCTCCTTCATCTTCCTGAAGTTCTCATTTTCACTACTAGTATAATGTCACAGGCTAACCTTGAGCCAGATGAATGGGAAGTTATTCCTTAACATTTTCCTCAAACTTGTTAAAAATGTAAACATTTGTATAATGAAGACTATTTCTCTTAGACTACTTTAAAAAGAAGTCTATAATTCTAATTCAGTCTCAACCTGGCCCTGCCAAGCATTTTGTATTACAGTTTTAAAAATAGCTGCTTCTAGAATAACTTTTGAGATTTTTTTCTTTTAAAACTCTCCCCTTTCTGGGGGTAAATTTAAGACAAAGTAGTATTACTTATTGAATTTACCACTTTGTGGGGTTTTTTTCCCCCTTTCTTTACAACCAAACAGAAGTTTCCTGCTTCCTTACTACCTCCTTTGAAAACTCCTTGTACACAAACACCGTGCAGTCTTTCCCCTACCACTCTTCCTCAGTTCATCAATCTTTTCCCACCTTTTTGAGTACTCTGAGTGAAACTAAGAATGGCCACCCTCAGAAAAACCTTTCCACGTAATTTCAGAGCATCCACAGATTCTAAGTGTGGTAGCCTGCCTCCAAGGTGATTCCTGTCACCCAGTTATCTGTAGTCCCACACATACATACCAAATAGGGCTGACTTGTGTAAACAACATTAGAAAAATGATAGAGTATAACTTCTGAGGCTATGTCATAAAAGACATTGCAGTTTCCATCTTGACAGCTGCCATGTCTTGAGAACACTCAAGCAGCTCTGTGGAGAAGCCCATGTGGGAGGAACTGAGGCCTTCTGCCAACAGCCAGCATCAACTTGTCAGCAGCATTGTGAGACCCCAAGCCAGAACCACCCAGCTAAGCTGCTCCTGCATTCCTAACCCACAAAAACTAGCTGAGCAATTAATGTTCACATTGTGTTAAGCTGTCAAATGTTGGGATAATGCGTTACACGACAATGGATAATAAACTGGGTTATATATTCCAACTTTGGGAATAAATGTCATAAAACATAGTTAAGACTGCTTTAGAAAACATGAATGTAAAGCATTTGGTTCCTCCTGCCAGAAGCAGATAATGCTTTCAATACGGGTCAGAAACCTAACAGGCAGCAAGCTGTATTTGAGAAACCATGTGTAAGTACGGCAGCACAGGCTAGCTGAAGCAGCTGTAAAGTGGGAAGCTAAGCCCAATACACAACATGCAGCTTACAGTGTTGGAAAGTTTTCTTATTCAAAAGCAAAGGAGCACTCACGGAGATATCGTGATTTTAGTGTCTGTGTCTTGCTCAATTTTTTTAAGATTTCTTCCTTCTTTACCAATAAGACGTCCAACAAAGTTATTATGAGCTAAAATCTTCAAGGGGATCTCTTCTGTGCTGTAAATAGAAAAGTGGCCATAAAATTAGAATAAGTAAACCTATTCGTGGGTAAAAAGACAATATTCACTCATTAAACATTTACTTCCTACCTACCATCTGGGAAGCACTGTGTTAGGTACAGCTTAAAACTTGCTGACAATTGGCCAGCATTCTAGCAATGCATGAATAGAAGGGGAGAAAAAATACAGAAGTTAACTTCTAAAATAGTTCTTATTTTATTCACTTCAGGAAATATCTTCAGTGATGGAGTCTCTTACTCAAAACCATATTCCTAAACCCCTACTACCAGAACACAACGTACAAATAAAAAACAGTACCATCCAGTACAAATATACACCTGGAGATATGTGCATAATTTATAGAAGGAAACAGAAGAAACAACAGTGGTTACACTTTGGGGGAAGGGCATAAGAACAGGAAGGGGAGCTTTCACTTTTCATTTTGTAGCTTTCTGAATTTCCCAGTCATATATATATAAAACTGTTTAAAATGTCATTGTGGTTAATAGATGGTGGGCTTTTCCTTTTTCTTTCTTTTTTTTTTTTTGAGACAGAGTCTCCCTCTGGCGCCAGGCAGGCGTGCAGTGGCGCGATCTCGGCTCACTGCAACCTCCGCCTCCCGGGTTCAAGCCATTCTCCTGCCTCAGCCTCCCAAGTGGCTGGGACTACAGGCACATGCCACCACGCTCATCTAATTCTTGTATTTTCAGTAGAGACGGGGTTTCACCATGTTGGCCAGGATGGTCTTGATCTCTTGACCTCATGATCCACCCGCCTCGGCCTCCCAAAGTGCTGGGATTACAGGCATGAGTCGCCACACCAGGCCTATTTTTCTCTATACTAAAATAATTCTTCTTTAAAATTTTTACTTTAATAATTACATTCTTATGATATGGCACCCACATATAATATTACTAAAACATATTTAAAGTTCTCTACAAATTAAGGTTGGTAATGAGGTCCCCACACTAACTCCAGTGCCTTACTCTCGATTCTACTTTCAGTGCAGCGCTGTTCTGTACGCTAAACGTGGCACAGAACCCAACCTTCACTCAAAGTTCCTGTGGAAGAAATAGAGTTCCCGCCTGCATTACCCAGATAAATCTCCAGTTTGCCTTAGAAGAGACTTAGGCACTTCCCCACCTCCACACTCCCTGCTGCTCCAAGGTGGGGCCAGGCAGTGGACAAGAACAGAGCTCCAATGAGCTCCGAGTAAAGGATGAGTCAAGATTTGGGGCTCCTGTTTTGGGTTAATCCAGGATACCTCCTGGTCCTAGGTTCCCCAAGTTGCCTTCTTCTATAGCTGCATTTCTCTTCCCCGTTATCACCACTCGCCTATGTTCAAATGTGAATGAAAATATTTAAATATTAAAAGACATACACTTCACAACCAGATCAACAGTGCCAACCACTGTAGCTCATCAGGATATCATTTCCCTCTGTTTGTTGGCAATTCCCAAGAATTGTGTCAGAGATGTCAAAAATACAAGAGCACAAATATCAACCTCTTTCACAGGACAATCTTCTTTACTCACAATTTTATATCTTGAGCTTCCTTATGCATAATCTCCAGAATAGACTTACAAGCCGCAGAGGTGCCTTCAGGAGTAGAGAGGATAGTAATCGACTTCTCAGCAGCCCCCGCATTTTCTTTACGGTGGACATCGATTCTGATAGTGGGCGCAAGCAGAGAGGAAAACGAGAGCAGTAAGCGTGTATTCACAGTGGAGTCTGTAATTACCAAATGCAAAGTCATAGGGCTTCAGGGCAAAGCAGATGACTCACTTCCCTCAAGAGCATAAACTTTCAATAAGCTGTCAACATTAATGCCTTAAGAGGCAAATTTTAATTCTAGGAACATTCCCCTTTCTCTTTCCTCAATCCAACCAAGCGGGGACATCTTTTCATTCTACCCAAGCTGTTTGTGCTTACAGCTTCCTTTCAGATGCCACAGAACAAATGTCTCATGACAAAGAGCCTGGATTCAATCTGCTCTAAAACAAATAGGAACTGGAGGGCATGCCAAGAGAGGAGTTGGAATCCCATAAGCCAAGTTGAACTGCTTATTCTGCACAGTATATCATTCTTCATTCATTGGATGAGCAGATTTCACCAATCTGCTTCCCCTTTGCAAGGTTCTTCCCACATTTTGCCTCCTTGATAGAGGAAAGTCTGCAACGAACAGTGATAGGAATGGAACCTGGACAGATGGCAATTCTACTTCAAGAAAAGCAAGTGGCCAATAAACTCAAAATGATGTTTAATTTCACTAGTAATTATATGTCTGCCAGCTAAAAGAATGTCATTTTCTTCTAGACTTGCAAAAATTGAGATAGAAAAAATTAAATATGGGCAAGATGATGGGTAACAAGGCACACTCAACACTTTTGGTAGGAGCAAACTGGTCAGCAAAATGCTGAGCACCTTGTGACTCAAGAACTGTATTTCTTGTAACATCTACTCCTGGTAACATCTACAGATATAGTCTCATACATGGGTCAAGAGTGATGTTTCTTACCCTTGGCACTACTGACTTTTTGGGCCAGATTCTTTGTTGTGGATGGGGTGTCTTGTGCATTGTAGGAAATTTACTAACTTCCCTGGCCTGTACCTACTAGATGCTAGTAGCATGCCTCTCTCTCAACTCTAACAGCTAAAAATGTCTCCAGACATTGCCAAATGTCTACGGGGGTTGGGGCAGAGAGATGATCATTTGTAGTTGAGAACCACTGGCATGGGAAAGTTCCGTTTCTAACAGATAGAAAATTAGAATTATCTAATTGCGGGAAGAGATGGTTAAATAACAGTATATTCATATCATACAGATGTTTTTGAAAATGTGGTAAAATTACAAGTACCAACACAGTAAAAAGTCCTTAAGTGAAATAATGCAATTCACATCATGACATGATTTCTTTTTTAAAGTCACACATGTTAGTAGATACAGGCAACAAATCCTATAGAGATACATCCCCAACTTACCAACAGCTACCCAGGTGAGACGAATGGTAACTTTTTAATTTACATATTTATATGTTTTGAATTAAATATAAAATAAGCCTGCCATTTTTTAATAAGTACAAGAAAGAAAATTAGCTACTCAAAAATATGTGTTTTTGGGAAAATTAAGTATTTGTTGAGTTCCTTTGGCCATTCAAACACTTAAAGGGCTAAATAACTCATGGCCATGAGAGTGACCACTTGATCATGCCAATAAAATCAAGATTTGGCTTTCATTTTCCTAAATGTTTGGTTGAAATCTGAAGATTTACCTCAAGAGTAAAAGATAAAACTAAAAATAAGGGCATGAAACAAATTAAGGGCTACCTAAAAATAACTAATAAAAAAATAGTGTCTTAGATAACAGTCCCAATCTTAGGAGTCATCTTCCCGGCTGCTGTTTCAATCCCCAGTCACTTTCAGGGATGCCTGTCTTCCAGCAACACATTAGCATCCCTCTTTGCAGTTTATTTTCACCCTTTCACTGTGCTAAGGATTACTAAGCTCCGATCCCCTGAGAGAAAGGAATGTGGCTTTGGAGATTAGAATGGCCCTCTGAGACCATTCCAGAAACGAGGTTCTGATAATGACTAATTTCAATGTCAAGAGTTAATTAAATCCACTGGCAGAGCTCTGCAAATGAATCATCGGATATAACAAAAATTGCTTCCCTTCCCCTATCCCCATCTTCCTGCCTTAAGTAAAACAAACAGTTCAATTTAAGTCACAGCTCTTTCATCTGACAGGGAAATGAGTAGCTCGAAAAGGAACAATTCTAATCTGCTACATGAGAAGGAAGGGAAGCCATATAATGAATTTCTGCAGGTAACGGTGGATCAAGGGAAGCAAGAAGCCCTTAAATTTTAAGATTAAAGCCAGGCCGACTGACTAGGTTATGGTCCAGTTGTCTTTCCCACTCCTACATGATGAGGTCAGGGCGATTAATTTTGCATTCAGGTAACCAGCACCCAACATCTCCTGCTTCAAAGCAGGGGAAGGCAGGATCAGATGCCACTGCAGGGAGCAGGTGGGTATGGACCACCACTCAGTACAGTTCTTTTTGGTTCTACATGAGAAATGGGTCAGCTAGTCCAATGCAGGCATGGTGCCTATGATGAACATGCATGTCCTCTTAGGCCTGCTGGAACAAACACATAAAGTATACACAGCAGTGCAGTTCTAACTTTTAGAGAAAGATTAAGCTTATTTCGTTGGATCACACTGAAAAAAAAGAATTCTCCTTTCTAAATTTAAAAGGAAAAATAATCTTGCCACTTCTGTAGCTGGCTCAAGGCTTGCACAATGGTATTTTTGGATACAACCTCTTCTTCCCAGCACACTCACAGGTTCTTCAGGAAATACAGTAGTAACAGGATGTGCCTCGTAGCACGTTACGGAGCTAGGTATGGGGGGAAGAGTTTGTCACCAAGCTTCTTTGGGTCAAAAAATATCCACATACTGTACAACAGTATGGTTTCTAAAGCAAAACAACATATAATGCATGAGAACTGAGAAGTATCTTAGATACACATGAAAGGCTTCAAACATAATTCACATACAGTCATTTTAGTCATTTGACAAATAAAAGATCCTTCTATGTAGCAGGGCCCTGGCCTTGGCCCTGGGGCTACAGTAGTGAATAAAACAAATAGTTCCCGCTTTCTGCTCCTGATAATTAGCTCCAACATTTGAATGGGAATATTCCAATCCCTTAAATCCCACCAATTAAAACCATCAAAAAATATCCAGAAGAAAAAGCCATTCTAATTACATGGCTTAATCAGAGGAAAAATTCGGACAAATAAGATGAGCGATTCTTTATTCGAGTAAGGCAAGACTGAAAAACCACCTCTGTATTGAGGCCACAAATAAAATGGATTGGACCCAGAAAATTACTTCCAAAAACAATGAGGGCAGGTGGGGGGTAAGGGGTGGGACAGAGGACAACCTGGAAGCTGCCTTTCTGTCTTCCAGAGCTTCCCCAACCAGAAGAGGATTAGGTATCATTTGTTTTCCATTCATGTGTGAAAATCTGACGTTCCCTTTGAGAATGAGGATTAGCTCCAGATTTATATGAAATGAACACCAAGATACTGCAAGATTTTTACACATTCCCAAGTACTGTACAAGGAGTCCTCATGGCTGTGTTCAGAAGGGCACCAAGTACCAGAACGACACACTGTTACTAAGATTCCAAGGGGAATTCTCATGAACACCCACCACACACTCAGCATACTCACTTAGACTGGGTCTGTTTGGTGATGTTCCGAATGGTGGCACCTTCTTTTCCTATGATGGCTCCAACAAATTGGGTGGGAACCAGCAGGCGCAGAGGCAAATCACATGGTTTCTGCTTGGATACGGATCCTGGAGACCCCTGCCTTGAGGAGCCCCTCTGCCCAAGCCCCCGGCGACCTCGGGGCTGCTGCAAGGGGTTTTGCTGGGCGGCCATTTCATCAGGGATATAGGCTACTTTCAAGGTGAAATTCTCTAACTGAAATCCATTCAGTTTGTCTAGTGCTCTGAAAGTTGAAAAGGGGCAGGGGTGGGAAAAGGAATCAGGCTATATGACACATCTTTTAGCAAAGCAACACCCATCTCTTCTACTCAGCATTACTAGCTCTAAACTTCTGAGTGAAGCCCCAGCACAAGCAGCAAACCCGCAACACACATAATCCTCCCCTCTCCCACCCCGCACCACCACCACCCACACACATTTTCCTTTGAGACAGGCACAGTGGGGAAAAAGACCACAAGTTTCCAAAGGGAACCTATGTGCCATCTCCTAATGAAAAATAGAAAAACAAAAAACATTTTGTCAAACTCTTGGTTAAGTTTAACCCATAAGGTTACTAACGGTTTAGGAATAGCTAAGCAGCAAGAGAGAAGCAAGTGGGCTTCTTGCCTTGGCTAATGTTTCCAAACCACAGTGGAAGAGACATCAGAAATATATACTTCCTTCACTTCAGCCTCTAAAATATGAAGTATTTAAAACCATTTTAAGAACCAGTGGACAAATATCTCTAAACCATTTACAAGAGACTATTCTGAGTATTAAATTCTACCAATCACACTCAGTACCTATTATGAGCCAGTCCCTGACTTTGTGGTTTACGATCTGATTTGGAGCAAAGAGGCAGGGGTGGTGATAAACCAAAAAAAAGAGTGTGCCCATTCTACCACACTATTTGGGGGAGAGTTTCTCTCTTTTTCATTTTTTTTTTTTTTTTTTTTTTTTTTTGGAGACAGAGTCTTGCTCTGTTACCCAGGCTGGAGCGCAATAGAGCCATCTTGGCTCACTGCAACCTCTGCCTCCGGGGTTCAAGAGATTCTTGTGCCTCAGCCTCCCAAGTAACTGGGATTATAGGCATGCACCATCATGCTTGGCTAATTTTTGTATTTTTAGTAGAGATGGGGTTTCACCATGTTGGCCAGGCTGGTTTTCAACTCCTGACCTCAAGTGATCTGCTGCATTGGCCTCCCAAAGTGCTGGGATTACAGGCATGAGCTACTGTACCCAGCCTCTTTTTCATTCTTGATCTTTATTTTAACATGCAAGGAAAAGTGCCCAAATCTTGAGCATAAATTTCAGTGAATTTTCACAAGGTGAACACACACATCCAGATCCAGAACTAGAACACACCAGGGCCCCGGAAGCCCCAACAGTACCTGCTTCCGGTAGTCACTGCCCCCCTACCCCTTGCAGACTTCTAATACCATAGATTAATTCTGCCTATTTAAAAATTTTATGTAAATATATATGAGTATACATGATATGTATTTTCTCATATCTGGAAACTTTTAATTTATTGTAATATTCATCCAAATTGTTGTGTTCTGTTTTCTGGGGTTTTTTGTTTGTTTGTTTTGCTTTGTTTTGTATTCATTTTGTGTGTGTGTGTTATGTTTTCAGAAGGGAAAATAATAAACTAGTAGAGACGAAATAGCCCAGATTTCATAAACATACACCTAACAATACATCCCTTTTTAACTCCCCAGTGCACAACAAAATGAAAAACAAAAAGAAAGAAGTCCCCACACTTCCCAGTGTCACTCAGGTTCTTTGCTCAGATTCTGTTCCAATGGCCCTGAGTTCACCCCAGGTGGGAAAGAAAAACAGGCATAAAATGGTCTCTTTCTAGTTGCTTGGTGTGGTCATTTCCGGCTTATACACTGCTTTATTTGCAAATCTACTCTCAATTCTTAAATAGAAAAAAGGGGGTGGAGTGGGTGACAGTTCTAGTACCAAAAAGGTCACTGAGGGCTAGGACCTGGAAGGCAGACCTGGGCAAGCAGACAGAGGGCTCGCTGACATTCTCCGGCCCAGAATGATTCTCGGTTTCTCACTTCAGTCTTCTATCACTGTCCTACCTTCTCTGGCACATGAATGAACTCTTATTGTAAAAGATCAGTCATGCAGAAAGTAGCAAGAGGTTGCTCTGGCACCGTCACCAACCCTCCAAGGCCCTTCCCAGAACTGCTGCTCACTGCAGTACTTCTACAAATGGACCAGTCCTTTCTATATGTTTACAAACACATGTATTCATATTCGGTTCCTTCATTAAAAGCATAATTGGGGTTGTGATGTACACTGCTCTGTGGCTTGTTTTTAAATACAATGTCTTGCGATATTTCCATGTGATTTCTATGTCAGAGGGCATTCTTTTCATAAGCTTCAGAGGATGATAGCTGACACATGCCACACTTATTTTGCCAATGCCTTGATGACAGAACGTTAAGTTAACGCTGTACTTTCCTCCTGTCCCCTTTTTTTCTTAAGGGAATGTGGATTAAGGGACCTAAAATATTTTGGTTATTTCTAAAGGAAGACGACAGCTGATATATTTTAATATTTATGGTGTATATTTGTTATAAAAAGTTGGAGATGCAGAAGAGTCAACCAACTACAGATTCTTTCAAAACAGCTTTATTTATTTATTTTTTTTGAAATGGACTTTCGTTCTTGTTGCCCAGGCTGGAGCACAGTGGTGCGATCTTGGCTCACTGCAACCTCCACCTCCTGGTTTCAAGCAATTCTCCTGCCTCGGCCTCCTGAGTAGCTGGGATTACAGGCGCACGCCACCACCCTCAGCTAATTTTTGTATTTTTAGTAGAGATGGGTTTTGCTATGTTGGCCAGGCTGGTCTTGAACTCTTGACCTCAGGTGATCCACCCACCTCGGCCTCCCAAAGTGCTGGGATTACAGGAGTGAGCCACCACACCTGACCTTAAATGTTTTTAAAGTCGGGAATAAACAGATCACTGAAGGTTCTTTCAAAAAATCAGGAAACTTGAACCCACTGAAGGCATCAATTACATCTAGGCATAAAAGGTAATCTAGGCTTTTTCATTATAAATGGCGTATTGCCAGCTTCAGAAGAGAGTAAGTATATTTTGACTAGTAAATTAAGTCATTAATGTTACAAAAATGGTAGATAACTCTCTTCTTGAGTGAGATAGACACATACAGATATCATTCTCCCTGGGGTAAAAGGTACACACGTCAGTTACCAGATGCTTCTATATTCTAGAACCATCTAAATAGTCACATGTATCACAAGAAACAACTTTATAACTTGGCAAAAACTAACTTCTAACTTTTATTGTGCTGCTTTAAAAAGATTTTTCTTTGTGGGGAAAAGAAAAGATTCTCTCACTGAAGAGGTCAGGTGGCCCGGGGCTCTAGTCCCCAGTGTACCTTCTGGGCCCCAATGGCTCCAAACTCAGGCTGTTCCAGGCAGAATGCAGACAGCCACTACTGTGTGTACCTGACTGTCTAATTGCCATCTAAGCAGAGTTCCTAACCCCTCAAACCACAGTGCTCCATCCACAGTCAGACACAGCTGAAAAGGTACAGGAGGAACCTAACATGCAGAATGGCGGCTTTCTCATGATTGCAGCTCCTAAATTACTGAATTTAAGTCAACTACTAGAATCTTTCTAGGCACAAAGTTTGTTATTCATCTATGTCATATGGTGATCTGCTGAGTTCACGAGGAAAAAAAATTTTAGTATTTTCACCAAACCCACCGTAGATGCAAGACATGAGATGAACGACTGTCATAATTATTTGACACATATGTATTCAGTTAAACAGAACTTAAAGATGTTTATCCAACATGTATATTACTCAGGAGCCTGGTTTTGTCTTTTTATTTTTATTTTTTTTTTTTTTGAGACAGAGTCTCACTTTTTTGCCCAGGCTGGAGCGCAATGACGCGATCTCGGCTCACTGCTGCAACCTCCACCTCCTTGGTTTGAGCAATTCTCCTTCCTCCTCCCAAGTAGCTGGGATTACAGGCGTGTACCACCACACCCAGCTAATTTTGTATTTTTTTTTCTTTTAACTAGAGACGGGGTTTCACCATGTTGGTCAGGCTGGTCTCGAACTCCTGACCTCAAGTGATCTACCTGCCTCAGCCTCCCAAAGTGCTTGGATTACAAGTGTGAGCCACAGCGCCAGACCAGGATCCTGTCATCATTACTTAACTCTTTGCTCTTGGTGCTATTTTAAGGGTCGCTGAGAAGATGATGAGTAATTTTGCCAGTTGGTAGAATTTAAATGTATTGATAAGAAGTTTACTGGGGCCAGGTGCAGTGGCTCATGCCTGTAATCCCAACACTTCGGGAGACCAAGATGGGTGGATCACTTGAGGTCAGGAGTTCAAGACCAGCTTGGACAATATGACAAAACTCTGTCTCTACTAAAAGTACAAAAATTAGCCAGGCATGGTGGCGTGAGCCTATAATTCCAGCTACTTGGAAGGCTGAGGCATGAGAATTGCTTGAATCTGGGAGGCGGAGGTTGCAGTGAGCCAAGATTGCCCCACTGCACCCCAGCCTAGGTGATGAAATGAGACTTTGTCTCCAAAAAAAAAAAAAAAAATTGTTCATTGGGGTAGATCACAATTTAGAGCTGAATGGGCCTCAATAGAGACAATAAATAGTTCAACTTGAGGAAGAGGGGGAAAGAGAAAGAAAAAAGGAGAAGAAATGAGACCCAGACAAGTTAAACGTACCCAGGAGTCCACACATACAGATCTGAATAGTGGAAAAAGAATACGGACTAGAGACCAGAATTCTAGTCCAGCTTGAACATTAAATAACCACGTTATCCTCCAAAGGTCATTTTCCTTTTTGGCATTAGCCATCTCCCTATAAAACTAAAAGATTAGATTCATGGTCCCTTTCAGCTCTAAAATTTCATGCCTGGCTGGGTGCAGGAGCTCACACCTCTAATTCTAGCACTCTGGGAGGCCAAGGAGGGAGGATCACTTGAGCCCCGCAGTTTGAGATCAGCCTCGGCAACACAGTGAGACCCTGCCTCTACAAAAAAAAAAAAATTAGCTGGGTGTAGTGGCACATGCCTGTAGTCCCAGCTACTTGGGAGGCTGAGGTGGGAGGACTGGTTGAGCCCAGGAGGTTGAGGCTACATTAAGCCATGATTGTGCCACTGCACTCCCAAGTCTGCCTGGGCAACAGAATGAGAACCTGTCTCAAAAAATAATACTAAAATAAATAAAATTCCATGTCTAAAAATCTCTTCTTTTTTATTCCCAGATATCACCCTGTATATAATACAGGGTCCTCACAAAATGAGGTTTAACCCATTATTGAAAAGTCATAAATTCAATTATCTCCTTGTATCAAGAATAAGAGGTTGACAATTTGGCAATCATTATTGAAAGCCTGGGTAATATGATTTTAAGGATGTACCGTAATGCAATAAATATGGATGAAGCCCAAATGTAAGGCTTCATGACTAAATTGGTTCTAAAAACAAAACAAAACAAAACGGTATGGGCAAATACCCTAGATGACACACAACAGAAGACGGGATAGGAAACTGTGGTGAGGATCCAACACTATGCAGAGATTAGAATCAGTATAAATACACTGAATGAAAAACCCACAAAACTCTGCAGAATGATCTTTGTAATTCTGAAAGTTATAATGCATGGGACAAAGTCTACAAAACTCTATGGCAAATTTAACAGTGGTTATCCCTGAATGGCAAAAAATCCCTTTGTCTCACTGCTTTATTTCTTTTTCCAAAATAAATCTTTTATTTACATAATTGTTAAAGTTTAAATGGGAATTTTCTTACCTTTAGCCACTGGCCAAGTTGCTTCAAACACTTCTAAACATAACCATATTTACCTTATACAGATCTTCACAATGATACAAAGGAACTGCAATGATAGTTTCTTTCTTTTTTTTTTTTTTGAGACGGAGTTTTGCTCTTGTTGCCCAGGCTGGAGTGCAATGGCGCAATCTTGGCTCACTGCAACCTCCACCTCCCAGGTTCAAGCAATTCTCCTGCCTCAGAATGATTGAAGTTTCAAAGTATGAATAAACATTCCTATTCCCTAACAAAAATAAACATCAGGATAACCCCAAACAAAAGAAAGTATAAGAACTCAATGTCTACACATTTTCTAGGGGGTTATTTCTTTGTCACACATGACAAATCCTCTCATGAGTAATGTCTGTCCTTGACTGGCTTATCTCAACATCTCTGGAAGAGGGAAGGAAATAGGTGAGCCTCTCTCGCTCTGAGGAACAAGAAAAGGTGCATTCACTAAACACATACTTCCATTTTTAATGAAACTAATGAAATGAAATTTAAACTTGTCAAATTTTTATTTTAATAATTCAAGACTTAAGCCTAAAATGAACACATGTATTAATATTTTCTAAAATATGTGTACTATTAACCTTTGATTTATTTTAGCCACAAGGTGGCAGGAATTTCCACGTTAAGTTCTGTCTTAAAGATACAGCCGTATTTGAGGACTCTTCTTAAGTGACATTCATAGAGCTTTAACTAACAGAGGCAGCTACAACCACGTTAAAACTAGCTGCCTGGCTCCTCAGCATCAGTGACCAGCCATCACTGGAAATGAAGTATACCAAACAATAACAGGGGAGCAGAAGCAGCAATCAAACATGTTGGAAAAATACATAATAGCTGCTAACTTTTGAGCTCTACCTTACAGGTATTATGAAACATGTTTTGGAGGCATTATCTTAGTTTTTCTCAGTAGCCTCATTAGCTAAAGACTACAGTTATTCCCATTTTAGAAATGGGGCTGAACCATAACAGATTAACTTGACCAAAGTCAGCTAGAAAAGTGGTGGCACACAGTCTGTTCCATGCAACTGGGCTCTGGAATTGAACTCTTAACCTCCAAGCTCACTCATACTTTCACAAGTACATCAAGGTCACATAGCCTTCCAAACAACAGATGTTACAAAGAGAAAACTGAGAATTACCAGCATAGCCCTTTCACCTAAAGATTGAGCTTTGGGTGGCTACCGAGAAACATGGAGAAATGACACCAGGTTGGTTTAGGCAGCAGGCTGTCATGTTTGGAACCCATGGAGCAGGCCTATGGGGTTCATTGGAAGTCCAGGCTCAAGCCACTTCAAACTGCTCCAAGCAGCCCAGAACCAGTGGGTTAAACTATAAATACATGCATATATGCACAAATATTTGTTTCTCTTTAATCTTCACTTTGTAGCTGAGAAAACCAAAGCTCAGAAGTCAAGGTTACTAAGTCAGGGCTACCTGACTTTGGTGTTTACGCTTTCTCTGCTACACCCAATGCCTCTCAAATAAAATTAATTCTCCTCACAGAATGAAAACATATTCCATATCCCTTTTAAAAGCTTATTAGAAAACTGATAATTTTTTTACCACTGTAACACAAAACTGAGTTTTCCACTCCTTAGATTAACTTTTAAAAATACCTCATTGCTTTCTAATTTTCTCAATCTTTGAATTCTTGCAGAGGGAGTGAGAACAATACTCTTATAAGGCCGCTTGACAGGGAGGAACTAAAATTAGGTAGTCCCTCTCCAAATATTCTTATTGGCAACTTTTGGTCAGTATTTAGTATTTAATAAATGTTAACTGACTGAATATTAGAACAAAGGACATGAAGACTACTTCCCTAATCAAAATGCCTAATTTATTTAAGTTACCTAATTACTAAATTATACAATTCTTAACAGCCTTTTCCTTCCTCCTTGGGATCAACAGAAGCCTACCAATCTCTTAACAACTACGCTAAAGAATTTTGAGAACACCAGTGTGTCTACATTCAGTTTGCTGTCGTGGTTAGGATTCTTTTCAGCAATAATTCTGCCTTGACTAGCCAGTCTACCTTTCCTGTGCTTGCAGTCTTAATGCTTTGTTTTTTTGTTTTTAAAGGAGGAAGGCTAAAATGTCAATTACTTTATCCCTACCAAAGTTCATCTTATGCCTCTTCAAATCTACATAGCTTATGTCTCCAACTTATGTTCTCCCATTCAACTAATTAACTATTAAATAAGCATTTTGTTTCCCTTTAGCTAATTTAAGTTTTCAAATAAGGCCACAACAACAGGTCTCTGACAATCTCCAAATATCCTTGGGTTTATCACATCATCCTATATTTTCCAACAGGGACTTGGCTCTACCAAGTATTCAGTATAAATCTTTGTAAAGTAAAACATGGCCGGGTGCAGCGGCTCATGCCTGTAATCCCAGCATTTTGGGAGGCTGAGATGGGCAGATCGCTTGAGCCCACGAGTTCAAGACCAGCCTGGGCAACATGGTGAAACCCCATGTCTACAAAAAAAATACAAAAAAAAAGACTGCCAGTCTCATAACCCAGCCTCAAAATAAATAAAAATTAAAACAATATGGAGCCTCTGCTTTCTCCCTGCCCTCACTTTTATCCCCAGTTCTACTGAGGGTATAAAAGGTAAAATTTTCCTGGTCTTCTTACATGATACAACTAAAGAACAAAATTAGTCAAAAAAAGAAGAGAAAGAAAAATAAATTTGTTTTATGACTCATACCACAATTTCTATAATGTCCGAGACCTTATATAAATTGCCAAAAAATTTTACATGAACAAAGGATACCAACAGAAGAAATACAGAATGTGTTTAAACATATTAAAAGCCTCCAGTCTCACTTATGGGAGAAGTGAAAAACACAAGATATCACTTTCACATACTAGATTGGCAAAGTTTGATAAAGTCCTGTGTTAGGGAGAATTGGAGAAAGACTCCCCCACAATGCTGATGGAAATTTAAACTAGCTCCAGCTCTACAACACAATTTAAAGTGCAGTTCTACTTCTGGGAATTTATCATGTGGATACATGCTTACATACACACGACATGCAAAAACAGATTCACTACAATATTGTTCATAACTGCAAGAGACTGGAAACAACCTAAATATCCAAACTGCGATTAATCAAAGTCATGCCATATCTGTACAATCAAATACTATGTAACTATAAAAAATATATTTATATACACAAAACATTCAAATGTTATGGTATCATTTGTGTAAAAGGAGGAATACATACATGTAGCATTTGTTTTCCACATGGTTATCTCCCAAGAGATAAGGTAGTTAGGGAATAATACTGGGAGGAAGATTTGTACTATGTGCATCTTCAAATCTTTTATATTTTGAACCATGTGAGTGTTATTGATTTTACAAATAAAGTTCCATTTACCTTATACACATTTCCATCTTCTTCTCAGTCTTTTCTTTCATAGTCCCTCCTGAGTGAGTACTGCCTATAGTAACCTAGCTGAGCTCCTACTCTTGCAGCTCGTTTTACTTTTCCCCTTCAGGGCTCAGAGTCAGCCAGTGTGGTCTTTTCTTTCACCTTTCTGACACAGAGGACAGTCAGCCTGCTCCTGCCAGTATGGTATCTGGAGGTAGGTAGTTCAGGCTTCCATAGTTAGCTAACACCCAGTGCTGTGCTACTGAGCACTTTGTATGCCATTCTTTCATGTTCATATTCTGGGCAGATCTGTTAAAGGCCATATTTGTGGGACCCCCATTTCTCTCTCTAGTGCTCAGTTTATTAGATCTTTTCCAGCCTATAGAATTATCTTTTCCTAGGGGAGACTGTTTGATCTGTCAAGTATTGCCTGTTTACTGCACTGGAATATATTTTTTTCCATAAATCTAAGAGCAAATTACATTAATCCAATGTCTGCACGCTCCTAAATGACAATGGTAATCAGGTAACCAGTGAGTAAGAAGACTTATCATTTAACACTGTTGTTTAACACATGATCCAACTTACCAGCTTCAGATAAAATAGCCATAATATATGTGTCATACAAGAGGGGGAGACGGGGAGAGACTTTATGTTATTTGGCAACAATACCAAGGCCCAGAGCTTCTGCAAATAGGGTGTGATTCAGTTTCATACTAGACCACTCTATTATTGGCATTAAAGATATATTGAAAATGTAATACAACTTTAACCAATGTAGATTTTTACTAGACATTCAAACTTAAAAAGAAAGGCACGATTACAGGGTCAAATTTTGTAAAATAAAGTTTCTCTCTGCCACCTACCAGCCCTTCTCAGTTGAGAAATCCGCAAAATATGTTACTGTACTTAACTTAGTTATTATATATAGATTAAAAGCTTCAAGCTGCTTACTGTCTAGCTTGGTCCTTACTGGAATAGGTTACATTTACAACTGCAGTTTCCGAGTCAGTGTTCACTAGAGGAAGAGAAAAACGAAGAGAATAAAAGTTAGTTTTCTTTCTACTTCCTTCCTTTTACAAATTTGAAAGCAATTCAGAAGACATGTACCTTGCTCACAGCTCTCCACCACTCCATACTGGACTAGTAAACTATCCAGCACCTATCAGGAGGGGGAGAGAAAATTATAAATTTTGAGTTTCCCAAGTTATTATCAAGGGCAGGAATATGTCTTAAAATCACTAAGTAATTGTGATGGAAAAGAGCCAAAAAATTATCTGGGGCTTTGGACTGCAGAACTAAGGGATGGATACCACAAATATCACACTCAGACTTGTCTCTTCTGCCCTCTCCTAGATCCCTGACATTAATCTCATTTCCTATGGCTAACCAAGAACTGGCTCAGAAAAGTATGCAAAGCCACAGCCGCCTGGTTCCTGAGGCTGAAGGAGAAAGAGCATATATTTCTCATACATACACAAACACATCATCATACTTTCTCCTTGTAAACAAAGTCACTAGACAAGGAACCAAGTTACAAACTAAAGTTTAACAGGGCGCGGTGGCTCGCACCTGTAATCCTAGTACTTTGGGAGGCCAAGATGGGAGCATAGCTTGAGGCCAGGAGTTCGAGACCAGCCTGGTCAACATAGTGAGACCCCCCATCTCTAAAAAATAAAGTAAAATAAAAAGAGAAAAAAAAAACTAAAGTTTTATCTATAAGATGTTCTTTTCCAAAGGACTTCTTTTACAGCTCGAATGGTTCTTACAAAACAGATTGCTCAAGGCAGGCTAGAAAAATGAAGACAGCACAGTGCATACTCTACCTGGAGTGGAATTTAAAGCCCAACATAAATACATAGACAGCAAAAGTGTGAAATGAAGCAAACATTTCTAAGTCTACACGGGGTTGGGAAATGTACAATTTGAAGCTGTCTATGTTTTTACCATCTTTCCTGTAGCTGTATTATTATACTATGCATGTTATCCAAATGGAGAGGCTGTTAGAACAGTAACTGTAAGTTTATTATAATATCAACTGCAGATGTACGTCTCATCAATATAAACCAAATTCAGGTGTCCTTAGCTTCTAAGAGCTATAGCAAAACAAAGTAAGTTTCTGTAAATTATAGCAAATTACTTACTCATCAGTTTAACTACAAATTTTCTTATTTATTTATTTATTTATTTATGAGACAGGGTCTTGCTATGTCACCCAGGCTGGAGTGCAGTGGCATGATCACAGCTCACTGCAGCCTCAACCTTCTGAGTTTAAGTGATCTTCTCACCTCAGCCATCCAAGCAGCTGGCACTACAGGTGCACGCCGCCACCCTCAGCTAATTTTTAAAATTTTTTGTAGAGATGAGGTCTTACTACGTTGCCCAGGCTGGTCTCAAACTCCTGAGCTCAAGGGATCCTCCTGCCCTGGCCTCCCAAAGTGCCAGGATTACAGACGTGAGCCACTTAGCCCTAGCCTAACTGCAAAGTTAAAAGGGCGGTTCCTTGAAAATGTTTTTCAGGTGCCAGGAAATAGAAAACAAATTTTATGGTAATTTACTACTAAACTTAAGCAATTTCTTCTAAAGGAAGGTTTATCTTATGTGGTATATTTTAGGCTTTTGTCTACTGTTTCCAGTTTGAAACATATAACAAGGTTTGTCTGGGGTGAGCTTCTGTTTTTAGTTTTGGGACAGGGTCTCACTGTCACCTATGCTGGAGTGCAGTGGCACGACCATAGATCACTGTAGCCTCAACCACTGGGCTCAAGCAACCCTCCCACCCCAGCTTTCTGAGTAGCTGGCACTACAGGTGCATGCCACCACACCTGGCTAATTTTTAAGTTTTTCGTAGAGATGAGGGTCTCGGTATGTTGCCCAGGCTGGTCTCAAACTCCCAGATTCAAGGGATCATCCCAGCTGGGCCTCCCCAAGTGCTGAGATTACAGGCGTGACCCAGCACCTGGCCTGGTTTTTCTTTTAAATAAGGTTAATACCTATTTATGAGTGAAATGCCCTTTATTTTTATTTGGTAAATTTCCTTTGCATGAGGTAAATTTAATTTTTATTTGGTAAATTTCTTTTGCATGAGGTATACACACAGAAGCACATTAATCTTTGTCTCTGATTATAGCTATTCTTAAATCACAAAAAGACATTCAAATATTTCATGAGTGAAGTGAATACTTCATAGGAGGAAATCCTGGTATATCTTATAGGAAGAGTACTCTGTAAAAGTGCTTGTCTGTTTTATAGGTGAATTTGCCATGTGATGTTGATCACAGACACATTTTATAAACGCCAAAAATTAAGAAACCTCTCACGTTGCCATTCAAAGATAAAATATACAACACATAATTCCTTAAATTAAAAACAAGGGTGGCCGGGCACAGTGGCTCATGCCTGTAATCCCAGCACTTTGGGAAGCCATGGCGGGTGTATCACCTGAGGTCAGGAGTTCGAGACCAGCCTGGCCAACATGGCAAAACCTTGTCTCTATTAAAAATACAAAAATATTCGCAGGGCGCGGTGGCTCACGCCTGTAATCCCAGCACTTTGGGAGGCCGAGGCAGGTGGATCACGAGGTGAGGAGATCGAGAGCAGCCTCATCAACATGGTGAAGCCCCGTCTCTACTAAAAATAGAAAAATTAGTTGGGCACGGTGGTGCGCGCTTGTAGTCCCAGCTACTCAGGAGGCTGAGGCAGGAGAACTGCTTGAACCCAGGAGGCGGAGGTTGCAGTGGGCTGAGATCGTGCCACTGCAGTCTAGCCTGGGCAACAGAGCAAGACTCCATCTAAAAAAAAAAAGAAAAAACAACAAAATTAGCTGGGAGTGGTGGCGGGTGCCTGTAATACCAGCTACTTGGGAGGCCGAGGCAAGAGAATTACTTGAACCTGGGAGGTGGAGATTGCAGTGAGCTGAGAGCACGCCACTGCATTCCAGCCTGGGAAACAGAGCGAGACTTTGTGTCAAAAAAAAAAAAAAAAAAAAAAAAGCGGGAGGTTGGGGGGTGGGGGGTGGCGGTGCAGTGGGCAACCTACTTATTTTCTAAACAAAAATGAAATTTTTTCAATACGAAAAATGTTTTACTTCATACTTAAGTCAGAATTCTAACAAATTCATTCCACCTTCAGTAATGAAGTCAGGAGGAAAAGTATGTCTACCATTAAAATTTAGCTTTTAAATGAAAGCCACACTAATAATAATAGAGCTTTACAGCAACTTGGATGGAGGTGGGGGTAGCGGAGGGGTTCAGGGACTAGGAGGTAGTTGACAGTTTAATATGTTATTTAAAATATAGCTTTTAGGACCAGACACGGTGGCTCACTCCTGTAATCCAGCACTTTGGGAGGCCGAGGCAGGTGGATCACTAGAGGTCAGGAGTTTGAGACCAGCCTGGCCAACATGGTGAAACCCCATACCTACTAAACATACAAACATTAGCCTGCAGTGGTGGCGCATGCCTGTAATCCCAGCTACCCAGGAGGCTGAGGCAGGAGAATTGCTTGAACCTGGGAGGTGGAGGTGGCAGTGAGCAGAGATTGCACCACTGCACTCCAGCCTGGGCAAAAGAGCAAGATTCTGTCTCAAAATAAAATTTAGTTTTTAAATGAAAGCCACACTGATAGTAGAGCTTTATAGCAACTTGGATGGAGGCAGGGGTAGAGGAGGGGTTCAGGGAGTAGGAAGTAATTGCCAATTTAATAAGTTTAATTAAATAAACATCCTTCTTAATTCTTCTGAAAAGCAATTTGTTCAGTAATTAAGTATATTAGTCTCCACACAGATTACCTTATGCCACCTTAACTTTTATTACTCTTAGAGATAACACTACAAAAGTTAAACACCTGTGATCTATAAACAATACCGACTAAACCTACAATAATGTCAAGGCAACAAATGTTCTTCAAAAGCTACAGTGCCAAAGTGATAAATATTTATATACACACACATACAAATGATACAGGTAAATTTTTTAACTTAAAAAAAATCGGGGGACAATCCTTTCATGCTCTTCCTTTCCAAGTTAGGCCTGGTAGAATGGCTTCTACGAAGAAGGGTTGTGACAAGAAGGGCCGCTCTGCCACCAACAAGGTGATGACCTGAGAATGCATCATCATTTACAAGGGTATCCATGGAGTGGGCTTCAAGAAGACTGCCCCTGGGCATTCAAAGAGATCTGGAAATTTGTTATGAAGGAGATGTGTTCACTGACATGAGGCTCAACAAAGTTGTCTGGGCCAAAGGAATAAGGAACGTCCTATACCACAATCTGTGAACAGCTGTCCAGGAAATGTAATGAAAATGAAGATTCACCAAACGAGCTCCATATTTTGATTACCTATGTACCTGTTACCACTTTCAAAAATCTATAGTCAGTCAATGAGGATGAGAACTAGCCACCGATCATCAAATATGTTAAAGTTATAAAACCACACACACACACAAGTAGAAATATACATTAAAATTTTCACTGCATATATTCAAAACAAAATTGCCTGTATAGTTAAATATTCTATTCCTAAGAATAGATAAATGCTATTGGTTGTCAACTTCCGTGTAAATCTTTTTTTTTTTTTAGACAGAGTCTCACTCTATCACCCAGGCTGGAGTACAATGGTGCAATCTTGGCTCACTGCAACGTCTGCCTCCCAGGTTCAAGCGATTCTCCTGCCTCAGCCTCCCAAGTAGCTGGGATTACAGGCACACACCACTACACCCAGCTAATTTTCGTATTTTTAGTAGAGACGGGGTTTCACCATGTTGCCCAGGCTGGTCTCGAACTCCTGACCTCAAGTGATCCACCCACCTTGGTCTCCCATAGTGATGGGATTACAGGTGTGAGCCACCACACCTGGCCATGTAAAGTCTTTAGAAAGATAACTAGAAACTACAATCCTGTGCACTTTTTTTAAATGGTGAGTTTTATTGTCTGTGAATAATACTTCAACAAGCATGGCTTTAAAACAAAGTAAAAAAGAAAAAAAAAAAAAAACCACAAGCAAAAAAACCCCTCTAATCCTTAGAAGAAATAGGTGCAGAATCAATCTTGGTACCTAGCTGTGGAAAAAATTTAACAACACAACTTAGGAGATTTTACATAGCCCCATAGATGGATTTCAGTGGATCTTTGATGTCTTACTCAAAGTTTCATGTACAAGGCTTGGAAGTAATGACAACAGAATAGGGAAAGGGCTGTCAATAGCCTAATAAGATTCCCAAATCTCAAAAGGATTTCCAACCCCCAAATGACTTGAACTGTACTATAGTAATCCCATCAATCTTAAGGCAGGCCATTATTTGAATATGCTCTTTTATATCAAGGCCTATCAAATGGTATCATGCCACTCCAGCCCACTGAACTCTCAAAGAATAAATACAACTTACACTTGGTAAGTTCTCACATTTTGCTTTTTTTTTTTTTTTTTTTTTAAAGACAGAGTCTTACTGGAGTGCAGTGACATGATCTTGGCTCACTGCAACCTCCGCCTCCCAGGCTCAAGCCATTCTTGTGCCTCAGCTTCCTGAGTAGCTGGGATTACATGCATGTGCCACCACGCCTGGCTACTTTTTGTATTATAGTAGAGACAAAGTTTTGCCATGTTGGCCAGGCTAGTCCCGAATTCCTGAGCTCAAGTGATCTGCCTGCCTCAGCCTTCCCAAATGCTGGGATTATAAGTGTGAGCCACAGTGTCCGGCCGCATTTTGCTTAATTCTGCATTAAACAGGAAGATAAGACAGTGTTCCTGTTACCTGTCACATAAGCTACTTATGCACCTGTTTTTGTCTCCTAGATTCTTGTCCCCTCTCAGTACTGCTAATCATTCTATGTCAGCCACAAATACTTCTTTTAAACAGTCTTAAAGGCCAAAAAAAAAACCACGAAAAAAAACAAAAAGCTTTCCACTCTATATTTCCAACACTTTCACAAGTTCCCATACCTAAATAAAATCTTAAACCAGAAAGGAAACATTTCTCTATGCTTAGGTAAGTTTAAATTCCAACGACAGGGGAGGGAGGAAGGGGTATAAATGCAAAGTAAAGCCTCATAGAAAATGTCTTTCTAGAATTCCCCCGTTATGTATTTAGGACGTGAAACCCTCAAATGTTCAGCCTTTTTAAAAAAAAAAAGTTCATCCACGGCTGGGCGCGGTGGCTCACGCCTGTAATCCCAGCACTTTGGGTGGCCGAGGTGGGTGGATCACTTGAGGTCAGGAGTTTGAGACCAGCCGGGCCAACATGGTGAAACCCCATCTCTACTAAATATACAAAAATTAGCTGGACATGGTGGCACGCACCTGTAGTCCCAGCTACTCGGGAGGCTGAGGCAGAAGAATCCTTGAACCCGGGAGGCAGAGGTTGCAGTGAGCTGAGATTGCACCACTGCACTCCAGCCTGGGCAACAGATAGAGACTCCATCTATTTAAAAACAAAAAAAAACAAAAAAACAAAGTTCATTCAAATGTATAAACAGTACAGAAAGAATCACATGAAAAATGCAAAGATTATCACTTCCTGAATGTAATGGTACAAAATTAAGATCACTCATAATAGTCTGAAGTAGAAACAACCCGAATGAATGCTTACTGACTGATGAATGGAAACAAAATGTGGTATATTTGTACAATGGAATATTATTCAACCATAAAAGGGAGGTACTTATACATGCTGCAACAGACAGACCTTGAAAGTATTATGGTTACCTTGTTAGTATAGCGAAGACAGAAAGAGAGAAAGAGAGAGAGAAAGAAAAGAAAGAAAGAAAAAAAGAAAGAAAGAAAGAAAGAAAGAAAGAAAGAAAGAAAGAAAAGAAGGCATTATGCTAAATGAAAACAGTCACAAAAAACTACTTATTATATGATTTTTGTTTGTATGAAATGTCCAGAATAGGGAACTCTACGATAGACAGAAAGTAGATTAGTGGTTTCTATGGGCTGAGGAAAGTGAAAGTGGAGGGTGACAGTTAAATGTTTCTTTTTGAGGTGATGAAGGTGTCCTAAAAATGTGGTGATGGTTGCACGTATCTATTAACATACTAGGCCGGGCGCGGTGGCTCACACCTGTAATCCCAGCACTTTGGAAGGCCAAAGCGGGCGGATCACCTGAGGTCAGGAGTTTGAGACCAGCCTGACCAACATGGAGAAACCTCGCACCTACTAAAAATACAAAATTAGCCGGGCGTGGTCGCGCTTGCCTGTAATCCCAGCTACTCGGGACGCTGAGGCAGGAGAATCACTTGAACCCAGGAGGCAGAGGTTGTGGTGAGCTGAGATGGCGCCATTGCACTCCAGCCTGGGCCACGAGAGCAAAACTTTGTCTCAAAAAAAAAAGAAAAAAAAACTTAAAAAAAAATAATTGTACACTTTAAATGGTGAATTGCATAGTATGTGAATTATATCTCAATAAAGCTGTTAAAAAAATACTAAAAGCAACTTTACCAGGTAATGGCCTAGTTTTGCCTTTTAAACTCTGAAGTATTATTGATCACTTCTTGGCCTTTTGGCCAAGCATCATCCACAGAACCGGCCTAGTCTGGTTCAGCTTTGTGTGACAAAATGGTGATTTGTTCTTCAGTTGCCATGGATCCCCAGGTTGCAAGTTCTGTAACCTGAGCCTGTCCAGATGAACCACGCATGCAACCACAAGCAGAACCTAAGTGCCTGGACCGAGACAGGACCAAATTAAGAAGTGGACACCACATGACATGATCCATGATCCAATCAGATTGAGCCCTGGTGTCACCTCCTGGTATGATCCAGTCAGATCACACCTCCTGGCATCACATCATTGTAAGATTCAATCAGATCATACCTCATTACCCTCTGTCTATAAAATATGTCCCAGCCCCCAGCTGGGGGAGACAGATTTGAACCTGACTGTCTCCTTGCTTGACAGTCTTACCACGAACTTTTCTCTTTACAAAAGAACCTATGCTTTGGTGTTTGCTTTCCATTGCACATGGACAAACAGAACCAGTTTGGTTCAGTAACAGTATCATTGAAATACAGAATAAACTGCAAGAAATTTGATTCACTTTGACATTATGTATACACTCACTAAACTATCACCATCATGACAAGTTTCTTCATGCTTCTCTTCAATCTAGTAGCCTAGTTTATTGACACATATAGAGATCACTGCAATAAAGACAGTTTAAAAAACTGTCTTTGACCTGCAACGTGATCAGATTTTCTCAGCCACATACCAGATATATCCCCACCTCCCTCACAAAACTGGCTGTATTTTAGTTGATACCACTATGGGCGTGAGGTAGATAATTTATGTTCTGCAGATAAGCCTTCTGCTGACTGCTTATTCTGCATACCCACTGCTCAAGTCCCATCACTCCTGGGCTATCTGAACCAAGTCTGATTAGCATGCTTGCCTGTAGCCTAACACTCCATGACTATATCCTCCTGCCAGCAGTTACTACCCTTCTGTGGTTTCAAATTGCCAGTATAACTTGTCCAAACTTCAACATGGCATAAGAGGTTGTCAGTTACCTGGTACTACTTCTCTCTTCCATATATCCAACATACTTCCCACACCTATGCTCTAGTCACGCCCTCAAAACTGGGTAAAGTACCTCTCTCGTCATCTCCCTAATACCCATTCTTGGAAATGAAAGCAATGTCACTTTATAATCTCTTTCCTGATCTTTATTTTCCCACTAGACTAGTGATTATTAACCATAGTGATGTGATTGTCAGGTGTGTCACAGTAATCTAGTTTTCAGAGTCACACTGACTTCCATGCTTAAGCTGGCAGGTAATTTATCATACATACGATCTTAGATTCCAAATCTTTTTTATTTGACTGTTACATTTGCCTTATGTGTTTCAGAAGATGGAACAACAATGTCGGGCATTATAGTCTGTGTACCAATATATATCCTGAAAATCTCTCTGGAAATGGGTTACTCCTTCAATGTGGCTCTAACACAGAGCTGCACTATCCCATAAACCTCATAAGGGAAGGGGCCATGTCTTACCTTTGAACTCACTGCTCAGGATCTGTGATGAACAATAAAAGGTTAAAAAGGAGTCACACTATTTTTTTGTTCTACAGGGCAAAGGAAGCTAGTTCTAGGTTTTTTGGTTTTTTTGTTTTTTTTTTTTAAGACAGAGTCTTGCTCTGTCACCCAGGCTGGTGTGCAGCAGTGTGATCTCAGCTCACTGCAACCTCCACTTCCTGGGCTCAAGCCATTCTACCACCTCAGCCTCCCGAGAAGCTGGGATTACAGGCGTGTGCCACCACGCCCAGCTAATTTTTTGTATTTTTAGTAGAGACAGAGTTTTGCCATGTTGGCCAGGCTGGTCTCGAACTCCTGACCTCAAGTGATGTGCCCACCTCGGCCTCCCAAAATGCTGGGATTACAGGCGTGAGTCACTGCGCCCAGCCAGTTCTAGGTGTCTTTAAAAGTCCATAATAATATAAGCAAACAGGTATTTGTCAGGAATTTATACAAAAGATATAGAAGTGGAACAAGCATTACAAAAATCACAGTGAGATTAAAGTATTAATAAAATGCAAAGCGGGATATTTAATGCTTACTTGCCCCAACAAACACCTTGCCAACACACACACACACACACACACACCCTTCCAAGCACCAAAGCCAATGTCAGTCATTGGGGAGGGGTTTCTAGAAAGGAGTCACCTTGACTACTACTCATTGCAACAAGAGAGGCAAAAAGTCTCCACAGAATCACCCTTAGCGCTAGGGATATGGAGATGAAGGGAACATCCTTCAAACAGCTCAGCACAGTTTATACAAACAGGAACTACTTATCTGTCATGGGCAAGATCATCTCAGGAACTGTTCTTTTACATCTATTTGTGAGAAATGGCTATATTACAAAATGAAGAACAATCTGTATTGCAGGTTCCAAATAATCATTTCCAGTTAAATATTGATATATAATTCTAAAACAAAATAAAGAAATATCCACCTTAATGTATATTTCTCTAAAATGTTAGCACCGTAATTACTTGGATAACACTCAAACCATTCCTCACACTGGTGTGAAAATGACTGTCAAGTTAAGAAAGCCAGCACCACAGACCAGACCATTAATAAGATTGTAAACCATGCTGCATATCCCCTTTATCATCGAAAAGCCCCAGAGGGAAGCTCAGCCTCCATCATACCACACGGAGCAAAGCGTCCCAACTTTCTAGCCACTTTCAATGTTCACAAGTTAGATCCTCTAACATGGGGAGGAGATGATGCTTTAGGACTCCTAGGAGTCATGTGATCAGAGCCTCTGAGAGAGAACAGTCCAAGTTATCCGGCCACACTGGACTCTCTGAGAGAGAACAGTCCAACAATCCAGCCACACTGAAGTCACAGTGGAAAAACCGAATCCAGAGCTTAAGGGGCTTACGTTATGTTTCTCTTTGGCAATGCTGAGCTAGACTGATTTTTATTTTTAATTTATTTTTTATTTCAATAGGTTTTTGGAGAATAGGTGGTATTTGGTTACATGAATAAGTTTTTTTTTTTTCTTTTTTGAGATGGAGTCTCACTCTGTCACCCAGGCTGGAGTGCAGTGGCACGATCTTGGCTCACCGCAACCTCCGCCACCCGGGGTTCAAGCGATTCTTCTGCCTCAGCCTCCCAAGTAGCTGGGACTACAGGCACGTGCCTCCACCCCCGGCTGATTTTTGTATTTTTAGTAGAGATGGGGTTTCACTATGTTGGCCAGGCTGGCCTCAAACTCCTGACCTCGTGATCTGCCCCCCCTGGCCTCCCAAAGTGCTGGGATTACAGGTGTGAGCCACTGTGTCTGGCTTACGTGAATAAGTTCTTTAGTGGTGATTTCTGAGATTTTGGTGCACCCATCACCCAGGTAGTGTATACTGTACCCAACATGTACTCTTTTATACCTCACCCTCCTCCCACCCTTTCCGCCGAGTACCCAAAGTCCATTGTATCATTCTTATGCCTTCACATCCTCATAACTTAACTCCCACTTATGAGTGAGAGCATACGACGTTTGGTTTTTCCATTCCTGAGTTACTTCACTTAGAATAATACGGAACTAGACTGATTTTAAAAGCCGAGCAGAACAAGTCACACCCTACTATAAACTCTAAGAGATCCCTAACAAGTGCCCTGAAGGCCGTGTTCCACTCATCCTTTAAGGCCATTCTCTTCTCTCCAACCACACCAGCCTTCGTTCAGTCATGAATCAGGGCTGCTAACATTTGAGTGCTTTCTGGCAGCAGCATTGTCCCAAATGCTTTATCTACTTTAACTCAAATCCACACAATCCCATGAGGCAACATTATTCCATGTTATAGATGGGCAAGCTGCAGCACAGAAAAGTTCACAGTGTCAGAACTTGGACAGATAAATGCTGGAGAAATGATTCAAACTCCAGCTCACAGATTCCAGAGCCCATACTCTTAATCACTTGGTCTAATAAGTTGCCTCATTTCCCTATGCAATTTAAATAAAATATAAATACACCGACGGAAACCAGTTCAATCCTTACTCGGCCATTACCTGCACTAGAAAATCAAATCTGTCCATAGGCAGGTTAAGAGCTTTATTAACTCCCATGTATCCCCTTGCTCATGTTCCAAGTACTAAATACGATACTTCTATACATCTTAGTCAGAAGAAGGTACTAGCCAGCATTAACTTGTGCTACATTTTACTCACAGAAATGCTCATAAAAACATTCAAAATAGTTCAATGTTAGGTGGTTTTTGAACCACCTGCTTTCAAAACAGGGACTTCCCCCAACCCCTAGAAGAAACCACTGTCGCTTTGGTGGGGTCTCTCCAGGTGTTTTTAGAAGTGTGTGTGTCACACGAAAAGACGCTCTGCACCATTAGTCATTAGGGAAATGTAAATCAAAACCACAAGGAGATACCACTTCACCTCCATTAGAATGGCCATAATTTTTTAAAAAGAAGGAAAATATGATTCAAGGGGCATCATAAAAAGAAAAACAAAGGAAAATAATGAGTGTTGACACAGATGTGGAAAAATCAAAACCCTCATACATTGCTGGATAAAATGGTGCAGCTGCTATGAAAAACAGTACAGCAGTTCCTCAAAAAAAATTAAAAATAGACCTACCATATGATCCAGCAATTCCACTTCTGGGTATTGATATGGTTTGAACATTGTGTCTTCTTCGAATCTCATGCTGAAATGCGATCCCCAGTGTTGGGGATGGGGCCAGGTGGGAGGTGTTAGGGTCATGGGGGCAGACCCTTCATAAATGGCTTGGTGCCATCCTTGAGGTAACAAGTGATTTATTGCTCTGTGAGCTCACATGAGATCTGGTTGTTTTAAAAGAGGCTGGAACTTCCTTTTCTCTCTTGCTCCCTCTCATGCCATGTGACATGCCCACTCCCCTCTACCTTTCACCATGAGTAAATGCTTTCTGGGCCTTGCCAGAAGCTGAGCAGATGCTGGAGCCATGCTGGTATAGCCTGAGGAACTGTGAGCCAAATAAACCTATTTTCTTTACAAGGTACCCAGCCTCAGGTATTCCTTTACAGCAACACAAATGCACTAACCGAGTATACGTCCAAAAGAACTGAACACAGGGACTCAAAGAAGTACTTCTACACCCATGTTCATGGGAGCATTATTCAAAATAGCCAATAATTGAAAGGTGAAAGCAACCCAAGCATCCTCTGACTAATGAATGGATAAAACAAAACATGGTACATATAAACAGTCATCCCTCGGTATCTGTGAGGGATTGGTTTCAGCAACCCCCTACCTTGGATACCAAAATTCACAGATGCTCAAGTCCCTTATATAAAAATAGTATAGTAGAGGCTGGGCATGGTGGCTCAAATCCATAATCCCAGCTCTTTGGGAGGCCAAGTTATCACTTGAAGCAAGGGATCAATTGAGGCCAAGAGTTTGAGACCAGCCTGGGCAACATAGGAAAGACCCCATCTCTACAAAAATAAAAATAATTAGCCAGATGTGGTGGTGAGTGCCTGTACTCCCAGCTACTCGGGAGGCTGGGGTGGTAGGACTGCTTGAACCCAGAGTTAGGAGGATGCAGTGAGCTATGATGACGCCACTGCACTCCACCCTGGGTGACAGAGTGAGACTCTGTCTCCAATAGTGACGATGATGATGATGATAAATAAGTAAAAGTATAAAAAGAAAATGATTTGATATCGGGGGAAATTCACCCCCGATATTTCACATAGGTTCTTTTCTATATTCCCTAAGTGTCGGCCGGTCTGAGAAATAAAGGGACAGAGTACAAAAGAGAGAAATTTTAAAGCTAGGTGTCTGGGGGAGACATCACATGTCGGCAGGTTCCGTGATAAATGTCCATGAAATCTTCACAGTTTATGTTCTTCTGCCAAGGCTTCAGCCGGTCCCCCCGTTCAGGGTCCCTGACTTCCCGCAACAATTTTATATTATGTGAATTTCTCAATTTTTAAAAAGGTATGTGTATATGCTCATATATTCACATATATACCCAAAGAGCAATATTTGTTGAGTTTTAAATTTTCACACTAGAGTGTCAAATACTGTTTTAAACATTTTATATAATCCATCTTATTTATGCCTCAGAATGTAGCAATTATCCCCATTTCATATATGAATAAACTGAGGTCGATTTTAAGTAACTTGCTTAAGTATGACATTCCTTATCTTGCTACCCTCCCCCACCACCCCAATCTGTCATCTTGGTGATCCATCCGTGTTGGTAAATGCAAACCTTTGGAACTGCCACATGGAATTCAATAGGTGGGAGTCCCAGCTATTGATCTGCTATCTTTCTTTCATTCCACCCCCTTCAGGCATAGGGTCCCCCAACATGCCACACAGTCTGGGGGAGTCAAGCAAAGAACTAGGACAGCACTGACTGCCCAGGCCCCCTTCTAGGCTTTTCGCCGCTAAAACAAAATGCAAAGGCTAGAGAATCCTAGAAGCAAACACCAGTTTTAGTAACTAGCTTACTCCTTTAGCAGAAAGGCAGGAATACCACTCCAAACAGCTATAAATTACTAGAGAAAAAGGGAAAGACAGCAGTTCAGAACAAAGCCTGATTACAACTCCAAACATAATTCTGGTAAAATCACAGAATAAGAAGTGAATTTTCTAAATGAGGTGATAAATGTCCACGATTGTATGGTCTCCAAAAGCAGTAGCAGACCATCCCAGATGCTGGCATTTTACCCACTACCCCTATTTAAAGCTTAGTTTAAAAGTAAGAATAAAAGCAACTGGAGGAGGAGAAGAGGTAGATTCCAAAGTCAATAATGATAGGAATGTTTCCTACAAGAATTAGTCCTTCAGGTGTGCAGCAGTTATCCTTCTGGCTCTATGGGGCCTTATAATAAAATTCCTAAACTAGTTCAATAAAGGGAAAAAAGAAAACTCAATCTCTCACTACCGACTTATGCTATAGAATTGAATTTAGCATGAGCAGTTCTCAACATCCCATCAATAGGTGCAGTTAAGAATACCACACTACATGAAAACACATGATTTGGTAAAACTGACTTTAAAATACACAAATAATTTTGGGAAAACACAGCAGCTCCACTTGCAAAAGGGCAAAGGAATCACAGCTAACAGATGCTAACATCAACATACAGCACTAACAAGGGATCACTGGAAGAAGTCTTAAACTCTGCTGGGAGGAGTGTTACTTGAGATATTTCTCAAAATAAATTTAGCAATTAAAAAAAGCCTTGAGGCCAGGCGCGGTGGCTCACGCCTGTAATCCCAGCACTTTGAGAGGCCAAGGCAGGCGGATCACCTGAGGTCCGGAGTTTGGAGACCCTATCTCTACTAAAAATACAAAAATTAGCCGGGCATGGTGGCGGGCACCTGTAATCCCAGCTACTCGGGTGGCTGAGGCAGGAGAATGGCTTGAACCGGGAAAGCAAAACTTGCAGTGAGCCAAGATCACACCACTGCACTTTAGCCTGGGCAACAGAGTAAGGCTCCATCTCCCAAAGAAAAAAAAAAAAAAAAAAGAAAGAAAGAAAGAAAAAGCCTTGAGGCTGGGCACGGTGGCTCACACCTATAATCCCAACACTTTGGGAGGCCCGAGGCAGGCGGATCGCTTGAGTCCAGCAATTCAAGACCATTTTGGGCAACATGGCAAGACCCCATCTCTACAAAAAATACAAAAAATTACCTGGGAATGGTGGTGCATGCCTGTAGTCCCAGCTACACGACAGGCTGAGGCAGGAGGTTGGCTTGGCCCAGAAGGCGGAGGCTGCAATGAGCCAAGATCAGCGTGGGCAACACAGCGAAACCTGTCTCAAAGACCAAAATTAACTAACTAAATAAAAAAACCTTGAAAGATTGCTAATCTTTGACCTGCTAATTTTATTTCTGTTCAATTGTCACTAAAGAAATCAGCAGGAATGTGGGTGTAAATTCATCCACAGATATGTTCACAACTGTGGTAATGGTTAAACATGAGGAATGGTTAAGTAAATTACCAGTTACACATAGAACAGAAAAAACATCCATTATAAACTTAAGGAGTCCAATTACATAATGTTTATGACAAAATTTAAAAAAAAAACTGTGCTAAAAAGAAAAGAACAAAAAAATAAAACCTTTGTGCTTCAAAGAACACTATCAAGAAAGTGCAAAGACATAGATAATGGGAGAAAATATTTGCAAATCATATATCTGATAAGGGACTTACATCTAGCATATACAAAGAACTCTTAAAACTCAACACTAAAAGGCCAAATAACCCATTTTTTTATGCAGAGGAAGTGAATAGACATTTCCTCAAAGAAGATATACAGATGACTAATAAGCACATGAAACAATGCTCGACATCATTAGTCAGTAGGGTAACAGAAATCAAACTAAAGTGACTTATCGCTTCACACCCACTAGGATGGCTATAATTGAAAAGACAAATAATAACAAGTGTTTAGGCAAAGGATATAGGGAAACTGGAACCCTCAGACATCGTTGGTGGGAATGTAAAATGGTACAGCCTCTTTGGAAAACTGTCTGGTTGTTCTTCAAAAAGTTACCATATGATCTAGCAATTCCATTCCTGGGTATACACCCAAAAGAACTGAAAATCTATGTTTACACAAAAACATGTACACCAGTGTTCAGAGCAGCATCATTCAATGGAAACAACCTAAATGTCCATCAGCTGCTGGATGGATAAACAGTAAGTGGTATATTCACACAATAATTATTACCCAGCCATAAAAAGGAATGAAGTACCTACTAAAATCTGGCTGCACCTTGAAAATATTATGCTAAGTGAAGGAAGCCAGACATAAAAGGCCACATATATATGATTCCTTTTATATTAAATGTCCACAATAGGCAAAGCTAGAGACTCAGAAAGTAGATTAGTGGTTTCTAGGGCCTGGGAGGAGACTGGAAGATAGGAGGGGCAAGTGACTGTTAATGGCTATAGGGTTACTTTTGGGAGTAATTAAAATGTCTTAAGATTAGTGGTGATACTTCCAAACCTTTAGACTATACTAAAAACCACTGAATTGTATGCTTCAGAAAGGTGAATTTTATGACATCAAATATAGTTCGATTTTTAAAAAAATTAAAAATGTTTAAAACAGGATATAAAATTATACATGCAAGACCCAACGATGTTGAAAAATGCCTAATCATTAAACTGAACTATTAGTCACGGAATAATGTTGCCATTGGGAGAAAGACTTTTTCTTTTCACTTTTCAAGTTTTCTACAAGGAGTATATAATTTTAGAATCAGGAAGAAAATGAAAACAAATATCAAATCTGAATTACACTGGCCTTTAGATAGTTTTCAAAAAAAAAAAAATGCCAGGAAAATAGACATTTCTCTTCTTGGTTTTTTTTTGAGACAGAGTCTCGCTCTGTCTCCCAGGCTGGAGTGTAGTGGTATGATCTTGGCTCACTGTAACCTCTGCCTCCCAGGTTCAAGCAATTCTCCTGTTTCAGCCTCCTAAGTAGCTGGGATTATGGGCGTGCACCACCATGCCAGGCTAATTTTTGCTTGTTTTTTTTTTTTTTTTTTTTTTTGAGACAGAGTCTCGCTCTGTCGCCAGGCTGGAGTGCAGTGGCATGATCTTGGCTTACTGCCACCTCCGCCTCCCAGGTTCAAGCCATTCTCCTGCCTCAGCCTCCCGAGTAGCTGGGACTACAGGTGCACGCCACCATGCCCAGCTAATTTTTGTATTTTTAGTAGAGACGGGGTTTCACCATGTTGGCCAGGATGGTCTCAATCTCTTGACCTCGTGATTCACCCACCATGGCCTCCCAAAGTGCTGGGATTACAGGTGTGAGCCACCGTGCCTGGCCTTCTCTTCTATTCGTAAGGCTCCCCCGGAAGAGTACTGGAGAAACACAATTGAATGAGCAGAACCAAATGTATGAATTATTTGGAGACCAAGCAGAGGAAAAAAAGATGCTTACCACACCAACTCATTGTGGCATATTGAACACACTGCTAGGACAAGGTCAGAGTTCTATGGAAGAAAGCGGACTAGTGGAGTCCCTCCCTCCATTAGCATTTGTTTCCTATGATGGACATGTGTTTCATAATAAGTTCAGCTGCTTTTGAACAATGGGTGGACAAATTATCAGTGTTACAAATGTCTTTGAAATTTTTTCCTTTTGAAATTTATTGGTGGGGTGGAGCAGGTAGTTCTACAAGGCAAACCAAGGTTTCCCCACACCCACTGTTGCTCTGTCTCAGCTAGTGTGTATTCAAGATAAAGGCATTTTTTGATCCCAGCCATGTTCTCTTATATCTGCTGTAGTTAAAAAACTGCTTAAGTCCACAAGTACTGCTTTTGGTCCAGAATTCTATTAATCCAACTTTTCACTCAGATCCTACCCCTCAGATGTGATTCCACTTCATGTTGTTTAGAAAATATTTGGGTACCAATTTGGATAGCACCTATTGCGAATGAACTGGGACTAGAAGCAGGCATTCTCAAGTAATTTTAAAGGTTTTAATGAGTAACAGGGGTCCATTAATAATCAAGGAGAAGTTATGGTTAGCAGAAGACAGTTCAGTTAATGGCAAATCTTTTAGGAAATCAATTCTATAAAACAGTAAATTGCCCTCACAGAAGCTCTATTCACCAACCAAGTTCACCTGGAGTTTAAAGATACTACAAAACAAAATCTCAATTTTCTAGTCTTCAAACTGCTCCTCCCCATGTGCCTGCTTCTGTCCTCAACAGCAGGATTCCAGAGTTGTGTCTGCAACTCGCCACTCCCAGTCCATACTTGGTTTGGAACCTATATGCTCTTATAGCTTATATTTGGTCCCTACAAAATATACATCCATGCACTGGCTATACACGGGGCAATTCCATGCATCTCTTATTGTTAACGAGTGAAGTCTTACACAGGTGCACTTGAGAGGTCAAGCCATGGTCAGCTAACTGGTGAGAGGTCAGGGGATGCAGAGAATTTGAATGTCAACTTCTAAGATGGGTTGGGAAAGTCGTAACTTGGTAATGTCTTTAAATATAAAAAGGCTATTTCAAAATTAATGTTCAGCCGTGAATACAAAAGAATACCCACTGCACTGTGAATTTTGAGGTAAAAACCGTGGAGACTGCCCACTATGCCTCTTTTTTTTTTTTTTTTTTTTTTTTGAGATGGAGTCTCGCTCTGTTGCCCAGGCTGGAGAGCAGTGGCACGATCTCAGCTCACTGCAACCTCCGCCTCCCGGGTTCACGCCATTCTCCTGCCTCAGCCTCCCGAGTACTAGGACTACAAGTGCCTGCCACCGTGCCCAGCTAATTTTTTGTATTTTTTAGTAGAGACGGGGTTTCACTGTGCTAGCCAGGATGGTCTCGATCTCCTGACCTCGTGATCCATCCGCTTCGGCCTCCCAAAGTGCTGGGGTTACAGGCATGAGCCACCGTGCCCGGCCTACTGCCCACCATGCTTCTTGGCCGATGAGTGGCATCCATGCAATTTAATATGGTTCAAGACTGTCATACATTACTCTCATCCACTCCCAACTGATTCCCTACTAACTACCTTTAAACTAGAACACACTATGTCTTCTTACTTCTAGGACACAATCCCTGATCACCCCAGTCTTGGTTAACTCCCTGTACTGGGATGAATAGCGCCCTTTAAAAATTCACCAGTACCTCTGAATATAGCTCTAATCCAATGACTAATATCCTTTTAAGAGGGAAATTTGGACGGACACACACAGGGAGAACACAACGTGACTACAAAGGCAGAGACTGGGATGATGCAGCTACAAGCCAAGGAACAGCAAAGATTGGGCACAGCCACTAGAGGCTAGGAGGAAGTCTTGCCAGCACCCGATGGCAGACTTCTGGTTTCCAGAACTAGGTTTTAAGCTTCCCAGTTTGTGGAAATTAGTTACAGCAGCCCTGATAAATTAATACACCTCTCTCCCATCTTCCATAGTAAGCACCCACCTCCAACCTAACCCAGGGGCTTGTTTTTACTGTGGAAGGCCATTCACTTGTCCATGTCTAAATCAGACTCAACTTCACAGCTGTATCTAGAACAGGCCCTAGCACAGAGCTATAGACTTTGGGACTCCCACACAGCAATGGAGAAATCCCTCCTCCCAGAAGTCTCTATATCCACACAGTAATCAGCCACCAAACACACTGGATTCTTCACACACATTATTCCACTTAGTCATCTGAACAATCTTCAAAGGCAGATATTAACCCTGTTTTCAAGATGCAAAAATTGAGTTTCAAAGAGGAAAGGCCACATGCCCAGCGGGACAGGAAATACGAGAAGAGTCAGGATGTGAACCCACACTACGTGACTCTAAAGTCAGTGCTCAATAGGCTACACCCGTTTCTCAAAAAGTCACCACCTTGTAAGGAAAATGATTCTTCAAAAGCTCTTCATACCAGCAAGCACAGAAAGTTGATAAATTTTGAAGCTGGTTGACAGGTACATGAGGATTTATTATATACTCTCTACTTGTATATGCTTATATGTTCATTAAAGTGATGGCTGATTTTAAAATTTTAAGTTAAATTTTAATTTTTTTTTTAGATGGAGTCTCACTGTGTCACCCAGGCTGCAGTGCAGTGGCATGACCTCATCTCACTGCAACCTCCACCTCCCAGGTTCAAGCAATTCTCCTGCCTCGGTCTCCTGAGTAGCTGGAATTACAGGCACGTACCACCACGCCCAGCTAATTTTTGTATTTTTAGTAGAGATGGGGTTTTGCCATGTTGGCAGGGCTGGTCTCGAACTCCAGACTTCAAATGATCCACCCACCTCGGTCGGCCTCCCAAAGTGCTGGGATTACAGGCTTGAGCCAATGCACCCGGCCTTAAAACTTAATTTTTAACGTCAAAGTCCAAAGTTTAAAATTAACAGTAATCACTGGGCAAAGATGTAACATTTGCACTGTTCATTAAAATGCCACTATGTGACCTGGTGCAGTGGCTCACACCTGTAATCCCAGCACCTTGGGAGGCTGAGGCGGGAGAATCACTCAAGCTCAGGAGACTAGCCTGGGCAACATAGGAAGACCCCATCTTTACAAAAAATAAATTAGCCAGGTGTGGTGACACACCCCTGTGGTCCCAGCTATTCAGGAGGCCGAGGTGGGAGGATCACTTGAGCCCAGGAGGTTGAGGCTGCAGTGAGCCGTGGTTGCAGCACTGTACTCCTGCCTGGGCAACAGAGATGCTGTTTTAAAAAAACAAAAAACAAAAAACTTCACTATGTAATGGGCACTACACAGGTTATTATCTCTGAATACAACAAAACAGGTTGGCAGGATAGCAACTCCTGCATCTTTCAGAAAACACTGTAGTTTGAGTAAAATGAAATTTGATCTTACCAGGTTTTTTTTTTTCCAAGATAAAGTTTCCTAGGATTTCAACTGTATCGTAAGAGAAATATTCTCTCATTGTTTAACATATTTTATAGACAGAAGCAGTAAAATTGCTAAAAACAAATTCAAGCACTACATCTGTCAGGATTTTAATCATGACCAAAAGTTCAGCTAAATACAAATTCACTTATATCACAATCAGTGCCTCATCTGCCATCTCAATAACTATCCTCCTACCATTAATTTTTATCCAATTGCTATACACCTTATGGTAAAACAAAAATGGCCTTGCCCATTAGTGACACCTCAGACAAGTAAGTATAAAGATCAAAATTCTAGAAGCCCATAACAAACTCAATACTTAAGCAAGGCTGGGTGTGGTAGCTCATGTCTGTAAATCCCAGTGCTTTGAGAGGCCAACGCAGGGGTGGAGGGGTAAGGGAGGGTAGAGATTTGCTGGAGCCTAGGAGTTTGAGACCATCCTGGGCAATACAGAAAAACCTAGCTCTACCAAAAAAAAAAAAAAAAAAAAAAAAATCAATCAGCTAGGTGCAGTGGCTTGCACCTACAGATGCAGCTTCTTGGGAGGCTGAGGCAGGAGGATCATTTGAGCCCAGGAAATAGAGGTGAGCTATGATGGCGCCATTGCACTCCAGCCTGGGTGACAGAGCGAGACTCTGTCTCAAAACAAACAAACAAACACACCTAAGCAAAGCCATGTGTGGAAACAATATAACTACATAGTATTAAAGACTAGTTTATCAAAATAATCTAATTATTTATTAAATACAGGGAATAGTGATGGAAGTGTAGCGCAAAAATCAGGACACGTAGGCTGATGGATTTAGATGTTTACATGCAGGCTAACAAGCAAGTATGTGAGTAACTTTTACAACTCAGTAATAAAGACAAATAATCCATTAACAGATTGGAAAAATGTCTACTCAGATTATTTGTCTAAGAAGATATACTACAAATGCTCAATAAACACATGAAAAGATGCTTGATATCATTAGTCATCAGGCAAATGCAGACGAAAACCACAAGAGGATACCACTTTACACCCAGTAGGCTATAATCAAAAAGTCAGATCATACCAAGTGTTTGCAAAGAAAATGAAGAGATTAGAACCATCTTATACCGCTGGCAAGAATGTAAAATGGTGCAGCCACTTTGGATAACAGTCTGGCAATTTCTCAAAATGTTAAAACATAAAGTTACTATGTGACTCTGCAAGTGAACTCCTAGAAACATACCCAAGAAAAATGAAAACACATGTTCACACAAGAAATCGTACATTAATGTACATAGAAGCATTACTATAGCCAAAAAGTGGAAACAACCAAAATGTCCATGGACTGACGAACGGATAAACAACGTGGTATATTTATGCAGTGGAGTATTACTCAGCAATAAAAAGAGTGAAGTCTGGAGCCGGGCGCGGTGGCTCACACCTGTAATTCCAGCACTTTGGGAGGCCGAGGCGGGCAGATCATGAGGTCAGGAGATCGAGACCATCCTGGCTAACACGGTGAGACCCCATCTCTACTAAAAATACAAAAACTTAGTCGGGCGTGGTGGTGGGCGCCTGTAGTCCCAGCTACTCGGGAGGCTGAGGCAGGACAATGGCATGAACCTGGGAGGAAGAGGTTGCAGTGAGCCGAGATTGTGCCACTGCACTCCAGCCTGGGCGACAGAGCAAGACTCCATCTCAAAAAAAAAAAAAAAAAAAAAGAATAAAAGTCTGGATACAGGCAACAACATTGAAGAACCTTGTAAACACTTTCCTAAGTGAAAGAAGCCAGACACAAAAGACCACATATTATATGACTGCATTTATATGAAATGCACAGAATAGGGAAATATAGAAAGATTAGCAGATGCTTAGGACTAAGTGGGGTGGGGTGATAGGGGTTCAGTGGGGGGAAAGAACAAGAGAGCAATATCTGAAGGGTGCAGAATTTGAGGTGACAAAAATATTCTAAAATTAATTGTGGTAGTATGTATTTGTGAATACACTAAAAACCACTGATTTGTACACTTTAAATGGGTGAATTGTATGGTATTTAAATTGTATCTCAAAGCAGTTTAACAAAGTCCTATTTATAAGAATGAGACTGGAAACAATTTATACAACCCCAACAAAAGATATATTAGTCTTTTCCAATTATGCAGCCCTTTAAAAAGAATGGCCATAAATGGATCTTTATAAAACAACCTGGTAGGCACTGGGCGAGGTGGCTCATACTGTAATCCCAGCACTTTGGGGAGGCAGAGGCAGGCAGGTTACTTGAACCCAGGAGTTCAAGACCAGCCTGGGCAACATGGCAAAACCCCGTCTCTACAAAAAATACAAAAATTAGCTGGGTGTGGTGGTGCGTGCCTGTGGTTCCACCTACTCAGGAGGGTGAGGTGGGAGGATCACTTGAGCCTCAGAGGCAAAGGTTGTAGTGAGCCAGGATCGTAACACTGTACTCCGGCCTGGGTGACAGAGTGAGACTATCTCAAAACAAAACAAAACAAAACAAAAATATCCTACCTGGTAGGTTAGGTGTATTAAATGAATTTTCAACTTACAATATTTTCAACTTATAATGGGATTATCAGGACCATAACCCCATTATAAGTTGATAAGCCATCTGTAAAATCAAACATTAATGCCTTTCTTATAGAAATTAAATTTTGGCAGTAACCAAATAGTATCTGGGAGTTTCTCTTTATAGAAGTGTTTCAATTAATAAATGAAAGAATAATAGAATTGGAAAATGACCTTTTTGCCTCCCTTTATGAAATAATGGAGCTCTCAAATCTATGGCTGCTAACATTACAAAAAGAGAAAACCAAGTATGTACTTCCTGACAGAAGTCTGTACTACCATCTATGAAGTATTCTTGCTTAAAGAGAAAGAGGGGAAGTGGAAGGGAGGGAGAAAGAAAGTGAATCTGAATATGCCCAGATCTACTGTGGTTCTCAATCTTGGCAGCACAGTACAATCACCTGAGGAGCTAAAAATACTGATGCCTGGATCCTAAGACTAGAAATTCAAATTAGTATGAGACATAGCCTGGACATTAGAATTTTTAAAATTTAAGGTTGAGATCACTGCTCTAAATCTAACCACCGATTCACAAGAATTCAGAAGACTGAGGAACATGTACTGTACTTCAAGGATGAAGTCAGCCAACCTAAACATGACAGGATAAAAGAGTTTCTTCAACCAATGGGGTAGGGGGTGGGGGGAAGATAAAAAAAGGAATGGGAACCTAAAAGTCAAGGGACTTAAATCGACTAACTGCAAAATATAAACCTCATTTGGATTCCCCCTACCGCCCATCTATTTTTATTTTTTTATTATTTTTTTTTTTAGAAAGAGAGACAGGGTCTCACCACATTGCCCAAAGCTGGTCTCAAATGCCTGGGATGAAGCAGTTGTCTTGCCTCTGCTTCCCAAAGTGCTGGGATTACAGGCATGAGCCACCACATCCAGCCTATTTGGATCCTAATACAATTTTTCAAATGTGAACCAACTAAGATATTTGAACAGACTTCATGGTTTATGAGAATTTTTTATATGTGATGATATTGATTTTTTTAAGCCCATATCTTTTAGAGATACATGCTGAAATAATTTCTAATGAAATTACTTATCTAAGATTTGTTTCAAATTATCTGATAGAGAGAGGTGGGATAGATATAGAGAAAATGAGATTGGCCTTAAGCTGATAATTGAAGTTAGGGGATAGGTACATGGGGAGATTTATTATACTATTCTCTCTACATTTGTAAATGCTTAAAAATTATCCATTTCATAAAGTTTTTAAGATGTGAAATATTGGCCAGGCGTGCTGGCTCACACCTCTAATCCCAGCCCTTTGGGAGGCCAAGGCAGATGGAGTGCCTGAGCCATTCTCCAATAAAAGGAACCAAAGCTCCTTAGACAAATAGCTATTTCAAGGACTGAAGCAGCAATTCTACAAGATAATCCTGAAATATCTTGTAGTGCCAGAAAGTACGTACTCAAAAAGAAAAAACCAATCGCAACCAACCAACAAAAAACCACCACACACAGAAACACACAATGATGGAGTGACCAAAGGGACACAGGAGCCCCCAACAGCCAAAGCTGGAACATCAGAACAGCAAAATAGTTAAAGTAGTATTAGACTATAGCTCAGAGTACAAAATAAATATCCACAAGCCAAATGACTGAACAAATAGGGAAGATTGAACAGATCTCCAAGGAGAGAAATTCCAAATAATTTATGTAGACGGTCCACCCTCAAGGAGATAGAGCGTAATTCTCCACTACTTAAGTACGGGTTGTGCAAAGTATTGGCAGGGAGGGGTGGTGGTGCAAACTAACAAATACTATTTCATCCAGGTGATCAAGGTTAACATCAGTGGGCTGGGCATGCTGGCTCACACCCATAATCCCAGCACTTTGGAGGCCAAGGCAGGTGGATCACCTGAGGTCAGGAGTTCGAGACCAGCCTGGCCAATATGGTGAAACCCCATCTCTCCTAAAAATACAAAAATTAAACAGGCATGGTGGCAAGTACCTGTAATCCCAGCTACTGGGGAGGCTGAGGCAGGAGAATTGCTTGAACCTGGGAGGTGGAGGTTGCAGTGAGCAGAGATCACGTCACTGCACTCCTGCCTAGCAACACGGCAAGACTCTGTCAAAAAAAAAAAAAAGAAAGAAAGAAAGAAAAAGGAAGGAAGGAAGGTAGGTAGGTTGGTTGGTTAACATCAACATCAGTGGTAAGTCATATTGCTTGTATGTGCCCTTGATATAATGAGAATGACATTTTATCTGAAGTCTTCCTCCTAGAAAGTCCATAAACCCAGTCTAATAATGGGAAAAACTTCACACAAGTTCCAACTGAGGGTCATTTGACAAAATACCTGATCAATATTCCTGAAAACTGTCCAGATCATCAATAAGAAGGAGAGTTTAGGAAACTGTCACAGTCAGTCAAGAGAAGCCTAAGGAAACATGACAATGAAATAGTGTCCCAGACAGGATCATGGAACAGATAAAGGATATTAGGTAAGAACTAAGGAAATCTGAGTAACAATATGGAATTTGGTTTACTATAAACCATGAAATAATAATTTGGTTCTTTAATTGTGACAAATGTGCCATACTCAAGTATTAATGTTAATAACAGAGAAGACTGGGTCTAGGGTGTGTGGGAACTCTACACTATCTGTACTACTTCCCTGTAAACCTATGGTTATTCTACAATTTGTTTTAAATTATCTGATTTAAATTATCTGATTTTAAAAAAGGAACAAAGCACTGAAAACCTGCTACAATACCCATGAACACTGAGAGCATTATACTAAGAGAAAGAAGCCACTTGGTATGTGAATATCTCAATAAAGTTATTATAAACACACACACATACTCACACAATGAGATACTACACACCTATGGCAAGGATGCAGAGCAATTTTAGAATGGCTAATATTAAACCACCAAGTGTTGTCAAGGACTGGACCTGCTGGTGAGAACATAAAGTGGCACAACTACTATGGAAAAGTTTAGAATTTTTTTTTTCTTTTTTTTGAGATGGAGTCTCGCTCTGTTGCCCAGGCTGGATGAAGTGCAGTGGTGTGATCTCAGCTCACTGCAAGCTCCGCCTCCCGGGTTCACGCCATTCTCCTGCCTCAGCCTCCCGAGTAGCTGGGACTACAGGTGCCCGACACCACGCCCGGCTAATTTTTTGTTTTAGTAGAGGCGGGGTTTCACCGTGTTAGCCAGGATGGTCTCAATCTCCTGACCTCAAGATCCACCTGCCTCAGCCTCCCAACGTGCTGGGATTACAGGCTTGAGCCACTGTGCCCGGCCTAGAATTTTTTAAAAACATTAAATATATGATCCAGTTATTCCACCCCTGTGTATTTACCTGAGAGAAATGAATATACCAGGAAGAAAAACTTTCTCCTTTATCAACTTAGGTTCAGTAATTGAGGGCCTACGTATTCAACTGACAATGCACAGATGAACAGGAGGAAAAAACCAAAACTTTTTCATACGCATATGGAAGTGCACAAAAGCAGTACTCTAAACAGCTAAAAAAGGGAGTTTACAAACTCAATTAACCGAGGAAAAAGGATACGGGAGAAAAGGCTTCTATGGGAAAATAAATCGGTTTCAAGGGGAACAGAGATAAATTTTGTCGTAATGTTTGTTTATGCAGATGAGTGGTCTTCTCCATCTTTTTTTTTTTTTTTTTTTTTCCAGTCCAAGAACATTCCCCAAGGGAGGAGATTTTTAGCAGCCTCATTCCCAGAAGTTTCTGCCTTTAGTTAAAGTAAGGAATTTCTGATTAGGCTTCTTTCTGCATCTGTTGAATCTCAAATGTCTTTAGTTTAAAATAATCTTCATACTATCTCTGGGGGTTACAAGTGGGTCCTCACAAAAGCAAACATCCACATAGAGACCTACACATAAATGTTCATAGCACCTTTACCTGTAGTAGTTAAAAACTGGAAACAGCCCAAATGTTCAACAGGTAAACAAGTAAATAGTAGTATATCTACACAACAAACCACTACTCAGCTATGAAAGGGAATAGGCTCTTGACTCACACATCATAGGTAAATCTTAATGGTTTCACATGTGTATATGTATGTTAAAACTTATCAAAACGTGCACTTTAAAGATGTGTTTATGTCCATCATACTTCAATAAAGCTGTTTTTTAAAAAGACCTACTAATTCAACGATTTAAGTTGTTATAAATCAGAACAAAAGTGAGAATTATTCCCTTTTTTTTTTTTTTTTAATTGAGACAGAGTCTCACTCTGTCGCCCAGGCTGGAGTGCAGCGGCACTATCTCGGCTCACTGCAACCTCCATCTCCCAGGTTCAAGTGATTCTCCTGCCTCAGCCTCCTGAGTAGGTGGGATTACAGGCACACGCCACTACACCCGCCTAATTTTTGTATTTTTTAGTAGAGAAGGGGTTTCACCATATTGGCCAAGCTGGTCTCAAACTCGTGACCTGGTGATCTGCCCACCTCAGCCTCCCAAAGTGCTGGGATTTACAGGGGTGAGCCACCATACCCGACTAACTCCCAATGTTTAATGTGTGAAAAGGCTTAAGGTTTAAGTGAGAAAAAAGCAGGAAATTACATGCAATATATTCAGTACTGTTTTTTTTTTTAAATTACAAGACTACACAGATGGGAAAAAGAAATTGGATGATAAATCTTTAATCAACACACTGTAACTGTTTGCCCAAAAAGTGTGAAGAATATCAGACATATACAGTTGGAGAAAAGAAGCCATGAATAGAACTGAGAGTCAAAAATAAATGGTCAGGCTGGGTGTGGTAGCTCATGCTCATAATACCAGCACTTTGGGAGACCAAGTCAGGAGGATCCCTTGAGGTCAAGAGTTCAAGACCAGCCTGGGCAACATAGCGAGATCCCTTCTGTAAAAAAAAAAAAAAAAAAAAAATTAGCTGGGTGTGGTAGTATGCATCTGTAGTCCCAGCTACTTGGGAGACTGGGAGGTCAAGGCTGCAGTGAGCCGTGACTGAGCCAGTACACTCCAGCCTGGGCAACAGAGTGAGACCCTGTCTCTAAAATACACACACACACACCCCTTTGACTATTGGTCAAAGATAGGCAAATATGCCAAGTGAAATAACGATGCTAGTTTTTGCAGACAAAATTGGCTAATATTTTGAATTATGTTAGCATGAAGTATGCTGGGGAGGATATGGAAAAACAATGTCTTGTCCATTAGTGGGGGAAAGTATAAAGCAACATAGAATTTCTATAAAAGTTTTGTTAATATCAAATAGCCTAAAAATTCACTCTGATCTAATTCAATTTGTGTGTATACCTGCATAGAAGTATGAAAGGTAATATGCCAAGATATTTTTGAACTTTACTTTCCAAATTTTATTCAACGAGCCTGTATCACCTATAATGGGGAAGAAGTATATTTAAGTCATTCTTTAACTGAGGCTTCTGAAAAGAAAAAAAAAAATCAGTTTGAAGCCAAAATACCAACTAAACAAGCGTAGATCTGTCCCTTGACTGACCAAGACAAGAAAACAGATGAAGCCACTGAGCTACAGGAAAGCAAAGAGTGCCGCTAGATTAGGGTAAACCACCAGAGCTCGTTAGGAGTAGCTGGTGGGAAGATTCAGACAGCAGGGCAACCCCACTCCAGGACCTCCCACTCTGGCACATGAATGAAATCCCTCACATGCCAGCTAGAATTAAATACAAAACCTGTAACAGCACAACCACCTTTACCCCCTTTTCTCCCTCTTCATAGCTTGTGTATAGGCAGCACAGGAATGCCAAGACCACAACTGTACAGCATACAACTTTCGTTTTTGAAAAGACAGCTAAAAACTTTACAGCTGTTTTTGTCACCTTGGATTTATTGTTGCCTTTTTTTTTTTTTTTTGAGACAGAGTCTCGCTCTGTTGCCCAGGCTGGAGTGCAGTGGCATGATCTCGGCTCAGTGCAACGTCCGCCTCCTGGGTTCAAGCAATTCTCCTGCCTCAGCCTCCTGAGTGGCTGGGATCACAAGCACCCACCACTACGCCAGCTAATTTTTTGTATTTTTAGTAGAGACAGGGTTTAGCCATGTTAGCCAGGGTAGTCTTGAACCCTTGGCCTCAAGTGATCTGCCCGTCTCGGCCTCCCAAAGTGCTGGGATTACAGGCGTGAACCATCGCGCCTGGCTTTTTTTTTTTTTTTTTTTTAAGACAGATTCTTACTCTGTCACCCAGGCTAGAGTGCAGTGGCACGATCTTGGCTCACTGCAACCTCCACCCCCTGGGTTCAAGCGATTCTTGTGCCTCAGCCTCCTGAGTAGCTGGGATTACAGGCGTGTGCCACTACACCCAGCTAATTTTTATATTTTTAGTAGAGACATGGTTTAGCCACATTCGCCAGGCTGGTCTCGAATTCCCGACTTCAAATGATCTGCCTGCCTCAGCCTCCCAAAGTGCTGGGATTACAGGTGTGAGCCACCGTGCCCGGCCTTGTCATTGCCTTTTAAAATCTCAGTTGTAAGGTTACTGACATAGCCACAACCCATCCATGACACTCTCGCTTTCCACGGGTGCAAGGACAGCTTTAACAGCTGTAATGGGTTTAGACACTCAGACTTTCTGATCTATTCCTGGAAGCCAGTGCTGATTAATTTTTAACTTCTTTGGAACTGAGCCCCAAACAAAACATGAAACTGGGACTTATATTACAATGACTAAGGTACTACAAGACATCTACTTAGAATCAAGTATCACCAAAGGCAGAATAACCTGAGAAATGTTTCATCCAAAAGATTGCAAATGAAAAAGTCTTTTTAAAATGATAAAAAGCACTGATCATTGTCTGTAGACAGGCCCAGTACACACCCTAGTTGAATAATTTGTAACACAGAAGGTAGAATGGCAAGATCAAAATGAGTAAGAACTTGAGGCAAGGAGAAGGAATGTTTCTGTTTTTACAAGTGAATGTTCATGAACCACTACTTTTAGGCCTTACTCTTCAATGTATTTAGTTCAAGAAACAATAAGTAAATTGCTAAGCATCTGAAACAAAACTGAAAATCGAACAACCCAGCAAGTGTTATTAATAGCTCTTCTAGGATATTAATGACATAAAAGATAATGCACCCAGATTAAAACACACAATACTGGTGTCACCCGCTACACACCCTAACCAACAGAGCTAACCTACAGAAAGTATTTAAGGTAAGCAGTAAAGAAGGAGAGACTACTCTTCTCTGCATTCATGAATGTTGTAAACTGATGGCCAGTACTGTCCACAGTATGGCAGATGTGGCCAAAATGAGGGCAGAACCATCAGTCCCTTCTTCACTAACCCTAATGAACCAAGACTTCCTCAAGCTTAGCTAAGCCTCAAATGAGAAAGGCAACACTTTCTGCGAACATGTCACAGTGCTGGATAGCACAAAGGCTGACCTCAAGAAAAGGCTGATTCAGTAAGTAGTGCTGTCACAAATGGAAAACCATTTGGAAGAAAAAAAAAAAGACAAGGACAGCTTATCATCATATATATATATATATATACACACACACACATATATATGTATATATATATATACACACATACACACATATGCACATATATATACACACACACATACACACACACACACAAATATACAACTATTAATGATAGTTAACTCTGAATGGTAGGATTTTAAGCCCTTTTTTCTGTTTTCTACAGTGAACACAAACACTTTTTTTTGTTTGTTTTTGGAGACAGGGTCTTGCTGCTCTGACACCCAGGCCACAGTATGATTGCATGATCACGGCTCACTGCAGCCTCGACTTCCCAGGCTCAAGGGATACTCCCACCTCAGCCTCCCAAGTAGCTGGGACTACAGACGTGGGCCACCACGCCTGGCAAATTATTGTACTTTTTTTAAGAGATGGGGTTTTATCATGTTGCCCAGGCTGATCTTGAACTCTTGGGCTCAAGAAATCCTCCCACCTTGGCCTCTCAAAGTACTGTGATTACAGGCATGAGCCACTGTGCCAAAAACATTTCTAATTTAAAAAATTAAAGTGAGTGGCATATAACTCCCAATTGCTATAAGGTGGCCACTCATCAATTTCTTAGGAGTTTCTAGAGGACACTCTGATATCTGACTTCCTTAGGGGACACTCAGCAAGTCTCATTAGCGTCCTTGGAATTAACCCACCTTTGCTTCTGTGATCAAGAGAACTTGCTTTCATCCAACTCAAGATGTCTTCTGCCCGCTGGAGTGGCCTTCCAGAAGGACCCTTTACCTACAGAACTGTGCTATCACCTCACCAATGTTCACTCAGAATGGTCCTTCATGCTAGTACCAGGCAACGTGGTTAAATCAGACAACTCGTTCACAAAAGCCTCCCTCCCATACATACCTTGTAACATGTAAATCAATAACAAGTTATTATTAATAACTAAAAGCTAGTTCAATCGTAACCGATGATCATCTCATGCCTAAGGAATACGGGCATGTGATCTTCTATTCACTGAACAAATGTCAACAAATGTCAAGGACAGCTAAGATCCCACCCTGCAATAAGCACAGTTTAGACCTGTAGCAAGTACTATGCTCAATTCTGAACCCTACTCTAAGGGGCTCGGAAACCGTGCCCCCAAAGGGAAACAGGCTGAGAGGGGTCAGTGGAGGGGAATCTGGGAGGGACAGATGAGTGGTCTGGAGAGTTTCTCAGACGATGAACCATTTGAATGTGCTCTCTTCACACATTGGGAGAATTTTTATATTCTCAAAGGAGCTAAAATAAACATGGAAGTTGAAATGAACAGGCTCTTAAAAGATCATCTAGCCCAAGGGGGGCAATCATGTTCATTTTGCATGCCAACTGCAAACAACTGGCTGTGATTATCCACAGCCTGTGTGAGAAGGATTCTGCGGCCTAATCTAGGATCAGTGAGAAGAGTCTCTCCTTGAGAGTCCCTCCTGCTGCGGAAGGAAGGAGGCTGAACAAGTACCATGGATTCCCAGCAGTGACCTTCACCAATGGACTGGATACTTAAGAGGCCAGTCGAGTTATTAGGAGGGTACACAAATCCATAATGCTTTCAAGACTTTCTGATAAGGCAAATAAACAGTAATTCCTACACTTGTGTATACCATAATCTTTCAGACAGGTATAGGGGTTGTGTGATTAAAAAAAAAATTATTAGTGTTATAGGTTTCTAAAGGTAATCTAGTTCACACAACAAGGTCTTTCAGCTACAGACACACCTGCACAACTTAAAAAATCTACTTCCCAAAATGATAACGCTATTTATAATCAGCAAGACTTTTTAACACATCTACTTTGGCAGGCCAGGGCAAGCTAAGTGTATAAGCCCAGGAGTTGGAGACCGGCCTGAACAACATGGCGAAACCCTGTCTCTATAAAAATTACAAAATTTAGCCAGGTGTGGTGGCACGTACCTGTAGTCCCAGCTACTCGGGAAGCTGAGGTAGCAGGATCGCTTCAGCCTGGAAGGTCGAGGCTGCAGTGAGCTATGATCATGCCACTGCACTCCAGCCTGGGTGACAGAGGGAGACTCTGTCTCCCCTGCGCCTACCCTCCCCCAAAACAACAACAAACCATGAGAGAAAAATAAAGCCAGGAAAAATTAAGACTGAAAATAAATTGGTATGAAGTTAGTGGTGAAGTTAAATATTCTAACAATATATAGTAGAGGTGACCCTTAAACTCCGTAGCAGACAACACCAAGGCAAACACAGTCAGTGAGAAATTATGCAGGCTCCATCATGCGCTACAAAGCTGTCTCTGGTAGCCAAGGGAAGCATATAAGCAAAGGTCCTGTTTTCAAACATTAATTAAACAGCACGTCAGAATAGAATTCCTACCATACAGAAACAAAGCTGTGACAAAAGAAAGGTTTGCTTGTTTAGTTAAGCAAGAAAGAAATTAACACAATGAAGCCATGTCCTTTATGGGAAAGATACCATGTAAATTATCTGAAGTCAGAAATGTTTGTTCAGCTGGGCAACTTCAAGTAGTGGTAAACAATAATGGAATACTGGAAGTGCACAGAACATGCTCAGAATTGATGGGCATCAGATTTGCTGAGAAAGAAGAACATGGAGTAATGATGGGTGTAAGCTCAGAGGAGCTTAGCATTAATCCACCCTAATGAGGCTGGCATCTGGAGGCACAGCCTGCTCAATTTCACAGCCATAAGGAGCAGCCCTCACTGATGTTTCTGACTTCTTTGTGACTCATTTTTTCAACACTAAAGTCTGAGGTTTTCCTTAAAGTTTTTTTAATAAGAAATTAAACTTTCCCCAAAATAGAAAGCTGAGTATTATGATCAACTACTATTAGAAAGCCTAACCAAAACAACCTGAACTATTTAAAGCAAGTAACCAGATCAAGATAAAACACCCGCAATATACTTTCCAAAACATCTGATCCCTGCTAGTGAAGGGCCAACACAGCTGGCACCAAGATTTCCATTTGCCACCACCAAAAAATAAAAAACAACACAAAGAAACAAAAAAACGAAAACATTTGTAAGAACTTCAGTGATTTCTGCATCAATAAAACTCAATGACCTCGGGCCAAGTGCAGTGGCTGACACCTATAATCCCAGCACTTTGGGAGGCTGAGGTGGGAGGACAGCTTGAGCCCAGGAATTTGAGACCAGCCTGGGCAATATGGCGAGACCCCATCTCTACCCCCACCCCCCCAAAAAAAGAAAAAAATTAACTGAAAAACCAACAGGCCAGGCACAGTGTTTCACGCATGTAATCCCAGCATTTTGGGAGGCTGAGGCAGGTGAATCACTTGAGGTCAGGAGTTCGTGACCAGCCTGGCCAACATGGTAAAACCCTGTCTTTACTAAAAATACAACAATTAGCTGGGCGTGGTGACAGGTGCCTGTAATCCCAGCTACTCGGGAGGCTGAGGCAGGAGAACTGCTTGAACCTGGGAGGCAGAGGTTGCAGTGAGCTGAGATCACATCACTGCACTCCAGCCTGGGCAACAGAGCGAGACTCCATCTCAAAAAAAGAAGAAAATAACAAAAATACAAACCTCAATGACCCGAGACAACAAATTTATATCCTATTTTCTTATACCCATCCCCCTACCCCACCCCTACACAAAAAAATCCAGTGAGTTTTTTTTTTTTTTTTTAACCCAATAACCCATTACAGAGTTGAAAAAATTCCCAACCAATACACTTTCAGTGAGTGAATACTGACCAGCAAGTCCACACCAGCCATTGTTCTGGGTCTTTGATAACATGGGAGGACAGAGCCCTACCCACCTTAGCTCTGGTGGGAGAAACAGACACAAGTCATAAGACAATTAAATATAAAGTGCTGGCTTGGGGGTAGGGGGCAGGGAGGGGTGCACACCTATAGCCCCAGCACTTTGGGAGGCAAAGGAGGGAGGATCACTTTAGCCTAGGAGTTTGATGCAGCAGTCAGCTATGATCTCACCACTGCACTGGGCAACAGAGAAGACTCTGACTTCTGAAATATGTACTTACACACACACACACACACACAATGCTAAGTCAAATAATGAAATCACCCAAAATAGCTGGAATTACTGGCAGATTGTGTAGCAATAAACCTAGTTTTCTGAAGAAAAAAAAAATACATGAGATAATGCAAGCCTACATGTTAAGTGCTACCATAGTGTTAAGTATGGGAGAAATACAGGAGAGATGTCTAATCCAAGCGTGGTAGGAATGATGTCTAAATTGAGGGCTAAATAATTGGTGAGAATAAAGAAAGATGGAAAGGATCCAGAACAAAATAAGACTGTTGGGGGGGAAAAAAAAGAGCAAATGGATTCTTGGCAAAGAAAATGTATGCAAAAAGTCCTGAAGCTAAGAGAAGGATGGGGTTGAGGAAGTAAAGTACTTCACAGTACTGGAGCACACAGCATGTGAATTTCAGCCAAAGGACAAATGCCTCCAAAAAAAGTTAATTCACAGTGCAGCAGGGCGAGGCACTTGTCTTATTCGCTGGTTCTCACATTGACCCTGAAAGGACTTTTTTTTGTTAATCCCATTTTCACAGATGGGAAAGGGACTCTGTATGGTTGTCACTTTTATCCAAAGTCTCATAGCCAGTAAGAAGCTGCCCTCAAAGTCCCTACCCTGTCTTCCATTCGACTATTCTGAGGTTCAGACCCAGAAACCCCATACCTCTGCCTTATATTTTAATGAAAAGTATGTCTCCAGGTTTATGTGGAGAATAACCAAGACCTCAGAAACATTTAGTGAAAATCAGAGCTAGAAGGAATCTGTTTTTTTGCGAGTTCAGAGAAGCTGACTTGGATAAGACATCAAAGTTGTCTTGTGCAGCAAATTCTCCTCCGGCACATAGTAGGCACTCTGATAAATTCAAAAAGGCTTCTAAGAAGAGGCAGAAGCAAGGACAGGGAAGGAGCTCAGCTCCACAGCTCAGGGAGGGTGACAGAATGGCCTAAGGCCCAGGAGAGCACCGTGTTGTCAACTGTCAGTGTCAAGCCTGAGACAGGAGCCATGAACTAGCACCATCTCAGCTCTGATGTTGAACTGCAGCCGTCTCCTCTAAGGTCTCAAACTGGCCTTATACCAACACATGCCTCCTTCTATCATCTAACTAGCCATACGCCATGCCTCCTTCAACACCTAACTGGCCTTACACCAACACATGCCTCCTTCTATCTTGTCATCTCATAATAGGAATGCTGCATCCCCTACATGAAATGACAAAATGTATTCTGCATAGAAATCCCTCTAGGTACTGAAGAACTTTATCTTAATGTATTTCACCACTGAGTATTTAGAGTCCCCACTCTCAAGGCTGTGGTCCTATTAGCATTTATTTGACACTTGAGTGCTGATTACACTGGTGGTAAATTGAATAATGGTCCCAAATATATCTACCTCCTAATGCTTAAAAACTGCGAGTGTTACCTTATATGGCAAAAGGGACTTTGAGGGTATAAGTAAGTATCTTGAGGTGGAGATATTATATGGGATTACCCGGGTGAGCCTTATGTAATCATGGATCCTTACAAAAGGGGCGAGAGAGGAGGCAAAGTCAGAGAGAAGACAATCTGAGGACAGAAGCAGAGGCTGAAGTGGTACACTTTGAAAGAGGAAACCATTAGGTATATCTCCAAATGCTATCCCTCCCCCCGCCCCACCCCACAACAGTCCCCAGAGTGTGATGTTCCCCTTCCTGTGTCCATGTGTTCTCATTGTTCAGTTCCCACCTATGAGTGAGAACATGCAGTGGTTGGTTTTTTGTCCTTGCGATAGTTTGCTGAGAATGATGGTTTCCAGTTTCATCCATGTTCCTACAAAGGACATGAACTCATCATTTTTTATGGCTGCATAGTATTCCATGGTGTATATGTGCCACATTTTCTTAATCCAGTCTGTCATTGTTGGACATTTGGGTTGGTTCCAAGTCTTTGCTACTGTTAATAGTGCCACAATAAACATATGTGTGCATGTGTCTTTATAGCAGCATGATTTATAATCCTTTGGGTATATACCCAGTAATGGGATGGCTGGGTCAAATGGTATTTCTAGTTCTAGATCCCTGAGGAATCGCCACACTGACATCCACAATGGTTGAACTAGTTTACAGTCCCACCAACAGTGTAACAGTGTTCCTATTTCTCCACATCCTCTCCAGGACCTGTTGCTTCCTGACTTTTTAATGATTGCCATTTTAACTGGTATGAGATGGTATCTCATTGTGGTTTTGATTTGCATTTCTCTGATGGCCAGTGATGATGAGCATTTTTTCATGTGCTTTTTGGCTGCATAAATGTCTTCTTTTGAGAAGTGTCTGTTCATATCCTTTGCCCACTTTTTGATGGGGTTGTATTTTTCTTGTAAATTTGTTTGAGTTCATTGTAGATTCTGGATATTAGCCCTTTGTCAGATGAGTAGGTTGCAAAAATTTTCTCCCATTTTGTAGGTTGCCTGTTCACTCTGATGGTAGTTTCTTTTGTTGTGCAGAAGCTCTTTAGTTTAATTAGATCCCATTTGTCAATTTTGGCTTTGGTTGCCATTGCTTTTGGTGTTTTAGACATGAAGTCCTTGCCCATGCCTATGTCCTGAATGGTATTGCCTACGTTTTCTTCTAGGGTTTTTATGGTTTTAGGTCTAACATCTAAGTCTTTAATCCATCTTGAATTAATTTTTGTATAAGGTGTAAGGAAGGGATCCAGTTTCAGCTTTCTACATACGGCTGGCCAGTTTTCCCAGCACCATTTATTAAATAGGGAATCCTTTCCCCATTTCTTGTTTTTGTCAGGTTTGTCAAAGATTAGATGGTTGTAGATATGTGGCATTATTTCTGAGGGCTCTGTTCTGTTCCATTGATCTATACCTCTGTTTTGGTACCAAATGCTAAATGACGAGTTAATGGGTGCAGCACACCAACATGGCACATGTATACATATGTAACCTGCACATTGTGCACATGTACCCTAAAACTTAAAGTATAATAATAATAAAATTAAATTAAATTAAAAAAAAAAAAAGAAAGAGGAAACCATGAAAGCCAAGGACTACAGCCAGGCACTAGAACCTGGGAAAGGCAAGCAAACGGATTCTCCCCTAAGACTTCTAGAGGGAGCCAGTTCTCATGACAACCTTGACTTTAACCCACAGAGACTGATTTCAGACTCCTGGCTTCTAGAACAAAAATTAATTTCTGTTGCTTTAAACCACCAAGTTTGTGATTAATTTGTTACAGCAGCATAGGAAACTAATATACCTATTCTTATTTTATGTTAGCAATGTAAATTTTCTATACCATCACTCATATTGAATTGCTCTAAAATAATACACCTCTCCTCCACCTAAAAACAGTGAAGCAATATTGATCAGTAAAACAAAAGCAGAATGTTGACTATCATTAAGGTCGGTAGATGGGGGGTTCAGTATACTATTTTCTCAATGTGTGTATGTTTGAAAACTCCCAAAGTAGAGAGTTTAAAAAGTCACTTTAAAATTCCTAAGAAAGGAATCACATTTCTACACCATCTCCCACTGAGCCATATGAGCCAGTTTTTTTTTCCCCAACATTGGAACAAGTTGTCATATCTTTACTTCAATGCCACACCAGGTCCTTGGCTAGTGGATAAGGCATACATGGTATAAAAAGTTTGCATCCTTAAACATGTTCTCAGTACATCTAAGAGGCACACAGGAGCTGAGCAACTAAAGAAACATTTGTGTTTCCAATATCTTGTTTCTCCAGGATAGTAAATCATGCATTAAAACAATGTGAAAAAGTTCTCCAAAGTATTATATTACTTTTTGCTGATCACAAATAGGCAAATGCATCTAAGATTATCTGATTTCTAATGCAATTCAATTCTGTGAAAGTCTAAAACAAAGTATTAGGTTGGTACAAAAGTAATTGGAGTTTTCACCATTAGAAGAAGTAGTATCTCTAAGCTATATAATAAGCAGGTGGTTTTGGACTTAGAGAGCCACAGCTGACCTTGTCCTGCTCCTCCAGGGTAACATTTTGAGGACAATGCTATCAGAGGTTCTTCATATCTCTGTGTTGGTGTGGCAGCCTAAGTACTGTCTGCCACACCAACATTACAACCAAAAGGGGCCATTCTGACTAAGGCTGACCCAGCCTCAGAAAGCAAGGCACGTGATAAAAGCACATCCTTCAATCTGGCTGTACTTGTTCCACCCACTGAAAATTAAGAAATACTTAGATGCCCAAGAATTTCCATTTCACACGAGAACAACTTCAAAAGCCACCTCATGACTGTGTGCATGGATCCAACCATAAATACCTACACAAGCACACACCAAAGCCAACCATATGCATCGCAGTGTAATGACTGTGTATAAAATGAGTGAGCTGGAAGAGCAGAAGTATTTAAGATGCTGTCAAAACCCTATTTTTCTGAGATGGAGCCTTGCTCTGTGGCCTAGGCTGGAGTGCAGAGGCACGATCTTGGCCCACTGCAGTATCCACCTCCTGGGTTCAAGTAATTCACGTGCCTCAGCCTCCCGAGTAGCTGGGATTACAAGCACGTGCCACCACACAAGGCTAATTTTTGTATTTTTAGTAGAGACGGGGGTTTCACCATGTTGCCCAGGTTGGTCTCAAACTCCTGACCTCAAGTGACCTGCCTGCCTCCCCCAAAGTGCTGGAATTACAGGTGTGAGCTATCACGCCCAGCCCAAAACCCTAATTGTTAAACCATGATTGAAGAAATGGTCTCCTTTTAAAAATTGTAACTTTTCTGCTGATACAGAGTAACTAAAAGTAAGGACACCATCCATATTTAAGATTCAGTCACTGTGGCCGAGTAGTAGGACCCCTTCCCAGCAGTACTTGCCTTCACACAGACCCACCAGAGGAACAGTTGCGGGCCCCCTGCTGAGGGGGTTCACCATCAACATCATGGCTGCCAGCATCATGGAGGCAGCATCATGAACTGCCGGGAGTCTGATAATCCAGGACCCTTCCTGCCTTGTATTAGGAATTGTCTTCCATCATTCAAACTCACAGTACAAAAAATACAGCAGGAAGTCTTCTGAAATTAAGATTTGAAAAGTCACTGCTATGCCAGGCACGGTGGCTCACGCCTGTAATTTCAGTACTTCAGGAGGCCAAGGCAGGTGGATCACCTGAGGTCAGGAGTTCGAGACCAGCCTGGCCATCACGGTGAAACCCTGTCTCTACTAAAAATACAAAAATTAGCTGGGCTTGGTGGCAGTCACCTGTAATCCCAGCTACTTGACAGGCTGAGGCAGGAGAATGGCTTGAACCCAGGAGGTAAAGGTTGCAGTGAGCCAAGATTGCACCACTGCACTCCAGCCTGGGTTACAGAACGAGACTCGTCTCCAAAAAAAAAGTCACTGCTGCCCTAGGGATTGGCATGAAGCAAAATGCAGTCTAGGCCGGGCACGGTGGCTGAAACCTGTAAAGCCTGTAATCCCAGGAATTTGGTTGGCTGAGACAGGTGAATCACCTGAGGTCTTGAGGTCAGGAATTCAAGACCAGCCTGGCCAACATGGCAAAACCCCATCTCTACTAAAATTACGAAAATTAGCCAGGCATGGTGGCGTGTCCCTGAAGTCCCAGCTACTCGGGAGGCTGAGGCATGAGAATCACTTGAACCCAGGAGGCAGAGGCTGCAGTGAGCCGAGATTGCACCACTGCGCTCCAGCCTGGGTGAAAGAACAAGACTCTGTCTCAAAAACAAAAACAAACAAAGAAATGCAGTCTAAGTCCAAAACCACCTGCTTAATACATAGCTCAGAGATATTTTTAGACTTTTAGAGTTGAGTTGTATTAGAAATCAGATCATCTAAGATGGATTTACCTGTATGTGATCAGCAAAAGTAACATATACTTTGCAGAACTTTTGCACACTTGTACTGCATGACTTCCTATCCGTAAGTATATAAAGCTAAGAAGAAATAAACAGCTTGAGTTATGCCTGTTAAACTACTCTGCAAATTTTATCATGGATAAAAAGAGACTGCTGATGGTAAAGGCAGTTAAGTTCATTTCCATCATTAAATGATAATTTTTATAGAAAGTGATACTTATGCAAAACAAAGGAGGTGATGGGAGTAAAACATTTGAGCATTTGGCCAGGAAGAGGGGAACTTACACCTTCCACGGGAAAGTATTTTAGGAACATACCGTCATTTTGGGTGACTGTGGGAAGAAAAAGAGTGAGATGAAGATAGAGACCATATCATGACAAGACAAACTTATAAGTGGAGATTAAGCATTTACAAATTTTTATAGCAGACTGACAAGAATTTTATGTCTGTTGAATCTAATAATAAAAATCAGCTTGTCTTTTGGCTGACTTTAAAATTTCATTGTAATAATTTATTTTCATTGTGTTTTACAAAAAAGTCAGTAATCAATTAGAAATTTAAAAATAACTGGTCCTTCAACACAGCTAAGGAAGGAATGATTTAGAACAGTAATTCTCAATGGAGAAAGCTTCACCCCTTAAGGAAGTGGTTTTAGAAATCTGTGGATCTTTTGGGATTAGGAAAAGAGTCTTTTACTAATATTTGATAGTCACAGACCAGGTATGTCACACATCCTGAAGTGTGCAGTACAGCTTCACACAATAAAGAGAGGTGGCCTCATGTCCTGCACAGCCTTTGAAGGTCCTTGATATTCAGATACAGGGGAAACCCATTTATCTGACCCTATAACCTGACAAAATATTTATTGCTCAGTTTTCATATATACTGCATCTTCCAAAACTGTATCATGTAAATCAAGATACTATTATATTTTGGTCTGCTTATCACTAGAGAAAACCACTAAACTGAGAGCACACAACTTTGCATTGCCTGTATATTATTCCTGTCTCAACACCAGTATTGGTCCACTGAGGATTATTCTACATATGGTACAAGCACTTAGCTATTTCATTATGCCTAAACTCTGATCATGCCTAAGTATTTATGTACTAAATTTTTTTGTATAAATAATTTTTATGTCTCCTTTCTGGTATTACTAGGACATTACATTGATTTTTAAATTATAGATATATATAAGTGGCTATATTTTCTGTGAATTTCACTTCAGGATTGTAATTGGAACATTACATAGGAGGAAATTATAGATCTCAATAAAAACACTGATGAAATTGGTGCTAAAAGTCAAAAATGCGTAAGTGAACTTGCAGGAGATATTAGAAGTCATCCTTATTTCCACGTTTGAGATGACAGAAGAATATACAGTTTAGATACAGTAGCAGCTAAAAAAGGAGGTTCTGCCTAGTTTAAATCCTAATTCAGCCAATGGTAGCTGCAAGACCTTGGCAAGTTTTTCCATTTCCCAATTACTTTGTTGTTTTTAAAAATAAGAATAGCACAATTCCCTTCTATATCTAGGGTTGGCTCTAAGAATATAACAAGAAGAGAATCCATCTAGAGAGGTACTTGGCCAGGCACGGTGACTCACGACTGTAATCCCAACACTTTGGGAGGTCAAGGGAGGAGGATCGCTTAAGCTCAGGAGTTTGAGACCAGCCTGGGCAATGTAGCAAGACCCTGTTTGTAAAACAAAAAAAAAAATTTTTTTTTTTTTAAATTAATGGGGCACAGCGGTATGTGCCTGTAGTCCTAGCTACTCAGGAGGCCAAGGCAGGAGGATTGCTTGAGCCCAGGAAGAGTTTAAGGCTGCAGTGAGTCGTGATCGTGCCACCTGACTCCAGCCTGGGTGACAGAGTCTTGAAAAAATCAAATGGAAAAAAAAAAAAGAGGTTCGCATATTGCTCTGCTCATAATCGACACAACCCACATGTGTGATATTAAGTTACTCTAAAACCCAAAGGCAGAGTACTAAAGAGAAGGAAATGAGCTAAGAATATGAGAGTAGGCATAAAAATGAGTGAAAGATAGACACATCAAATATAGGCCTTCTTTTAAAAAGAAATCTGAAATATCAGTCATTACCATTAGCCAGAGTAAGCTAATTAAACAATTTCAATCTTTGTATATATACCTGGACACATGTGAGAGTCTAGGAGTAGTGGACACAAAACAAGAAAAAAAATCCAGCAAGATGAACACAGAAATCTCTATCTGGGTTGATAGTCAAGCTTTGAAAAGCATCATACACCCTCAATTCAACCAACACTTAACTTACTGAGCACCACCTTTGTCTACCAGATTGGAATAAAAAACTGAGGAAAGGTATTTGTGAATATATACAATAGACATCTAGGCAAGATCGCAGTAAATTATAGCCTTTCTCATCCCCACATGGAAAGTAATACTGAATAGTAATTACTGAATAGTAATATTGTGTTTTGAGTAAGACAAAGTAGGCCATTCAGGAAATCAAAATACGGCAAGTGGGGGGTGGGGGTGGGGATGGCCTTAGTACTGAGAAAACTCTTGCTTTTCTGGTTGCTGATAATAAAATTAGACACAGCATTAATAGTGCCCTGTCACTCCCAATTGGTTTACTGTTCTAAAACCCTACCAGGAGACCTTTGCCCTCCCCAGTCTTAACCTTGTATATTTTGTTCATTAAAACTGGAGGTAGAAAGACAGGAAAAGAGCAACAAGTGAAGGTTTTTATATACTTAAATTTAAAATGATGAGCACTGCATACACATCTCTAGTGCTGAGTCACATGGAAAAATTGAACACGCATTTCTTTTAAGAGGGTAAGTCCTGTTCAGTCTCAATTCAACCAAAGGTTATCTACAAGAAAAAAGCAAATCACTTATGAGTAGTTACTCTGTTCTTGAGAAATGAAAAATTCAAATTCACCTCTTTTGAAATTTAAAAGGCATCAAAAAACAATATTCAAAGAAACAACTTAAACTTTAGTTCCAGGTTCTAGATCCAGACAAATTTCAATAAGCACACCCACCTTGTTTCTCCCACTGAAAGCAGTTAAAAAATCTAGACAGAAAGTATCAAACAATAATTTGAAGACTCAAAGTAAAGATAACAGACAGACTAGGAACTCTATAGTACTACAGAAACTGAAGTGATTTGCTTCTTTTTTTCCCTCTGCTATGCCCCAGCCTAGACTCAGCAGCAAAAAACTTTCAAGTTGTTAGTGGATACAGACAGATCTTAGGAGAAGCCTTGTAGTTTAGGCTGGAGAAGCAAGAAAGGGGAACCGGGCCGCACAGCAGAAGGTGAGAGGAGGTGAGCAGGCTTAAATGCCTGAGCCCCGCCTCCTGTCAGATCAGCAATGGCAGCGTTAGATTCTCATGGAAGTGCGTACCCTATTGTGAACTGCGCACGCGAGGGATCTAGGTTGCATACTCCTTATGAGATTCTAACCAATGCCTGATGATCTGAGGTAGAACAGTTTCTATCCCGAAACCACTCCCCTTCCCCAACCATGAAAAAATTGTTTTAATGCATAAAAAGAGTTTCTGAACTCTTCAACCAGGGCTGTATGGATTTCCTGAGAACAAACAAGTCCATCTTGGTGAAAGAATTCGCCTTCACTGATGTGAAACTAAAGGTTGAGCAAGTTTGCTTCTGGAGAAGAATGCTGTGGACAGGCTTACACATGATGATGGAGCAATGGAAATATTAATGCTGGGTGATTAACACAGACTCTACAACCGGTGAGTTCTCTTCAGAACCTCTGGACGACTGTTGCAAAGAAATAAAAGCCATGATCAAAATTTTCTGATTAAAAAAAAAAAAAAAGAAAGAAAAATTGTCTTCTACGAAACCAGTCCCTGGTGCCAAAAAGGTTGGGGATCACTGATCTAAAACACTGATGGAGGGAAGAAGCTATAGTTCCAAGGGGATGGATTGAACCTGTTTGCTTCTTTTCCGTCTGTTTGCCTCTCGTTAGCCCTGGACATGTATACAGTTACAGGAAGTGCACAACCACGCAAGGTATCTAAGGTCCTTGCTTTTCTGATTGGAGAATCAAAAAGGGAAGCCTCAGGGAAACAAAATACTAATCAAATTGTGTCCGGAATTGGTTTCTTCCAGTGGGTTCTCGGTCTCGCTGACTTCAAGAATGAAGCCGTGGACTCCCACGGTGAGTGTTACAGTTCTTAAAGATGGTGTGTCTGGAGTTTGTTCCTTCAGATGTTCAGATGTGTCCAGAGTTTCTTCCTTCCAGTGGGTTCGTGGTCTTGCTGACTTCAGGAGTGAAGCCGCAGACCTTTGCAGTGAGTGTTACAGCTCTTAAAGGTAGTGTGGACCCAAAGAGTGAGCAGCAGCAAGATTTACTGTGAAGAGCAAAAGAACAAAGCTTCCACAGTGTGGAAGGGGACCCTGGCGGGTTGCCACTGCTGGCTCAGGTGGCCAACTTTTATTCCCTTATTTGGCCCCACCCACATCCTGCTGATTGGTCCATTTTACAGAGTGCTGATTGGTCCATTTACAAACCCTTAGCTAGACACAGAGCACTGATTGGTGCGTTTTTATAGAGTGCTGATTGGTGTGTTTACAAACCTTTAGCTAGAAACTGAGTGCTGACTGGTGTGTTTACAATCCTTTAGCTAGACAGAAAAGTTCTTCAAGTCCCCACCTGACCCAGAAGCCCAGCCACCTTCACCTCTCAAAATCATGGAGACAGAGAAGCTCATTCAGCTTCAACATCATGAAGTTATTAGAAATCAATAAAACAGATAAAGCTCTGCAAGGCTGATGAAGATTTTAAGAGAGAGAACACAAAAATTACTAGTATCAGAATTAAAAAGTGGAGATATCACTAGAGACCCCACAGACATTAAAGGATAAGCGAATACTACAAAGCTTTATGCAACTTGTCCATGATGATGTAGTTATTAAAAAAAAAAAAAAAGAAAAAAAGAAACAACTTGGATGAAATTGACCAATTCTTTGAACACTACAAACGACCCAAGATGAAATAACCTGAAGAACACTATAATTACTGAAGATATTGAATTTGAGCATAAGAAAAAAAAAAAAAGGGCTGGGTGTGGTGGTTCATGCCTGTAATCCCAGCACTTTGGGAGGCCGAGGCAAATGGATCACCTCAGGTTGGGAGTTCGAGACCAGCCTGACTAACATGGAGAAACCCCATCTCTACTAAAAATGCAAAAATTAGCTGGGCATGGTGGCGCATGTCTGTAATCCCAGCTACCTGGGAGGCCGAGGCAGGAGAATCACTTGAACCAGGAGGCAGAGGTTGTGGTGAGCCAAGATTGGGCCATCGCACTCCGGCCTGGGCAACAAAAGCAAAACTCTGTCTCCAAAAAAAAAAAAAAAAAAACTTCTGAGAGAAATTATTCAAGTGGTTTCACAGGTGAATTCTATCAAATACTTAAAGAAATAACACCAATTCAGCAAATCACTTCCAGAAAAGGTAAACATGTTTTCCCAACACATTTTAAGGCTGTGTTACCCTGATAACAAAATCAATGGCAATACAAAAAACATCAAACTACAGACCAATATCCTTCATGAGCAGAGACACAGTAAGTCCTCAACAAAAATGTTAGCAAATTAAACCAAGCAAAAAGAATAAAATACCACAATAAAGTGGAGTTTATCATAGGAATGCAGGGTTGGTTCAACATTTGTGGGGGGCAGGGGGCGGGGGGCGGGGGGGGGGGGAGTCAATGTAATTCATTTACAGCCTAAAAACTACATGATAATATCAATTCATGCAGAAAAAGCATTTGAAACAATCCAACATTCACTCATCATATAGATTGTCAACAAACTAGAAACAGAAGGCAATGTCTTCAACCTGATAAAGAGTATCTACAAAAAACCCACAGCTAACATTTTATGTGATGATGAAAGACAATGTTTTCTCACAAAAATTGAGGAAGGGTAAGGATGTCAACTCTCATTGGAGGTCCTAGACAGTACATTACAGCAATAAAAGAAAAGGCATACAGACTATAAAGGAATAAAACTATGCCCATTTGAATACATAATTGTCTAAGTAGAAAATCCCAAGCAATCTATTAAAAAATAAAAAACAAACTTTCAGAACTAGTAAGTTTAGCAATGTCAAAGGATATAAGGTCAACACACAAAAATTTAAAATACTTCTACATACTAAAAACAAGTGGAAGTCCAAACTTAAAAAATAATATTCACCTACTATTTAGAAAAAAAAACAAAACAAAATAACAAGTGTTGAAGTGGACATGGAGAAGTTAGAACACACTTGGGCACTGTTGGTAGAAATGTAAAACAGTACAGCTGCTATGGAAAACAGTAATGGCAATTCCTGAAATAATTAAAAACATAATTGCTATAACATCTTTTTCACTGGTTTATTCAAGGAGAGGAAAAGAAGAACTGCTATAACATCCAGCAATCCCACTTCTAGGTACATACCCAAAAGAATTGAAAGCAGAGTCTCAAAGAGATATTTATTCACCTACATTCACGGTGGCATTGATCACAATAGCCAAAAGGTAGAAGCAATCCATATGCCCATGGACAGAAGAATAAACAAAAGGTAGAATACACAGACAGAGGAATACTACACTTAACTTTCAAAAGAAAATTCTGACACATACTACGACAGCGGTCCCCAACTATTTTCGCACCAGGGACTGGTTTCATGGAAGACAATTTTTCCACGGACAGAGAGTGGGGATGGGGGGGATGGCTTCAGGATGAAACTGTTCCACCTCAGATCATCAGGCATTAGATTCTCCTAAGGAGTGAGCAACCTAGATCCCTCAACGTGTGCAGTTCACAATAGGGTATGCATTCCTATGAGAATCTAATGCTGTCACTGATCTGTCAGGAGGTGAAGCTTAGGCAGTAATGCTCGCTCACTTGCCACTCACCTCCTGTGGTACAGCCCAGTTCCTAACAGGCCACAGATGGTACCAGTCTGAGGCCTGGGGGTTAGGGACCCCTGTGCTACAACATGGTTGAACAGCATACTAAGTGAAATAAGCCAGTCATAAAAAGACAACTTAGTAAAGTTGATAATTATTCCAAAAGGGTTTTTTTGTTGTTAACTTATTGCAATCCCAATAAACATCCCAGCAGAATTTTTGTGTATAGACTTGCTGGTTCCAAAATACACGTGGAAAAGCAAAGTAAAGACAATAGCCACAATTCTGAAAAACAATAAAGTTGAAGGAATAATACTATTCAATTTTAAGACTTATAAAGATACCGTAACCAAGAAAGTGTAGTAGCAAAGGGACAGACACATAAATCAATGGGATAAAAGAGTCCAGAAACAGACCCACACAAATATGGTCAATTGATTTGTAACAAAAGTGTGAGGGCAATTCAATGGAAAAGGAACAATATTTTCAATTTTTGGTGTTAGAATGAGACATTTACATGCAAAAAATAAAACCACAGCCTGTGAAGCATACATTACATAAAAATTAACTCAAAATGCACCATAGGCTTAAGACAATAGGAGAAAACCTTCATAACTTTGATTTAGGCAAAAAGTTTTTAGACAGGACACCAAAAATACTATTCATAAAATGAGATTGGCACAAATGAATACACTGAACTTCATTAAAATTTAAAACTTTTGGCCAGGTGCGATGGCTCAAGCCTCTAATCCCAGCACTTTGGGAGGCCAAGATGGGTTGATCACCTGAGGTCAGGAGTTTGAGACTAGCCTGGCCAACATGGTGAAACCCCATCTCTACCAAAAATACAAAAATTAGCCAGGCATGTTGGTGGGCGCCTGTAATCCCAGCTACTCAGGAGGCTGAGACACGAGAATCGCTTGAACCCAGGAGGCAGAGGTTGCAGTGAGCCGAGATCGCACCATTGCACTCCAGCCTGGGTGACAGAGCGACACTCCATCTTAAAATTTTTTTTAAAAATAAAGATACAAAAGAAAAAAAAATAGCCAGGTGTGGTGGTATGCACCTGTAGTCCCAGCTACTGGGGAGGCTGAGATGGGAGAATCACCTGAGCCCAGGAAGTCAAGGCTGCAGTGAGCTGTGATTGTGCCACTGCACTCCAGCCTGGGCGATAGGAGTCAAGATTCTGTCTCAATCAACTGATAAAGGGCATGATGACCTTTAAGATGATCATATCCAGAAAAATGACAGAAGCACAGGACAAAAGTCCAGGCAGCATAGCACAAAGGACATGGGGTAAACATGGAGGGAGCAGGGTGGGGTCAGAAATGCTTGCCTCATACACCATTCATATATACCGGTTGTAGAGAACTCTGGTATTCCCCTTGCACACCCATCACCAGATTACCTCTAGTGATGTAAAGTCTGGCCCATCCCAGAGCAGCCATGCATGAAGAACTCTATGTCTACAGTTCTTTAAACAGAGAACTTTACTAATAACTTCCCCAATGAAATTCATTCATCACTCATAACCATACATTACGTCCAGACCTGGGGAGGATCCAGTTTCTATTGGCTTCACTGTCAAGCTTTTCAGAGGCATGTTGAAACCAAATCATAATAACTAGAAGAAACAGGAACAACCCTTTGGGAGGAAGTTTTCTGTTAGAGCAACCTGATTAAGAGGAGACACTAACACTTTCCAGCTGCATGATCCCAGACAAGCTACTTCACCTCTCTGTACCACCACTGCCTTATCTGTAAAGTGGGGACATGGGACTGCTGTGAAGATTAAAACGTGTTAATTCAGTACCCGGCACATAAGTGCCTAGTACGTGTCAGCTACTTATTGGCCGAGTGGCCTGCTCAAAGTCAGGCCACTGAGAAGAAGAAAGGCACCTACCGAGAACATGCAGTTTATCTGCTATTTATTTAGAACTCCAAGCTGTCTGCTATAAAGGCAACCTTTAAACTGGTTATTTCTAATATTTAACATCTCTGACTCCCATTACTACTTCTCGCTCAGCTCATGGACAGTCTCAACGTCACTGTTTCTACAGATGTTTTCTTCTGTTGAGTTAAAGCACCTCATGGTGTTAGCTTTATGTTGCCAATTACACCTAAAATGCTTCTCAGCCAGGCACAGTGACTCATGCCTGTAATCCCAGCACTTTGGGAGGCCAAAGTGGGTGGATCACCTGAGGTCAGTAGTTTGAGACCAGCCTGGTCAACATGGTGAAACCCCGTCTCTACTAAAAATACAAAAATTATCCGGGCGTGGTGGCACACACCTGTAATCCCAGCTACTCAGGAGGCTGAGGCGGAGAATGGCTTGAACCCAGGAGGTGGACACTGTAGTGAGCAGAGATCACGCCACTGCACTCCAGCCTGGGCAACAAGTGTGAAATGCTGTCTCAAAAAGTAAGTAAATAAAATGCTTCTCAAATTTCTATTTGACATTAATTCCTGTATCCACATGGACCAAGTAGCACCTAACACAGCATCAAAAACAATCAGCAGTTGGACAGAAGATGAATGACAGTTCCTGCCTTTAAAGATGCCAACATCCAGCAGGGATGTCACCTAACTCACTCCGTGGTCCCTGCCTACTCTCTTCCCCAGGAAGTCATCTACCTCCCCACAAACCTCAAGACAGCTTTCCACTTCTCAGCACACGTTCATCCACGGCTTACAGTGGGGTCTCTCTGAGCTATTTTATATTAACTATGGTATTGTTTCGTTTTTCCTCCAGACTAGATAACATGGCATCACTACTTTTCCATTTACTTATTTCTTCACTACTTTCCCACTTATTTCTCTTTTTTTTTTTTTTTTTTTTTTCAGTAGAGTCTCGCCTGCCGCCCAGGAGTACAGTGGCACAATTTCAGCTCACTGCAACCTCTGCATCCTAGGCTCAAGCAATTTTTGTGCCTCAGCCTCCTGAGTAGCTAAGATTACAGGCATGCGCTACCATGCCTGGCTAATTTTTGTATTTATAGTAGAGATTGGGTTTTGCCATGTTGGCCAGGCTGGTCTCAAACTCCTGGCCTCAAGTGATTTGCCTGCCTCAGCCTCCCAAAGTGCTGGGATTACAGGCCTGAGCCACCATACCAGGCCTACTTGTTTCTTCTAAATAAGGAATACTTGGTTTCCCTTCTTTGACCAGAGCCTCACTTAATACTCATCTTCCCAGATCAATTAAGTCCAGGAAAAAAATCAAATATGCAAGTGTTGAAGTAAAACCAAGAAACGTTCTGAATTTTCTAGCAAGACTGTGATTTTTAAGTATGTATTCCCCATAAGTACCTGTCAGATCACGTATTCAAATCTTTGCTCGGAAAACAGTCATTCCAGTCATGAGTGATGTGGGGGCCCCACCAGCATGGAGAACCTGGTGCATAGGCTGTTTCCCCACACAGTAAACACAGGGAAATATTGTTTCACCTTCCTCATCAGCCCCCAAAATGACAACCTTCCTTGCCCTTTCCTCTAGGACCACTTCATTTACCTAATGTCTTCCTTTACATAAGGTCTTATGCTTCACTTCAGGGAAGGTACCCCCAGCTTTGGGCATTTTTTGAGTACTTATTAGGAGTTTTGATTCTTTTGACTGGAGAGTAGTTTCAAGGAAATAACATTAGGAGAAACTGAGAAATCCTTTCCTTAAGACTCTGGCCTTTTTTTTTTTTTTTTTTTTTTTTTTTTTTTTTTTGAGACAGAGTCTTGCTTTGTCACCCAGGCTGGAGTGCAGTGGTGCGATCTTGGCTCACTGCAACCTCCGCCTCCCGGGTTCAAGAGGTTCCCCTGACTCAACCTCCTGAGTAGCTGGGATTACAAGCCTGTGCCACCACACCCGGCTAATTTCTGTATTTTTAGTTAAGATGGGGTTTCTCCATGTTGGCCAGGCTGGTCTCGATCTCCTGACCTCAAGTGACCCACCTGCCTTGGCCTCCCAAAGTGCTGGGATTACAGGCGTGAGTCACCGCAACTGGCCCCACTTACTGTGTATTTTTTACATACAAAAAGACATTCCTGCCGGGCGCAGTGGCTCCCGCCTGTAATCCCAGCACTTTGGGAGGCTGAGATGTACAGATCACTTGAGGTCAGGAGTTCGAGACCAGCCTGGTCAACATGGTGTAGCCCTGTCTCTACTAAAAATACAAAACTCAGCCGGGTGTGGTGGCAGGCACCTGTAATCCCAGCTACTCAGGAGGCTGAGGCAGGAGAATTGCTTGAACCCAGGAGGCGGAGGTTGCAGTGAGCCGAGGTCGTCGCATCACTGCACTCCAGCCTCGATGAAAGAGCAAGACTCCGTCTCAAAAACAAAACAACAACAAAAAGACATTCCTTAAATTTAGAAAATGGAGCCCACTTGAGAAATTGAGTAGGCAAAAGAAAAAATATCTAAAGGTGTTTAATGTCAAGTACTCCACTAAGGCTTTCTCCCAAAGCCCTACCCTTATCCATTTAAGGAAGGGCTCTCAAATCCTCCTTCTAATGTACACTTCCCCTGTGGCATCTGAACATCCACATCGTTGTCTGCTGGGACTGTTTCTGTGGAGGAATCCTTCCAGTCTGGTCACACTGAGTCTACTCTTCAGGTACCTCAGGCAAAACAGGATGGATGAGAAACCACCATTTTCCCTTATTTCTTTGCTATATTCCATATATTTGGGAGAAAACAAACCTACCTAATTCTCTAGCAGTGAGTCCTTCAGAAAGTTAGTCTGTAATCCCAGCACTGTGGGAGGCCAAGGCGGGCAGATCACAAGGTCAAGAGATTGAAACCATCCCGGCTAACAATGAAACCCCGTCTCTACTAAAAATACAAAAAATTAGCTGGGCATGGTGGCGCGCACCTGTAGTCCCAGCCACTCAGGAGGCTGAAGCAGGAGAATCACTTGAACCCAGGAGGCAGAGGCTGCAGTGAGCCGAGATTGTGCCACTGCACTCCAACCTGGGTGACAGAGCAAGACTCTGTCTCCAAAAAAAAAAAAAAGTTAGTCTCCCAGTATCTTCATCTGCCATAAACATTTAGCAGAATCCAGTGCCCACCCATAAGTGCTTTATCATCATCTAAAACTAAGTGGTTAGAAACTGTTTAAAGCTGCTTGACACAGCATGTAAGATATGCGGTCCAGAGAACTTGAGGAATCCCCTTCTGATCATTTAGTAGTATATGGTGGAATACAGATAACATAAATAATAAAGATCTAACAGTAACAGAAAGGTAACACTCCAGGTACAGATCTTACAAAACACCAAACGTCACAAGCGTTTCTGCTGTGGTCCCAGATTCTGTTACCTCTTCAGTGACTTCACAGAATCTGGCTTACAAGATGACTCCTAGAATTGGGGCAGGAGATTGTCTTACTTCAAGGTTAGAGGTTTGCCTTGATATTAAGCTCTCAGTTCCATCAGACTGACAGGGTATATGAGGCATTAGGGCAAACAAAGAAAAATAAGCTCTCAGTTCCAAATGTACTTCTCAGCTTTGTGATGCCAGGTCTAGGACTATGGACTCTAATCTCTCCTTTGCCAGCTGTTACCTGTTAGTTTCTGCCAATAGAAGGCACCAGAGGGGTACTAGAAAGCAGGAGTCGGGATAGAGATGACATGCTCTTGCCCGTCTGTCAGTCGGCATCCCCACACCCACAGGTCCCGTCCATCAGTCGACATCAGCAGGCCCTGTCCGTCAGTCGGCATCCCCACATCCGCAGGTCCCTGTCCATCAGTCGGCATCACCACATCTGCAAGTCCCTCTCCGTCAGTCAGCATCACTGCATCCATAGGTCCCCATCCGTCAGTCAGCATCACTGCATCTGCAGGTCCCGTCCTTCAGTTGGTATCACCGCATCACCAGGTCCCATCCGTCAGTCAGCATCACCCCACCCGCAGGTCCCCATCTGTCAGTCGGCTTTACCACATTAGCAGGTCCCGTCCGTCAGTCGGCTTCACTGCATTACCAGGTCCTGTCTGTCAGTCAGCTTCACCACATCAGCAGGTCCCGTCCGTCAGTCGGCTTCACTGCAACACCAGGTCCCGTCCGTCAGTCGGCATCAACGCATCACCAGGTCCCTACCCATCAGTCGGCATCACCGCATCACCAAGTCCCTGTACGTCAGTCAGCATCACCACATCCGCAGGTCCCCGTTCATCGGCTTCACCGCATCCGCAGGTCCCGTCCATCAGTCGGCATCACCGCATCGCCAGGTCCCCCTCCATCAGTCGGCATCACCGCATCCGCAGGTCCCCCTCCGTCAGCCGGCATCACCGCATCCGCAGGTCCCCCTCCGTCAGTCGGCATCACCGCATCCGCAGGTCCCCCTCCGTCAGTCGGCATCACTGCATCCGCAGGTCCCGTCCGTCAGTCGGCATCACCGCATCCGCAGGTCCCTGTCTGTCAGCCGGCGTCACTGAATCAGCAGTTGGTTACAGCCTCTAGCTCCTCTGGACACTCTGAACAAGATGTATAACTCCTCTCTCCTCCCCACATCCCAGGCGCCAGCCATAGCCAAGGAGCTCCCATGGCTCAGAAATCTAAGTCTCAGGTGCTCAGGGCTCTTCCCTCCAAGTCTCTAGGATCCAAAACCTCAACTTCCTCTTTGGCCTTCCAACCCTCAGGCCGTGGCTGCTCCTTACAGTCACTACTCTGGATTCTCTTTGTTCTTTCGCCTTTCAGCACCTGTGTGATTCTCCCTGGTGAAATACCGAGTATGTTATCTGTGCTCCTGCCTGGATCTCACTGAGACAAGCACAAAACCTAAGGCTGAGAGCTGGTGAATTTGTTGTTCTTATTATATCATAGCTAAAACATATTGTGTACTTATATGTACCAAGCACTGTTTTAAAGGCTTTATCATGCATAATCCTATTTAATGCTCAAAGCAACCCAATGAGGGGGCCACCATCATCACCCCTGGTTAGAAAAGAGGAAAATGAGGCTCAAAGAATTTTAAAAACCTGTTCAGAGATCCCATAACTAGATCACACAATGAGAAAGTAGTGGAGCTAGGACATAATTCCAAGTCTGACCTCAAGGCTGCCCCATTTCCTGCAAAAAAAATAAAAATAAATAAATAAAATACAACTATAAGGCTTTTTTAGGTGCTCCAAGCTGCTTCACAGGGCTATTTACATTGCTCACAGAGAACTTACTATAGTGCTTTTTTGTTATCCTCTTGAGTCTTACTCTGTAACAGGCCCCTTCCTTTTTTCATCCCACTGCTCCTCTAGCAAAACAGGATGTCCTGTGGAATATCCCATATTTAGGACATGGCTAGTTGTTTCTTTGATGCATCATTTAATTTGTCACTCTATCTTCTGTATTTCTTGTAAACTCAAAGTTAGATTAAGACTGAAGCCAGTTGAACCTATTGAGATAAGACTATTTCCTCTGTGGTGACATGTATATTCTACTGCATTAAAGTAGAAGGTACATAAGGTCCGGTCATTCCACTTTCAGTGATTCTAAGATTAATCAGGGACTCAATGCCTAATCTTCCATTATAAAAATTGTCCAGAACTGCAAAATTATCGCTGTTTATGATAAGGCTTTGGCACAAAACAAGCGGCATACCCAGCGTGAATAAATAAAATATATACAGGCTGGGTGCAGTGGCTCACGCCTGTAATCCCAGCACTTTGGGAGACCAAGGCTGGTGGATCGCCTGAGGTCAGGAGTTTGAGACTAGCCTAACCAACGTGGTAAAATCCCATCTCTACTAAAAATACAAAAAATTAGCCAGGCGTGGTTGGCGGATGCCTGTAATCCCAACTACTAGTGAGGCTGAGGCAGGAGAATCATTTGAACCTGGGAGGCGGAGGTTGCAGTCAGCCAAGATTGCACCATTCCACTCCAGCCTGGGCAATGAGAGCGAAACTCCATCTCAAAAAACAAACAAACAAACAAACAAAAACATACAAAGTGACCCTTCTCAAAAAGGAAATAGTGTTCCCTCAAGCCTTTAAGGAAAGAAACACCTAACAGCAGCAGCCCATCTTATTCCTAACGAACTCTCAATAAAATTGTTTTTGTTGATCAATATGTAAATAATCATTAAATTTTTAAAGGGAGTCAAAGGTGAAGAATTCCAAAGTCTAGTTCCAAGCATCTTACGATTCAGTATGTGCTCTTGCTTAATTAACTTTATCTTGCGTGCCCATATTTGCCCATTTGAAAACAGAGATAATCCACTAACTTGACACTACCTCAAAGGACAATGAGGAGAGTAAAGTGAAATACAAAAATTAAGAAAAGTTAGATACGGCAAATACCCAGAATAAGGGAAAATGCAATAAACTAAAAGCTAAATTCTCTAAATTTGAAGAGATTATGAATGAATTAAAAGGAAACTCTGCCCATAGCAGATATGCTAGTACTCTAATAATTTACTTAAACTTGGTTTCTACCATTTGGCTGTTTCATAGAAAGCTACATCATACCAGATGTAGCTCCTGAACAAAAAAAATCATATTAAATTACATTTTAAATCATATTTAATATGGCTCATCTTAAAATAAGGGGATTGAACTAGTAATCTTGCTATTACAACACTTGAGGACCTATCCCACAAGCTACTGAATTCCCTAAATAAATGTTAATCTAAAACAGGAACATGTAAAAAGTTTAATCTTATAACCCACCGTTTCCATCTATAAAGTATATTTTTAGTGCATTATATAACTTGCAATATATTCAGCATATACCAAAAACCAACCCCTTCCTGCAAAGCTTAATCTCAATAATACTGTTCTGAAGATAAATATTCTCAGCACAAATCACCTGTGACCAACTGAGAAACCTTGGAGAATCAGACTTAGATCAACTTCCCACCAAACTAACCTTTTAACCAAACTTTGCATTTTGATGGGGGTTATGATTTAGTGACTCATCAAATGTCATTTTAGAAGACTAGTCTAAAACACACAAAACTAGTTAGTCTTGATTTTTTTTATATTAGAGATACATAAAAGCTAAGCAGTTTCTCTGCACCACCCTCTCCAAGGTGGGTTTTAAGAACTTTCAGGTTCCATTGTCTGAAGAGTCAAAAGACATTTTCTTTTATCCCTTCAACTACTGGTGTCTCAGATTCTCACCATGACATCATTATTATGCTTTGGAAACTGCTGACACAGGCTATTCAATTGTGCTAAATAGTTTGTGTTTATGCATATTACACAATCAGTGCAGTGCCACCATCTGAGCAAAAGGAAGCAGAATAACATTTTAAAGTAACAGCACAAAATAGCAGGTATTTGTCTTTTTAAAACTTTGCCAAGATAGGAACTTCATATTTAAATACAATTGGCAAACTCATCAGAAAGAACTGAAATCAACAAAATCCTGTTGGGAAGTGACTGAATGAGAAAGATTACCCAGTTACCCAAGAATATATTTCAATATTTGGTTTCTTATCCCAAAGAGCAGATTTTTAAAAGATACACTGTGCCCTTACTAAGAAAAACCCACACCAAGGCACGGGTCATAGGAGAAGAATTTTATGTTCTAGCACACCCAAGAGTTGAGGAAAGGAGAAAAAGCTTTGAAAAAACTAACAGCAATAGGCTTCCATACTTAGATCTTAATTTTAAATACAGAAATTCTTACCTCCCACTGTAAATGAGGCGGGATATTTCGTATCTGAAGTTTCCGAATCCTGCAGAAGAATTAAAATGTTTTTTAAAAGAAAAAAACATAAAAGCAAAACAATAATAGCCAACATGGAAGTTTAGAAACTACTTAAAATATTAACTCTATATTAATTACAAACCAATATCTATTAAGAAAATACAGCCCAAGAAGGAAAAGCAAAGAAGCAAAGTCATAAAATGCATAGAGACCATTTGGAGATCCAGCATTTATCGGACTGTTATGACTTATTTTAAAAGCCACTAAAATTGGCAGATAGAATGTTTAAAACACACTTATCTGATGACTACATTCTAAGTTCAAATCCGTTAGCTTCAAATTAGGCATCCCAGGACACAAACAAGGCCTTAGTCCAGGTGACCTTACTCTGACCGTTACAGCTAAGGAGTCCATGGATAAAATTCAGGGAAATAAAAATGAGGTGTGGGTGGCAGGAAATTACACATTTATCTTCACTATCCCCTAAATGAAATTTAACACGTCCTTCAATTATGAATGCTGGCACTAAACCACAGAATTACAGTACTTGTAATTTTGACATCAATATAAATCAGATATTTTCATACCACATTAGACTGTTGGAGATCTTTATCATCTATACTCATTACTGTGAAACTTAGATGTGTTGCTAGAACTTGTTGCTTATTATACTAAGCACCTATCACCAAGTTTTAACATTCTGCTAACTACATTTTAAAATAATTGGTTTCCTTTATAATCCTACGTATTTTATGCATTTTAAAACATCCTGAGGCCAGGCACAGTGGCTCAGGCCTATAATCCCAACACTTTGGGTGGCCAAGGCAGGTGGATCACTTGAGGTCTGGAGGTCAGGACCAGACTGGCCAACATGGTGAAACTCCTCCTCTACTAAAATTACAAAAAATTAGCTGGGCATGGTGGCAGGTGCCTGTAGTCCCAGCTACTCCAGATGCTGAGGCAGAAGAATCACTTGAACCTGGGAGGCGGAGGTTGCGGTAAGCCAAGATTGCATCACGGCACTGCAGCCTGGGCGACAGAGCGAGACTCCATCTCAAAAAAATAAAAAATAAGACATACTGAAACATAAGAAGAGATCCATAGGTTTCAGACTGCTAAAGGAGTGCACAGTACAGAAAATGTTAAGAATCAGCACCTTAGTCCAAATGCCTCCCTACACATGTATATATGTATGTATAAGGGAAGGAAGAGGGCGACACATATAACACAACTGCATGTTAACTGTATGAGACTATACCATAGAAGTCACATGCCAGTCACCTCCTTTGAAGGAGGAAGAATTTATAGTCAACTAGCTATTAAAAACAAAACAAAAACTAGCAATTGAGCTTGACATCTCAAGTGAAATAAATTACTTAACTTTCACAATTAGAACTATAGGACAGGCCTTGTGGCTTATGCCTGTAATCCCAGCACTTTAGGAGGATCACCTGAGCCCAGGAGTTCCAGACCAGCCTGGACAACATAGCCAAACCCCATCTCTACAAAAATCTTTTTAAAATTTTTTTAAACTAGCTGGGCATGGTGTTGCATGCTTGTAGTACCACCTACTCAGGAGACTGAGATGGAAGGATTGCTTGAGACCAGGAGTTCAAAGCTACAGTGAGCTGTGACTGCACCACTGCAATCCAGCCTGGGCAACAGAGTGACAACCTGTCTCAAAAAGAAAAGAGAAGAAAAAAGAAAAATAAAAAACAGAAAAAAAACAAAGAACTATAGTGAACTTCTCTTTCCAGGTCAAATAATCCACAATTTTGAAGTATCTGAGGAAAACACCAGTTTAGTCTAGATTCATAACCTAGTTTAGTCCTTTGCCTCTTCCCTTTCCCCAAAAGGGTGAGAACAAACAAATACCACAGCTGCCATTGATCCCTTCGAGAACAACAAAGAAAACCTAGATTAACTAAACTCAGGTACATCCTGTCTACAATCATAAAATGGAGGAGGGAAGGAAGAGAAGCACTTTTACATTATTTTCATGACAAAGTAAAAGCACAGTCATCAAGGTAAAATATACCAAAGAAATAAAAGAGAATGCCAGTTTAAGAGATTCAAAAATCCAAACTATAGCTAGTACAAGTTTACAGACTAAATGCTAGTTTGGGATTTGTTTCAAAATAACTCATGTGGTAATAACTGTTAAAGCTTCAGGACAGGTACCTCTCTGCTTTTATGTAAGTTTTATATTTTCTTTTTCTTTTGTGTGTGTGTGACAAGAGTCTCGCTCTGTCGCCTATGCTGGAACTCAGTGGCACAATCTCAGCTCACTGCAGCCTCTGCCTCCCGGGTTCAGGCAATTCTCCCACCTCAGCCTCCTGCGTAGCTGGGATTGCAGGCATGCGCCATCACACCCAGCTAATTATTGTATTTTTAGTAGAGACGGGGTTTCACCATGTCGACCAGGCTGGTCTCAAACTCCTGACCTCAAGTGATCCGCCTGCCTCGGCCTCCCAGAGTGCTGGGATTACAGGCATGAGCCACTGTGCCTGGCAGTATTTTCTATAAAAGGTTTAAAAAATATACCCTAATAAAAAGATTTATAATTCATAGATTTCACAACTGTTATATGTTGCTTCAATTAAAAGAAAGTTGCGGCCGGACACAGTGGCTCACACCTGTGATCCCGGCACTTTGGGAGGCTGAGGTGGGCGGATCACCTGAGGTCAGAAGTTCGAGACCAGCCTGACCAACATGGAGAAACCCCATCTCTACTAAAAATACAAAATTAGCTGGGCATGGTGGCACATGCCTGTAATCCCGGCTACTCGGGAGGCTGAGGCAGGAGAATTGCTTGACCTGGGAGGCAGAGTTTGTGGTGAGCCAAGATTGCGCCACTGCACTCTACCCTGGGTGACAGAGCGAGACTCCATCTCAAAAAAAAAAAAAAAAAGGTGCTCACACTGTATTTACCTGACTAATGAAGGTATGATTTACTACATATATGCAAGTACTAATCTGGTTTTTTGTTTGTTTTTGTTCTGTTTTGAGATGGAGTCTCACTCTGTCGCCCAGGCTGGAGTGCAGTGGCGTGGTCTTAGCTCACTGCAACCTCCGCCTCCCGGGCTCAAGGGATTCTCCTGCCTCTTCCTCCGGAGTAGCTGGGACTACAGATGCATGCCACCACATCCAGCTAGTTTTTTTATAGAGATGGTGGTCTTGCTATGTTGTCCAGGTTCATCTTGAACTCCTGGGCTCAAGCAGTCCTTCTATCTTGACCTCCCCAAAGTGCTGGGATTACAGGTGTGAGCCACCATGCCTGGCCCTATTCTGTTTTAATCAAGTATCTAACACAGTAAGGATTAGCAGCAGAGTTAAGAAACTAAGTATTCACACCTACACTGGCCTCATTTTGGAGGGTGTATATATTACCAAAAAATTTTCCCAAAAGTACACATGTAAATATACATAGAGAGTTCAGGTTAATTAGCATGTGATCATACATATTACAAAAATAAATATCCACTTCACAAAGAGGATACTATCTTTTGTTTATTAAGAGTAATCCAGGCAATACACAGTGGCTCATGCCTGTAATCCCAGCCTTTTGGGGGGCCAAGGTGGGAGGAGTGCTTAAGGCCAGGAGTAAAATTAGCGTGGTGTGGTGGCACACGCCCGTAGTCCTAGATACTCAGGATGCTGAGGTGGGAGAATCACATGAGCCCAGGAGTTTAAAGTTTCAATGAGCTATAATCATGCCACTGTACTCCAGCCTGGGCAAGGGATTGCGACCCTGTCTCACACACGCACACAAAGCAATCCATTTGCCATGTTTTCCCAAAGACTTTTTAAGAATCTCATACTCAAGGATCCCACGGATTTTCTACCCACTCTTCAAAATTTACATCCAACACCCATTTAATTATTGGAAGTTTGGATGTTACTCCAGAATAATTATTTCCCTTAAATGGTTTTCTCGTTTCCCTTACCTGATACTCTTAAGTTTCATTTTAGACAAACATCTGAGTTATTTTTATGCAGTGTTGTGCTTTGTTTTTCAGATGGGAGTCTCGCTCTCTCACCCAGGCTGGAGTATAGTAGCGTAATCTCGGCTCACTGCAACCTCTGCCTCCCAGGTTCAAGCAATTCTCCTGCCTCAGCCTTCCTAGTAGGTGGGATTATTAGATGCCCACTAACTTTAGTAAAGATAGAGTTTCACCACGTTGGCCAGGCTGGTCTCAAATACCCGATCTCAAGTGATCTGCCCGCCTCAGCCTCCCGAAGTGCTGGGATTGCAGGCGTGAGCCGCTGCGCCCAGCCCTGCAGTTAGCGTTTGATATCTAGAATTGTTCTTTCCCATTTGCTCAGTAACTAATCTTAAACTGTGTGACGTTTACCTCTGGCTCCTAACCCCGTGCTCTGCTCTTATCAGTACAAGAGCCAAAAGTCTCAACATTAACAAGAATGAACCAAAGGCATGAATTATAATCATCCAGCACAGATAAATACAAACTTCTGGCATGGAAAGAACTGGAGAAAAATCTATCTCAGTCAGCTACACAATTAAAATACTCTACTGCTTCTTTGGTCATGTTCCATCTGAGATTTGAGAATGAGTTTATATTTGGGTTTGATTCTAAATACTTACAAGTCAAGAAAAGGTATTCATATTTTAATAGAGTGTTTCTATCATATTAATTACCAAGTCATTAAAGTTCAATATAACTATCAGAAAATAAATTAGCATTTCACCATCTCCTAAAACATACATAAATACATAGGATGCACACTCCATAACAACAGGGACTAATTAGGTTATCTTGTTTGTTGCTGCATTCAGAGCCTGAACAGTGCTTGGCATCTGATAAGCATTCAATTGATAGTTAAAATGTTACACTATATGGTGGAGGGGGGGAAAGACTCACAGAACCACTATCCAGAAACTAACATTTCAAATGATTTCCTTATAGCTTATAAAGGGACCGAGAAAAACAACTGCCACACATTTTTGAGAATGGAAAAAAAAAACAAAAACCCCAAAATATTGAATTATTTAAGCATTTGCATTAATTTTAAAAATTCAGGCCAGGCACAGTGGCTTAAGCCTGTAATCCCAGCACTTTGGGAGGCCGAGGCAGGCAGATCACGAGGTCAGAAGTTCGAGACCAGCCTGATCAACATGGTGAAACCTCGTCTCTACTAAAAACATAAAAATTAGCTGGGCATGGTGGTATGCGCCTGCAATCCCAGCTACTCAGGAGGCTGAGGCAGCAGAATTGCTTGAACCCGGGAGACGGAGGTTGCAGTTAGCCAAGACTGCACCACTGCACTCCAGCCTAGGCGACAGAGTGAGACTCCATCTCAAACAAAAAAATTTTTTTTTCAACACAGTTTAAGGGTTCCCCACCAGAGGGGAAATACGGTAAATTTTAGTTCTCAGGCTAATAGATTAAAAATTTAAAGGCCAGGCGCAGTGGCTCAAGCCTGTAATCCCAGCACTTTGGGAGGCTGAGGTCGGGGGAATCATTAGGTCAGGAGTTCAAGACCAGCTTGGCCAAGATGGTGAAACCCCGTCTCTACTAAAAATACAAAAATTAGCTGGGCGTAGTGGCAGGCACCTGTAATCTCAGCTACTCGGGAGGCTGAGGCAGGAGAATCGCCTGAACCAGGAGGCGGACATTGCAGTGAGCCGAGATCGCACCACTGCACTCTAGCCTGGGCGACAAAGCAAGACTCCATCTCAAAAAATAAAAATAAACAATTTAAAAACTGCCCACTCTGCTAGAAATATTAGTTACTATGAAAATTCAATCATTATTTATTAAAAGCATGTTTAATCACAAAAGAAAGAGTCAATGATAGGCCCGGCAGGGTAGCTCATGCCTGTAAACCCAGCACTTTGGGAGAACTGCCTGAAACCAGGAGTTCCAGACAACCCTGGGCAACAAAATGAGACCCCCCACACCGGCCCTGCCTATCTACAAAAAAATCAAAATTAAAATTAATTTTTAAGAGCCAATAGAGCAGCTCATGTAGACTCTGAAGGGCATCTTCAAGATGTTTAGTAATCGATGAAACTGATTTAAGTTGATTTTATAGAAATGTTCAAATTGTCACCAATTAGAGAAAGTGAGCCTCCAAATACCCATCACCTGTTTCAATTAACGAGTATGATAATCTGATCTTGTTTATTCTATACCCACACCTGTACCAAGTCCCCCTTACGTAGCATGCCATGCTGAACTACTCCAGTAAACAACAATGAAAAATAAGGAGCTTTATTTCAACATAACCACAACAGCATTACTGCTCCTAGAAGTGATTAGCAAAAATTCCTCATTATTAGATATCCACTAAGTGTTTATTTCCAATTGCTAATAACTATCTTTTTACATGAGGTTTGTTCGTATCAAGATGCCAACAAGATATACATATGCATACAGTTGATATGCTGATATATAATCTTAGGTCTATTTAATACAAGAGTTTCCCCTCACTGTTTTCTTCACATTTATGTAGTGGTCCAAAGTCATAAAATACTACATGATTACTCATTCTGGATTTTACTCACTGCAACCCCCTTTGTATCATTTTAATAATTGTTTACTACATAGAATTAGATATATAATAATGTATTTTTTCTAAGAGATAGGATCTTGCTCTATTGCCCAGACTGGAGAGCAGTGGTACAATCACCTCACTGCAGACTCAAACCTCTGGGACTCAAGTGATCCTACCATCACAGCCTTCTGAGTAGCTGGGACCACAGGCATATGCTACCATGCCCAGCTAAATTTTTTGTAGAGATGGGGTCTCACTACATTCCCCAGGCTGGTCTGGAACTCCTGGCCTCAAGCAATCCTCCTGCCTTGGCCTCAATAATGTATAATTTGTTTATATATATAAGACATCTATGAACCCACCTCCAATAATTAGAAGATAATTGAAGATAATTGCATGCTTCTCCCCCAACCCTCCTCCTCCCAGAATATAATTATCACCCCTAATTTTTTATTCTCATGCTTTGATTTACAACAGTTATCTGCTAAAACTGACTTTTTTAGCCTGGCATAGTGGTGCATGCTTGTAGTCCCAGCTACTCGGGAGGCTGAGGCAGGAGGATCAACTGAGCCCTAGGGAGGTCGAGGCTGCAGTGAGTGGTGGTGGTACCACTGCACTCCAGCCTGGGCAACAGGGTGAGATCCTATCTCAAAAAAAACAAACAAAAAAACCCTGACTTTTAAAAAGTAGACAAAATGGTGCCAGCAGTCCTTAAAAATGACCAAAATTGTCTGGGTGCAGTGGCTCGCGCCTGTAATCCCAGCATTTTCAGAGGCCAAGGCAGGCAGATCACCTGAGGTCAGGAGTTTGAGACCAGCCTGGCCAACATCGTGAAAACCCATCTGTACTGAAAATACAAAAATTAGCCAGGCATGGTGGCACAGGCCTGTAATCCCAGCTAATTGGGAGGCTGAGGCAGGAGAATCGCTTGAACTCAGAGGCTGCAGCAAGCTGAGACCGTGCCATTGCACTCCAGCCTGGGCAGTAAGAGCAAAATTCTGTCTCAAAAAAAAAAAAAAAAAAAAGGGGGGTGGGGCCAAAATTGCCAGAAATGGTTGGGGGGAAAAAATTTAATGAGCAAAACTTAATACTATCTAGTCAGTACTCAAATTTTCCTGATTAAAAAATATCTTTCTTAACAACTGGTATGTTCAAATCAGTATTCAGATAAGATCCATATGTGGCATTTGCTTATGACTCTAGTCTTATAACCTAAATGTTACCCTTTTTCTTGCAACTTATTTGGATAAAAAACCAAAAACCTAAAATGCTGTCATTTGTCTTTGAGTTTCTCACTACCTGGAGTTTGCTAGTGACACTCCTGTAATAGTGTTTAATACATTCCTCTGTTCCCTATAAAGTTGTAGTTAGATCCAAAGGCTCAACTTGGTTTCTCTTGTTTCATATTTGAGAGAGGCAATATTCCATAGGGAGTGTTCTGTACTTCCATGGGAGTTGTTACCTCTGATATCTTTCTATGATGTTGGCAGCTACTAGTGATCACTGCCTAAACCCACTATTTCATTCAAGGTTGAAAACCATGATTTTCTCATTCTATCATGCCTTCTGTGTTTTTTAGCCAGAGTTATTCCATAAAGAACAAGTGTCCCTCATCAAATATTTGGATGCTCTGAAGCATACTAAGTATAGTAAAGACAGGATAAATACTTTATTCTTTCCCTTCTGCAGCAGATGGTTTTGTGCTCCTTATCACATCACCTGACTCATCGCTGTGGTGGACAATCAATCCCACACACATTTCAGTTGTCTCGCTTCTTTCCACCCAAAAGCACACACCTTACACAAGGCTGCTTCTTTATCTCAGGGCTTTCTCCAAAGTCTCTAGAGTACAGGAGCAGCCCAGAAACACTGGACAGACAAAATCCTTAAGAAGAACTTGCATAAATATAGGTGTATGAGGGTGCGGGCAGGAAGCTCCAATTTTTCAGATAGATAAACCTGGGAGGCATTCCGTGAATTTCTTGGAGGTCCCGTTTCCCTATAGGAAACTCAATAAAGTATCTATCATTGGCTTTTCCTCACTCCCCAATTCATTCTTCCCCTTCCCTCACTTCTTCTTGAAATCATCTCCAAAATAAACCAACTTTGGCAAATCCCTGTTTCAATCTCTGCTTTAAGAGGAGTCCAGGCTGGGCACAGTGGCTCACATCTGTAATCCCAGCACTTTGGGAGACCAAGGTGGAAGGATCGCTTGATGCCAGGGCAATATAGCGAGACCTCGTCTCTACAAAAAAATTAAAAACTAAAAAATTTTGCTGGGTGTGATGGCTCACGCCTGTAATCCCAGCACTTTGGAAGGCGGAGGTGGGTGGATCACCTGAGGTCCAGAGTTCAAGAACAGCCTGGCCAACATGGTGAAACCCCATCTCTACTAAAAATAGAAAAATTAGGCCAGGCACAGTGGCTCACGCCTGTAATCCCAGCACTTCAGGAGGCTGAGGAGGGTGGCTCACGAGGTCAGGAGTTCAAGACCAGCCTGGCCAAGATGGTGAAATCCCATCTCTACTAAAAATATAAAAAATTAGCTGGGCATGGTGGCCGGCATCTGTAATCCCAGCTACTCAGGAGGCTGAGGCAGAGAATTGCTTGAACCCAGGAGGCGGAGGTTGTAGTGAGCTGAGATCGCACCACTGCACTCCAGCCTGGGTGACAGGGCGAGACACCATCTCAAAAAAAATAAAATAAAATAATTAACCGGGTGTGGTGGCACGCACCTGTAATCCCAGCTACTTAGGAGGCTGAAGCAGGAGGATCACTTGAACCCAGGAGGTGGAGGCTGCAGTGAGCCAAGATCATGCCACTGCACTCCCGCCTTAAGAGACAGAGTGAGACTCCATCTCAAAAAACAAAAAAAGCCAGAAGCAATGGCTCATGCCTGTAATCCCAGCACTTTGGGAGGCCAAGGCAGGCAGATCACGAGGTCAGGAGATTGAGAACATCCTGGCTAACACGGTGAAACCCCATCTCTACTAAAAAGTACAAAAAATTAGCCGAGCATGGTGGCATGCGCCTATAATCCCAGCTACTCAGGAGGCTGAGGCAGGAGAATCGCTTGAACTCGGGAGGCGGAGGTTGTAGTGAGCTGAGATCGCACCACTGCACTCCAGCCTGGGCGACAGAGAGAGACTCCGTCTCAAAAAAAGAAAAAAATATTATTGGCTTCTCTTTGATGCTGTATAAAAGAAAAAAAAAATATATATATATAATATATATTTTTAAAAATTAATGGGTATGGTGGTACATACTTGTAGTCCCAGCTACTTGGGAGGCTGAGGTGGGAAAACCGCTTGGGCCCACGAAGTTGAGAGGCTACAGTAAGCTATGACTATGCTACTGCACTCCAGCCTCAGCAACAGAGCAAGCCTCTTTTTCTTTTTTTCTTTTTTTTAGGGGGAAAAAAAAAAAAAGGAGTCCAAAGATATTATTTCAAATTTTTCAGAATAACATGTTAGGGACCTGACATTGCCCAAAGACAATCAAATATTTCATTCCTTCAGTATCATTATTAATTCAGAGTCATACATATTTTGCTTGTATCAATCTTTTTTGATGCTCAAATTGTCCCATCTTTGGCCAGCAAAACGGCTTCTTCATGTTAGCTCCTTCATCTTTTGATGTGACTCCAATAATATTTGTGAGCATTTCTGCTTTCTGTTATGACGTGATATTCTAGGTTTAGCTTGTATGTTTCTTGCCCCCATCTATAATCAGCCTTATCAGCATGGATCCTTGATCCCTTTTAGTCAGAAAAAGTACAGAGAGACTACAATCTGGTCACTAGAGGCACTCATTAGATTGGTTATTGCTTCCAAGCCAGAGCTAGAAAATACACTTGGAAAGAAAATAAACCATGGGTTCATACTGATTATTTCCAACTCAGATTTTGGATGACTGGAATTTCACAGAAAGTCTCTTATATTTGCATATTTTCTTCCACTAAAAAATCTGACAAAAGATAGAAATAAGAACCCAAAAAAGTGCTTTATGTTTATTTTCTCATTTAACCCTCAGAGTTGGCATTTTACAGATTAGGAAACAAAGGCAGAAGTAATTTAATTTGTCTGAATACACACACAGCTACTGTGTGGCAGGGTCAGCATATGTATTTGAGCATTCTGGCCACAGATTCTATCCTCCTAACCATACTCTAGTCGGTCTTACTGATTTCACTTATAATCCAACCAACAGCATAACCATACCAAATAACTTCACAAAAAAGTATAGATTGCACATGAAATTCAAAAGATAAAAATATATGCTAATCCTAAGCAATATTTTCCCTTTACACCTTAGCTTTAAACCACAATAACTTACATATGGCGACTCAATATTGAAATTAAGTGGACAAGCTTACATATTAATACCAAGAAAGAAGGAAGAGAGGAAAGGCAACTATGAGGAAAACACAACTACTCAGTTGTCTCAAGCATTACAAAGATTATATACATAGGCACCTCAGGTACTTCTGAAGCTAGTCATATCAAGTCAAGTCCCAATGCAAGACACAAAACTGTATTAGACCTGCAACCTTTCATCCAAATTACCTGTAAGTCCTGGATGCACCTTTAACTTATTCCTCTGGAAAAGGCTCTGTCTCAGCCCCTTCCTTCTACCAATGCTTACATACAAATCAAGTGGGAATCACTGCTTCCCTGCTTTATAAGACAGATACTGACATAATGCTGCTAACACCAGCTGATGACAGAAGGAGAAAACCAAGTCTAACTTGTAACATGTTCTTCTTTGCCTCTTTTTTTTTTTTTTTTTGAGATGGAATCTCGCTGTCACCCAGGCTGGAGTGCAGTGGCACGATCTCGGCTCACTGCAACCTCCACCTCCCGGGTTCAAGCGATTCTCCTGCCTCAGCTTCCTCAGTAGCTGGGATTACAGGCGCGCGCCACCATGCCCAGTTAATTTTTTGTATTTTTAGTAGAGACGGGGTTTCACCATGCTGGCCAGGCTGGTCTCGAACTCCTGACCTCGTGATCCGCCCGCCTCGGCGGGATTACAGGCAGGAGCCACCGCGCCCAGCTGCCTTATTTCTTATGCAAAAAAACTGGAACACAAGGTTCGGATTTGGACTGGTATTTTCAAGTAAAAAGCCAAGCCTTATGGCTCAAAGCAGTCTAGCATGGGCTTTCCAACCCGCCACTTGGTGGCACTCTGTACCGGCTGCAAATTTTCATTCCAGCTGTGCCGAACTAAACCTATGTCCAAAGAGGACTTCATTCAGCCTGGCTAATTTCAATATGGCTATACTGTAATTACACCTATTCTTTCTTGGTTTATACAGTTAAGAATCAGCTCTTTAAAAGGTCAACCTCAATTTTCAAGAAGTTTAATACTGTACTCCAAGCAAATACTTGGGAAAATGATCAGTCTTACATTCCTGGTCTATATGTCAACTGGCATAACTCTGCCTCATTGCTGACTTGGCAGTGTCTTATCCTCTAACTCAAGAATTATCTTTCTTACATCATTTCCTTAGGTAAAGTTGTAACACGCTCAAAGGCTTAGCTGTCTGTAAATAGGGAGAACTAGGAAGAACTTAGAGGTCCAGGAAAAAGGGATTCAATTACAATACACAGAATGAAATCTCATGGAGATATTATAAATATGAAAGAATATTTAATGAAGACATGCGCTTATGACACTGTTCACTGAAAAAAGTGCATCACTAAAAGAGAACATGGAATATGATCTCATTTTAAAATACGTGGTTTTATCACAAAAAGAACATTCCAACCAGGAACAAAATGTACATATCTGTACATACACACATACACATGAACATTAACAGAAGTAAGGAAGAGAGAGCATTACGATACTGACCGTGATGAGCACTGGCTGGTAGAATCATCTGCAGTTTTCCATTTCTTCTAGCTTTTGTGTTTTATAAAATGAACTTTACTAGTTGTTGAGGGAAAAATAAGCTATTGTTTCTAGCCAGCAGCATAATATCAGAATGAACCAAGAGGAAAACAATTCTAGATTCTAACAGTTCTAACTAGTTCTGTGACATCAGTTCTCCATCCCCCTATAAAATTCCTATAGATTTTATAGTTTAGCAGAAGAAACTAGATACTTTAGGTCAGTCTTAAATAAGTATCTGTAAAAGTGGAAAGGAGGAAACATAACTTAGGAGTAACACAGGTAGACCCAGGTCAAAAATCCCTATGAAAGATGGCATTGCATCTAGTGGATTAACAGAGGGTCACAGGTACACTAAAGAAAAGCATACTTCCTGCAACAGTTAAAAAGAATGCCAGATTCTAGTGAACTGAACAGGAGGAAGGAAGGGGGAAAAAAAAAAGATTACAAGGTCCCCTACACCGTAAAATAAAGAGATGTCCTTCAATTATGGTCCGAGAACCACCTATGTTAGAATCACCACAAGGGACTAACTAAAATGCAGATTCCAGGGCCCCAAAACAGACTTAAATCGTAATTTCTGGGGGTGGGGCAGGGGAACTTGGCCCCTCCCCCGCCAACCCACACACACACATTCTCTCTCTCTCTTATGGATTGGTGGCCACTGTGGTATAGTTAACAGGGCGAGTCTCAAAGGCAAAATTACTTGTTTTATTCACTGTTGCACATTCCACTGGTTAACAGATTGCTTAGCTCATCTCAGGCAATTATTCAATATTACTTAAACAATGAGCAAGGGAACAAAGTCTCTTTACATCACAGTTCTAAGTGAGAATCTAAACATGGTTTTTTCCATTATCCCCAGCTCCCAGATCTCCATGGTAACAGCTATGTTTTAGTCCCGTTAACTAAAACAGAGGTATATTTTATCTTTTACATTTGCACACGTTATCTCCATCTATGTAGAACAGAGTCTGACAGCCAGACGTGCATGGATGAAAACTTGACTGACGCCATGAGTATGCACTAGAAGAGTCCAAAAAAGACTGAATGTTTTTCTACGTACTCTCTTACTACTATTGTTTGCTTGCATTTACACACTGCTATGTCTTTCTTTTAGAAGATTAAATGTTCCTTGAAGAAACATAGTCAAAGTTTTTATACTTCCTTAGGACATGTGCAAGTTAGGAAAACCTAACACTGTTCGAAAGACAATTGATACAGGCACACATCATCACACTGGGCCTTTGTTTTACTTCTTAATGTGACTACTAGAAGGGCACGCACATCTTAATGTAGAATGTCAAACAGGAAAAAAACAAACAAACAAAAAAAACAGGGCACAAACTAATCCTTGATCCCTAAATAACCAAAGATTTTTATAGTCTTCATACTGAGATTTTAACTAAGTAAATGTGCTTCATTTTTTAATTTTTTTTTTTTTTTGGTGGAGAGAGGGTCTTGCTCTGTTGCTCAGACTGGAGTGCAAACGGCATGATCTCTGCCCATTGCAGCCTCAACCTCCGAGGTTCATGAGATCCTCCTGCCTCAGCCCCTCAAGTAGCTGGGACTACAGGCATGCGCTACCGCACCCAGCTAATTTTTGTATTTTTCATAAGCTGTGGTTTCACCACGTTGCCCAGACTGGTCCTGGGCTCAAGCAATCCACTTGCCTCGGCCTACCAAACTGCTAGGATTACAGGCATGAGCCACTGCGCCCAGCCTGTATATGTGCCTTTAAACTAAAAAGTCACCACCAGTATTACAACCACAGAAACACACGCAGTTGAACAGTTACTATTTAAATAAAAGCCTCACTGCCTGTATGACCTAAAAGCATAGCTCTTTCAAAAGTCTTAATATTAACACAATATAGTAAATTGTACTTATCTTCCTAAAAAATTAGAGTGGTAAGAAAGGAATAAAGAACTTGGATATAAAACCTCTAACATGCTTGAGTAGCACTGAAAATTAATTATTCCCATACTTTTCCATAGCTAAAACTAGTTTTATAAATATCATTATATTTTTTTCCCAGCAACAAGATATTTTTAAACAGTGATTTTTAGAAACCGTACATCTTAAGCTGCTCTGTCCAATAAAGAAGCCACTAGCCACATGTGTCTAACTACTTGAAATGTGGCTAGTCTGAATTGAATCGTTCTGTAAGGATAAAATACATACAGATGTTGAAGATTCAATACCAAAAAAAGCAAAATTTCTCAACAATTTATTATACTGTTACATTTTAGATATATTAGGTTGTATATAATAACTAATTTTTTTTTTTTTTTTGAGACAGGGTTTTTGCTCTCTCGCCCAAACTGTAGTGGCACGACCATAGCTCACTGCAGCCTCAACCTCTTGGGCTCAAGCAATTCTCCCACCTCAGCCTCCCAGTCAGCTAGGATACAGGCACACATCACCACACTGGGCCTTTGTTTTACTTAATGTGGCTACTAAAAAGTTAAAATCATATATATTTAGTTCATGTATTTCTATTGAACAGAGCTTATCTAAAACTAATTGATTAAATTTAATTTGTTTGTCAAGGGAATTTGAAGAACAATCAAGAAAAAGTTTTAGGCCGGGCACAGTGGCTTATGCCTATAAACCCAGCACTTTGGGAGGCCGAGGCGGGAGGATCATCTGAGATCAAGAGTTCAAGACCAGTCTGGCCAACATGGCGAAAGCCCATCTCTGCTAAAAATACAAAAATTAGCCGGGCATCACGGAGGCGTGTGCCTGTAATCCCAGCTACTTGGGAGGCTGGGGCAAGAGAATCGCTTAAACCTGGAAGGCAGAGGTTACAGTGAGACAAGATTGTGCCACTGCACTCCAGCCTGGGAGACAGAGTGAGACTCTGTCTGGAAAAATTAAAATTAAAAAAAAAAAAAAAAAGAAAAAGTTTTATATGGAATACGTATTTTCCACATAAAAGTAACCATCACTAAAACTGTACCTGCAAGAAGAGGTGTTTTAAGATTACTAAACTTTTAAAACCACTGTATTTTGAATACGGGGTATGTCTACATTAACAGTTTTTATTTCGTATTACTGCTAAGTGGATGTGGTTCTTAGACAAGGCAGATCCTTGGGTTTGTTTTTGTTCGTGGGAAAGTTGCAGTTGATCATTATCAAATTATACCACCTTCTCATCAACTTTAGAAACTATAATAATCTCACCACCCCAAAGCTTGAAGACTGTTTCCCAGAGGTAGACTTACACAGCCAGACTTGTTTATATTTCCATTTTTAATGTTTTCTACAAGTAGGCAAAGAAAATAAGCAAATAATTGTGTTCAAGAAACTCAGTATGAGAATTCTCAGTTTCACGCACTCTGAGAACTCCAATGTATCAACAAAACAAAAGGTTGACAAGTTTGATCTAAATATTTCTGCCTGACATTCCTCATCCTAGGTAACTCAACTCTTTCTTTTCTCCCAAGATATAATTTCACTAGGCTTTGTAGATAACCCTTCTCCTAGCAGAAAACACAATGCAAATGCAATGCTACGTTACCAGTCTCCAATAGCAGCAAATTGTTCCTGATTACTAAGCTCTTTTTCCTTCTAGTGAGATAGAACAGGTATGTTTACCACACTTAAGGACAAACAAGTTAAAAAAAAACTTTCACTTAAGTGCAACATGCTTCCCCAACTACATCAGTATTTTCCCAAATTTGAACTCAGTCACATTAATCCATCATTTCCTTGAATGAATAAAACCTTGGCCAAAGTATTAAAATTTTCCCTTTTCTCACCTATGACATATTTGCCAATTAAACACAAAAATCCTGAAAATGGGCCAGGCGTGGTGGCTCCTGCCTGTAATCCTAGCACTTTGAGAGGCCGAGGCAGGTGGATCACGAGGTCAGGAGATGAGACCATCCTGGCTAACATGGTGAAACCCCATCTCTACTAAAAGTACAAAAATTAGCCAGGTGTGGTGGCGGGTACGTGTAGTCCCAGCTACTCAGGAGGCTGAGGCAGGAGAATCGCTTGAACCCGGGAGGCGGAGGTTGCAGTGAACAAAGATCGCACCATTGCACTCCAGCCCAGGCGACAGAGCAAGACTCTGTCTCAAAAAAAAAAAAAAAAAAAAAAAAAAAAATCCTGAAAATGATGAAGTCTCTAGCCCTATCATGTCTTCTGAGAACAGAATTACATATAAAAATACACCACAGAAACACTGTCAGCAACATCCAGACCTGGGAAACTCTCCAGCACAAACATCTAAAGTTTTTTTTTTTTTCTTTTCTTTGAGACGGAGTCTCGCTCTGTCGCCCAGGCTGGAGTGCAGGGGCATGATCTCACAGCTCACCACAACCTCCGCCTCCTGGGTTCAAGCGATTCTCCTGCTTCAGCCTCCCGAGTAGCTGGGATTACAGGCGCCCACCACCACGCCCGGCTAATTTTTTTGTATTTTTAGTAAAGATGAGGTTTCACCATGTTGGCCAGGATGGTCTCGATCTCCTGACCTCATGATCCACCCACCTCGGCCTCCCAAAGTGCTGGGATTACAGGCGTGAGCCACTGTGCCTGGCCTTTTTGTCTTTGTTTGTTTTTTGAGACAGTCTCGCTCTGCAGCCCAGGCTGGAGGGCAGTGGTGCAATCTCAGGTCACTGCAACCTCCACTTCCCAGGTTCAAGTGATTCTTGTGCCTCAGCCTCCTGAGTCATTGGAATTACAGGCGTGTGCCACCATGCCTGGCTAATACTGTATTTTTAGTAGAGACGGGGTTTTACCATGTTGGCCAGGCTGGTCTGGAATTCCTGACCGCAAGTGATCCACCTGCCTCGGCCTCCCAAAGTACTGGGAGAACAGGCATGAGCCACATGCCCGGCCAACATCTAAATTTTTTAACAAATAAATTTCAAAGTGAAAAAAGGAGGAGGGAATCCTTGACATTAAGTAAAACAAACTTAAGACCTATTAACCAATCATAATGGAAGAAACTTATTTAAATCCCAATTCAAATACAATGGAAAAAACTAATCAGGAAAATTGGAATATTTAATACCAGTGAGTTAGTGTCATGTTTTTTAATATGTAATGATAATGTCTATGCTTTTTAAAAGTCTGTCTTTTAGAGATACATGCTGAAGAATTAGGAATGTAAAAAGCTTGCTGTCTTCAATTTGTTTTGAAATAATTTGGGGAGGTGTGGCATTGAGGCACAGAGATGAATCAAAGCCAGTCATCATTTGGTGATTCTTGAAGCTAGGTGATCAGTATAGGAGGATTTATTATACCATTATCTCCTCTGTGGTACTTTTAAAATTTCCACTGTTTTTCCCTACTCTCTTAAATCTAGAAGTCACCATCGACACAAATGTTAAATTCCATTAAAATCAAACTCTGGGCTTGTTAGTACCCAGAAGAAGGAATTTTTAAGAGAAAAATATAATTTAACTTTACATGACTATCTGGTAGTAAAGAGATGTTAAATACTTTCCATGCACATAACCTGAGATGATATTAGTATTTCCTATACCACAAAAAAACTAGAATTTTCTAAGATTGTTACATTAGACAGTGTTAGATGTCCTTCCTTTGCCTAGGAAAGTACATTTGGATTTATTTTGCTGCAGTAACTATAGTATAACTTCAAATATAGGATATTGGCTGGGCCCGGTGGCTCACACCTGTAATCCTAGCACTTTGGGAGGCCAAGGCGGGTGGATTACCTGAGGTCAGCAGTTCAAGACCAGCCTGGCCAACTGGGTGAAACCCTGTCTCTACTAAAAATACAAAAATTAGCCAGGCATGGTGGTGGTGTGCGCCTGTAGTCCCAGCTATTTAGGAAGCTGAGGCAGGAGAATTGCTTGAACCCTGGAGGCAGATGCTGCAGTGAGCTGAGATCGTGCGACTGCACTCCAGCCTGGGCGATAGAGTCAGACCCTGTCTCAAAAAAAACAAAACAAAAAAGCAAATATAGGATACTTTTTAAACTTTGTTCTATAACTTAATGTATATTAATAAAATTATCGGCCAGGCATGGTGGCTCATGCCTGTAATCTCAGCACTTTGGGAGGCTGAGGTGGGTGGATCACCTAAGGTCAGCAGTTCAAGACCAGTCTGGCCCACATGGTGAAACCCCCATCTCTACTAAAAACACCAAAAGTAGCCAGGCATGGTGGCAGGCACCTGTAATCCCAGCTACTTAGGGGGCTGAGGCAGGAGAATCGCTTAAACCCAGGAGGCGGAGGTTGCAGTGAGCCGAGATGGCACCATTGCATTCCAGCCTGGGGGACAAGAGCGAGACTTCATTTCAAAAATAAATAAATAAATAAATAAATAAATAAATAAATAAAACAATCTGGACTGTCCACTTAAATGAAATCCTTTGTTACATTAAGACAATTCTGCACAATTCATATTTATGCCAATTCTGATAGAAGCAAAAAAGCTGCTGTACATGAAAAGTTACATCTTCTAGCCAGCAAAACAAAGTCATTAACATATAGGAAGCTTAATCATTTCCAGATTATTTCTGCCACAACTGCAATTTAACAACAAACTTTAAGATTTCACCAATATTGAGAACAAAAGTAAAAAACTATTCAGTGACTCCTTATGGGTAAAGCCATACCAAGTACTTGAAATACATTTCCACTGTACCCTTACACCAAACAAGTGAGGTCAATTTAAGACTCCCATTTTACAGATTAAGGAAACAGCCTCAAAGGATTATTTTAACCAAAGTCAAAACGCAAGTCAACGAAAAGCCAAATTCAAACTCATACCTCCCAATGTCCATGCTACGTCTACCTTTATCTTAGATGAATACTATTTGGCTTCTGTGTAAATAAAACTCACTTACACAGATATTCAGGAAAATTGTTCAATATAATAACAACATGAATCCCAATCTCCTGGAGGAAACACTAGAAATTATCGAACTTACTTTCAAATTTTAATTTTTTTGAGACGGAGTCTCACTCTGTTGCCCAGGCTGAAGTGCAGTGCCACGATCTCGGCTCACTGCAACCTCCACCTCCCAGGTTCAAGTAATTCTCCTGTCTCAGTCTCCCAAGAGATTACAGGCACCCACCACCATGCCTGGCTAATTTTTGTATTTTTCGTAAAGACGAGGTTTCTCCATGTTAGCCAGGCTGGTCTTGAATTCCTGAGCTTAAGTAATCTGCCCCCCTTGGCATTCCCAAAGTGCTGGAATTACAGGCATGAACCACCAAGCCACTACACTGGGCCACATACAAATTTTATAAAGAAGACTCAAGGTCACATCAACATAGATCATTTCAAGGCAAATATCCAACCTCAGTCACCATCTAAGGTAAATGAGACAAATAAGTACACTAACTGACAAAAGATCCAATGCATATGATGTTTCAAGAAGTTCCCTTTGACCAGCCTGGGCAACACAGTGAGACCGACTCTATTTTTAAAAAATTTTTTAATTCCTTTCTACTGGGAAGTCATTTCAAGGACCCCACACGCTTATAATGGTTGTTAGGCTGATAAAATAATCTTTAAAAATTTAGTTAAATAAATTTAGTTATAATAACCCTAGTTGTGGTCCTTTAAAACTTCAGTAACTATGTCACACTTCCAGTTAAATTACTTTCTCAGAAAAGATGACAGATTTCCAGTAGCAATAATGTAAAATCTACTTAATAAACTCATAAGACTGAGATGCTAAAAAAAATTTAACGATTCTACTTTCCACCATTATAGTTGTTAAAAATGTTACATATTTTTCAATTTCAATTTAAAAAGTTACATGTTTATAGGCCAGGCATGGTGGCTGACACCTGTAATCCTAACATTTTGGGAGGCTGAAGTAGAATCACTTCAGTCCAGGAGCTAAAGACCAGCCTGGGCAACGAAGTGAGACCTCATCTCAACAAAAATTTTTAAAACTAGCTGGGCACAGTGACATGTACCTGTAAGCCCTAGCTACTCGAAGGCTGAGGCAAAAGAATCCCTTAAGCCCAGGAGTTTGAGGCTGCAATGAGCTATGATACCACCATTGCACTCCGGGCTGGGGACAGAGACCTTGCCTCAAAATAAAAAATAAAATAAAAAGTGACATGTTTGGCCGGGCACGGTGGCTCACGCCTGTAATCCCAGCACTTTGGGACGCCGAGGTGGGCAGATCATGAAGTCAGGAGATCTCAAGACCATCCTGGCTAACACGGTGAAACCCCACCTACTAAAAATACAAAAAAAAAAAAATTAGCCGGGTGTGGTGGCGGGCGCCTGTAGTCCCAGCTACTTGGGAGGCTGAGGCAGGAGAATGGCGTGAGTAGGGGGCGGAGCTTGCAGTGAGCCAAGATCGTGCCACTGCACTCCAGCCTGGGAGACAACGAGACTCCGTCTCAAAAAAAAAAAAAAAAAAAAAAAGACATGTTTAAACTCTGTCCCTTATGATAATGTAGGTTGTGATATCATGCTTATAATCAGTGTGATTACACAACACACACTACCCCTATGAGTTTAACACGTAACCAACCAATCTCACAGAGGATACAAGTCTCTCAAAGGAAGAAAAACTCTTGGTCTCCTTTCCAGTGTTGATATAATTGGTCAAAACATTTAACATAAACAAAGAAACTGAGGTGGGTGGGAGCACCAAGCACCAAAGATAGAAACAAATGGCTCTCACCTTTGCATAGTACTCACACTCAACAGTACCTAGAGCACATCTACCTGCCCTCGGGCTTTCTCTGTAACAGAACCACAAAAATTTACAATGGCCCTTTCCTCTCTGCCAAACCTTCTATCTCTTTTTTGAAAGCTTTACAATTAGTTGAGGGAGGTGGCTCACACCTGTAATCACAGCACTTTGGGAGGCCGAGGTGGGCAGATCACGAGGTCAGGAGATCGAGACCATCCTGGCTAATACGGTGAAACCCCGTCTCTACTAAAAATACAAAAAATTAGCTGGGTGTGGTGGCACGCGCCTGCAGTCCCAGCTACTCGGGAGGCTGAGGCAGGAGAATCACTGGAACCCAGGAGGCAGAGGTTGCAGTGAGCCAAGATCGTGCCACTGCACTCCAGCCTGGACAACAGAGCAGAAATTGTTTAGTTATTTCAAAAAAAAAAAAAAAAATTAGCTGGGCATGGTGGCACGTGCCCTTAATCCCAGTTACTGCAGAGGCCAAGACAGGAGAATCACTTCAACCCAGGAGGCAGAGGTTGCAGTGAGCCGAGATCGTGCCACTGCACTCCAGCCTGGGCAACAGAGAGAGACTCTGTTTCAAAACAAAGCTTTATAATTTGAAAAATCATCATAAACTAAATCTGTTATTAACAATCTGTATAGGGTATTACACTTTAGTGGGATGGGCCTTAACACCTTGTAAAAATGTTGAAATCAGTGTTTTGGAAATGCGTAAGCTTTAAGAATGTGTTACACAGCCAAGTACTTTAACAACTGCCTGAAACAGACTAGTAGAATCAAGTGCAAACATAAGCTATCCCGACATACTGTCTATTGGGGGAGCGGCACACCAGGACTCCAACAACCCCTAACCACCAGCCACCTGTCCACATATCAGGTCATTTTTATTTTTACGCAGGCTCTACTAGGGCTATAGAAGGACCTAAGTCAAAGTTTTAGCTTTTTTCTAAGAGGTCCCACATCATATACATAAACAAATTTAAGCCTACTCTACTGACGATTAAACCTTGAACATAAGAATACAATATCAGTTGCAAGCATTTGGGATTCTGAATCCCTTCTCTATAGATTTATCTATCAGACATCATTTAAATAGTTATTTACCCCTATGTTTACAACTTTAGGTATCCTGGGACTTGGGAAGGCTTTACACACATAAATAACTTAAAAATTAGTTGCAGAATCCTACAAGCAGAAAAGAATAGCAAATAATATACTTGAAGTATTTTTTGGTCTACCATTTCAAGAGCCTATATATTCAGAGTCATGACAGTTATGAGACTGAATAAATAGCATCAAAACCACCAGATCTGATTTACTTCTAACAAGACACACATCTTAAGGTGGAAGGATCGCTTGAGGCCAGGAGTTCAAGACCAGCCTGGGCAATATAGTGAGATCACATCTCTGCAAAAAATAAAGACACATATGTTAAGACCAGGCACGGTGGTTCACACCTGTAATCCCAGCACTTTGGGAGGCCGAGGTGGACGGATCATGAGGTCAAGAGATCGAGACCATCCTGGCCAACATGGTGAAACCCCATCTCTACTAAAAATACAAAAATTAGCTGGGCTTGGTGGTGCACGCCTGTAGTTCCAGCTACTTGGGAGGCTGAGGCAGGAGAATCGCTTGAACCCGGGAGGCCGAGGTTGCAGTGAGCTGAGATCGTGCCACTGCACTCCAGCCTGGGGACAAGAGTGAGACTCCATCTCTTAAAAAAAAAAAAAAAAAAAAAAAAAAAAAAGACACATATGTTAAAATTCTGTAGATTTAGGGAAAAAAAAAAAGACTTGCAGAACCTTAACTGCTCCCACCTCTACCAGAAATTGCAAATTACCTACTCAGAGAGTGTGAAAACTCAGTCCAGCTAAGCATTTAAAGTGACTGCCAATTATGACAGTGGTTAAAAATATTATACTTGTATCATTCACATAAATCTGTTTATAAATTGAATAAGATTACTATAAAATGTTAATTATTCTGGCTGGGCGGGGTGGCTCATGCCTTTAATCCCAGCACTTTGGGAGGCAGAGGCGGGCGGATCACCTGAGGTCGTGAGTTTGAGACCAGCCTGGCCAACAAGGAGAAACCCCGTCTCTACTAAAAATACAAAAAAATTAGCCGGGTGTGGTGGTGCATGCCTGTAATCCCACCTACTCGGGAGGCTGAGGCATGAGAATCACTTGAACCTGGGAGGCAGAGGCTGCAGTCAGCCAAGATCATGCCATTGCACTCCAGCCTGGGCAACAAGAGTGAAACTCTGTCTCAAGAAAATTTTTTTAAAAAGTTAATTTTTCTCTTTCAAAATTGTAAATTAATGCTTTTCTGTCTCCCTAGCACCTAGGCATAATGGTTGTCATTGGCAGGGCTCAAAACATAAGTTGAAAGAAAATGAAATTTCAAGTAAGCAATGGAAATCAAACTGCAAACATCAACAACATTAAAATGTAATCCCTTAAGGCAGATTTATCAGTTGTGTAACGGATTAATGTCATCTTAGGTTTTATGCAAGGTCAATAACATAGAATAACATTCCATTTTTGTTTTGTTTTTTTTAGATGGAGACTTGCTCTGTCACCCAGGCTGGAGTACAGTGGCCTGATCTGAGCTCAGTGCAACCACCGTCGCCCGGGTTCAAGCAATCCTCCTGCCTCAGCCTCTGGAGTAGCTGGGATTACAGGCACCCACTACCACGCCCAGCTAATTTTTGTATTTTCAGTAGAGACAGGGTTTCGCCATGTTGGTCAGGCTGGTCTCGAACTCCTGACCTCAGGTGACCCACCCACCTCAGCCTCCCAAAGGGCTGGGATTACAGGCTTGAGCTACCGAGCCCAGTCTGTTTTTTTCATTTTTAAAATAACAAGAAATAACATATTATAATCAGACTTTGCATATACCAATCTCTAGATTTTAAGGAGTTACAGTTTCAATTTTAATTTATAAATATTCATTTTACATGTTTTGATGTTATTTTACTAAAATGTCCATCTAGTCCTTTGATAAATTCAGAGATTTATGGTGGCAGTATGTAAACCAAATTAAAATGTACCATAAAACCAGGTAACTAGAATTTTATGTTTAATCAAACCATTTGGAAGCAGTTTAGTGAAATTTCAGTATCTTAAATTATACTGTTATTAAACTTATTTTGAAAAAGTTAAATATTAATACTGAAACACAAATCGTCCACAACCAAAAGTAAACCGTATCAATCAGATCTACATATTTAAACATTACAGTGATTTTTTTTTTTTTTTTTTTTTTTTTTTTGAGACTGTGTCTTGCTCTGTCACCCAGGCTGGTGACACCACACCCAGTGCAGTGGTGCGATCTCGGCTCACTGTAAACTCCGCCTCCCAGGTTCAAGCGATTCTCCTGCCTCAGCCTCCAGAGTAGCTGAGATTACAGGCATGCGCCACCACTCCCAGCTAATTTTGTATTTTTAGTAGAGACAGGGTTTCTTCATGTTGATCAGGCTGGTCTCGAACTCCCGACCTCAGGTGATTCACCTGCCTCGGCCTCCCAAAGTGCTGGGATTACAGGCATGAGCCACCGCGACTGGCCTATTTTTGTATATTTTAGTAGAGACGGGGTTTCGCCATGCTGACCAGCCTGGCCAACATTGGGAAACCCCATCTCTACTGAAAACACAAAAATTAGCCAGGTGTGGTGGCATGCACCTGTAATCCCAGCTACTTGGGATGGGAGGCTGAGGCAGGGGAATCTCTTGAACCTGGAAGGCAGAGGTTGCAGTGAGCTGAGATCACACCACTGCACATTCCAGCCTGGGCTACAGAGTGAGATTCCATCTCAAAAATAATAATAATAATAAGCAAAAATAAAAAATAAAATATACAAGATTTTCTGGGCTGGGCACAGTGGCTCATGCCTATAATCTCAGCACTTTGGGAGGCCAAGGAGGGTGGATCACGAGGTCAGGAGATTGAGACCATCCTGGCTAACACGGTGAAACCCCGTCTCTACTAAAAATACAGAAAATTAGCCAGGCATGGTGGCACACGCCTGTAATCCCAGCTACTCAGGAGGCTGAGGCAGGAGAATCGCTTGAACCCAGGAGGCGGAGGATGCAGTGAGCTGAGATCGCGCCACTGCACTTCTGCCTGGGAAACAGAGGGAGACTTCGTCTCAAAAAACAAAATACAAAACAAAAAAAACACCATTAGAATTAAATTTAGAGCACTGAACAAGTTCCAGTTAATACAATGTGTTGTGCATATGCTATTTAAAAAGACTGCTCTGAGGTTTTCAGAGGTTTGGGGGTTTTGTTCTTTTTTTATTTTTGGTTAAACATTGCACAACACATTTCTTCTTTCCATCATAATTGGGGTAAACCACATGCTGGAGTTTCCTGAATATCAGAAAAATCTTTAACAAGTACAATAATGAAACCTAAGATATTATTAATATCCTATTAATGACAAGATGTTTAAATAGGTTATAATGTATTATTGACCTACATATGGGTGAATATACTTTACTCCTAAATCAAGTCCACTACTTTAATAGTATTTAACATATCACTTTACTGCAATTATTCCCTATCCCACCTTCCAAAGAACCTTTAAAATTGCTTTTTAGGTCAGGTGCGGGGGCTCACACCTGTAATCCCAGCACTTTGGGAGGCCAAAGCAAATGGATCACTTGAGGCCAGGAGTTCAAGACCATCCTGGCCATCATGGTGAAACCCCCATCTCTACTAAAAAATACGAAAATTAGCTGAGCATGGTGGTAAGTGCTGGTAATCCCAGCTACTTGGGAGGCTGAGGCACGAGAATCGCTTGAACCTGGGAGGTGGAGGGTGCAGTGGGCTCAGATTGCAACACTGCACTCCAGCCTGGGTGACAGAGCAAGACTCTGTCTCAAAAAAAAAAAAAAAAAAAAAAATTGCTTTTTAAAACAGTGAGGTAGTTGGGTTCGGTGGCTCATGCCAGTAATCCCAGCAATCTGAGGCCGAAGGAGGAGGAACACTCAAAGCCAGGAGTTGGTGACCAGTTTGAGCAACATAGAGTTCCCATCTCTACTAAAAATTTAAAAAGAAAGCCATTAATCAGGTGTGGTCTCAGCTCCTCAGGAAGCTAAGGTGGAAGGATTACTTCCATCCAGAATTTAGAGGCTGCACTGAGCTATGATTATACCACTGCATTCCAGCCTGGGCGGCAGAGTGAGACCCTGTCTCTAAAAAACAACAATAAATAAAACAAAACAGTAAGGTATGGTGCTAAGTCGTATTTTTTCTAAAAAAGCATACATTCACAGATGCTCACATATACATGTAAATTTTCCCTAAAGGAACACAATAAACTGCACAGTAGTTGCATTTGAGGAAGGAGAAAAATAAAGTATCATTTAAATTTTGCCATGTGCACTGTTTTTCTAAAACCTTCCAAGCTTTTTAATTAATTTAGAGAAAACTACTTTTACTTAGTTCCTGTGGGTGTTTTGTATACAGTGTAACTAAGTATTACTTAGTTCCTATGGGTGTTTCGTATACACTATAGAGTATTATTTAGTATGACTAAGTAAAACTGCTTTTACTTAGTTCCTGTGGGTGTTTTGTATACAGTGTAACTAAGTATTACTTAGTTCCTACGGGTGTTTCGTATACACTATAGAGTATTACTTAGTATGACTAAGTAAAACTACTTTTACTTAGTTCCTGTGGGTGTTTTGTACACAGAAAATAGCTTAAGATTCCATTAGATTTGTTTCGGTATGTACATTATTCATCAAGAGACCTAAGAATAAATAGGAACACTGAAGAAGCGTGTAACAATGCTTTACCAATATTGTTATAGATAGCACATCAAAATGCCAGAGACTGGGGAAAAATGCATGATCATGAGCTAAAGTTAGACTGGTATGGAAAAAATAACCTGCAGGTGATTAACAATTACCATAAGTGACATACACAACATACAATAGTTATGTTTAAGTAGAGGGCAGTATCTGAATTTAAGGCAATGCATCATGTATATGAAGAATGACCTTATTTCCACTAGTTGTAAGATATCCCCAGAAAAGTATTAGATTTATTACATTTAGGTAGATAAGTCTGTAGTAAGTATAAAGCTGCTCGTCTAAAATGAAGCACAAAACAAATTAAAAGAAAAAATAAAATGAAGCACAAGCAAAGATTTCATCTTTGAAATTAGATGATCATAATCTTTGGACATTAGATGGTCATAATCATCTTTCCCTCTGTGCTGAATCATTGCCTTCAGAATACCACCACGTTAATACACTTGCCTTTAAAAAACCTCACTTCCATAGTCTGAGCAACAAAATAACAACTGTAACATGTTATAATCTATGCAATAAGATTCCATGAGTCTAATATTAATATAAACAAAGTAAATTGGGGAAAGTAAAGTTTATTCCAAATAATAAATGTAGATGCCCAGTGTGGTGGCTCATACCTTTATGTAATCCCAGCACTTTGGGAGACCAAGGTGGGTGGATTACCCGAAGTCAGGAGTTTGAGACCAGCCTGGCCAACATGGTGAAACCTCATCTCTACTAAAAATACAAAAAATTAGCTGGGCATGGTGGCGGGCACCTGAAATCCCAGCTATTCGGGAGGCAGGAGAATCACTTGAACCCAGGAGGCAGAGGTGGCAGTGAGCCGAGATCGCACCACTGCACTGCTGCCTGGGCGACAGAGCAAGACTCCATCTTGAACAAAATAAAAAACAAATAATAAATGTAGAAAAAATAAAGAGAAGTAGAAAGCCACTATTTGACAGCCACTATAGTAGCAGTGACAGTTGCTGACAAGAATCATCAATGGATGCTAAAATTAGTGAAAGTATTGAGAGACAGAATCTCTACATTGTCTCAAAATATCTCCCCACAAAGTTCTTATTACAAAAGAAAAAATAGTAACTTTACCCTGAAGAAGCCTGGCAGACACTACTTAACCAATTGGTCAAAGTTACCACCACTACTGAAACAAAAATCAACAAACACCATGTGCCTCTAGATGAGGTGCACTGAAAGCAATATCACTTCTGAGGAATTCCATCAAAAATGCCTCACCTGGTGCCAGGCACGGTGGCTCATGCCTGTAATCCTAGCACTTTCGGAGGCTGAGGCAGGAGGATCACTTGAGGTCAGGAGTTCAAGCCCAGCCTGCCCAACATGGTGAAACCTCATCTCTACTAAAAATACAAAAAATTAGTCAAGTGCAGTGGCGGGCACCTGTAATCCCAGCTACTTGGGAGGCTGAGGGAGAATCACTTGAACCCGGGAGGCAGAGGATGCAGTGAGCCGAGATCGCGCCACTGCACTCCAGCCTGGTCGACAGAGTAAGACTCTGACTGACACACACACACACAGCCTCACCTGATGCTAACCATGGGAGACATCAGATAAACCCACATTGAGGGGCATTCCACAAAATAAACAAACAAACAAAAAACTAGCTTATACTCCTCAAAAACAGGAAAGTCATTAAATCAAATGAAGGATTACAGGTCGCTCATGCCTGTAATCCCAGCACTTAGGAGGCCAAGGCAGGTAGATCACTTGGGGCCAGGAGTCTGACACCAGCCTGGCCAACATGGTAAAATCCCGTCTCTACTAAAAATACAAAAAAATTAGCCAGGCATGGGGTGTGTGCCTGTAATCCCAGCTACTCGGGAGGCTGAGGAATGAGAATTGCTTGAACCTGGGTGCGGAGGTTGCAGCCAGCCGAGATCCCACCACTGCAGTCCAGCCTAGACAACAGAGCAAGACTCTGTCTCAGAAAAAAACAACAACAACAAAAAAATGAAGACCAAGGAACTGTCCCAGATTAAAAGAGACCAAACAGGCTGGGCATAGGGACTCACACCAGCAATCTCAGCACTTGGGGAGGCTGGAATTTGGCAGGCAGATCTACCTGAGCTCAGGAGTTCGAGACCAGCCTGGGCAAAACAGTGAGATCCTGTTTCTACAAATAAAATTTAAAAATTAGCCAGGCATGATGGTGTGTGCCTGTAGTTTTGGCTACTCAGGAGACTGAGGTGGGAGGATCCCTTGAGTCCAGGAGTTCGAGTTGCAGTGAGCCATGGTCACAGCACTGCTCTCCAGCCTGAGTGACAGAGCAAGACTGGCTAAAAAATAAAAATAAAAAAAGACAAGAACCTATCCAGTGATAAAAGTCAGCCAGTTATTTTTTACATTTAACTAATATTTACCCAGGGCAAGGAAAGCTGTCTGAAACATGTCAGAGGCCGGACTCTCCATTTGGTCATCCTTAAAAATACAGTGAGTGACCACAAGGTTCCAGCCTCAAAATGTAAACTGTCAGAAGAAATGTTGATGGGGTCCTGAAATCATTATTAGATTTTGTTAAAGTTTTAGGAATAACAGAAGGAAACAAATGCTATTCATTTCCTTAGGCACGACCTGGTATCAACATGTAGGGTTCATTTCAGTTTGAAGAACTTAAGTGTATCGATAGATGCCCAGATGTCCAAATTCATTTCATCCTCCTCATGTGTACTTGTTTTCAGCAGTCCTTAACTGTTTATTCTAAACACTTATCTTTTCAAAAATACATTTTAGAGACAGGATCTCACTCTGTTGCTCAGGCTGGAGGGCGTAGCACAACCACAGCTCACTGCAGCTCACTGGGCTCAAGCAATCTTCCCACCTCAGCCTCCCAAGTAGCTGGGACTACAGGCATGCACCATCACACTCAGCTAATTTTTTATTTTTTGTAGAGATGAGGGTCTCACTATGTTGCCCAGGCTGTTTGTTTGTTTGTTTGTTTGTTTGTTTTTTTGAGGCAGAGTCTCGTTCTATCACCCAGGCTGGAGTGCAGTAACCTGATCTCAGCTCAGTGCAGCCTCCACCTCCTGGGTTCAAACGATTCTCATGCCTCAGCCTCCTGAGGAGCTGGGACCACAGGCCACAACACCACACCTGGCTAATTTTTTTGTATTTTTAGTAGAGATGGGGTTTCACCATGTTGGTCAAGCTGGTCTCGATCTCCTGACCTAAAGTGATCTGCCCGCCTTGGCCTCCCAAAGTTCTGGAATTACAGGCATGAGCCACTGCATCCAGCCACCCACCCTGTCTTGAACTCCTGGGCTCAAGCAATCCTCTGGGCTGCAGTTTCCCAAAGCGCTGGGATTACAAGCGTGAGACATCACACCTGGCAATATTTTATCTTTCATGCACTTAGATTTTTCTTCTTTTTGTTTAGAATTTGACATTTTTTCATTTGCTTATCTTCCTATACCGATTTATTATCTTTTTTTTTTTTCCAAACTGACTTCCCTATCAAGGCTAATATGCCATGGAATTGCATAAAATCCTCACTTGCTCTTGTTATGATGTAAATACATATTCACCAGAATACCTGATACAGGCCGGGCGTGGTGGCTCATGCCTGAAATCCCAGCACTTTGGGAGACCGAGGCGGGCAGATCACGAAGTCAAGAGATCGCGACCATCCTGGCTAACACGGTGAAACCCCGTCTCTACTAAAAATACAAAAAATTAGCCGGGTGTGGTGGTGGGCGTCTGTAGTTCCAGCTACTCGGAAGGCTGAGGCAGGAAAATGGCATGAAACCGGGAGGCAGAGCTTGCAGTGAGCCGAGATAGCGCCACTGCACTCCAGCCTGGGACACAGCGAGACTCCGTCTAAAAAAATACCTGATACAATTTTTTTTCCTTTTTCTTTTTCTTTTTTTTTTTTTTTTTTTTTTGAGAGAGTCTCACTCTGTCGCCCTGGCTGGAGTGCAGTGGCGCAATCTTGGGTCACTGCAAACCTCCGCCTCCCAGGCTGAAGGGATTCTCGTGCCTCAGCCTCCTGAGTAGCTGGGACCACAGGTATGCGCTACCACACCCCGCTCATTTTTTGTGTTTTTAGTAGAGACGGGGGTGGTTTAACTCTATTGGCCAGGCTGGTCTCGAACTCCCGACCTCAAGTGATCCATGTGGCTACCTCAGCCTCCCAAAGTTCATGTGAAAGGCATGAGCCATCACACCCAGCCACCTGATCTAATTTCAAACCACACATTAGAGCAGAGCAGCCATTCTCAAAGTATGGTATAAGGAATCCCTGACACACTTTCAGGAGGTCCAAGAAGTTAAGACTATTTTCCTAATAACACTAAGATGTTATTTGCCTTTTCTGCTGTGTTGTATTTGCACTGGTAGAGCAAAGGCAATGATGAGTAAAGCTGCTGGTCCTTAGCATGAAGCAATGCAGTGGCACTGAACTGTACTAGTAGTCACTGTATTCTTCTCTGGCATTTGCAGCGAAGAATTATGCAAACTGTTTAAAAATGTCCTAATCTCAATCCTTCAGTATACATCCTTTTATGATCTGTATGAAGAAAAGGGAAGCATGCATAAAGCACTTCTGCTACCTATCCTGGTTGTCTGCACAAAAAGCACTGTGCAGTTGTTTGAGTTGCAAGACGAACCAGTCAAGCACCGTTTCTACCTGAAGAACTAGAAGCAAAATGTAGTTACTTAAAAACTTGAGTATCTGGCAGATATTTTCTCAAAAAGGAATAAAATGAGTCTGTCACTTCAGGTAAAACGATTTTCCTGAAGTATCTGTTGCCAAATGACTAAATTTGAGCTTTTAAGTAAAAACTAGTATTTTGAAAAACTTCTATCTATTACCAATGAGCTTTGACAGCCTCCCAATCCTCGTGGATAAAGATCCTTTCCGAGTATAAGACAATCAATGGATTCTTTTTGTAACAAGTACAAAAAAAATTCACTGATATGATTTCAGATTCCACATTGAAACTAGACTTTAAAAAAACTACCACTTGGTGTTACAGCTCTTTTAGAATTTGTCCAGCAGGTGGTTTTCCGGTCTTTACCAGTAAGCCCCCACCCCCGCACCTCCGCAAAAAAGCTACCACTTGTAGCTGGGTGCAGTGGCTCACGCCTGTAATCCCAACACTTTGGGGAGGCCAAGGCACAAGGATCACTTGAAGCCCAGGAGATCAAGACCAGTCTGCACAACATAGTGAGATCCTGTCTCAATTTAAATTTAAAAAGGAATTTTTTTTTAACTACCACTTGTCATATTTTGATGTAGCACCAAAGAATATCTGTAATTATTTATACTCCTTCCTTTTCTAAACACATATCCATATGTGGCTGGATTTTCCTCATATACTTCAATCAAAACAATACATGACGACAAACTGAATGCAGTAGTAGTTACCAGTTTCCAGTTGCCTCTTAGGCCAAAGAAACTTACAAAAATGAAAAACAGTTCTCTTTTATAAGAGTGTTTTAGGGCCAGACGCAGTGGCTCATACCTCTAATCCCAGTACTTTGGGAGGCTGAGGTGGGCGGATCACTTGAGGTCAGGGGTTTGAGAACAGCCTGGCCAACATGGTGAAACCTGGTCTCTACTAAAAATACAAAAACTAGTCAGGTGTGGTGGTGCATGCCTGTAGTCCCAGCTACTCGGGAGGCTGAGGCAGGAGAATCGCTTGAACCCAGAAGCGGAGGCTGCAGTGAGCTGAGATTGCATCACTGCACTCCAGCCTGGGCAACAGAGCAAGACTCTGTCTCAAAAAAGAGTTTTTTATTTAAAATTTTATGATAACATGTAATGGGTTTTTTATAAAACCCCTATCATTCCAGGAGGCTGAGGCAGGAGAATCGCTTGAACCCAGGAGGTGGAGGTTGCAGTGAGATGAGATTGCACCATTGAATTCCACCTTGAGCAACAACAGCTAACCTCCATCTCAAAAACAAAACAAAACAGACCTCTATCATTCCTTATAACTGCTACAAAATATGCCACAGAATATATCGTTAGGGCTGGGCACGGTGGCTCACGCCTGTATTCACAACACCTTGGGAGGCCGAGGCAAGCAGATCATTTGAGGTCAGGAGCTCGAGACCAGCCTGGCCAACGTAGTGAAACCCTGTCCTACTGAAAATACAAAAATTAGCCTAGTATGGAGGCAGGCGCCTATAATCTCAGCTACTCAGGAGGCTGAGGCAGGAGAATCACTTGAACACGGGAGGCAGAGGCTGCAGTGAGCCAAGATTACACCACTGCACTCCAGCCTGGGCGACAGAGCAAGATAAAAAAAAAAAAAAGGAATATATGGTTAGAATAGGGTATGTTTTCTTTTTTCCTTTTTTTTTTTTATTTATTTTTTATTTTTTGAGATGGAGTCTCCCGCTGTCACCAAGGCTGGAGCACAGTGGCGTGATATCAGCTCACTGCAAGCTCCGCTTCCTGGGTCCACGCCATTCTCTTGCCTCAGCCTCCTGAGTAGCTGGGACTACAGGCGCCCGCCACCACGCCCAGCTAATTTTTTGTGTTTTTAGTAGAGATGGGGTTTCACCGTGTTAGCCAGGATGGTCTCAATCTCCTAACCTCGTGATCCGCCTGCCTCAGCCTCCTCAAGTGCTGGAATTACAGGCGTGAGCCACCGCACCTGGCCAGAATAGGGTATGTTTTCTTTTGATGGCCATTTAGGTTATTTCCTATTTTTAACTATTAAACAATATGGAAAAAACACATGTCTTTTTGCCAAGTATGTCTTTGTAATAGAATACTACAAGTGAAATTGCTGTTATGGAGAAAGGAATTAAACATGCCTCAAAGTTACAAATAGTTGAACATTAAAGTGCTTATTCTTTCCCTTTAAAACATGGGTTCCCCCAGGCGTGGTGGCTCATGCCTGTAATCCTAACACTTTGGGAGGCTGAGACGGGTGAATCACGAGGTCAGGAGTTCAAGACCAGCCTGGCCAACATGGTGAAACCCCATCTCTATTAAAAATACAAAAAATTAGCTGGGCAAGTGGTGGGCACCTGTAATCCCAGCTACTCGGGAGGCTAAGGCAGGAGAATCGCTTGAACCCAGGAGGCGGAGGTTGCAGTGAGCCGAGATCGTGCCATTGCACTCCAGCCTGGGCAACAGTGCGAGACTCATCTCAAAAAAAAAAAAAAAAGTGGGGGGCGCACAGGGCTGGGCGCAGTGGCTCACACCTATAATCCCAGCACTTTGGGAGGCCGAGGCAGGCAGATAACGAGGTCAGGAGATCGAGACCATCCTGGCCAACATGGTAAAACCCCATCTCTACTAAAAATACAAAAATTAGCTGGGCATGATGGCGCACACCTGTAGTCCCAGCTACTCTGGAGGCTGAGGCACGAGAATCCCTTACCCAGCAGGCGGAGGTTGTAGCGAGCAGAAAGGTTGCAGTGAGCCGAGATCGCGCCACTGCACTTCAGCCTGGGTGACAGAGCGAGACTCCGTCTCAAACAAACAAACAAACAAAATACAAATAAACATGGGTTCTTGCTGTGTTACCCAGGATGGTCTCCCAAAGTGCTGGAATTACAAGTATGAGCCAAGCACCTTGGCCTTAAAGCACTTTTAAACAAGAAGAAAAAAGGAAGGACTCTCAGTATTGTCTTCCTTTACAAAAATTCCCCTTCTACAACTCAAAGATAGGCAATTGCAAAATGTCCCAAACAGTAAAATTAGAGCTAGAGATCTTTTTTGCTCGAAAAGTAGACAACAGTGTTAGTTTCAGATTATCTGTACGATACTGTTAAAATGTGACGTGTAATATAGTATAACCTAAGAATTCTGTGTTTTACAGACTCCCACCTACTAGAGACCCTTTTTACCAATTCCTGCTTGGCGATTTGGATGGAGCTCTTTTACAATATTGTACGATATTGCTGATTAAAACTGTGCTTACAGATTACACAAAGCCATGAGGACTGGGTTGTTTTCCATAACACTTAGTTGAAAGGTATTCTCATTTTAAGTTCTAATAGATACTGCCAAATAGTGTGCCAAGAAGTCTTTGCCAATTTACTCTTTAGCTATATGAGTGGCCATGCCTCCACAACCTTGCCAACACCAGATACGGCCAATCTTATTCATTTTTCTCCAACCTCATAGGCAGAAAATGTCATTATCGTTGGCACTTCCCTAATAACTAGTTAGACAAGGGTGTTTTTTTTGTTTGTTTTGCTGTTGTTGTTCTTTGAAATAGGATCTCACTCTATCGCCCAGCTTGGAATGCAGTGGTGCAAACCTGGGCTCAAGCCATCCCCCTGCCTCAGCCCCCCAGTTAGCTGGGACTACAGGCACGCACCACCATGCCTGGCTAATTTTTGTTATTTTTTGCAGGGACGGGGTTTCGCCATGTTGCCCAGCCTGGTCTCAAACTCCTGAGCTCAAGCGATTCATCCAAGTGCTGGGATTACAGGCATGAACCACCGTGCCCAGCCTAGATTGGATATCTTTTTGTACACAGACTGACTTTTCAGCTGTGCCCTTCTGAACTGCCACTTCTCATCCTTCGTTCATTTTTATACTGTTTCTACCTCTTTGGAATTAGGAATTCATCTCCTGGTCTATTATTTCCTTTACGTATGATCTCTCCTAAGATAATTCCATAACTAAACACATTTTAGGGATTCTAAGATCCATGCACCTAGATATAAAGCACCAATTCTTAACTTATTCACAGTGCATAACCCATATTTTACAAAGAAATGTGAAACACTCCTATGTCTCCGTATATATGAAACATAAACCATAAACCACGGGGTCATACGGGAATAGGCACACCCATCCCCCATTTTCCACTACCACATGGTAAACACACAAACTTATTAGTGAGACAATATCACTTTAGTACCAGATAATCCAAGAAGTCCTTTACAGACATTATCATTTAATTCCCAACAACCCTCTGCCATAGGTCTTATTACCCTCATTTACAGATTTTAAAAACAGAAATCTCAGAGTTTAATCAGTTTGCACAAGATCACAGGGCTAAGCAAAGGTTCCTACTGAGGCCTGTGTAGCTCCAAGCAAGATGCCACTGGCCCACCCTTACCACTGTGCTGTACTGCTGTCCCCAACTTTAGGTAGTAGTACGTGCACACAGAAGTGTCTATCACATTTTTCTCCAAAGGTTCATTACATCACTTGGGATGTCTTTAACAAAAATCATATAATACCAGGAGCTTTAACCAGCACCATTGATTGTCTTGCCACAGCTAACCTTAAAAAAATTACATGGGCTCAGTCAACCTTATTATAAGATTCCTAGTCCTGTATCACAATTTGCCTTAATTACCCTGTCAGAGGATACCCTAAGAACAGCTGTGAACTCCATGAAATGTTTTGGGAGCATAGCCAGACCCATGCTTATAAAGTACTGAAGACGCAAAAGTTCAGTGGGATCTCTGGTGAGCATTTTCCAAAATTAACCTAGGCATCAGTCTTCCATGATAATCCCAAATCAGCATTTGCTAAATGGCATGAACTAAACTACTTAGCTCCTAAAGTCAAACACATGAAGAATGAGAATAATGCAGTCACTCCATCACGCACGCAGGCTGCTCCAGCTGCCCTCTCCGCTCAGCCTCAATCACCATCCTGCCTCACACTCCAGCCTCTTTAATCTCAAACAGCTTGTAGTTCCCACACACACCCCAGGATGTTTCACACTTACATGAGGTGGCTCCTGCTGTCCCTTCTGCCTCTTCCCTCCTGGGTGCACACGGTTATTAGCCTCTGCCTATTTTCACATCCCTCTCTGAATGTATTTCTCACTGGTAACAACCAGGCTAAGCCTAATAATGCTCCCTCCTCCTATGTTCTGGGGCATCTCACATATACCCTATGACATATTGACAACTTCTCTTTACTTGGAGAGATTTTAACCCACCTTTAGGATCACTACCACAGTGAACCACCATTACTGTTGAAAAATAAAAAGACTGTCACCCAGGAAATCAGACAGAACAAAGTGAAAGCCACTGTACTCCATGTCTTTCTTCAGGACAAGGGTCTTACTATTTTTTTTGGAGACGGAGTCTCCCTCTGTTGCCCAGGCTGGAGTGCGGTGGCGCGATGTCGACTCACTGCAAGCTCCGCCTCCCGGATTCGAGCCACTCTCCTGCCTCAGCCTCCTGAGTAACTGGGACTACAGGCGCCCGCCACAACGCCCGGATAATTTTTTGTATTTTTAGTAGAGACGGGGTTTCACTGTATTAGCCAGGATGGTCTCAATCTCCTGATCTCGTGATCCACCCGCCTCTGGCTCCGAAAGTGCTGGGATTACAGGCATGAGCCACTGCGCCCGGCAGGGTCTTACTCTTCTTTCTAGCCCCTGAAACCTAGCATAGAATCAACTATGAGCACAGGCACTTAATCTATGCTTGTTAAACTAAAAATTTACATAAGATATTAAGTCATTTCAGAAACTCAAAAAAATGCAAAAATAGGTAAACTCGCATACAAGAAATACAGAAACTAAAAATTTCAACTTAACTCTCCAAAGAAAGAGCAAGAGCTTCTCCATTTTTTGCAAAACCAGCTGGAAAAAAAAAAAAGACATCTGGGGAGAGCTCAGTCACTTTTCAACCAGCATTTTTTTTGTTGTTTTTTTAACCACTATTACCACAGGTTCTCTTAACTAGATTCTCTCATTATCTGCCCTGCTGGGACCAAAAGCTGAGTAGCACCTTCTTTTGGAAGCTAATTCTTAATCAAATTCCTCCTCAAAATGTGGACCTTCTTGAAGTTTCCTCCGCAAGAAACTACTGTTAGTTTCTGAAGTAGGATGCAAAATTTAAGGTGCTAAGTACGGGAGAGCATGAGTCCTAGACATCTTAGCTATAAGGTATCAGAACTTCAGCTTTACAGCTTTTTACTTAATTTTTATATACAAGGGGCACAAATGAAATGGGCAAAGACTTGTCAGAGTTAGCACATCCATGGTAGAAGAGTGTGTTCCTACAATTATATAGTCCTCCATGTTTGATGAGACAGTTCTTACTCAAACGGTCTCACTGCACACTTCATTGAAAGAAGCTCTTTGTTGTCAAACTTATAACTAATTATGTCAACATAAGAAATTTAGTTTTGAGGCCAGGCGCAGTGGCTCACGCCCGTAATCCCAGCACTTTGGGAGGCCGCGGCGAGGGGATCACGAGGTCGAGATCGAGACCATCCTGGCCAACCAATATGGTGAACCCCGTCTCTACTAAAAATACAAAAATTAGCTGGGCGTAGTGGCACGCGCCCATAGTCGCAGCTACTCGGGAGGCTGAGGCAGGAGAATCCCTTGAAACCGGGAGGCGGAGGTTGCAGTGAGCCAAAATCGCGCCACTGCACTCCAGCCCAGTCGACAGAGCAAGACTCTGTCTCAAAAAACAAAAACAAAAACAAAGAAGAAATTTAGTTTTAGGTTTTTCAGAGAGCTTTCAAATTTAAATGTCCACATCTTTTGACATAACAATTCCCAGTTTAAGAATTTACGTTATAAAAATTCTCAACCAGGGGCTGAGTGCGATGACTCACTCAGTACTCCCAGCACTTTGGGAGGCTAAGGCAGGAGGATCACTTGAGGTCAGGAGTTCAGAGACCAGCCTGGCCAACATGGCAAAACTCCGTCTCTACCAAAAAATACAAAAATTAGCCGGGTGTGGTGGCACACACCTGTAATCCCAGCTGCTCAGGAGGCTGAAGCATGAGAATCCCTTGAACCCGGCAGGTGGAGGTTTCAGTGAGCAGAGATCGCGCCACTGCACTCCAGCCTGGGCGAGACCAAGACCCTGTTTCAAAAAAAAAAAAATTTTTTTTAAACTTCTCAACAAGAAGTCTGATGGCATACACGTAGGTACACTTGAATAAAGTTACTATGAAAAGGATGGCTAAATTATTGCACACCTATGCTGAACAATGCATCTGTTGGTTACAAAAGAGAACTATTTGTACCTACATTGAAGATTCTTCAGGATACATTATTTAGTAAAAGCACAAATTATAAACAGTATGATTTCATTACTATATTCAAAGATGTCTGTGGACACATGCATAGAGCTTCTAGAAAATATATTCAGCAACGAGTGTAAGCAAGCCCTGGGAACTACTAGAGAGAGTGAGGATTGAAAAACATTTTCCACATTTTATGTATTTTGAATTAATCTGAATGTGCACATATGTAAAAATTATCAACCTGTTTAATATTTATACAATCTGTTGTATCTATGTTGTATCTGAACAAAAAAGGTAATACATGCTCATTGTAAATTAAAAACACACCACCTGCAGATTATTACTTGAGTCCACATCCCAAAAGAGAACAAAGATCTTCCATGTTTCTGTTATCACCATCAAATCTATTTACATCCATCCAGCTTCCCCATCTGAATCTCAAGGAGAAAAATACAACGGCTTCCATTGGAATGACTACTGGGTGACGTTGTATTCATCCTTTACACACATTGTCCAACAGGATCCTATGAAGCATCATGTCCATTCTAACTTCCCAAGACCTCAAATTCCTCATCCTCAAGCTACAGCATGCATTTAGTAAGTGGAGCTGGAAATCAAGCCCAGATCTAGACCTCATATCCCACAAAACAAGCCCAGATCTAGACCTCATATCCCACATCCTCCTGGCTTTTCCCTTCAGTTCAACAAAGACACATGTGGCAAGCAACCAGTCTCCTCACCGAGAGGTTTCAGCATAGTTTCTCCTTCCTACTCTCCTGTTCCTCAGCAGTATCTCACATTCAAGACATTTTTTTCTGCATGTCAGGGTCATACAAAACTTGCTAACAAGCTGAGACAGACAGACACCGTGGACTCCACTCCAGATACCTCTACCTCTTGCAATCTAAGAACATATCCCCAGGAACCACAATCAGCCTCCTGAGACAAAGCCGTGACATCTACCTCCCCATGCCCTCTGCTCTAACCTCCTATCTCTTTAGGCCCCTCTCCAACTTCTCCGCAAGCCACTTATATTAAGATGAAGCTACTAAAAAACACATTGAAACAAAAAAAGTCTCATTTTTCTGTCTTAAAACAGGATATCCATGTTTTTATTCTACAATAAGCCCTGGGGCACAGACTACCTGTATACTAGTCTTTTTCCTAAATAAAGAAGATAAATCAACCCTTCAAAAAAGCCAAACAGGATTTCTGTACTTAGAGAAGGCAAGAAATAGGACATCTCTGCTCTGACTTGCCACTGCAAACATGATTGGGCTCCTGTGCAAGCTACTTTGAGGATTTGGACAACTTAAATGGGAGGGATGAAGTCAGGCAGAGTTGCAGCAGGTGGCAATGGGTTCCCATGATTATCTGGAGGGCCTTAGGCAGGTTGCTTCTCCCAGGGTTCTATGGAGAATCCTTTGGTAAAGCATCTACTGTGCTATCTCATTTTTATTAGTTTTCCTTTCTTATAATATTTAAATACATCCTGGAAGTAGTACTCTATTGATCAAAGGACTTGCATAGACAGCAGAAAAGTCTCGAAAGGAGTTATTCAGAACAAGTCCCCTATCTCAAAATCAACTGATCTAACATATCACCCAGTTTTTGATTAATAGTTTTGGTCACTATTGTGACCAAAGACAGGATTCATAATTGGGGAAACATGCTACTTTACCAAGGACCAGATTTTTTTAAATGTAAAAATGAGGGAATTTAGCTCCTCCCAAAAGATTTCTTCTATTTCTTTTAGCAAAAGTTTAATGAACAAAATGGAAGGAATACTTAATTTATGCCAGTGCCCTAAAATAACCAGGTAAAGGTATTTTAAACCTGGCTCATGATATCCATAAACGTTTTGGCCAACAGTTTCAACCTCTGCTTGTCAAATCACGCATTTAGACCACCATTTGGAAGAACTGGACTTGGGGCCAGGTGCGGTGACTCAAGCCTGTAATTCCAGCACTTTGGGAGGCCGAGGTGGGCAAATCACAAGGTCAGGAGTTCGAGACCAGCCTGGCCAACATGGTGAAACCCCATCTCTACTAAAAATACAAAAATTAGCTGGGTGTGGTGGTGTGCGCCTGTAATCTCAGTTACTCGGGAGGCTGAGGCAGGAGAATCACTTGAACCTGAGAGGAGGAGGTTGCAGTGAGCTGAGATCATACCATTGCACTTCAGCCTGGGCAACAAAGTGAGATTCTGACTCGAAAAAAGAAGAAGAACTGGACTTGGTCTACACTCTTTTGGAACCTAAGATAGGTTCAGACAATTTTCCCAATGTTATGTTAATAAGAAAGCAGAATGAATTTGTAAGAAAGTGAAGGCCAGGCACAGTAGTTCACGTCTGTAATCCCAGCACTTTGGGAGGCCAAAGTGGGAGGACCGCTTGAGCCAAGGAGTTCAAGACTAACCTAAGTAACACAGCAAGACATCGTCTCTACTAAAAATTAAAAAAAAAATTAGCCAGACGAGGAGGCATGTGCCTGTAGGTGCCTGTAGTCTACACCTGTGATCACTGCACTCCAGCCTGGGCAACCGTGCGAGACCCTGCCTCAAAAAAAAAAAAAAAAAACAAAAACGAAAGTGAGCTCACACTCACCAGAAATGTTAAAAAAGTGCAAGAGTAGATCAACTGGCCAGGAGCGGTAGTCCCAGCACTTTGGGAGGCTGAGGTGGGCAGATTACCTGAAGTTATGAGTTCAAGACCAACCTGGCTAACATGGTGAAACCCTGTCTCTACTAAATATACAAAAAAAAATCAGCCAGGCATGGTGGCGGGTGCCTGTAATCCCAGCTATTCAAGAGGCTGAAGCAGGAGAATCACTTGAACTCAGGAGGCAGAGGTTGCAAGTGAGCCAAGATCGCCACTGCACTCCAGCCTGGGTGACAAGAGTGAAACTCCATCTCAAAAAAAAAAAAAGAGTAGATCAATCGTCATTTGTCACAGACAAGCCTTGTCCATTGAGTCAGAGGATCTACTGAGGAGATTCTTCCATCTCTAACATATACATAAGTACTCAGATATTTCTAGAAACTAAGAAAATGCCAGGCACAGTGGCTCACGCCTGTAATCCCAACACTTTGGGAGGCCGAGACAGGTGGATCACCTGAGGTCAGGGGTTCAAGACCATTCTGGCCAACATGGTGAAACCCTGCCTCTACTAAAAACTACAAAAATCAACTGGGCATGGTGGTGCGCACCTGTAGTCCCAGCTACTTGGGAGGCTGTGGCAGGAGGACCTCTTGAACCCGGGAGGCGGAGGCTGCAGTGAGCCAAGATCGCACCACTGTACTCCAGCCTGTCAACAGAGCAAGATTCTATCTCAAATAAATAAATAAATAAAAAACTAAGAAAGTGAACAAAAATTGAATAAATGAATTCTGAAAGAAAGGTTACATCCCAGGTTGCTCCAAAATTTGTAAATCGTTCTCCTTCTATTTACAGCAGAGCCAGGCCGAGATTTAACACCACCCTCACTCACTTATTCATCCATCTACATCACTCTCGGTGGTATTCTACACAGCTGATTACACCCTCCTTCTCCACAGGCTTTCTTCATTTATCTCCCAGAAACAGTTTGCCCTGCTTGCTTTCTTCTACTTTACTGTCCTTCCTCACCCTCCTTTGCTGGTCTTTCCTTCATCCTACAGCCATAGGCTCAGTCCCTTGATGATCATGTCCAATTCCATGGTTTCAAATGCCACAAGCTAATGAAGTCTCCAAATGTCACTTCTATGTCCCATCTCCCCCTGAGCTCCAAATTGATATATCTGCCTACTAACCTTCTTCACTTAAATTTCTAGTAAGTATTAGAAACACCATATCAAAACCAAAGTTCCTATTTTCTACCCAAGAATCTGCTCCTCTCCCAATATTCTCCATTTTGGTAAATGGCACCATCTTCCACCCAGTTGCTCTGGCCAAAAAATCTTGCAATTCTTCACTTTTCTGATACTCCTCAGCTAATCCATCAGCAAATCCTGTTGGCTGTTCCTTACAGCTATACAGAGAATAGCCACTACTCATTACCTCCAAAGCTAGTAACATATCATCTCCTGCCGGAATATTACAACTGTGCTAAATGCAATTTTCAGGTATTTTCTGTTGCAAGCATTTTGAAACCACTACTCCACCCTTCCTTCAATTTGTGGAAGATGACATACAAAGATAGCCACCATCAATTCCTCTCTCGGTACATGCATGCCACTCTACCAACTAAAGATGGAGTCTATTTCCATATCTCCCCTGAATCTGAGCTAGCCTGATGACTTGCCTTAATCAATAGAATGTGACAGAAGTAATGTGCCAATTCTGAGCCCAGCCTTTAAGAAGACTAGCAGCTTCCATTTTCACTTAGGGTAAGATCAGTCAACTCTGCCAGGAAAAAAAAACTCCAGCTTCTTCTGAACAATAAGGTATCATTTGGAGAAAGGTTACAAGGACGGCCAGTTACATCAGCAAAGATTCCCTGGTCCTTTTAGCCCAGTTTAGTAATGGACCTGAGTGGCACATGTGGATCAGAAACCACCACCTAACAGACACAGAATGAGAAAGAATAAATTGCTCTGAGCCACTAAGTTTTGGGGTGGTTTGCTTATGCAGCAATAGATAACTGATATACCATAACCACAATAGAATCAGCTCCCTCAACAACTAATAATAATGCAATAATGCCAGACATTCTAAAGACTTAGGCTCCTTTCAGCTTATAGTTCAATAGATTCCTCTAAGAATATTTCTTTTTTTTTTTTTTTGAGACGGAGTCTTGCTCTGTCACCCAGGCTGGAGTGCAGTAGCGCGATCTCAGCTCACTGTAAGCTCCGCCTCCCAGGTTCACGCCATTCTCCTGCCTCAGCCTACCGCGTAGCTGGGACTAAAGGCGACCGCCACCACGCCCGGTTAATTTTTTTGTATTTTTAGTAGAGACGGGGTTTCACCGTGTTAGCCAGGATGGTCTCGATCTCCTGACCTCGTGATCCACCCACCTCGGCCTCCCAAAGTGCTGGGATTACAGGTGTGAGCCACCTCGCCTGGCCCAAGGATATTTCTACAATAACTTTAAACTATTTCCTAATCAAGTTATATGGTCTCAGGATAATTCTCTAAAATATCTATAGTTTATGTACTACAAAGTAGTCCCCTTCAGGGCAACAAAATTCACAGAATATGTCAATATTTAGAACTGTGTTTATTTACCAATACTGAATACTTGCCAAACAGCAATTTCAGACCATGATACATTACACCCTTAATTTTAATGGAACACTCAAAACTATGTATGCTTGCCATCAGCCTTCAAGCAAAATTCTGGCAATCCAAGCCAATTTGTAACATCAGATTTATGGGGCTGAGATCTTAACTAAGAATACCAATCCTACCCCTTGGTCATTGCTACCACACTGCCACCTCCTGTCTTATGACTCTGGAAGCTTGAATCAGAGGCAACAGTTGATAAAGGAAACTCAGCTAAGAATAGCACAGCTAACCATCTCGTCTTTCCGCCTCTCCTTCCTCCCAGACCAAACCAACCACCAGAGTTACTGAATGGATAACTCACACCTTCCAAAAATTAGTTATTGCTAGAAAAGTTGCTGCCTGGATGCTGCTGCTAAAAACAATTATAATGGAGTCACTTCAAATACATGAAGGTAGTTTGACAGCTTCACTTTAATACAAAATCCCAATCCTATAACCACACATTAACTAAACTTGTGTCGCTCATAATAGTTTCAAAGCGTGGCAAAGATCATTTCCCCCTTGCTAACTGCATGAAAGAGGTACACAGGCAAAAACAACAGAGCTACAGAAAAAAAATTTAAGTCAAGCTCCTTACAGGAAAAACCCCAGATCTCTGTAATTCCAAAAGATATTTTTAAGCCTTAGCTGATAACCTATTTATTTTGAGCACAATGGCAAAACCTCAGAACAAAATACTATATACCCCTTGTAGTTTATCATAATGGCATCTGGCCTGAAAAGAGAATGTAACTGATCACACAAATCAAAAGGAAAGCCAGAAACAGAAGCCAAGATTCTCGATTTCCACTGGCTCCTGGCACATGTCATGTTTCCGTAACATCTTCCTCAGAGTTACTGTGGACAGCCATACAGTAGAAGCCACTTATCAACATGCATCTAATTTTTTTAAACTCTTATTAAAACCAAAGTAAGAAATCTTTCAAGATCTCTGAATTTGTTTTGAGAAAATATGAAATTAGGAAAAAAAATCTTTTTAGCTACAACCACTTAGGCAATCCCACGCTGATCTTAAACTGAGCACTTGAAAGATAACCTAGTTTATAATTATTTAACCAGCCAAGAAAGTTTCCTAACATTCAGAACCTCAAGTCTCTGCATGTGTGAGAAACTTTCCCGAATCGCAAGATTCACCTAAGCCATACACTGATAAGGAAGGAGTACCACTGCTATTCGTACCTGTGTTTAAACGTTCTACATTAAAAACAGCTTTTGCTGTCCTAAGACTTTGAAGTCGGAGGCAGCATTGAAGGATCATGTGCCCTGGCTAATGGGCACGTTGCTGGTCATGACACTAGCCTATTCTATCCTTAACACCTATTAAAATGCAACACTAGCTTTTAAATAGCCACTTAAAGTAAGTTACATTTAAAACCCCGATGACTTTTATAAGTTCTATCCAATTTACATTTTAAACACAAGACTAATATGGAAATAAGTTCTTCACTTTCTTTTTTGCATTTTCCCCCACTTTTACTGTGGTAAATACACATAAAATTTACCATCTTAATCACTTTTAAGAGTACAATTCAATGGTGTTAAATACATTCATAGTGTTGGGCAACTATCACTGTTTTCTTTTTTAAGGAAACAAACAAAAAACAACGTTTGAGCTTAGGCACCACAGTCTGTTTTAAAAGATCTTACTCTAAATTAGCCAGGCATGGTGGCGCATGCCTGTAATCCCAGCTACTAGGAGGGCTGAGGCAGAAGGATCGCTTGAACCTGGGAGGCAGAGGTTGCAGTGAGCCGAGATCGTGCCACTGCACTCCAGCCTGGGCAACAGAGAGAGACTCCATCTTAAAAAAAAATAAATAAATAAAAATAAAAATAAAAATAAAAATAAAAATAGAAAAAATCCTACCCTGAAAGGAAGAAAAAGGTAAAGGATCCTGCCTAGAAAAATATTAACTATAATATCCTATTATTTTTTTCTCCTTTCTTCAAATGTATTTTTCCTACACATAATCCTAAACAATGCCAACCGCTAAATCATGAGGAAGTTTAATAAAAATATGCTTAGGTTCTTCATCACATAGGAGGCAGCAACAACAACAAAAAGGTTAGGTTCTAAAAAACTGAACATATGAAAAATTATTTTCGTAATTTTAAAAAGTAATGGAAATTGAACTAAAACCACCATCCTCTCAGTTCCCCAGTGTCAGCAATTTTCCTCTTCCCTCTCCCATGCCCAACAGCCCACAACATAACAAAAAAGGACATCAGTGCTATTTACATAATCACATAGGGGCACAAACAAGGCCCCACAGGATACCAGCAGCTCTTCCAACCAAACACAGCTACAACATTTCCAAGTACCAACTATTTTCCACACCTACCCTTACTTCCAAGGTGGAGGGAAAAAAGTTGAGCCTATACTTCGGAGTCAAAGTCTTCATGTTCTGTATCTTTTATATTTAGAATAGAGAGTGCAACACTATCACAGATATCCAATGCAATCTTCTCTTTAGTCCAGCTGCAGGAGACTTCAATGTCTGTAAAGTAACTGCTATAATCTTCCCCAACTGAGGGGTATCTGAATGCAGAAAAGCCACATTCCTTCCACATTCCCTTGAGACCTCAGTAATTGGGAGCTAAGCTTGGTCTGAACCAAATTCAACCTTACTACTTCCTGAAAGGGTCCCCCCCCAAGCTCCACTGGAAGTCAAAGCCAGGCCAGCCTGCCAAGCCTCCAATCACCTCCTGGGCCTGCTCCCCTGTTTAGTCAGTGCAAGCCCATTCATCCATCTCAGCGTGCATTCTCCAGCACCAGGTTCCTGACATGCCTTGTATATCAAGTACAAAGGTCACTGCTGCACATGTGGGTGTGCCTGCCTCAGATGCCCACATGATGATGGGATGGAATGAAATGACTGCTAAGCAGAAAGAACTCCACCCTAAAGTCCAGCAGGCTTGGCAAGGATTGGTTTGTGGCATTCAACTATCAGAGCAACCCCCATCAGTCAGTACAACCTCTTGACCTTCCCTTAGGTGCTGGGCATGTGGTCACCCTGATGCCTTCTCTGCCCGCTTCCAGAGCCTATGAAAATGGTGGAACAGTCCAGATATAGGAAACTGCATCACAGCTCCAAGGGTCAGTTAAAATAACTGTAATATAGATTTCCAGAGGCAGAGAAAAAAGGTTTTTTTTTTTTTTTGAGGTAGAGTTTCACGCTCTTGTTCAGGCTGGAGTGAAGTGGCACGATGGCTCACTGCAACCTCCAGCTCCCCAGTTCAAGCAATTCTCCTGCCTCAGCCTCCCGAGTAGCTGGGTGGGATTACAGGCACCTGCTACCATGCCCAGCTAATTTTTGTATTTTTAGTAGAGATGGGGTTTCACCATGTTGACCAGGCTGGTCTCGAACTCCTGACCTCAGGCGATCCACCCACCTTGGCCTCCCAAAGTGCTGGGATTACAGGCGTGAGCCACTGCGCCCAGCCAAAGGCTCTACTTTTAAGACATTTCAACACAAGCAAGGAACATGATTGTTCTATCAGTAAAAACAACCTCCAATGTTCTCATCCCTGTTTACTTTGTTAGTAAGATAGTACTGTATCATTTAAAATCCTGAGCATTTTAATGAACTTGAAAATTCAATTTACATTGTTAAAAATGAACTTGAAAAATGAACTTGAAAATTTAAATCTACATTGTTAATAAACTGAAGATACATTGATAAATACTTGCTGTCACTGGTGACATCTTACCTTATGTGCTTTCCTAAAGAGGAACTCCTGTTTATTATAAAGTAACAAGTAACTAAGTATATATATGCTTTTGGACTAAGCAAAAGCCTTTAAGAATAAAACAGGCAGTTGTTAACAGGTAATGTTTTTAAATTAATCCCCTACACCTGGGGAGAAATTCCCATCGGTTAGCAAAAGAAAAGCAGCAGGGGAAGGCACAGTAATCTGTATTTACATGTAGCTCGATGAATTGTAAAAATCCAAAACATTTCATTTTTAAATTTAGAAACTCTCTCAAATGTTAAAATGCCAGTCCTTGAGGCACAACCATTTGCTTATTTATTCAACATTTTAACAAAATTAAGACATACTGACCAAACATAATAACAATTAGAATTTGTAAAATGGGCTTATGTTTTTTTCCTAACCAATTCAGGCTATGGCTTTAAGCTTCTTTTTACGGGAATATGACTTCTCCCTCGATTTTCAATTCTTGTTAAACCAAGCTCAATTTATATGAAAATCATGTGACCCCTACCAAAATTCCCAACTAGAACTAAATCTATCAGGTCACTCAAATCCCTTTCAATTATCTTAATGAAATTTAAGTATGAGAACAAGAAAAATCCAAACCAACTCATCCTTAAAAACAAGATTTGTGAAAATGCTTTGCCTGGGAAGAGAGCTGAAATCTACACAGGCATACAGATGAGATGTTTTGTAGCCATCTATTTCTGCACAGCACCAGAGAAATGCATAGCAAACCCTCCTGCTCTCCAGCACACACTCTCTCACCAATATCTAACCAGATACACGCAGCCCTGATTTAAATTAACTTTCAGCTTATTATTTGGCTCAGGTTGGGAGTTGGGGGGATGGGAGAGGGGCAGGCAGAAACCCTAACCCCACCATGCAAAATCCAGAAAGGCTTAGAGGCCCACCCCGGTGCGACTGGGAGGGAGCAGTGCCTTTCCAATTGCAGTTAGAGCCGGAATCTATGGTGTGAGTTGGCTGAAGGTTTTAAAAAACAAAACAAAACAAAAAAATAGAGCCGGAATCCGGCCTGCTCTAGCGAAAGGAAAGGAGTCTCCACTGCTCCATAAGGCTTCATAAGAAAAAGAAAAAGGGAAAGAGCCATGTCTCCAAAATGCTTCAGAGGCTAAAACAGTCTATAAACATTCTGTAAAGCGACATACTACACACATGATCTCGGAGACGAGAAATCCCCGTCCTTAAGTAGTACGAATCTTCCTGTCTTCATCTTTTGGTGGTTGTAAGCAAAAATGTACCCAGGAGGAGTGGGGTGGAAAGCGGGGAGACAAAGGTGCTGACTGCAGGAACCTGTAGAACTTCGGAGTGACTCAAAGGCACTTCTGGGCCAGAGAGGCCCCAGCGTTTACGCACGCGTTCCAATACCCCTGGCGAGCTCACAGGGCAGAGGCAAATTCCTCTCCACTCGGCCGCGCCCACGGCCTCCCAACCCCGGACAGAGAAGGAAAGGAGGGACCCCCGCGTGTCCGCAGCTGCTTTCGCCTCTCCTGCTCCTGGAGGGGTGGGGGAATCATCCGCTGCTTCCCAAGCCCTGCAAACCCCCCAAACTGCTTGTTGGGACCCATTTCCCGTAGGAGCAATTTGACCCGCTCGGACCGAGGACATTCAGCTGTGAGCTTTCGAGAGATTTTGTAACCAATAACCATAATCCCGCGGCAGAGGCCACAGAAAAGCTTTCAATTCCTGCCCAGCATCATCAACACACACACCCCCGCCATAAACTTAAAAGCAAGGATTAAAGACCGGAACACCACGCCACACGGCAGGGGGTAAGCACCAGAGGACAAGAAGTTCTCAGCTGAGTCTCTCCACCCAATAACGGAGTGAGAACAGAATCGGGGCAAACAGAAGCAGCAGCTCACCTTTGCCTTTTTGGGACCGAGTGCTCAACTTCTATGGGTTTCCCGTGCAGTTCTATTTTACCTGCGGACACACAAGAAGTGAGACGGTCGGCCGAGTTCAGCGGCTCTCCCTGCCCGAAGACCCGCACAGCCCAAGCGGCGACACAAATGGCCTCCTGAGGCCCTCGAAGGGCCCCCGAGGCCCGGACGCGGCTCCAGGCGGAGGGAGAAGCCGACCCCCTCGAGCGGCGTGGGCATTTAACTCGCAGATGGTTGGGGAGCAGGGTCCGCTGGCGGGCCCACTACTTGGGTATCAGTCCAGTCTCCAAGCCTCCCCCACCCACCCCTGGGGGCCACCAACACCACGAGGCCCGCAAGAGGGACGCGGCCCACCCTCTCACCGCCCTGGACACGCTCCACAGGGCAGACTCGGGGCAGGGGGCTCCCCTGGCTTTCTTCAGGAGGGGGCGCCCTGGCCCTGCCCTCTGCTTCAGCCCAGACCCGCCGGGAACACTCAGCGGTGGGCTTGAGGAAGACAGGGAGTGGCGAGAAAGGGTCGGGGACGGCAGGGGAGACCACGAACGGGAGAACTGGCAGAGGCGCAGCTCGGCACAGGCTGAACCAGGCGCGAAGGACGGCGAGGCGCCCGCACCACGTCTGAATTGATTAAAAGGGAAGCCGAAAGGCACGGGGCTCCCATGGGGACCCCAACGCAGCCTTCCCCCTGGGCGTCCTGCTCCGCCCGGCACCGTCCCTCGCCCTGGCGGAGCCATACCCGGAGGCCGCAGCCCCGCGCCAGGGCCCGGAGAGCGGCGGGCGGCCGGTGCGTGGCGGCGACTCCCTTCCAGGCGACCAGCCGCCCCCGCCCACCTGCCCCTATCGCTCGTCGGACCAGGGGAGGTGGAACGGGGAAACCGGGCACACACTCTCTCCTCCCACAGGGTGGGGAGGAAGCGCGGGGCCGCCTGTGCGAGGCACCAGCCTCGCGGTCTCACTCGGCAGCACGGTCGAGGCCACTTTCCGTTCTCCACGGCCGGGGGTTTCGGGGCGCAGCACAGACAGCGCCGTAAATAACGACCGAGGAAAGCAGGAAGGAACGAGGCACAGGCGGGCATTCTAGCTCGGCCCCCGAGGCCCAGCGTGCCGGGGCCTGGAGCACGCGCCTGGGCCCGGGCGGGGCGCCGGGGGAGCGCGCCTCCCCCAGCCCCGCGCCCCCCTTAGCCAGCGCCGGGGCTTTCTTGACAGCGCGTTCGCCCTCACCCAGCAAACCCCGGCCGGGGAAGCAGAGCCGCGGGCCGGAGTGGGAGCCGGAGCTGAGGAGAGCCCCGGCCCCCACGCGCGTGGGTGTGGGCGCTCAGGCCTCACCCCCGCTCCCCCAGCGCGCCGGGCCTGGGGCCCGCGGAGCCACCCGGTGGGCCTGGGCGGGCGGTGCAGGGCTGGGGCGAGAGCCCGGGTGGGGCCAGGCCCGGGCCCACCTGAAAGCGCCTCGATGGCCTTGAGGGCCCAGCTCTCGTCCGGGCAGTCCACGAACGCGTAGCCAGTCTTCACCAGGAAGGGTCCCGACACCGGGATCTTGGCGTCCTTGAAGATACTTTCTAGGTCCGAGGGGGCGGCGTTCTCGCTGAGGTTTCCGATATACAGTTTGTTCATTGTGAAGAGTGGTTGTTTAAAAAAAAATAACGAGAAAAAACGAAAAATTAAAACCACCCACGGTGATGGATGGATCCAGCTGGTTTTGTTCCCCTCGTCTTCTCGCCTTTAAAATACACAAACACAGTAAGAACCAAGCACAAGAACGAGGAGTGAAAAATCAGATCCGAGGCTTGTTTTTTCCTTGTCTAGATGTGTTTTAAAAGAGAAAGAAAAGAAAAAGCCTAGCTACAACCCAAACGCATCCACCAGTCTTCCTAAGTCTTAGGAGGAGGCGGGATTAGCAAGAGAAAGGAGGAGGAGGAGGGGAAAAAACTACTTTTTGTCTCTTCCTTCCCAACCCCTTTGGCTTCGGCCAGCGGACTGTGAAAATATCACACTACGTGAGGCAGGCGCCGCCTCCCCATAAAAAACCCAGAAGGGTGACTGGCAGGAGGGAGGGGAGAGGAGGAGGAGGAGGAGGGAGGAAGGCGCAGGAGGCGGAAAAAATCCGCTCCGAGTGTCCGGCTTTTTGAATGAGCCACGTGTTCAAACTACAAATCAACGTCTCACGTGAGGAATCCCAGAGCCTCAATTAGAGTGGGTTTCGGAGAAAAAAGCGAGCGAGAGGAAGAGGGGGAGGGGAAACGAGATTGGGAGAGGGACTCTGAGAAGGGGGAGGAGGAAGAAGGAAAATGCTAAAGGAACCGCAGCCGGCACCAAGCGGGGCGCTGACGGTCACAACTCGAGTTTGTAAAGGGTTATCTGGTCTGGGCGGATCCTGGGAGGGAGGGCTGGAATATTGATTTTTTTTTTTTTAATGAGGAAATGGGCAGAGGTACTAACAGGCAGTTCCTCAGCGCTAGTTACCGTAGTTTTAATCATTCGATTTTTCAAAATAGGTTATTAACAACAAAACCAGAGTCACAATCCCGAACTCGCCTGGTGGCTTTAATGGCATTAGAAGTGTAACCCCAGCAAAGCCGCAGGCACGTTTCTAAGGCTGGCATGGACGGAAATGCTGCGAGGAGGGGTGGGGGAGTGGGTGAGGGGGGCAGGGGGTGGGGGCAAGACAGGCGGGCGACGCGCCCCACCCCGTGCGCCCTTCTCGGGCCCTGGGCACCGCGCGAGTGGGGGCGGCCCGGCCCCGGAGTGGTGGGGGATGGGATCCCGCAGCGTCCTGGGCGGGTGTCTGGGCGACACCTCCTCCGCCTCCGCCTGCGCTCGCGGTGGCTCTCGGCTTCGCGTTTGCCATTGGTTGCGCGATTCAGAAAAGGCTCCAGGATAAATGAGGCCGGGGGCGGGCTTGGCCACTGGTGGGGGAGGGGAGTGCAGGGGCGGAGGTTTCTGGCTAGGGGCTGGGGTCGTCGGGGGCCTGGGCCGCTGGAGGAGAGAAGTCAAAGTGGGAAAAGTCGGTAAAGGGAAACCCTCTCTTCCTGTAGTTTTTAAAGGGGGAGGAGTGGAGTAGGCTGGTACTTTTATTTAAGTAATTTTAGTTGGAGAACTTGAGACTTAAAACTGGAAGACCGTCGTGCATTACCCCTAGGTGGTATTCGCATTTGAAAAATTGTTCGAGTCTCTTTCTGCCTCTTTTCTGCCTGGATTTGGCCATGAGAGCCATACATAATTTTCTCTATATGTAATGAGTACAATGGTGGTTGTCGGGGGAGGATTTGGGCCCGGTGGAGCCTTGTGGGCCAACAAAATGTGAACTGGAGACGAGCAATACGGAAACGAAGGCAGTGCTGGGGTTCTAGTGGAATCTCCAACTGTCGTTTAAAGATTGTGTACTCCACTCAAAGGTTTCATTTGCACCAGATACTTGTGTGTTTTTAACAGGTATATTTTTAACAGGTATTCTATTGAAAAGATAGAAAATTCTAATTTTTTAAGTGAAAGAAATTCTATATAACATGAAAATATAGACAAGAATCTTTAATGACTTGGTACTCTTACTGGTAGAAAAAAGGTATCCTGAATAGAGGAAATATTATGATTTACACTGGAAACATCTTCGGTAATTGATACAGCCTTGCTTCTCTGTCAAAACCGTTGTTAGCATTTTAAAATGTGTATTTTTCATTTAAAAGATGAATGGTAGACTTAAACATGGGAATTGTTGCATGATATAAAGAGTATTTACATTTTGTCTTTTAAAGGGAACTTACTTTGTAATTTTGTGTTAAGGAACCGGAAGGTGTCAGATCATCCATTTTAAATGCAACTGTTCTTTCTTACAGGTTTTTCTTTCCTGCCAAGCGAATCCAACATTTTAAACGTAAACACACTTTCACAATAATTTCATTCACGTTTAATTTAATAAAATGTTGTTACTTTATAAAATAGGGGGACAGACGTGTTTTTCTGTTACAGTATTTGTAACTGAATTAAGAGCTCAGCCTTGAAAGAACGTTTTGGTAAAATTTTTCTTTAAGTTTATGGTTAGGTTGAACTTTTTAAAAGCATTTTTTTCTTTTTTTAAAAATAACTTTAGTTCTAAAGAAGAAATGTATTCTTTCTTTTGGCCTCTGTGGTATGCAAAATGTAAATATCAAAAATTATGGATTTATTTTAAATGTACCTGTTGTAGAACAAAAGCCATTTGGAGAAATGTTCTACATTCATTCATTTGGTAATATTTGCACTTCTCAATACCACTGTAAATTTTACAACCTGTTGATCATTTAACACTTTTAGTAATTTTTCATAAAAACAAATTGTGTGTGTTCAGCTTGCTTCCAAAATCAATTCAACTATGGCTTCTGGGTTGACTGTATTTGCTCTTATTAAAACTGAGACCTAAGGAAATATCTACTTCTAAAGCATGGAATAAATTGTTTATTTTCCATAAATACTAGTCCATGCTTGTCTGGCACTATCAAACAAATCTAACAGCTGGAATTTAAAACAAGTGTGTGTTTTGATGAAATATGTTCCTGGGACTCCTGTTAACCTAATCTGTGTATTATTGTAACAAACTGGATAGTCCATCTAGGACCTTAAAAACATACATGAGTAATACAAGCTCAGACATCAAAGAGAGAGGTGGATACAGTCCACTCCACTTCCAGTCTTCCAAGCATTTAAGGGTTGAGTCAAAAGATCTTAGGTAGTTGTCTTGCACTAGCACTTCAAGTACAAAGATACCTTTGGTGAATTTTCAAGAATGAATATAAAATCAATTTAAGTTCCAGTTTTTTTTTTTTAATGACTCTCACACAAATCAACTGGTTATAGGCTACTTCAGCTTCTTCCTGAAGCAGTTGTAGCTCCTAATTAATGTGAACTCCACGAAGAAAGAACTCCCACCATTTTATGTGCTCTGGGATGCGGCTGAGTCTTTCCAATTGCAGTCTGTTTACTCTTTGGACAGCTGCATCTCCTCCTTATCTGCTGAACTGAGGACTGTACAAATGTTTCTTGTGGGTCAGTGTAATATTAAAGAATAGCTATGTTTAGAAGGCCAGTTACCGTTGCTGTACCCACACGTCAGGGGCAAAGGCTGAGTGGGCAGATGGGGGGCTGCCACCCCTCCTCACGCCCGGCTTGGGACCAGCCTGGAGTCTCAAGCCGAAACCCCTCACGCGGGTGGGCACACAATGCCCGGCGTGTCGCCTGGGCCTCCTCGGAGGTGCTTTAACAGGCTCTTGCGCTTTTGAACGGCCCTCCTGGACTCTGATCTGTTTAAACTAGAGGCGTTAATAAGTGATAACCTGGATCTGCCCTCCTTGGAAGCTGCCTGCCTATATTTTATTGTTTAAAATAAATAAAAATGGTGCCCCGGGAGAGAAGATGGGGTTGTTTCCTTTTTCCTCTGGCTCTGCCCCGAGAAAGAGGGCGGGATCCTCACGGCTCACAGTGGGGAGGGTCTTTCGTCGGCCGCCGGCTCGCCTCGGAGGGCCTGGACCACTGGACCGCCCTTCCCCGGGGCCCTGCCGCGGGACCGCGGGCTTCTGGCTCCTCCTGGGGCTGCGTCCGTATGCGCGGAGCGTGTGGCCGGGCCGTCGCCGCGCCACCCCACCTGAGTCCGCCGGCCAGCGCGGGGACGCACCGGGCAGCGTGTGTTTGGCGACCCTCCCGCACCTCTGGTCTCAGTTGCGTGTGTGCACGAGGGGTTCCATAGGGCCCAGGGATGCTTGGTACCCACGGGGGAGAATCCCTCGCCGAACCCTGCGGGTCTGCGGGGCGGGCCGCGAGACTGGCGCGCAAAAGCGGCTCCAAGGCGGGGCTCCCGCGCTCCCCGGGGCCGGCTTGCCGAGTCCAAGTTGAGCAACCGGCGTCGAGAGAGACACCGCCCCTGCTGCGGGCGGGGGCCTCTCCTCGCTTCCGATTGGCTGACGGGGGGAACCTATCGCCGTCGGCCGCCTCCGCCAGAGCGGTTTGCTGGTTTTCATTCATTGGCCCCGGAGCCGCCCCTGGATTTCCATCTTTTGTGGCGCGAAAATAACCCTTTGCTCCCTCGTTGGTTTTGTTGAGGTTGAGGGGTGGGACTGTGTTCCCCTCTGCTCGCTCTCGTTTTTCCTGCCCTTTAACAGCTCGCCCCCAGCCCCAACCCCCAAGGAAGAAAGAGGGAGGTAACGCTGAGGAAGGGTGGAAAGCAGTTCTGCGTCCGTGGGTGGAGCCCGCCCCTTGGCTGACCGCATGGTGCCCGCACGGTCCCTTCCCTTCCCCCAGCGTCCAGCGCCCGGAGGTTCTGGATTTGCGCCATGCTCAGCAGCTGGAGTCACATCTTCGTTTCCCTGCCCATTTCCAACATCTTAGAGTTGATGCGTCCTTTTTTACTTAAAACAACTACAACCAACCATGTTCTCAGGTACCAGAACTTTTCTGGGCTTCTAGAGAAATCGACTCGCCCTGCCCGCTCCCTTCCTAAACCCCTTTGTGGTCCACAGGGTTGTTTTAAGCAAAATCAAACAACCCCTCCAAAAAAAGCAAACGAAAAATTCCGGGTAAAATCAACTATGCTGAGACCACGTTTTCGTTGAAGCTGCCCTAAGACCAATGAAGCTGAGACCGACCTTCAAGGATTAACGATTTCTGTAGCTGAAATGTTCTAATTTCACTGACGTTTGGTGGAGACGGTGAGAAAAAATAAATATGAATTTGACTTGGAAAAGCACAAAACAAACGAAATAATAATATTTAATTTGATTAACTGAGAAGGCAAACAGCCACAGTGGTGTATTCTAGGTACTGGTGTCTTTGGTGAGTTTGTAATTATATAAATAAATTGCTGTTGGTTTCATCAAAAATACAGATCAGAACTCTGGCCGTGACAAAAAAGGAAGGAAGTATAAATTTGTTTGGTATATCTAATTTTATAACAGACTTTACCAACCTTTCATTATCTGGAGAAAAGGAAATGTACCAGTTAACAATATAAGTTAATTTGTTTGCAGATAATTGTTCATTTTTTGTCTTGACAAAATACTCTGTTTGGTTAAAAACGGTAAAATGATAATTCAGTAAATATTTAAAACTTTGAGAGAATTGGTTTAAATCAGGGAGTTCAAAGATTTTCTCTGTGTTGTTTACTCTTAGTGATGTTACATCTTGTGATGTTACATCTTCTTCTGAGTGCTTTTGAAAAAATTATTAGTTCTGTGTTAGTCTCTAAAAACTAAAGTAACATAAATTGCCATGTACCAAAATTTTAAAACAAATTTTAACAACTGAATTGGTTAGTAAAGAAAAACTACTTTAAAGTAGAAGTAATCATTAAACATATTTTATTTACATTTGTATATTTCAACTACATTTCACTAATGTGGTTGATAGTATTTTTGAACTTGTCATGTAAAATTATTCATCAGAAACATTAGAATAACTTAGAAATGGTTTGAGTTGAGTAAATTAATTAAAACTTAAGGACTGAATTTGTAGTATGCTAAAGATTATAGAGTTAATAATTTAAATAATCCTTTATCACCTAAGAAATTTAAATTGTGAAGATATGATTATTTGTGAAATGATTCTAGGTTGCAATTTATATATTCAATTATTTTTATATTTTGGAAATGATACAGTAGAAAACTATTGAGGAATTTATTAGAGAAAATTGTGATTGTAAAAAAAAAGTCAAAATTAATCATTTAGACAAGCCAAGACTCTAAAACCTGGTATATTTTTTAATGTTTTCTCAAAATCAAAGATTTATACAATCAATATTTTAAAAAAACAAACAAAAAACTGTTCTGTTTGAGAGAAACTCATTTTTTAAATTTTCAACTACTAAGTCAGGAATTGGAATTTTTATCTGGTAAACATGCATAGTTGTTAAAGTAGTAGATAAGCATGAGTACTTTTATTGGAATTATATCCTGTATTAATACTACTTCACTTAGGTGAAAACTTTAAAATACTCATTCTTCTGGAGAGGGGGTGGGAAGGATGAGACCTTCAATAAAGACTCTTTGGTGATTAGTGTGTACATATGTATTTGCAGACCAGCCATAGAAAACAGAGGGTAGGCATTTGTTTAATAGGGGTAATAGGGGGAGGGGTCTGGGGAAACTGGAAAGATTAGGGTATTTAATCTTGTTTCTTGGTTGCAACTCATTTATCCTGCAGGTTTCCTTGCTCAGTGTGGAAGGAAGAGGGTAGAGAGAGAATGTATTAACTAATGGTGTAAAATGGGAAAGTAATCCATGCATGAAATCCTACTGGAAAGAACAGTAAGAACCCACTCTCCCCACTAAAATAATCTGAAAACAAAGCACATGCTGAGGTTATGGCTAGTTTTCAGCACTCTCTAACACCTACATTTAAAAGACACATGCTAGGTTGCTGTGTTCATATTTGGACCCTTTGTTTTCTTGACCATTTCTATTCCAGAAACTAATTCCAAAAATCTCAGGAATTAAAGATTCTTTAATAAAACAGCAGATCTCATGACATATATTTACATACACATTAACTCTTTCTAGGCAGTCTTTAAGGTAAATTGATGAATGCCTCATGCTATCTATAAATGTAAAGTTAATTTTTAGATGTACTAAGGCAGAATCAATTTTACAATTCCTTACTTGCAAGATGATAATAGATCATAACCATTTCCATTTGGACTGATTAAAATTCATTCCTTCTTTATTTTAGTTTACATTTTGGTCCTAAGCTGCTCTCTAGCATGATGATCCTAGCTTTAAAGAGGGAAACAGCAGGCTAAGTAAGGGGTTTTTGTTTTTTGGTTCTAGTTCAAAAATCTCAGCTGAAGTTCATAAAGAATCTGAGCGCATAAGATAAAGTAGAGAAAAACAAAACTTAATCATCTTTCTCACAATCTACACTATAAAAAATTTGTCCTGAAATTCATGCCTAACATACTTCTACTGAAACATTGACTTCTTTTTTTATATATATAGAGGATTGTTTAAATATAAACACATGTATATTCTTAATCTGTGTATATTCTTAATCCCCAATGTGATTGTTGGCACTATCACATTGGGGATTAAGAATACACAGAGAGAGAGAGAGTTTTTCTTGCTTTTTCTCAACTGACTTAAATTTCATGATCAATTATTTCTAAGTTGACAATACTAGTGCCTTCTTAAAGGCAAAATTTTGTTTGAACTGAGGTTTAATTTAATACCAATAATTGGATCTGATTGATAATTTCCAATTCTTGATTGATTTTGTTTTGGTGGGTGGGGGAGGGGTCTTGTGTCATTCATTGAAGCAGTTTTTCTGTTTTTTAATACTTTTTTATTTGTAGGGTAAACTACTCATATATTATTTGTAACTTAAAATCTTTTTCCTAGCACTTTCCAAGACTTGAAGAATAATTTAAAAGTAACTAAATCTTACTTATAAGATTTGAATAAAGACTTTTTAAATTGTGTACAACTTAATATAAATAAATATGAAATATTTTGTGTTTTAATCATCCATTAAGCTGAAATAACTGCATGGTCCCTTTTTTATAAGTAGCCTAAATCTAATCCAGCTATTAGAAATCTAATTCATAAAAAAGATACCAACGAAGTAACAATTCATAAAAGCCAAAAAAATCAGTTTTTGTTATAACAGAAATAGATACTGTTTCTGTCATCTGGTGAACATTTTGTTATTAGACAATTAAGTACAGAATGACATTACCATGTTTTGTTTTCGTTTGTTCAAAATTGCCTAGAATTTTGTCCCTTGACTCTGTTACCATATATCTGATGGTAATTTCTTTGCTTTTGTATTTCTTTGCTACCAAGATTCAAATAATATCTTTGCTTTTCATTTAAATAAATATCTGTAAAAAGCCAAATAGAAAATAAACTGAAGCATCAAAAGTTGTAGTGTAGTACACTGTAAGTGCTTATTTCTGCAACCATAGTGATATATTCAAGTTTTATTTTAATCTCGTCAATATAGTGACTTTTTTAAAAAGATTAAATTGAATTTTGTTTTAAATATTAATTAAGCAAAAAAAAAGTCGAGTAGATGTTTTAATTCAATGAAATAGACAATAGGGCGAAAGGTAACATTACTCTGTTCCCTCAACAACAACAGATCTTCCAGTTGAGGGCAGTTTTGTCGGATATGGAATGAACTCAGTGTGTGCACTTGGACATATGAATATATGCACATATTTCTGCTGAGAAGCCCTTTAGAGAGATTAGTGAAGGAGAAAAGCAAGATAGAACTTGTGTTCAAATTCTGAGGTTGCAGGTTAAAACAAGCAAGGCAAGCACTACTTTTAAAGTGTTTTCTTAACCATCAGAATACTTCAGTATGATGTCTTTAAAGCTGGGGAGATAAGACTAACAAAACAGTATAGATTGAACTGAAATTACGATGCTACTAGTATATCACCATTAGAACTTACATCATATAAATGTGTTTTCCATTTTATGTCTTTCTATAACTCGTTTTCTATTTAAAATATATGTAGTTAGTATTATACATATAAAACATCCATCAACATTATTAAAACATGAACGTAAGCAGTTTAAAAATTGGTAGAAATAATACGGGTCACATATTTTGAAGTTAAATTTATCTCGAAAATATGAAGTTATCACAAATCCTTTCTGTTGGATTGTTCTACCACTTCTATTTGTGTACATTATCCATAATAGATACATTAATCAAAATAAGCAGTGTTATTTGAAAAAATGTCTCTATAAAAAAAGAGCTAAAGATAGATACTGGTCTGTTCTTGTCGTGAAAACAACAATGGTTTTTGAAACTTAAATAAGGAGAGAAAACTCAGATTTAAGTGAAGTGTGGGTCCTGTTATTTACTGTCTTTATTGGGGGTTAGGAGAGCTGAGATTAAACTGTAATGTTGCTTCAGGAATGACTACCAACAAAGTTTTAAGTTGCTATAAATGAAGAATATTATTTCAGTCAAATGATAGCCCCTTCCTGTTATTCTTTAAAATAATTATTTCCTTGTTTATTAAATATCCTTAAATTATTTCATTGCAAAGTGAGGGGAAGTCATATTGTATTAGGATAACCAAACATTTTAACACTTTGAGCCTCTAAATGGATGAAGAATGCCCATTGCTTTTTAAACAAACCAAAACAAAAACAAAAAAAAGTTTATCTTTGTTAAAATAAGTGATGCATTTATCTTCTTTCTTTACCTATGGCAATGTTCTGCTAACATAGTAATAAGCTGAGTTACTCTCTGGATGTGGCAATTAATAGAAATAAATATATTACAGTGAAGCACAGAGAGGATATATAAGCAAAAAAAATAAAAACATCAGATTTATGGAACTCTGGATTAAGCTAAAATTTAGAGTATCTTCTTACAACCAAATCCAGTGATCAAGCTTATAGTCTTTAAAACCTGTAACAAAGTAAAAACTTGAAAGTATTGTTAATATGCAGTTATTACTAATTATGATAAAAATCTATTTGTGGTTTTGTTTAATGTAACTATATAATATAAAATACAATTATTTTGTTTTTAAAGGTTTTTTCCCATGTTTCTTTTGAGTAAATTCAAAAACTTGAAAGTTAAACTGAGCCGGGCGCAGTGACTCATGCCTGTAATCCAAGCACTTTGGGAGGCTGAGGCAGGCGGATCACAAGGTCAGGAGATCGAGACCAGCCTGGCCAATATGGTGAAACCCCGTCTCTACTAAAAATATAAAAATCAGCTGGGTGTGGTGGCACGCACCTGTAGTCCCAGCTACTTGGGAGGCTGAGGCAGGAGAATTGCTTGAACCTGGGAAGCAGAAGTTGCAGTGAGCCATGTTGGTGCCACTGCACTCCAGCCTGGGCAACAGAGCGAGACTCCATCTCCAAAAAAGAAAAAAAGAAAGTTAAACTGAAGACTGTTAAAGTTGTTTTATAAAAATCAGATATCTGTGGATTAAAACATGGTCCTTTTCTAACTTTTCCATGAAAGCTTGGAATATAACCTATTAAAAGCTAACTGACAGCCAGGCGCAGTGGCTCACGCCTGTAATCCCAGCACTGTGGGAGGCCGAGGCAGTCAGATCGCCTGAGGTCAGGAGTTCGAGACCAGCCTGGCCAACATGTTGAAACCCCGTCTCGCCCTCCCCCCCAAGCTGTTTTTCTAGCATGTTGCCCTTTTTCAACCACATTTGTGTTTCAGGTGTAGAGAGGAGAGTGAACAGGGAGCGGGGCTTTTGTCTGTTGGTCTCCCTGGACTGAAGAGAGGGAGAATAGAAGCCAAGACTAAGATTCTCAAAATGGTTTATTACCCAGAACTCTTTCTCTGGGTCAGTCAAGAACCATTTCCAAACAAGGACATGGAGGGAAGGCTTCCTAAGGGAAGACTTCCTGTCCCAAAGGAAGTGAACTACAAGAAGAACGATGAGACAAACGCTGCCTCCCTGACTCTACTGGGCAGCAGTGAACTCCGCTCCCCAAGAATCAGTTACCTCCACTTTTTTTAATCGTAACACCTCCATTTGTATTACATACGGTGTATGGGTATTCATGAGGTCATGGTACCATATATGGGATTTTTTTCTGTGTAAATCATTAAGTATAAGAGGAAACTATGGGACTCTGAGCCTTGCTTTAGAGAATTTACAGTGGACAAATAGGTATCATCAAACCAGTTTTTAATCATTCTGACCCAAGTGAAAATGCTCAGAATTTCACACTGTGAATCCACGTTTACAACCCTTACAGGTGGGCCTTCAGGCCTGGTTCGCTACAACAATGTCTTCCACAACTCAAATTCCCACCGCGTTCACACAACCAGTGCACTCCTGCCTTTTCACTCACACAGCTCCCGACCGCTTCTTGCAGAGGCTGAGAGTCCCCCCCTTTTTCTTCATTTAGATGTAACAAACCTAGTAGTTTATGTTTATCAATTGTCTGTATATCTCTATATTTTATCCATGTACTCTTGATGTATAGACATAGTTTGAAACTCGTTTCCTTGTGGTAAGTGACCGAGATGCTGCCACAGGACCTGAGACACTGATGAATGGTGCTATTTTGGACTTTCATCATGCTCCTTGGCGAGGTAGCTCTGATGGGGTTATTTTTTATTTCCATGTTCTAAGAAGGTGTTGGTACTCTGTTTCGCTGAATGTTTTTCTCTAGACTGGATTGACTTGTTTTCCTTGTGTCTTCAGTGTGGCTTTCTTCCTCAGTGTTGTAGGTTGAGCGAATGCTACCGAAGTGTGAGAGACGATTGTCTCATTGGCTGGCACTCACGGACATGCAGTCACGGTAGCGGGAGCAATCACAAAACTGTAATTTACTTACCAAATCTCTTCCTTTCTATAGCCTCGCCTGCCTGACTTACAGAAAGAAAAGCAATAATTTTACAGGCATTTTGAGGTGTCTCTTTGGGTTCTTTCTGTTTGAAAGGATATTTGTGGAAAAAAAGAGCAAAACCTTTTTAAATAAATTCCCCCTGAAAAAAACCCAAAACACTGGCATCTGAGTAGGAATATGGAAATGACACCTTTTCCAAATATTACATTGGAAAACAATGTCTTTACAAAATCACAATACTTTTTTAAAAGGCAGAGCATTCTTTTTTTGGCAATTTTGATAAGCAAGGTATAGGTTTACATTTTTGTCCTTGCTCCCAACGAAATGGATAAACAAAAATAAAATACCATCTACTCATGGAATGTTGTTGTGTTAGCCAGTCTGAACGCCCACCTTAATTTTCATATAACTGTCTTTCAGCTCTTCTTTTGATAGGACAGCCCTTGTTCTGAACTGTTATGCTTCTGACTGTTAAACACTGATGACGCATGCACTGCACTTCTTCGTTTTCTTGCTCCCCCATTGGCCTGAGTTTCTTGTGCATTCCTCCTCTCCCTCCTTCGTTAGAATAGGTATATCAGCTGTGTAAATAGAGCAAGAAAACAGTATTCTGCATCCGTGGTATTTATGTAGAGTTGCAGTTGTGTACTGCTGAAAATGCAGGCTTTTGTAACAGTGTGATCTTTACTGATGCACTCATGACAAGTACCCAATGTATTTTAGCTATTTTAGTAGTATTTGTTCAATAAATATGCAAGCTGTTAGGTAAAAAGAAAAAAAAAAAAGAACTCTGTCTCCACTGAAAATACAAAAATTAGCTGGGCGTGGTGGCACGCACCTGTAGTCCCAGCTACTTAGGAGGCTGAGGCAGGAGAATTGCTTGAACCTGGGAAGCGGAGGTTGCAGTGAGCCGAGATCACACCATTGCAAAAAGCTCATAAAACAAGTTTTGCTGATTTTTTTTTAAAAAAAATCTTACAGGTAATGTAAGGACATTGGAGATTTTGATTGTATATGTATGTAGCTGATTAGAGGTTGGGTATTCAAACAAATTCATTTTGAAAACAATACCTTTGAAGAAAATTGCCACTTCGGCATTATCAAAGTGATTCTGCAATGTAAAATGAAGTAATAGATTCTGGATTTTGAATCCTGCTATGGACATACCGATATAAATATGCAAATATAGTCTTGTTTTCAAAAGCCAGTCTAGAGTGCATGTAGTCAAGAAATCAGACTCTGACATAAAGGGAAGTCAAAGTGTTTAAAGCACTTGTAACTGGAAAAGAACGCATAACTGGAAGGTATCTTCCAGTTACATCTACTATAGTAAATAGTACATCCATTATAGTAAATATTAGGTTACAATTTCACTAAAATATAATTTTGGTAGTTAAGATTTTATCTTTGGAAGTGTATGCTTTTAGCACTTTTTATTTAATAAAAAGAGAGATTGAGGCAATGTGTGTTACAGCCTAGTACTAGAAGACTCAGTAGGAAGATACAATATTTACCCGTTTTGTTTGTTTCTGAGACAGAGCCTTCCTCCATAGCCCATGCTGGGATGCAGTGACTTGAACACAGCTCACTGCAGCCTTGAACTACTTGACTTAATCAATCCTCCCACCTCAGCCTCCTGAGTAGCTGGGACTACAAGGCACGCACCACCATGCCCAGCTAACTTTTTTTTTTTAATACAGTGTCTATAATTATATTGCTCAGGCTGGTCTTGAACTCCTAGGCTCAAACGATCCTCTTGCCTCAGCCTCCCAAAGTGCTGGGATTACAGGTGTGAGTCACCACACCTGGCCCTATTTATATATATTCCAAATTCTTAGATACTTTGGATAAGGAAGTTTGGTGTTTGTTTGTTTTCTGTTTAATAACTAGGGGATTGTACCTTCTCTTTTACATGACTTTCAATTGAACTTGTTTCATAAAGATGTTTCTATAATTTGAAGGCGCAGGGCGCGGTGGCTCACACCGGTAATCCCAACACTTTGGGAGGCTGAGGCAGGCGGATTGCGAGGTCAGGAAATCGAGAGCATCCTGGCTAACACAGGTGAAACCCCGTCTCTACTAAAAATATAAAAAATTAGCCGGGCATAGTGGTGGGCGCCTGTGGTCACAGCTACTCCGGAGGCTGAGGCAGGAGAATGGCGTGAACCCGGGAGGCGGAGCTTGCAGTGAGCTGAGATCGGGCCACTGCACTCCAGCCTGGGTGACAGAGTGAGATTCTGCCTCAAAATAATAATAATAATAATAATAATAATAATAATTTGAAGACTAGACAGATTATTAGGGATCTACTAGATACCCATTTTACCATTGAGGCCAAGGAAGGTCAATGCAGGCAGACACACAGCTAGTTCAGTGGCAGGACCAAGATGTGTTTATCACCGAAGGACATCATAGAACAACGCAAGGTTGAAGTAAGAATAGTATGTTTTTCCTATTTTTGGTGACAAGAAAACAGACCCAAGGTGAGGTTTGCCCAGACACAAAATCATTACCTTTTTAAATAAAACGCCTACATTTATGCTTATCAGGGGTTCTGCATGTTATGGAAAGCATAAGGTTGAAAGTCTTTATGGTGGAGGAGACCTTGAAAAAAGTCATCTGCTTCACCTCAGTAACTTCAGTCAGGATCTCATTTAAACTGTCGCAAACAGGTAAAATCAGTTCACTAAAATGCTGCTAGGGAAGAAATTCCATGATTTATTTAGCCTGTGATCTCTCTCCTGTCTCTCAAAAGCTTGATTCAAGGCCCAGCTATATCAGAATCGCTAGATGACAAGGAATCTGCTTGCTTTCTTTTTTTTTTTTTTTTCTTAGACAAGATCTCACTATGTCACTATGTTGCCCAGGCTGGTCTCAAACTCCTGGCCTCGGGTAGTCCTCCTGCCTTGGCCTCCCAAAGTGCTGGAATTACAGTCCTGAGCCTCCGTGCCTCGCCAAGAAATCTGCTTTAACAGTCACCTCACACACTCCTAGTGGTAAGGTAAATTCTTCCTTATATCAAACTTGAAAAATGTTATGCTCTGGTTTACTCCAAATTACCAATTGACAGGGTTGAATTTTATTTTTGCTTCAGTGAAATATCGGAGGCTGGGCGTGGTGCCTCATTCCTGTAGTCCCAGCATTTTGAGAGGCCAAGACAGGAGGATCACTTGAGCTCAGGAGTTGGAGACCAGCCTGGCCAGCATGGTGAAACCCCATCTCTACCAAAGTACAAAAATTAGCTGGGCATGGTGCTGCGCATCTGTAGTCCCAGCTACTCCGGAGGCTGAGGTAGGAGGATCGTGTGAGCCCAGGAGTTTGAGGCTGCAGTGAGCTGAGATTGAGCCACTGTGCTCCAGCCTAGGGGACAGAGCAAGAACCTGTCTCAAAAAGAAAAAAAAAAAAAGGAAAGAGGGCACATGTCATCAGGACTTCCTGGGGCTGGGACTTCACAGGCAGCAGGCATCCTTAAATTTCAAAAATGTATTTTTAAAAAGGGGAAAAAAAGATAAATAGCAGGGGGTGGAGGGACTGTGTATTACTATTTAATATTTCTTACCTAAGTTCACATGAAGCACAAGCGTCTGATTCTAGCAGAAGGAAATCTTTTATGAAAACGTATTGTTGGCCGGGCACGGTGGCTCACGCCTGTAATCCCAGCACTTTGGGAGGCTAAGGCGGGCGGATCACCTGAGGTCAGGAGTTCAAGACCAGCCTGGCAACAACTGGCGAAACCCCGTCTCTACTAACAGTACAAAAATTAGCCAGGCGTCGTGGCAGGTGCCTGTAATCCCAGCTACCCAGGAGGCTGAGGCAGGAGAATCACTTGAACCCAGGAGGCAGGGATTGCAGTGAGCTGAGATGGTGCCACTGCACTCCAGCCTGGACGACAAGAGCAAGACTCCGTTTCAAAAAAAAAAAAAAAACGAAAGAAAATGTATTGTTTTACTTGGATTGTTGAGACAAATTTCTTATATTTGTCCAGGATGTCGGCTCGTGTTAATGGCTGGCATTAATAAGGGATTCCTCTACAGGGGATAGTTTTTTCTTTTCTTATTATTTATTTTTTTTCTGCTTTCCCCACAAACTATTACTTGGGACTCCCCCAACTCCTATCTCCTAAGGAGTTGAAGAACCACTGAGGGAATTGCAAGCCCAAGCTCTCACCCCTAACTAGATACATGAACTGAAAAGTAAGACGGTCACAGTCCTTAGCTGTGCCTTTGAATTAGAAGCTGCTTTTCAATAACTTCATTTACCTGTCAATCGGTTTGTCTTCCTTCCTAAACTGTGGATGCTGCCCTGGTGCCTGTTTTGTGTGTGCGTAGCTGATGTTGCTGTGGCCCCGGGTCAGTTTTCTTCACCTCCCGGGCCTTTGTTTCCACAGCTGTAAAAAGAGTTAAAACTACTTCTACCACCCTTTATCTTTTTCATCCCAGGAGAGCACTGAGTAGTTTTCAACAGGTATTTGTGGAATGTAGTTTTCAACAGGTATTTGTGGAATTTAGTTTTCAGAAAAAGGACTAAGACTGGGAATATCGATAAAATGATTGGACCAGTTTAGAAAGTTCTATAAAATGCGAGAGAGAAAGGGATAATTGCTTGACACTGGAAAATAATGCAGGGAGGGATATTTTGTGTCCATATAACCAGGATCAGAGACAGAGAGAAGGAAAGAAAAATTTATTCAAATAACACAGCTAGGTAACAGTTTGTGGGGAAAGCAGAAAAAAAACAAAGTATCTATCCCCTGTAAAGGAATCCCTTACTGGCCGGGCGCAGTGGCTCACGCCTCTAATCTCAGCACTTTGGGAGGCCAAGGTGGGTGGATCATTTGAGGTGAGGAGTTTGAGACCAGCTTGGCCAACGTGGTGAAACTTTGTCTCTACTGAAAAAAAAAAAAAAGAAAAAAAGAAAAAAAAATACAAAAATTAGCCAGGAGTGGCCGGGCGCAGTGGCTCACGCCTATAATCTCAGCACTTCGGGAGGCCGAGGAGGGCGGATCACGAGGTCAGGAGATCGAGGCAAGCCTGGCTAACACGGTGAAACCCCATCTCTACTAAAAATACAAAAAATTAGCCGGGCGTGGTGGTGGGCGCCTGTAGTCCCAGTTACTCAGGAGGCTGAGGCAGGAGAATGGCGTGAACCCGGGAGGCGGAGCTGGCAGTGAGCCAAGATCACGCCACTGCACTCCAGCCTGGGCGACAGAGCGAGACTCCATCTCAAAGAATAAATAAATAAATAAATTAGCCCGACATGGTAGTGGGCGCCTGTAATCCCAGCTAATCGGGAGGATGAGGCAGGAGAATCGCTTGAACCCAGGAGACAGAGGTTGCAGTGAGCTGAGATTGTGCCACTGTACTCCAGCCTGGCAACGCAGAGGTTGCAATGAACCGACACGGTGCCACTGCACTCCAGCCTGGGCGACAGAGTGAGACTCTCTCAAAAAAAAAAAAAAAGAAAAAGAAAAAATCATTTCCTCCTCTGATTTCAATTTTTTTTTTTTTTTTTTGAGATGGAGTCTTGCTCTGTTGCCCAGGCTGGAGTGCAGTGGAGCAATCTTGGCTCACTGCAACCTCCGTCTCCTGGGTTCAAGGGATTCTCCTGCCTCTGCGTCCCAAGTAGCTGGGACTACAGGCGCATGCCACCACGCCTGGCTTATTTTTGTGTTTTTAGTAGAGACGGGGTTTCACTATGTTGGCCAGGCTGGTCTCGATCTCCTGACCTCATGATCTTCCCGCCTCGGCCTCCCAAAGTGCTGGGATTACAGGCACAAGCCACTGCACCCGACCTAGATTTCAGAATTTTTAAGTGTGAATTTGATATAGCACTTTGTTTATTGCAAAATATTTATCATTTAAAAAGATTTTCACACTTGTCTCTTCCATTGGAGTCTAAACTGATTAGCAAGGTCTAATTTATCTTTGTATATAAGTAAACTACATGAAGGCAGAGTTTTTTTGGTTTATGTTGTTCACTGCCACTTTCCCAATACCTTAAATTGTGCTTGGCCCATAGTAAATACTCAGTAAATATTTGTCGAATGAATGTATGATACTGTCTAACATTCAGCCTTCCATGCTGCAAGTCGTCAGTACACATCGTTGAGCATACAAATGTTGGAGTTTTTTTGTGCAAATACATTCTCCACCCCACCCCTTAAAAGGCATGTGGTGACCTCGTTTGAAACAACAGCAGCAACAACAAAAACCCAGTTACTTTGGGATTGAGAATATAGACCAATTTTTCAGAACTAAAATATCTTCAAGCTTTATGGTTTCAGTTATCTAAGAGTGATGAAAAGCTTGGTCATAATTCAGTATCAGTACATCCATGTCAGAAACAGCATCATGAACTTTTATTACTTCATATATGGACTACCCTTTAAGAAATAATAGAGGCCTGGCACAGTGGCTCACGCCTGTAATCCCAGCACTTTGGGAGGCCGAGGCGGGTGGAACACCTGAGGTCAGGAGTTCGAGACCAGCCTGGCCAACATGGCAAAACCCTGTCTGTACTAAAAATACAAAACTTAGCCAGGTGTGGTGGTGGGTGCCTGTAATCTCAGCTACTTGGGAGGCAGAGGCAGGGAGAATTCCTTGAACTCAGGAGTCGCAGGTTGCAGTGAGCCAAGATTGTGCCACTGCACTCTGGTCTGGGTGACAGATGGAAGCTCTGTCTCAAAAAAAAAAAAAAAAATAATAATAATAATAATAGCAGAACTTTATTTAAAGGAGATTTTGAGGCTTACTATGGATGATTATTTTCACTTTTGGCAACATATACTGAGTTAAGGCTGGGCGCCGTGCCTCACGCCTATAATCCCAGCACTGTGAGAGACTAAGGCAGGCAAATCACCTGAGGTCAGTAGTTCGAGACCAGCCTGGCCAACACGGTGAAACTCTGTCTCTACTAAAAATACAAAAATTAGCTGGGTGTGGTGGCACAAACCTGCAATCCCAGCTACTTGGGAGGCTGAGACAAGAGAATCCCTTCAACCCAGGAGGCGGAAATTGAGCTGAGATCATGCTATTGCACTGTAGCCTGGGTGACAGAGTGAGACTCCGTCTCAAAAATATATATATATACACACTTATATACCTATAATACGTATATACGTATATACCTATAATACGTATATACGTATACGTATATACGTATTATAGGTATATACGTATATGCATGTATGTGTATTATATGTAATATACGTATATGCATGTATGTGTATTATATGTAATATACGTATATGCATGTATGTGTATTATATGTAATATACGTATATGCATGTATGTGTATTATATGTAATATACGTATATGCATGTATGTGTATTATATGTAATATATGTATATGCATGTATGTGTATTATATGTAATATACGTATATGCATGTATGTGTATTATATGTAATATACGTATATGCATATCATTATGCATATTATTATACATATACATATTATTAACATGAGGTTTTTACGATGTCCTATTTGAAGAGAAGAAATGGCAAAATTGGTCTGCAAAAGAACAATCTGTAATCTAAACTGATTGAACAGTAATTCTCGGGTTGAAAAGTAGAGTTCGGCTGGGTGCCGTGGCTCCTGTAATCCCAGCACTTTGGGAGGCCGAGGCGAGTGGATCACCTGAGGTCAGGAGTTCGAGGCCAGTCTGACCAACATTGCAGAAACCCCCTCTCTACTAAAAATACAAAATTAGCTGGGCATGGTGGTGTGTTCCTGTAATCCCAGCTACTCGGGAGGCTGAGGCAGGAGAATCACTTGAACCCAGGAGGCGGAGGTTGCAGTGAGCTGAGATCACGCCATTGCACTCCAGGCCGGGCAACAAGAACGAAACTCCCTTTTTTTTTTTTTTTTTTTTTTTTTTTTTTTGGAGACGGAGTCTCACTGTGTTGCCCAGGCTGGAGTGCAGTGGCGCGATCTCAGCTCACTGCAAGCTCTGCCTCCTGGGTTCAGGCCATTCTCCTGCCTCAGCCTGCCCAGTAGCTGGGACTACAGGCGCCCGCTACTACGCTCTGCTAATTTTTTTGTATTTTTAGTACAGATGGGGTTTCACTGCGTTAGCCAGGTTGGTCTCAATCTCCCGACCTCATGATCCGCCCGCCTTGGCCTCCCAAAGTGCCGGGATTACAGGCGTGATCTCATTTAATTATTAAATGAAATTCTAGGAAGTTACGGTAAACTTATTTCACCTTCTATTTTAAAAGAGCTATAAAAATATATGTTTTGGTTATTATGGGATACTTTTGTTTGTTTGTTTGTTTTTATATGGGGGCTGGCTGTGTTGCCCAGGCTGGCCTCAAACTCCTGGGCTCAAGCAATCCTTCCACTTCAGCCTCCTGTGTAGCTGGGATTACAGAGACACAACACCACATCAGGCTGGGATCTTTCATTCTTACATTTATTTCATGATGGGTTACATGAAATAGTTAACACTATTCAAAATGTAGTGAATGTCATAAGGTTTCATTGTGTTGTTAGCTAATTAGCTAACAACAACAACAAAAGATTTATATAATCCCTAGATTGTAAAAGTTGTGACTATAGCAGATATATTTTTCTGTAAAGACACGAATGTGCTGCTTCTCCGAGAAAACACCAAATGGCGGATGACGCCAGTGCAGAGGGCGGGGGCGGGCGGGCGCGGGCGGGCGGGCGGGTGGTGTGGGCGCCGGAGGCCCCGGGGGCCCTGGGAAGGGGAACTGATGTGACTTCCGCTGAGGGTTTCAGCAGTGGCATCCGGGTCCGGGGTCACGGCCGTGGATGGGGCCGGGGCCGGGGTCGCGGCCGTGGATGGGGCCGGGGCCAAGACCGCGGAGTTCGCGGAGGCAAGGCCCAGGATAAGGAGCGGATGCCCGTCACCAAGCTGGACGGCCTGGCCAAGGACATGAAGATCAAGTCCCTAGAGGAGATTTATCTCTTCTCGCTGCCCATCAAGGAATCTGAGATCATTGACTTTTTCCTGGGGGCCTCTCTCAAGGACGAGGTTTTGAAGATTATGCCTGTGCGGAAGGAGACCCGCGCCGGCCAGCGCACCAGGTTCAAGGCGTTTGTTGCCATCAGGGACTACAATGGCTACGCTGGTCGGGTTGAAGTGCTCCAAGGAGGTGGCCGCCGCCATCCGCGGGGCCATCATCCTGACCAAGCTCTCCATTGTCACCGTGCGCAGAGGCTACTGGGGGAACAAGATCGGCAAGCTCCACACCGTCCCTTGCAAGGTGACAGGCCGCTGCGGCTCTGTGCTGGTGCCCTTCATCCCCGCGCCCAGGGGCACTGGCATCGTCTCAGCTCCTGTGCCCAAGAAGCTGCTCATGATAGCTGGTATCTACGACTGCTACACCTCAGCCAGGGGCTGCACTGCCACCCTGGGCAACTTCGCCAACGCCACCTTGGATGCTGTCTCTAACATCTACAGCTACCTGATCCCCTGAAGGACTTCTGGAAGGAGACTGTATTCACCAAGTCTCCCTATCAGGAATTCACTGACCACCTCGCCAAGACCCACACCAGAGTCTCCGTGCAGAGGACCCAGGCTCCAGCTGTGACTACAACATAGGGTTTTTATGCAAGAAAAATAAAGTGAATTAAAGCCTATTACTGTCAAAAAAAAAAAAAAAAAAGACATGAATGTACTGGGTATGATTCGAACTGGATTTGTTTCAAGCCTACAAGTCTCTCTCTCTGATAAGTGTCATCAAAAAACACTGGGTGAAATAATGTTTACTTACTTATTTATTCAACACATATTTATACCCCAAAGGGAGTCTTGTGGAGGATAGAGATGGATGTATACTGTGGGTCCTTGCCTGCCCCTTGAGAGGCAGCCTATAAATGCCATTCATGTTATTCTTAAAAGTGTGGAAAAGTACCCAAGCTGCTCTTAGCTTTCTTCTTCCTCCTCCTCCTCCTCCTCCTCCTCCTTCCCCTACTTCCCTCCCTCCCCGGCTCCCTCCCTCCCTCCTTCTCTCCCTGCCTTCCTTCCTTCCTGGCTAATCAAGTGAAGCAGTGGGAGTGGAGAAGGAACGAAGAAATCTATAACTGGTTGTGATCAATTAGTTGTAAACACCACTGCACTCAGACCGGCCCTTAGTTTTCTTTAATGTCTCATTTTAAAGCTTTTGTTTAGGAATGTATCTTTTTTTTTTTTCCTTTTTGAGACAGAGTCTTGCTCTTGTCGCCCAGGCTGGAGTGCAGTGGCACGCTCTCAGCTCACTGCTGCCTCTGCCTCCCGGGTTCAAGCGATTCTCCTGCCTCAGCCTCCAGAGTACTTGGGATTGTAGGCGCCCACCACCAAACTTGGCTAATTTTTGTATCTTTAGTAGAGATGGGGTTTCTCCATGTTGGCCAGGCTGGTCTTGAACTCCTGACCTCAGGTGATCCGCCCACTTCGGCCTCCCAAAATGTTGAGATTACAGGCATCAGCCACCATGCCCAGCCAGGAACACCTTTTAGAATCTGATGGAACCACTTAACTTTCCTTAGAAAAAATACACACAAGGCCGGGGGCGGTGGTTCACACCTGTAATCCCAGCACTTTGGGAGGCTGAGGCGGGTGGATCACTTGAGGTCAGGAGCTTGAGACCAGCCTGGCCAACATGGAGAAACTCCATCTGTACCGAAAATACAAAAATTAGCCAGGTGTGGTGGCGGGCGCCTACAATCCCAGGTACTCTGGAGGCTGAGGCAGGAGAATCGCTTGAACCCGGGAGGCAGAGGTTGCAGTGAGCCGAGATCGCGCCACTGCACTCCAGCCTAGACGACAGAGCGAGACCCTGTCTCAAAAAAGAAAAGAGAGGGAAAAAAAAAACAAAATCACAAATGCAAGCACATCAAGTTCTGAATATATGTTCAAAGGGTAATGATCTCTTAAAGTTTATCCATTACCTCCTAGCCATGGACCCTAGGTTAAAACCCATTTCCTTAAACTAGGTACTCTAAAGAATATCTTATTTTAGAGGGGATACAATCATTAGAAAGTTGGATTAGACAATTTTAAGACATTACTCAACCTAGAGATAGCTACATTACTAAAAAGAAAAAAAAAGCAGAAAGATTGACTACGTCTTTTTAATTTTGTTTTGTTTGTTTTTGAGACAGTCTTGCTCTGTTGCCCATCCTGGAGTGCAGTGATGTGATCTCAGCTCACCTCAACCTCTGCCTCCTGGGTTCAAGCAGTTCTTCTGCCTCAGCCACCTTGAGTAGCTGGGATTACAGGGGCATACCACCACGCCTGGCTAATTTGTTTGTTGTAGAGATGGGTTTCACCATGTTGGCTAGGCTGGTCTCAAACTCCTGACCTCAGGTGTTTCACCTGCCTCGGCCTCCCAGAGTGCTGGGATTTCAGGCATAAACCACCTCACCCAACCCAATAAATAACTTTTAGCAATCTTCCCACACCTTAAAATTAACTCTAATTGCATTTTACTGTGGAAATTGTAGAGCATTTTCTAAATCTCTCTATAGACTAAAGGCCATAGAACGAAAATTGTTTCACTAAAGGCCGTAGAATGAAAATTGTTTCACTAAATAAAATTTTGGTTACGGCCAGGTGCGGTGGCTCACTCCTGTAATCCCAGCACTTTGGGAGTCCGAGGTGGACGGATCACAAGGTTAGGAGTTCAAGACCAGCCTGGCCAATATGGTGAAACCCTGTCTGTACTAAAAATACAACAGTTAGCCGGGCGTAGTGGTGGGCGCCTGTAGTCCCAGCTACTGGGGAGGCTGAGGCAGGAGAATCACTTGAACCTGGGAGGCAGAGATTGCAGTGAGCTGAGATCATGCCACTACACTCCAGCCTGGGTGACAGAGCAAGACTCCATCTCAAAAAATAATAAATAAATAAAAATAAAAATTTGGTTAGCACTTTGTTTTCTCATGACACACATCTGTCATCTAAAAGTACAGTAGGCTGGGTGCAGTGGCTCACACCTATAATCCTAACACTTTGGGAGGCCAAAACGGGAGGATGGCTTGAAACCAGGACCAGTCTGGGCGACATAGAAAGACCCTGTCACTACAAAAAATTGAACAATTAGCTGAGAGTGGTGGCAGCACCTGTAGTCCCAGCAACTCCGAAGGCTGAAGAAGGGGGATGGATTGAGCCCAGGAATTAGAGGCTGCAGTGTTTTGTTTTGTTTTTGTTTTGAGACAGGATCTTGCTCTGTCACCCAGGCTGGAGTGCAATGGCACCATCTCGGCTCACTGCAGCATCCAACTCCTGGGTTCAAGCAATTCTCCCACCTCAGCCTCCCGAGTAGCTGGAATTACAGAGGTGCACCACCATGCCCGGCTAACTTTTGTTATTTTTAGTAGAAACAGGGTTTCACCATGTTGGCCAGGCTGGTCTCAAACTCGTGACCTCAGGTGATCCACCCACCTCGGCCTCCCAGAGTGTTTGCATTACAGGTGTGAGCCACCATGCTCGGCCGAGGCTGCAGTGTTATGATCACACCACTGCATTCCAGCCTGGGCAACAGCGCGAGACCTTGTCTCCCAGTAAATAAATAAAAGTAGAGTAAGCCTTAGTTTACGGAGGGCTTAATTTAGTTAACTTTTACTTAAAATAGAATTTAACATTCTTTTTTTTACACCAATTCAGTCTGTCTTGAAAGTCAATTCATACAATTGACTTAAATATACTCGGTACTAAAGAAGTTCTAAGAATAACTTATATGGAAAGATTTCTGCTTTGTAGCTGTCAAAGTAGATTACAAATTAATGTATCCTTTATTGGACTTGTGCTACAGAAAAAAATGATGTAAACCCTGTGTACATTTAATCAAAACATTACAATATTACTCTCAAAGTGGTGGATTTTTTGTGTTCAAAGGAAGATTTTGTTTAAAAAAAGTCAATTTTATGTGTATTAACTAAACCTCAATAAATCTGATTTTAAAGAGACGCATAGCTGGGTCCGGGGGCTCATGCCTGTGATCTCAGCACTTTGGAAGGCCGAGGCAGATGCATCACTTGAGTCCAGGAGTTTGAAACCAGCCTGGGCAACATGGCGAAACCCTGACTCTACAAAAAATATACGAAAATGAGCTGGGCATGGTGGCACACGTCTATAGTCCCAGCTACTTGGGAGACTGAGGCAGGAGGATCAATTAAGCCTGAGAGGTGGAGGCTGCAGTGAGCAGAGATCCCACCACTGTACTCCAGCCTGGGCAGAGAAAGACACAGTCTCAAAAAAAGAAAAAAGGGAGGGGGATAGCCAGGCACAGTGGCTCACGCCTGTAATCCCAGGATTTTGGGAGGCCGAGGCCGGTGGATCACCTGAGGTCAGGAGTTCAAGACAAGCCTGGCCAACATGATGAAACCCTGTCTCTACAAAAATACAAAAATTAGCTGGGCGTGGTGGTGCGTGCCTATAATCCCAGCTACTCGGGAGGCTGAGGCAGGAGAATTGCTTGAACCCAAGAGGCGGAGGTTGCGGTGAACCAAGATTGCACCACTGCACTCCAGCCTGGGCAACAGAGCAAGACTCTTCTCAAAAAAAAAATGGGAGGGGGATAGAAGAATGGCTAACAAATGATTGTATAATTCCCTACGATTGAAAATGAAATTATCTTTCAAATCATGTTTTAAAAAGAGTTTTAAAAATGGCTGGGTGTGGTGGCTCACGCCTATAATCCCAGCACTTTGGGAGGCTGAGGCTGAAGGATCACCTAAGTTCAGGAGTTCGAGACCAGCCTGGCCAACATGGTGAAACCCCATCTCTACTAAAAATACAAAAATTAGCCGGACGTGGTGGCATGTGCCTGTAATTCCAGCTACTCAGGAGGCTGAGGTGGGAGAATCACTTGAACCTGGAAGGCAGACGTTGCAGTGAGCCGAGATTACACCACTGTACTCCAGCCTGGGCAACAGAGCGAGACTCTGTCTCAAAAAAAGAATTTAAAAAGAAAAACCCCAGATCATGGCTTGTATTTAGTTATCATGTCTTTTCAGTCTCCTTTAATCTGCAATATTCCTGTCTTTAACTTTTATAATATTGAAATTTTTTAAGCTCCCAAGTCAGTTATTTTAGACTGCTTCTCTTTTGGGGGGTATCTGATTTTTTCTGATTATAGCAGTGATTATACTTATTTTTTGTGAAATATCACCAATGTCTTTAGTGCATCAGGAAGCACATGATATCCATTATTCCCATTACTGATGATATTAACTTTAATCACATGGTTTGATATGCCAGGTTTCTCCAGTGTAAAATTACAAAGTTTTTTTGTTTGGTTTTTGTTTTTGTTTTTGTTTTGGAGATGGAGTCTGGCTCTGTCACCCAGGCTGGAGTGCAGTGGCGTGATCTTGGCTTACTGCAACCCATCTCCCAGGTTCAAACAATTCTCCTGCCTCAGCCTCCCGAGTAGCTGGGACTACAGGGGCATGCTGCCATGCCTGGCTAATTTTTAAAAATATTTTTAGTAGAGGCAGGGTTTCATTGTGTTGCCCAGGCTGGTTTCGAACTCCTGAACTCAGGCAATCTGCCTGCCTCAGCCTCCCAAAGTGCTAGGATTACAGGCGTAAGCCACCACGCCTGGCCCAAAGTTTTTTCTTATTTGTAATAGCTTGTGAAGATATATTTTCAGATTATATAAATTCCTTGTTATTCCTTTTTTTTTTTTTTTTTTTTTTTTTGAGACGGAGTCTCACTCTTGCCCAGGTTGTAGTGCAGTGGCACGATCTTGGCTCACTGCAACCTCCGCCTCCCAGGTTCAAGCGATTCTCCTGCCTCAGCCTCCCAAGTAGCTGGGACTATAGGTGTGTGCCACCACACCCGGCTAATTTTTTATTTTTAGTAGAGACGGGGTTTCACCATGTTGGCTAGGCTGGTCTTGAACTCCTCACCTCAGGTGATCCACTGGCCTTGGCCTCCCAAAGTGCTGGGATTACAGGTGTGAGCCACCACGCCTGGCCTATTCCTGAAATTTTTATGTACTAGTTTTAGTACCAATCAGAGTCTTGCCTTATCAACTATTATTATCATGGTTGCCAAATAACATATAGTTTTTTTACATTTATATATTAACCCACCTATAATTTGTATTGTTGTAATATTGTATGAAGCAAGAGTCTAAATCTATTTTCTTCCAAATAGCCATATACCATTCTTTACTGATCTGTCATTTTCCCATAAAAATAAAATGCTACCTTTATCATTTAAGTATGTATGTTTTCTTTCCTTTTTTGAGACAAGGTCTCATTCTGTCAGCTAGGCTGGAGTACAGTGGCACAACCATGGCTCACTGCAGCCTGGATCTCCCAGGCTCAACTTACACCTCATCCTCCTAAGTAGCTAAGACTACAGGTATGCACCACCAAACCCAGGTAATTTTTTATTTTTTGTAGAGATGGGGATCTCAGTATGTTGTCCAGGCTAGTCTTGAACTCCTGGGCTCACGTGATCCTCTTGCGTTAGCCTCCCAAAGTGCTGGGATTACAGGCATGAGCCACCACGCCCAGCCCATGTAAGTTTTCATAGGTACTTGGATCTAGTCTGGACTCTATTCCTGATTGTTTATTCATTTCTAAGTACATTCTTCCATGTGACCTTTGGTACTATTTCATTGAACTCCCCGCCCCCAGCCCCAAATCTTGTAGGGACTACTATAAACTGTTTAATAAGAACTTTCCCCTTCTGTGTGGGAATTTGGCCTTTCATTAAATTTCTAGTTGTTTCTCTGGCACCCTGATAAGGCTAGTATGTCAACTGTGTTACAACATTGCTTGTGGTAAAAATGATTTGACTGGTAAATTGCGTCTTCACTGGGAGAAACTAAAGTATCCAATGGAGACCCTACATCTTAAGTGCAATGACATAAGAGGCATATGTCTCAGGAAGCTTAGAAGCTATGCCTGTGGGTAACAGGTCATAAAACTTTTAAAACCAGGTGTCTTGTGCACTTGCGTGATGTGGATCTCACATCTCAGACCTAAGTTGTATTGCTGCGTGAACTGCTACAAGGATCCCTGTGGAATGCCTGGCACTGCCCTACTTGCTGCATCCTATCCTGTATTTTTCTAAGTGAATATGCCAAATGTGGACTAACGGTTTTCTAAGTCTGAATGTTTAACTTAAGACACCCTGCTGAACATAGCATTCTCACTCTAACTCCGTGAAGTGCACAATAATATACATTTGAAGGTAAGGATTGAAATATTTATAGTACTAGGTTTTCCCATACAGTAATATGAATTCAGGATACATACATAAAAGACAACAAATGTTTTTCATTTTCTTCATTTGAGCTTTGCACTTTAATAACAAATTTAGTAATTTGTTATTAAAAAATAGTATAAACTCTAAATTACCTTAAGAACAACCAAAGCATACAAATCGTACTTTAAAATGTTAAATTTTGGCCAGGCACGGTGGCTCATGCCTGTAATCCCAGCACTTTGGGAGGCCGAGGCGGGCAGATCACGAGGTCAGGAGATCGAGACCACCCTGGCTAACACGGTGAAACCTCGTCTCTACTAAAAATACAAAAAAATTAGCTGGGCTTGGTGGCGGGTGCCTGTAGTCCCAGCTACTTGGGAGGCTGAGGCAGAAGAATGGCATGAACCTGGAAGGCAGAGCTTGCAGTGAGCCAAGATCACGCCACTGCACTCCAGCCGGGGCGACTGAGTGAGACTCCGTCTCCAAAAACAAAAACAAACACAAAAAACAAAAACAAAAAAAGTTTTATTAAAAGTTTGATTACAAATATATGTGTATGCCTTTACAAAGGTTTGAAACTTTGCCTACATTCATTGTTGAAGGAAATGCTACATTTCAGCTGGAAGTTTGTGAAAATAATGTATCAATAGCTTTGTTAGTATTTGAAAATAAATCCAGCTGGGCATGGTGGCTCACATCTGTAATCCCAGCAATTTGGGAAGCTGAGGTGGGTGGATCACGAGGTCAAGAGATCGAGACCATCCTGGCCAATTGGTGAAACCCCATCTCTACTAAAAATACGAAAAAAGTAGCTGGGAGTGGTAGCGCGCGCCTGTAGTCCCGAGCTACTCGGAAGGCTGAGGCAGGAGAATCGCTTGAACCCGGAAGGCAGAGGTTGCAATGAGCTGAGATTGCGCCACTGCACTCCAGCCTGGGCCTGGCGACAGAGTGAGACTCCATCTCAAAAAAAGAATATAAATCCATATCCCTTTTAAGTTTTTAAAAAAGAACATTTTCCATTGTGACTTTTTTTTTCTTTTTCTTTTTTTTTTTTTTTTGGGACAGAGTTTCACTCTTGTTACCCAGGCTGGAGTGCAATGGCGTGATCTCAGCTCACTGCAACCTCCACCTCCCGGGTTCAAGCAATTCTCCTGCCTCAGCCTCCCGAGTAGCTGGGATTACAGGCATCAGCCACCATGCCCAGCTAATTCTGTATTTTTAGTAGAGACGGGGTTTCTCCATGTTGGTCAGGCTGGTCTTGAACTCCAGAGCCCGGGCGATCTGCCTGCCTCGGCCTCCCAAAGTGCTGGGATTACAGGCGTGAGCCACCACGCCCAGCCTATTGTGACATGTTTGCACTTGATATTCTTGTGAATGTCAAATAGAATGGTTAACTTATCTGACATTATCAGGGATCCCAGTGTTCCATATCAATGAATTTTCTTTTTTTATTTGGAGACAGAGTCTTGCTGTGTTGCCTAGGCTGGAGTGCAGTGGCATGATCTCGGCTTACTGCAACTTCCGCCTCCCAGGTTCAAGCCATTCTCCTGCCTCAGCCTCCCAAGTAGTTGGGACCACAGGCGCATGCTACCACACCCGGCTAATTTTTTGTATTTTTAGTAGAGACGGGGTTTCATCGTGTTAGCCAGAATGGTCTCGATTTCCTGACCTCGTGATCCGCCTGCCTTGGCCTCTCAAAGAGTTGGGATTACAGGCGTGAGCCACCGCACCCCACCATAAATGAATTTTTAAGGCAACTTAAGCACCAACACTTTAATGATAATTAAACTGCCATTTTTCTTCCCTCATTACACAGATTACTAAAAGTGATTTTTAACCTTTGTTAGGGTTGTCACGATTATTTTCAGCCTAGATCCCTTCTGTCACACTGCCCTTACACTTTAGCTCTTTAAATTACTCCTCTATCCTCATTCATCTATGCAAATATTTACTGGACATCTACTCCATGCCAGGCACCATTCTGTGCAGCAGTCACAAAGCAAGGAAGTTACCTCATTGGTTACTTAATCATTTTACAACTTTCAAATTGCAGAGTACACCAGGAACAGTTATGTAGCAACAAACTACATATATGTGGATTTTTTTTTTTGATATACATACTTGAAACTATACCCATTAAACACTAACTCCCCATTTCCTCTCTCTGTATATACTTTGAATTTTTCCTAATGATTGCAGCCATACTCCGTAACAGTCTAAAACTAGTACCTCAATTACCCATGTATCCATTCTCTCACCTCTGACGGGTGAATAGGATAGTCATTTTAAAATAATTTTGTGTTGTAAATAATTGAGTATATAAGCTTATTTTCCTTTGTATAACTCCATCTTTTTTTTTTTTTTTGAGACAGAGCCTGGCTCCATCACCCAGGCTGGAGTGTAGTGGCACCATCTTGGCTCACTGCAACCTCCACCTCCTGGGTTCAAGCAATTCTCCTGTCTCAGCCTCCCAAGTAGCTGGGACTACAGGCGCCTGCCACCATGCCTGGCTAATTTTTGTATTTTTAGTAGAGACGGGATTTCACCTTGTTGGTCAGGTTGGTCTCGAACTCCTGACCCCAGGTCCACCAGCCTCGGCCTCCCAAAGTGCTGGGATTACAGACATGAGCCACTGCGCCTGGTAACTCCCATCTTTTTTTAAAAAATAAAAAAAGGCCTCCCCCACATTTATTTATTTATTTCAGATAGAGTCTTGCTCTATTGCCCAGGCTAGAATGCAGTGGCATGATCTCAGCTCACTGCAACCTCTGCCTCCTGAGTTCAGGTGATTCTCCTGCCTCAGCCTCCTGAGTAGTTGGGATCACAGGCATCCCCAACCATGACCAGCTAATTTTTGTATTTTTAGTAGAGACGGGGTCTCGCCATGTTGGCCAGGCTGGTCTTGAACTCCTGACCTCAGGTGATCTGCCAACCTTGACATCCCAAAGCGCTGGGATTACAGGCATGAGCCACTGTGCCCAGCCTTGTTTTCTATATTCATTACTCCTATGGATGTTACACTTCTTTTTTTTTTTTTCCAATTATTGAGCAGCTTCCCTAGCCAGAGTATGCTCAAAGACTCCTCCCCTGATCTTTTAATGTCAATAAGTATCTGAATTGTTTCATAGAATAAAAATATGCACTAGTTTTGACCATTTGATTCATTTAATTTTAACTTAATTGGGAGGGAAAAAGAAAATTCATACTAAAAACCCAAAGCATTAAGTGTGACATCAGGGATAGGAATACATTAAAATGCTGGGCTTTTAATTGCCACAGCAAAGCAATATGTATTTGTGTGTAATAGTTCAAGTTGCTGTGCAATTCAAACTGTTCTCGGTGGCTCATGCCTGTAATCCCAGCACTTTGGGGGGCCAAGGTGGGTGGATCACCTGAGGTCAGAAGTTCGAGACCAGTCTGGCCAACATGGTGAAACCCCATCTCTACTAAAAACACAAAAATTAGCTGGGTGTGGTGGCACATGCCTGTGATTCCAGCTACGGGAGGCTGAGGCAGGAGAATCACTTGAACCCGGGAGATGAAAGTCGCAGTGAGCCAAGATCGTGCCACTGCACTCCAGCCTGGGCAACCCATAGCGCAAGACTCCGTCTCAAAAAAGAAAAAAAAAGTTCTAACATTGATAAGCAATGACAGCCTAAACAAGCAAGGGCCAGGCTTGGTGGCACACAGATCTACTCTTGAGGGCAAAGCAATAGGGTTGCTTGAGTGCAGGAGTCCTATGATCATGTGAGTAGACACTGAACTCCAGCATAGGCAACATAGTGCCCAGCATAAAACTGTTTTATTGGTTTTATGAATGTTCATCTTACCTCCTCTCTCCACAGATTACCACTCCACAGGGTAACTACTATGAGGAGATTGGTGTATATTCTTTTTTTTTTTGAGACGGAGTCCCCGTCTGTTGTGCAGGCTGAAGTGCAGTGGTGCCATCTTGGCTCACCGCAACCTCCGCCTCCTGGGTTCAAGTGATTCTCCTGCCTCACCCTTCTGAGTAGCTGGGATTACAGGTGCCCACCACCATGCCTAATTTTTTTTTTTTTTTTTTTTTTTTTAGTAGGGATGGGGTTTCACCATGTTGGTCAGGCTGGTCTCAAAATCCTGACCTCAGGTGGATCCACCTGCCTTCGGCCTCCCAAAAGTGCTGAGATTACAGGCGTGAGCCACCACGCCCAGGCTGGTGTATATTCTTTTTTTTTTTTTTCTTGAGACTGAGTCTTGCTCTGTCACCCAGGCTGGAGTGCAGTGGCGTGATCTCGGCTCACTGCAAGCTCCGCCTCCCGGGTTCATGCCATTCTCCTGCCTCAGCCTCCCGAGTAGCTGGGACTACAGGCACCCGCCACCACGCCCAGCTAATTTTTTGTATTTTTTAGTAGAGACGGGGTTTCACCATGTTAGCCAGGATGGTCTCGATCTTCTGACCTCGTGATCCACCTGCCTCAGCCTCCCAAAGTGCTGGGATTATAGGCGTGAGCCCGGCCCCTGGTGTATATTCTTATAGATCTTATTCTATGCACAAGATTATAATTTAAAAGCCAAATACTCTGCTGGACGTGGTGGCTCACACCTGTAATCCCAACACTTTTCGAGGCTGAGGGAGGTCAATTTGTTTGAGCCCAGGAGTTTGAGACCAGCCAGGGCAACATGGCAAAGCCTCTTCTCTACAAAAAAGTACAAAAATTAGCCAGGCATGAAGGCGTGCGCCTGTAGTCCCAGCTACTTGAGAGGCTGAAGTGGGAGAATTGCTTGAGTCTGGCAGTCGAGGCTGCAGTGAGCTGTGATCCCACCACTGCACTCCAGCCTGGGTGACAGAGTGAGACCCTGTCTCAACACAAAAACACCAGAACGTTTCACACAAGTGTTTCTGGGAAGACAGACTGCAGGTTTTTCAGATTTTTTTTTTAGGGCTCCAGGACCTAAATAAGATTAAGTGGGAACCACCGTTGTAAGAAGTTAGAGAACCAACAGCAGCAGTTTTTCTTACCCGCCAGTTGAAAACACTTATATCTTTGAGATGGAGTTTTGCTCTTGTTGCCCAGGCTGGAGTGCAATGGCATCATCTCAGCTCATTGCAACCTATGCTTCCCAGGCTTAAGAGATTCTCCTGCCTCAGCCTCCCAAGTAGCTGGAATTAAAGGTGTCCACCACCATGCCCAGCTAATTTTTTTTGTATTTTTATTAGAGATGGGGTTTCACCATGTTGGCAAGGCTGGTCTTGAACTCCTGACCTCAGGTGATCCACTCACCTCAGCCTCCCAGAGTGCTGGGATTACAGGTGTGAGCCACAGTGCCCGGCCACATTTAGATCTTAATAGTAAACAGAAAAAGTGGAGGTCCAGAAATATCTAAGCTTTTATTTCTATTTTGAGTAGTTATGCTCAAAATAACTTTCTGTCTCAGCATCCCTAGTTGTGACTACAGGTGCACACTACTGAGCTCAGCTCCCTAGTCACAAAATATACTTAAAAAGGACAGGACTTTCAAACAGTAAATTTTTTTTTTTTTTTTGAGATGGAGTCTTGCTTTGTTGCCCAGGCTGGAGTACAGTGGTGCTCTCTGCAACCTCTGCCTCCCAGGTTCAAGTGATTCTCCTGCCTCAGCCTCCTGAGTAGGTGGGACTACTGGAACCCACCACCATGCCTGGCTAATTATTTTGTATTTTTAGTAGAGACGGGGTTTCACCGTGTTAGCCAGGATGGTCTCAATCTCCTGACCTCGTGATCCGCCCGCCTCAGCCTCCCAAAGTGCTGGGATTACAGGTGTGAGAGCCACTACGCCCAGCTGCCCAACACCTTTTTTTAAAGGTCACTTGAAACACCCTCTTCTTCTTTTACATTACAGTTATTTAAGTGTGTTTCCTACTGGAATATATTTAGACTTCTTAAGATATTATCTACCTATAGGCCGGTCGCAGTGGCTCACGCCTGTAATCCCAGCAATTTGGGAGGCTGAGGCGGGCATATCACGAGGTCAGGAGATCGAGACCATCCTGGCTAACATGGTGAAAACCCTCTACTAAAAATACAAAAAATTACCCGGGCGTGGTGGTGGGTGCCTGTAGTCCCAGCTACTTGGGAGGCTGAGGCAGGAGAATGGCGTCAACCAGAGAGGTGGAGCTTGCAGTGAACTGAGATCACGCCACTGCACTCCAGCCTGGGCAACAGAGCGAGACTCTGTCTCCAAAAAAAAAAAAAAAAAAAAAAAGTAGGCCGGGTGCAGTGGCTCACGTCTGTAATCCCAGCACTCTGGGAGGCCAAGGCATGTGGATCACAAGGTCAGGAGATCGAGACCATCCTGGCTAACACCGTGAAACCCCGTCTCTACTAAATACACAAAAAATTAGCCGGGCGTGGTGGTGGGCGCCTGTAGTCCCAGCTACTCGGGAAGCTGAGGCAGGAGAATGGCGTGAACCCGGGAGGCGGAGCTTGCAGTGAGCCGAGATCGCGCCACTGCACTCCAGCCTGGGTGACAGAGCAAGACTCCGTCTCAAAAAAAAAAAGGTATTAGCTACCTATCTTTCCTTCAGCATGGTGCTGGTACTGAATATTCTCAATATTTACAATTCGGTCTCCCCCAAAAGAGAAGAAAAACAAGGGTTTTAAAAGAACCAAAGAAAAGACAAGGAATAACATTCTAGTGTAAGAAAAAATATTTTTAAAAATGAGAAATATTGGGAAGTTAAAACTCAGGATGGGTAAACTTTCATATAAATACACACTGGGGGGATGTGAGGGAAAAGGAAGGACCAGTTCCTCAATCATATTTCTCCATGGTACCACAATAAAGAGACAATCCCATTTTCAAAGAAATTAGCTTTTATTTGAGACTACTTTTCCCCACATGTATCTTTTAAGAATTCTATGCTATGTGATAACCTGCTTATCCACTGTCCCAATACCAAAATTTCTAACAGCGAATTATACAACTGCTCTAGGTAATAAATAAGGGTTGTCCTTCACTGATTAAGGGAATAAACTTCAATAAACTTAACAACAACAAAAAAAATCACACTTTAGTTTTTAAGTTTTAACAGATGTATTTCAAATACAGCATGTTTTACAGGAGTTCACAAGCTTTTCATCTCTAAAAAAAAACTTTCAACTACCTGACTGTTCCATTCCACCCCAGACAAACCTGACATGACTGAACTACTTCATGTGTTACTTTCCCAAAAATAAAGTTAAAAAAAAAAAGGAACTCATGATAAATGCAGATCTCTAATACAGTATCTAACACAAAAGAAGCTTTAAAAAGACAGTTTCTTTCCTTATTTGATTAGCTAGAAGTTTATCTAGGTAAAAGCAAAAAAAAAAATTTACAAAGCATAACATAACATTGGGGTTCTTTTTATACTCAAGATGTTTAACTGTTCAAAATGACAACAATTACATCTTTTAAGAGTATAATAAAATGGGTGGAAAACAGCAACACAACTGACAAAAGTGTAGATGCTAAATAAACCAAAGTTTTTTTCTTAAGGAGTAGGAAGAATCCACAGCTTGGGGAAATCTCAGAATTAAAAAAAAAAAAAAAAAAAAGAGGAAAAAAAATGTCCTTAATTGCAACCATTCCGTTATCAATAGCGTCCTAAAAGAGAAAAAGCAAAAAAAAAAAAAAAAAAAAAAAGTTAACAATTATAGTTTAATTTGCCTCATATTTTTCCAACTATTAACTGCCACCTTCCACCTTATACTCTAATATTCTAAAGTAAGCCATTAATTAGAAATGAGGTTTTTTATGCTACAAAAGTAAAGTTCACATACTTGGGCTGTAGGAACGAGATCTTGATCGTGATCTATATCGACTATAATAAGGAGAAGGTGATCGTCTTCTGTAAGAAATGAAAGATTACTTAGCATACTATATAATCACTCCACTGAGGCAGATGAAAATAAAAATTCCTCATCATTCAAAATAATAATGTACCTAAGGTGATAACTACTTAATATTAAGTTCTCTTTCTGCCAATGAGACCAGAAAAGTATATAGCACAACAAAATACTGACATATACAGACTGCTAACTTCTGCTCCCAAAGGCGTCATATATGATCTATTTTAAAAATCAAGTTTTTATTCATATGTATCCAACATAAAAGTGCCAAGTAACACTACTATCATCTAATTTAGAACAGAAAGCTCAAGTTAAAACATTACCTGTATCGGTAATCATAGTCTTCATATCTGTCATACCCACGATCATATCCTCTATCATAGTAAGAATCTCGACGTCTGCCACCACCTCCACCTCCACCGCCGCCGCCTCCTCCACCACCCCCACCACTACTGCAGAAAAATGTAAAAATTCTCCATTAGTGTGAATGACTATTTTCCAGGACACTTTAATACAAATTGAATGGCTTAAAAAAGAGAAAAGTGAGGAAGAACATCCCTTTCATGAGAAATTGCCTCCGTATCTCATTTTACTGACTCCCATGGTATTCTGGTTTGCCTTATTCCCTACATACATAATCAAGAAGGGCTTCACAAAACTCTCAAAACTATTAACTGCTTTTCTACTAATGCACTGCCCAAATTAAAATCTTTTCAACAAATTGAAACGATGAAGCACTGTGTTGAGCAGCAGTATAAAAATGCTAAGATGCATTCCTACTGCTAAATGAGACTGGTAAATAAATAAATAAATGAATAAAAGGTGTATCCCTGTGACTAAAAGGCAATAAACACCAAGAATTTTTAAGTAACTCTGGACACCAAAGAGAATACCAAGGAATGACTATATTCCTTCTTTTATTCCCAAGAAATACCTCTGTGAATACTGCCTTTGGTTGTATATTTTATTTTTATTTTTTGAGACGGAGTCTTGCTCTGTCGCCCAGGCTGGAGTGCAGTGGTGCGATCTCGGCTCACTGCAAGCCCTGCCTCCGGGGTTCATGCCATTCTCCTGCCTCAGCCTCCTGAGTAGCTGGGACTACAGGTGCCTGCCACCATGCCCAGCCAATTTTTTGTATTTTTAGTAGAGACGGGGTTTCACCGTGGTCCCGATCTCGTGATCTCGTGATCCACCCGCCTCGGCCTCCCAAAGTGCTGGGATTACAGGTGTAAGCCACTGCGCCCGGCAAATGAACATCGTGAGCCAGCCAGGAGGGTTGTATATTTAAAAACATTATCAAAACCCCTACTTATGTTTTTTTTCTTTTTTGAGAAAGAGTCTCACTCTGTTGCCCAGGCTCACTGCAACCTCTGCCTCCCAAGTTCAAGTGATTCCTGTGCCTCAGCTCCCGAGCAGCTGGGATTACAGGCATGTGCCACCACACCTGGCTGATTTTTTATTTTTTTTTAGTAGAAGCAGGGTTTTGCCATGTTGCCCCTTGCCAGAATCAATTCTAATTATAGGAAAAAAGTTTCTGAGTAATCAAAATTTTGCACATATTTCTGGTGGATTTCATAGTTTAGCTTAGGAAACTTGAACTCTTACTGAGTTGGTCTGCCCATGTAGATGCCTGGTGTTGGTGTGTGCGCTCTCTTGGTTATAGAATAATCCACCCGAATTCTTCTACCATCCAGCTCCATTCCATTTGCCCTTTCCATAGCCTATAAAGAACAGGCACAAAAAGTCACGTATAATTCACCAGTCTTGAAGTAATCATTACTTAAAATTAAGCACAAAGTATATGTAATCCAAATAAACTCCTGATTTTGAAAATGACAGCAATGTAGCTTGTACAGGGCATTGTATAGACAATTCTAGACCTCAACAATGTCCAGAACACATTTAAATTTACTCAGCAGAAAGAGTAGTTAATAAACTTTCCCAAATAATTTTCCAGTTCTGGTTCAATTCCCATTCCCCACTCCATGAGATCAACAAAGAGTAGTTAACAAACTTTCCTAAATAATTTTCCAGTTCTGGTTCAATTCCCATTCCCCACTCCATGAGATCAACAGGGGAGCGGAGACTGAAGTCTTTTCAAGCTAAATTTTTTGTAGGTTGCCCAGGTAGACTGCCATTTCATACTTTCTAGTCTCCAGCGATTTCACTTACAAAGACTGACTTCAGAACATTAAAAAGGGTTTGCTAAGCTTTATACATGTTCTTTTTATAACCTGCCCCCAATCTTATTCTTTAGTTTGCAGTCTAGTACACTGATTAAGACTCAGTGAGCAGCCAAGAAGAAATGATATAAACAGACAAGAACAAATTTATCGTAATGCCTTTCAACCTTTTATTGAGACTGAACTAATAAAAGTATAATAAACTAATAAAAACTACACAATTTTTATGTATCCACAAATATTTCTCCGTAAGAGTGTCCCATAAACTAAAGGTCATTAAAAAAAAAAAAAAAAAAAAAAGGAGGTCTCACTCCATTGCCCAGGCTGGCAGTGGATCATAGTTCACTGTGGCCTCAAACTTCTTGGCTTATGCAATCCTCCAGCCTTAGTCTCCTAAGTAGCTAGGACCACAGGTTTGTGCCACCATGCTCGGCTAATTAAAACAAAAATTCTTGGTAGAGAAGGGGTCTAAACAGTATTCCATTCAATGGAATGCATTTTATTATTTATTTATGAGACCAAGTTTCGCTCTTGTTGCACAGGCTGGAGTGCAATGGCGTGACCTCGGTTCACTGCAGCCTCTGCCTCCCAGGTTCAAGTGATTCTCCTGCCTCAGCCTCCCAAGTAGCTGGGACTACAGGCATGCGCCACCATGCCCAGCTAATTTTTTGTATTTTTAGTAGAGATGGGGTTTCACCATGTTGGCCAGGATGGTCTCGATCTCTTGACCTTGTGATCCTCCTGCCTTGGCCTCCCAAAGTGCTGGGATTACAGGCGTAAGCCACCACGCCTGGCCTGCATGCATTTATTTTTGTAGAGACAAGATCTGTTGCCCAGGCTGGTCTCTTAACTCGTGGCCTCAAGTGGCCTTCCCACCTCAGCCTCCCAAATAGCATGAGCCGCCTTGCACAGCCTAATTCTTGAAGATAAGAGTTGTCTCTTTGGTCTCTTTGAAAAGAACTCTGAGAGTATTATTTGTTTCTGGGACAATTTTTTTTTCCTATTCTCTCACACACATATATATATTTGTAGAGACCAAGTCTCCCTATGTTTCCCCAGGCTGGTCTCAAACTCCTGGGCTCAAGTAAATCCTCTTGCCAAAGTGCTGGGATTAGAGGCATGAGCCACCACACCCGGTCCAATTTTTAAAAAGAACTTTACATCACATAAATGTCTGCAAAAGCAAAGCTGCAACAAATTTAACACATCTTCCATTTGAAGTTCCAAAAATCAAAATTCTCTAAGTTGATCTCCCTGCACCCCATCCTAAGCACCCCCCAAAAAAACACACACAAAATCTCTAAGTACTTCTTACTAAAACAGGGTGAGGAGCTTATATTATTATCTTCACCATATGCACACTAATAACTTTGAAACTTCAGTGAAATTTTCAGAATCAGGGAGAAGTTAGTCAAAAAGGAATACAAATTTTAAAAAGATTTTAAAAATCACTTTAGGCTGGGCGCGATGGCTCACACCTGTACTCCCAGCACTTTGGGAGGCCAAGATGGGGGGATCATGAGGTATCAAGAGATCAAGACCATCCTGGCCAACATGGTGAAACCCCATCTCTACTAAAAATACAAAAATTAGCTGGGTGTGGTGGCATGCACCTATAGTCCTAGCTACTCGGGAGGCAGAGGCAGAATTGCTTGAACCCGGGAGGCAGAGGTTGCAGTGAGCCGAGATTGTGCCACTGCCCTCCAGCCTGGCAACAGAGCAAGACTCCGTCTCAAAAAAAAAAAATCACTTTAGCCAAGTGAAGTGGCTCATGCCTGTAATCCTGGCACTTTGGGGAGGCCAAATCACTTGAGGTCCAGAGTTTGAGGCTAGCCTGGGCAATGGGGCAAAACCCCGTCTCTACCAAAAAATACAAAAATTAGCCGGGCATGGTGGTGCGCACCTGTTGTCCCAGCTACTCGGGAGGCTAAGGTGGGAAGATCACTTGAGCCTGGGAGGCGGAAGTTGCAGTGAGCTGAGATCGTGCCACCACACTCCAGCCTAGGCGACAGGGCAAAGAGCAAGACCTCATCTCCAAACAAACAAAGAAACAACAAACAAACAACAAAAAAAGAAAAAAATCAAATCACTTCAGATTGCCTGTCCCTAAAGACTGGAGACAGTCTCAGCCATACAGAAGAAACCATACAACATGCCTGTGTTAGCTGAGAATTCAGCCTGGGCAACTGAAAAGAGAAACTGTGATTTAGCTGACAAGCCTCGTCACCCCGCTCCTTAAGTAACATATTGTCACCTAGTGAACTAAAAGGAACTTCTAATCCTGCCACTAAGTAACTGCTCCTGTCTTTAAAGTTGCCAGTTAAGCTTTTTTTTCTTTTCTTTTTGAGATGAAGTGGAGTCTCACTCTGTTGCCCAGGCTGGAGTGAAGTGGCACAAACTTAGCTCACTGCAACCTCCGCCTCCTAGGTTCAAGCAATTCTCCTGCCTCAGCCTCCCGAGTAGCTTGGGGTTACAGGCGCTTGCCACAATGCCCGGCTAATTTTTGTATTTTAGCAGATGGGGTTTCACCCTGTTGGCCAGGCTGGTCTTGAACTCCTGACCTCAGGTGATCTGCCCGCCTCAGCCTCCCGAAGTGCTGGGATTACAAGGTGCGAGCCACTGTGCCCGGCCTGCCATTTTAGTTTTATCCAGAAGTGGAAGGGGACAGGTGGAATCAAGAGATAAACACGTTTCACATTAAAAAATATTAATAATAAAAAAATTACACTGTTCTGGCTTGCATTTTGCAACTTTTACTTCAGCTCAGATATCCTAGTATTTCTAAATTGATAACATGTATCTCTTAATTGAGAAAAGGAATATATAAATCACAAATACGTAACAGTAAAAAAAAAAATCATAAGACTGACAAATTAAGGCATTAAACTGCCTGTGACATAAATGACTTAAAAACTAAAGTACTAGTTTGTTAGAGTTATCCGGGGTTTCTCAACCTTAGCACTATTGACATTTTGAGACTGATTCTATGTTATGGGGTGCCAGCTTGTGTACTGTATGGTTATTTAGCAGTGTTCCTGGCTTCTACCCACCAGATGCCAAGAACTTACTGTTTTTAAAAGATAGCCTTATTTGGCCAGGCGCGGTGGCTCACACCTGTAATTCCAACACCTTGGGAGGCTGAGGCGGGTGGATCACGAGGTCAGGAGATTGAGATCATCCTGGCTAACACAGTGAAACCCTGCCTCTACTAAAAATACAAAAAATTAGCTGGACATGGTGGCGGGCGTCTGTAGTCCCAGCTACTCGGGAGGCTGAGGCAGGAGAATGGCATGAACCCGGGAGGTAGAGCTTGCAGTGAGCTGAGATCGCGCCACTGCACTCCAGCCTGGGCGACAGAGCGAGACTCCATCTCAAAAAAAAAAAAAAAAAAAAAAAAAAAAAAAAAAAAAAAAGAAAAGAAAAGAAAAGAAAAACACCCTGATTATTAAGGTCTAATAAAACTTCCAGATATATACAAATATATATATATTAATTTAAAAGACAGAAGGTCTAACAAAACTAAAAGTATTGAGCTTCAAATTCTTTAAAATGCAATTTTCTAAATCAATTACTATCAACTTTTAGTAAAGAGTAAGCGAGCCTAGGCCAGGTATGGTGGTTCACATCAGTAATTCTAGCACCTTGGGAAGCCAAGGCAGGAGGAACAGTTGAGGCCAGGAGTTGTTCCGAGACCAGCCTAAGCAACACAGCAAGACTCCCTGCAAAAACTTAAAGCAAGCCTACCACTTCCTTTATAATACCGAACATGTTAGAATAGCACTATTTCAAGTCATTGACATTGATTAGTTCATTGTGTTAGGCAAGTTAAGAATAGCACTAAAAAATTATCAATTCTTTCCATGTACTATTTTTCAATTATTGAACACACTGATAAATGAACATTTAGAGAATAGAAAAACAAGTTCCTTCCTCATTATAGACACAAAATTAAACATATCAAACCCACACATCAGAATTATTTTTTAAAAGTTAATGTAATCATCTGTTTGGAGCATCATTATGGCTTATTCAAAAGAGAACACTTACACATATACTTTTTCCATTAATTTAAACACATATAGCTCACTTTACACAGCCAGATTTCAATTAGGATATGCCTATAGCAGAGAGCATAACCAAAAAAAGTGAAACTGTAGTCACTCCAATTGTTAACACTGAGAGGCAGAGTTTGAATCAGGTCAAAATTAGAAAGGACACAACAGGCCATGTATGATGGCTCATGCCTGTAAACCCAGCATTCTGGGAGGATCACTTGAGGCCAGGAGTTCGAGATCAGCCTGGGCAACATAGTGAGACCTCATCTCTACAACAAAAAATTATCTGGGCATGGTGGCCCACACTTGTAGTGTCTGCTACTCAGGAGGCTGAGGTAGGAGGACTGCTTGAGCCCAGGAGGTCGAGGCTGCACTCCAGCCTGGGCAACAGAGCAAAATCAGCAAGATCCTATCTTTTTTTTTTGAGACGGAGTCTCACTGTGTCGCCCAGGCTGGAGTACAGTGGCGCAATCTCGGCTCACTGTAAGCTCTGCCTCCCGGGTTCGCGCCATTCTCCTGCCTCAGACTCCCGAGTAGCTGGGACTACAAGCGCCGGCCACCACGCCTGGCTAATTGTTTGTATTTTTAGTAGAGACGGGGTTTCACCGTGTTAGCCAGGATAGTCTCGATCTCCTGACCTCGTGATCCACCTGCCTCGGCCTCCCAAAGTGCTGGGATTACAGACATGAGCCACCGCGCCTGGACGCAAGATCCTATCTTTAAAAAAAAAAAAAAGAAAAAAAGGAAGAAAAAAGGATGCAATGTTTACAGAAATAAGTCTATTAATCAACTTTTCACACTAATTCAGTACTATAATCAGGCATATAAAAGACAAATTTACCTCCTTTGAGTCATCTATTCTCTCAAAATACACAAAAGCAAATCCTCGAGATCGCCCAGTTCGCTGATCATAAACCACATTGACACCACTCAATGGTCCATATCGAGAAAATACTTCACGAAGATCCCTCTCTGTTGTGTACAAACTGAGGCCAAACACTCCAAGGCAAGTGTTGGGATCTGGATTTGCCTATTGAATGGAAATATTATTTAAAACTCCAAATTAAAATCAAAATCAAAGAAACACAGAAATACTTTGTTTAGAACACCTCATCTAATACACAATAAATATATTGTTTCTAATAATTTGGAGATAAGATTTTAAGAGAACTAGAGCAGATGAGCCATATTTTACAATTCACAGTACACCCAAGGCCTTCTTTGGGATATGCTTTCTGTCTATAGCCTGAATTAAAATGTTCTTACTCTCCAGCCCAGCAATGTTCATAATGTATCCTGAAAATCTTGTAATCCCAGCATTTTGGGAGGCTGAGGTGGGTGGATCACCTGAGGTTAGGAGTTCGAGACCAGCCTGGCCAACATGGTGAAACCCCATCTCTACTAAAAATACAAAAATTAGCTGGGCATGGTGGCCGGCGCCTGTAATCCCAGCTACTCCAGAGGCTGAGGCAGGAGAATCGCTTGAATCCAGAAGGTGGAGGTTGCAGTGAGCCAAGATCGAGCCATTGCACTCCAGCCTAGGCGACAAGAGTGTTAGAAATGTTTGTTTCTCGGTGTTGTAAAGAAATAGCACTTGAACATACATTTTTTTAGTAAGGCCATTTTTATTTTCTGTAGAAAGGGTACGCTTGTCAGCAGTTTTGTCACAAGAGTACACTGAACAAAGGAGACAGGGTCATTTATAATCTGACGTGTCTACCTTACTGTTGTGTCTGTTTTTTATTGGCTGGAATGGGACTTCACATTCTGATTTGTCTTGATTGGCTAGTAACTTCAAACTTTTTAAAAGAGGCAAAGGCGGAGGAGAACAAAGGAAGGAGGAAGTAATTTGTGGAATGTTGAGAAAGGTAAAAACACCTTTAAATAAGGAAGAGGAACAGGCTATGACCTAATGCTTGTTTGGACCAGTATAAGCATGTTAGGGCAAATACTTAGGCTAAATTGTGGGAGCTAAGAACATAAAGTACATTGATTTTTTTACTACGGCTAGTAGATTTTTTTTTTTTTTTTTGAGACGGAGTTTCACTCTTGTTGCCCAGGCTGGAGGGCAATGGTGCGATCTTGGCTCACCGCAACCTCCACCTCCCGAGGTCCAGCCATTCTCCTGCTTCAGCCTCCCAAGTAGACGGGATTACAGGCATGCACCACCACCCCCAGCTAATTTTGTATTTTTAAGTAGAGATGGGGTTTCTCCATGTTGGTCAGCCTGGTCTCCAACTCCCAACCTCAGGTGATCCACCCCACCCGGCCTAGCAGATATTTAAGAATGTTAGCACAGCTCTTTGAATAAATTTTGCTTCTAAGAGAAATTATTATCTATTTCTAATTAGATGGGGAGGAAAATCTCTTTGAACAACCTTTACTTTTTATAAGAGTGAAACTCCGTCTCACTTATAAAAAAAAAGTATCCTCAGTTTAATACCATCTTTCTAGTTAATTCAAATGCTTTACATCCCTTACAGATTTGTACTTAATCTGACTTCATCTGTAATTGTTGATTTAGACCTCCTCTCCTCCATTTTCTTTCTTTTTTTTTTCTGAGACAGGGCCTCACTCTCTTGCCCAAGCTGGAGTTTACTGGCCTGATCATGGCTCACTGCAGCCTTGGCCTCCTTGGGCTCAGGGAATCCTCCCATCTCAGCCTCCCAAGTAGTCGGGATTACAAGCGTGAGCCAATATGCCTGGCCCATTTTCATTCTTTAGCGAGGATATTCTTTCAGTGTTCCCACAATCCAGATTTTAGAAATAAATTTACAGATTTCAAAACATTAAATAATGACATGCTCCACCACAGTTTAAGTTAGTATCCTGTGGGAGAAGCATAGTACAGCATGCAAACATGTTCTAAGAACTTTAGAGCCCGGCTGCCTGGTTGAAACCTAGACTGCTAGTTAGCAAAAACTAAACCAAAACCAAAACTAAAACTCCTTCAATGTCATACATCCAAGACTCAATTTTTTTTATATATAACATAACTTGCCTCACAGAAATGTTAAAAGCTTTAAGTGTACTGAATAAAAGTGTTAGCTATGATTACTACAAAGTTTTTAATATTTCTTTGACCCCCTTACCCCATCAAAAAACTTTGAATATAACCCAGTATTCCCAACTCAATTTATGCTTTTCACTTGAATTCGTGGAACATATTTCTTTTTTTTTTTTTTTTTTTTTTTTGAGACGGAGTCTCGCTCTGTCGCCCAGGCTGGAGTGCAGTGGCGCCATCTCGGCTCACTGCAAGCTCTGCCTCCCGGGTTCACACCATTCTCCTGCCTCAGCCTCCGGAGTAGCTGGGACTACAGGCGTCTGCAACCGTGCCCAGCTAATTTTTTGTATTTTTAGTAGAGACAGGGTTTCACCGTGGTCTCGATCTCCTGACCTCGTGATCCGCCCACCTCGGCCTCCCAAAGTGCTGGGATTACAAGTGTGAGCCACCACGCCCGGCCGGAACATATTTCTTCCCAAATTTCATCTCCTTTTCTTTTTTTGAGACAGAGTCTCGCTCTGTCTCCCAGGCCAGTCTGGAATGCAGTGGCACAATCTCGGCTCACTGCAACCTCCACCTCCTGGGTTCAAGGGATTCTCCAGCCTCAGCCTCTCAAGTAGTTGAGATTACAGGCGTAAGCCACCACGCCTGGCTAATTTTTGTATTTTTAGCAGAGATGGGGTTTCACCATGTTGGCCAGGCTGGTCTCGAACTCCTGACCTTAGGTGACCCACACCCTTTGGCCTCCCAAAGTGCTGGGATTACAGGTGTGAGCCACCACGCCCAGCCTTCATGTCCTTTTTACTCAAACGTCATGAAAAGAAAAATATACTCCCGGCCAGGCATGGTAGCTCACGCCTGTAACCCCAGCACTTTGGGAGGCCAAGGCAGGTGGATCACCTGAGGTCAGGAGTTTGAGACCAGAGGGGTCAACATGGTGAAACCCCATTTCTAAAAACACAAAAATTAGCTGGGTGTGGTGGTGCACACCTGCAACCCCAGCTATTCAGGAGGCTAAGGCCGCAGTGAGTCGAAATTGCACCCCTGCACTCCAGCCTGGGAGACAGAGTAAGACTTTGTCTAAAAAAAAGAAAATATACTTCCTTTGCATTCTTTGTCATAAAACATGGTAAGCTTACGAAAGATGGTGGCATTTCCTTTACTTTGAAAGCTAAAGCAGCTTATTAAGGATGTTTCCAGAGTATCACTTCTAAACAATGGCCAAGCTCCCCTAAAAGCAAGATATGCCATGACTAAACACATAAAAGAGAAAATAAGTCTTCATTAACTTTTATAAACCACGTACCCTGCTGCCAGTATGTCTTCTCCGGTTAGACATTGGAGAATGGCTTCGGCTCCTTCGCCGCCGGTATTCTGGTGTATATGATCTACTTCGAGATCGTCTCCTATGAGAGTGAGAGTGGGATCTGGATCGAGTGTAACGTCTATGAGAATGTCTCCTTGACCTCGACCTTTGAGAGAAATACATTTAGGTAAAAATACTGAAACAAAATGGCTAAAGTCCTTCCCTCTTCCAAGAAGGTATACATATATCCCTAACTATTCTCAGGTCCTTCCTCCTTGCTTCTGAGGAAAGGGTATTCTTCCTTTGGTTCACTTAAGTCACTACATCTTCCACTCTTCTCAGTCAAGCCCCTCTACATTCACCCTTTTCACCTAACCTTACAAAAATGTTAAGGCCCCATCTTCTTTTAAAAAACAAAAAAAAAACAAAAAACAAAAACCCACTATTGCTATAAAATAAAATCGTGGCCGGGTGCGGTGGCTCATGCCTGTAATCCCAGCACTTTGGGAGGCCGACGCGAGCAGATCGCGAGATCAAGAGATCAAGACCATCCTGGCCAACATGTTGAAACCTCGTCTCTACTAAAAATACAAAAATTAGCCAGGTGTGGTGGCAGGCACCTGTAATTCCAGCTACTTGGGAGGCTGAGGCAGGAGAATCGCTTGAACCCAGGAGGCAGAGGTTGCAAGCCGAGATTGCGCCACCGCACTCCAGCATGGTAACAGAACGAGACTCTGTCTCAAATAAATAAATAAATCCTTTGATTCTTAGCTAAGTGCAGTGATGTGTGCTTATGTTCCCAGCTACATGGAAAGATGAAGCAAGAAAAATCACTTGGGGCCGGGCACGGTGGCTCATGCCTGTAATCCCAGCAACTTGTGAGGCCGAGGCGGGCGGATCACGAGGTCAGGAGATCGAGACCATCCTGGCTAACATGGTGAAACCCCTCTACTAAAAATACAAAAAATTAGCTGGGCATGGTGGCGGGCACCTGTAGTCCCAGCTACTTGGGAGGCTGAGGCAGGAAATGGCGCGAACCCAGAAGGCGGAGCTTGCAGTGGGCTGAGATTGTGCCACCGTACTCCAGCCTGGGCGACAGAGCAAGACTACGTCTCAAAAAAAAAAAAAAAAAAAAAAAAAAAGAGAGAAAGAAAGAAAAATCACTTGGGCCCAGGAGGACAAGTCTAGCCCAGGCAACATAGCAAGACTCCACACTTCTATTTTAAAAAAAAAAACAGAAACAAAGACAAAACAAAACAAAAAAAATCAGGCTGGGCGCAGTGGCTCATGCCTGTAATCCCAGTACTTTGGGAGGCCGAGGCAGGCAGATTACGAGGTCAAGAGATCGAGACCATCCTCGCCAACATGGTAAAACCCTGTCTCTACTAAAAATACAAAAATTAGCTGGGCGTGGTGGCGCACACCTGTCATCCCAGCTACTTGGGAGGCTGAGGCACGAGAATCACTTGAACCCGGGAGGTGGAGGCTGCAGTGAGCTGAGATCGTGCCACTGCACTCCAGCCTGGGAACAAGCACAAAACTCTGTCTCAACAAACAAACAAACAAACAAAATCCTTTTTGATTTTCTGCTACTTTCTCCATATAGTTCTTTGTCGCCCAGGCTGGAGTGCAGTGGCATGATCTCAGCTCACTGCAACCTCTCTCTCCCAGGCTCAAGAAATTCTTCCACCTCAGCTTCCCAGACAGCTAGGACTACAGGCATGCACCACCATGCCTGGCTAATTTTTATATTTTCTGTAGTGACAGGGTTTCGCCATGTTGCCCAGGCTGGTCTTGAAGTCCTGTTCAAGCAATTTGCCCACCTCGACCTCCCCAATTAAGCCAGTGTGCCTGGCCCATAAAGTTCTACATTCCCCTCTCTGCTAAGTATCATTTCCATTTCCAATTCTTCTTTAGCCTGCTGCAATCTAGTATCTGCTAAACTAATTCAACAACCACCTAAATGCCCATCAAAACTGGTAACATTTCTTTTTTTGGAGACAGAGTCTCACTTCTTCACCCAGGCTGGAGTGCAATGGCACAATCTCAGCTCACTGCAACCTCCGCCTTCTGGGTTCAAGTGATTCTCCTGCCTCAGCCTCCCAAGTAGCTGGGATTACAGGCACTTGCCAGCATGCCCAGCTAATTTTTGTGTTTTTAGTAGAGACGGGGTTTCCACCATGTTGGCCAGGTTGGTCTCGAACTCCTGACCTTGTGATCCACCCACCTCAGCCTCCCAAAGCACTGGGATTACAGGCATGAGCCACCGTGCCCAGCCCAAAACTGGTAACATTTCTGAGTCTTCATTTCTTGTTTTTTTTTTTTTTTCCCCCTTCTTGAGACAGAATCTCACTCTGTCACCCAGACTGGAGTGTGCAGTGGCCTGATCTTGGCTCACTGCAACCTCCACTTCCTGGGTTCAAGCGATTCTCCTGCCTCAGCCTCCCGAGTTCCTGGGAACTACGGGCCTGTGCCACCACACCTGGCAAATTTTTTGTATTTTTAGTAGAGACGGGGTCTCAACATGTTGGCCAGGATGGTCTAGAACTCCTGACCTCAAGTGATCCACCCCTCCTTGTGCTCCCAAAGTGCTGGGGTTATAGGCATGAGCCACCACACTCAGCCTAAGCCTTTACTTATTGATGCTTTCTATAACATTTCACTTGTCTACTGCTGCTTTTCTAGTTCCCAGTTGCTCTAATTCCCAGTTGCTTGCAGTCCTTTCTTTGCCTGTAAGACTAATCCGACAGGCCGGGCACGGTGGCTCACGCCTGTAATCCCAGCCCTTTGGGAGGCCGAGGCAGGCAGATCACAAGGTCAGGAGATCGAGACCATCGTGGCTAACATGATAAAACCCCGTCTCTATTAAAAATACAAAAAATTAGCTGGGTGTTGGTGGCGTGTGCCTGTAATCCCAGCTACTCGGGAGGCTGAGGCAAGAGAATCACTTGAACCAGAGAGGCAGACATTGCAGTGAGGCCACTGTACTCCAGCCTGGCGACAGAGTGAGACTCCGTCTTCAAAAAAAAGACTAATGACCCACCCTTAACTAAACTGACACAGACCAGCAGTGATGACAGTCATATAAAATACCTTCTATACGGTACTCAATGAACCCAGGAGGTGGAGGTTGCAGTGAGCCAAGATCACACCACTGCACTCCAGCCTGGGCAAGAGAGCAAGACTCCATCTCAAAAAACAAACAAACAAACAAACTCTTCAACAGTCTCTACTTTTTTTCAGCTCAATAATAACCCATTGTTGATACTGCTAACTGTCCTCAGTAATTCCCTACTTGAACCAGATCACCCATTTTCTGTTAACTAAGTAATCAAGCAAAATTTTTTTGCACGATTTTACAAAGTGAGGATATGGAATACAGGAATAAAACTAATGAGGAAAGACCTTATGAAACACAATAGGTGAACAATAACGCTAGAAGAGTTGATATTTCCCATTTTAGCTAGCACCAATTTACAGTTCCAATTTTTAAAATGAAGAAAAAAAAGTAAGAAAATCCTTAATTTAAAACATCAATTATTACTTTTAAACAGCAATGAAAGTGAGACAATAAAATTCTTCCAGCTGGGCGCAGTGGCTCACGCCTGTAATCCCAACACTTTGGGAGGCCGAGGTGGGCGGATCACCTGAGGCAGGAGTACAAGACCAGCCTGGCCAACATGGTGAAACCTCGTTTCTACTAAAAATACAAAAAATTAGCCAGGTGCCTGTGATCCCAGCTACTCGGGAGGCTGAGGCAGGAGAACTGCTTGAACCCGGGAGGTGGAGGTTGCAGTGAGCCAAGATCGTGCCACTGCACTGCAGGCTGGGCAACAGAGCGAGACTCCATCTCAAAACAAAAACAAAAACAAACAAGAAACTCTTCAGGAGTCTCTATTTTTTTTAAATCAGACAGTGACAACATAAAAAAATTAAGAGTAAGGGAATAATGGATATGTGAATAACAATGTTCTCAGGTGACAAATGAAATGAGACAGGAGAAAAACGTTCTAGGTTGAAGGTGGCAAATGCAAAGGCCCTAAGGCAAAAACATGCTCCTTTCTATTTCTAAGCTCAAATTCTAGCCAGTGCTATTCTGCACATAATAAATTTAATAACTGAGTAGTAAGTAATCAAGCACCGGGCTAGACCCTTGCTGTAACAGAAAACAGTATGGTTGCTAACCCCAAGAAAAGGACAGCCTTTTAACTGATTTTTCTGTCTCATGCCCCTTTGCAAGTAGACTATTCAAAGACATAAAATCTATCCCTCCACCCAAGAAATGACAAGGACGTAAGCTAACTGGTCAGGCTGTTTTAAATTTTTTTTTTTTTTTTTTTTTTTTAAAAAGAAAGAGTCTCTCTGTCACCCAGGGTGGAGTGCACTGGCGCCATCTCTTGGTTCACTGCAACCTCCGCCTCCTGGGTTCAAGCGATTCTCCTGCCTAAGCCTCCCAGGTAGCTGGGACTACAGGTGCCCGCCACCCCGCCCAGCTAATTTTTGTATTTGTAGTAGAGGCAGGGTTTCACCATGTTGCCCAGGCTGGTCTAAAACTCCTGACCTCAAGTTATCTACCCACCTCGGCTTCCCAAAGTGTTGGTATTACAGGTGTGAGCCACTGCACCCAGCCTGTCTTAAAACTTTTTATCCCACCTCAGTACACCTGGGGCATTTGACAGTGAACTTTGCATTGGTTCACTATTGCGTTTCTGTTATCCATGGTGGTGGGACTCCAAATCAGCTAAGGACTTTTCCGCCCAATTACATCTCACCAGAGCTCTACGCTGGACAGAGTCAGAATCTTCAGATAAAAATGTAGCTGGAATGTAAATCCTAAAAATGCTTCTCAATCGTTCTGACCAACCAGCATAGCATACACACATCAACTTTCTCTGCATTAAATTACATGTGAGACTCCAATGCAGAAAACCGCCTTTTTGTTGTGCAAATATTGTTGGCATAGAAACCAGACACTAATTATCAAATGCCAAACACATTTAAATTGATGGCTATATACACATAATTTGTACTGGTTGCAACTATCCAATATATTAATTGGGCTGGGAGATGATTTTAGTATTGATTTCTTATTTTTTCAGAGATAGGGTCTCCCTGGCACCCAGGCTGTGGTGCAGTGGTGCAATCAATGCAGCCTGGAACTCCTGGGCTCAAGCCATACTTCCAAGTCTTTGTCTGGGATATAGTATTCATTTACAAAGAGCAGTCTGAGAAAAACTATAATTTTGAGTCTTTCGTGAAATTTCTACACAAAATGCAGCCAACAACTGCTTTGTCCTCAAAAACCCCAGAAGAATATTTTAAGTATTATCTTAAACACACTTACCTGGATTTTGATCTTGATCGAGAATGGGATTCAGAGTGTTTGGAAACCCTTGATGGACTACGAGATCCTGACCTGCTCTCCGATTTTACACGAGCAGGAGTTCCCGTTGGAGATTTTGACTGAGAGCGAGACTCCTAACAAAGAAGACAGTATTACAAATGGCACTGGTCATGTAGATGCCTAACACCTAACATTTAAAGTACCGTAATTATTTATATTGATTGCTCCTGAAAAACAAATGGTTAGACAACACCCTCCAGAAAAAATTTCAGCTCAATAATAACCCACTGTTAATACTGCTAACTGTCCTCAATAATTCCCTACTTGAACCAGATCACCAATTCTCTATTAACTAAGTAATCATGCAAATTCATCTACAACTTGATCATACAGACACTGGAACATAAACCATACATTTACTTAACCTAGGACCCATTCATTCTTCCAGATTCTTTTAATTCTACTTCACTCTTGCTTTCTACTTCTCTTCATTCTTCATTGAGTTTTTCATTTTTCATACTTCGTGTATTCTTCCCCAATTCAAACAATTCAAAATAGCCTTAAAAAAATATTCAAGTGCTTCTATCTGACCAATCTTCTGTTCAATTTTTTCCCCCATTCAATTTTAATTTTCTGATCTTTAATACTTTTCATTAGCCTTCTTTTATCTTGATTTATCTTCCACATTCTTGGAAAAAACTCTTCAATTTCTTCACGAACATTAACCTTAATGGAAAAAGAACATTTAGTATATTTAAGCACGTGGGGATTATAAAACTCTGCTGGAGTTCAGAATGTTATCTACCAAATGGAAAAGCCAGCAGGTAAAGTGCAAGTAACTAGTTTATTTAAAAAAAAAAAAAAAAAACAATTTTATAGTCTTTAAAATTGTTCAAAACTCTAGTTTCTAACAAAGAGAATTTACTAAATTTCTCTAAATGCTTTTTAAACCATACTCTTCACCCTCCTCCCATGTTTCATTCTAGTTCCTAAAATGTGAGCAATTTTAATATAATTCAAATATAAATCTAACAACTATAATTTCCCCCCACCTAAGTGTTAAATTTTCACTACTTTATAATCTGAAGATTCTTAAAAATAAGCTTTCACTAAGTCATGCTAAGAAATCAAGATATAGTTAGAGCAAGGCATCCCAGGCTGAAATATTTGTACACACCTATCTAAACTCACCCATAGCACATGTCAAGGTTCAAATAAGTCAAAAAGAAAAAAATCAGTAAAATTACACCTTCTCCCAACTTTGACTACTATCTTTGCTCATTCTGACTTAAAATATGTTCTGAAGACAAACATACCGAAAAAACTAATAAGCATGAAATTCTTAAAATTTCCCCATTAGCTTATTAATTCCTGATATACACATTTTTGCAACCAGATCACTTTAAAATGCTCTATTATCCACGACATACCACAATGTGCAAGAAGGTACAAAATTTATATCATAGTCTTTATCTTTGATTCCATCTCTTTAGAATTATGTTCAGTTTTTACATAATTTATGCATTTATGTATACTGGTACTCCCTTCAGTGACTATATTCTATATCCAAAAAGTGATGGGTTTCTGAAAAAATTGGGTGTAAATCAAAGCATTCCAAATAAAATAACTTACTGATCATAAGCTTGTTTTTTTTAACTGCACAGATATGAGGCACTTATGATCAAAACAGGATGGACAGCTTGGTTTCTGTGTCCAGTTAAGCCTTGATTATCAGTGTAAATAATTATCTCAATTTCACAGAAGTAATTTCACACCAATTTATTTATGCCTTAAGACTATCACACAACTCAAACAGCTTTCTGAAAACTTTTCCTTTGCTTCAAGTTTAATGTCAAGACTTATTTATCAAGAACTGTACAAATGCCACCTGGTCATTTTCTTTCAGATAAAAACAAAACTGAAATACACAGCTACCTTTCAGCTCAATACCAACCTTTCCCATTTAGCTACCTACAAGTCTTTCACTGCATCTCAGATACTCTAAACCACTCAACAGATGTCTGGAGCAGGCATAGCAATCTGGGCTTTTTCATTCACTGAAACTATGAAAGCAGCATATTCAGTATCTTATAAAAAAAGGCATGGCTAATTTGCTTGTAATTTAAGTTTCACAGACTGGTTCATTAATCAAACTCATAAGAGTATCTTCCCCTCTTCTCTTTTGGCTTTCCTTTCCACAAAACAGACCCTGTGACATAACATTCATTTATGCTACTGTTGAATAGCAATAGCTGGATTATTATCTACGAACGCTGCTACAGTCCTTCTCAAACATACACAGGAGGCTTTGCTCTGTAAAACACTACAATTCTTTAATTTTACTAGGATGGAAATAAAAACCTTTTATTAAAGTAAACAAGATAATTCAGTAACATCTTAAAATTCCAATTTTAAATCCCAGTTTTGGAGTAGCAACAAAGCATTATGGTATGATAGAATGTCTTTTTAAGAGATGTTAGCTTATTTATTTTAAGAAGGAGGAGTCTCATTCTGTCACCCAGGCTGGAGTGTAATGGTGCGATCTAGGCTCACTGCAACCTCCACCTCCTGGGTTCAAGTGATTCTCCTGCCTCAGCCTCCTGAGCAGCTGGGATTACAGGCATGCACCACCTTGCCTGGCTAATTTTTGTATTTTTAATAGAGATGGGGTTTTCCCATGTTGGCCAGGCTGGTCTCAAACTCCTGACCTCTAGTGATCTGCCCGCCTCAGCCTCCCAAAGTGCTGGGATTACAGGTGTGAGCCACCGCGCCCGGCCAACATCAGATTTATTTTAAAAGAAGCTTTGCTTTTTATTATCAAAGGTGTCACAAATACCTAACCTCCTTTGTTGTCTGCCCTTCTTTCTTTTTATCTCAGAGGAAATCTCAGTCTGCACAAATTTCTTCATGGAAACATCTAAGCTAAAAACAGTCCTCTTAGCTGTCTCTAACTCCTAGCTACAAAGTTGTCACTATGATTTTAACTATTTTTTTTTTTTTTGAGATGGAGTCTTGCTCTGTAGCTCAGGCTGGAGTACAGTGGCACCTGATCTCAGCTCACTGCAACCTCCGCCTCCCGGATTCAAGCGATTCTCCTGCCTTAGCCTCCTGAGTAGCTCAGCTTACAGGTGCACGCCATCACACCCAGCTAATTTTTGTGTTTTTAGTAGAGATAGGGTTTCCCTATGTTGGCCAGGCTGGTCTCCATCTCCTGACTCCTTGATCTGCCCGCCTTGGCCTCCCAAAGCGCTGGGATTACAGGTGTGAGCCACCACACCCAGCTTCATTTTAACTTTCAAAAACAACTTACAAACTTATATTAACAAATCAGTAACTATTAGTAAACTTAACTGGAAGAATAAACTGCCAAGTATATAATTATTTAGAAATAAAGTAACATTTCTCAAAAGCTGTTACCAAATAAATGTCACTTTCACTGAACTCTGCATTAGGAATCAGGCTATAAGAAGTCCTTTATATAAAGAGGACAAATGCTAGGCTAATCCTTTTCTCTCTGACTCGTCTTCATTATGAAATAATTTCAACTTTTTCTCAAAGAAATTCATAAAACTATCCACAATTTGGAAAATGAATTGAAATTGCAAACAAAAAAGATTGCTGGGAATGGGTGGTATCTGCCCTGTTTCACTAGACTACTTGTTCTTAAAGCTGTCCAGTCAAGGAATCCTACCATTTCCTCAGTAATCTGGCTCCTGCATCCAATAACCATTAAAAATACACTGCCCGGTTTAAATGGGCAGATTAATAACTCAACTCGTATCATGAATTTTAACAAAAGTCTTAAATAGGCCTCCAGTCTATCTTATAGGCTATAAAGCAGAAGCCAGGCAGAAAAGTTCTTCTCACAGCACAACCTGCTTTAACAGGTTTTTGTTTTGATGTTTATTTGCTTGTTTGGTTTTTCTGTCACCCAGGCTGGAGTGCAGTGGCACAATCTTCTCATTGCAACCTCCAACTCCTGGGTTCAAGCAATTCTGCCTCAGCTTCCTGGGTAGCTGGGATTACAGGCACCCGCCATCGCACCTGGCTAACTTTTGTATTTTATTTTAGTAGAGACGGGGTTTCACCACATTGGCCAGGCTGGCCTCGAACTCCTGACCTCAAGTGATCCACCCGCCTCAGCCTCGCAAAGTGCTGGGATTACAGGCATGAGCCACTGCACCCGGCCTGCTTGTTTAAACTATTCTTTATTATCAAGATGACCCTGCTGTTGGTTGAAGGAAATGGCCAAAAATTAAAAGGAGGGAACTAACTAAAACACTAAGAAAGTGTTATAGTGTAACCAATACAAGCTGGTTAAGAATTGTCTTTCTGTGTTAAAATAGAGTTGTATTTTACACACTGTGAATAACCACAATAACCATGTACTATTCTTTTAATCAGGAAAAGGGTTATTATATACATGTACACAATGTTGCGGAACATGAACAATTCCTACAGCAAGCAATAACTGCAGTCTTTTAATATAGCCTGTGTCATACTATAAAAAGAAATTCCAACACAATATATATATGTGCTATCCATTAAAATAAATAAACTATTAAATGCTATACTGTAACTTACTCTAACATTAAGGCCAGGCAAATTCTATGCCATTTAATAGGGCCAAATTTACTCAAGTCCAAGTCTATGAGTATAAGCTTGTAAAACAGACTTACTAAAAATGTATTTTCCTGCTACTTTATGACACTGGCGCTCTATTTCCATAGATACACACTAGTGCATTGAGGAAAATCACAAGTACCCAAAAAGAAGGGAAATGTACCGAAATTATTCAAATACCTTACAATATTCATTTTACTACTTACTAAAGAACTTCTTTAGGAGTTGTAAAAAACCTGTATTTACTCAACCTCAGCCTATAGAAAGAACAACAGTTCTGCTTCCTTCCCCTTGAGTATGGGAGAATACTCTTACAGACCCCTATGAAGTTAAAGCAACACTTCCATTATCTTCTTAAACCGTAACTGCTATTAGAACAAATCCCTTAAAAAGAAGATAGCGACTGCTCATATTAAATTGAAATAATAATTTCCCTTCTTTTAAATGCAGCATGCCTATATGCTGCATTCTGAAGTCAATGTGGTCTTTATCTGCAAAGACTCAAACATATTCTAATTCTGTATGTTTCCTTATTCTCTAAAATTTAGAAGTCTTATCATAAATACATGATTTAGTAACTGACACCCACATATAATCAAATTTAAACTCATGCCATAATTGTGAAATCACCTGTAAAATTTATAATCTTTTGTACAAATTTTAAACGTGGTTCATAAGTCTCATAGCTTATATATCCTGATCAATTGTAATGTTCAAAAAACTAATGTATAAGTGGCAATTTCAAAGGTAGAAAAAACAAGTTTGTAAGGACTAATGTGATTTAACATTATGTTCTAATCTTCTGGAGTTATACAGTATTTATGAATCTTGGTAAGTCAGATGATAGGGTCCTGGTTTCAAGGAAAGATCACAACTTTTCTTCTACATATCAGTCAGGCCTAGTCACTCCATCTTTGGTGAAAGTCATGGGACAGTAAGGATTATATATAACTATATATATAAGTAACTTAAAAGGAGGGAAGGGAAACCATATTTCCCTTTAGTATTCTCCTCTCAACTTTTCTTCAGTGTATACAATCTTTCCCTCATCTAGTTGTTACTATTTTTTTCACCTCCATGCCTGTCTTGCTAAATTTGTGAGGACATATGAACAAATAGCAATCAGTTTTAATTCATTAGCACGTGAATACACATCTTTTAGTTATCTAATGGGTGAGCACCCACTGATACTATCAAAGAAAGTTTTCTGCCAGTCAAGTTCTAGGAAACTACTATGCTGATTATTGATGACATTTCACACTTCTTATAATACACATGCTACATCGTAGGTTAGAGTTTGGTTGATTTACAAAATTAAGCCCACAGACAAAGTGTTTTCCAAACCACACATCCCTAAATATTTAAATCCCTGGACATTCTTTCAGATCTCAAGGTTCTATATTCCATTTAATGAGTGGTACAAAGTATAAGCCTCTATGACAGATCTGTAAAATTAGTTATGCGCTGTGGGTATAATTACTTGCACTGCTCCTTTTCAAAATCTTGCCCTCTACTTATATTGAGCAGATCAACATCCTTCAGTGAAAGAACCTCAAATATAAAAATTTGAGATTTTAATTTTTTTTAAGTTTACAAATTCTTTGCTTAAATGGAAGGGGAGAGGAGAACAACTGAAAGCATTAAAATCAGATAAATGATAGTACTTAAATTTAGGAAAATAGATTAAACCCAAGACTCTCTTAGGTTAACACTATCCCTACTATAAGAAAGAAAGCTTTACCCTTATGTAAGGTCAATTTGATGATATATGGAATTAAATTGCTAAAGACGCTGAATAAGCAAAATGCTATGACATCTCTCACATTTATCTTAAAACTTCATACACAAAAAAATTTTAAGCCCAATTTAAAAGTTCTGTGTTTTTTTTTGTTTTGTTTTTGAGACGAGTCTCGCTCTATTGCCAGGCTGGAGTGCAGTGGCCGACCTCGGCTCACTGCAACCTCCGCCTCCCGGGTTCAAGTGATTCTCTGCCTCACCCTCCCGAGTAGCTGGGACTACAGACGCGCGCCACCACGCCCAGCTAATTTTTGTATTTTTAGTAGAGACTGTATTTCACCATATTGGCCAGGATGGTCTCCATCTCTTGACCTTGTGATCCGCCCGCCTCAGCCTCCCAAAGCGCTGGGATTACAGGCGTGAGCCACCGGGCCGGCCTTGTTTTGTTTTTAAACAAGCCAGTCACAGGCCTGGGTTTTGATAGTCATCATCCCTATCATTCTCAGATTTCAGAAAAGGACCCTCCCCCTATTTCTTCTATTTTTAACAAAAAATCTATACACACAAATCTTTTAATTCCAAATTGATACAGATAAATTTGTTTGCCTTTTTTTTTTTCGAGACAGAGTCTTGCTCTGTCGCCCAGGCTGGAGTGCAGTGATGCGATCTCGGCTCACTGCAACCTCTGCCTCCCGGGTTTAAGCAATTCTCCCACCTCAGCCTCCTAAGTAGCTAGGATTACAGGCATGTGCCACCCCGCAGGGCCTGTAGGAGTCTCTCAAAAATACTCCAGCTACTCAAGAAGCCAGAAGAAATCCTGAAAAGGAGGCAATAAGAAGCGGTATTTTTCCTCTTCAACTGTAGAAAACATAAATAACTCTGGAATTACAAGATAGGTCCCTAACAATAAAGAATCATTAACCTCCATGATCAACACTGGGATGCTGTATGAAAATTGCACATTTTTATAAAGTACAGTTCTTAAAATTTTAGGGGTAGAGGTGTAAAATGTTAAGAAAAGATTTCCATTCCCCTTAATTTCTATGAAGGGCATTAACATTTTTTGAGCTCAAAATCCGAATTTTAGTTGAAGCTGTATTGAGGCAAACAACTCATTACTTTTATCAAGACATGCAAAGCCACCGCTTAAGTGCTACCTTCACTCCCAGCTCCAAAGGACATCTCCACTTAAAATTGCTTTTATGGACCTACGTATTTACTTATTTTTGAGACAAGAGTCTCATTCTGTTGCCTAGACTGGAGTGTCGTGGCGCAATTCCGCCTCCCAGGTTCAAGTAATTCTCCTGCCTCAGCCTCCTAAGTAGCTGTGATCACAGGCGCACGCCACCACGCCCGGCTAATTTTGTATTTTTAGTAGAGACAGGGTTTCACCACGTTGGGCAGGCTAGTCTCGAACTCCTAACCTCAAGTAATCCACCCGCCTCAGCCTCCCAAAAATTGTTGGATTACAGGCGTGAGCCACTGCGCCCGGCCAGAAACGATTTTAAAAAGGGCATCTCCAGACAAGCTTCTCGCATTGTTCTAATTCTTTAACCAATTACAAATAAAGACAATTATCTCATCCTATAAAAACTAAAAGACGAAAAATAAAAAGATACAACAGGTGAGCCTACAAGCACTAGTTGATTTACACTAAAATACACTTGGGTACCACTTGTGAAAAAAATATTTCCTATGACCACAAAGGGCCGTAAGAGGGCCCTTTATTTCTATTAAATAAATCTTTAATGCCTACATATACTTTAGCTTAAAAGTGGGTGGGAATCTTTTTTTTTTTTTTTGAGACGGGAGTCTCACTGTCACCCAGGCTGGTAGGTGGGAATCTTAACATGTTACTTTCTTAGGAGGGAAAAGTGACAATTGTCGGCAACTTACTCCTTTCCTAGACTTGATGATAAATTAAAAAAAGAAAAAAAGCAAGCAAACAAGGTCCCTCCAGTAGTCCTCTTCACTCCCCACAAACCAAACCAAACATCAATCCCCCAATTTTTTAACAATGAAAGTTAATTGAAGGAATGTATGAATGGACAGCAAAATTTCTATCGATAATTACTCAACATTTTCAAAACAAGAAGCATTTTACAACTACTATCATATATGTTTATCGCATGATTTTAGAAAGTTCTGTTGGGGCCATCAATACACCATCCTAAAAAATAAGCAGGTTCAATTTTCATTTGTTTCCATGCTCCAAACTTTGTAAAAAAAAATTCCAATCAAAAGAATTAAAGGCAAATTTTTTAGTCTACCGGGTAACTATTATAGTCTATTGCTTTAAATCTTTCCTCAAAGAGAACTAAAGCCTAAACTGACCTTCTGATTTGACTTTTTGGTTCTAGATGTTTATATCATGAACTCCCCAAAAGGACAAAATTCGCCCTTCAGCACACACACCTCAGGTGTTTTTATGTGCTTCCCCTAGTGACTAGAATAAACATCTACACAACAGCCCGGAACGTGTTGCATGGGGCTTTTGTTTTCTTTCCAGGGTTTCACACGAACTCACTTCTACTAACTCACTTCTACAATTCCCTATGTAGGGTAAACTTTGGAAATGAAACTCACTGACAAACGTTCCAGTACATTTAAGCTGGGGATATCGTATTCTTTGTGATGTTTGTATTTCTCCGACCCCAAATATATTAATAAAAACTTTTTTCTGAGCCCTCTTCGGTGGGGGATAGAGTGAGAAGAGAAATGGGAGAGGGCCTGTTAATTTTCAGGTCATCTTTTAAGTTACAGAACAGTATATACTGACTAGTTATCTTAAAAATACTGAGCCAATGAATTCGTTCAGCTATGTAAGATTAAAGAAAGACAGATTTTTTTTTTTTTACCGTAAAAACCTGTAAAGGAGTGGTCAGTTTTTAGATGAAAGGTCATAGGAAGAAGAGCATTAAAAGTTGAGATATAAAGAAGAGAAAAAACCCAACATCGAGGAATTAGAAAAATAAGGCGTGACAGCATTTCCACATTCATTTCGAAGTGAAAGGAAAGTCGAAGGGACATTAAGGGAAAAGGGCTCCTTGCGTAGTTTCCCCTCACAGCTCTCGTCTTAAGAACGCTTAAGGGTCGGTGCGGTCGTTGACTAACCACTTCATTAGGCTCGTCCCACCTTCAACCTCAAGGCTTTCGCCTTTTTAGACGCAACGCCGCCGGTTCCAACAGAGACGCGGCCGCTCACTGAAATAGAGAGCCAAGGAGACACAGGCCCCAGCTAGTCCCACGCCAGCTTCTCCCCGCCCGGAAAGCAGCCCCGCGCACTTTCGATCCCGAGACCCTCTACGATGCTCGGGGTCGCCAGAAATGCCACCGCAGGAAGCACCTACCACTATCCGGACGGAGGGGAGCTCCCTGCCGCCTCCTCCCGCCCAACCGCGACGGGGACCCACACCTCGGAGCAGACATAAGGAAGCCTCAGGGGTGGGGAGAAGGGAGGAAGCAATGCGGGGGCGGGGAGGGAAGAGGACCCAGAAGTCCAGGTATCAGTCAGCCTCCAAAAAAGGGGGAGGGGTGTTATCCGTGGTGTTTGGGGAAGGAGTGGAACCCAGAAGCCATCTTGGGATGGGAGGAATCAATCGCGATGGCTCCAGAGGTTGCTCCTCGCGGGACTACCCGCAACCCCGCCCGACCGCGCTTGTTCCCGTGAAACCCCGAGCATTGGGCCGCCGCCTAGACGGCTCCCGCGGCTTTGTACTCACTCTGCCCTCGAAGTTGTTTTCCTCCACATCACTCATGTCGACGAGGCGCTCCCCAGAACTAAATAAGAGACAAGTCTCGGCTCGAGGGCCGATGGCCTAATTAACCCGCTGACTGGACCGTGGGGAAGAGGAAAGAGTCGGCAACCACAGCCGCTCCACTCCACTCCCACTCGGTCGCAGGCTCCAGCAAAATGGCGCCGGCGCCGCCAGAAATCTCCTGGCCTCCTCAGAGCACGACGTAAAGGGGGCGGGCGTCTCTGTGACGTCACGAGGCTCCACCTCCCGCGAGGCTTTGTGTCGGCTGGGCCTGGAGCGAGGGTGGAGGTTGGCGGGCGGCCTGCGCTCTCAACCTGGGCGCCTTGGAATCGCGGTCCCGTGCTGTCCTCCAAACTTCAGACTCACCTCGGACGCGTCAACCTCTTTGAAGACTTTTCAGTCGCCAGATGAGCCTTATATGACCTTAGCCCCTTTAAATATTGTCCAAGTGGATTCTGATGTAAGGGAACAAAACATTGGAAGCGTTTTTTTATGTTTGTTTATTTTTTGAGTCAGGGTCTCGCTCTGTCACCCAAGCTGAAGTGCAGTGAAGCGATCACTGCTCACCACAGCCTCAAACTCCCGGGCTCAGACGATCCTCCCACCTCAGGCTCCCGCGCGCGCCACCACGCCCGGCTAATTTTTTTCTTTTTTGGGACGGAGTCTCACTCTGTTGCCCAGGCTGAAGTGCAGTGGCGCTATCTAGGTTCATTGCAACCTCCACCTCGCAGGTTCAAGCAATTCTCCTGCCTCAGCCTCCCCAGTAGCTGGGATTACAGGCATGCACCACCACGCCCGGCTAATTTTTGTATTTTTAGCAGAGACGGGGGTTTCACCATGTTGGACAGGCTGGTCTCAAACTCCTGACCTCAGGTGATTTGCCCGCCTGGGCCTCTCAAAGTGCTGAGATTGCAAGGGTGAACCACCGTACCCGGCCCACCCGGCTAATTTTTGTGTGTTTTGCAGAGATGGGGTTTTGACATGCTGCCCAGGCTGGTCTCGAATTTGTGGACTCAAGCGATCTGCTCGCCTCGGCCTCCCAAAGTGCTGAGATTACAGGCCTGAGCCACCGCGCCCGGCTGGAATCGTGTATATATAACAGGCTTTTGGGGGGCACGTTGTCAGCTGACTGTATTACTTTTCTTCCATATTTGCCCTGTGTAATGTCGACGTAGTACATGCACAGATGAGGTTATGATGCAAAGCCGCTGCTCCTTGCCTCGTGTCCCTGCTCCAGTTCCCCCTCCTAGAGACAGCCGTGTAGTTTTTTTTTTATAATGCTTAGCTCCCTACTAGTTTTTTTGACTTAGATATTTCCATAAAGCTTCACAGTGAAGACCTCCCAAATCTGTCAACTTGGTTCCCAATCATAGTAATAATCTCTGAGATGAGTTTTACTTGTGTAATGCAACTTTAAAAATTAGTTTCATCTTAAATTTTTTTCCTACAGTGCTTTGTAGTAAAAAGATTGACATAGACTTTCAACTATAGTTCTATGGTAGGAAAGTTCATCTGGCATTATTATGAAGATTGCTACCACTGGGGGCAAGATTTCAGCATTTGAATGTCAGTTATTGATAGGGATAAACTTAAATGACATCTGGCTCTTAGAAAAGATGTTGAACTTGGCTGGGTGTGGTGGCTGACGCCTGTAATCCCAGTACTTTGGAGACCCTAGGCGGAAGATCGCTTGAGGCCAGAAGTTCGAAACCAGCCTGGTCAACATGGTGAGCCCCCATCTCTACAAAAGAAATTATTATTATTATTATTGAGACGGAGACTTGCTCTGTCACCCAGGCTGGAGTGCAGTGGCGCGATCTCGGCTCACTGCAACCTCCACCTCCGGGTTCAAGTGATTCTCCTGGCTCAGCTTCCCGAGTAGCTGGGATTACAGTGCGTGCCACCACACCCGGCTAATTTTTGTATTTTTCGTAGAGATGGGGTTTCACCATGTTGGCCAGCGTGGGCTGGAACTTGTGACTTCAGATGATCTGCCCGCCTCAGCCTCCCAAAGTGCTGGGATTACAGACGTGAGCTGCCACGCCCAGCCAGGTTGATACCATTTGAACCACTGATCAATCTTAGTACCATTAAAAGTGAGATAACCAGATACGAGATACCTCATGATGTGATGCAATAGAAAATACCCAGTTCCTCCTGTGAAGTATTCCTGATCCCTCAAATTGAACTCAAATCTAATTAAACCTTAGATCTAGCCAACAGTTTACAGGAAATACAAGAAAGGGAAAAATAAAAACACCGAGATGAAGTAATCAACTTCCACAGGACAAATAACCACATTCCCCAACAGATTAAATTCACAATCAAGGATGGGAGAAAGGTAGACTATTATGGACTAAGAGTCTTCCCCCCTACCCTTTTTTCCTTTTATTTATTTTTTGGAGACATAATCTGACTCTGTCACCCAGGCTGGAGTGCAGTGGCACAATCATGGCTCCAACGATCCTCCCACCACACCCTCTCACATAGCTGGGACTACAGGCCCCCAACACCATGCCCAGCTAATTTTTAAATTATTGTAGAGACCAGGTTTTGCCATGTTGCCCAGGCTGCTCTCAAACTCCTGGGCTCAAGTGATCCTGCCGCCTAGGCCTCCCAAAGTGTTGAGGAACCAGGCCGGGCCTAGAAGAGTAGTTTCTTTTTTCTTTGCCTTTTTTTTTGAGACAGAGTTTCACTCCCGTGCCCAGGCTGGAGTACAGTGGCACAGTCTTGGCTCACTGCAACCTCTGTCTCTCGGGCTCTAGAGATTATTCTGCCTTAGCCTCCCCAGTAGCTGAGACCACAGGTGCATGCCACTGTGCTCGGCTAATTTTTGTATTTTTTTGTAGAGACGGGGTTTTGATGTTGGCCAGGCTAGTCTCTAACTCCTGGCCTCGAGTGATCCACCCACCTCGGCCTCCCAAAGTGCCGGGATGATAGGAGATATTTGCTTTATGAGTTATAATCCATTGCTATCATTATTTATTTTGTTGCTTGAATTGTCCCAGATTTCAGTTATAAACTTTTGATATGTTTAAACATATATATAATGTCCTTTTTTCGGAATTGTCTATTTTCCATTTTTCTTTTTTTTTTTTTCCGAGACGGAGTTTCACTCTTGTTGCCCAGGCTGGAGTGCAATGGCACGATCTCAGCTCACTGCAACCTCCGCCTCCCGGGTTAAAGCGATTCTCCTGCCTCAGCCTCTCGAGTAGCTGGGATTACAGGCATGCGCCAGCACGTCTGGCTAATTTTGTATTTTTAGTAGAGACGGGGTTTCTCCAGGTTGGTCCGGCTGGTCTCGAACTCCCGACCTCAGGTGATCCGCCCACCTCGGCCTCCCAAAGTGCTGGGATTACAGGTGTGAGCCACTGTGCCCGGCCTATTTTCCATTTTTCTATTGGATTTTTATCCTTTGTCCCTCAAGTTTTATGAGTTCCTTGTATATTAGGAATATTAGCCTTTTATTTGTGCTTTATGTTGCAAATATTTTCTCCTAGTTTGTAAATTGTATTTGACTTTGCTTATGGTATATTTTGCATACTATTTTTTGATTTTTTAATTTAATTAATTAATTTTACTATGGCAATAAAAGATTCCCAAATTAGCATACTTTTTTTTTTTGAGACTGAATTTTGCTCTTGTTGCCCAGGCTGGAGTGCAATGGCTCATTCTCGGCTCACTGCAACCTCCGCCTCCCAAGTAGCTGGGCTTACAGGCATGCACCACCACACCCAGCTAATTTTTGTATTTTTTAGTAGAGATGGGTTTTCACCATGTTGGCCAGGCTGGTCTTGAACTCCTGACTTCAGGTGATCCACCCACCTTGGCCTCCCAAAGTGCTGGGATTACAGGCGTGAGCCACTGTGCCTGGCCACTATTTTTTTTTTTTTTTTGAAATGGAATCTTGCCCTGTCGCCCAGGCTGGAGTGTAATGGCGCAATCTCGCCTCACTGCAACCTCCACCTCCAGGTTCAAGCGATTCTCCTGCCTCAGCCTCCTGAGCTGGGATTACAGGTGAGGACCACCACGTCCGGCTAATTTTTGTATTTTTAGTAGAGATGGGGTTTCACCGTATTGGTCAGGCTGGTCTCAAACTCCTGACCTCGTGATCCGCATGCCTCGGCCTCCCAAAGTGTTGGGATTACAGGTGTGAGCCAGTGCACCCGGCTGCCCCTGGATTTTAAGTCATAGTTAGCCTTTTCCCATACTGAGATTAAAGAGGAATTCACTATGTTTTCTTCTAGTAGTTATGTAGCTTCATATTTTACATTTAGATTCGTGATCCATTTGGCATTTGTTCTTATGTATGATGTGGACTATAGATCTAATTTTACCTTTTCCAAATGGCTACCCAGTGATCCCAGCATTAAAAAGCCCATCTTTGCTTTTTAGATGTCACCTTTGTTATACACTACATTTTCTTACGGAGTTGAGTCTATTTCTGGGTTTTCTGTTTCCCTGGTCATACACCAGTGCCACACTGTTTTAATATAGAGGCTTTCAAATTTTTGTTTGTTTTTTTATTGTTTGAGATGGAGTCTCGCTCTGTCAGCAGGCTGGAGTGCAGTGGCACAATCTTGACTCACTGCAACCTCTGCCTCCCTGGTTCAAGCGATCCTCCTGCCTTAGCCTCCCAAGTAGCTGAGACTACAGGCACTCACCACCATGCCCAGCTAATTTTTTGTATTTTTAGTAGAGACAGGGTTTCACCATGTTGGTCAGGCTGGTCTTGATCTCTTGACTTCATGATCCACCCACCTCGGCCTCCCAAAGTTCTGGGATTACAGGCGTGAGCCACCACGCCCAGCCAGGCTTTCAAATTTTTATGTCTGATTGGGCAAGTCCCCCTTCCTATATATTTTTAAGTAAGTCTCATTGCTTAATAGCCACAATTCATTTTAAAAATCTTTTTTATTTTGTTTTATTTATTTTCGAGACAAGTTCTCACTCCGTTGCCCAGGCTGATTCTCCCACCTTAGCTTCCAGAGTAGCTGAGACTACAGGCATGTGCCACCACACCCACCTAATTTTTTTTTCTTTCTCTTTTTCTTTTTTTTTTTGAGAGGGAGTTTTGCTCTTGTTGCCCAGGCTGGAGTGAAATGGGGTGATCTCGGCTTACTGCAACCTCTACCTCCCAGGTTCAAGCAATTCTCCTGCCTCAGCCTCCTGAGTAGCTGGAATTATAGGCATGCGCCACAACTCCCAGCTAATTTTTTTGGTACTTTTAGTAGAAACGGGGTTTCTCTATGTTGGTCAGGCTGGTCTCGACCTCCTGACCTCAGGTGATCTGCCCACCTCAGCCTCCCAAAGTGCTGGGATTACAGGCGTGAGCCACCATGCCCAACTTTTTTTTTTATTTTTTAAGCAGAGATGAGGTCTCACCATGTTACTCAGGCCGGGTCTTGAATTCCTGAGCTCAAGTGATCCTCCTGCCTTGGCTTCCCAAAGTGCTGGGATTACAGGTGTGAGCCACCATGCCCAGCTTTTTTTTAAAATTTTTTAAGCAGAGATGAGGTCTCACCATGTTACTCATGCTGGGTCTTGAATTCCTGAGCTCAAGTGATCCTCCTGCCTTGGCTTCCCAAAGTGCTGGGATTACAGGTGTGAGCAACCGTGCCTGGCTCCTTGGGAGAAATTGAAAATGTGAGTGTGTGAAGTATCTTTCCTCTCCCAAAACCCAATCTCTCACTTTTGGCATGTGAGGAGTGTTTGGGTATTTGAGGCTAACTCTCCTTATTCATGTCTTACTGGGAGTTTAGGAGAGGATCCTGCATGAGGAGCAATATTAGAAATAGGAGGTGTCTCCAGTTCCCTCATTTTATATGCAGAAAGAAAGACTCAGAAACAGAAAGTCATTTGCACCTTTATGCAATGACATAAAGACATAAACCTTTATGCAATGCAGAGAGAGAGATGGACATTGGGTACGGTGTACACTGCTCGGGTATTGGATGCATAAAAATATCAGAAATCACCACTAAAGAACTTATCCAAGTAACCAAAAACCACCTGTTCCCCAAAAACTATATAAATAAAAAATTTGAAAAAACTATTAGAAAAAGAGAGAGAGATGGAAACAAGCTTATAGATAATGTAATTACTTGGTTTTACAGAAGCAGAAGTCACAAGTTGCCCACCCAAAGTCATGTGGCAGTAATAATACCATTGAGTCCTCACCATGCTTCAGGCACTGGGCTATTTTATTTGTTTGTTTATTTATTTATTTTGAGACAGAGTCTTGCTCTGTCACCGAGGGTGGAGTGTAGTGGCGCCATCTCAGCTCACTGCAACCTTGGCCTACTGGGTTCAGGTGGTTCTCCTGCCTCAGATTACAGGCACCCACCACCACGCCTGGCTAATTTTTGTATTTTTAGTATAGACGGGGTTTCGCCATGTTGGCCAGGCTGGTCTTGAACTCCTGACCTCAGGTGATCCACCCGCCTCTGCCTCCCAAAGTGCTGGGATTGCAGGCATGAGCCACTGCCCCTGGCCTGGGCTACGTATTCTAAATAGTTTGTCTTATGTATTACAACAACCTAAAGATTAGATAATATTATTGCCTCCATTTTTTTTCCATTTATTTATTTATTTAGAGATGGGGTCTTTCTATGTTGCCCAGTCTGGAGTGTGGTGGCTATTCACAGGTGCAATCATAGCAAACTGAAGCATGGAACTCCTGGGCTCAACTGATCCTCTTGCTTCAGCCTCCCAAGTAGCTGGGACTACAGGTGTGTACCAAGTGGCACAATTGCCTCCATTTTATAGATTTTTTTTTTTTTGAGTTGGAGTCTTGCTCTGTTGCCCAGGCTGGAGTGCAGTGGTTCACTGTGATCATGGCTCACTGCAAGCTCCGACACCCGGGTTCACACCATGCTCCTGCCTCAGCCTCCCGAGTAGCTGGGACTACAGGTGCCTGCCACCACGCCTGGCTATTTTTTTTTTTTTTTAGACAGAGTCTTGCACTGTCGCCCAGGATGGAATGCAGTGGCATGATCTCGGCTCACCAAAAGCTCTGCCTCCTAGGTTCATGCCATTCTCCTGCCTCAGCTTCCCGAGTAGCTGGGACTACAGGCGCCCGCCACCACGCCCAGCTAATTTTTTGTATTTTTAGTAGAGACGGGGTTTCACCGTGTTAGCCAGGATGGTCTTGATCTCTTGACCTCGTGATCCGCCCGCCTTGGCCTCCCAAAGTGCTGGGATTACAGGCGTGAGCCACCACGCCTGGCCACGCCCGGCTAATGTTTTGTATTTTTAGGAGAGATGGGGTTTCACCGTGCTAGTCAGGATGGTCTCGATCTCCTGATCTCGTGATCTGCCCGCCTCAGCCTCCCAAAGTGCTGGAATTACAGGCATGAGCTACCGCACCCAGCCATTTTATAGATTTTTAAAGCTGAGGCGGAGAGTAGTAAAGCAACTTGCCCAGGTGAGTCAGACAGCTGGCACAAAGCAGAACTGGGGATTAAACTTGGGTAGATTAACACTCTTAACCATTAGGCTCCTGTGCCTCCCAGCAAGCCACTGGCATTACAGATAAAGAGCTCAAATGAGCAGACCTAAGTTTAGTCTCCAGTCACTCAAAAATTACTTGTTTTAACCAAGAACTGAAGTGCTGATATTGTACAAACTCTTGCATGAAAGTAAAAACAGATACACTGAACAGTTTATATTAATGATTTCACGATGCACCAGGCCAAGCCAAGAAGGTAATTGTCTCACAGTGGTAGTTTTTTTTTTTTCAACGTATACAGCTTGAGCTTTTGCTTTAAACATGTGCACATCTGCACATGTGCATTTCTTCCTTTTGACCAGCAAGCAGAGAGATACCTCCACACCACCTGAATATCCATTTGCCCATCAACCATTCAGTGGGTTCGGCATCCATTGAAAAATCTTTGCCTGAATCAGCCATGCTATTCAAAATGTGGACTTTCCAACTCTATCTTGTCCCTATATTCACCAGCTGGCAATCTTCTAGTAAATAGTTTCGTTTTTCTTTGTTTTGTTTCTTGCCCACTTCCTCTCTCTGCTCAATAGTGTTTTTTTTTCTTTTCTTTTCTTTTTAAAGAGCTTTCTCCATCAACTACAGGTTATTTGACTATTTTGAAATACAGTTCCATCGCTTCTCAGCCTTTTAGCTAGGATCACATGCAAAATATAGTTCCTACTGGAAATGATAAATGCTTAATTATTTCCTTTAATTGCCAATTTCAGAATAAGGTGTTTGTAAAACAGCTCCAAAGGTGGAATATGAAGCTTTTCGATGATATAACTGAAAGGGATTTTCACTTAGAGTCCCTTTCCACTTACATACTGTGGTGTTATGATATTCTTGTACCCATTTTCGTCCAGGTTCCTGGCTGATAACTCCCCATAGGCCTTGTTACAGTCTTTTGTTATAATGTTAGGTGTGTTAGGCTTCTTGCAGGCCTCAGGCCTCTTTGACCTTCTCCTCTACTCCTTTCACTTGACCCAAGGCAGGACTCAATACTATTCCCCTGCCTTTCTGATTGTGGGTCATAAGACCCTCATTCCAGAGAGGCCAATCACATTTCCAAATAATTGTCCATAAAAACCCAGGAGGACTGGGTTCACAGAGTTTTCAGATAGCTAATACTTGGAGGTTCCTGGAGGGTGGCTTGCCCAGGGAGGGCATGGAAGCTCCACACCCCTTCCCCCATACCATATATTTTGTAATGTTTCTTTGAGTTTTGTGAGCTGCTCCAGCAAATTTATTAAACCCAAAGTGGTGGATGTGGGAATGCCCAAAGCACTAGGGTTATAGGCATGAGCTATCTCTTCTTTTTAATATTATTACTGTTATTTTTTGAGACAGAGTCTGGCTCTGTCTCCCAGGCTGGAGTGCAGTGGCACAGTCTCTGCTAACTGCAACTTCTCCTCCTGGGTTCAAGTTATTCTCGTGCCTCAGCCTCCCGAGTAGCTGGGATTACAGGCGCCTGCCACCATGCCCAACTAATGTTTGTATTTTTGGTAGAGACAGGGTTTCGCCATGTTGGCCAGGCTGGTGTCAAACTCCTGACCTCTAGTGACCCACCCCTGGCCTCGGCCTCTCAAAGTGCTGAGATTACAGGCATGAGCTGTTGTGCTCGGCCAAAAATATATTTTGTGGCCTCCCCAGTACCTCAAGCCTGTAATCTCAGCACTTTGCAAAGCTGAGGTGGGAGGACTGCTTGAGCCCAGGAGTTTGAGACCTGGGCAACAAAGTGGGACCCTGTCTCTAAAAAATTTAAAAAATTAGCTAGGTGTGGTGGTGCATGCCTGTGTCCCCACTACACAGGAGGCTGAGGCAGAAGGATCACTTGAGCACAGGAGGTCAAGGCTGCAGTGAGCAGTATTTGTGCCACTGCACTTCAGCCTGGGTGACAGAGCAAGACACTGTCTTAAAAGAAAAAAAACAACCAACCAACAAACATTTTATCACCTCAAGCACTCAGAGTAGAACACAACAAAATTAACCCATAGCATTTAGCCAGTTCTTAGGAACTAGATCTCAACACTGAAAGAGAGAAAGATCAACCACATTCAAAGAGAAGATAGGTAAATTAGAACATCAAAATTTACAACTTTTGTGCATTAAAGGATAATATCAACAGAGAGAAAAAACAATCCACTGAAAAGGAGAAATATTTAGAAATCATATGTCTAATAAGGGTCTAGTATTTAGAGTAAATAAATAACGCTTACAGTTTAAGAAAAAACAAGCGGCTTGGCGCAGTGGCTCACGCCTGTAATCCCAGCACTTTGGGAGGCTGAGGCGGGCAGATCACAACGTCAGGAGATCGAGACCATCCTGGCTAACATGGTGAAACCCTGTCTCTACTAAAAATACACAAAAATTAGCCGGGCATGGTGGCGGGCACCTGTAGTCCCAGCTACTCAGGAGGCTGAAGCAGGAGAATGGCGTGAACCCGGGAGGCGGAGACTGCAGTGAGCCTTGATCGCGCCACTGCACTCCAGCCTGGGCGACAGAGCAAGATTCCGTCTCAAAAAAAGAAAAGCAAAAACAAGCCTGGGCAACATAGTGAGACCCCTTCTCTATTAAAAAATTTACTTATTAATTATTTATTATATTATTATTTATTTTATTTTTTATAGAGACAGGGTCTTACTATATTTCTCAGGCTAATCTCAAACTTCTGGCCTGAAGTGATCCTCCTATCTTCGCCTCCCAAAGTGCTGTGATTACAGTCATGAGCCACCATACCCAGGCTATATCTCTTCCGTAGGGAGAAATCTACTGAAGTCCTTTGTTCATTTTCTAATTGTTGGTTTTTTTTTTCATTTTTTATTTAATTTTAAAAAATTGTTAGCTTTTGTTGCTGTAAAATTTTTTTTTCTTAGTTTCTTGTTTTGTTTTTGTTTTTTGGTGTTTTGGGGGCACAGGGGCTTGCTCTGTCACCTCATAGCCCACTGCAGCCTACAACTCCTGGCCTCAAGCAATCCTCCCACCTCAGCCTCCCAAAGTGCTAGAATTATATATATATATATTTTTGTAATTAGCTGGGTATGTTGGTGTGGGTCTATAATCCTAGCTACTGTGGGAGGCTGAGGTAGGGGGATGGCTTGGGCCCAGGAATTGGAGGCTGCAGTGAGCTACAGTGGCAGCACTGCACTCCAGCCTGGGTGACAGAAGGAGACCCTGTCTCTAAAAAAAAAAAAAAAGCAAGATGATATATAAATGGCAAATGAACATATGAAAAGATGCTCAACACCATGAGTCTTAGAGAAATGCAAATTAAAACCACAATGAGATACCACTTTACACCTACTAAGATGGCTACTATAACGTTGAAAAAAGAACAATCAATGACAGGTATTGAAAAGGATATGGAGAAATTGGAATCTTCATACACTGCTAGTGGGAATGTAAACTGGTGCACCTTCTCTGGAAAGCAGATGGGCAGTTCCTCAAAAACTTAAACAGAGAATTACTGTATGACCCAGCAATCCCATTCCTAGGTATATACCGAAGGGAAACATATGTTTGTTCACATGAAAACTTGTATGCAAATGTATATAGCAGCATTGTTCATGATAGCCAAAAAGTTGAAATATTTCAAATGTTTATCAGTTGATGCATGGATAAAAAACTGTGGTATGTCCATACAATGAAATACTATTTAGTCATAAAAAGGAATGAAATACTGTTACATGGTCCATCATGGATGAACCTTGAAAACATTATGCCAAGCGAAGGAAGCCAGACACAAAAGGCTATACATTGGGAGCTTCTGGATAGTGCGTGAAGGTTCCTGGAGGGTGGTGCACCTGGAGAGGGCATAGAAGCTTCCAGCTCCTTCTCACATGTCTTATCCTATGTATCTTGTCATCTGTATCCTCTGTAATATCCTTTATAATAAGCTGGTAAATGGGACCAGCTGGATAAGCAAGGGCCCTCTAGTTTCATCTCCAAACACAATGTGGGCCACTTCATATTGTGCTGCCTCACCACCAGTTAGTACGATGGGCGTAGCACCTGCTCCTCCCACCTGTACAACTAGGACTCTGGCCCTATCTAGGAGGATGGAGTTCTAAAAAATTAGGAACAATTGAAGGAGCAATGAAGCTTGAGCCAAGAACTTCAAGTTAAAAAAAAAAAAGGCCACATTTTGTTTTTGTTTTGAGACAGGGTCTCGCTTTGTAGTCCAGGCTGGAGTGCAGTGGCGTGATCTCGGCTCACTGCAACCTTAGCAGCTGGTCCCATTTACCAGTTTATTATAAAGGATATTACAAAGGATACAGATGACAAGATACATAGGATAGGACATGTGGGAAGGGGCTAGAAGCTTCTATGCCCTCTCCAGGTGCACCACCCTCCAGGAACCTTCACACGCTATCCAGAAGCTTCCAATGCATGGCCTTTTGGGTCTTACTCAGTTGCCCAGGCTGGAGTGCAGTGGTGCACTCTCAGCTCACTGCAACCTCCGCCTCCTGGGTTCAAGCGATTCTCCTGCCTCAGCCTCCGGAGTAGCTGGGATTACAGGCACCTGCCACCACGCCCTGCTAATTTTTGTGTTTTTTAGTAGAGACAGGATTTCACCATGTTGGCCAGACTGGTTTTGACCTCCTGACCTCAGGTGATCCGCCTGCCTTGGCCTCCCAAAGTGCTGGGATTACAGGCATGAGCCACTGCACCCAGCCAGTATGGAAACTTCTAAAGAAATTAAAAATAGAATTACCAGATAGCCCAGCAATCCCTTTGCTGGGTATACATAGCCAAAGGAAATGAAATCACCACCTAGTAAAGATATCTGCATTCCCATGTTCATTGCCATGTTCACTGCAGTACTATTAACAATAGCCAGGCCCGGTGTGGTGGCTCACGCCTGTAATTCCAGCACTTTGGGAGGTTAAGGCGGGTGGATCACCTGAGATCAGGAGTTCGAGACCAGCCTGGACAACATGGTGAAACCCTGTCTCTATTAAAAATATAAAAAAAAAAAAAAAAAACAGCCAGGTGTGGTGGTGGGCGCCTGTAATCCCAGCTACTCAGGAGGCTGAGGCAGGAGAATTGGTTGAACCTGGGAGGTGGAGGTTGCAGTGAACTGAGATAGTGCCATTGCACTCCAGCCTGAGTGACAATAAAAAACTCCATCTCAAAAAAAAAAAAAAGCCAAGATTTGGAAACCACCTAGGTGTCCATCAATAGATGAATGGATAAAGAAACTGAAACTGTGAGATAGACACACACACACACACACACACACACACACACACACAGTGGAATACTATTCAGCTATAGAAAAGGAGATCCTGCCATTTGCCACAACACAGATGAAACTAGAGGGCACTATATTAAGTGAAATAAGCCAGATACATAAAGAAAAGTACTGCATGATCTCACTACTTATATGTGGAATCTAAAAAAAGGAAAGAAAAAAAAAGCAACTTCAGGAGCAGAGGTACCCTTGCAGAGCAGAGAGAAAATTCACAGTATCTTTAAACACCTTGGTAGGACTGACTTTGGTCTGTCAGTCGCCAAAATGATACCATCTGGGGAGTGTAGAAAAGACCTCTCTGCTTAATTTATTCTCAACTTTTCCACTTTACTGAGACTCGTGGTTAATCATCAGCAAACCCCCCTGGTGTCCTCTATCTCCTCTTTAAATAGTTCATTCACCTTGCTGTAGCTCAGAGATTCTCACCTGGAAGCAATTTTTCCTACCTCCCCAGAGGACATTTGGCAACGTTTGGAGGTATTTTTAGCTGTCACAACTGGAGATGGTGCTACTGACATCTAGTGGGTAGAGGCCAGGGATGCTGTTAAACACCTTACAAGGACAATGTACAGGATGGCCCCTCACAGCAAAGGATTATCAGACCCAGATGGCAATGGCCAAATTGAGAAACCCTGACTCTTTTCTGTAGGCACTACTTCCTCTTTAGCCCTCTCAGATCATCTGTGTTTTCTCATACCACTGGGTTTGGAGGCGGAGTGGGAGTCTTTTTCCTTTCTTATTGCTGCTTGCAAACAATTCTCCCTCCCCAAATCCTTAAAAAAGCCCAGCTTAACTTTGAATTTTACATCATCAGACATTATCACCCACTACCTCTCCTTACTGCAGTCATCTACAGATTTTCACTCCTTTCATTGTCATTCTCTCCAACACTAAAACCATCTTAAACCTTGGTGACTTCATCATCCACACAGATGATCCTTCCAACATCTTGGACTCTCAGTTCCTTGTATTCCACTCCTGCAGGGAGTACGACTCTCCACCACAGTCACTTCCTCACCTACATTGCCATAATTGCCATCATCTGAATTCCACTTTCTGAGCACTACATCCTATCATTTTAGCCCACTCCCTATAGTAGGTTTATTTCAACAAATTTTTGATCTCATTAGGTAGTGAGTGATAATGTCTGATGATGTCATTAGGACAACCAATCCATCAATCAACTGCATAGTATTTATACTATGAAAATCAACAAATCTACAAATTAGTGTTCTTTTCCTCTTTCTTTCAGAAAGCTAGTTGTTAAACATTTAACTCTTGTGTATTCATGGGATATACCTTAAGCAATCTATGTATGTGTGTGTATGTATATATATGTATGTATATATGTACACATATATAAAATGTTGCTTTGCACATTTAAACATTTTATATACCTGGTTTACTATAGTATGTTTTCTGATATAACTTTCCCTCCACAGCATTTAGGTTATGAGATGCATTCATGTTGATATGTGTAACTCTGGATTACTGTTTTTTTGTTTTGTTTTGTTTTGTTTTTGAGACAGAGTCTCACTCTGTTGCCCAGGCTGGAGTGCAGTGGCATGATCTCAGTTCATTGCAGCCTCTGCCTCCCAGATTCAAGTGATCTTCCCACCTCAGCCTCCTGAGTGGCTGGGACTATAGGCCTGCACCACCATGCCTGGCTAATTTTTGTATTTTTAGTAGAGAAGCAGTTTCGCCATGTTGGCCAGGCTGGTCTGGAACTCCTGACCTCAGGTGATCCGCCCGCCTTGGCCTCTCAAAGTGCTAGGACTACAGGTATGAGCCAAGGTGTTGGCTGGTTCATTCATTTTTACTGTTCTGCCCTACACGGCAAGAATGTAAGCTCCATGAAGGCAAAGATTTTTATTGGTTTTATTTTCTGCTATATTCCTAGGATTTGGAACAGTGCCTGGCACAAAGCAGGCTCATATTTATTTGAAAAAACAGGCCCAGGACAGTGGCTCACACCTGTAATCCCAGCACTTTGGGAGGCCGAGGTGGGCGGATCACTTGAGGTCAGGGGTTTGAGACCAGCCTGGCCAACATGGGGAAACCCCATCTCTAATAAAAATACAAAAATTAGCTGGGTGTGGTGGCTCACACCTGTAATCCCAGATGCTTGGGAGGCTGAGGCAGGAGAATCACCTGAACCTCGGAGGTGGGGGTTGCAGTGAGCAGAAATTGTGCCACTGCACGCCAACCTGGGCAACAGAGTGACACTCCGTCTCAAAATAAAAAAAGAAAGAAAGAAAGAAAAAGAAATGAATGGTGTGCCTGAAATTCTACCTTTGCCACTTATTTAATTTAAAATATTGCTAGGTTATTTTTCTTTTTGTTTCTGTTTTTGGTTTTTATTTTTTTGCTGTCCCTTGCGGAGCAGGGCTACCCCATACGCGGTGTGCGCGGAGTAGCCTATGTTGCTGTTTGGTAGCTTAGTAGATCTTACTACACTGAACCACTTGGGTTTTCAAACCTTGTCAAGGAATTTATTTTGCATATCATTTGTAACCAGAAGAGGGCAAGCTTGGAGAGAAAAAGAAATTGGTGAGAAACGGAAACAAGTCCTAAATGCAGGACGCTGCCTGTTTTGAATGTCTACAGCCACCAGGTGGCAGTATGAGCATGCTGGAAATTTAAGGTCGGTGATCCAGGCTACAGAGGTCTCCAGATGCAGATGGGTGCCCCAAACTTACACATTTTCCACTTTATTTCTCCTTTTGGCCAACTTGTCATTTTTTAACATCATTATTATGCAGATTTATATAAGTTGATACTTTCTATTTTCCCTTACATTTGACAATACTAAATTTAAAATATTGGCGCATAACAGATAATAAAAATCACAAGGCAGGGGGCAGTGGCTCACGCCTGTAATCCCAGCACCTTGGAAGCCTGAGAGAGGAGAATCGCTTGAGCCCTGGAGCCTGGGCAACATGGGGAGACCTTGTCTCAAAAAAAAAAAAATCTACGCGTGGTGGTGAGCACCTATGGTCCCAGCTACTTGGGAGGCTGAGGTGGGAGGATCACTTGAGCTCAGGAGGTCGAGGCTGCAGTGAGCTGTGCCACTGCATTCCAGCCTGGGCGAGAGCGAGACCATGTCTCAAAAAAACAAAAAACAAAAACAAAACAAAACAACAAACAAAAAGACAAAAAGCAAAACAAAACAAAAAACTCATATAACATACAAATCACTTTTAAGCCTGTCTGCTTCCTTGCTTTCTGCCTGCTTGCTTGCTTCCTTTTCTTTCTTTCTCTCTCTCTCTTTCTCTCTTTCTTTCTTTCTTTCTTTTCTTTGTCTTTCCCTCCTTCCCTCCCTTCCTTCCTCCCTCCCTCCCTCCTTTCCTTCCTTCCTTCCTTCCTTCTTGCCTTTTCTTTTCTTTTCTTTCTTTTTTGACATGATCTGACTCCATCACCCAGGCTGGAGTACAGTGGCACGATCTCGGCTCACCGCAACCTCCGCCTCCTGGGTTCAAGCAATCCTCCCACCTCAGCCTCCTGATTATCTGGGACTACAGGTGTGTGCTACCATGCCTGGCTAATTTTTGTATTTTCTGTAGTGATGGGGCCTTGCCATGTTGCCAAGGCTGGTCTCCAACTCCTGAGCCCAAGCAATCTGCCTGCCTTGGCCTCCCAAACTGCTGGGATTGCAGGCTGGAGTCACTGTGCCAGCCCTTAAACCATTTTAAAGTGTAAAAATCAGTGGGTTACCTTAAACCATTTTAAAGTGTAAAATACAGTGCGTTTTAGTATAATATATTCACAATGTTGTGCTACCATCACCATGACCTAATTCTGGAATATTTACATTAAACCAAAAGGAAACCTTATACCCATTCAGTCACTTGCCAGCCTCCCCCCATCTTCTGACAAGTACTAATCTACTTAATGTCTCTATGGATTGCCTGTTCTGGGGATTTCAGGTAAATGGAATCATACAATATAGCAACATTTTTTTTTTTTTTTTGAAACAGAGTCTTGTTCTGTTGCCCAGGCTGGAGTGCACTGGTGCAATCTCAGCTCACTGCAACCTCTGCCTCCTGGGTTCAAGCGATTCTCCTGCTTCAGCCTCCAGAGTAGCTGGGATTACAGGTGCCTGCCACCATGCCTGGCTAATTTTTGTATTTTTAGTAAAGACTGGGTTTCACCATGTTAGCCAGGCTGGTCTTGAACTCCTTAACTTAGGTGATCCACCCATCTCAGCCTCCCAAAGTGCTGGGATTACAGGCATGAGCCACTGCACCCGGCCAGCAGCACATATTTTTAATCGCAATATTTATCTATGGCATCATACAGATGGACACTGGAGACAGATGGGGGACGTTGAAGGCACGTGAGGGATGAAAAACTATCTGTTCGGTACAATGTACACTATTCAGGTGACCTGTGCACTAAACATCTAGACTTCACCATTCCACAATTAATCCATGTAACCAGAAACCACTTGTACCCCTAAAGCTATTGAAATTAAAAAATGTTATAAAGGACTTATCTATGGCATCGAAATAAGGCTATGTTTTTAGGAATTTCATCTAAAATATCAAAGTTATATACAAGGTGGAAAAATATACATTTTGGAACAATTAGTAACCCTAACTTCCTTTAATATTACATAATAAAAATTTAAGGGCTACCTAAATTGTGTTTGCCTGCCTTCTTGGGCAGGGACGCACTTTGATTGTCTTAATTGCAATGAGATAGAGACTGAAGAATGGAAGTGATGGAGAATGATTAGCAGGATTCATGTTCCCTTAATTCCCTAGCAAATAAAATGCAAAGCAATATCCAGACATTACCCATCACGTTTTCAAGCTCCTACGTAGTCTTCATGGCTCTGAGCTCAGAGCTGGCTGCAAGTGGTCCCTGATGGGTTTTGCCCACGGCACAGGCACGGCACCTCTGGAGACAGCTGGGCTAATGTTCAGCAAAGGTTGGCAGAAGCAGGGAGAGGGGTTTGTCTTCCTTTCATAACTTTTCCAAAAATAGAACTTGTGAGTTCATGGCAACATTTAGTCACAACTTAATTTTGTAAATAGAGACAGGGTCCCACTCTTTCACCTGGACTGGCATGCAGTGGTGTGATCATAGCTCACTGTAGCCTTGAACACCTGGGCTCAAAGAATCCTCCTGCCTCATTCTTTCAAGTAGCTGGGACTTACAGGTGCGCACCACCATACCCAGCTAATTTCTTTTGAATTTTTGGTAGAGACAGGGTTTTGCCATGTTGCCCAGGCTGGTCTTGAACTCCTGGGCTCAAGGGATACTCCCACCTTGCCCTCCCAAAGTGCTGGGATTACAGGTGTGAGCCACCATACCCGGCCTCCTTCTTTTTCTTTATTATTATTATTTTTTAGATGGAGTCTTGATCTGTCACCCAGGCTGGAGTGGAGTGGCATGATCTCAGCTCACTGCAACCTCTGCCTCCCGGGTTCAAGCTATTCTCCTGCCTCAGCCTCCTGAGTAGTTGGGACTACAGGCACATGCCACCACGCGTGGCTAATTTTTGTATTTTTAGTACAGACAGGGTTTCACCATGTTGGCCAGGATGGTCTCGATTTCCTGACCTCGTGATCCACTGGTCTCGGCCTGCCAAAGTGCTGGGATTACAGGCGTGAGCCACTGTGCCCAGCCTCCTCCTCCTCCTCTGCCTCCTCCTCCTCCTCCTCCTTCTTCTTCTTCGAAATTTCTCTCTCTCTCTCATGTTTTGAGACGTAGTCTTGCTCTGTTGCCCAGGCAACAAGAGGAGTGCAGTGGCACGATCTCGGCTCACTGCAGCCTCTGCCTCGCAATTCTCCTGCCTCAGCCTCCCAAGTAGCTGGGATTTACAGGTGCCCGCCACTACGCCCGGCTAATTTTTGTATTTTAGTAGAGACGGGGTTTCACCATGTTGGCCAGGCTGGTCTTGAACTCCTGGCCTCAGGTAATCCGCCCTTCACAGCCTCCCAAAGTGTTGGGATTACAGGTGTGAGCCACTGCACCCAGCCAAAATTTCTCTTTTTTAATAGAGATGGTGTCTTACTTTGTTGCCCAGGATGGTTTCAAACTTCTGGCCTCAAGCAATCCTCCCACCACACCCTGCCACACTTGGATAATTTTTAAGTCTTTCCTTTTTTTTTTTTTAAGATGGGGTTTTGCTCTGTCACCCAGGCTAAGTGCAATGGAGCAATCTCAGCTCACTGCAACCTCTGCCTCCCGGGTTCAAGTGATTCTCCTACTTCAGCCTCCCGAGTAGCTGGGATTACAGGCACCAGCCACCACACCTGGCTAATTTTGTATTTTTAGTAGAGACAGGGTTTCACCATGTTGGTCAGGCTAGTGTTGAACTCCTGACCTCAGGTGATCTACCTGCCTTGGCCTGCTAAAGTGCTGGGATTACAGGCATGAGCCAACGTGCCCAGCCAATTGTTAAGTCTTTTATAGAGACTAGGTCTCATTATATTGCCAGGGCTGGTCTTGTACTCCTGGGCTCAAGTGATCCTCTTGGTTGGCATCCCAAAGTTCTGGGATTACAGGCGTGAGCCAGGGTGCCTGGCCTCCAAAGGGTTTTTCTGAGGGACTCCCACAGCACTGAATTAACGTCTTCATTAGTGGCAAACACAGAAAGATGCATATTCTTTAAAACTGAAATTCACTGAAGTAAAAGGGACAGGAACATAGGGAGAAAATGATTCTACAGCCGTCATAATTTTTTTTTTTTTCGCGATGGAGTCTCGCCCTGTTGCCTTGGCTGGAATGCATTGGTGGGATCTCAGCTCACTGCAACCTCTGCCTCTCAGGTTCAAGCGATTCTCCTGCCTCAGCCTCCCAAGTAGCTGGGATTACAGGCATCCACCACCATGCCCGGCTAATTTTTTGTATCTTTAGTAGAGACAGGGTTTCACCATGTTGGCCAGGCTGGTCTTGAACTCCTGACCTCGTGATCCGCCCACCTCGGCCTCCCAAAGTGCTGGGGTTACAGGCATGAGCCACAATGCGCAGCCTCCAAAGGGTTTTTCTGAGGGGCTCCCACAGCACTGAATGACGTCTTCACTAGTGAGAAACACAGAAAGATGAATGTACTTTAAAATTGAAATTCGTGGCTGGGCGTGGTGGCTCACACCTATAATCCCAGCATTTTGGGAGGCTGAGGTGGGTGGATCGCCTGAGGTCAGGAGTTCGAGACCAGCCTGACCAGAAGGGTGAAACCCCATCTCTACTAAAAATACAAAAATTAGCCAGATGTGGTGGTGTGTGCCTGTAGTCCCAGCTACTTGGGAGGCTGAGGCAGGAGAATTGCTTGAACCCAGGAGGCGGAGGTTGCAGTGAGCCGAGATCCTACCAATGCACTCCAGCCTGGGTGACAGGGCAAGACTCCGTCTCAAAAAAAAACAAAAAACAAAAAACCAAACCAAAAAATCCCAAAACCAAAAACTGAAATTTACTGAAGTAAAAGTGACAGGAACATAGGGAGAAAATTATTCTACAGCCGTCATAATTTTTTTTTTTCGAGACAGAGTCTTGGTCTGTCACCCAGGCCAGTGGCATGATCCTGGCTTACTGCAACCTCTGCCTCCCGGGTTCAAGCGATTCTCCTGCCTCAGCCTCCCAAGTAGCTGGGACTATAGGCGCGTGCCACCATGCCTGGCTCATTTTTGTATATAATTTTTTATAATAGGAATAGCCAGCTATGTCTTGAGGATTACAAAAACATTCAGATTTTTAAAAATTCAGAGAGCTCGGTGTGGGTGACTTGCACCTGTAATCCCAGCTATTTGGGAGGCTGAGATGAGAGGATCACTTTAGGCCAGGTGTCCCAGGCCAGCCTGGACAACATAGCAAGATCCTCATTTCTTAAAAAAGTTTTAAACAATTATCTGGGCTTGGTGGCACACACCTGTAGTCCCATCTACTCAGGAGACTGAGATGGGAGGATCACTTGAGTCCAGGAGTTCAAGGCTTCAGTGAACTATGATCATGCTACTGCACTGCAGCCTGGATGACAGAGTGAGACCCTGTCTCAAAAAAAGAAAAAATAAATTCAAAGAAAGGAGAGGCATAATTCTTTGGAATGATGGCCTAGTACAACGGTTCACACCTGTAATCCCAGCACTTTGGGAGGCCAAGGGCAGGTGGATCACCTGAGGTTAGGAGTTCAAGACCACCCTGGCCAACATGGTGAAACCCCATCTCTACTAAAAATACAATAATTAGCCGAGTGTGGTGGCGGGCACCTGTAGTCCCAGCTACTCAGGAGGCTGAGGCAGAATTGCTTGAACCTGGGAGGCAGTGACTGCAGTGAGCCAAGATCGCATCATTGCACTCCAGCCTGGGCAACAGAGTGAGACTTGGTCTCAAGAAAAAAAAAATTCATTGGAATGAGATTTTCTTTCATTTATTGTAATTCATTCATTAAATATTTAGTAAGTTCCTATTATTTGCTCTGCACTGTGTTAGATGTGCCATGATCAAGAGGATTGGGTTGTCCTGAAATAGTCAATTCTGATCACATAATTTAAAATGACCTCAGTGAAGAAGAGAAAAAGGAGATGTCTGAAAAAGCCATTGTGATAGTATGCGGCATTTTCTAATTAGTTCAGATATTAATAGAAAATATATGCATGACAGAAATAAGGAAATGTGACTAAAGATGAATAGAGTTCCACAAATCTGTGAAAATGGCATGAGGAATACTAAAGCTCAAATGAGAGAAGAATTGCAAAGCCACTAACAACAAATAAAACAGTTTTTTAGGCCAGGCACGGTGACTCATGCCTGTAATCCCACCGCTTTGGGAGGCCAAGGTGGGTGGATCACCTTAGGTCAGGAGTTTGAGACCAGCCTGGCCAACATGGTGAAACTCTGTCTCTACCAAAAATACAAAAATTAGCCGGGGGTGGTGTCGTGTGCCTGTAGTGCCAGCTACTCGGGAGGCTGAGGCCGAATCGCTGGAACCCAGGAGGTGGCAATTGCAGCGAGCCAAGATCACACCACTGCACTCCAGCCTGGGCGACAGAGTGAGACTCTAACTAAAAAAAAAAAAAGATCACATTTACCTCCAGAAGATAAAAGAAGACCTAGGTCTGATGCTTGGGCTGTGTAGTGTGAACAAGTGACAGAGGAAGCAGAACTCTTTGAGTCTGTCTTCAGTGTCTACGAAAATGGTCTGGATACTGATGAAGGTAAAACAAAAGTGGGTCAGAAGGAACTGGAGCCCAAGATGGGTGAGAAGTGTGAGAATATATAAATTGTACAGTGATCTAAATAATTTTCAATTATCAGGCCTACGTGAATTATATCTCAGCTTACTCAGAGAACCCTGAATGAGTAGATTAACAGATATTCTGTTATTTGAAAATCAAGGAGAATGAAATCAAGATCGGATATTAACAAATACAGTGGCAATTTCTAATAGGAGAAGGTAGAGCTCTCAAATTATATGCTGATGAAATTGGTTTTGATTCTGGGCAAGATTCAAGAAATAATTCTTCAAAGTATCATTTATGTGGTCATATAAAGGAAACACATTCTTAGAAGTGAGAGTTTGATAAAGACGTGTATTTTCAAATTCACTTTATTTTTATTTATTTATTTTTTTGAGACAAGGTGTGGCTCTGTCACCCAGGCTGGAGTGCAGTGGCACGATTACTGCTCACCGCAACCTCCATCTCCTGGGCTCAAGCCATCCTCCCACCTCAGCCTCTTGAGTAGCTGGGACTACAGGTGCACGCCACCATGCTTGGCTAGTTTTGCAATTTTTTTTTTTTTTTTTTTGGTAGAGACGGGATTTCCACATGTTGCCCAGGCTGTTTTCCAACTCCTTGGTTTTTCAAAGTGCTAGGATTACAGGTGTGAGCCACTGTGCATGGCTAACTTTACTTTCTTTCCTTTGACATGATTAATGAATTTGTAAAAGAAGGAATGCAATAGACAGGAAATTTTTTTTTTTTTTTTTTTTTTTTTTTGAGACAGAGTCTCACTCTGTTACCCAGGCTGGAGTGCAGTGGTGCAATATCAGCTCACTGCAACCTCCGCCTCCTGGGTTCAGGTGATTCTCCTGCCTCAGCCTCCTGAGTAGCTGGGATTACAGGTGCACACCACCATGCCCAGCTAATTTTTGTATTTTTTAGTAGAGACGGGGTTTCACCATATTGCCCAGGAGGGTCTTGAACTCCTGACCTTGTGATCCGCCCACCTCAGCCTCCCAAAGTGCTGGGATTACAGGTGTGAGCCACCGCACCCGGCCAACAGGAAATCTTGACTTCCATAAGGCTATAGAATAGGTTTCTCAGGGTACCTTCCAGACTGCAAGGTCCTTGAGTGTAAACGATTGTGCCTCATTTGTCATTGTGTCCTCCAATGCCTGCCTGAAACAGATTTTTCTTTTTTGAAGAAACATCCTGAGATTTAGCTTTTATTTATTTATACACAATAGTTGTACATATTTATGTGGTACATATGGTATTTTGACACATGCATACAATGTGTAATGATCAAATCAGGGTAATTGGAATGTCTATAACCTCACATATTTATCATTTCTCTGTGTTTAAAACATTCCAAATCTTATCTTCTAGCTATTTTGAAATATATGATAAATTATTATTAACTATAGTCACCCTACTGTTCTATTGAACACTAGAAATTATTCCTTCTATCTAACTGTATTTTCGTACCCATTACCTAACCTCTCTTCATCCCCCCTTCCTCCTACCCTTCCTGGCCTCTGTAACCACCATTCTATTCTCTACCTCCATGAGATCAAATTTTTAGCCCTCACATATGAATGAGAACGTGCAATATTTGTCTTTCTGTGCCTGGCTTATTTACCTTAACATAACATCCTCTAGTTCCATCCATGTTGCTGCAACTGGCAGGAGTTTATTCTTTATTATGGCTGACTAATATTCATATATAAATATCACATTTTCATTTCTCTCTGTCTTTTTTTTATACCACATTTTCTTTATCCATTCGTTCACCCACTGATGGACTCTCTTAGGTTAAGATTCCATTCGTTGGCTATCGTGAATATGCCGCAATAAACATGCAAGTGCAGATATCTCTTTGGAATGCTGATTTCCTTTGTTTTGGGTATATAACCAGCAGTGGAATTGCTAGATCATCTGGTGGTTCCCTTTTTAGTTTTTTGAGGCACATCCTCTGTACTGTTTTCCACAGTGGCTGTACTATTTTACATTCCCACCAATAGTGTAGAAGTGCTCCTCTTCTCCTTGTTAGCATCTATCCTTTCCTTTCCTTTCCTTTTCTTTTCTTTCTTTCTTTTTTTTTTTTTTTTGAGACAGAATCTTGCTCTGTCGCCCAGGCTGGAGTGCAATGGCATATGGGCTCACTGTAACCTCTGCCTCCTGGGTTCAAGCAATTCTCTGCCTCAGCCTCCCGACTAACTGGGATTACAGGCACCCGCCACAAGGCCTGGCTAATTTTTGTATTTTTAGTAGAGACCATCTTGGCCAGGCTGATCTCGAACTCCTGATCTCATGATCTGCCTGCCTTGGCCTCCCACAGTGTTGGGATTACGGGCATGAGCCACCGTGCCTGGCTTCTTCTTTTTTTTAACCTTTCCTATGGTGCTGAGTATTTGTTATTTTTTATCTTTTTGATAATAGCCATTTTACTGGGGTAAGATATCTCATTGTGGTTTGATTTGTGTTTGCCTGATATGATTAGTGATGTTGAGTTGGTTTTTTTTTATATACCTGTTGGCCATTTGTATGTCATTTATTTATTTTTAGAGACAAGATCTTGCTATATTGCACAGGTTGGACTTGAACTTCGGGCTTAAGAGATCCTCCTACCTCAGCCTGATGAGTAGCTGGAACTACAGGCATGCACCACCATACCCTTGTACATCTTCCTTTGAGAAATGTCTATTCAGATCTTTTGCCTATTTTAAATTGAATTATTTATTTTTGCTATTGAGTTGCATGAACTCCTTGTATATTCTGATTATTAATTCCTTGATAGATGGATAGTTTACAAATGTTCTTGTAATTTTTTAAATTAGTTAATTATTTTGTAGAGACAGGGTCTCACTGTGTTGCCCATGCTGGCCTTGAACACCTGGCCACAAGCCATCCTCTTTCCTTGGCCTCTGAAAGTGCTGGGATTACAGATGTGAGTCACTGCACCCAGCCAGTTTGCAAATATTTTTCCCTTTCTGTAGGTTGTCTCTTCACTTTGTTAATTGTTTCCTTTGCTGTGCCAAAGCTTTTTAGTTTAATATAGTCCTATGTGTCTATTTTTGTTTTTGTTGCTTGCACTTTTGAGGTCTTACACAAAAAAAATCTTGCTCAGACCAGTGTTCTGGAGCATTTCCCCAATGTGTTCTAGTAGTTTTGTAGTTTCAGGTCTTAGAATCAGCTCTCAAAGCCATTTTGAGTTTATTTTTGTGTATAGTGAGATATAGGGGTCTAGTTTTATTCTTAGGCACAATGGATATCAATTTTCTGAGCACCATTTATTGAAGAGACTGCCCTTTCCCCAGTGTAAATTTTTGGCAGCTTTGTTGAAAATGAGATGGCTGCAAATGTGTGGCTTTATTTCTGGGTTCTCTATTCTGTTCCATTCGTCTATGTGTATGTTTTTATGCCAGTACCATGCTGATTTGGGTACTATAACCTTTTAGTATATGTAGTATACTACTGAAGTCAGGTACTGTAATGTCTCTGGCTTTGTTCTTTTTGCTCAGAATTACTTTGGCTATTCAGAATCTACTATGGTTCTGTACAAATTTTAAGATTAAAATTTGTAACAATCTGGTCTGGCATGGTGGCTCACGCCTGTAATCCCAGCACTTTGGGAGGCCAAGGCCAGAGGATCACTTGACATCAGGTGTTTGAGACCAGCCTGACCAACATGGTGAAACCCCGTCTCTACTAAAAATACAAAAATTAGTCAGGCATGGTAGTGCACGCATATAGTCCCAGCTACTCAGGAGGCTGAGCAGGAGAATCGCTTGAACCTGGAGGCGGAGATTCCGGTGAGCTGATGTGGCACCACTGCACTGCAACCTGGGTGACAGAGGAAAATTCTGTCTCAAAAAAAAAAAGTAACTGTTTCTTTTTATGTAAAAATGTCATTGGTATTTTGATAGGGATTGCATTAAGCCTGTAGGTTACTTTGGGCGGTATGGACATTTCAACAATATTAACTCTTCCAATTCGTGAACATCAATTATCTTTCCATTTTTTTGGTGTCCTCTTCAATTTCTTTCATTAATATTTTATAGTTATCATTGTAGAGATCTTTGATTTCTTTGGTTAAATTGATTCTTAGGTATTTTATTTTATTTTTGTAGCTATTGTAAAATGGGATTGCTCTCTTGATTTCTTTTTCAGATTGTTCACCGCTGGCATATAGAAATGCTACTGATTTTTATATGTTGCTTTTTGTATCTGCAAACTTTATGAAACTTATCAGTCCTAAAAGTTTTTTGTGATATCTTTAGTTTTTTCTCGAAATAAGGTAATGTTATCTGCAAGGAAGGACAGTGTGACTTCTTCTTTTCCAATGTGAGTGTTCCTTATTTCTTTCTCTGGTCTAACTGCTCTGGCTAGGACCTCCAGTTGAATAAAACTGGCAAAAATGGGCACCCTTGTCTTGTTCCAGATATTCAAGGAAAGACTTTCAATTTTTGTCCATTCAGTATGATGTTAGCTGTGGGTTTGTCATACATTGCCTTTATTGTTTGAGGTGTGTTCCTTCTATACCCAGTTTGTTAAGAGTCTTTATCATGAAGGGATGTTGAATTTTATTCAGTGCTTTTTCAGTATCTATTGAACTGAACTATGGTTTTTGTCTTTGATTCTGTCAATGTGGTATATCATGTTTATTGGTTTGCATATATTGAACCATCTTTGCTTCCCTGGGATCAATCTCACTTGATCTTTTACATATTAATTATTAATTTAATAAGTAATTATTATTGAAGAGACTGTCTAATAATATTAATATTAATAAATTTAATATTTATTTTTAATTTAATTTAGTTTGTTAGTATTTTGTTGAGGATTGTTGACTATGTTTCTCAGGGGTACTAGAATATAGTTTTCTTTTGTTATTGTGTCTTCATTAGGTTTTGGTATCAGGGTAAAGCTGGCCTCACAGAAGAAGCAGTACCTTCTTATTAATTTTCTGGAATAGGTCTGAATAGAATTGGTATTATTTCTTTACAAGCTTGGTAGAATATAGCAGTGAAGGCATCTGGTCCTGGGCTTTTCTTTATTGGCAGACTTTTTATTATGGCTTTAATCTTGTTACTTGTTATTGGTCTGTTTAAGTTTTCTATTTCTTCATGATTTGATCCTGGTAGTTTGTATGTGTCCAGGAATATATATATATATTCCTAAGTTGTCCAATTTGTTAGCATGCTGTTGTTTATAACAGTCTTTAATAATCCTTTATGTTTCTGTGGCATCAGTTGTAATGTATTCTTTCTCACCTCAGATTTCATTCATTTTATTTTTATTTATTTGTTTATTTTATTATTATTTTTTAGAGATGGGGTCTTGCTATGCTGCCCAGGCTGGCCTTGAACTTATGGGCTCAAGTGATCCTCCTGCATCAGCCTACCAAGTAGATGGGATGCATGCACCACCACATCTGGCTATTTTTCTTTAATTGATACTAATATTTGTACATATTTATGATGTAACTGATATTTTGATATATGCATAGAATGTGTAATGATCAAGTTAGGGTACTTAAGATATCCTTCACATCAAACATTGATCATTTCTTTGTGTTGGGAACATTTCAAATCTTCCCTTCTTGCAATTTTGAAATATACAATATATTGTTGTTAAACATAGTCACCCTACTGGGCTATTGAACACTACCTACTACCTAACTGTATGTTTGTACCATAACTTATTTTTTTCCTTTTTGAGATGGATTCTCACTCTGTCCCCCAGGCTGGAGTGCAGTGGTACCATCTTGGCTCACTCCAAACCCTGCCTCCTGGATTCAAGCGATTCTCCTGCCTCAGCCTCTGAGTAGCTGAGATTACAGTCGCCTGCCACCACACCCAGCTAATTTTTGTATTTTTAGTAGAGATGGGGTTTCACCATGTTGGCCCGGCTGGTCTAGAACTCCTGACCTCAAGTGATCCACCCACCTCGGCCTCCCAAAGTGCTGGGATTACAGGTGTGAGCCACCATGCCTGGTGTGTTATTTTTTTTTCTTTTCAATAATAACCATTATAACTGGGGTAAGATGTTGTCTTATTATGGTTTTGATTTGTATTTTCCTGATGATAAGTGATGTTGACTTTTTTTTTTTTTTTTTTTTTTGAGGCAGGATCTCACCCAGGCTGGACTGCAGTGGTGCGATGAAAGCTTACTGCAACCTCGACCTCCCACCTCAGCCTCCTAACTGGCTGGGACTACAGGCATGCATCATTACATCCAGCTAATTTTTAAATTTTTTGTAGAGATGGGTCTCACCATGCTGCCCAGGCTTATCTCAAGCTCCCAGCCTCAAGCAGTCCTCCCAACTCAGCCTCCCAAAGTGCTGGGATTACAGGTGTGAGCCACCACACCTGGTCTTATAATGTTTACATTGATTTGCATATGTTGAACCATTGTTGCATCAGCTGGATGAATCCCATGTGATCATGGTATCTGTCTAAATATCTTTTTAACGTGTTTTTGGATTCAATATGATAATATTTTGTTGAGGATTGTTGACTCTATGTTTATCAGAGATCTCAGCCCATAGTCTTTTTTTGTGATGTCCTTGTCTGGTTTTGGTATCAGGGTTATGCTGATCTGACAGGATGAGTTAAAAAGTACCTCCTTCTCTTAGTTTCTTTGGAATAGTTTGGGAAGAATTGGCGTACATTGTTCTGTATACGATTGATACGATTCAGCAGCAATGCCATCTGGTCCTGGACTTTTCTTTGTCGGGAGTTTTTTTAAATTACTGATTCAATCTCATTCCTCATTATTAGTCTGTTTAGGTTTTCTATTTCTTTGTAGTTCAATCTTCGTGGTTGTGTGTCCAAAAATTTTCCATCTCCTTCCATTTCTTAGCATATAGTGGCTTGTTATAGTCTCTAATAATCTTTTGTGTATGTGTGGAATCAGTTGTAATGTCTCCTTTTTTCCCCCAATTTTGATTATTTAGGTCTTCTTCCTTTTTTTTCTTGATTAGTCTAGCCAGGTTTATCAATTTTGTATATCTTTTCAAAAAACCAACGTTTTCTTTCATTGATCCTTTGTATTGTTTTTAAGTCTCTATTTCATTTAATTCTGCTATTTTTTATAGCTTTTGCTTATTTTATTCAATATTATTTGAACTTAATCATTCACAAATTTAACCTATCCTTAAAAGTAGGCATTACTTATTTTAGTATAATCCAATTTGCATAGAAAACAAACCCTTTACATATTCACACTTAGGAAGTACACAGAAAAAAACATGAAAGAATATACATTATTAAATTCAAACACTGGGAACCTTTGGGAGGGTAATAAAGGGAGATCATTTTTTATCCCATTCTATATATTTGAATTTTTACAACGTGTATTTATGGATTACTCACATAAATTTTTTTAAAGAGGTATAATGAGATCCAATTAAACCACACTTTCTAGCCATTATTTGCATATTAATCAAGACTTCTATTATTTCAAGTAGCTCTTAAAGTTTGTGAAATGCTTTCTAATTTCCCCCTCAATTTTGCTTGCTCTAGTCATTTATTTAGTAAACCCTCTTCCTCACTCATAAGTTAATTCCAGTTTTGTCAGAAGTACAACTTAAAGTGGCTCCAGGCTACAGGTAATCCTGTTCAAAATTCAGGAACTAAAGAAATTTGGATGGGTTTTTGGAACTAAAAAAATGTTTAGATAATGTGTTCTATATCCAAACTCATAAATGAATGTATGTGGTATCAAGGAATACTTCGTATTGCTATTTGGGGACTTTTGCATTAATGTTGCCTTTAGGGAAGTGGTTTATAATTCTTGGGTGCCCACTGGAAAAATCTGTGGAACTTTAAAAAAATACATAGATGCTTAGGTTCCATCTTTAAAGATTTTGAGTCTGTGGTTGTAAGGGAAGCAAATATTCTTTAGAAATGCTTTTTCCTAAGAAGAAGAAGAAGAATAAGAAAAAAAGAAATGCTTTTTCCTAAATCTCGATCAGTGATTATATAAATATATGTGTAAAAAAATGACATTACCCAGAGAATGACTGAATACAGAACCTTACGGAATGCAAAAACTAAAAAATTCAGAGTAAAGTTAGGTTTTTTTTGGGAGGAAGGGAACAGAATTGGTTTCTGCTAAACATGTTCAAAAGCACCAAAAAGATTAAAAACAATTAAAAAATACTTATTTTTCCAACAGTGGTGTTTTGCAGTAGATAATCTTTCTCGGAAACCATATACTGATAATATAGTGCAAAGACTGAAAACAAATAATAAACATAATCCTGATGTTTATTTATCAAATGTCAATCAGTGGAATCTTTGACTGGCTTTTAAAATGAGGGCAGTTTCGTTACACTGGCATACTTGGCAAACCAGGTAAATACAGAAACCCTTTTCAAGATTTAAAAAATGGAGCAACACTGGTCAGCATTTGGTATGTGAATATAATACATCTACTGAAAATCTTCCCATACATCATGAAAACTTGAAGGTAATTTGTATAGCTTGAAATGTCTTTAGAATATTAGGCACAAAAGGGCCTCATCAGGAACAGTAAAGTGGCATTTTCTGTGTTTCAACTACAATTTAGAACCCAACTGGCTTTGATGTTATATTAAGTAAATTATACTTCAAGCTCCAGAGTATGTGGGGCATAAAATCCTGATTCGAGTTTTATATGACAAAAATTCTAGTAAATATTCCTTTTACTAAGTGGCTTATCAATATTCTCAGACTCAATCTAATCAAGAAAAAGTAGTTTCCACTCTTCTTTTGTTCTACATCCTTAATTAAATTAAATTAATTTATTTGTGGTCTATAGTGGTTTGGATCTCTTCTGAATGTAGTTTCAAGCTGAGACTAAAATGTATTCATGCCAGCCAAAAGGGTTTGAGGACTGTTTGCAACTGTGTTCTTAGTAGATGGAACACCATCGAAAATGATGACATGATCCGCTAGATAGGTGGCCATGATGAAGTCATGTTCCACAACAAAGGCTGTCTTTTTTGCATGAAGTATGAAACGTTTGACAACTCGAGCTGCCATCAGTCTTTGCTCAGAATCCAAATATGCAGATGGTTCATCAATTAAATAGACATCAGCAGGTTTGCCCAAACAAAGGGCTAAAGCTACTCGCTGTAGTTCACCACCCGATAATGTCTGCACCTCTTGATCGATGATGTTTTCAATTTGCAGAGGCTTCATTACATTAGTCACAAATTGTGGATGTGTATAAGCATCTCTTATCTTTTCACGTAGTAACTGGCGAACACTTCCAGTTGATTTAGGACTAATTTTCTGTAACTTATAACTGACATTTAGAACTGGTACTTCTCCTTCTTCATCAGGTTCAAGTCTTCCAGCAAGCATTCTGATAAATGTCGTTTTACCCATTCCATTTTCCCCTAGCATCATCACCATGATTTCAGAATCTGTAAACTCTCCAGCTACAATTGCTAGCTCAAACTCTCCCATTTTTAATTCATTCCTGAATATTTATACATACACATCATTTTGACTTCTTCTTCATTTGCTGTCTCAGCCACTTTAAAAACAAGTGATGCATCTTGGAATCTCAGGTTTTCTGTTGGAACATAGCCATCCAAAAAAATGTTTATGCCCTTTCTTACACTAAAAGGCACAGTGACAACTCCATAGGTGCTTGGTACACCATATAAACAGCAGATGAAATCAGAGAGATAGTCTAATACACCTAGATCATATTCCACTACAACGATATATCTATCTGGATTTATCAGAGATTGTATAGTAATAGCAGGCTTTAAATGCTGTTTGACATCTAGGTAACGAGAAGTCTCACCAAACATGAAAATATCAGCTTTCTGTATGCAAATGACAGCACAGGCAAATCTCTGCAACTCTCCTCCTGAAAGATCTTCAACATTTCGTTCTGTTAGGTGGGTTAATTCAAGCTGCTGACATACAATTGCCTGTGTCTTTGTTTCATCTTTTCAGTCCAAAATAGATCCCACTGTCCCCTTTGCAGGCTTAGGAATCTGGTCTACATATTGAGATTTGATGATGGCTTTTAGGTTCTCTTCTAGAATCTTGGTAAAGTAATTCTGTAATTCAGATTCACGGAAATAAGTCAAAATGTCTTGCCAGTCAGGAGGATCATCGTACTTTCCAAGGTTTGGCTTTTGTTTTCCTGCTAAAAATTTTTAAAGCAGTTGACTTTCCAATACCATTAGTTCCAACTAATCCCAAAACTTTACCTGGACGAGGGATAGGCAACCTGTTAATTTAGATGACATTGGCACAATATCAATGTGTGGTTTCTTTTTCCAAGTTGCTTGGTAAATTGTCAATTGATAGGGCGCCAAAGGGGCATTTCTTAATACAGATACCACAACCAATACAAAGAGTTTCAGAAATCCATGCTATTTTGCTCTGGGGTGTAACTTCTATGCATAATTCTCCCATTTGAACTACAGGACAACTCTTTTTGCATTCCTGTTGACATTTCTTAGGTTTACATTTGTCATGATTGACAATAGCAATTCTCATTAATTTGTCTGCTAGAACTGTGCGAAAGAATATCCAGCTCTTCTGGAGAAAATGATCCCCTTGAGGAGGGGAGCACAGAGGCCAAAGCAGCTCTTGTCTTTACTTTTCAGTCACACAGCATGTTCTCGTGGCCACTGGCCAAAATGGCTTTTTTTTTTTTTTTTGAGATGGAGTCTCACTCTTGTTGCCCAGGCTGTACTGCAATGGTACAATCTTGGCTAACTGCAACCTCCGCCTCCTGGGTTCAAGCTATTCTCCTGCCTCAGCCTCCCGAGTAGCTGGGATTACAGGCCACCGCCACCACGCTTAGCTAATTTTTTGTATTTTTAGTGGAGACGGGGTTTCACCATGTTGGCCAGGCTGGTCTTGAACTATTGACCTCAGGTGATCCACCCGCCTCGGCCTCCCAAAGTGCTAAGATTACAGGCATCACTGTGCCCGGCCTATTCTTTTTTTATTAATAAAAGAAAAATTAAAATAGAGGCAGGGTCTCATTCTGCACTCACCCAGGCTGGAGTGCAGTGGTGCAATCACAACTCACTGCAGCCTCAAACTTCTGGGCTCAACAATCCTCCTGCTTCAGCCTTCTCAGTAGCTGGGACTACAGGCACCCACAACCATGCCCAGCTAATTTTTTGTTTTATTTATTTTATATATATATATATATTTATTTAATTAATTTATTTTTGAGAAGGTGTCTTGCTCTGTCGCCAGGCTGGAGTGCAGTGGCGTGATCTCAGCACACTGCAACCTCCGCCTCCCAGGTTCAAGTGATTCCTCTGCCTCAGCCTCCCGAATAGCTGGGACTCCAGGCACGTGCCACCATGCCCAGCTAATTTTTGTGTTTTTAGTAGAGATGGGGTTTCACCATGTTGGCCAGGATGGTCTCAATCTCTTGACTTCATGATCCGCCCACCTCAGCCTCCCAAAGTGCTGGGATTACAGGCGTGAGCCTATGTGCTTGGCCAATTTTTTATTTTTTATAGAGATGGGGTCTCATTATGGTGAAATGATATTGCATTGTGGTTTTGATGTGCGTATCTCTGATGACTAGTGATGTTAAGCATTTTTTTCATATACCTGTTTGCCATGTGTATGTCTTCTTTTGAAAAATGTCTGTTCAAATCCTTTGACCATTTTAAAATCAGATGATTATTACTTTTTGCTATTGAGCTATTTGAGTTCCTTACATATTCTGATTATTAGTCCCTTGGCAGATGGATAGTTTGCAGATATTTTCCTCCATTCCATGGATGATCTCCCTCTCTGTTTTTTTTTGAGACAGGGTCTCACTCTGTCACCCAGGCTGGAGGGCAGTGGTGCAATCACAGCTCATTGTAGTCTCAGCCTTCTGGGCTCAGGTGATCCTCCCACCTCAGCCTCCCAGGTAGCTGGGACTACAGGTGTGTGCCAGCATGCCTGGTTAATTTTTTGTAGAGACAAGGTTTTGCTATGTTACCCAGGCTAATTTCAAAATCCTAGGATCAAGCGATCTGCCCGCCTCAGCTTCCCAGAGTGCAGGGATTACAGGCGTGAGCCACTGTTCCTGGCCTCTGTGAGTTATCTCTTCACATTGTTAATTGTTTCCTTTGTTTTATAGAAGCTTTTTAGCTTGACATAATCCAGTTTTCTGTTTTGCTTTGGTCACCTGTGCTTTTCAGGTCTTACAGAAAAAAAATCTTTGCCCAGATGCATGTACTGGAGCAATTCCCCAATGTTTTCTTCCAGTAGTTTCATAGTTTCAGGTCTTAGAATCAACTATTTAATCCATTTTGAATTTATTTTAATGAATGGTGAGAGATATAGGTCTAGTTTCATTCTTTTTTTTAAAATTTTATTATTACTATACTTTAAGTTTTAGGGTACATGTGCACAACGTGCAGGTTTGTTACATATGTATACATGTGCCATGTTGGTGTGCTGCACCCATTAACTCTTCATTTAGCATTAGGTATATCTCCTAATGCTATCCCTCCCCCCTCCCCCCACCCCACAACAGTCCCTGGTGTGTGATGTTCCCCTTCCTGTGTCCATGTGTTCTCATTGTTCAATTCCTACCTATGAGTGAGAACATGTGGTGTTTGGTTTTTTGTCCTTGTGATAGTTTGCTGAGAATGATGGTTTCCAGCTTCATCCATGTCCCTACAAAGGACATGAACTCATCATTTTTTATGGCTGCTAGTTTCATTCTTTTGCATAGAGTTATGTAGTTTTTCCAATACCATTTATTGAAAAGACTGTCCTTTTCCAATTGTATGTTTTTGGTGCCTTTCTCAATAATGAGTTGTTGTAAATGTGTGGATTTATTTCTGGGTTCTCTATTCTGTTTTATTGGTCTGTGTGTTTGTTTCTATGCCAGTACCATGCTGTTTTGGTGACTATAGTTTGTAATAAATTTTGAAGTCATGTAGTGTGATGCCTGTAGCTTTGTTCTTTTTGCTCAGGATTCCTTTGGTTATTTAGGGTCTTTGTGGTTCCATATAAATTTTAGGATTGCTCTTTCTATTTTTGTGAAGAATGTCATTGGTAATTTGATAGGGATTACATTGATCTGTAAATTGCTTTGGGAAGTATTGTCATTTTAACAATATTCTAATCTATGAGCATAAAATATTTTTCTATTTTTAAATGTCCTCTTCCATTTATTTCATTAAAGTTTATTTTTATTTTTATTTTGTTGTTGTTGTTGTTGTTTTGAGACGGAGTCTTGCTCTTGTTGCCCAGGCTGGAATGCAATTGCATGATCTCGGCTTACTGCAACCTCCGCCTCCTGGGTTCAAGTGATTCTCCTGCCTCAGCCTCCCGAGTAGCTGGGATTCCAGGCACCTGCTACCACATCCGGCTAATTTTTGTATTTTTAGAGACAGGGTTTCGCCATATTGGACAGGCTGGTCTCGAACTCCTGACCTCAAGTGATCCACCCGCCTTGGCCTCCAAAAGTGCTGGATTACAGACATGAGCCACCACGCCCGGCTTAATTTTGGTTTCTATGTTGATTTTTCCGTCCGAAAAATCTATCTAGTTTTGAAAGTGGGGTGTTGAAATGTTCTACTATTCTTGTGTTGAAGTCTCTCTCTCTCTCTAGCTAGAATAATATTTGCTTTATATGTCTGGGTGCCTTAGTGTTGGATGCATATATATTTGCAACCGTTATATCCTCTTGCTGAACTGACTCCTTTATCATTATATAATGACCTTCTTTGTCTCTTTTTACAGTTTTTGACTTTGTCTATTTTATCGGATGTAAGTATAGCTACTCCTGCTCTTTTTTGGTTTTCATTTGCATGAAACATTTTTTTTCCACCCTTCTCTTTCAGTCTATGTGTGTCTTTATAGGTGAGGTGAGTTTCTTTTTTATTTTATTTATTTTATTTATTATTTATTTATTTTTTTGAGACGGAGTCTCGCTCTGTCGCCCAGGCTGGAGTGCAGTGGCACAATCTCGGCTCACTGCAAGCTCCGCCTCCTGGGTTCACCCCTTTCTCCTGCCTCAGCCTTCCAAGTAGCTGGGACTACAGGCGCCCGCCACCACGCCTGGCTAATTTTTTGTATTTTTAGTAGAGACGGGGTTTCACCGTGTTAACCAGGATGGTCTCGATCTCCTGACTTCGTGATCCGTCCACCTCGGCCTCCCAAAGTGCTGGGATTACAGGCGTGAGCCACTGCACCCGGCTGGTGAGGTGAGTTTCTTGTAGGCAGTATGTAGTTTAGTCTTTTTATTTTTATCCATTCAGCCATTCTATGTTTTTAAATTGGAGAGTTTAGTCCATTTACATCCAATGCTATTATTGATAGGTAAGGACTTCTTATTGCCGTTTTGTTACCTGTTTTCTGGTTGTTTTCTAACTCTTCTTTCTTTCTTACTGTCTTCCTTTGTGGTTATTTTCTCTGGTAGTGTGGTTCACTTTCTTGCTTTTATTTTTTGTGTGTCTATTATAGGTTTTTGTTTTGTGGTTACCATGGGGGTTACAAAAAAAATCCTATAATTATAAGAAGTCATTTAAAACTGATGACAACGTTGTAAAGAAAAGAAATAGCTAAAACAAAACTAAAAAATTCTATACTGTTACTGCATTCCTCTCACATTTTCATTTTTTTGTGGTCTCAATTTATATATTTTTTATCTTAAATTTTTTTTTTTCTGAGATAGAGTCTTGCTCTGTCGCCCAGGCTGGAGTGCAATGGGGCAATCTCAGCTCACTGCAACCTCTGCCTTCAGGTTCAAGCGATTTTCCTGCCTCAGCCTCCTGAGTAGTTGGGATTACAGGCACCTGCCACCACACCCAGCTGATTTTTTCTTTTTTTTGAGACAGAGTCTCGCTCTATCACCCAGGCTGGAGTGTAGTGGTGCAATCTCGGGTCATTACAACCTCCGCCTCCTAGGTTCAAGCGATTGTCCTGCCTCAGCCTCCCGAATAGCTGGGACTACAGGCGTGCACCACCATGCCCAGCTATTTTTTTGTATTTTCAGTAGAGACGGGTTTCTTTTTTTTTTTTTTTTGAGACAGTCTTCGCTGTGTTGCCCAGGCTGGACTGCAGTGGCACGATCTCGGCTCACTGCAAGCTCTGCCTCCCAGATTCACACCATTCTCCTGCCTCAGCCTCCCGAGTAGCTGGGACTACAGGTGCTCGCCACCATGCCTGGCTAAATTTTTGTATTTTTTGGTAGAGGCGGGGTTTCACCTTGTTAGCCAGGATGGTCTCAATCTCCTGACCTAGTGATGGGCCCGCCTGGGCCTCCCAAAGTGCTGGGATTACAGGCGTGAGCCACCGTGCCTGCTAATTTTTGTGTTTTTAGTGGAGTTGGGGTTTCACCATGTTGATCAGGCTGGTCTGGAACTCCTAACCTCAGGTGATCACCTGCCTCAGCCTCCCAAAGTGCTGGGATTACAGGCATGAGCCACCGCGCCCAGCCTTTATCTTAATTTTTAAATTTTAAAATAATTTCTCTTTCCCATTGGTCTGTGTGATGCATCACTTTATATCTTTTTATAGTGTCTTCCACTTAATAAAATGCTGTATTATTTTTCATGTATTTTTTAATCTTTATACTTAAAACATAAGTGGTTTCTACACTACAATTACAGTTTTAGAGTATTGTGAATTTGTCCATGTACTTGCTTTTACCAGTGAGTTTTATACCTTCAGATACTTTCTTGTTGCTTGTTAGCATCCTTTTCTTTCAGATTGAAGAACTTCCTTTAGGATTTCTTGTAAGACAGATCTGATGGTGATAAATTATCTCAGCTTTTGTTTGTCTGGGAAAGTATTTCTCCTTCATATGGGAAGGATAGCTTTGCTGGAAACAGTATTTTCAGTCAAAAGTTTTTTTCCTTCACTTTGAATATGTCATATCATTCCTTCCTGTCCTATAAGTGTTCCACTGAAAAGTCTGCTACTAGACATATTGGATCTCCTTTATGTGTTACTCGTTTTTTTTTTCTTGCTGCTTTTAGGATCCTTTCCTTGTCCTTGTCCTTTGAGAGTTTGAGTATTATATGCTTTGGAGAGTCTTATTTTAATTGAATCCCCATGGTGATTTTTGACCTTTTTATACCTGGATATTAATATTGCTCTCAAGATTTGCATACTTCTCTATTATTATTTATTTGAATAAATCTTCTATCCCTATCTCTTTCTCTACTTTCTCTTTTAGGTCAGTGACTCTTAGATTTGCTATTTTGAGGCTATTTTCTATATCTTTAAGTGTTTTTTCATTCTTTTTTCCTTTTTTCTCTTCTGCATATTTTCAAATAGCTTTGAGCTCACAAATTCTTTCTTTTGCTTGATCAGTTCTTCTGCTGACACACTTGACGCATTTTTAAACTTGTCAATTGCATCTTTCAGCTCCAAGTTTTCTGTGCTTAAAAATTATTTCAATCTCTGTTAACTCTGATAAATTTTAGAATTACTTCTCTGTTTTATTGAAGTTCTTTGAGCTTCCTCAAAATAGCTGTTTTGAATTCCCTGTCTGAGAGGTCATATGTCTCTATCTCTCCATGGTCAGTTATTGGTGTTGTATTTAGTCAGTTTGGTGAGGTGATATTTGTTCTTAATGTTCTGTTCTTTTTTTTTTTTTGAGATGGAGTCTCACTCTGTTGTCCAGGCTGGAGTTCAGTGGCACGATCTTGGCTCACTGCAACCTCTGCCTCCTAGGTTCAAGCAATTCTCCTGCCTCAGCCTCCTGAGTAGCTGGGATTACAGGCATGCACCACCACATCCAGCTAATTTTTGTATTTTTAGTAGAGATGGGGTTTCACCATGTTGGCCAGGATGGTCTTGAACTCCTGACTTTGTGATTTGCCCGCCTTGGCCTCCCAAAGTGCTGGGAGTGCATGAGCCACTGCGCCCGGCTTTGTTCTTAATGTTCTTAATGCTTGTGGACATTCATCGATGTCCAGGCATTGGAGAGGTGGGTATTTATTCCAGTTCTCACAGTCTGACTTAGTTTGTTCCTGTCCTTCAGAGGGCCTTCAAAAGATTCAAAAGGAACTCTTGGGTTCTTGTCTATGGTCACTGCAGCCATTTCAGCACCAGAGGGCACCCTAAGCCCAGTTATGCTGTGACTCTCTTCCAGCCTCCTAGATACCCAGCCCAGATGGACGTGGGGATGATCAGGGAGAAATCCCTGAGTTGCAAGGGAAAGTCACTCATTCATTTTCCTCTTTGTCACCCAAATGCCCAAATAGAAGGAGTCTCTCTCAGCACTGAGCTGCCTGAAGTTGGGGGAGGGGTTATATGGGCACCTCTGTGGCCATCACAGCTGGTATTATGCTAGGTTACACCCCAAGAACATAGCTTCCTGACCAGTGCAGCACTAGGGGTCACACAAAGACCGAGGTCACTATGGCCTGGCTGCCACTAACACTTATTCAGGCTTTACCACCCTTTCCTTCCCCACCCACCCCTCCAGCACACAGATTCTTCCTACAAGCTGCTTTAGTTGCTTGGGGTTAAGGGAGGAGTTGTGTCGGCAATGTGAGACTGTCCCTTCTACCCTTTTTAATGTGTCTTTTCTTCTTATTATGCTAAAACCAGGTACTGTGATTGCTCCTCTGATTTTGTAATTCTTGTGAAGGTGCTTTCTTACGTGGAGATTTGTCCAATTGGAGGTTCCTGTGCAGGGACGATTGCTGGAGGGTTCTTTTCAGCCATCTTGCTCCACCTCCCTTGAGACAGTTCCTATTAGTTTGCTGAAGTCTGTGCTCTGGCAAGCAAATATACTACTTGGATGAAGGAGGCAGAAATATAGATCAGATGCTAGTACAAATGAGTGGTTACTGGTTAGATAACTTTGCTTATAAAGTGTTTAGCCAATGGATCAATATCAAACTAGACAAATGAAAAATTCAAATTGTGAAAGAGTAGGTTGAGAACAATACCATTTTGGTTTTGAAAATGATATATTTGAATTCAAAATATAAGCCTAGGCAGCGTAGTGAGACCCTGTCTCTATAAAAAATGAAAATAATAGCTGGAGATGGTGGTGTGTACCTGCTAGGGAGGCTGAGGTGGGAGGATCACTTGAGCCCAGGAGTTTGAGGTTACAGTGAACTATGATCACACTGTTGCACTCCAGCCTGAGTGACAGAGTGAGACCCTGTCTCTGACAAAACAAACAAACAAAAAACAAAAAACAAAAGAGAACAAGGAAATATTTATGTATTATCAGCAGTGTAAGGTAGCACAGCTGTCCAACAGAGCAATACTCAGTGATGTTAAGAATATGTGTACTCTGTGACTCTCTACAACAATTTGACTCCTGAGAATATATCCTAGAGGAACCCTTCATTGACAATCAGGGAGACAGAAATAAGGATGTTCATCATATTTTTGTTTGTAGCAAACAAGAAGCAACATAAAAGCAGTACCTTAGACCTGGACAAGAGGGGCCTCTGCTCTAGATCTGCACTTCAGAATTCTTCGTGTATCACAATGACATAAAAAGTACACATGGGCACCCTGGCCACTGACTTCATATTTAGGGCTGGCACAGCCTGACCTGTGACCCTGCATATTCTTTGTTGTGACTGATGTTATTCAGGCTCCAGGGCAATGCATCCATATATCTTGCTCTACGTCCTTAAAAAAGGGGGCTGAATTAGAATGTTGCAAAGGTCTTTAGATTGTACTGTTGCCAGCCTTGGAGATGGGCACTGCTTCGGAGCATAGAAAACACTTGAGTGGCAAAAAAAACTCAGGTAAGGGATAAAATAAATTAATTACAGAACTTGACAAATCCTTCCTCTCAGATGCTACAAATACATTAGAATCTCACATAATGAAGCATCGTTTCTCAGTAGTGCTGGGGATCCATTTCTTTGCTTCTCTCGATGTTCCAATTCAGGTTACTCACAAATTAACACTGTGTTTGCAACACACAAACCTAGCAGCTGAGGTGCATTTGCAATAATGAGCAATTCATATTACTAAATATATATATATGTGGTTTAGACAAAGGGGCTTAAAATGAATAACTGATTATTTACATTGGCAACTAAATGGACACAGTGCTAGAATTGTAAATAGTTTTATTTTTGTAAAAATATATTAAGCTTGTAATCCCAGCACTTTGGGAGTCTGAGACAGGAAGATCACTTGAGCCCAGGAATTTGGGACCAGCCCAGGCAACATAGTGAGACCCCATCCACACACACACAATTAGGAGAATTGTTTAAGCCTGGGAGGTCAAGGCTACAGTGAGCCAATATTACACCACTGCACTCCAGCCTGGATGACAGAGCAAGACCCTGTCTCAAGGAAAAAAAAAAATATATATATATATATATATAAAAATACATATGAAATATGTATTATATATGTACATGAAAGTTTAGTCAAATTTTCAAAAAACTAAATTTACTTATTTATTTATTTATTGAGACTGAGTCTCGCTCTGTCACCCAAGCTGGAGTACAGTGGCGTGATCTTGGCTCACTGCAACCTCCGCCTACCGGGTTCAAGCAATTCTCATGCCTCAGCCTCCCAAGTAGCTGGGATTACAGGCACGTGCCACCACGCCCGGCTAATTTTTGTATTTTTAGTAGAGACGGAGTTTCACCATGTTGGCCAGGTTGCTGTCTAACTCCTGACCTCAAGTGATCTGCCCACCTTGGCTCCCAAAGTGCTAGGATTACAGGCGTGAGCCACTGCACCCGGCCAGAAAACTAGATTTAAAATTCCACTTCATTTCAACTATTTTGACCAAATATTTGTTTTTTTGTTTGTTTGTTTGTTTGTTTGTTTAGTGAGATGAATGATTGCCTTTATTTATTTTGAGATAGCTTTTTGCTCTGTTGCCCAGGCTGGAGTGCAGAGGCTTGATTATACCTCACCGCAGCTGCAACCTCTCAGGCTCAAATGATCCTTCTGCCTCAGCCCCCCAAGTAGCTGGGACCACAGGTGCATTCTGCTACACCTGGCAAATTCTTTATTTTTTGTAGAGCTGGGATTTTCCTATGTTTCCCAGGCTGATGTCAAACTTCTGGGCTCAAGCAATCCTTCTGCCTTGAACTCTCAAAATGCCAGATAGTAAGTGGGAGCCGCCATGCCTGCCCAATATTATTTTAACCGCACAATGATTACAGAAAACAGTGTGACCTTTCTAGGTTTAGAATAAATTATTTTGAAAATAGAAGCTAAACATTTAAGACAGATAAATAGCAATCACGGTCCAGGATAAAAATTCAAAATAATACAAAATAATAATTATTTTGAATGGCTAAACATTTAAAACAGATAAATAACAATCACTGTCCAGGATGAAAATTCAAAATAATTCAAAATAATAATAATGGTTAATAAAGTGAGAAAAGAAATCATACACAAAATAGAAATCGAAATATTTACATTATTCACTTCAACTAGATTGCAGAAAGTCATGTTGAATAATTATATATACACACATATTTGAACTACCAAAAAACCCACAAAGAAGTAGAAAATTAAGGAATGCTTCACTGATTTTATACCTGCTATAAAAAAAAAGTTCAGGCTTTTGGCTTAAGTCACAAAGTGAGAAAACATTTCTCAGTTTTAAGCATTGATTCAAAAGATTGCCCAAAGCAAGCCAGCGAAGAAGTCTGGATGGCCCTGGAAGCACATTTCTTTCCCTCCTTTGGTAGCTTAGCAGGGAGCTGGCTCATCAGGACTGAGCCTGTCTGCAGAGGGACAGCTAGGCCACTGGCTGATGCTAATGTTCCCAGGAGGTAGAGATTCTTCAGGGCTGTTCCCAAGACCCTTGATGTGTCACTCTACACTTGGTGTTCTTCCTGGACCTGAGATCCCTTGATACATATATTTTTTTCTTTCTTGGAGAAACTAGGTCGTCCCCACTGTCTTTTTTTTTCTTTTTTTTCTTTTTTTTGAGACGGAGTCTCGCTCTGTCGCCCAGGCTGGAGGGCAGTGGCGCGATCTTGGCTCACTGCAAGCTCTGCCCCTGGGTTCACGCCATTCTCCTGCCTCAGCCTCCCGAGTAGCTGGGACTACAGGCGCCTGCCACCACACCTGGCTAATTTTTTTTTTTTTTTTTTGTATTTTTATTAGAGACCGGGTTTCACCGTGTTAGCCAGGATGGTCTCGATCTCCTGACCTCGTGATCCGCCCGTCTCGGCCTCCCGAAGTGCTGGGATTACAGGCGTGAGCCACCCCCACTCCCGTTTAGTTCAAAAATTTTTAAGTATGTAACAGTGAGGAGGCAAGGTCCTGTCTTCTCGACTGCTGTTCATGGCATGTCTAGTCTTTTGCCTTAGGCTGGCCCCAGAGACTTTGGCCAAGTTGCATTCAGAACATGTAGGCCAGGGCCAGGCATGGTGATTCATGCCTGTAATCCCAGCACTTTGGGAGACCCAGGTGGGTGGATCACTGGAGGTCAGGGGTTCGAGACCAGCCTGGCCAACATGGTGAAACCTCATCTCTACTAAGCATACAAGAATTAGGTGGGCATGGTGGTGCATGCCTGTAATCCCAGCTACCTGGGAGGCTGAGTCAGGAGAATTGCTTGAACCCAGGAGGTAGAGGTTGCAGTGAGCCGAGATCGTGCCACTGCACTCTAGCCTGGGTGACAGAGTGAGACTCTGTCTCAAAATAAAACAAAAACATCTAGGCCAGGCCTGTGTTATGAAATAGCAAGAGTTCAGGGGACTGTGTGTGCTCTACCAGTAAATCCTGTTATAGATGCACATATGGCACTAGTAGTGTGTGTCTGTAACTTTGTGATATCCTCCACCCCAAGCACAATAAAGCCTACAATAAAGGCCTTGCTAAAATAAAGTATACATGCTATAATTTTAGCCAAAAATCCAGAAACATTCTTGAAATCACTTATGCCACTTCGAATTAGTTGGATGTTAATCAGCCAATAGCAATGATATTCTCTGGATCAAATCAAAGACTAAATACACTATTCTTTTTTTTTTTTTCTTTTCTTGACACAGGGTCTCGCTCTGTCACCCAGACTGGAATGCAGTGGCACGGTTTTAGCTCACTACAGTCTCCACCGCCAGGTTCAGGCGATTCTCATGCCTCAGCCTCCCCAGTAGCAGGGATTACAGGTGCATGCCAGAATGCCCAGCTAATTTTTGTATTTTTAGTAGAGACAGGGTTTCGCCATGTTGGCCAGGCTGGTCTCGAACTCCTGGCTTCAAGTGATCCACCTGCCTTGGCCTCCCAAAGTGCTGGGATTACAGGCCACCGTGCCTGGCCTAAATATAGTATTCTTGATCTGCCCAAACACTGAACACCCTGATGAAGTATAAACAAAATCACTTTTGAACACAGGAGGAAAATGTTTATTAAATGTTGTTAACGTAATTGGATTTAATTTAGACAAGATATACAATGCACTAGAAAAGTTAAACAAAACAAAAGAAGATCTTTAAGCAAAGAGCAATTTGTGAGCTTTGTGGGAGAATGAAATTTATTTTGAAGTTGCACTAGTCACAGTTATTTGGTATTACTATTTCTAATGTCATTAATTCCTATTCATTGCTATTACTAATGTTAGCAAAGCTTTAGCAAAAAACCTTACATATCCAAGTTTCACTTTTGAGAAAATATTTTTTAAATTTTAGAGAAAATAGTTCTTTTTTTTCTGAGTCTGTTTCTAGGGAAGAGAAAATAGTTCTAAAACAAAGTATACTGAACAAGATGACATTCAAATAAAATATGCAGAAATTAGAGCAAAGAAACAGAAAAGTTTATATAAATTTCATAAATGAGATGATTCATGTACAAATAACCATCAAACATTTCCATAAAGCATGCTTTCTAGATATGATAGATTGAAGAGACATTTAAACAAATTGATTAGCATACTCCCAATTTTAGTTTTTTTTGTAATGCCCCAGCATTAAAAACTTTGAAACAACTTAATAAATATTCTCCTTCTTTTTTTTTTTTCTGAGACAGAGTCTCACTCTGTTGCCCAGGCTGTAGTACAGTGATGCGGTCTTAGCTCACAGCAACCTCCACCTTCTGGGTTCAAATGATTCTCCTGCCTCAGCCTCCTGAGTAGCTGGGACTACAGGAACAAGCCACCATTCCTGGCTAATTTTTGTATTTTTGGTAGAGATGGGGTTTCACCATGTTGGCCAGGCTGGTCTTGAACTGACCTCAGGTGATCCACCCGCCTCAGCCCCCCAAAGTGTTGGGATTACAGGTGTGAGCCATCATGCCCGGCCAGAATTTAATATTCTATGGATATATTGTTTTTAAAGAGATAATAGGCCAGGCATGGTGCTTCACGCCTGTAATCCCAGCACTTTGAAGGCCCAAGGTGGGAAGATTGCTTGAGGCCAGGAGTTCGAGACCAGCCTCGGCAAAATAGCCAGACCTCCGTCTCTAATTTTTTTAAAAAATAAGAAAAAGAAAATTGCAATATAACTGAAAGCAATTTGTATAGTAAAATTAAAATATTTGCAATATTTTTATTATAATAATTTATTATATGCATTACAATAAACAATTAATGGCATCATTTTATTGTCATGGTATATGATGCTAGAGGTAAGACTAGTGCTTACTTTAGGGCCGGGTACAGTGGCTCACATCTGTAATCCCAGCACTTTGGGAGACCGAGGTGGGTGAATTACTTGAATCCACGAGTTTGAGATCAGCCTGGGCAATATGGCCAAACGTTGTTTCTACAAAAAATACAAAGCTGAAGTGGGAGGACGACTTGAGTCCAGGAGGCAGAGGTTGCAGTGAGCTCAGAAAGCACCATTGCACTCCAACGTGGACTACAGAGACCCTGTCTCCAAAAAAAAAAAAAAAAGAATACTGCTTACTTTGTGGGGTACAGAAAGAATAGAAAGGGGCCTGAGAGATCTTACTGGGGAGCTGATCTATTTCTTGATCTGGGTGGTGGGTTTCATGGGCATAAACATGCACAAAGGTATTGAGTTATACACTTAAGCTTTGTGCACTTTACTGTATACAGGTTGTACACCTCAATGTGAATGTTTAAAAATTCATGGTTCTTTTTTTTTTTTTTTTGAGATGGAGTCTTGCTTTGTCGCCCACGCTGGAGTGCAATGGCACAATCTCAGCTCACTGCAACCTCTGCCTCCCGGGTTCAAGCGATTCTTCTGCCTCAGCCTCCCGAGTAGCTGGGATTACATGCATGTGCCACCACGCCCGGCTAATTTTTGTATTTTTAGTAGAAACGGGATTTCACCATGTTGGCCAGGCTGGTCTCCAACTCCTGATGTCAGGTGATCCACCCGCCTCGGGCTCCCAAAGTGGATTACAGGCGTGAGCCACTGTACCCAGACCATGGTTAATTTTTTAATATAAGTATGGCATCAGATGAGTGAAATTTCTCCAAATTAATACAAAAATTGGCCGGGTGCAGTAGCTCATGCCTGTAATCCCAGCACTTTGGGAGGTCGAGGCGGGTGGATCACCTGAGGTCAGGAGTTCGAGACCAGCCTGGCCAACATAGTGAAACCCCCATCTCTATTAAAAACACAAAAATTAGCTGGGCGTGGTGGTGCATGCCTGTAATCTGAGCTACTCAGGAGGCTGAGGCAGGAGAATCACTTGAACCCGGGAGGTGGAGGTTGCAGTGAGCTGAGATGGTACTACTGCACTGCAGCCTGGGTGTTTTAGCAAGACTCTGTCTCAGAAAAAAAATTATATATCTATAACCACTCGAAAACGTGTGTCTGCATTGGTCTTGCTGCCAGTAGAAAAGAAAATAGGGGAAGGTTTTGATTGTTATAGTGATTTTGCTGAAAAAGAAAGGCAAGAAAAATAAAGTTTTAGAATAAATATCTAATTTTTGAATTACATAGGTCTTTAAAACTCATCCAGATGTCATCATCCATCAACAGAAGATGTGGGTAAAAATAATTAATTTTAGCCTTCTTGGATGTTATGCCAACTCTAAGTCATATAAAACTCAGAGTTTTACAGATACATTTCAATTTTTCTTTTTAAAAAATTAAGGCTGAATGAAAAGGTTAAATTTGTCTTTACAAAGGAATATTTGGCAAGGAAGAAGAATAAATATCTAATTTTACAGCATGTTATTATCACTTATGACTTTTTTTTTTTTTTTTTGAGACAGAGCCTCACTCTGTTGCCTAGGCTGGAGTGCAGTGGTGCTATCTCGGCTCACTGCAACCTTCACCTCCCGGGTCAAGCGATTCTTCTGCCTCAGCTTCCCATGTAGCTGGGACTACGGGCGTGCGCTACCACTCCTGGCTAATTTTTGTGTTTTTGGTAGTGACAGAGTTTCTCCACGTTGGCCAGGCTGGTCTTGAACTCCTGACCTCGTGATCCACCTGCCTCGGCCTCCAAAAGTGCTGGGATTACAGGTGTGAGCCACCACGCCCGGCATCACTTATGACTTTTAAATATTTAAACTTATGATATATAGGCTGCCTTTGGTTTCTTGCCTCAGACCCCACAAATGTTAAGGGTGGGCCTGATTAAGGGAATGGACAGGTGAACTGTGGCATGGAGTTAGATTTATGTATCATAATATGGGTAGATCTCAAAAAATAATATTGAAAGAGATAAAGAAGAAACTGAATATTATTTATGTTTTTCAATAATAAACATTTATTTGACTTTTTCTTTCTTTCTTTTTTTTTTTTTTTTTTTTGAGACAGTGTCTCTGTGGCCCAGGTTGGAGTGCAATGGTGCAATCATGGCCCACTGCAGCCTCGACCTCCCAAGCTCAAGCAATCCTCCCACTTCAGCCTTCTGAGAGGCAGGGATTATAGACGCGTGCCATAGCACCTAACTATTTTTTGTATGTTTTAGTAGAGATGGGGTCTCTCCATGTAAGCCAGGCTGGTCTCCAACTCCTGGGCTCAAGCAATCTACCTGCCTAGGTCTCCCAATGTGCTGGGATTACAGGTGTGACCTATCTTGCCTGGCTGACATTTATTTAATACCATATAGCGTCTACTATGTGCCAGACTCTGTTCTAAGCACTTAATAAGTATTAGCTCATTAAACTAAATATTAACTCTTTACAACAATCCTATGAGGTAAGTACTAGTATTTTTTTTTATTTTTTTTAATGAAAAAACTGAGGCATATAGAGACTAAGCAAGTTGCCTGTGGTCACGTAGCTGGTAAGTAGCAGAGCCAGAATAGAACTCAGGAAGACTGTCTTCAGAGTCCTAACCAGTACTCTATACTATTTACTTAAATAAACGTAGGAAAGAGTATTGGAAGAAGCTTTAATTAAGTATACTGGAGTGGGTTTCTGTAAGGAGAAGAGAATGGGGATGAAGGAATAAATAATACAAATAACAAAGAGGAACCTTGCGCTGATCAATGGTAGTAGCAGGGCATGAACTGAGGGGTATGAGCATCTCATTTCTATGCCCCTGAGTGACTTTTTAAAACTTATTCGCTTGATAAACCAGTTGTCTTGAAGAATGGGATTATGGGAGATGTTCAGTTTCTATATTTCTATATGTTTGAATTTTTGAAAAAAGATTAATAGGTATTACCTTTGTGATAAAAAACACTGTATCCAGCTGGGCAGTGGCTCATGCCTCCCAGCACTTTGAGAGGCTGAGGCAGGAGGATTACTTGAGGCCAGGAATTTGAGACCAGCCTGGGCAACATAGCAGGAGCCTGTCTCTACAAAAATTTTAAAAAACTAGCTGGGTGTGGAGGGGCGTGCCTATAGTTCTAGCTACTCAAGACGCTGAGGCAGGGGCAGGTGGGGGTGGGTGGATCACTTGAGCCTGGGAGTTCAAGGCAGCAGTGAGCTATGATGGCACCACTGCACTGCAGCCTGGGCAACAGAGCAAGACTGTCTCAAAAAATAAAATAAAATAAAATAAATCCCAGAACAATAGGTTAAATCTCCCAAGATGAAATTCGTAAGCATATTTAAGACGCTAATTTTTTTGCAAGGAAAAATAAGAATATCTTTCTTTCATTCTTTTTAACTTTTATCTTAGATTTGAAGATACATGTGCAGGTTTGTTACTTGGTTATATTGCATGATGCTGAGGTTTGTGGTATGATTGATCCCATCACCCAGGTTCTGAACATAGTACCCATGACAGTAATTTTTGAATCCAATTTTTCTTTTTATTATCTGTGACCTAGAACAAGTTATTTAAAATTTTAAAGCCTTACTTTCCTCATGTAACGGAATGTTAAAATAGGACTCTTCTCTCAGATCTTTCCTGGGTACGTAAAAACATTTAAGAAAAAAAATAAAATAAATATAGCTGGGTGTGGTGGCTGATGCCTGTAATCCCAACATTTTTGGAGGTGAAGGCAGGAGGATTCCCTGAGCCCAGGAGTACAAGACCAGCCTGGGCACTATGGAGAGAACCTGTCTACAAAAAATTAAAAAATTAGTTGAGCATTGTGGTGAGGGCCTGTGGCCTGGGTGACAGTGTGAGACCGTGTCTCTCTCCCTCCCTCCCTCTTTTTTTTTTTTCGATGAGGTCTCACCATGTTGCCCAGCCTGGTCTCGAACTCCTGAGCTCAAGCTATCCTCCCACCTTGGCCTCCCAAAGTGCTAGGATTACAGGCATGAGCCACCATGCCTGGTCAGACCCTGTCTCGAGAGGAAAAAAAAGCCCAGGCGCGGTGGCTCATGCCTGTAATCCCAACACTTTGGCAGGCCAAGATGGGAGGATTGCTTGAGCCCAGGAATTCAAGAATAGCCTGGGCAAGACAGTGAGACCCCTATCTCTACAAAAAATTAAAAAGAATTAGCCAGGCATGGTGGCATATGCATGTAGTCCCTGCTACTGGGGAGGCTGAAGTGGGAGAATCACTTAAACCTGGGAGATAGAGGCTGCGATGAGCTGTGATGGCATCACTGCACTCCAGCCTGAGTGACAGAGTGAGACTCTGTCTCTTAAAAAAAAAAAAAAAAAAGAGAGAGGGGGTCTCACAATGTTGCCCAGGTTGGATCTTGGATCTGAACTCTTGGGCTCAAATAATCCTCCTGTCTCAGCCTCCTGAGTAGCTGGGACTACAAGTGTGTGCCACTGTGCCCAGCAAAAATCAGACTTTTTATTATCTAAGAGTGACCAGATAAGTCACAGGGCTTGCTTCTAAAGCAAGCCATCCCTCTAGAGCAGCTTTGAATGAAAAGCGGAGAAAAGAAAGCCAGTTGTTTTTCCAAATACAACTGTGAGTCCCGCCTGTTCAGTGTATCAACTATATTCATTTCTTTTTTATTTTTTTAAATTTCTTTTTCACCTATATTCATTTCTAATACAACATAATAATAGGGTTTATCTCCTAGGTTGTTGAGAAAGTAACAGAGATAATGCAAGTAAAATGCTCAGAACAGTGTTTGATACAAGGAATGAGGTCATCTTAGACCATCTAGCCCCAGTCAGACTGCCTGATGATTGCAGCGGCATAAGTGATTCCAAGTAAGACTGGCAGGAGAACCACACAGTCAAACTCAACCCAAATCACTGATCCTCAGAACTGAAAGGCCTTGGAGCCAGGTGTGGTGGCTCATGCCTGTAATCCTAGCACTTTGGGAGGCTGAGGCAGGAGGATCCCTTGAGCCCAGGAGTTCAAGACCAGTCTGGGCAACATAGGGAGACCCTGTCTCTTAAAAAAAAAAAAAAAAAAAAGAACCTGATAGACCTTGGAAAAGAGCAGATGCAGAGGGTGCATGAAGAGCAATTGTTCCTGAAAGTACGGTCCTAAAGGATAGGACTCAGGCCAAGAGGTAGATGGAAGAAAGATTTCTTTTCAATATACAGAAGAACTTTAAAAATGAAGTTTCCTGAAGATTAAATAAAGTTCCTTTGAAAGTAGTGAGTTTACTATCACTTGAGTGTTTTGTTTTGTTTTGTTTTAAGCTGGATGACCTTCAAATGTCAGGGATGGTGTAGAATGAATGAATTCAAGTCTTGTATGGGTCCCTTTACCCTTACAGTTTTTGGAACCTAAGAAAACTCTGCACATCAATTTGGCCTGGAAGTTTTGAAAATACTTTCCTTTTATTATTCACTATAGTAACAATTTTAACAGTTTTCTATGAGTTTACAGCAATAAAGATGATTCATTAGAAACGTCTGTCACAGCTATTCCTTTTTGTCCTTTTAGTTTATAAAATTGCAATTAGCCAAGTAAAATTACTTTATCCTTGGGATTTATCAAACACACATATATATACTTTTTTTTTTTTTTGATACAGAGTTTCACTCTTGTTGACCAGGATGGAGTGCAATGGCACAAGCTCAGCTCACTGCAACCTCTGCCTCCCGAGTTCAAGCGAATCTCCTGCCTCAGCCTCCTGAGTAGCTGGGGATTACAGGTGCCTGACACCATGCCCAGCTAATTTTTTGTATTTTTAGTAGAAACGGGGTTTCACCATGTTGGCCAGGCTGGTCTGGAACTCCTGATCCACCTGCCTCAGCCTCCCAGAGTGTTGGTATTACAGGCATAAGCAACGGTGCCCAGCCATATATATATATATATTATATATATATATATAATATATATATAATATATAAATATATAAAATATATATATGTATATATAATATATTTATATATTATATATAAATATTTATACATATATAAATATTAAATATATAGATATTTATACATTTATAAATATTTATATAACTATATATAAATATATATATTTATATATATATTTTAAGAGACAGGGTCTCATTCTGTTGCCCAGGCTGGTGTGTTATGGCACTATGATAGCTCACTGCAGCCTTGAACTCCTGGCCAAAAGCCATCCTTCTGCCCCAGTCTCCCAAAGTGTTGGAATTACAGGCATGAGCCACCATGCCCGGCCTATTCGGAGACTTTAATTTCTAAACCTAGCTCCTTATATGGAAAAAAGTTATAGTAATGAGTTTTAAATAAAATAGCATTCATCATTTCATTTACTTTACATGGGGTAATTATTTTGAATTTTATAATAATGAACACAACGTAGGTAATTTTTGCCGTCAGGCAAATTAGTGAGAAAAGATACATATTTGTGCCTTCTGTTTGGTTAAAATCCATCTCACTGAATGTGTGTGAGCATGACATTGAGTCTGCTAGGAAAAATAATAGTCATTATGATCTTACTTGAATGTTCACCTTTGCCTTTTTGCCCTTTATATCTGGGAGTTTTAAAGATTAAGATTTACTTTCTAGGCCAGGTGTGGTGGCTCATGCCTGTAATTCTAGCACTTTGGGAGGTTGAGGCAGGGCAGATCACCTGAGGTCGGGCGTCCGAGGCGAGCCTGACCAACATGGAGAAACCCCGTCTCTACTGAAAATACAAAATTAGCTGGGAGTGGTGGTGCATGCCTGTAATCCCACCTACTTGGGAGGCTGAGGCAGGAGAATCACTTGAACCTGGGAGGTGGAGGTTGCGGTGAGCCGAGATCATGCCATTGCACTCCAGCCTGGGCAACAAGAGCAAAACTCTGTCTCAAAAAAAAAAAATTACTTTCTATAAGGAAGGCTTACATTTGAATTGGGGCAAGATGAGTTCCCAGCACAAGGCATAGAGAATTAAAATGTTTGTCTTGGCCCAAACTCTTTTCTTTATTTTACTTTGGATTAGGAGTTTTTCTCATGGTTAACAGGCCTCTCTCACATTCCCAAACCCTACCAAACCCTAAGAGGCAGGTTGGGCCTCTCCCTCCCCTGACCTGTCAAGACTCCTCCATATGAAACCTTTTGGACTATTATTATGTGGAAAAAGAGAACTTCCATGAAGGGTCAGGCACTCCTCACTGAAGGATCAGTGGAAGGCACTTCCAGATTTAGGCCTTCCCAACAATGGTGCCCTTTAGGGAGGCTCACTTCACTTTTTTTTTTTTTTTTTTTAAATTTTTGAGACAGGGTCTCGCTCTATCACCCAGGCTAGTGTGCAGTGGCATAATCTTGGCTCACTGTAACCTCTGCCTCCCAGGCTCAAGCAATCTTTTTGTGTAAGCTTCCTGAGGAGCTGGAACCACAGGTGTGCACCACTACGCCCAACTAATTTTTTGGGGGGCGGGTCAAATGAAGCATGTTATTTCATTTCACAAAGACTGTACAAAATTCCTTATAAAACATGGGGTAGATGCCACCTGGTTACCTCACTCGGCCCCCATCCAACTCTGTATGAGGGGGCAGGTGAGGGTGGAAAGTGTGTAGATGGAATAGCATTATGTACAACGCAGGGGTTGAAGTGATAGGTACAAGTTCTTTCATATTTACTGTTTCACATATTCACAGGTATATAGAGAAGCAGCAGGAAGGAGTGAACTCTGGCTCTGTTCTCTTTTATAAAAAAGCACCAATGTCCTGGACTGGACACTCACTGCTATAAAAGATGCAGGGAGGCCCAGGGCCTGGTGGTCACGGACTGATATCCTGACTGGAGTCCCACAACTTGTTGGGTGGCTCAGCCCAAAGGCGGGAGAAGAAAGGATGCTGAAGGGCTTCACCCAAGGTCAGCCGCTGAGCTGGTTCATACTCTAGCATGCTTTCAATCAGATCGAAGAGCTGGTGGTCTTCCTCTGCCTCTGAGGTCAGATACTGCCGCAGCGGTTTGCAGTTCTCACGAACATAGCGTCCAGCTGATGTGTTCTCATCCCAATCCAGGCGACCCCGGTAAAAATATTTCTGTTTTCTTGTCTTTCGGATCATCCGGGAAGGGATAGGACCCAAGATCCTTTCCATCGTGGCTAGATGCTGTCTGTTGTCATGGGTCTGGAAGAGGGTGAAGCCCACATAGTACTCAAAGATGATGCAGCCTATACTCCACACATCACAAGGCTGTGACCAACCCAACTCAAGGATGACTTCTGGTGCTCGGTAATGGCGAGTGGAGACAATGGTGCTATGGTGCTCATGGTCAAAGGTGGCACTGCCAAAGTCTCCCACCCGCACAGCTGTGCTCTTCACACTGCGCTCATGTCGCTTCTTCTCTAGGTTGTAGGTGAGCTCATAGTCTGAATTCACAAACAGAATATTTTCAGGCTTGAGGTCTGTATGTGTCAGCTTGTTATCATGGAGGAACTTGACAGCCTGGCACAGCTGGGAGGCCATGTGGTGCACTTGGTGGATGGGGTAGGGCAGGTGGTTGTTGTCTTTGAGGAAATCGAAGGTGCTAAGGCCCAGAAGCTCCAAGGAGATACACATGTGGCCATGGTAGTCGAACCAGTCAAACATCTGGACACAGAGGTTCTTGCCAGGGTCTTTCTCGTTGATTTTCTCCAGCACTTTGATCTCAAGTCGAGCTGCTTCCTTATACTTCTCCACATTCTTAATGATCTTCAGGGCAACTCGAGCCCCACGCCTGCGATGGTCAACACATTGTACAACTCGGCCGAAGGTCCCCTTTCCTAAGGTGCTGACGATTTCATATCGCTCTTGTAGCCAGTCCCCGACATGGTAGATGAGGTGGCCCTCAGTGTCGTCCTCTACACTCTTGGCTTTCCGGCTGCTGTGCTGCGAAGACGAGCGGCTAAATGTCCGGCTGCACCTCCTCCGGACATGGTAGCTGTCCTCTCGCCGGCGCCGTCGTGTCCGGTCACTACTACTTGACCAGGAACGGCTTCTTCGTTGCTTGTTTTCGGCTCCGATAGTGTTCACAGTAACTCCCCCGGCTGCCTCGCTCTGAGGAATGGTACCTTCGAGGATGAGGCATCTTTCTGGCGGCCAGGCCCGTGCGCTTGTCCCACAGGAAGTCCATGATGGCGGCGGCACTGCGGCCGGAGTCCCAGCACCCCCGCGGCGATGAAGTGCTGCTCCACCCCCACCAACCCGGGACCCTGGGACCTCCAGCCCCGTTCTCGGGCTCTGCTTCAGTCCCGCCCGCCTCTCCTTAACTGTCGGCCTGTTTCCAGTATTGGCGTTTTCAAAAACTCTGATGTAACAATCAGTAGTCCTGGGTATCTGGATTCACTTTGGGGGTTGCTAAAGCAACATGTTCTTCAAAGGAACCGAATAACTGATTTAAGGTGAAGCAAGTAAAAACAATTTAGGTGAAGTTTTTTTTTTTTTTTTAACTTTTGGAAACACTCTGCAAAATATATTTAGAAGCTGAATTACCATGCGATTGGTAATTTGGCCATAATTTGACTTAGCACATTGTGGAAAAGAATAGGAAATCGTCAGGCGAAGTCATTAAATTCTGAAGCTCCCAGGGGATCAGCTTTAGTGCCCTCTGTAAATTATCTGGGAGGGAGAATATGCAAACAATAAGAAAAATATTAAACTTCAGTACAGTACTTTAGTTTCAAAGTACTTTTCTACATATTTCAGGTCCAAAAAACATTATGTAAACAAATTGTTTGGGTACCACCCCCCTCCCTTCTCAGTGCTCTTTCAACAAACCCCACCCTCTCCCCAAAGTCTTCCTCCTGTTCAGAGGCATTCTTGACAGTCAGATAAATGAATGATCCTGAAATCGGATTCAAATTTTAGGAGACTGATCTCAGCTCAGTATTCTCTCCTATCACACCTGTGGTTTGCTGCTGTCCATTTTACTTCTTCCCCCCGACACCGCCTAGATGTAGTCTTGCTCTGTCGCCAAAGCTGGAGTGCAGTGGCTGAATCTCGACTCACTGCAACCTCTGCCTTCTAGGTTCAAGCAATTCTCCTGCCTCAGCCTCCTGAGTAGCTGGGATTACAGGCATGAGCCACCACGCCCGGCTATTTTTTTTTTTTTTTTCAGTAGAGACGGGGTTTCACCATGTTGGCCAGGCTGGTCTCGATCTCCTGACCTCGTGATTTGCCTGCCTTGGCCTCCCAAAGTGCTGGAATTACAGGCGTGAGCCACCGCGTCCAGCCCCATTGTACCTCCATGAGAGCCTAGTCTTGCTTTTAGGCAGCAACTAAACTAACAACTAATTTTTGTATTATTATTTTTTTTTGAGATGGAGTCTCACTCTGTCTTCCAGGCTGGAGTGCAGTGGCGCCATCTTGGCTCACTGCAATCTCTTCCTCCTGGGTTCAAGCAATTCTCTGCCTTAGCCTCTTGAGTAGCTGGGATTACAGGCACCCACCACCACTCCTGGATTTTTTTTTTTTTTTTGTATTTTTAGTAGAGATGGGGTTTCACCATCTTGGCCTGGCTGGTCTTGAGCTCCTGACTTTGTGATCCACCCACCTCAGCTTCTCAAAGTGCTGGGATTACAGGCTTGAGCCACTGTGCCTGGCCTAATTTTGGTATTTTTAGTAGAGATGAGATTTCACCATATTGTCCAGGCTGGTCTCGAACTTCTGGCCTCAAGTGATCCTCCTGCCTGGGTCTCCCAAAGTATGAGGATTAAAAGCGTGAGTCACCATGCCCAGCCCTTATTTATTTATTTATTTATTTTGAGACAGAGTCTTGCTCCATCACCCAGTCTAGAGTGCACTGGCATGATTCTCAGCTCACTGCAACCTCTGCCTCCCAGGTTCAAATGATTCTCCTGCCTCAGCCTCCTGAGTAGCTGGGGATTACAGGTATCTGACAGCATGCCCAGCTAATTTTTTGTATTTTTAATGGAAACGGGGTTTCACCATGTTGGCCAGGCTGGCCTTGAACTCCTGACCTCAGGTGATCAGCCCACCTCCCTTACTTAACTTCTTACTTGTCCTTGTCTCTCTTTCCTACTGTTCTGCTCCAAACTTCAAATTCTCAGAAAAGAGCCTCCTCTGCCTTCAGTAAAGAGCCACTGTTTCCCCACGAGGTTAGTCCGGAGTTCTTTTCATGGGCTCAGGAAATCTGAGGAATACTTCAGGACTGAGCTGTGTCATATTCTGCCTTATAAATAAGAATGTAGGCTGAACATGGTGGCTCACGTGTGTAATCCCAGAACTTTCAGAGGCTGAGGTGGGTGGATCACTTTAAACCAGGAGTTCAAGACCAGCCCGGGAAACATGGTGAAACCCCATCTTTACTAAAAAAATACAAAAAATTAGCTGAGCATGATGGTGTTCACTTGTGGTCCCAGCTGATCAGGAGGCTGAGGAGGGAGGATGGCTTGGCTCTGGCAAGTTGAGACTGCGAGTGAGCCGAGATCACGCCACTGCACTCTAGCCTGGTGACAGAATGAGACCCTGTCTCAAAAAAAAAAAGAAAAAAAAGAAAAAGAAAAAGAAAAAAATATATATGGAAGTAGGTACTCCAATTCCAATTTTTTCTCCCAGTTCAGTTTCTAACTCTTTTCCTCAGAGACAGCCATTAACCTCTGGAAAGGCTATTTTTTCTTGTTACCATGATATTCTGAGCTTGCCTTTTAGGGATAGACTAGTTTCTCCCCTATTATGGCATTGAGGAAGGTGGCACTTTCCTATCTGGGGCCTGATACGAGTTGGCTGTGGTTTTTCTCCTTGATTCCAGAAAGGAATGGCTTCAACTCTGATTGAATTAATTTGAGCAGCTAATTATGTTCTTCTGATTCTAGGTCTTTCTTTGACAGATGAGTGGGCAGAGTTTGGCAATACATCCCATTACTTCTAGGAAAATGGTTTCTAAAGTGAAAAGTGCTATAAAAGACAACAATTATTTTTATTATTCTTATTTTAATCTCTTGAACCTTCCAAATTAATATACTCTTGTCTACCAAGGTGTGGAATAGAATGGAAGTGACAGGAAACTTGAAAGTAGCGTTACATGAATCGTTAGACAGAGGCCAGGAAAACCTCTGTCAGAGAGCCAATCAACATGTATCAAATAGATACAGTGTCCAGAGATTTATGTACTGGGGTTAGCAGAAAAATTCATTCATTCACACTTAATCTTAGCCAAAAGGCTGAGAAGTGATAATTCATTTATTCACAATTTGTTTTTGTTTTTGTTTTGTTTCTATTGCCCAGGCTGGAGTGCAGTGGCGTGATCTCGGCTCACTGCAACCTCTGCCTCCTGGGTTCAAGCAATTCTCCTGCCTCAGCCTCCTGAATAGTTGGCATTACAGGCACTGCCACCACGCCCAGCTAATTTTTGTATTTTAGTAGAGACTGGGTTTCGCTATGTTGACGAGGCTGGTCTTGAACTCCTGATCTCAGGTGATCCACCGGCCTCGGCCTCCCAAAGTGCTGGGATTAAAGGTGTGAACTATCATGCCTGGCCATTCACTATTTATTTATTTATTTATTTATTTATTTATTTATTTATTTATTGAGACGGAGTCTCTGTCACCCAGGCTGGAGTGCAGTGGCGCGATCTCGGCTCACTGCAAGCTCCGCCTCCCGGGTTCACGCCATTCTCCTGCCTCAGCCTCCCGAGTAGCTGGGATTACAGGCGCACGCTGCCATGCCTGGCTAATTTTTTGTATTTTTAGTAGAGACGGGGTTTCACCGTGTTAGCCAGGATGGTCTCAATCTTCTGACCTCGTGATCTGCCCGCCTTGGCCTCCCAAAGTGCTGGGATTACAGGCGTGAGCCGCCGCGCCCGGCCCAATGTATTTATTGAGTGCCACTACAAGTGTTTGGAAACAGTGAATAGTGAGGTGTTTAGAATCAAATATAGGCCATTGGCTTAACATACATACTTTAGCATAAAGGACCATTGCATAAGTTACTTGTTTCAGTGTCTTTCTTTAATGCTTTAGTGTGCTTACAATGATAATAGTGGATGCAGAACCTGTGGATACGGACAGCCAACTGCGAGACTTGAGCATCCGCAGATTCTGTTATCCTATGGGGTCCTGGAATCAATCCCCCATGGATACCAAGGGACGGCGGTACTGTGAAAACTACTTTATACACATCAGCTCACATTCTCATTGTAATCCTCACAATATCCTTTTGATGTACTCTTATTACTGACACTTTGCAGATGGGAAACGGAGGCTTAGAGAGGCTATGGAGCTTGCCCAAGGTTACACAGTTGTAGGTCTTAGAATTGAATGAAGGCAATCTGACTCCAGACCCCTACTATTTTATTTTTTAAACTGGGAAACGTAACACATATGTGGAAAAATGCATAAACAATAAATACATACTCTAATGAATTATTACAAAGCCCACAGCAGTGTAACTACCACCCATACCAAGGAATAGAAGATTTGTAGAATTACAACCCCACTTCCTCTTTGCAGTCTCAAATCCCTCCTCACAGGGCTCCTTTGGTCTCAGAGGTAGCCACTAACCTCCCTTTTATGATGATCAATTCCTTGCTTTTCTTTACAGTTTTAACACCTAAGTATACATCCTTTTTTCCTGTTTTTGAACCTTACAAAAATGGAATAACACAGTATATATTATTTTGTGAATAGTTTCCTTTTCTTAATATTAAGTTTTTAAGATTCATCTCTATTGTCGAATGTAGCTTGTTCCTTTTTCCGAACTGCTGTATTAGTTTACTTTACCTATGGCAAAGTATGAGAATTACCATTGCTCCACTGTGATCAACATTTGTAATCGTCAATCTTTTTCTGTTTTAGCCATTCTGGTGGGTGGCGTGTTATTCTCTCATTGTGATTTAAATTTTCTTATCCTCATATGAGGTTGATGCTTTTTCATATGTTTATCGGTTATTTGGATTTCTTCCTTAGTTAAGAGCCTGTTCAGCTCTTTTTCTTTTTTTTTTTTTGAGACCAAGTCTCACTCTGTCGCCCAAGCTGGAGTTGGAGCTCAGTGGTGTGATCTCAGCTCACTACAACCTCCGCCTCCAGGGTTCAAGTGATTCTCCTGTCTCGCCCTCCCGAGTAGCTGGGACTACAGGTGCGTGCCACCACACCCGGCTGATTTTTTTTATTTTTAGTAGAGACGGGGTTTCACCATGTTAGCCAGGATGGTCTCAATCTCCTGACCTCGTGATCCGCCCGCCTCGGCCTCCCAAAGTGCTGGGATTACAGGTGTGAGCCACCGCGCCCGGCCAGCTCTTTTTCTTTTTCTTTTCTTTTCTTTCTTTCTTTTTTGAGACAGTGTCTTGCTCTGTCGTACAGGCTGGAGTGCAGTGGCGTGATCTCTGCTTACTGCAACCTTGGCTTCAGGCATGCATCAGCACATTGGGCTAGTTTTTGTATTTTTAGTAGAGACAGGGTTTCGCCATGTTGCCCAGGCTGGTCTTGAACTCCCGGCCTCAAGTGATTTGCCCACCTCGGCCTCCCAAAATGCTGGGATTACAGGTGTGAGCCACCGTGCTCGGCCTGAACTCTTTTTCTTAATGATTATAGTTCTTTATATATTCTAGATACAAGACCTTTCTTGGTTATACATGTTGCAAATTTCTTTCTTTCTCTCTCTCTTTCTTTTTGATGGAGTTTCGCTCTTATCACCCAGGCTGGAGTACAATGGCGCGACCTCGGCTTACTGCAACCTTCGCCTCCCGGGTTCAAGCAATTCTCCTGCCTCAGCCTTCTGAGTAGCTGGGATTACAGGTGCCCGCCACCACACCCGGTTAATTTCTGTATTTTTAGTAGAGACAGGCTTTCACTATGTTGTCCAGGCTGGTCTCAAACTCCTGGCCTCAGGTGATCCACCCGCTTTGGCCTCCCAAAATGCTGGGGTTATAGGAGTGAGCCACTGCATCTGGCCCATATTGTAAATTTCTTAATCATCTGTGAGGCTTGCCTTTTAACTCTTTTAATGGTGTAATTTGATAAAACCAAGTCTTAATGTTTTTTTTTGTTTTTGTTTTGTTTTGTTTTGTTTTGTTTTGTTTTGAGACAGAATCTCGCTCAGTCACCAGGTTGGAGTGCAATGGCGCGATCTCAGCTCACTGCAACCTCTGCCTCCCGGGTTCAAGCAATTCTCCTGCCTTAGCCTCCTGAGTAGCTGGGATTACAGGCATGCACCACCTTGCCCAGCTAATTTTTGTATTTTTGTAGAGATGGGGTTTCACCATGTTGGCCAGCTGGTCTTGAACTCCTGACCTCAGGTGATCCGCCTGCCTCAGCCTCCCTAAATGCTGGGATTACAGGCGTGAGCCATTGAGCCTGGCTGTCTTAATGTTAATGTGGTCAAATTTACCTATTTTCCTATTATAGGTAGTGCTTTTTGGATTCGTTTAAAAAGTCTGTCCCCTTACCCTTGAGATCAATATACTGTTTTATTATCTTTAAAAACAATAAAAGCATTATTTCTTTTTTTTCCTTCTCACTTTAAAGTCTGCAGATAGATAGCTTCATTCTTCTGCCTTTAAAATTTATGTTTCAGCTGGGCATCATGACTCACTCCTGTAATCCAGCACTTTGGGAGGCCGAGGCAGGAGTTTGAGACCAGCCTGGACAACACAGCAAGATCCCGTCTCTTAAAAAAAATTACTTGGGCTTGGTGGCACATGCTGGTAGTCCTAGCTGCTTGGGAGGGTTGCTTGAGCCCGGGAGTTTGAGGCTGCAGTAAGCTATGATCACAGCACTACACTTCAGTCTGGGCAACAAAGCGAGACCCTGTCTCTTAAAAATAAAAAAAGTGTCTGTTAGTTACCTGAAATTGACTTTTGTGTATAATGTGAAGAGTCCAATTTCATTTCTTTTCCAAATAGAGCACTATTTGTTCCAGTGCCATTCAATCATTGAAAAGTGTTCTTTAGGTGTTGCTTTGCATTGCCAGGCAGTCTCAAACTCCTGGGCCCAAGTGATCCTCCTGTCTCAGCCTCCCAAATAGCTGGGGCTACAGGTGTGCACCACCACACCCAGGTCACTGGGCTCTCTATTCTGTATTACTGGTAGATTTGTCTATTTTTGATCTCCTTCCACACTGCCTTAATTACTATGAAAGTTGACAGTATCAAAATGGAATCATTTGTGTAAAAATTCCCCAAAGACCCTGACAAATACAGCCAGGAAACCTAAGAAGAGAGCATTCTCACACTTGCATGCCTGATAACAAAATTACCACAGAAGACTCTGGAAAATCACAACATTAACAATGGTCATTGTAACCTTACACAAAACGTACTTCTATGAGGATATCTGCTCAGCAATTGTCTGTCTAACCTCAGACTCGAGCCACCCTTGTTATTATAGATTCTTGTAGCCAAGGATAATTTCAAAACAATTATGTAATGCCCCTAATTTTTCCTGTAAAAACCTTTGTCTTCCTTTACCTCCTTGAATACACACATAGTTTACTGTGGCATGTGTATTCCCATTGCAATGCCCTATTCCCAAATAAACATATTTTTCTTTTAGAGAGCCTCTCTCTGTTGTTTAGGTTGACACAAATGGTGCCAGAAACAGGACCTGAAAAAAGATCACTATCACAAGGAACTGACAGTTCTTGAATCTGGTGCAGTACTCATTTCAGTTCTCTGCTTCCATGGCTCACTTTTTCTGCCCTGATGAGTCTTCTCTAAGACCACGCCCCCTTCTTTATGGTAGAAGCTCTTGACTTTATTTGGGGTCTGATTTGAATAAGGCAGCCCTAAATAAAGGACTTTACATCCCTCCTGGGATTAAACAAAGACTTTTTGTATTTTCTGGGAAGTCTTTTCTGATTTCTACAGAATTTCCATTCTGTCTGTGAGGCATATCTTTTCTGATGAATTTACTTTTGGTCTGTGTGCCTACTTTAATATTTTGTCTGATCCACATGCCTGGGTTAAAATTTTTATGAACTTTCTTGGTTTTATTTTGGTTACATGCAACTTTTTTGTTGTTCTTTTCCCTTTATGTTGCTCTTTTCCCTTGCTTGTTTCTGAAAATCTTCTGAGAGCAAAAATAAACATTCTTTTAGAATGGACACATTCTAAATGATGGACACAGGATGGCTAAGTAAAAGCCACTAGAGTGGTTGCTACCATCAAATACATTGGTCCAAACTTATGACATTCTGACAAGATTGATAATTTTCTTTGCTCTTGAGAGATTGATAAGTAATGTAATGGGGTTTTCTTAATTTTTCTTTCTTTCTTTTTTTTTTTAAGAAACAGAGTCTCACTCTGTCTCCCTGGCTGGAGTTCAGTGATGCAATCATAGATCATTGCAGCCTTGAACCCCTAGGCTCAAGTAGCTAGGACTACAGGTACACGCCACCATGCCCAGCTACTTTTTTTGTTTTGTTTTGTTTTGAAGAGACGGTGTTTCACTATGTTGCTCAGGCTGTCTCAAACTCCTGGCCTCAAGAGATCCTCCTGCCTTAGCCTCCCAAAGTGTCAAGATTATAAATGTAAGCCACTGTACTCTGCCTGGGATTTTCAAACATTAAGGCATGCCAAGTTTTCTGGGACTCCAACCAGCTATATTTGATGGCCCATTCTCATGCACACTTAAAAAACTGATGGGTTTATGAAACGTTACAACAGGTCTCACTTAATCCTTCATGGTCATTTCATTTATTCAGCTGGTTAAGCCTAGGTTCATGGCTCAAAACTATTAAGCAAACTGAGATTATCATTTTACTTTATATTTTTCCTTTTTTAAACTTTGTATCTGTTACTTGTTAAATTTTTGCAGAAGTATAGGTCTTAACAAAATAATGCTGGGCCAGCACTTTGAGATGACAGCCAAAGACTATAGACCTCAATAATAAACTCCAGGTAGACTTAGCCTGAGAGCCATTTTCTTCAAACCTCCCTTATTGCCCAAATATGGCTTAATGGTTTTTGACACTGACTCATCACCAATCACTCCCCACAATGAGGGAAGAAACCAGCAACCAGGACAGGTTCAACCTGGCCTCCAGGGACATCAGAATGTAACTACAAAATGACTGATCAGTGATGCATTCTGAGAAAGCTCTTGATCAAAAAAGGGAAATGTGAAAATTGTCAGAATCAAAATGGAGTCACTTGTGTTAAAAACAAAACACCCTGACAGAGCTGGGGAAGGCTAAGAAGGGAAGGCTTTCACATGTGTATACCTGATAACTAAACTATTGCAAAAGACTCTGCAAAAACCACAACCTTACATAAAGACCACTGCAACCTTACACAACAAGTACTTCTGTGTGGACATCTGCCCAGCAACTGCCTGTTGAACCTAGAACTGGAGTCACCCTTATTATTGATCCTTGTAGCCAAGCATAATAATTTCAAAGCAATTATTTAATCCTCCTCATTTTTTCTTTGTCTTCCTTTACCTCCCTGAATACACACAGAGTTTACTGTGGCATGTATATTCCCATTGCAATGCCCTATTCTTAAGTGAGTGTCTTTTTCTTTTAGAGGTCCTATTATTTAGGTTGACAGCTTTAAAATAAAGCTTGTTTTTGTTTTGTTTTGTTTTGTTTTTGAGGAAGAGGCTTGCTGTCGCCCAGGCTGGAGTGCAGTGGCACAATTATGGCTCACTGCAGACTCCACCTCCTGGGCTCAAAGTGATCCTCCTGCCCCCAGCCTCTTGAGTAGCAGGGACTATAGGTGCATGCCACCACAACTGGCTGACTTTGGTATTTTTTTGGGGGGTACAGATGGGGTTTTGCCATGTTGCCCAGGCTGGTCTTGAACTCCAGGCTCAAGCAATCCACTTGCCTCAGCCTCCCGAAGTGCTGAGATCATAGGCATGGGCCACCGTGCCTAGTCTATAATAAAGCTTGTTATCCGGTAGCACAAGTTTTCCTCCTCCCACTCCTTCTCCTCTTCTTTTTTTTTCTTCCTCCTCTTCCTCATGAATGCTTGTCTTTGCTCTTCCATAACATTTTGAATTAGCTTGTCAAGTTTCTCACACATACACAGAAATTTATTGAGATTTTGTTGGGAATTGCACTGGCTCTGTAGGTAGGTTTGGAGAGACTTGGCATTTTTCAGTATTGACTCTTCCAATTTATGAACATGTTACATCTTTATTTAGGTCTTCTTCAGTGTCTTCCAATGTTTTCTTCAGGCAGGTTTTGCATTTCTTTGATCGATTTATTCCTAGGTACTTGATATTTGTTTGGAGCTGTTGGAAATGGTATCTTTAAAAAAATTATCTTTTTTACTAGCATATATAAATAAATATTGATTTTTTAAAATATGATTTTTGTATCTATTAACCTTGTTAAAAACTTTTATTGTTAACAGTTTATCTGCAGATTGTTTTGAAGTGCCACAAACAATTTTTTTTTTTTTTTGAGACGGAGTTCTGCTCTTGTTGCCCAGGCTGGAGTGCAGTGGCGCGATATCAGCTCACTGCAACCTCCGCCTCCTGGGTTCAAGCAATTCTCCCGCCTCAGCTCCCCGAGAGGCTGGAATTACAGGCGTCCGCCACCTCGCCCTGCTAAGTTCGTATCTGTAGTAGAGACGGGGTTTCACCATGTTGGCCAGGCTGGTCTCGAATTCCCGACCTCAGGTGATCCTCCCGTCTTGGCCTCACAAACTGCTGGGATTACAGGCATGAGCCAACGGCGCCCGGCCTCCACGTACATAATTACATAATCTATGAAAAAATAATTTTGTTTCTTCCTATTTAATCTTCAATCCTTTTATTTTTCTTGCCTCACTCCACTGGCTAAGGACCTTTGGCTTCAATAATGGGTAGTCTCATCTGTAGCACACTTAATCATCACTAAGCTTTCCCAGCCTCAGGTCAATAGTATTAGGAGGTTGGTTCCTCACCGGAGGGTCGGGAACAAGACGCCAGAGCCCTTCTTCCAGCGCCTGCAGCGAGTTAAGGCCGAGGGTATGCCTCTGGCGGGCTCATCTTCCAACACAGAAGACCCCGCCGCCCTCTCTGGTTGCCGCGCAGCTGCGTCGTTCTGACCCAGGGTAGGTGCAGGGCGGCTGGAAGCACGTGCCGCCGCTTCCTCATTCTGGGACTACATCCCCCACAATGCCGCGCGCCGCGGGCGGCTGGCCCCCGAGTGCGGGAAGGGCCGGCAGGGAGGCGGAGCGGAAGCCGAGTGCGAGGGACGAGCGGAGTAAAATCTCCACAAGCTGGGAACAAACCTCGTCCCAACTCCCACCCACCGGCGTTTCTCCAGCTCGATCTGGAGGCTGCTTCGCCAGTGTGGGACGCAGCTGACGCCCGCTTATTAGCTCTCGCTGCGTCGCCCCGGCTCAGAAGCTCCGTGGCGGCGGCGACCGTGACGAGAAGCCCACGGCCAGGTAATGAGTAAGGGGCGAGTCCGCCAGCCGGGCCCGCACCTCTCGCGCGCCCCTCAGCCTAGCCGGCCGCTCCTCCCCCGCCGCGCCCCCGTCCCCGGTCCCCGCCCCGCTAGGGCCGCTGCTGCGGAAACCCGGCTTAGGAACGGGCCGGCAGCCTCCGGCCGCGGCCGGGAAGGCTCTTTGTCCCTTCCTTTGGGCCGCGTCTCTGCCCCTCCGCGTCTGACAGCCGCGGCGCCTCGGCTCGGGCGGAGAGCCGAGCGTGGCTGGGGCTGCGCGAGTCGAGCGGGGCGGGCTTGGTCCGGAGCTGCGGGATGTAGATCCCGGGCGGCACCGCACTCACTTCTTTTTCTGTTTTTGACAGCTCAGTTCTCTTCTACTTTGGGAGAGAGAGAAAGTCAGATGCCCCTTTTAAACTCCCTCTTCAAAACTCATCTCCTGGGTGACTGGTAAGGATGAACTTAAACTGCCGTGTTGATTGTTGACTGTGACGGTAATGAGAATGGCTCAGCCAGCTAGGGTTCGAATCCTGCCTGGGTTTCTCTCACTGCCTGCCTTGGTGATCTTGGTTACTTAAAGGCTCTAAGCTTGAGTTTTCTCATCCATCAAAACACACACCTGTAAGTGGTTAGAATTAGGAATATAGACCTATAACGTCATTAGTTCTTCATTTGATGAAAAGATCCTTTGTGATACTTTCATTAGCTATGACTGAAGTGACCGAAGTGGCCTCTGGACTTGAGTTTTGTGCTTTTGTTTGTTTAATCATCCTGGGTTGTGTGTTCTTCACTTTATCTTAAACCTAACCAAAGGATTCATTAAAATATGCCGTCTTCCTAATTTTTGCTGTTTTAAGATGGCTGAGAATGTTCTTAGGAAATTGATGACTCTGCTTTTCTGTGGATCAGCTTCAGAGGTACAAGTATTCACCTCTCCCCTCCCCCTCAGGTGTGTCCTTTGGGAATCCTTAGAGGCGCTAAGTGTTTGTTTCGTCAGAGTAGGCATCCAGGTATTTTACAGTCCTGCCTCTGGGCTTCACCATATTTAACCTGGGTCAACTTTTTTCTACATCTGTCTGCATCTTCTCACTGATTAATAATTTCTCACTCTAAAATGTGTTGCAAAAATACTTGTTTTGAGGAAAATGTTTCTATGTTGGTGTTATTTAGTGCAGTGTAGGACAGAGAGTAATGGCTACGGAAATAGGAGTCCTTAGTTTTGTCCTTGCTCTGTCACTATCTGTGTAACCTGAGATTACTTTGTGGTCCTCAATGTCCTCATCTCTAAAATAGTGAATTGGTCTGATTCCAAGGACTCTTCTAGCTCAGACTTTCAATGATAAAGGTTTTTAGAGGTTTTTTTTTAAATGTGGAAACAAAATTTGTGTAAACCCTTTTAGTCATTTGTGTTCTTAGTGTTTCTTCCTGCTTCAGGTCATATAATTCTTTCAAACTACCTTGAAAGAAGGAATACATTTAAGAGAACAAGAAAGCTGCCAGAAATAAGAATCTCTACCAGCCAGTTATCACTCTCTCATGAGCTGCACAGTTTCTCTGCATTTTTGACATGCTTTGTTCTCTTTCTCCCTACTCTGTATCTTTTGCTCATAGCCCCTATACCTGTTGTGCCTGATTCTTCATAACTTTAGCTTGTCAATCCCCTCATCCAACTTTATTATTTATTTTCATGACTTCTCCTTCAGCTCCTTCTGCCAACTGCCTGGTTTTCCCTGGGGCCTCTTTGTTTGAGGCCAGAGATGCTAGCCTAGTTGGCTTTGGAAGGGGAGGTGGGGACATGTGGCACAAAACATGATTGGCCACGGCTGTGACAGGTGAAGCTCTGTGATTGAAGTATCTAGTGCTGCATAGTGTGTGTCTATGTATATGTATATATATAGGTTTTGTTGTTTTTTTTTTTTGAGACAGAGTCTTACTCTGTCACCCAGGCTGTAGTGCAGTGGTGCTGGCTCACTGCAACTTCTACCTTTTGGGTTCAAGCAATTCTTGTACCTCATGCCTGGCTAATTTTTGTAGTTTTAGTAGAGACAGGGTCTCACCATGTTGGTCAGGCTGGTCTTGAACTTCTGACCTCAAGTGATCTGCCTATGTCAGCTTCCCAAATGGTGGGATTATAGGTGTGAGCCCTGGAGCCCGGCCTGCATAGTTTATTTTATTGCATATTTTAGTTTAGTTAGTTTAGTTTGAGACAGCCTTGCTCTTTCACTCAGCTTGGAGTGCAGTGGTGCGATCTCTGCACACTGCATCCTCTACCTCCCAGGTTCAAGCGATTCTTGTACCTCAGCCATCCAAGTAACTGGGTTTACAGGCATGCACCACCATGCCTGGCTAATTTTTGTATTTTTAGTAGAGATGGGGTTTCACCATGTTGACCAGACTGGTCTTGAATGCCTGACCTCAAGTGATCCGCCCTCTTCAGCCTCCCAAGGTGCTGGGATCACAGGCATGAGCCACCACGCCAGGCCATATTTTAAATTAAACTTTTACTGTAGCATAATGGTTAGTTTTCTTTTTGCCTTAACATTTTCTGTTTTTATCCCTGCCTCACTTTACCATTTTTCTTTTATCTGTTTTTGTAATATTCAGTGCTATTGTCTTCTATTCTGTCTCCCAAATGTGCCATCTAAAAATGATCTGATATCTTGACACTCATTATTTCCGTATCTTAGCTGGAATTTTAGTGTAGCTTCTCTCAAGGCAGTGCATTTTAAATCTTAGACCTTATTATGGAGCGAATGGCTGTGTTCTGTGTTAACCCCCCCCCCCCCACCACCATATTAGCCTCAGGCAGTGTTACATAGAGAAAATATTTTAGGAATGCCCCTTTTTCCCTGAAATTACATTCCGGGGTCAAGTCTGTGGAGGACTTTTTTTTGGGTCGTTTTTGGAGAGAACTATTTGAACCTCTGAGCTGTGGTGAACATACTGTGTCTTTTTGTAGTAAATCTATGCCTCTCTAGCTGAAATTCCTTTGGAGACTAATAGGCAGTAGTTCTTCTAGTACCTTTGGCTGAGTGAAAGCTTCTCTGCCTGCTAGTTGCTGCTATTGCTGTTGATAGTTACTTTAGCTATAGTTATAATGGCACAAAATGTAGAGCACTGAATAGATGCAAAAATGAGATTTGAATGAGAGATTTTAAGGTATGATTAGCCATCTATTTGTGTTTTTAATATTGCTGTTGCTATGTTTGCATAAAATACAAGGAAGTACTTCATGACAGATGACAGGGAGTGTGAAATGCAGTATTTTTTAAACTTTTTTGTTACAATCCGTAGTAAGAGATCTTTTTATAGCAAGACTCCATTGATGGCTGAGTATGGTTGTGTGCACCTGCAGTCAGTCCTAGCTACTAGGGAGGTAGAGGTGGGAGAATCATGTGGGCCCAGGAGTTTGAGACTGGCCTGGGCAACATAGTTAGATCTCATATCAATAATTAAAAAAAAAAAAAAAGACTCCATACACGTGTAACTGTGTGTGCATAGGCTGGACTCAGTGGCTCATGCCTGTAATCCCAGCGCTTTGGGAAGCTGAGGCAGGAAGATCGCCTGAGCTCAAGAGTTTGAGACCAGCCTGGGCAACATAGTGAGACCTTGTCGCTGCTAAAAATAAAATTTGTCAAGTGTAGTGGCACACACCTGTAGTCCCAGCTGCTTAGGAGGCTGAGGCAGGGGCAAGGGTGGGGGCCTCTTCAGTCTGGGAGATCAAGGCTCAGTGAGCTATGGCCACTGCATTCTAGCCTGGGCAACAGAGCCAGACCTTATCTCAAACAGCAACAACTGTGTATGCATGCATATGTCTGTATATGTAAAAATAAACTGGAAATTTAACAAAACAAAATTGGTAGTGTGTACGGTCTACTCTGATGGTTTCTATTTTATCTTGTGTTTTGAAAATTGCTCATTGCAAACTGTTGATTTTGTTCCCTGCTTTTGAAAAACAGTGGAGTCCTGTGCTGAAAGTTTGGATGCCTAACGTTTCTCTGTATGTTTGACTTTGAGTAGTCATTAATTCTCTTTGTGCTTCATTTTCCTTATCTTTATAATGAAGTTGTTCTAGTTTAAATATTTGCTGATTCTTTGTTTGATTTAATTAATTAATTAAATTTTGAGATAGAGTCTCTGTCACCCATAGCTCATTGAAACCTGGCACTCCTGGGCTTGTGTAGTAGTCCTCCTGCCTCACCCTCCAGAGTAGCTGGGACTACAGGTGCGCACCACCATGCCCGGCTAATTTTTATTTTTTTTTTGTAGTGACTGCGTCTTGCAGTGTTGCCCAGGATGGTCTTGTACTTCTGGCTTCAAGAAGTCCTCCCACCTCAACCTTGTAAAGTGCTGGGATTACAAGTGTGAACCACCATGCCCAGCCTGTTTTACTTTTCTCTGGAAATAATGTTGGACTAAAGACAAGCACATATCTTTATGTCTGTGGCTAGGGAGAAACCACTGAAAAATGGCTTAAATATTTGGTTGTTTACATATACATAGTGTGCTGTTTGTCAAGTAGCATAATGGAGCTTGGAATAGCACTTTTCTCCGAAGATCTTGTAAAGTGGAGTGGACATGTTAATGCCTGTAATAAATATACAAATTTAGAAAAAAAATTTATCCATGTTTTTCTACTTTTGTGTTTCTTAACAGGGAATATTTTGGAGTTTGAAAAATTATATTTAAAATGCTTAATACAAGTTTTAAGTAAATGCACTGACAGATTGCTACCTAGACCTTATTTCGTATCTGATCTTGCCACTGCCCCTTTCAGATTAGAGAACACCAATAAGAATATATTTTTCTTTGTAAACACCACCATATCAGATCATTACTATTCCTGTATATTACCAAATAGTGGAACTGCCATTTTCTTAAGACAGGGGAACACAAAGCTTTCTTTGCTTGTGGGTTTCCTTCTGTTCAGTTTGTATGATTTCTCCAGACCAGGCCATTTCATGCTGTGCTTTGGGAGCCTTCTCATTCTCATTTGTTTGTACTGAGGAAAATAGGAATAAGGAATTTGTTGACTGCTCCCGAGATTCTGGTAAAAGAAGAATTCTAAAGGTTTTGTTGGAAGGAAATTGGAACCAGACTTTGTACTTCCTCCTCTTTCTGAAATCAGATATTACCCCCTCATTATTCTTTGACCTCACACCTCAGGCAGATGTTCCAAGACACATCACCATTTTTTTTTTTTCTTCATAGCAGTTTATCACAAACTGAGATAACTTGTTTGTTTGCTTGTTTGTTGTCCCGTTCCTATTAAAATAGTATCCAGAAAAACAGGAATCCTGTCTTTCATATCTTGCTTTACCTTTCACATCTATGGTTCCTGGCACATGGTAGGTACTTTGCTATTGTGAATGAATTAGTGAACAAATGAATGAGTAAACCAAGTTCTTTCATGCCTTAAATAGAACTGCATGTAGTAAAGGTTGTGTTTGAGCCTAGGCCTTTATGCACTGCCCCCCACCCTCCACCTCCAATTCTTTTTTCTGGAAGTGTGTTATCACTATGTTTACTGATCATGGTGAAGGTCTCTACCTTTAGAAGACTTTGTGTTTATCTTTGTTTTACTTCATATGTTTTTATCTTCTAGTTTTTTGCCTGTATAAAAACTAACATATAAGACTTCCGAAATCCTTCTTGTAGCAACTTTATAATACTTTGATTTATGTGAATACAGTTTACTTGAAACTTTAAGAGCCAGCTTAATAATTTAGTGAATAGTTCAAATTAGGCATCTTCAGGATCATTGTCCTAAACTGCCATTACTATTTTCTGGTTACATTCTTTTAAAGCAAAAAAGAACAAAACTTCATTTAATACAGTTTATTCCGTATTTACAAACACAATCTTTCTAGGGGAAGTAAGGAAGGTAGTGTGGTGTAGAGAAAACCCTAGACAGTGAGTCAGGACCTGTATTCTGGACCAGTAGGATTTCTGCCATTAACTGGGTTTCATTTTTAGGCAAGACACTTAACATCTCTGGGCTTCAGTTTCTTTATCTGAAATGCGAGGGAAATGGATTAGGTTTCTTCTCAGGTTCTTCCAGTCTAGAAAAGGATAATTGAAGGTACTTTACCCCCAAATTTCTATCCTCTGGTCCTCTACCCCAAAACTCATTGCAGAGAGGTCACATTGCTGCGTGGGAGAAGGTGGGGTTAGGTTCAGGGATGTGTTTTAAAGTAAACATAAGGCATTTCTCAGTGACGGCTGATTGTTCACTAGGCTCTGTGGGGGATGTGGCAGCAGTGTAAGGCTTGTTGTTCTTGCCCATAAGGGACCTGGGACTTAATCAGGGAGACATGGCTTACACACATGCTTGGATGTGTGATATATAAAATTAATTGGTATGAAGTAACATGCTGTGGGAGTTAGAAGAAGATCAGTGTGGGGTAGAATAAGGTAAGGAGGTTTTGAAATCATTCTATCCGAGGTAAGATTTAAACAGGTATTTTACCTCGTCTCCTTTCAGACTACTTGGAAGATGAACTGTTCTCATCAGCAACATGCTATTATGTCATCTTTTAGGACTAGGTAATGCTCCAGTGACTTAATACCAATGACATTTTCATGTTGTCCACAAATTCTGAGTAGAAACCTTTTCAAGCCTGTAGCCTCTCTGAGAGCTGACTGTTATTAACTGAATGAGAGGATGTCAGCAAACAGGTAAGACACATGCTGGGTAAATAAAATTATCATATAAATGTAAGATATAATTATTACTATTGTATGAAGCAGAGAGAAGACTGGCTGGATTGGAGGAGATATTTTTGTGACTAATGAGAAATAAACTTGGTCTTTGGAGACTGGGTTGTGGAGGCCCATGAGAGCTAATCAGGAGTTTTATTTGAGTCTGTTAAGACATTTCCTGTATTACCTAATGTTACTCAGATTACCAAGAATTAGTAGCATTGTTGCATAAATGCCTGACACTAATGATAAAGATTAATATTTATTGAGTAGTATGTCAGTTATTCTTTACCAGTATTAAATAGGTATTGTTGTCCCCATTATATAAGTGAGGATATCAGGCCTTAGGGAGATAAAATAACTTTTACAAGGTTTTAAAGATATACTATAATTTCATATAGAAAATGATAGGGCCAGGTGCGGTGGCTCACACCTGTAATCCCAGCACTTTGGGAGGCTGAGGCGGGTGGATCACAAGGTCAGGAGATCGAGACCATCCTGGCTAACATGGTGAAACCCCGTCTCTACTAAAAAAATACAAAAAATTAGCCGGGTGTGGTGGCGGGCGCCTGTAGTCCCAGCTACTTGGGACGCTGAGGCAGGAGAATGGTGTGAACCCAGGAGGTGGAGCTTGCAGTGAGCCGAGATTGAGCCACTGCACTCCAGCCTGGGCGACAGAGCAAGACTTCGTCTCAAAAAAAAAAAAAAAAAGAAAATGATAGAGAGTACCTTGTGGCTAGAGTGGGATAGGAATTGGAGTGCAACTTTTTGAAAACATTTTGAAGCGATGACATTTGAACTAAGTACTAAAGGATGAAAAGGAACAGGTTGTAGGGAAAGTACTCCAAGCTAGGGAATAGCAATTGTATAGACCCTGAGGTCAGAAAGAATTTAATGTGTTTTCCCTAGCATGGGTTTAGCATGGTGAGCAAGAGGGAAGTGGTATGAGATTAGGACAAAGAGAAATGGGTAGAAGTCAGATTATGTAGGGCTTGTGGATTGCATGTTGTAAAGGTTGGTACTGAGTTTGCATGTTAGATTCTAAGTGCAGTGTGAAACTGTTGAAAGGTTTTTAAGCAGGAGAATGTGATATGCTTGTGTGTGTGTGTGTGTGTGTGTGTGTGTGTGTGTGTGTGTGTGGTAAAAAAATACATAATCTAAAATTTATCATTTTAACATTTAAGTGTACAGTTCAGTGACATTAAGTACGTTCACATCATCATGCAACCATCACTACCATCCATCTCCAGAGCTTCTTCATCATCTCCATCTGAAACTCTGTACCCATTAAATCATAACTTTCCATTCTCTTCTTCCATGTGGTAGCATGTATCAGAACATCTTACTTCCTTAGGGCTGAATAATATTCCATTGTATGTAGATACCACATTTTATTTATCTGTTTATCTGTTGATGGACACTTGGGTTGTTTCCACCTTTTGGCTGTTATGAATAATGCTGCAATGAACACTGGCATACACATATCCCTTTGGGTTTCTGCTTTCATTTCTTTTGTGTATATATCCAGAAGTTCAATTACAGATTGTATGATAATCCTATGTTTAAGTTTTTGAGGAAATGCCATACTGTCTTCCCCAGCAGCCACACCATTTTATGTGCCCACCAGCAGAGCAGAAGAGTTTCGATTTGTTCACATCCTTGCCAACACTTGTTTTCTGTTTTTTTTTGTGTGTGTGTGTGTGTGATAACTATCCTAATGGGTATGAAGTGGTATTTCATAGTGGTTTTATTTATTTATTTATTTATGTTTTTGAGACCGAGTCTTGCTCTGTCGCCCAGGCTGGAGTGCAGTCGCGTGATCTCTGCTTACTGCAAGCTCCGCCTCCTGGGTTCACGCCATTCTCCTGCCTCAGCCTCCCAAGTAGCTGGGACTACAGGTGCCCGCCACCACACCCAGCTAATTTTTTGTATTTTTAGTAGAGACGGGGTTTCATCATGTTAGCCAGGATGGTCTCGATCTCCTGACCTCGTGATCTGCCTGCCTTGGCCTCCCAAAGTGCTGGGATTACAGGTGTGAGCCACTGTGCCTGGCCTCATAGTGGTTTTAATATACATTTCCCTATGATTAATGAGGTTGAGCATTTTTTTTTATTGGCAAAATGTCTTCGAATTATGAGTTTTGTTTTTGGAAGAATATTTGACTGCTCTGAGAAGAATGGATTGAAGTAGGGTTGGAGAGGAGTCTGGCAAACCACTTGACAAGCAGCTATAGGAATCCACTTGGAGGTGGTGATAGTTGGATCACACTCTGTTGCCCTTCTTCAGGTCTAGTACTTTACTGATACTTCATTTTAAGTGTGTCCCCTCTCCTTAGTTATTCTACTTTTGTGCCATATAGACTAATTACTTTTGTGACTTCTGCAGTTGGTTGAGCACTTTCTCCTGGGAATCTTAAAAATATTCAAGGTTTATCTTAGGCCAAAATAACAATGATGATGATTATTTTATTTTTTGCCTTTAAAACTCCAGACCAGGCACAGTGGCTCACACCTGCCATCCCTTTGGAAAGGCTGAGGCAGGAGGATCACGTGAGGCCAGGTGATCACGTGATGAGGCAGGAGGATCACGTGAGACCAGACTGGGCAACGTAATGAGACCCCTCTAAAAAAAAAAAAGTACAAAAATTAGCTAGGCCTGGTGGTGTGCACTTGTAGTTCCAGGCTATTCAGAAAGCTAAGGTGGGAGGATTGCTTGAGCCCGGAAGGCCGAGGCTGCAGTGAGCTGAGATCGTGCTACTGTACTGCAAGCCGGGGCAACAGAGCGAGACCCTGTCTCAAAAGCAAAAAACAAAAAACAACTCTCTAGTTGTTAATTTGGTGAATTTCAAGTTTTGTGTTTTTTTTAAGTGATTAATAGAAAATTAATATAGTGGCCTAGAAATTAAGATTTAAAAGTTTTTAGATTGTAGACTGTTTTGATGGAAGAAGTACTCCAATAAGAACTATGCCAGATGGTAGCCATAAGCCCTTGGCCTCAATGTTGGCCTATCAGGTTTCTGCTTAGTGACTCTGTCCTTATCTAAGTGGCCTTCTGGGGGCTGGATCAGTACTTGAAACATAAAGAAAAATTGAGGAGGTTCAAAGTGCAAGTTCTTCTGTTATTTGCAGCTTTGAACATTGCACAGAAAGAAAGGACATTGAATCTTTCCTTTCCTTTTTTTTCTTTCCTAAGGATGGAGGCTAATAATCATTTTCCTTTCTAATCACTAAATTAAAAGTACATAAGTAAATACCTTCAGTTGCTAAAGAAGTCAAAACTTCTTATCTTTTTTTATTTTTCTTATGTGAAATCACAGACAGTTCTCTGAGAATAGAACAGTGAGTGTATTCATATTGGCCCCGGAGAATAAAGTAATACCAGTGGAAATTGTTTCCTCTTCACTTTACTTCTACTTTTGCCTTATAAATACAGGGCCTAGCCTACCCTGGGGGTAACGACTCAGGTTCCAGCAGAGGTCACCTATTTTCAATCCCCTTCACCCCTTCCCCTTCAAGGTCGTCATGGTGTCATCTGAAGAATGACAAGGTTCATAAATTTGGAAAGGAGAGCTTTATTTCTTATAAAGGGTTGCAACCTGCACGGTGGTCTTTCTGACAGGCTGGGAAGCATAGCCTCCGTCCAGAAGCCAGAAACAGACACTTGGAGAGAGGGACAAAGGGAACAGGAATTTATGCTGAGCAGGGTGGCCGAATATACATATTTAATAAGTTTAAGGCGTCATGAATATTTATGAAAGGAGAAACGTGCATGCACAATTGAGCTTCATACCCATTCCTAGGTCCTGCATATAAAAAAATTGTGGCGTTAGCATGATTCCAGGGTGGAGTTTTCAGCCCTCTGATGTCAAAAGGTGAAGCGGAGGACACGAAAACCCTTACTGTGCATCCTCTGTAGACTGGCCAGAACTACTCTGTGGCTGGTGGTCTCTTATCAGGAAGAAATGCTTGTAGGTTGTTTCGTTGGAACTGCAGAATGGAGAGGCAGCAGTCAGGCAGTTGGTTGAGATCAGTGGTGGAGTCTTTTGAAAGGCCTGGTTTCTGTTTAGCCCAAGCTTGTTCAACCTGCAACCCATGGGCTGCATGGGACGGCTTTGAATGTGGCCCAACACAAATTCATAAACTTTCTTAAAACACTATGATTTTTTTTGTGATTTTTAATTTTTAATTTTTTTTAGCTCATCAGCTGTCGTTAGTGTTAGTATATTTTATGTGTGGTCAGAACGATTCTTCTTCCAGTGTGGCCCAGGGAAGCCAAGAGATTGGACACCCCTAAGTTAGCCCTTAGAGAATAATGCCTAATGGCATGATGATAATGGCAGTTGTCAAGGGAGGGAAGTATAATGAAGTGTATCTGACTGCCCATCCTGTTAGAACTGCCTAATGGTGGTTCTAATGGGTTCTCCTTGCCCGATGCCTAGACAGAACCAATTTATCAAGATGGGAATTGCAATAGAGAAAGAGTTTAATTCATGCAGAGCCAGCTGTATGGGAAACCAGAATTTTATTATTACTCAAACCCATCTTACTGAAAACTCAGGGATTGGGGTTTTTAAGGATAATTTGGTAGGTAGGGGGCCAGAAGGTGGGGAGTGCTGATTGTTCAGGTTGGAGGCAAAATCATAGAATCATGACTCTTCAAAGCTGTCCTCTTGCACCGAGTCACTTCCTAGGTGGGAGCCACAAGACCAGATGAGCCAGTTCGTTGATCTGGGTGGTGTCAGCTGATCCATCTAGTTCAGGGTTTGCAGAATATCTCAAGCATTGATCTTCAGTTTGACAATAATGGTATTACCTCCAGGAACAATTTGGGGAGGTTCCAAATTTTGCAGCCTCCAGCTGTGTGACTTCTAAACCTTAATTTCTAATTTTTTTTTTTTGGGATGGAGTTTCACTCTTGTTGCCCAGGCTGGAGTGCAATGTTGCAATCTCAGCTCACTGCAACTTCTGCCTCCTGGGTTCAAGTGATTCTCCTGCCTCAGCCTCCCTAGTAGCTGGGATTACAAGCATGCGCCACCACGTCCGGCTAATTTTGTATTTTTAGTAGAGATGGGCTTTCACCATTTTGGTGAACTCCTGACCTCAGGTGATCCACCAACCTCGGCCTCCCAAAGTGCTGGGATTACAGGTGTGAGCCACCATGCCTGGACAATTTCTAATTTTGTAGCTAATTTATTAGTCCTGCAAAGGTACTCTAGTCCCCAGACAGGAGGGGGGTTTTGGGAAAGGTAAACTAAAAACTAAGTTAAACTATAAGCTGAGTTCCTGCCAGTGCTGTGGCTTATGCCTCTAATCCCAGCACTTTGGGAGGCTGAGGCAGGTGGATAGCTTGAGTTCAGGAGTTCGAGACTAGCCTGGCAACATGGCAAAAGCCCTTCTCTACAAAAAAAAATTAGCCAGGTGTGGTGGTGCATGCCTGTGGTCCCAGCTACTCGGGAGGCTGAGGCCAGAGGATAGCTTGAGCCTGGGAGGTGGAGGCTGCAGTGAGCTGAGATTGCACCACTGTACTCCAGCCTGAGTGACAGAGCGAGACCCTGTCTTAAAAAATAAATAAATAAATACAATTTTAAAAAAGTTCTTAAGGATTATTTTCAGTAAGCTGTGAAATATCTTTGTGAAATGCACTGTTCTGACTCGAGATACATTTCTATCTAAAGAATTTTGCTCCATTTGATGTAGTCAAAGAGTTTTTTTTACTGGACACTGGTGATTCACACCTTTTTTACTCTCCTGGTTTTTCTAGATTCTGTGATTAACACCTTTCTGTGTTTTAAAAACTTGAAGTATAACCTTTTAATTTTTTCTTAAATTACATAAATGCATACCTTTCTCATTTAAAATTTGGAATTGTAAATTTGGAAATATAGAAAAATGTTCCAACCTGTTTGTTTGTTTATTTATTTGTTTTTGAGACAAGGTCTTGCTCTGTCACCCAGGCTGGAGTACAGTGGAATGATCATGGCTCACTGTACCCTTAACCTCTCAGGCTCAAGCAGCCCTGCCGCCCCACCTTCCTGGGTAGCTGGGACTACAGGCGCATGCCACCATGCCTGGCTAATTTTTAAAATTTTTGTATAGAGATGAGGTCTTCCTATGTTGATCAGACTGGTCTCAAACTCCTGGGCTCTAGGGATACTCCCACCTTTGCCTCCCAAAGTGTTGGGCTTACAAGTGTAAGCCACTGCCCCTGGTCTCAAGTGTTTTAGTACTTGCCGTTAAATGATCATCATTCTTTATGTCTGGCATATTTTTGTATGATATAAACTTAGAAATTATAACTTATTTTTTATCTTAGATTGCATCTTGGATTGGATGCTTCCTAAGGTTACCTTATGCCCATTAGTAATAATTTCTGGTGACATTTTCAAATGTTGGCACACTCTGTTTATATTGTGGGAATTCTTTTTAGACAGGCATTTTGATTTTCCGATCCTTTTTCTTTCCTTCTTCCTAACTTTCATTTTGATGTTTTTTCTTTTTTTTTTGAGGAAGAATAGCTTTTAGGCATTTAGGTTGGTGACACGTATTTGAATAGACTGAGATCTCCTATATATCTCATTATAATATCCATGGTTTTAGTTACAAATGAGAAACAATTTGAAGAGTTTTATGACCATGGTTGCATTTTTTCAGTTATTTTCAATGAATTGACATTTGTTTCTAGTTTAAACTTTGAAAAGATACGTAAGTGAGACTGATAAAAGACTAGAAAGCTTACTTAGTGGTGGAGAAAGTTGTCAAATATATGACACAGTTCCAAATAAAAATTATAGAATATTTTCTTTATAGTCGTCTGTTCTGTTACTGATACAGATTAAGACTAATACTGTTTTTCTTCTTAATTTTACAGAGTTAATAGAGTGGATACAACCTTGCTGAAGATGAAGAATATACAATATTGAGGATATTTTTTTCTTTTTTTTTTCAAGTCTTGATTTGTGGCTTACCTCAAGTTACCATTTTTCAGTCAAGTCTGTTTGTTTGCTTCTTCAGAAATGTTTTTTACAATCTCAAGAAAAAATATGTCCCAGAAATTGAGTTTACTGTTGCTTGTATTTGGACTCATTTGGGGATTGATGTTACTGCACTATACTTTTCAACAACCAAGACATCAAAGCAGTGTCAAGTTACGTGAGCAAATACTAGACTTAAGCAAAAGATATGTTAAAGCTCTAGCAGAGGAAAATAAGAACACAGTGGATGTCGAGAACGGTGCTTCTATGGCAGGATATGGTAAGATAACCGTAGAATATTTCTAGTTTCCTCCAATCCCTGTTTAAAGATGGTTTTGGAAATTGAACTTATTACTTCATGCATAGGTCTTTGCAAAGTAATTTTTTCTTGACTTTTTATTATGAAAATTTCAAATGTACTGAAAAATAGAGATACTATGATAAATACGTACATATTCATCATCCAGACTTAACAGTTATTAACATTTGGCAACATTTGTTTTATCTAATTGTTGAAGAATATTTAAACTATAGAAATTATGACATTTCGCTGCTAGATATATATCGCTGAAAAAAATGTATGTTGGAGGCCGGGCGTGATGGCTCACGCCTGTAATCCCAGCACTTTGGGAGGCCGAGGCGGATGGATCACGAGGTCAGGAAATCGAGACCATCCTGGCTAACACGGTAAAACCCCGTCTCTACTGAAAATACAAAAACAAATTAGCCAGACATGGTGGCACGTGCTTGTAGTCCCAGCTACTTGGGAGGTTGAGGCAGGAGAATCATTTGAACCTGGGAGGCGGAGGTTGCAGTGAGCTGAGATCGCGCCGCTGCACTCCATCCTGGGTGGTAGAGCAAGACTCCGTCTCAAAAAAAAAAAAAAAAAAAATGTATCTTGGGCTGGTGTTGATGGCTCACATCTGTAATCTTAGTACTTTGGGGGGCCAAGGTGGGAAGATTGCTGGAGCCCAGGAGTTTGAGACTAGCCTAGTAGCCTAGGCAACATAGTGAGACCGCTACTAAAAATACAAACAAAAAATCAGCTGGGCGTGGTGGCAGGTGCCTGTAATCCCAGCTACTCGGGAGACTGAGGCAGGATGAGGCAGGAGAATCGCTTGAACCCAGGAGGTGGAGGTTGTGGTGAGTCGAGATTGTGCCACTGAATTCTAGCTTGGGTGACAGAGTTAGACTCCATCTCAAAAAAAAAAAAAAAAAAAAAAAAAAACAAAGAAAAAAGAAAAAAAAAATTAGCCAGGCATGGTGATACACACCTGTAGTCTTAGCTAGTCGGGAGGCTGAGGTGGGAAGATGGCTTGAGCCCAAGAGGTCAAGGATACAGTGAGCCATGTCTGCACCACTGTACTCCAGCCTAGGCAAGAGAGTGAGACCTCATCTCTTAAGAAAAGTCTAAAAAAATGACCTTCTTGGACATAATACAATACCATTATCACACCTAGTTTATATTTAAATTTTCCTGATTATCCTAATATAAGCCATCAATTGTATAGCATTTATTATTTCCTAAGAAGCAGGTTTTGCCTATATATCTCCAGTATTGTTTATTGCTGTTCTCCCTTTCACATTACTGGGTCCTGTTGTGTTTTAAGTTTCTTATCATGACATGTTCTTTCTTTCCTTTAAGACTTAAAAAGGAGAGAGAACAGATAGTATGGTTCTGTCTGGAACAATGTATATACATGAATGTGTGGACATTTTCTCTATTTCAGTTTTGTTTGTTTAATTAAAAGTTATGGCTGGGCACAGTGGCTCACATCTGTAACCCCAGCATTTTGGGAGGCTGAGGTAGGTGGATTGCTTGAGTCCAGGAGTTTGAGACCAGCCTGGGCAACATAGTGAAACCATTTCTCTACAGAAAATACAAAAGTTAGTGGGGCGTGGTGGCGCGCACTTGTAGTTCCAGCTACTTGGGAGGTTCAGGTGGGACAACTGCTTGAGCCTGGGAGGTTGAGGCTGCAGCAAGGTGTGATCACACGCCACTGCACTTAAGCCTGGGTGACAGAGTGAGACCCTGTCTCAAAAAAAAAAAGTGGTACATGCATGTATTTAAATAATCAAAGTGTGTTATGATTCCTGTAATGAAAAAGGGCAGTTTTTTCTACTCCCAAAAGTCCTCAAATTTCCTGTTCTTTAGAGCCACCCATTTTAAATTCTTTCATCTCATTTTTTTGGTGATTATTTCTGCATCTAAATAATATGCTCTGTGAGCTCCTTTCCGATTTTTCAGTTATAGGTGTTATCTGTTAACTTCTCATTAAGCAAGGTGAGAGTTTAGCTTTCTTTCTCACTTAAAAATGCATTCCATCCACCCCCCAGGCTGTTGTCACATCCATATCCTTCTTATCCTTTCATTTTCCCTTCATAATTTTGTTTAGAATAATATTCAGTATTTATACTATTATGACCATGTTGATGGTATTCATTATTGAGCCATATAAAGGCATACCTCAGAGATACTGTGGATTCTGTTCCAAACCACACAATAAAGTGAATGTCACAATAAGCAAGTCACACAGATCTTTTGGTTTCCCAGTGCATATAAAAGTTAAGTTTACACTATACTGTAATCTCTTAAGTGTGCAGTAGCATTATGTCTTAAAAAACAATGTACATACCTTAATTGAAAATACTTTATTGCTAAAATATGCCAAAAATCATCTGAGCCTTCAGCAAGTCATAATCCTTTTGCTGGTGGAGGATCTTGCCTTGATGTCAAAGGTTACTGACTGATCAGTGTGGTGGTTACTGAAGGTTGGGGTGGCTGTGGCAATTTCATAAAATGAGACAATAATGAAGTTTGCCACATTGATGGACTCTTCATGAAAGATTTTTTTTGTAGCATGGATTATTTGATAGGATTTTACCTACGGTAGAACTTCTTTCAAAATTGGAGTCAGTCCACACAAATCCTACTGCTGCCTTGTCAATAAAGTTTACATAATATTCTAAATCCTTTGTTGTCATTTCAACAGTGTCCACAACATCTTCACCAGTAGATTCCATCTCAAAAAACTACTTTCTTTGCTCTTCCGTAAGAGCAGCTCCTCATCTGTTCAAGTCTTATCATGAGATTGCAGCAATTCAGTCTCGTTTTCAGGCTCTACTTCTCATTCTGCAGTTACTTCTTCCACTGAAGTCTTGAACCCCTCAAAGTCATCCATGAGGGTTGGAATCACCTTCTAATTCATTCATTCATTCTTATAAATGTTGACATTTTTACCTCCTTTCATGAATCATGAATATTATTAATGGCATCTAGAATAGTGAATCCTTTCCAGAAGGCTTTCAGTTTACTTTGTCTAGACCCATCAGCTCTGGCCTTATGGAATGTATTTCTTAAATAATAAGACTTAAAAGTCCAAATGACTCCTTTATCGATGGGCAGGAGAATGGATGTTGTGTTAGCAGCCATGAAAACATGAATCTCCTTGTACATCTTCAGAGCTGTTGGGTGACTGGGCACATTGTCAAGGAGCAGTAATATTTTGAAAGGAATTGTTTTTTCTGAACAGTGGGTCTCAACAGTAGGTCTTAGTGGGCTTAAAATGTTCAGTAACTCATTCTGTAAACATATGTTGTCACCCAGGCTTTCTTGTTCCATTTATAGAGCACAGGCAGAATAGATTCAGCATAATTCATAAGGGCTCTAGGATTTTCAGCATGATAAATGAGCATTGGTTTCAACTTTAAGTCACCAGATGCATTACCCCCTAAGAAGAAAGTCAGCCTGTCATTTGAAGCTTTGAAGTCAGGCATTGACTTCTCACTAGCTATGAAAATCCTAGATGGCATCTTCTTCCTAGAGAAGAATGTTTTGTCTACACTGAAAATTTGTTACTTAGTATAGCCACCTTCATCAATGATCTTAGCTAGGTCTTCTAGATAACTTGCTGCAGGTTCTCCATTAGCACTTGCTGCTTCACCTTGCACTTGAATCTTATGGAAATGGCTTTTTCCTTAAACCTCAAAAGCAACCTCTGCTAGCTTCCAACTCTTCTTCTGCAGGTTCCTAACCTCTCTTAGCCTTCATAGAATTGAAGAGAGTTGGGGTCTTGCTCTGGATTAGGCTTTGGCTTAAGAGAATGTTGTGGCTGGTTTGATGTTTTATCCAGACCACTCAAACTTTCTTCATTTCAGCAGTAAAGCTGTTTTTCTTTCTTATTGTTCATGTGTTCCCTGGAGTAGCACTTTTAATTCTCTTCAAGAACTTTTCCTTTGCAGTCACAACTTGGCTGTTTGGCACAAGGCCTAGCTTTCAGCCTATCTCAGCTTTCAACATGCCTTCCTCACTAAATTTAATCATTTCTGGCTTTTAGTTTAAAGTGAGAGAAGAGGGACTCTTCCTTACACTTGAACACTTAGAAGCCATTGTAGGGTTATTAATTGGCCTAATTTCAATATTGTTATGTCTAAGGGAATAGGGAGGCCTGAAGAGAGGGAGAGAGACAGAGGAAAGGCCATTGGATGCAGCAGTCAGAACACATGTAACATTTATGAATTAAGTCTGCTGTCTTATATAGATAGAATTCAAGGTGTCCCAAAACAGTTCCAATGGTAGCATCAGCAATTGCTGATCAGCTCACCATGGCAGATACAAGAATAATGAAAAAGTCTGAAATATGATGAGAATTACCCAAATGTGACAGAGACACAAAGTGAGCAGATATTGTTAGAAAGATGGCACCAATAGACTTGCTCCATGCAGAGTTGCTGCAAACATTCAATTGTAAAAACACAATATCTGTAAAGTGAAGTGCAATAAAACAATGTATTCCTCTATTACATTATGGTTACTTTCCTATAAACTTTTTCACCCTAGAGTTTAATAAGTATCGATTTTTGCTTCTTTGCCTAGTTTTCTACTGCATCCCCCTACAGTTGTTTAAATATTCTCCTAGCATATTCAGACACATTAGGTATTTTAGCACTTTCTTTATATTGAAGAAATCTTTCCTGATGCCTTCCAGTCATCTCTGGCCTGGACTGTTTGCTCTCTAGGATTGCAGCAGTGAATTGTTTTAAGATCACAATTTGTCATCATCTTGTAGATTTCTTTTACTCCTCTATTATATTGGATCTCCTATTTTCTAGAATTTTTAAGCTTCCTCTTTATTGGTTATCCCCTGATTTTAAGGGAACAGATCTTCTGGTAGGTTCCTGAGAAAGATGCAGATAGGTAAAAGTTTTGAATTCTTGTATATCTTGAAAAGATCTTTTTCCCCTCAACCCTCATGCTTCATTGTAAGTTTGGCTGGGTGTAGAAATAATTTTCCTTGAGATGGAAATAATTTTCCTTGAGATTTTAAAGGCTCTGCTCTGTTCTGTTTTACTCCTCATCCCCCTAGGTTCCAGTGTTCTTTTTGAGAAGCTGATGCTCTTCTTTATCCTTTTTATGTGACTTAATTTTTGGAATCTTGTAAGGTCTGTGTCCCACACCATTCTAAAATTTCTCAGTGATGTGACTGGGTATGGGTCTCTTTCGTACATGTGTTGGGCCCTCAGTGGGACATCCTGCAATTTATGTCATTCAATTCTGGGATATTTTCTTAATTTATTAATTTGATTTCTATGTTTTTCATTCACTCTTTCTGGCATTCTGTTAATTCCAGCATTTGGGCTCTCTGGACTGTTGTCCTCCAGTTTTCCCTTATTTATTTTCCATTTCTGTCTTTTTACTTCATTTTTTGAGACGATTTCCTTAGCTTAATTTCCAGATCTTTACGGAGTTTTTAATCTCATCTAATATTTTTAATTTCTAAGAGCTATCTTTTGGGCTGGGCGCGGTGGCTCACCCCTGTAATCCTAGCACTTTGGGAGGCTGGGCAGGTGGGTCACTTGACGTTAGGAGTTCGAGACCAGCCTGGCCGACATGGTGAAACCCCATCTCTACTAAAAATACGAAAATTATCTGGACGTGGTGGCACACACCTGTAATCCTAGCTACTCGGGAGGCTGAGGCAGGAGAATCACTTGAATCCAGGAGACGGAGGTTGCAGTGAGCCAAGATTGCACCACTGCTCTCTAATCTGGGGAACAGAGTGAGATGCTGTCTCCAAAAAAAAAAAAAAAAAAAAAAAAAAGAAAAGGAAAAAAAAAGCTGTCTTTTGTTACATCTCTGAGGTTATCAATGGTAGCTTTTCTGAAGCGTTTTTATGTTTCTTCCAAATATATCTGGTGATCCTTATTCTTTGTCTGTATTTGAGAAATGAGGCACTAAAAGGTTGATGGCAAATGCTGAGCTTTTGTGTGGTATTCACTATAGGATGATCTGGCTGGGACATTTCTTTGGGTATATCCTTAATATTTATAATGACTTCTCATACCAACTACCTGCAGTTAAGCCTGCAGTAAGGGCACAGTGCTCCACAAGACTGCCCTCACTTCAGACACCAGCCACTAGTTAGGGTATTCCCAGGCCACTTTCACTTCTGATCAAGTGGCTACAAATTTGTGGGTTATTACCTCCTTATGTTTGACAATTCACTAGATTGACCTGTAAAACTCACTGAAAAGTACTGTGCGTCACTTTTGATATAAATACTTTATTTTCAATCTGTAATTGAATTTGTGGATGCAGAACCCACAGATACAGAGATCTAACTAAGGGACATGAAAATCCATGGATTTTGGTATCCGTGGTGGGTCCTAGAACCAATTCCCTACAGATACAGAGAGCCAAGTATACTTACTATTACAGTTTTAGTGTAGAAGAAGGATAGATGCTAGAGCCAGCCAAAGGGAGATACGCATAGGACAAGGTCTGGGAGGGTACGAGATGCAGTTTCTGTTGTCCTCTCTTCATAGAACCAGGACACATTACCCTCCTGGCATATCCAACACACATCAGTGTGTGATAATATGCAGAATATTGCCAACTAGGGAATCTCACCTGAACTTCAATGTACAGTTGTATTGGGGTCTCATTATGTAGGCATGATTGAATCATTGCCCACGTGGTTGAACTTAATCTCCACCCCTCCTCCCCTCCCTGGAAGTCAGCTGAAAATCCCCAACTCTCTAATCACATGGTTGTCCTTTCTGACATGGCCAGCTCCCCAACCCCCCATTCTGGGTCTTCCCATTAGCACAAAATATCTAGAGCCCCACTCTGAGTTGCCTCCTTAAGGTAAACTAACAGATGTGGTCCCAGGGGCCTACCATGACTAATAAAGACATTCGTCACTCAGGAAATTCCAGGCACTTAGTGGCTACCTCCCAACAACTGGAGACAAAGATCAGCTAAATTTTTTTTTTTTTTTTTTTTTTTTAAATTTGAGACAGAGTCTTGCTCTGTTGTTCAGGCCGGAGTGCAGTGGTGCAATCTTGGCTCACTGCAACATCCACCTCCTGGGTTCAAGTGACTCTCCTGCCTCAGCCTCCCGAGAACCTGGGACTACAGGCATGCACCACCGCGCCCAGCTAATTTTTATGTTTTTTAGTAGAGATGAGGTTTTACCATGTTCAAGGCCAGGTTGGCCTTGAACTCCTGACCTCATGTGATCCACCTGCCTCCACCTCCCAGAGTGCTGGGATTACAGGGGTGAGCCACCGCGCTTGGCCTAAATTTTTTATTACACAGTATCAATGTATTTTATTCCTTTGAGATGATCTCTAATATCAGTATATTTAGGTCTCTCCTGTTGAGCTGGTCAGATACCCTGGAGAAGCACTTCCTGTCTGTTGCTGGAGAGTATAGGCCTGTAAGTGTTCTGGGATCTGAGCGAGAGAAAAAGGCTGGGCAAGGAAGAGTGATCTCAGCACTCACTACCTTCATTTACTCTTCCAGTTTCCAGTGTAAACCCAGGCCCTCAACTGCTCTATCCCCTTAAGAAAATACATCTCAGATCTTCTGCAGTGGGGGAGGTTTTGGAGTGGTGCACAGAATTTAAGGATGAATTGCTTCATAGAAAATAGTTAATGCATGCTGGGCTTAATACCTACCTAGGTGATGGGTTGACAGGTGCAGCAAATCACCATGGCGCAGGTTTACCTATGTAACAAACCTGCACATCTGAAGAAACAGGAGTGTGGCGTGACCATAGGGAAGCAAAAGAACACAAGGAAGTATGCAACCATGAAGCGCATGCTTAAACTCAGAGATCAGAGGCTTAAAGAAAAGGATAGATTAAAACCTACAAAGAAAGAAGAAAAGGATCCCAGCGCATTAAAGGAAAGAGAAGTTCCCCAACACCCTTCCTGCCTATTTTTCCAATGTAATGCACAGCTGGGCCCACCTTACTACATCCTTGTTGATACCAACTTTATTTATTTTTTCTTTTTTTTAAGAAAAATATATTTTTATTATACTTTAAGTTCTAGGGTACACGTGCACAATGTGCAGGTTTGTTACATATGTATATATGTACCATGTTGGTGTGCTGCACCCATTAACTTGTCATTTACATTAGGTATATCTCCTAATGCTATCCCTCCCCCCTCCCCCCACCCCACAATAGGCCCTGGTGTGTGATGTTCCCCTTCCTGTGTCCTAGTGTTCTCATTGTTCAGTTCTCACCTATGAGTGAGAACATGCGGTGTTTGGTTTTCTGTCCTTGCGATAGTTTGCTGAGAATGATGGTTTCCAGCTTCATCCATGTCCCTACAAAGGACATGAACTCATCCTTTTTTATGGCTGCATAGTATTCCATGGTGTCTATGTGCCACATTTTCTTAATCCAGTCTATCATTGTTGGATATTTGGGTTGGTTCCAAGTCTTTGCTATTGTGAATAGTGCTGCAATAAACATACGTGTGCGTGTGTCTTTATAGCAGCATGATTTATAATCCTTTGGGTACATACCCAGTAATGGGATGGTTGGGTCAAATGGTATTTCTAGTTCTAGATCCCTGAGGAATCGCCACACTGCCTTCCACAATGGTTGAACTAGTTTACAGTCCCACCAACAGTGTAAAAGTGTTCCTATTTCTCCACATCCTCTCCAGCACCTGTTGTTTCCTGACTTTTTAATGATCGCCATTCTAACTGGCGTGAGATGGTATCTCATTGTGGTTTTGATTTGCATTTCTCTGATGGCCAGTGATGATGAGCATTTTTTCATGTGTCTGTTGGCTGCATAAATGTCTTCTTTTGAGAAGTGTCTGTTCATATCCTTCACCCACTTGTTGATGGGGTTGTTTTTTTCTTGTAAATTTGTTTGAGTTCTTTGTGGATTCTGGATATTAGCCCTTTGTCAGATGAGTAGATTGCAAAAATTTTCTCCCATTTTGTAGGTTGCCTGTTCACTCTGATGGTAGTTTCTTTTGCTGTGCAGAAGCTCTTTAGTTTAATTAGATCCCATTTGTCAATTTTGGCTTTTGTTGCCATTGCTTTTGGTGTTTTAGACATGAAGTCCTTGCCCATGCCTATGTCCTGAATGGTATTGCCTAGGTTTTCTTCTAGGGTTTTTATGGTTTTAGGTCTAACATCTAAGTCTTTAATCCATCTTGAATTAATTTTTGTATAAAGTGTAAGGAAGGGATCCAGTTTCAGCTTTCTACATATGGCTAGCCAGTTTTCCCAGCACCATTTATTAAATAGGGAATCCTTTCCCCATTGCTTGTTTTTGTCAGGTTTGTCAAAGATCAGGTAGTTGTAGATGTGTGGTATTATTTCTGAGGGCTCTGTTCTGTTCTATTGGTATGTATCTCTGTTTTGGTACCAGTCCCATGCTGTTTTGGTTACTGTAGCCTTGTAGTATAGTTTGAAGTCAGGTAGTGTGATGCCTCCAGCTTTGTTCTTTTGGCTTAGGACTGACTTGGCAATGCGGGCTCTTTTTTGGTTCCATATGAACTTTAAAGTAGTTTTTTCCAATTCTGTGAAGAAAGTCATTGGTAGCTTGATGGGGATGGCATTCAATCTATAAATTACCTTGGCCAGTATGGCCATTTTCACGATATTGATTCTTCCTATCCATGAGCATGGAATGTTCTTCCATTTGTTTGTATCCTCTTTTATTTCGTTGAGCAGTGGTTTGTAGTTCTCCTTGAAGAGGTCCTTCACATCCCTTGTAAGTTGGATTCCTAAGTATTTTATTCTCTTTGAAGCAATTGTGAATGGGAGTTCACTCATGATTTGGCTCTCTGTTTGTGTGTTATTGGTGTATAAGAATGCTTGTGATTTTTGCACATTGATATTGTATCCTGAGACTTTGCTGAAGTTGCTTATCACCTTAAGGAGATTTTGGGCTGAGATGATGGGGTTTTCTAGATATACAATCATGTCATCTGCAAACAGGGACAATTGGACTTCCTCTTTTCCTAATTGAATACTCTTTATTTCTTTCTCCTGCCTGATTGCCCTGGCCAGAACTTCCAACACTATGTTGAATAGGAGTGGTGAGAGAGGTCATCCCTGTCTTGTGCCAGTTTTCAAAGGGAATGCTTCCAGTTTTTGCCCATTCAGTATGATATTGGCTGTGGGTTTGTCATAAATAGCTCTCATTATTTTGAGATAACGTTCCATCAGTACCTAGTTTATTGAGAGTTTTTAGCATGAAGGCCTGTTGAATTTTGTCAAGGGCCTTTTCTGCATCTATTGAGATAATCATGTGGTTTTTGTCTTTGGTTCTGTTTATATGCTGGATTATGTTCATTGATTTGTGTATGTTGAACCAGGCTTGCATCCCAGGGATGAAGCCCACTTGATCAAGGTGGATAAGCTTTTTGGTGTGCTGCTGGATTCGGTTTGCCAGTGTTTTACTGAGGATTTTTGCATTGTTGTTCATCAGGGATATTGGTCTAAAATTCTCTTTTTTTGTTGTGTCTCTGCCAGGCTTTGGTATCAGGATGATGCTGGCCTCATAAAATGAATTAGGGAGGATTCCCCCTTTTTCAGTTGATTGGAATAGTTTCAGAAGGAATGGTACCAGCTCCTCCTTGTACCTCTGGTAGAATTCGGCTGTGACTCCATCTGGTCCTGGACTGTTTTTGGTTGGTAAGCTATTAATTATTGCCTCAATTTCAGAGCCTGTTATTGGTGTATTCAGAGATTCAGCTTCTTCCTGGTTAGTCTTGGGAGGGTGTATGTGTCAAGGAATTTATCCATTTCTTCTAGATTTTCTAGTTTATTTGTGTAGAGGTGTTTATAGTATTCTCTGGTGGTAGTTTGTATTTCTGTGGGATCAGTGGTGATCTCTCCTTTATCATTTTTTATTGCGTCTATTTGACTCTTCTCTGATACCAACTTTATCAACTTTTCCTTAAAAGCGAAACTGGATTTAGTGCAGTCAACGATGGACTGTCTGTATGCCAGGTGTATCCCTTGTGTAACTGATTGTGTAATGGCTGAAATTGAGAAATTGGGGCAGAAGTATTGAGTGGCTCTAAGGATAGCCAAGGATCCAAGGTTTGTACTGTGTACACACAAAGGAACCTATGCAGATGACTGCTTAGTACAGAGAGTAGCTCAGCATAAATGTTACATTGTGGCCACAGTTGACCCTTAAGATTCCTGGAGTTCCTGTCATGTACATTTCTAACCATAGATACAACATTGAATGGTTGCCAGATGATTACAGAGCCCCTCCATTCTAAATCTTACAAGACACAATTCCTCTGCCTTTCTGCAACCAATGTTCTCTTGTTGCGAGTTCATTACACATGCAGTAACATGAATTATTATTCTGTTGACCTGTTTGCTCTGCTGTGAGCTGAGGATGGTTAAATATGCTCACTCTTTTTTTTTTTTTTTTTTTTTTGAGATGAAGTTTTGCTCTTGTTGCCCAGGCTGGAGTGCAATGGCACAATCTCAGCTCACTGCAGCCTCTGCCTCCCGGGTTCAGGCGGTTCTCCTGCCTTAGCCTCCCAACTGGCTGGGATTGCAGGCTCGCGCCACTATGCCCAGCTGATTTTTTTTTTTTTTTTTGGTATTTTTAGTAGAGACAAAAACTTTTGTATTTTTACTACAGAAAAATATGCCTCAGCCTCCCAAGGTGCTGGGATTGCAGGCATGAGCCACTGTGCCTGGCCTGCTCACTTTTTGATGCTGTTTTGGAATTGATATTTTGTCTCATAAAAATTTTAGACCAGGCATGGTGGCTCATGCCTGTGGTACAGCACTTTGAGAGGCCGAGGTGGGCGGATCACCTGAGGTCAGGAGTTTGAGACCAGCCACGACAACATGGCGAAACCCCATCTGTACTAAGAATACAAAGTTGGCCAGGTGTGGCGTTGCTTGCCTATAGTCCCTGCTGCTGTGGAGGCTGAGGCAGGAGAGTCACTTGAACCCAGAAGGCAGAGGTTGTGGTGGGCCGAAGTTGTGCCACTGCATTCCAGCCTAGGTGACAGAGTGAGACTGTCTCAAAAAAAAAAAAAAAAAAATTTAGTGATGGTCAAAGGGTACAAAATCTCAGACAGGAAGAATATGTTTTATACTTTATTGAGTTCTGTTGTACAGTGTGGTGCATATACTTAATAATGGGGTATTATACATTTCAAAATTGATGTTCTCATCACAGAAATATATTTGAAGTATTGGATATGTTAACTAGCTTGATTTAATTATTCCATATTGTATCCACAATTTATGACATCACTTCGTAACCCATAAATTTATACAATTATAAATTGTCGCTTTGTAGTAAAAAATTTTTGTTGTATCTTTTTAGGAATAAAAACCCCCTGCACATCCTGCACATATATCCCAGAACTTTGCACCTAGTCCTTCTAGGTTTTTAGTCCTTTCTTTACCTCTGTTTTCAGTAGTACATGGTGTAAAATTTCTGGGACCTTTCGGGGTAGGATTCTGTGGAGAAAACAGGATTGCTTCCTGGCTTTTCTTACTTCTCATTAAAGATTTAGCTTTCTCAGGTCTGCTAAGTCAGTTACCATTCAGCCCTGGAGTTTTGTTACTGTGGTCTCCTTTCTTGTTTGTTATCTTTAGCCTTGTGGATTTGTGCTTAAAAACATAAAGAGAAAAACAGTTTACTGTTTCTGTGGGTACCTAGACTAAGCTTATTCTAAATGCCTGTGTTCACTTCACCATCTTTACCTGGGAATGCCCTGGACACATATTTTTCCTTCTTCCCTTCATGATGATTTTCCTGAAATAATGATGGTTAGTCTGGTCTCAAACTCCTGGCCTCATGTCGTCCTTCCACCTCGGCCTCTCAAAGTGCTGGGATTACAGGCATGAGCCACCCTGGCCAGCCAGATATTATAGAAATAGATAACATAAATAAGCAAAAGCAGAGCAGAGGTAATTTCAGTTAATTTGGTATATATCAGCATTTGGCTATATATTTTCTTAAAGGGCTATGTCATAACTATTTTCAGTTTTGTGGGTTGTATATGGTGTCTGTTATAATAAATGAGCATGCCTATTTCCTAATAAAACTGTATTTTCAAAGATAGGTGGCCATTCAGCTGTAGTTTTCCAACCTGTGGTACCTATGCACGCATATTCCAACACATTGCTTTATTTTGAACAAAAATGGCATCGTACTGTACATGTTGGTTTTGCAACTTATTTATTTTCACTAAGTTACTGTAAATATACTTCCATTTTATACACATAGGTCTATTTTATCCTTTTTAATGACAATATTATTTCATTTTATTTTAATTTTTGAGACAGGATCTCATGCTCTTGCCCAGGCAGGAGTGTAGTGGAGTGATCATAGCTCAGTATAACCTCAAATTCCTGGGCTCAGGTGATCCCCCCACCTTAGCCACCCAAGTAGCTGAGACTACAGGTGTGCTCCACCCTGCCGGGCTAATTTTTTGTTGTTGTTGTTGAGTCAGGGTCTCACTGTGTTGCCCGGCATATTCTCAAACTTCTGGAATCAAGCGATCCTCCCACCTTGGCTTCCCAAAGTGCTCGGATTACAGATGTGAGCTACTATGCCTGGCCTATTATCTCATTTTATAAATGTCTTTCGTTTACTTCCCTAATGATCAATAATTTGGTGCTGAACTTTTTTTGTGTGTTTTATTTAGTGCTGTGGTGTATTTGTGTGTATGAAATATATGTGTGTGTATATGTATTTCATATTTGTGTGAATGTTTAAGAATAGATTACCTAATTGTGGAATTTTGGGGTCAAGGATGTGCACACGTTAAATTTAATAGACATTTGTCAGATTGCCCTCCAGAATGGTTCTACCAATTTACATTCTTACTATACCACTTTCCCGTCAGTGGGAAGGTGACCATTTATATGCAGACTTTGACCAATTCTATTTAATTTTAAATGGCATTTAGTTGTTTGCTTTTGGATTTATTTGCTTTCAGGGGAGGTTAAAAGATTTTTTTAAATGTTTGTTGGCTGTTTGTATTTCTTGTACATATGAGAATGTGAATTATTTGAGTCACGACAATTTTTCTGCTGGGAAATTTGTTTATTTCTTATTTGACTGATTTTTTTTTTTTTTTTTTTTTTTTGAGGCAGAGTCTTGCTCTGTTGCCCAGGCTGGAGTGCAATGGCGCTCTCTCAGCTCACTGCAAGCTCTGCCTCCCAGGTTCATGCCATTCTCCTGCCTCAGCCTCCCGAGTAGCTGGGACTACAGGCGCCCGCCACCACGCCCAGCTAATTTTTTTTGTATTTTTAGTAGAGACGGGGTTTCACTGTGTTAGCCAGGATGGTCTCGATCTCCTGACCTCGTGATCCACCCGCCTTGGCCTCCCAAAGTGCTGGGGTTACAGGCTTGAGCCACCGCTCCTGGCCTTGACTGATTCTTTATAAAGATGCTAATGCTGTCATGTGTTACAGAGGTTTTTCTTTTGATTTTCAGTTGCCTAATAACTGGGTGTGCTGTTTTAAAATTTTATGTAGTAAAATACATTTTTTATGATTTAGTTTTGTGCTGAAAATTTTTTTCTCCATAACTTATATTCTAATGTATTATGCTTTTTGTTGTTTTTTGTTTGTTTTACATTTATAGTTGTAATACAGTTGGGACTTCTGGTGTAAGCAGTAAGATGCAGCTTCTTTTCTCCAGATGAGTTAGCCAGTTATTCTAGTTTCATTATTTGAATTTCTTCCTTGGCTCCATTAATTTGAAATAGGAGTACAAATTATAATAAGATTAGAATTCTACAATAACTTAAACATTTAGCCATCTATAGAAACCATTTATCCATAGCCTTTCATTACTATACAAATAAGCTAGTCAATCAAAAATATTTATTGAATGGACCTCTTTTGAGCTGTTTATCCTATTTTTTCCAGTTGGTAAAATAAACATAAGCTAATATATTTTTTAATGGAAATTAAAAAAAATATTTATTTTAGGTTTGGGGGTACATGTGAAGATTTGTTATATAGATAAACACGTGTCTTGGGGGGTTCATTGTACATATTATTATATCATCCAGGTACTGAGCTTGGTACCCAATAGTTATCTTTTCTGCTCCTCTCCCTCCTCCCACCCTCCCCACTCAAGTAGACCCAGTGTCTGTTGTTTACTTCTTTGTGTTCGTAAGTTCTTATCATTTAGCTCCCACTTAGAAGTGAGAACGTGCAGTATTTGGTTTTCTGTTTCTGCATTAGCTAATATTTTTTAAAAATGCTAGTCTATAATAAATTGTTACTGTTTTGAAGACTGTGGACAGATTAATTCAACTTTATAATGACCTGTACATTTTGAACAGTTAATGTGTGCTTTCTCTTTAATCTATAATCATTTCCATCCACCTTATATCTTTTCCTCCACATTCTTAGTCCTCTGTGATGGAATTTTGTTTTCTTCCTATGTAATATTATCTCTGTTGGATTCTGTGATTTGCCTAGAACAATGAATTGGGAATACTTGCTCCAGCTTCACACTGACTGCTCTGGAACACTTTGCAGTTGGTGCATGGTTTCCTACACCTGGTTCTGAATCTCCAGCAACACCAGTCCTTAACCACATCAGGCTTTCCGACTGACCCTGCTTTCTTTTAAGGGTTTTGGCTTTCCTCTTTATCAGTGTAGCTGAACACTTTAAATAAAAAATAGATGCCAGCCAGGTGCAGTGGCTCACACCTGTAATCCCACCACTCTGGGGGACTGAGGCAGGAAGATCACTTGAGGCCAGGAGTTGAGACCAACTTGGGCAACATAGTGAGACCCTGGCTCTAAAAAAAAAAGGCCAGTTGCGGTGGCTCACCTGTAATCCCAGCACTTTAGGAGGCCCAGGTGGGTGGATCACTTGAGGTAGGCAGCAGGCACCCGTAGTCCCAGCTACTCGGGAGGCTGAAGCACAAGAATTGCTTGAACCGAGGAGGTAGAGGTTACAGTGAGCTGAGATCGCACCACTGCACTCCAGCCTGGGTGACGAGAGTGAGACTCTGTCTCAGAAAAAAAAAAAAAGAAAGACTGTATAAATATTTTAGGAGAATAATTTTTGATAGGGTCTTGCTCTGTCACCCAGGCTGGAGTACAGTGGCACGATCATGGCTCACTGCAGCCTCGACCTCCTGGGCTCAAGTGATCCTCCTGCTTCACCCTCCCTAGAAGCTGGGACTGCAGGTGTGCACCAAAACACACAGCCAATTTTTTTTTTAAGAGATGGGGTCTTGCTCTGTTGCCCAGGCTGATCTCAAACTCCTGGGCTCAAGCAGTCCTGTTTCGGACTCCCAAAGTTCTGGGATTGCAGGTATGAGCTACCACTCCCAGCCAGGAGAATAATTTAATGTTAATATTTAAATGTTCTTCAGAAAATAATAGTTTAAAAATTATTGCTCTTGCACACAAATCCAGCAAAAATTTTCCTTAGTAAAATGACCAAGATTAAAATTTCTTTAATTCATTTTAAAAATATATAAATTATTGTATAAGTAATGAATGGAAAACAGTGTTATAAGCATTTTCAGAAGCAGGCTATTGGAGATTATCTTTTATAGTTTGAAGAAAACCAGTTTTAAAAATTTCTCACACCGGGGACTTCTAGGAAAATGGAGATCTATCCTCATCTATGTTATGCATCTCTCCCCTGTTCTTTCCATCCAAATACAACCAAAAGCCTTGGACATTTTATATAAGACTCTGGAGGAGAAAAAGTCAGACAGTCTAGGGACCTCAGGAGACCAGGAGTGACACAGTGGTATGTTCCCTGTGTGTATTTCAGAGTTGGAGCTGAAGAAGTCAGCAACCTAGATACTGCCAACAGGCAAAGACAGAAAAAGCCCCAACAAAAGCCTGTTCTCTCTAGCCAAGAAAAGGCAGCCTAGCAAGCTAGAAAACTTGTAGTCAATAACAGCTCTCCTCTAGCCAAACATCACAGAAAAAAACTGTTGCTGCACTACCAGCTACCTGATCAAAGGCCAAGTGGTAAGCCTAGACTTTTATCCTTTCAAGGCTACAGTGAGGCATACAACATTCCTGCCATGGAGGTGTTAGAGAAGGCAGTAGGAGCCGGAAATGTCACCCCTGCCAGCCAGCCAGGAGTGAGAACTGCCCCCACTGTACTCATGGGACCAGTGGAGACCACATGGAGAATCAGGACTTTACCTCCACATGGCAGTAACGAACTGTTCATCTCCCTTCCCTCTGGTGTGATGTCAGGGGAAGCCTGTGGAGAGTCAGGACATTCATCATCCCCAGTGAGTATGAGGCCATCCCCACCACACTGTCAGTGGAGAGTACATGGGGACCTGGAACTCCCTTCTCCACCCAGCAGAGTGAGGAGCCCACCACCCTTGAGTATTGTGGAAGCTGAATGGGGCACTTGGACTTCTGCCTCTGCCTGGCAGTAACAAGGTGGCACCCCTCCCCTGCCAGAGTGGTGTTAGAGAAAACCACCTAAAACAGGAGGTTTAAATAAGATCCAGAGTCTCATAATATGAAAATGTCCAAATTTCAAACACAAATCACTTATACCAAGAACCAGGAAGGTCTCAGACTGAATGAAAAATGACAGTGACTGCTATGGTTTGAATGTATGTGTCCCTCCAAAATTCATATGTTGAAACCTAATTTGGTAGTATTAGAAGGTGGCGTCTTTGGGAGGTGATCATGTCACGAGGACTCTACCCTTATGAATGGGATTAATGCCCTTTATAAACAGAGGCTTCAGAGAGCTACCTTGTCTCTTCCACCCCTCTGCCATGTCAGGACACCTAGAAGACACCATCTGTGAGGAACAGGCTCTCAGCAGATACCAAATCTGCCGGCCCCTTGATAGTGTATACTTTCCAGCCTCCAGAACTGTGAGAAATCAATTTCTATTAATTACCTAGTCTGTGGTGTTTTGTGATGGCAGCCTGAATAGGCTAAGACAATGATATATTAGAATTATCTGAAAAAGATTTTAAAGCTGCTATGATAAAATTTCTCCAAAGAGCATTTAATGAATATGAAGCAAATGAAAAAGACACCTTCAAAAAAAAAAATAGAAAGTCTCAGGAGAAAAATAGATCATATGAACAAAAACCAAATGGAAATGTTAGAAGTGAAAAATACAATTAAATTAACAAGTTCAGCAAATGGACTCAACAACAGAATGGAGGGGACAGGAAAGAATCGGTAAACTGGAAGATAGAACAATGTAATTACACAATCCAAATAACAGGGAGAAAAACAGACAAAAATAAATAAAAAGAATAGAGCTTCCAGAACCTCTGGGACCATAACTAAAAATCTAACATTTGTGTCATCAGAATTTCAGGAGAAGAGAATGAGAGCAGAGCTGGAAAAGCAATTGAAGAAATGCTGTAAAATTTCCATATTTGGCAAAAGACAGAGTCCTCAGATTTAAGAAGCTGAGCAAACCCCAATCGGGATAAACCCATGCTAAGAATTTCATGCCAAGACAACATAATAATTAAAATTTGGAAAAAAGAAAAAAGGAAAGAGACCAGCCTTACCTATGAAAGACAAGTTTTAAAATTTGTACATAAAAAGTTTACATATTGACATATGCAGAATGCTCTGTTTATCCAATTTACATATATATATATGACATTCCAACAATAGTGGAATGCACATTTTTCAAGAGTCCATGGAGGCAGGGTGTGGTGGCTCTCGCCTGTAATCCCAGCACTTTGGGAGGCCAAGGCAGGCAGATCATTTGAGGTCAGGAGTTCAAGACCAGCCTGGCCAAAAAGGTGAAACCCCATCTCTACTAAAAATACAAAAATTAGCTGCTTGTGGTTGTGCACGCCTGTAATTCCAGCTACTCAGGAGGCTGAGGTATGAGAATTGCTTGAACCGGGAGACAGAGGTTGCAGTGAGCCGAGATTGTGCCACTGCATTCCAGCCTGGGTGACAAAGTGAGACTGTTTCAGTCAATCAATCAATCAATCATCCATGAAGGCTGGGTGTGGTGGCTCACACCTGTAACCCCAGCACTTTGGGAGGCCAAGGTGGGCAGATTGCTTGAGAACAGGAGCTCTTAACTAGGGAGTCTGAGGTGGGAGGATCCCTTGAGCCCAGGAGGTTGAGGCTGCAATGAGCCATGAGCATGCTGCTGCACTCTAGCCTAGGTGACAGAGCAAGACCCTATCTCAAAAAAAAAAAAAAAAAAAAAAAAAAAAAGTCCATAGAATATTTACCAAAGTAGACCTTGTTCTGGGCCATAAAACAAGCCTCACAAACTTAAAAGAATTGAAATCATTCTGAGTATATTCTCTGACCACAGTGTAGAAATCAATAATGGAAAGATGATAGGAAAATCTCTAATAGTTGGAAACTGGACAACATACTTCTAAATAATGAGTCAAAGAGGAAATCTCAAGGGAAATGAATACAAATGAAAATGCAACATAAAAAATTGTGGGACACAGCTAAAGCAGTGCTGAGAGGGAAATTTAGATTTATGCACTAAGTGCATAAATCAGAAAAGAGGAAAAGTCTCAAATCCGTAATCTAAGCTATTAGAGAACCTAGAAAAAGAAAAGCAAACTAAATCCAAAGCAAGCAGAAAAAGGGAAATGGTGAAGATAAAAGCAGAAATCAATGAAATTGAAAACAAAAACAGTAGAGAATATCAATGAAACAAAGAACTTGTCCTTTAATAGGGTCAAAAAAAAGGGACAAACTTATGATAAGACTGAAAAAGAAAAAAGACATAAATTACCAACATCAGGAATGAAAAAATGAATATCAGGGCAGACCCTGCAGATATCAAAAGGATAATGAACAGTGAACAGCTCTAAGACACATAAATTTGATAACTTGGATGAAATGGATCAATTTCTCAAAAAACAAATTGCCGCAATCCACCCAATATGAAATAGATAATTTGAATAGCCCTATTACTGTTAAGGAAATTTGGCCAAGTGCGGTGGCTCACGTCTGTAATCCCAGCACTTTGGGAGGCCGAGGTGGATCATGAGGTCAGGAGTTCAAGACCAGCCTTACCAACATGCTGAAACCCTGTCTCTACTAAAAACAAAAAAATTAGCCGGGCGTGGTGGTGTGCACCTGTAATCCCAGCTACTCAGGAGGCTGAGGCAGGAGAATTGCTTGAACCCTAGAGGCAGAGGTTGCAGTGAGCAGAGATGGAGCCACTGCACCTCAGCCTGGGTGACAGAGGGAGACCCTGTCTCAAAAAAAAAAAGAAATTTAATTTATAATTTAAAAGTCCCCCCCCACCCTGAAAAAAAATCTGTAGGCCCAGATGGTTTTGCTGGAGAATTTTCTCTGCAGTTTAAAGAAGAATTAGCATACTTTAATGCAATCTTTTCCAGAAAATAGAAGGGGAAGGAGCAATTCCTAGTTCATTTTATAAAGCTAGTTTTATCCTTACACCCAGCTAGGCAAATACAGTATAAAAAATAAAAACTGCAGATCAAAATTCCCCCAAATATAGATGTGAACATTCTTAAGAAAATATTAGCAAACAATTCAGCAGCATATAAGAAAATTAAACACCAAGTGGGTTTTTTTTTTTTTTTTTTGAGATGGAGTTTCACTCTGTTGCCCAGGCTGGACTGCAGTGGTGTGATCTCAGCTCACTGAAACCTCTGCCTCCCAGGTTCAAGTGATTCTCCCACCTCAGCCTTCCAAGTAGCTTGGATTACAAGGTGCCTGCCACCATGCCTGGCTAATTTTTGTATTTTTAGTAAAGACAGGGTTTCACCATGTTGGCCAGGCTGGTCTTGGAACTCCTGACCTCAAGTGATCCGCCCGCCTTGGCCTTCCAAAGTGCTGGGATTACAGGCATGAGCCACCACGCCTGGCCACAAAGTGGCATTTATTCCAAAGATGCAAAGCTGTTCAGTATTTGAAGATCAATCATTGTAATACCATATACCAAATAAACAGATTAATGGGAGGCAAGTGGGTTTTACTGTAAAAGGGCAACATAGGGATCCTAGTGGTGATAGAAATATTCTGCGTCTTAACTCTTATCAATGTCAGCATTCTTGTTGTGATATTGTATACAGTTTTGCAAGATGTTACCATTGTAGGGAAACTGGGCAAAGGGAATTGGAATTTTTGTATTTATTATTTCTTACAACTCTTTGTAAATCTACGGTTATCTCAAAACAAAAAGTTAATTTAACAATTAAGGAAAAAACCCAAAGCCAAACCTGTAAAATGCGTGGTCCTTGTATTCCAGATACGTTAAAGGAAAGTCAATCTCAGAATTCCTATTAGATATGATTTTGATGTAGATATTTAAGACGTAGTCTATTTATGGTGATTTGTATCATTTAGGCAAAGCCATTATATAGCATTTCTTAGGAAAAATTAGGCTTATTTTAGGAACTGAGGTATTTGTATTTAATGTCTGATGAGAACTTACCTTAGTTCACTCATGTGATCTAAACTGCCTTGCAGTCCTTTTTTTTTGAGACGGAGTTTCGCTCTTGTTGCCCAGGCTGGAGTGCAATGGCGCGATCTCGGCTCACCATAACCTCCACTTCCTGAGTTCAAGCGATTTTCCTGACTCAGCCTCCTGAGTAGCTGGGATTACAGGCATGGGTCACCACACTCAGCTAATTTTGTATTTTTAGTAGGGAAGGGGTTTCTCCATGTTGATCGGGCTGGTCTGGAACTCCCAACCTCAGGTGATCCGCCTGCCTCGGCCTCCCAAAGTGCTGGGATTACAGGCGTGAGCCACTGTGCCCGGCCCTGCCTTGCAATCTTAAGAAGAGAAGTAATAAAGTAATTCTTGAGTGACATAATTTATTAAGCACTGAGTGGGAGAAGGTAGCTATATTAAAAATACAAAAGATTAAACAATGAATGTACACTTAATCATAGAATTGATGAGGTCTTTGAAAGCACTTTTACCTATGGTGTTCTCTTTGCTATGATATTTAGTTTGTATTTCTTTGGAAGCATTCTTCCTTTACTGCTAGTAGCTTCATAGTAAAACTTTACACTGGGTAACTCACTTTGATAACCAAGAAGCGACTTCTGGCTGGGTGTGGTGACTCATGCCTGTAATCCTAGCACTTTGGGAGGCCAAGGAGGGAGGATCACTTAAGATCGGGAGTTCGATACCAGCCTGGCAACATGGCGAAACCTTGTCTCTACAGAAAAGTAGCTGAGTGTGGTGGTGGGCACCTGTAATCCCAGCACTTGGTAGGCTGAGGTGGGAGGACCTCCTGAGCCCCGAGGTCGAGGCTGCAATGAGCCGAGATTGTACCACAGCACTCCAGCCTGGGCAGGGACAGAGTGAGACCCTGTATCCAAAAAAAAGAAAGAAAAAAGAAAAGAAGTGATTTCTAAATTTTCTTGCTTGCACCATTAAGCTGATATTTAGTGGTGGTAAAGTATTGATTTGAATTTGAAAAATATTAATAAGGAAAAGTGTTTGACTTGTTCAATGTATATGAAACACTTCTGTGTCATTTTACATTTTACAACAGTTTTATTCCTTCTGTGTGTACATACAGGTTTATCTATTTAGACCTGCCTCTCTACAAAATAGATTTGAGGCAGCTGACATTAAGAGTACAAACCAGGAAACAATATTTAGGTATAAAAAGATAAAGTACGGCCAGGCCTGATGGCTCACGCCTGTAATCCCAGCCCTTTGGGAGGCTGAGGTGGATGGATTGCCTGAGCCCAGGAGTTCAAGAGTAGTCCAGGCAACATGGTGAAACCCTGTCTCTACAAAAATTAGCCCAGCATGGTGGTGTGTGCCTGTAGTCCCAGCTATTTGGCAGGGGGTGGGGAGGGGGCACTGAGGTGGGAGGAAATCACTTGAATCCAGGAGGTCGAGGCTGCAGTGAGCCATGATTGTGCTATTGCACTCCAGCCTGGGCGATAGAGCAAGTAGAGCAAGACCATGTCTCAAAAAACAAACAAACAAACAAAACATAAAAGACATGTGACATAAGTAGGGGGTCTGCAAGAGCATGTGTGCTTATGTTTGTGCCAGTACTGTGGCTGGTTGCCCTCAGATTTATTCCTTACCCTTTCTCTGTTCTATTTCTCAAGGAAGAGTGAGCGATTCCAGTAGGTGGCATTTTCCAAGTTCCCAAATCAGCTGGCTTCTGCCTGGGTTCAGCCAGTGGGAGGTATGGGAGGAATTTGGAAAGTAGGAGGAAGGGAAGGTATTTTTTCCCCTCCGTCTCTTCTTCAGGTGGGGTCTCTGGCGGTACCCATGATTGTTTTGTAGTGTTACCTTCTGCCAGACAGCCTGCCTTGGTTCTGTTTTTCCACGAGGTGACCTTGGACTTGGCCTCTGGTAAATCACTACATTCTCCCTCTCTTCCACAGTTAAAGGGATGATAGTAGCTTCCTGCTGTGCCTTATAATCACTGATTATGTTTAGCATAGTTAGAATCTTTTTATACCCAATATCTTTAGCATACTTAATAGCATCATATACCCTTCTTTTGATTTTTGTGTGCTATGAAATAATCAGGCTAGGTCTATGTTTTTATGTGATTCTTTTCCCTTCTTAAACTATTTGATCTTCTCCCAGAATAAGGAAGTTAAAGTAGAAACAGAGCAACCTTAAAGTGGTTTATTTTCTAAATTGGATCCTTCATTTCTATCTCAGTGATGATGCCACCTACCAAACATGTGAATTAGACCTTCAGCAAATGTTCATTTCAAACATTTGTCGAGTGTCTACTGTGTGATGAAGCACCAAGCTGGGTGAGCTGAGAGTAAAAGGATAGATAGGATAGGATCTCTGTTTCCAAGTTGCTTTTAGGGGTTCAAGGTCTAAGATAGGGAAGGGGTTCTTACTGCTAGCACCTTCAGTGACAGAGCTTTATGGGGGAAAGTATTATGGATGCACATATAATATTAATACAAGCATAGAATTCCCTTAAAGATGTCATCTCATGACATGTAAACATAAAATTGTATTGTGAATATAGAGAAAGGAGGATGTTTGGTGTATTTGAAAGAACTCCAAGAAATAAGAGTTTTGTTCTGATATTCAATGAAGTGATTTTATGTCATGGAGAAAGATAGATATAATCTCTTAGTCTCTTTTTTTGTAATATTAAAACAGTTGATTTTAGAAAATTTAAAAGCTCTGTATTTAATAATAATTTAGAACATTGTAAAGTTATCATATAGTTGTTTCTCATTTATCCTGACTTTTTCTTTAATTGCCAATTTCTAACCCTGACTGAAATAAGTGATTAGACTGCACCTTTATAATTCTCACACCTCAGTTTAATGTCAAACCTTCTAGGCTTTTAGCTTCATTTTGTTAATGAGTTAAGACTGTCCCCTGCTCTCCCTCTCCCTCTCCCTCTCCCTCTCCCCACGGTCTCCTTCCACGGTCTCCCTCTGATGCCGAGCCAAAGCTGGACGGTACTGCTGCCATCTCGGCTCACTGCAACCTCCCTGCCTGATTCTCCTGCCTCAGCCTGCCGAGTGCCGCCACGCCTGACTGGTTTTCGTTTTTTTTTTGGTGGAGACGGGGTTTTGCTGTGTTGGCCGGGCTGGTCTCCAGCTCCTAACCGCGAGTGATCCGCCAGCCTCGGCCTCCCTAGGTGCCGGGATTGCAGACGGAGTCTCGTTCACTCAGTGCTCAATGGTGCCCAGGCTGGAGTGCAGTGGCGTGATCTCGGCTCGCTACAACCACCTCCCAGCCGCCTGCCTTGGCCCCCCAAAGTGCCGAGATTGCAGCCTCTGCCCAGCCGCCACCCCGTCTGGGAAGTGAGGAGCGTCTCTGCCTGGCCCCCCATCGTCTGGGATATGAGGAGCCTCTCTGCCTGGCTGCCCAGTCTGGAAAGTGAGGAGCGTCTCTGCCCGGCCGCCATCCCATCTAGGAAGCGAGGAGCGCCTCTTCGCCGCCGCCATCCCATCTAGGAAGTGAGGAGCGTCTCTGCCCGGCCGCCCATCGTCTGAGATGTGGGGAGCACCTCTGCCCCGCCGCCCTGTCTGGGATGTGAGGAGCGCCTCTGCTGGGCCGCAACCCTGTCTGGGAGGTGAGGAGCGTCTCTGCCCGGCCGCCCCGTCTGAGAAGTGAGGAAACTCTCTGCCTGGCAACCGCCCCGTCTGAGAAGTGAGGAGCCCCTCCGTCCGGCAGCCATCCCGTCTGGGAAGTGAGGAGCCCCTCCGCCTGGCAGCCACCCCGTCTGGAAAGTGAGGAGCGTCTCCGCCCGGCAGCCACCCCGTCCGGGAGGGAGGTGGGGGGGGGGTCAGCCCCCCGCCCGGCCAGCCGCCCCGTCCGGGAGGTGAGGGGCTCCTCTGCCCGGCCGCCCCTACTGGAAAGTGAGGAGCCCCTCTGCCCGGCCAGTCGCCCCGTCCAGGAGGGAGGTGGGGGGGTCAGCCCCCCGCCCGGCCAGCTGCCCAGTCCGGGAGGTGAGGGGCGCCTCTGCCCGGCCGCCCCTACTGGGAAGTGAGGAGCCCCTCTGCCCGGCCAGCCGCCCCGTCCGGGAAGGGGGAGGGGGGGTCAGCCCCCCGCCCGGCCAGCCGCCCCGTCCGGGAGGGAGGTGGTGGGGGTCAGCCCCCCGCCCGGCCAGCCGCCCCGTCCGGGAGGTGAGGGGCGCCTCTGCCCGGCCGCCCCTACTGGGAAGTGAGGAGCCCCTCTGCCCGGCCAGCCGCCCCGTCCGGGAGGGAGGTGGGGGGGTCAGCCCCCCGCCCGGCCGGCCGCCCCGTTCGGGAGGGAGGTGGGGGGGGTCAGCCCCCCGCCCCGGCCAGCCGCCCCGTCCGGGAGGGAGGTGGGGGGATCAGCCCCCCGCCTGGCCAGCCGCCCCTTCCGGGAGGTGAGGGGCGCCTCTGCCCGGCCGCCCCTACTGGGAAGTGAGGAGCTCCTCTGCCCGGCCAGCCGCCCCGTCCGGGAGGGAGGTGGGGGGGTCAGCCCCCCGCCCGGCCAGCCGCCCCATCCGGGAGGGAGGTGGGGGGGTCAGCCCCCCGCCCGGCCAGCCGCCCCGTCCGGGAGGGAGGTGGGGGGATCAGCCCCCCGCCTGGCCAGCCGCCCCTTCCGGGAGGTGAGGGGCGCCTCTGCCCGGCCGCCCCTACTGGGAAGTGAGGAGCTCCTCTGCCCGGCCAGCCGCCCCGTCCGGGAGGGAGGTGGGGGGGTCAGCCCCCCGCCCGACCAGCCGCCCCGTCCAGGAGGGAGGTGGGGGGGGTCAGCCCCCCGCCCGGCCAGCCGCCCCGTCCGGGAGGTGAGGGGCGCCTCTGCCCGGCCAGCCGCCCAGTCCGGGAGGGAGGCGGGGAGGGGGGGGTCGGCCAGCCGCCCTGTCCGGGAGGGAGGTGGGGGGGTCAGCCCCCCGCCCGGCCGGCCGCCCCGTCCGGGAGGTGAGGGGCGCCTCTGCCCGGCCGCCCCTACTGGGAAGTGAGGACCCCTCTGCCCGGCCAGCCGCCCCGTCCGGGAGGGAGGTGGGGGGGTCAGCCCCCCGCCCGGCCAGCCGCCCTATCCAGGAGGTGAGGAGCGCCTCTGCCCGGCCGCCCCTACTGGGAAGTGAGGAGCCCCTCTGCCTGGCCAGCCGCCCCGTCCGGGAGGGTGGTGGGGGGGTCAGCCCCCCGCCCGGCCAGCCGCCCCATCCGGGAGGAGAGGGGCGCTTCTGCCCGGCCGCCCCTACTGGGAAGTGAGGAGCCCCTCTGCCCGGCCACGACCCCGTCTGGGAGGTGTGCCTAGCGACTCATTGGGGATGGGCCATGATGACAATGGCGGTTTTGTGGAATAGAAAGGCGGGAAGGGTGGGGAAAAAATTGAGAAATCGGATGGTTGCCGGGTCTGTGTGGATAGAAGTGGGCATGGGAGACTTTTCATTTTGTTCTGTACTAAGAAAAATTCTTCTGCCTTGGGATCCTGTTGATCTGTGACCTTATCTCCAACCCTGTGCTCTCTGAAACATGTGCTGTGTCCACTCAGGGTTAAATGGATTAAGGGCGGTGCAAGATGTGCTTTGTTAAACAGATGCTTGAAGGCAGCATGCTCGTTAAGAGTCATCACCACTCCCTAATCTTAAGTACCCAGGGACACAAACACTGCGGAAGGCCGCAGGGTCCTCTGCCTAGGAAAACCAGAGACCTTTGTTCACTTGTTTATCTGCTGACCTTCCCTCCACTATTGTCCTATGACCCTGCCAAATCCCCCTCTGCGAGAAACACCCAAGAATGATCAATAAAAAAAAAAAAATTAAAAAAAAAAAAAAAAAAACCAAAAAGATCTATAGCAGTAGTCTGCCAGAAAAAAAATCTCAACAAGTTAAAAAATGTTTGATTTCATATAGGTGATATGTTGTTTGATTATGATGTAATACAATAATAAATTAACAAAAAAAAAAAAAAAAAAAAAAGACTGTCCCCTGCCCATTTTAGGTTGCTACTTCTTTTAATATTATAAAGGAGGTGATTGCCATGGAAAAGGAGATCCAGTATTTATGATTTAGTCTTACTGCTGAAGGGTTTTAAAAAATATGATTATCTCCTGTTTACCAAATACTATTGCAACTCTTGATTGAAAGGTATTAATAAATAAATGTCCCCTCTCCCAATGTTTTATTTTGAAAATTTTCAACTCTACAGAAAAAATTTAAAAATTGTGTGGTAAACATCATATATCTTTCATCTAAACTCACAATTGGCTAACATTTTTTTTATGTCTTTTTTTTTTTTTTTTTGAGATGGAGTCTCGCTCTGTCACCCAGGCTGGAGTGCAGTGGCACGATCTCAGCTCACTGCAACTTCTACCTCCCAAGTTCAAGCAGTTCTTCTGCTTCAGCCTCCCGAGTAGCTGGGACTACAGACATGTGCCATCACGCCTGGGCTAATTTTTTTGTATTTTTAGTGGAGACGGGGTTTCACCATGTTGGCCATGGTGGCCAGGCTGGTCTTGAATGCCTGACCTCAAGTGATCCATCCTGCCTCGGCCGCCCAAAGTGCTGGGATTACAGGCGTGAGCCATCGCACCCAGTCCTCTTTATATATACAAATATCTATGTTTATTTCTTTTTGGTACCATCTGAAAGAAGTATATATCATGATATTTCATTCCTGGGTACTTCTTGCTGAAAGATTTTTGTAAATGTTTTTCTTGTATATTCCCTTTAAACTAGAATGTTGAGGTGTTCATGATGAATGATGCCAGAGATGCACTCTTGGAAAATCTCATTTTACCATAAGACTTGCTCCAAATAGTTTCCTCCTCACTTTATATTACATTTCTCTTTTTTTGATAAGTATTTTTTGATCACCCTCTATCACGACCACTACGGTAGTACTACTCCTTTCTGATACCTTTTTTCCCCACTTCTAAACAATTGTAAAATATCGATAACAACATTTGCCATTAAAATAATTTTTAAGGCTGGCTGCGGTGGCTCACGCCTGTAATCCCAGCACTTTGGGAGGCCGAGGTGGGTAGATCACCTGAAGTCAGGAGTTCGAGACCAGAGACCAGCCTGGCCAACATGGTGAAACCCTGTCTCTACTAAAAATACAAAAATTAGCTGGGTGTGGTGGTGCATGCTTGTAATCCCAGCTACTCGGGAGGCTGAGGCAGGAGAATCGCTTGAACCTGGGAGGTGGAGGTTGCAGTGATCCGAAATTGCTCCAGTGCACTCCAGCCTGGGTGACAGAGTGAGACTCCGTCTCAAAAAAAATAATAATAATAAAATAAAATCTGGGGGCTGGGCATGGTGGCTTATGTCTGTAATCCCAGCACTTTGGGAGGCCGAGGCAGGCAGATCACCTGAGATCGGGAGTTCGAGACCAGCCTGACCAACATGGAGAAACCCCACATCTACTAAAAATACAAAATTAGCCAGGCATGGTGTTGCATGCCTGTAATCCCAGCTACTCGGGAGACTGACGCAGGCGAATCACTTGTACCTGGGAGGTGGAGGTTGCGATGAGCCGAGATCGCGCCATTGCACTCCAGCCTGGGCAGCAAGAGTGAAACTCTGTCTCAAAAAAAAAAATTTTTTTTTTAAATATGCAATTCATCAATATTCATTATATTCACAGTGTTGTGCAGCCATCACTACTGTATCTTTCCAAAACTTGTACCACTCCAAACAAGAAATCTATAAAATTTGAGCAGTAAATCTTTATTCCTTCCTTCCCTGATCCTTAATAACCTGTAGTCTACTTTCTGTCTGTATACATATGCCTATTCTACATATTCTATATAAGTGGAATTGTACAATATTTGATTTGATTGATGTCTGGCTTATTTCACTTAGCATAACGTTTTCAAGGTTCATCTGTGTTGTAGCATGTATCAGAATGTCATTCCTTTTTCTGGCTGAATAATATTCCATTGTATTTACATATATACCACATTTTGTTTATCTGTTTATCTGTTGATGGACACTTGAGTTGTTTCTACCTTTTGACTGTTGTGAATAAACCTGAAATGAACATTGGTGTATAAGTATCCCTCTGAGCTCTGAATCCTTTTGGTTTTTTTTTTTTTTTTTTTTTTTGGTATATACCTAGGAGTGGAATTCCTAGGTCACATGGCAATTTTATGTTTAAGTTTTTGAGGAACTGGCAAACTCTTTTCCACAGCAGCTGCACCATTTTATATTCCCACCACTAATGTATGAGGGTTTCAGTTTCTCTGCATCCTTGCCAACACTTATTTTCCATTTCTTTGATGATAGCTATCCTAGTAAGTGTGAAATGGTATCTCATTGAGTTTTGGTTTGTATTTCCATAGTGGCCAGTGATATTGAACATCTTTTCATGTACTTACTGGCCATTTGCACATCTTCTTTAGAGAGTATCTATTCAAGTCCTTTGCCCATTTTAAAAATTGATTTATCTTTTTGTTCGTGAATTGTAAGAGATCTTTATATATTCTAGGTAGTAGATCTTTATCAAATTTATGGTTTGCAAATGTTTTCTCCCATTCTATAGGTTGTCTTTTCATTTTCTTGATTAATGTCCTTTTATGCACAAAAGTTTTAAATATCGATGAAGTCCAGTTTATCTATTTTCTCTTTTGTTGCTTGTGCTTTTCTGATAGAACCATCAGCACATTTATCAGTTGTTAGATGATTTCTCTCCTGGTGATCCCGGATTAGGGCTTGGGCTCATTTTTTGGTCCAGGATCAACAAAAATAACAGTATTCGTTGTCACTAACTGAGTACCTAATATATGCTAGGTGATTCTGGGAAACCTGAGAAAGAGAATTCTAAGGCAGAAAAGCCTCATAATTTTATTCTTGTCAAGTAAAGTTTACTGAAACTCCATAACATTACAAAGAGGTTAGAAGATAGTCTTCCCCACCATTTTTCTGCAGGAAATTTAAGTCAGAACTACTGCTAGTGTCCTACTGCACTGAACAGGTTCCTGGCATTTGCACTGGACCCTAGGCTCCCCCACAACTCCACCCCTGTGGAGGTTCTCGATTTCTGTATTTCATGGACTCTCTTTCTTAGCTAGCTTTTTAGTTTACCAGCTTAGTCTGTGTTTTTTTGGTTTTTTGTTTTTTGAGAGGGAGTCTTGCTCTGTCGCCCAGGCTGGAGTGCAGTGGCGCTATCTCTGCTCACTGCAAGCTCTGCCTCCCCGGTTCAAGGGATTCTCCTGCCTCAGCCTCCCAAGTAGCTGGGACCACGGGCGCATGCCACCAGGCCCGGCTAATTTTTTTATATTTTTAGTAGAGACGGGGTTTCACCGTGTTAGACAGGATGGTCTCAATCTCCTGACCTCGTGATCCCGCCCGCCTCAGCCTCCCAAAATGCTGGGATTACAGGTCTGTGGTAGTTTTTACAAAATGCTTAAGAAACTCAAGGTAAATGAGTTACTCACAGCGGGACTAACATTTTGAACCAGACTTTAAAATCCATTATATCGCACTAGAAAAGCGAGAGTTTCCCCCACATTTACAACTCTGAAATTCCTTTTGGAAACTCTGTAAATGATGTTGTTGATTTAAAAATTAGGGCCAGGAGCAGTGGCTGACACCTGTAATCCTAGCACTTTGGGAGGCCGAGGAGTGCGGATCACCTGAGGTCAGGAGTTCAAGAGCAGCCCGGCCAACGTGGTAAAATCCTGTCTCCACTAAAAATACAAAAATTAGCTGGGCGTGGTGGTGGGCGCCTGTAATCCCAGCTAATCAGGAGGCTGAGGCACGAGAATCGCTGGAACCCAGGAGGTGGAGGCTGCAGCGAGCCGAGATCATGCCACTGCACTCCAGCCTGGGAGACAGAGGGAAACTCCATCTCAAAAAAAAAAAAAAATTAGGCTTTTCCTATTTGTAGTATGAGTGCATTCTCTCTAGTACATTTTCCCTCAGATGACCCAGTAGTTGTTCACCTTTTTCCTTCAAACTGTAAAAACACAAAAATGAAGAGCTCTATTAATGTTAATTTTATTCTGATTTATTCCCCTAGCGGATCTGAAAAGAACAATTGCTGTCCTTCTGGATGACATTTTGCAACGATTGGTGAAGCTGGAGAACAAAGTTGACTATATTGTTGTGAATGGCTCAGCAGCCAACACCACCAATGGTACTAGTGGGAATTTGGTGCCAGTAACCACAAATAAAAGAACGAATGTCTCGGGCAGTATCAGATAGCAGTTGAAAATCACCTTGTGCTGCTCCATCCACTGTGGATTATATCCTATGGCAGAAAAGCTTTATAATTGCTGGCTTAGGACAGAGCAATACTTTACAATAAAAGCTCTACACATTTTCAAGGAGTATGCTGGATTCATGGAACTCTAATTCTGTACATAAAAATTTTAAAGTTATTTGTTTGCTTTCAGGCAAGTCTGTTCAATGCTGTACTATGTCCTTAAAGAGAATTTGGTAATTTGGTTGATGTGGTAAGCAGATAGGTGAGTTTTGTATAAATCTTTTGTGTTTGAGATCAAGCTGAAATGAAAACACTGAAAAACATGGATTCATTTCTATAACACATTTATTTAAGTATATAACACGTTTTTTGGACAAGTGAAGAATGTTTAATCATTCTGTCATTTGTTCTCAATAGATGTAACTGTTAGACTACGGCTATTTGAAAAAATGTGCTTATTGTACTATATTTTGTTATTCCAATTATGAGCAGAGAAAGGAAATATAATGTTGAAAATAATGTTTTGAAATCATGACCCAAAGAATGTATTGATTTGCACTATCCTTCAGAATAACTGAAGGTTAATTATTGTATATTTTTAAAAATTACACTTATAAGAGTATAATCTTGAAATGGGTAGCAGCCACTGTCCATTACCTATCGTAAACATTGGGGCAATTTAATAACAGCATTAAAATAGTTGTAAACTCTAATCTTATACTTATTGAAGAATAAAAGATATTTTTATGATGAGAGTAACAATAAAGTATTCATGATTTTTCACATACATGAATGTTCATTTAAAAGTTTAATCCTTTGAGTGTCTATGCTATCAGGAAAGCACATTATTTCCATATTTGGGTTAATTTTGCTTTTATTATATTGGTCTAGGAGGAAGGGACTTTGGAGAATGGAACTCTTGAGGACTTTAGCCAGGTGTATATAATAAAGGTACTTTTGTGCTGCATTAAATTGCTTGGAAAATGTTAACATTATATTATATAAGAGTATCCTTTATGAAATTTTGAATTTGTATAACAGATGCATTAGATATTCATTTTATATAATGGCCACTTAAAATAAGAACATTTAAAATATAAACTATGAAGATTGACTATCTTTTCAGGAAAAAAGCTGTATATAGCACAGGGAACCCTAATCTTGGGTAATTCTAGTATAAAACAAATTATACTTTTATTTAAATTTCCCTTGTAGCAAATCTAATTGCCACATGGTGCCCTATATTTCATAGTATTTATTCTCTATAGTAACTGCTTAAGTGCAGCTAGCTTCTAGATTTAGACTATATAGAATTTAGATATTGTATTGTTCGTCATTATAATATGCTACCACATGTAGCAATAATTACAATATTTTATTAAAATAAATATGTGAAATATTGTTTCATGAAAGACAGATTTCCAAATCTCTCTTCTCTTCTCTGTACTGTCTACCTTTATGTGAAGAAATTAATTATATGCCATTGCCAGGTAGAAGTTTGGAATAATTGTTTAGTCTCTCCTATTAGATGTGGACATTTTTGTTTTTGTTTTTGTTTTCAGGGATGAAATAAAATATATTATTTCTACCTACAAAGTATTACAGTCTTTTTTCTTTAATGTTGGTTGTGCATTTAATAAATGATAAATGGTTAAAAGGAATCTTAAGAAAAATTCGGTTTTGTTTCAATTCCAGATAACTTTTCCAAAAGAGAAAAATTGAAGGTTACCCAATAGTGCCTCTCATTTGATACTAGGGTAGGAGAGTCTGAGTGCAGAGATAGATTGGAGAACTAAGGCTTGACTTCTTAAAAATCAACAGTAAACTGATAATCTGAAATGGGTATGAGCTTCATTTAAAAATCAACAGTAGACTGTTGATTTTTAAGAAGTCAAGCCTTAGTATTTATATCTTCAGTTAATCTTAATTTGGACATTAGCACGGAGGGCATCACTAAAGGTACTAAAAACTTGCAAACTTTTATCAGGGTGTCTTTGGGTTTACTTTAAGCAAATATATGAATTAAAAAGTAATTTAAACATTATTTCAGGTAGTTAATGATAACTTAGGTCTCAGTTTTCAAGAAACACTTATGATTTTGACTCTGGAGTTACACAGACTGTAGAGACTCAAGTTTGCTTTTTAATGACCATATTACTTTTTTTGAATTTATAGAAATTTGTCTCATCTCAGTTATGCCTTGGAAACCTAAAGTGTTAGCAGCTTACACAGGAACCTCAGTCACAGTTTTGGTTTAAATGTAAACAATGTTCTGTTTTTAACCAAACACTTTGAGCTGAGTAGCTTATTAATATAGTTACCATTTTTTCCCCTTTCTCTTATAGAAGTATCTACCTGAAAAGGGAGCATGATGTAATGAAACAGACCAAAAAATATGTAGTTAATTGAAACCATTTTTCTCCCATAATTGAAAGTGCTGAATGATTCTTAAGAACTTTTTGTTTAGGGGACTGGTATTGCTCATGTAGTCTCAGCTACTCAGGGGCTGAGGCAGGAGGACTGCTTGAGCCTGGGAAGTGGAGGCTGCAGTGAGCCATGATTGCACTACTGCACTCCAGCCTGGGCGACAGAGCAAGATGCTGTCTCAAAACAGTAACAACAACAACAAACCAGGAGAAACAATGAGAATATAGAGAAGCACAATGGGAAAAAGTCTGAAATGTTTCTACCCAGGGATAACTACTGTTGATATTTTAGTAGATAAATGTGAATCTGATCTCCCCTCCCCACACTCTCTATTGACTTCCTATTTCTACTTAAAATCCAAAGTTCCCACTGTGGCCTTCAAAGCCCTAATGTGCTCCTGGATGCCTCCAGACCTCATTTCTTACCACCCTCCTCCTTCCCAATTCCTGTTCAGTCATACTGTCTTGTCCTTCCTAGGACATACCAAGCATTCTTTTGCCTCAGTAACTTCAAACATGATATTCCTCTACCTGCCACCACTCTTAACCCCAGATAACTTCATGGTTCCCTCCCAAACAGCATTCAGGTGTTCATTCAAATGTTACTTCTTAAGGGAAGTCATCTTTGACCACCTTCCTAAAATACTAGGCCTCAGCACGCTTAGCCATTTTACTTTTCTTTGTAGTTCTGATATACTCTACTTTAAATGGTATATTAACTTATTTTGTTTTCTCTCATGTTTCTTAGAATATAAACTCCATGGAGGCAAGGAGTTCATTTTGTTCATTTATGTAACCTGGGCATTTACAACTGTGTCTAGCTCATAATAGGTACCCAATTAATATTTGTTAAAACAATGAGTTACTAAACCCATTCTATACTTTTTTTGCTTTGTGCATATATACGTATGTTTTAAAAATAGTATACTTTTTTTGTACCATGTAGGATGAATTTCTTTCTAAGTCAGAAGGTAAATAACTTTCATAGTTATTCCATTGTGTGGCTATATCACATTGGTATATCTTTCTCTTAATTATTAAGCATTTTGGTTGCAGAGAAAAGATTTAGCCTGAGGTGTGAGACAGGTCTAAAGAGAAGTGGGAAGTCAATAGAGTGTGGGGAGGGGAAATTAGACTCACATTCACACTCTTTTTATGCTTCATGCTGTTACTGTTATTTTAGATGTTGGAGGTAACATAACAAAATATGATTAATACCCATATGGGGGAGACAAAGCGGTGAAATATCTCCACTTGTATCGATATATAAGGACATAGAAAATCCAAAATAGGTGTTCATCCTCAGACTTTGTTTTATATCAAGAGCAGCAGGCTAGAAGCATTTTGCAGCATAGGGAGAAGACTGGGAATAAAATGTGCAATGGCTAGTTCATAATTTTGTTTGAGAGTGGGGAGGAGATTGAGTAGTGGTCAGACTTTTGCTTGAAATCAGATTGAGTTTGTCGCTTTTGGCTTAAATGAATCAATAATATTAGTGTGCATTTAAGTAAGGAAGTTAGGACATGAAGATTTAAAAAAAAATTATTGTTCTTCAGATGTTACCAGTATCAGTACGTTTCACATATCTTTTCAGATGAGTTTTGGACCTCCATTGAGTCCTTCATAGGGCAAGTGTAACTTCACACTGCTTTTAAGTGTTGGTTAGCAGCATAATCTATTTGAATAAATCACTGTTTTTAACTTAACCTTCTTTGGTGCTTAATTCATCCACCCACTCTCCCACCCTTTCTTTACTAATTATTCAGGCAAAGAAATAAACTTTCTGAGGAATCTATGGAGGGGAGAGGGTGATACAGTTGATGTGATATCAAGGCTTGGGGAGAGGAAACATTTTTGTGATTGTTTCTATGCAAAAACGGCATTATTTTAATATAGAAAATATTGTTTAGAAGTTGTTTTAAAATACCTTAGATTTTTAGAATGGAGGTTGGGAAAATTTGGTTCTTCCAGCAATTTAATGGTATGACTGTGGGCAAGTATGTATGTGCTTTCTTTTCTTTGTTTTTTCTGAGATAGGTTCTTGCTCAATTGCCCAGGCTAGAGTAGAGTGGCGCAATTGGCTCACTGCAGCCTGGACCTCCTGGGCTCAAGCAGTTCTCCCACCTCAGCCCCCAGAGTAGCTGGGACTACAGGCATGCGTCACCATGGCCAGATATTTAATAATTTTTTATGTTTCTTTTTTTTTTTTGAGACGGAGTCTTGCTCTGTTGCCCAGGCTAGAGTGCAGTGGCGCAATCTTGGCTCACTGCAACCTCTGCCTCCCGGGTTCAAACAATTCTCCTGCCTCAGCCTCCCAAGTAGCTGGAATTACAGGCACATGCCACCACACCTGGCTAATTTTTTATATTTTTAGTAGAGACAGGGTTTCACTATGTTAGCCAGGATGGTCTCGATCTCCTGACCTCGTGATCCACCCGCCTCAGCCTCCCAAAGTGTTGGGATGACAGGCGTGAGCCACCGCGCCCGGCCTTTTTTTTTGAGATGGAGTCTTGCTCTGTCGCCCAGGCTGGAGTGCAGTGGCGCAATCTTTGCTCACTGCAAGCCCCACCACCTGGGTTCACACCATTCTCCTGCCTCAGCCTCCCGAGTAGCTGGGACTACAGGCGCCCGCCACCACGCCTGGCTAATTTTTTGTGTTTTTAGTAGAGACAGGGTTTCACCGCATTAGCCAGGATGGTCTCGATCTCCTGACCTCGTGATCTGCCTCCCTTGGCCTCCGAAAGTGCTGGGATTACAGGCGTGAGCCATCGTGCCAGCCGATTGTTTATGTTTTGTAGAGATGGGGTCTCGCTGTTTTGCTCAGGTTGGTTTCGAACTCCTGGGCTCAAGCCATCCTCCCTCCTCCCACCTCTGCTTCCCAAAGTGTTGGGATTACAGGTATGAACCACCACACCTGGCCATGTGTGTACTTTCTGATTTGGTGTCTCCGGCTCCAAATCATTGGTAATGTCTATCCTATGTGACTACATGGAGTTTTGGTAACATAAGCATATGTGTTTAAAACCCTTTGAATTCTTAAGGAGAAAATATATAAAAGAATTATCAGATTGTTCACCTCAAGTTTATGAGGACTTGCACAAATAGTGTTCAATATGTATTTGTTATATGAGAAAAGGCATCTTTGGAATAGCAAATATAAAGCAATATAAAGATATTTCATGGTCCTACAGTTCTTAGACTGTATCACAACACAGTCCAAATCCAGTATTTCTAAAAAACCTTAAGGACTGCATAGTACCGTGTTTCAAAGGTATGTTACAATCCGTTAGATGTTATCAATTTAGTGGGTTGTGATTAGCATTTTAAAGCAATGGAATGTGAAATATCATGAGCTTTAAATTGGGGCCAGTAAGAAAAACAGAAAAATTCAATTATAAGTAAAAAGGGTAAATGTTTCCTGAAGTTTCAGTTCAACTGTGTGTGTGTGTGTGTGTGTGTGTGTGTGTGTGTGTACTGGGTCATGAAATAAAATGTATTCCTTAGATAAGTTAAAGTTTTATAAGCCATTGACCCAGTATAGTTATACAGATTATAATTTACACAGTGCTGTTCTCATTTTGCTTGATTTAAGAAAACAAAATAATGGATGTAGAAGGGACTATTTTTCTAGTGGAGGAGGTAATTAGAAGAAACTAAAATACACCTGCTTTACTAATAAGCTCAGGTCATGTTCTGGGCGACTCTTGGTCAAATATTTTTGAAGACTTTCCCCCTTCGCTCATACTATGCAATTAATGATTTCTCTCATTTCTTATGAGAAAAAAATGGAATTGTCAAATTTTTAACTGTCAACTGACATGTGTTTGTTTGTTTGTTTATTTTTTGAGATAGAGTTTCACTCTTGTTGCCCAGGCTGTAGTGCAATGGTGCAATCTTGGCGCACCGCAACCTCCGCCTCCTGGGTTCAAGGGATTCTCCTGTGTCAGCCTCCTGAGTAGCTGGGATTACAGGCATGCGCCACCACGCCCAGCTAGTTTTATATTTTTAGTAGGGACGGGGTTTCTCCATGTTGGTCAGGCTGGTCTCCAACTCCCAACCTCAGGTAATCTGCCCGCCTCGGCCTCACAAAGTGCTGGGATTACAGGCGTGAGCCACGACGCCCGGCCTCAACTAACATTCTAAAAGTCACACTAAGAATTGTGAACACCCTACCCTGAAGACAAATTATATGTGTTGCTTAACAGGAATGAAAATTTGTAATGTTTTAAAAAATCCCTGTGTCAAGTTCCTCTTCAAATTATGCTTACTTGCTACTTAATATATCAACTTAGAGAAAGCTTCCTTACTAACTTGCTTCAAATGAGGCAATAGCGCTCAAATTTTTTTCAACATTTTATGAAATATTTCAGGCATGCAGCAAAATTGAAAAAAATGTCAGTGAACACACATCAGATTATGTATAATATATATATAATCCCCTGAGTAGCTGAGATTACCTGTGCATGCCACCATGCCTGGCTAATTTTTGTATTTTTGGCAGAGATGGGGTTTCACCATGTTGGCCAGGCTGGTCTCAAACTCCTGACCTTTATGTGATCTGCCTGCCTTATCCTCCCAAAGTGCTAGTTTTTAAATTATACTCCACCACAGCTACTAATCCATTTTTTTTATGCTTTTCAAAACAAATTACAGACATCAGTACACTTCCCCATAAATAATTTAGCATGTAAATCATTAGCAAATTTGGTATTTGTTTAAGGTTTTCTTCTTTCGATGTAAAAGTAAAAAGCACAAATTTTAAGTATGCACTAGCTGAGTTTTGACAAATGCATTGACCTGCTACTCAGACTCCTATAGATATAGACCATTACCGTTACACCGAAAAGGCCCCTCATACTCTTCCTAGTCAATTCTCACCTCTCTTCCCACAAGGCAAAATTTTCCGCTGTAGATTTGTTTTGCCTATTTTAGAATTTCACGTAAATGCTATCATAAAACATGTATTATCATGTCTGGCAGCTTTCACTCATCAGTTTTTGGTATTCATTCACATTGTTTCATGTGTCAGTAATTTATTGCTGAGTTGTGTTTCGTCGTATGAATCTGACATAGTTTGTATATCCATTCTCCTATTGATGAACACCTGGGCTATTTCTAATGTTTGGCTATCATGAATAAAGCTGATATGAACATTCTAATAGAAGCCTTCCTGTGAATTTAAGCTTTCATGTCTTTTGGATAAATATCTAGGGGTCAAATTACTGGATCATAGGATAATTGCATTAAGAAATGCACCTTTTCCAAATGATCTTTCCCCAAAGTGTTTGTGCCATTTTACATTCCCAATGATTGGATGTCTCCATATTCCCTCATTCCCAGGGTAGGTAAAAGGTAATAGAAGGGTCATAATACCTCCTTCCATCAGGGAAATGCAAAATATTGTCTTTAAAACAGAGAATAAAGGTACTAGTAGAATGACTTTTTGATCAGTCACTGTCTTTTGGTGTCCCCAAACTTGTTTGTTAATTGTAATATAAAGAAAGTGGCTGGGTGTGGTGGCTCACGCCTGTAATCCTAGCACTTTGGGAGGCCGAGGTGGGTGGATCACCTGAGGTCAGGAGTTCAAGACCAGCCTGACCAACATGGTGAAACCCTGTCTCTACTTAAAAATACAAAAAATTAGCAGGGTGTGGTGGCGGGTACCTGTAATCCCAGCTATTCAGGAGGCTGAGGCAGGAGAATCGCTTGAACCTGGGAGGTGGAAGTTGCAGTGAGCTGAGATCACACCATTGCACTCCAGCCTGGGCAACAAAAGCAAAACTCCATCTCAAAAAAAAAAAAAAAAAGTAAGGTCTAGCCTAGAGGTGACTCATCCTTTGGCAAAATTCAAAACCAAATTGCTATCTGTTTCTCTGTAAATAATTATGTGGCTTTTGTCTTGTTTTTGTTTTTGCTTGTGTTGTAGACTTATTGGACTCTGAGGCATCTGGTTATAATGGGCTTTTGATTCCTATTCCATGTTACTGTCAGTTTGCATTGTTTTCTTCTTTACTCTGTTAATACGGTGAATTGCATTGATTGATGTTACGCCAATTTTGCATTCCTGGAAAAAACCCAACTTGGTACAAAAGGTTTGTATTATTCTTTTTATATTTTACTACAGTTAATTTGCTATTATTTTGTCATAGGAAATTTAAAAATCTACATGTAATGAGAAGAAAATAATCTGCGATTTTTCTTCCTTATAAAAGATATAACAATAGAATGCAACAGATGATCCTTGGATATTGCTATGAAAAAATAGGTGCTATAAATTATATTTTTGGTGACAATGGGGAAATTTATAGAATGAGCATGAGATGAAATTATGGAGCTATTTTTATGTGTTGAGGTGATAATGCGAGTCATCCATTGTTAACAGTTTGTCATAATATCTTCCTGATTTATCTATATTTTGTTTTTTATAATTGTGGTTGAACTGTTTCAAAGTAAGTTTCACACATTATAACATTTCACTCCAAGATACTTCACACATCTGGAAAAAGGTGCATTCTCCTACCTAAGTTGTTGATTTTTAGGTGTTCATTGTACTTTTTTTTTCTTTTACATGTTCATAAGTTTTATAAAATGTAAAAAGGAAAAAAATTATATTAAGGTTGTTTTATCTTTCTAATGAATGATTTTTATCCTCATGTTGTAACTTTTTTTGTCCATAATAAGGATTTTTTTTCTTAAAAGTGTATTTTGTCTGATACTAAAATAATTGTCTCAGAATACCATTATACTATCTCAAAATACAATTGTTATTTCTTTTGGTTAATATTTGCTTGTTTTTTTTTTTCCCATCCTTTTCCTTTGAATTTTTTCCCCCTGTGTGTTTTAGATGTGTCAATAGCCTATGTTCAGATGTTTTAATTTCTTCAATCTGAGACTCTTTTTCTTTTAATTGGTGAGCTTAATCTATTTACCTTTGTTGTGATTACTGATACGTTTTCATTTACTTGTCTTATTTTGTGCTCTTTATTCTTGTTTTTTTTTTTTTGAGATGGTGTTTTGCTCTTTTGCCCAGGCTGGAGTGAAGTGGCCTGATCTTGGCTTACTGCAGCCTCCATCCCCCAGGTTCAAGTGATTCTCCTGCCTCAGCCTCCCAAGTAGCTGGGATTATAGTTGCCCGCCACCACGCCTGGCTAATTTTTGTATTTTTAGTAGAGACGGGGTGTTGCCATGTTGGCCAGGCTGGTCTTGAACTCCTGACCTCAGGTGATCCACCCACCTTGGCCTCCCAAAGTGCTAGGATTACAGGCGTGAGTCACTGAGCCTGGCCTATCCTTGTTTGATGTAGGAAAACAAACAGCTTTTTCTGTTACTACACATATACAACACAGAACAATTCTGTGACCAAAATGTGGGAGGGTGATTTCTCCCCACACCAAGCAGTTCTTCAGCAGACACCAGTTGGGTGTCTGTAATTCAGTTCAGTTCTGACATGATCTACCAGGACATAATGTCAGGTCCCACAGGTTAAAGGCTTCATCCCATACAGTGCCATTTCAGGTGCCAATCAGTGACCAATTGGCTATAAACTGGGGGTTCCCATGACCGTCTTTTTGGGTTTAATTTGCTGGGGTTGCCCCCAGAACAGAAGGTAACACTTCACTTACATTTACCCATTTCCTAAAAGGATATTTAAAAATATACAAATGAACAGCCAGATGGAAGAGATACACAGGGCAATGGTATGTGGGAAGGGGTAGAGAGCTTCCATGCCCTCTCCAGGTGCACCACACTCCAGGAACCTCCACTTGTTCAGCAATTTTGAAGCTCTCCAAACCCCGTCCTTTTGGGTTTTTGTGAGGGCCTCATTAAGTAGGCATGATTAATTATGTCGTTGGCCATTGGTAATCAACTCAACCCTCATCCCCTCTCATCTCTCTGGAGGTGGGGAAGGTGAGGCTGAAAGTCCCAACCCTCTAATCACATAGTTGGCTTGCCTGGCAACCAAACCCCCCATCTATTAACTTTACCATAGAAAAAGACACTACTTCAGAGATTGCAAGGGTTTTTGGAGCTGTGTGTCAAGAAACAGGATGGGGTGAAAACCAAATATATATTTCTTATTATAAATCACAATATCACAATCCTTGTTTATGCTTTCATTTTTTCCCTTTCTTGCTTTCTATTAAATTCTATTTTCTGTATTTCTCTGTAAGATACAGTGAATTTCTGAGTTTCTCTTCAAAGATTTAGCCTGCTAAATTCCTTGTCCTTTGTTTTCAAACTCACCTTTCTTGTTCTTCCTTGCCCCTAGTTACTATAAGCAGCCTACCCCCTTCCCGTCAGCTCTAATCAATACCTCACATCTGTTCCCTTGGTTACCTGTACTCATTGTTGCCCCAAAACTGCACGTCTCACACGCTCCACCACTGTACCTCACATCCCCCTTCTCTTGTGTATTTAGAAAAATATTTGCAAGTAGCCAATCGGGTCAGCTCAGATTATGCGGTCCAGCCCCAGCCCATGGGGGAGTGGCTCAGAAGTAGGGACTATGTGTCAGGAATAAAACCTGCTGCTCTCCATTGGTGTGCTCTTGCGATCTTGATTGATGTGAGTGGCACCCTTCTGCAGAAGTAAATTGCCTTGCTGAGACAACTTTTGTCTGAGTGCTGGTTTCACTTTGCGGCACCAAGCATTTATTCCTAGAGCATTTTTATATCCAGCAATTCTAGGGGCTCGTCCAGGATCCCCATTCATCTTTGGGAAGGGGTCTTTGGTCACCCTACCCAGGGGAGATGCATTCCACTGCCCTGTTGCAGTGGCCTCAGGGATGGGAGATCAAGAGCCACCCATTGTGATGAATAAACCTGGACTCCCAGCAACGCGGGGAGGAGAGGCTTGCAATTCCACAGTGACCAGGTAAACTGTGCACAGACCAAGGTAGGAAACGTTGCAGGGGCAACAAAGTACTTCCTTGGTGGTCGGGATGGTTGTCAGGGCATTCTGGAGGATGAAAGTGTGTGAATGGTAACAAGCACTACTGTGCAGAGTGAGTCCAATCTCTGGTTCCATGGTCACCTCATACAGCTTAGGGAGTCCTGTCAGGGGTTTATACTGACCTGCCATTAATGCTGAGAGGGACCTGAAATATTCCCTTGAGGGAAGTTCCTGGCCAGAGCAGATGAAGTGAAAGAAGGATGCAAGGAGCATCCAGCAGGTGGGGCTAAAGGATAGGCAAGACATTTCTAATATGTTAGAATTGAGCCTTAGTAAAGCTTCCAGTGAAGGATAGGCAAGAGATCCCCTAATATGAGGGGTTGAGCCACAAGGAACCCCCCAAATAGGTAAGAAATCCCTAATATGAGGGGTTGAGCCACAGCAAGCCCCCCGCTAGGCAAGAAATTCCTAATATGAGGGATTGCGGCTAGCCAAGACCCAATATGGGAAATATTACAAGCAAAAAGGATAAGAATAGTGACAAAGATATACCACCTGATAGCCCCCTAGATCCCATGAAAAAAGATAAGAATAGTAACAAAAATATGCCACCTGATAGCCCCTAGATCTCATGCTAAAATGTTGGGAAGATAATGAAAGACCATAAGAAAAGGCAACAAATGATAAAATACTGCTGTTCTATTTGGATTCAAAGACCTATCCTCAATCCCTCAATCTTCTGGCCAAAGTTTGGGTCGACTGAGGGGATGCTATGTCAACTTTTAATTCAACATGTAAATAATAAAAGCCCAGTTTCTCAAGAAGAACTGGACTATGCTCTTTGTTGGAAGCAAAGACCTGTCCTTCCTTTTCCCTTATGCACCTGCCCCTACTGTAAAGACAGTGAAGGAAGGGGCTCAGGGGATCTGGCAAAGAAAACAGCACACAGGATCCCCTAGATCATCCACCACCTAATACCCCTAGTCCCCCACCTAATACCCCCAACCCTTCCTATCAGGCCCAGCCTAAGTCCCCCTCTCTGAAAGGACTCCAAGTTCCTAATTCACCAGGTGGTTTTTGCCGGGCTACCAACATCAAGGATCTGCCGCAACATGTTGTCGGTGTCGTCCAGCCTATAATGCGCCCCCGCGGCAGGCAAAGCTCATGTTCCTGCCCCGCGGCTGGTCCAGGGTCTCGGCATCATATTGACGGCGGCTATGCAGGACACGCGCGCCAGGCCGCAACCTATGCCCCGAGCAGACTACATTACGGAACATCTACCTTACTTTTGCCGGGGCCAAGTAATACGGGGCCTCAGCCGTGGCTCCAAGCAGCTAGGCATCCCCGCAGCTAAGTTTCCTAAGTAAGTAGTAGATAATCTTTCAGCTGATATATCCACTAGCATTTATTGTGGTCAGGCCAATGTTAAAGTGAAAATATCCACCAGAAAAGAACTTTTAATTCTTTAAAGTCACTTATATTAAAATGTACCACCAGAAAAGTATTACATGTATATAAGGCTATTCTGTTAAAAAGGATGGTTTAACATTAACTACTGATAATTCACCTAACGTGGCAAGTTTCTTAACAAGAGATCCAAATCTAAAAAGAAAGCACACATGTTTAGATTTAACTAATTATAAACGTCCGGCCAAACTTGGGAGAAACCCTCTTCAGGAATGATTAAGGGAAAAAGAATGCAACAGGTGTTCAGTAATTAATAAAGAAGTTACTAGAAAAATAAAGTCTAAGTGTTTAATAAAAGTCTATTCAAATGTATAAGTTGTATGCACTTAGTCAAGCTTTAAAGTACCTGCAGGACCAGGAAAGAACCAGCTATACTAATTCTAAATACACCTTTACAGTGACTCATACATTTAGAAAATTTCAGACTAAATTAATAGTAAAAGTCAAAGCCTTGTTCATGAGGAGTTAATCACCCAAGTGTCTATTGTCCATGTCTCCAAGCACCAGAAAACCTGTCTTTTAAAATAACCTAGCAAATCAGATAAGCCAGATAGGCTGCTGTTTCTCCTGTAGGCGCTAAAGGGAACTCAAAAAAATGTTACCCATTAAAGACCCCAAGCTACGTATAGCACAGTCAAAGTTTATTCGTGTATAGGAATTTATACCCTTAGCCAAACAAATCTAGAGACTTGGTTGCCATAGATCAAATGTCTTCTGTCTTCCTATTACCCTAGTAAAAATCCAAACTACTTTTCAAAACAATCCACTGCCAACATTCCTACATACTTGGTTTATCTTCCGCTTTCTCTTCCCTCAAAACTGAAAATTTTCCAGTACAGGCGCCACCCCTAGAGTTCCCAGTACATCAACACCAACCTAAGGAGCCGGCCTGATGCTTCTAACCACTAAAACTGAGTCCAAACAGCAAGAAAAGATGGACCCATCCCACCCAAGTCAAGAAAGCACTGCCATCCCCGAAGTCATGGCCCATTATCCAAGAGAAAACCCCCTCAAACTAAGGTTAAGAAAAGTTTAACTCTCTTTTATCTCTTCTATTGCCCTTTCTTCTTTCCTCATTCTATTGCTGACCTTGTTATCAATGTAACTGAGTCAGACTCACCCCAAATCATTACCTTTGATGCCTTGTTATACCTTGTAAAGAGGATGAACAATGGCAAAGGTATGTCTCTACTTTAGAAAAATACCTCTGCCCTTCAGAGAAGCCACTGACCCTACGCCCTGCTCGTGGCAGGGGTATGAAGGCACCCCAAGTTGGGAGATATGTTCTCAATGGGCAGATGTCATCCTGACTACCAGTGAACATGGTGAGACCTCCCCAGAGGGCTGTACGAACCTAAAATCTTACCTCCGCCTTACCAAATGAACCACACCCTCTAATTGTGAACTTTACCATTGTAACCCAGTAACTATCTCTATTAATGCCCCTACCTTCACCAATTCTGTGCCCCCTTTAGAACACTTTTATGGCTTAGGAGCAGAGGCCAATGGGTATGACCCTACCCTATAGGCTTCTTTAAAATACGCTTTATTGACCCCCTACTCCTTCTCCTTCTAAACCTTCTATCCTGCCCAACAACAATGTAAAGGTAAATATTGTAGAAGTGAAGGATCTAAGACAAACTCTAGCAACTAAAACAGGATATAAAGAACAAAAGCAATTGTTATACTTGTGCACATGGCAGACCAGAGGCCCAGATTGTCCCCTTTCCAGGATGGTCCTTCAGTTGACCAGGTATGGACTGTATGGTAGTCTTTTCCAGAATTCCACAGCCTGGGGCAACAAGTTGTGTCAAGCTCTCTTTCTGTTATATCCTGAAGTTCAACACCCTGCAGGTCAGCCCCCAAGGGCCAACCAGCTTCCGTCTCCCAACGTCAATTTCACCTCGTGTCTCACACGACAGGGGGAGAACTTGGCGTTCCTTGGAAGCTTAACAGGATGTAGTGAGCTCAAGCCCTTCCAGTAGCTTACCCATCAGTCTGCCCTTAGTCATCCTTGAGTGGATGTATGGTGGTTTTACAGTGGACCCTTACTGGACACTCTGCCAAGTAACTGAGCGGCACTTCTGCTTTTGTCCAATTGACTATCCCTTTCATCCTGGCATTTCATCAACCAGAGAAAGAAAAACCACAACACTGAAAAATAAGAGAAGCCCCTTATGGGTCTTTTGACTCTCAAGTTTACATAGATGCCACTGGAGTCCCATGGGGAGTGCCTGACAGGTTCAAATCCCGTGACCAAATAGCTGCAGGATTTGAATCCATATTTCCACAGGCATGTATTAATAAAAATGTAGCTTGGATAAATTACATCTATTATGATCAGCAGCAGTTTATTAATTATACCAGGGATGCTATCAAAGGAATAGCCAACCAATTAGGGCCTACTAGCCAAATGGCTTGGGAAAGCAGAATAGCTCTAGACATGTTATTAGCCAAAAAAGGTGGGTTTTGTGTTATGATTAAAACCCAACGTTGTACCTTCATCCCAAACAACACTGCCCTCAAGGGGAGCATAACAAAGGCCTTACAAGGACTTACCGCTTTATCCAATAAATTAGCTAAAAATTCTATAGTCAATGACCTTATTTCAGGATGGCTAAGAAAGTAGTTCGGTAAATGGAAAAAAAACATAGCCTCAATTCTTATTTCTCTTGCAATCGTAATAGGTGTACTCATTCTTGTTGGGTGTTGTGTCATACCATGCATCAGTAGGCTAGTACAAAGGATTGTACAAACAGCACTTTCTAAAGCCTCCCTTAGTTCTTCTCCACCTTATTCAAGTAAGCTTTTCCTTTTATAAGATCAAATCGAACGGCAAAGTCAAGACTTGTTAAAAAAAAAATTAGAAAGAATAGTAAGAAAATTAAAAGGGAGGAATTGTTAAGATACAATGAATTTCCCTGAGCTTCTCTTCAAAGATTTAGCCTGCTAACTTCCTTGTCCTTTGTTTTCAAACTCAACTTTCTTGTTCCTACTCACCCCTAGTTACTGTAAGCAGCCTACCCCCTTCCCATCAGCTCTAATCAATAACTCACATCTGTTCCCTTGGTTACCTGCACCCACTGTTCCCCTGAAACTGCACGTCTCACATGCTTCACTCCTGTACCTCACCTCCCCCTTCTCTTCCATATTTAGAAAAATATTTGCATGTAGCCAATCGGGTCAGCTCAGATTGTGCGGTCCGGCCCCAGCCCATGGGGGAGTGACCCAGAAACAGGGACTATGCGTCAGGAATAAAAACCTGCTGCTCTCCTTTGTTTGGTGTGCTCTAGCAATCTTGATTGACGTGAGTGGCACCCTTCTGCAGAAGTAAATGGCCTTGCTGAGACAACTTTTGTCTGAGTGCTGGTTTCACTTTGCGGCACTGAGCATTTATTCCTACAGCATTTTTATATCCAACATCTCCTTTCCCCTCTATGGTTTTGGAAATGATACATTATATTTCTAATAATATACTACTTTTCTTTAAATATTTTATGCTTACTTGACTTTAAAGTTAATAAAAACCTTGACCTTCTCCTAGAACAATAGAATCTGAGAATGTGTTAATGCTAACTATTTCCCTCCTGCCTTTTGCTTAAAAGTTTTGAAGCCAGTTTTATTGTGGTATAAATTTATACATTTTAGGTTAATTTACTTTTTTAAAAGTGTTGACCAATATATACATACATATAACCACTACCATAATCAAGATATATAGAATATTCCCACCATTCCAGAATGTTATCTTTGTTCCTTTGTATTTTGTCCCTTTGCCCAAGCCCTGATGCATTCATTGATCCAATTTCTTTTTCTAAAGTTTTGCCCTTTCCAGAATGTCCTATAAGTGGAATTGTACATTATGTGGGGTTTTTTTTTTTTTTTTTTTTTTGAGAGAGAGTCTCACTCTGTTGCCCAGGCTGGAGTGCAGTGGCGTGATCCCTGCTCACCGCAAGCTCCGCCTCCCGGGTTCATGCCATTCTTCTGCTCCAGCGTCCCCAGTGGCTGGGACTACAGGTGCCTGCCACCACGCCTGGCTAATTTTTTTTTTGTATTTTTAGTAGAGATGGGGTTTCACCGTGTTAGCCAAGATGGTCTCGATCTCCTGACCTCGTGATCCGCCCGCCTCGGCCTCCCAAAGTGCTGGGATTACAGGTGTGAGCCACTGTGCTCAGCCTGTGTCTGTCTTTTTTACTTAGCATGATGTTTTTAAGATTGGAGGATGTTGCCGGGCGTGGTGGCTCACACTTGTAATCCCAGCACTTTGGGAGTCTGCGGCGGGTAGATCTCCTGAGGTCAGGAGTTTGAGACCAGCCTCACCAACATGGAGAAACCCCGTCTCTAATAAAAATACAAAATTAGCTGGGCGTGGTGGCGTATTCCTGTAATCCCAGCTACTTGGGAGGCTGAGGCAGGAGAATCACTTGATCCCAGGAAGTGGAGGTTGCAGTGAGCCGAGATCATGCCATTGCACTCCAGCCTGGGCAACAAGAGCGAAACTCCATCTAAAAAAAAAAAAGAAAGAAAAAAAAGTTTATAGGATGTTGTAGCATTAATCAGTAGTTCATTTATTGTATTGCTGAGTGGTATTGAAACTGCCTTTGCAAAACTTAGAATAGTGAGAAATTTATGACAGTGAAGGAGATCTGATCTAACCAACCCCCATCTTGCCTTTAACTCCCAAATTGTCCTTAATCTTCCTAGGCGTGAGCCAAGTTAATTTTGGGAGAAATTTAGTTTGTAATTTAAATGATGGGGTAATAGCCATTCCCCAAGACTATACTGCCTTTGTAAAGCTAATGAAAGACCGCCAGATTAGAAGGATGAGAGGAGTCTGAATTCTGCTAAAGTGTAGACATTAACAGTTACCAGCTATTATTCCAGGGGTCGCAAGATTTGCAACTTCCCCAATTCCTCCTGCAGATAACATCATTATTGTACAATCTAAGATTGGCCTTTTGAGATGTATTTCCAGGCTTTTGCATTTCTGACTACTGATGGCCTCACCCACAACCCGCCAACTGGTCCTGGGACCCGACCAGAAGCAGATTCAGTGCTTCTCAGAAGAGGACCTTTCCCACACCACTATGATTGCACCCCCAACCAATCAGCAGCACGTATTCCCTAGCCACTCCCCTCTCCCCAAACTATCTTTGAAAAACCCTAGCCTCCGAATTTTCAAGGAGGCTGATTTGAGTAATTATAAAGCTCCAGTCTCCCATTTAGCTGGATATAGGTGCATCAAACTTTTAATCTTTTGCACTTCTCCTGTCTTGATAAATTGGCTTTATCTGGGCAGTGGGCAAAATGAACACTTTGGGTGGTTACAGTATTCCATTGTATAAATGTACCATAATTTGTTTATCCGTTCACCAGTTGATGGACATTTGGGCTATTTTATTATAGTTCCTTGTGATTATGACTAAAATTAATATAAACATTTATGTGTAGGCCTTTACGTGTTTATATATATTTCTATTTCTCTTGAGTAAATACCCAGGAGTGTTGGCATTTTTGGGACATATGATAAGTGCGTGTTTAACTGTATAAGAAACCATGAAACTGTTTTCCAGAGTGGCTGTACAATTTTGTATTCCCAACAGCAGTGTATGAAGAGTTCTAGTTCTGCTTCTTCATCAACATTTGATATGGTCAGTTTGAAAATTTTAGCAATTCTAATCACTATGACTAAATCACTGTCATAAAGCATTCTGATCAGTACTCAGTGGAAGACTTCCCTGCCTTGCAAATTCTAGCTGCACTGGCTTTGCTGAATTCTCAACCTTTCCTTTTCAATTTGGAGAGAATGGCCCTGTTTGGGTTCCCTTTCCCTGTGCTGTGGCCTGGAAACTCTCGTGCAGCATGCTGGCGGCCATTACAGGGCTTACTTCATTTGTTTTCCTTCTCTTAGGGGTCACTGTTCTGTGGTTCCTGTTGTTCAATCTAAAATTGTTTTATGTGTTTTTTCCTGGATTTTTTTGAAGTGGAGGAAGGGTGTATTAACAAAATCACCACAAATTTGGTGGATTAAAATGTCGGCCTAAAGGAAGAAACTGAGGCACAAAATATAATTTTAAAGAGTTGACTTGAGCCAGAATGAGGACAGTTGCCTGGAAGACAGACTCAAGTAACCTTGGATATGTTGAACTCCATTAGACCTTTGTTACAAGCAGGTTTTTAAAGGCAAAAACGGAGAGGAGGAGTGGGCTGCTACAAAGCTATTTGTCAGGAATTCTCATGGCTTTCCAGAAAATAACACTGATTAGTAATTGGCTATACATTGTTGAACTTCAGGGTGTGGGTTGTGGTGTCCATGGTGACAGTCTAAAGCGGGGCTCCCCAACTCTCAGGCCATGAACCTGCACCGGTCTGTGGCCTATTAGAAACTGGGAGCACAGCAGGAGGTGAGCAGCAGCAAGCAAGCATTATCACCTGAGCTCTGCCTCCTGTCGGATCAGCAGCAGCATTAGATTCTCAAAGGAGCACAGACAGTATTGCACATGTGAGGGATCTAGGTTGCACGCTCCTTATGAGAATCTAACTAATGCCTGATGATCTGAGGTGGAACAGTTTCATCCCCAAACCATCCTACCCCACCTCCCCAGTCCGTGGAAAATTTGTCTTCCATGACAAATTTTGGTCCCTGGTGCCAAAAAGTTGGGGACCACTGGTCTAGAGTCCACATAGCAAGCAGCTTCTAGAGATGATTACTTAGCTCAAAGGGGGGAAGGGTGACGTGATGTGACTGCTGTCACATTTCCCATGCCTCTCTGGCCTGGTAATTTAGAAGAGGCTCAATTTCTCACATAAAGAGTTCCCTTTCTTTCTCAAAAACAATACATTTATTTTCTTAGAGTTCCAGAAGTCAGAAATCTGAAATGAGTTACACTGACTGAAATCAAGGTGTTGGCAGGGCTGAGCTCCCCTGGAAGCTCTAGGGGAGAATATTTCCTTGCCTTTTCAGCTTCGAGAGCTTCATTCCTTGCATTCCTTGGCTTTAGGCCCCTTTTCCCATTTCCAAAGCCAGCAGCGTAGCATCTTGCTTCAGCCATCACATTGCCTCTGTTTCTGTTGTCAAATCTCTCTCTGCCTCCCTCTTATAAGGACATTTGTGACTACATTTAGTGTCCATTAGATAATCTCCTTATTGCAAGATCCTTAGTTTAATCTTCAAAGCCTCTTTTGCCATATAAGGTAACATTCACAGGTTCTAGGGATTTGGGCTTGGATATTTTGCGGGGTCATTATTCAGCCTACCACAGAGGGTGAATCCGGTTCCTATTTCTCCCTCACAGCTGGAAGTGGAAGTTCTTTTTTTGAATGTGCCTGTTTTTTTTAAATGTGCTTTTTTCCCTCATGCTTTGGATTTTTTCAAAAATAATAATAAATGTTGTAAACCAAAAATAAAATTCTAAGCCTCATGACCACCTGAAAGGACCCCTCCTCTCACAAAGGACTCCAAAACTAACCTGAAAAACTGTTTCAGGCCATGATGGGAAGGGGGGTGGTTGGACATGCCTCATTATATTCTTCTCCCTTTTAGAATTAATGATAGAACAGACTCGTTAAGTCTGATAAGAAACATTAACAATCTATTCTCTCTGAGGCCTGTTACCTGGAGGCTTCACCTGCATGATAAAATCTTGGTCTCCACACCCTTATTTTAACCCAGATATTCTTAAGTCTTTAGACAATAACTTTTTCAACCAATGGCCAATCAGAAAATCTTTGAATCTACCTATCACCTGGAAGCATGCCGTGCTTCCAGTTGTCCCACATTTCCAGACTGAACCAATGTACATCTTACATGTATTTGATTAATGTCTCATGTCTCTCTAAAATGTTTAAAACCAAGCTCTTCCCCAACCATCTTGGGCACATGTTCTCAGGATCTCCTGAGGGCTGTGCCTTGGGCCATTGGTCACTCTTATTTGGCTCAGAATAAATCTCTTCAAATATTTTCGAGTTTGACTATTTTTGTTGACAATGTACTTATTTTGTTGCTGGAGGGCTTAGGTGGGTTTCCAGAAGCTGGTGAGACCTCAGCCCCAGCCAGTTTCCAGGTTCTTGACACTCTCTCGAGAAAGAATTCAGGGATGAGTTGGAATGAAGCAAAAGGCAATAAGCTTTTATTGCCAAGTAAAAGTACACACTTAAGAGAGAAGCATGGGCATGCTTGTGAGAATGAGTTGTGCACAATGGTGTTTGGGTTTCTAATTTTATGGGTTTTTAAAAATTAGGTGGTGGAATAATCACCAGTTATTCTGGAAATGGAGGGGATTTCAGGGACCCCCCCATCCTCATTACCACCCCCATTTATCCCTTATTTGGGGTTGCCTGGAGAGTCACAGACATGTCACCCTGACCAGGGTTTTGACTGTTTTCTCTCCCTCATTTTGGGTTTTCTGTTATCTATGGTTTCATTGCCTACTTCCTGTTTTATACCCAGTGCTATTCCTATCTCTGTTTCATAGTCTCAATCTATAAAATTCTATTATTATAATTGCCTGATGGGTTCTTCCTGCCCACTGCACAGGCAAAACTAATTCACTGAGACCATGATTTTGCAATAAAGAAAGAGTTTTACACATGGCCAGCCACACCACACAGGACACAGAGTTATTACTCAAATCAGTTTCCCTGAAAATTTGGAGGCAGGGGTTTTCCAAGGATAGTTTGGCAGTCAAGGGAATGAGTGATGCTGGTTGGTTAGGGATACAATCATAGGGGTGTGGAAAACGGTCCTAGTATACTGAGTCTGCTTCTGGGTGAGGGCCACAGGACCAGTTGAGCCAAGAGTCATGGGTCTCGGTGGGGCCATCCAGTCATCAGAAATGCAAAAGCCTGAAAGGAGATCTCAGAAGGCCAATCTTAGGTTCTACAATAGTGAACTGGGGAAGTTGCACATCTTGTGACCTCTGGAATAATGGCTGGTAATCATTTAACTATGCTTACATCTTAGCAGAATTCAGGCCCCTCTCATCTTCCTAACCTCTTGGACTTTTGTTAGTTTTACAAAGGCAGTTTAGTTTTTGGGAAGGGCTATTATCATTCAAAATATAAACTAAATTTCTCCCAAAGTTAGCTTGGCCTACACCCAAGAATGAACAGGGGCAGTTTAGGAGTTCAGAAGCAAGATGGAGTGGGATAGATCAGATCTCTTTTACTGTCATAATTTTCTCATTGTTGTAATTTTTGCAAAGGTAGTTTCATTATTTAAAGTTCTTGGTGGTTAAAACCTGCTGTTTGTTGTGACTACGCATATTAATTCATGACAGTTTGTTTCTTATTTCTTTGTAATTTTGGATTGTGATCTCATGTTCAATGTCTTTTGTAGTGGGAATCCTGCTAGGCCTGGGCTGAGGTTTGTATCCTGATAGTCATTTTGCATTTGCTTTCTACCAGGTATCCTGGGAGTGTTGCCATCCCTCTAGGATTAATTTTTATCTTTTTATTTTGGTGGTTACAAGATTAGGTAGTTATGATGAATTAAACCTGAAACTCCTGTGAGGACAGGCTTGAAACACCTCCTTGAAACACGTCTTTTGCTTATCTTCTGTGGCATTACTTTTTCTTGTGTTTCATTCTCTTTTTTATCTTGCTGGATGCTTCTACTCAGTCTCTTTTCCTGGCTCCTCCTTTTCCTGCTCTAAACTTGGAAGTGTCCGAGGACCTCTGTTCTACTCTATTCGCATTCACCTCCTACTAAACTCATCTTGTTTCATGGTTTTAAATACCAATGATTTTCTGACTTTCTGGCTTTCAGTTTATGTCTCCTGCCTGGACTTCTTTCCTGAATTGCAGACCTAGATAGCCAGCTCTTTATTTATCATCTCCACTTGGGTGTCTACTAGGTTGTTTAAATTTAACGTGTCCAAAAATGAACTCTTGATTGCCACCCAACTGTTCCTTTGGCAGCGTCCCCTGTTTCAGTAAAAGGCAACTGCATTATTTTGTTCAGGCATAATACCTTGAAGTTATTCCTGATTCTTCTCTCTCAAATCGCATATATCCATCAGTATATCTTGTCAGCTTCTACCTTTGAAATATGCCAAGGATCCAATCAACCTTCCATTTCTCACCAACTCCACTGCCATCACCCCAGTCTAAGTTGCCACTGGTTTGCCTGGATTATTGTGATAGCCTTGTAACAGGTCTTCGGGTTTCCATCCATGCTTCTCCTTCAAAATATTCAGGGTTTGGGGAGAGTGGGTGGAGGTACAGGTGAATTAAGATTGGCCATGTATTGGCTGGGCACAGCGGCTCATGCCTGTAATCTTAGCACTTTGGGAGGCTGAGGGGCAGGCAGATCACTTGGGGTCACGTGTTCGAGATCAGCCTGGCCAACATGGCAAAACCCTGTCTCTACTAAAAATACAAAAAACAGCCAGGTGTGGTGGCATGTGCCTGTAATCCCAGCTACTCAGGAGGCTGAGGCAGGAGAATCTCTTGAACCCGGGAGATGGAGGTTGCAGTGAGCTGAGATCATGCCACTGCACTCTAGCCAGGGCAACATAGCAAGACTCTGTCTCAAAAAAAAAAAAAAAAAAAAGGAAAGAAAAAGAAAAAGATTGGCCATGTATTGCTAATTACTGAAATTTGGTGAGGGCAACATTGAGTTCATTATGCTGTTCTCTTTATTTTTGTGTATTTTTCCCTTTACAATTTTCAATGCTTTACAATTTTCTATGCCTGCATAGTCCAATATGGTAGCTACCATATGTAGCTATTGAGTACTTGAAACGTGACTAGTCTGTATTGAGATGTGCTGTGAGTATAAGATACATGCTGGACTTTAAAGACTTAGTAAGAAAGAAAAAAGTAAAAGATCTCATTAATATTTTGTTATATTGATTACATGCGGAGATGATAATATTTTGGTTATATAAGGTCAATTAAAATGTGTTATTAAAATTAATTTCACTTGCTTCTTTTCACTTTTTAAATATGGCTACTAGAAAATTAAAAATTACCTATGTGGCTCATGTCATCTTTCCGTTGGATCTATCAGGCCCTCTGTGTTCCGGACCCTGCTTCCTCTCTGACTGCATCTCCTACCATTTTTCTCATCTTTATTCACACCATTTCAACCACACTAATTTCATTGCTTAGAACAGGCAAAATACATTTCTGCCTCATGTCCTTTGCACTTGCTAATGTGTCTGCCTGGAGCTCTTTCTCGGTGTCTGTGTGACTCACTCCCTCGCTTCCTTCAGGATTCTGCTCAAGTCACCTACCTTTTGAGAGATACTTACCTGATCTCTAGAACATCCCATCACCTTCACTCTCTACTGTCCTTAATCTGCGTTCTTTTTCTTTTTCTTTTCTTTTCTTTCCTTTTTTTTTTTTTTCAGACGAAGTCTCGCTCTGTCGCCAGGCTGGAGTGCAGTGGTGTGATCTCAGTTCACTGCAACCTCCGTCTCCCGGGTTCAAGTGATTCTCATGCCTCAGCCTCCCGAGTAGCTGGGATTACAGGCACGTGCCACCACACCCAGCTGATTCTTGTATTTTTGGTAGGGACGGGGTTTCACCATGTTGACCAGGATGGTCTCGATCTCCTGTCCTCATGATCTGCCCGCCTTAGCCTCCCAAAGTGCTGTGTGAGCCACCGCACCTGGCCCTTTTTCTTTATAATACTTATCACCACTGATGCTTTTTTTTTTTTTTTTTTTGAGATGGGGTCTCACCCTTTCGTCCAGGTTGGAGTGCAGTGGCGCGATTTTGACTCACTGCAACCTCCACCTCCTGGGTTCAAGCAACCCTCCCTCCTCAGTCTCCCGAGTAGCTGGGATTACAGCCATGCGCCACCATGTCTGGCTAATATTTTTGTATTTTAGTAGGTACAGTGTTCCACCATGCTGGCCAGGCTGGTCTCAAACTCTTGACCTCAAGTGATCTGCCTGCCTTGGCCTTCCAAGGTGTTGGGATTACAGGCGTGAATCACCGTGCTCGGTCATGATGCTTTTATCTGTAGTCCTGTATCCTGACTACTTAGTATAATGCTTGATACAGAATAGGCATTTACTAACAAATTGTGAAATGAATAGCTATAGATTGTGAAGATTTTATCTCAAGTTCAATATTGACTTCTTCTGCAATAAAGTTCAGGTTCCCTAAATATATAAAGAGTAAAATAAACTCTAAATTACTTATAACTACATGAAATTCCCTAAATAAGAAAACAGGCCAGGCATGGTGGCTCACATCTGTAATCTGAGCACTTTAGGAGGCTGAGGCTGGAGGATCGCTTGAGCCCAGGAGTCTGAGACCAGCCTGGGCAACATGGTGAAACCCCATCTCTACCAAAAAAATAAAATAAAAATTTAGCTGAGTTTGGTAGTGCATGCCTGTAGTCCCAGCTATTTGGGAGACTGAGGTGGGAGGATCACTCACCCGTGCCTGGGAAGTTGAAGGTGCAGTAAACTGTGATTATGCCACTGCATTCCATCCTGAGTGACAGAGTTAGACCCTGTCTCCAAAAAAAAAAAAAAAAAAAAAAAAAGCTTTGTAAAATAAGATGGAATGAATGCCTGTTTTATTCCTTTCAAAGGAATTAAGGTAAAATAAACAACTTAGTACTACTCAATCTTTATATGTATTTGTAATTAGTAGCATGGAGAGTTTTAGAGATACTGGTGAGGAATTCAAGAAAGTAAATGAAATACAGATCAAGAGATACGTAAGAGTCAGAAACGACTTTTTCCCCATAGGTAAAATCCCATTTCTCAAAGGAATTTTTCAAATTCTTTTGTTGCTCTGGCATTTTTTATTGTATTAATAGTAATCCAGTAAATTGGACAATGTTAAGGAGCTTAGAAATTTTTGGGATACACTGAAATTTTTGTTGTGCTGGTAATTATTAACAAAACAATCTGGTTATAAAATAAATTTTTGAAAGCAGTCATTATTCTTTATTCAAAGCTTAAATGATGAGGCAGGAAAAGGAACAAAAAAGGGAAAAATGAGGACTATTTTTAACTTTGTCCTAATTTTTTAAATGTAAGATGACTATGACTAGGTGCGGTGGCTCACACCTGTAATCCCAGCACTTTGGGAGGCTGAGGTGCGTGGACTGCCTGAGCTCAAGAGTTTGAAACCAGCCTGGGCAACATGGTGAAACCCTGTCGCTACTAAAATACAAAAAATTAGCCGGGCGTGGTGGCACATGCCTGTAGTCCCTGCTACTTGGGAGGCTGAGGCAGGAGAATTGCTTGAATCCGGTAGACAGATGTTGCAGTGAGCCGAGATTACACCACTGCATTAGAGCCTGGGCAACAGAGCAAGACTCTGTCTCCAAATGAATAAATAAATAAATGGTAAGATGACTAAAGGTCTTAATGAAATAAAAGCAAAGGGATCTTGTCCTGAATATATTTATTAGGTTGGTACAAAAGTAATTGCTTTTTTATTACTTTTATGGCAAAAAACGCAATTACTTTTGCACCAAACTAATGCTTTTCTATTTCAATTTCAGTCTTGAGCACAGCATCCCCTTCAAATGTAACTGGAAAAATGAAATGACACCGACATGATATATAACAATTTGGACTGCGAAATTTATTTTTGAGTCAAGGTCTTGCTCTGTTGCCCAGGCTGGAGTGCCATGGCATGAACACAGCTGATTGCAGCCTCTACCTCCTGGGCTCAAGTGATCCTCCCACCTCAGCCTCCCAAGCAGCTGGGACCACAGGTGTGCACCACCATGCCCAGCTAATCTTTAAAGTTTTTGTAGAGACAGGGTTTCCCTAGGTTGCCCAGGCTGGTCTCAAACTCCTGGGTCCAAGCGATCCTCTCACCTCAGCCTCCCAAAGTACTGAGATTACAGGTGTAAGCCACTATGCCTGGCCAGACTGTGACATGTAAATAGATGAAATTGACAAATCAAGGCTAGCAGTACATTAAAGACTTTTAACTAATACTTTTAAAGTATATCTCCAGTGGGCTTTTTGGATATATTATTTTGTACTCATTTAAAAAACATTTATTAAATGTATCTTGTATGCTAACACTGTGCCAACTACCCAAGGATAAAAAATTATACTTTTATAGTAGCTATCCTTTACCGAGAGCTAACAATGTCAAGTAAATTCTTTGCAAGGATTTTCTCAGTCAATTCTCATAGGAGAGGTAATTTTATTATTCTCAATACACAAATGAGGAGACAAAGACTTTTCAAAGAGTTTTGCTTTCAAAGAGTTCACCACCTCGAGAGATGAGAACAAGCATAAACTTAATAGAAGGTGCCAAATGCTACAATAGAGAGTGCAGAAGGATTGCCTTTAGGGGTGGCAATGAGGGAAGGCCTTCCAGAGGACAAGATGCTTGTCCTGAATTTGACAGGGGTAGGTGTTTGCAGAGTGGAGAAAAAGAGTGGAAATTATTGCTACCACATGCAAAGGCACTAAAATCTGAAATGATTTGAGCATTAATGAAAACTTTTCCATCAGTCTTTGAGTTATTCATTATGTAACACACATTTTGGGCAATGAAGGATCATCTGCTTGAGTTATTGCTGGGGGCCTGTAGTGCTGTCAGGTCTTGTTAGGATCAGTATATTGGTTAGAACTTCATGTCCTAGGCTCGGGCCTTACCTTTGCAGGTCAGTCAGGCAGATTCCATACCGAATAGCACAGAGGTTAGGAAAATAGATTCTGTGCCAAACTGCCTGAGTTTAAATCTCAGCTCTGTCATTAATTACCAGTGAATGTGACTTTTAAAAAATTACCTAACATTTTTATGATTTAGTATCTTCATTCACAAAATGAGAACAGCAACAGAATCTAATTTATCATAAGACTATTACAAGAATAAAAGGAGTCAATATAGATAAAGCTCTGAGAACAGAGCCTGGTACCTAGGAAACTCTACATAAGTGTTAGTTACTAGTATTACTTGAGACTGGTATTTAAACAGAAAGCTATTTTGTTCATTCAGAATAAACTTTGTTCCTTTCTAATGATGCCCCAGTCTCCTAGCATAGTACTTTTTAAATGTTAAGATACCTAAGATAAATTTTGATTCAGAAAGTTGTTTGGAGGAAATAGGCACAGAGTATTTATTCCAAGCTCTGGTAAAGGCCAGTGAGATATTCCTACACCATAATAAAGACATATTCACTATTGATTAGGTTACTTCTGTCTCCCACAATCATTATCTTACTCCTGAGTTTCTTCCTGCCCATGTACAGCTTACAGCTAGTGGTTCAGGGTGGGGAGAAGATAGAATCGGGAAAGAATCCCAGAAGTGCTAGACATTAAGCTAAGATCTTTTTGATAATATACTCAGGGTGACCTGTTTGAAGAACTACTATGCTCTACTCCACTAACTCCCTTGGGTAGAATGTGACTTGGGTTCCTAAGCTGTGGAAGGACTTTGGAATAGTCAAGGAACTCTAAGAATTGCTAAATGTCCCTGATAGACTAGAGAGAAGGAAGGTTTCACCATAGAATTAGAACTCTTTTTCTTTTCTTTTCTTTTTTTAAGACAGTGTCTCATTCTGTTACCCACGCGGGAGTGCAGTGGTGCCATCTTGGCTCACTGCAGCCTCAAACTCCCAGCCTCAAGCAATCCTCCCACCTCAGCCTCCTGAGTAGCTGGGACTACAGGCACACATCACCACACCTGGATAATGTTTGTATTTTTTGTAGAGACGAGGTTTTGCCATGTTGCCCAGGCTTGTCTCGAACTCCTGGGCTCAAGCAATCTGCCCATGTTGGCTTTCCAAAGTGCTGGGATTACAGGCCTGAGCCACCGTGCCTGGCCTACTATAGAACTGTTGTTACATTCTTTGGAACCCTCTACTAAGTAGAGGTGGCTCAGGAACTTTACCTTGTGGGTCTCAAAAACATGTTTTTTTAGGTTTGGCTTGGAGATGATGCTTCCATAAACCATCAGAGATTCATGACACGTTGGGTTGAAAAGACTGTAGTGGGATAGAGTTTATGTGACCAATAACCATGTCAGCCTTAAGTCCTCCAAGACACTGGCCATAAATGCTGGAACAAGTGAAGGCAATATATAATCCAAATAATAGCACAATGTGTTCACACTGATCAAGCCTTGTCTGGAAGTTTTTCTACTTGATTCTTTCTGGAATGAAGGTAAGTTTATAGGCACACTGGAGCTCTTATTTAGTAAAGACCCTCCTGTTCCAGGGAGCTGGTTCAGAAGGCCAGAGATCAGTGGCATCCAATAACTCACGGATGGACCAGTTTGAGACTTCTACTGTGGCCATAGACACAAAGTTCATCTTCTTTTATTCTCATGAAGAACTGCTGGGGCTATCTCTGGGATCTCGAAGGACTTTTTATCTGCTGTCTAGAGGGGAGAGATGAGTCATACAAAGTAAAGTGCCAAGTTCTAAAAAAGAGAGTTTAGAGAAAAAATTGTTGTTGGGAAGTGGGAATCAAGGAAGGTCTCAAAGAAGACAAGTTGCTTGTACTGAATTTTAAAGTTGAGGAGGAGCTTGCATAGTGGACAAGGGAGCAGAAAGACGAGTGTTGCAGGAATACAGCCTGCATAACCAAAGATTCAGAAATCTGAAATCATCTGAATCTTAGTCAAAACATTTCACATTATACTCTTAGCAATTTCAATATGTTTTGAAAGGGCCTAATACTGCAGGGCTGGGAAAGAAAGTTATTCTCTTTCCAGAAAAGAGGAAGTTTGAGCTGAGTGTTGAGGACAGGAGTTTGATAAATAGAATGTGATGGAGGAGGGCTGATGCTGCATCCACCATTCTGTGATAATGAAGGAAAGGCTGAGGACACTGCAGCGATGTCAGCAATGACGTCTTCCAGCTACTGAACCGGCTACATTTTGTTTAGGACACTTAAGTTGAGTTTTCTGTTATTTTTATAAAATGAATTCCTAGCTATGGAGAATTCAGTATGATAAGTGGAGCGCTAAAGGTAAGAGACTCTGAAATATGAAACTGGCTGACTAGAGGGGTTACGATCACAGGGTTTGAGGATCTACAACTTTTATAGGCTAGTGGTAACAGTGGAAAAATTGGTCAAATTATTATCTACTGTATCTTGGGACCAAGACTATGTAGTAACAGCACGGCTATAGTTTTAGGGAAAATGTTTGGAAAAATCTCAGGTTTTCAATGTGTGTTACCTATTACTTGCGGTTGAAGAGATAGGAAAAGATACATAATCAAAATAAAGTTGGGGGTCATTTTATTAATATAAAGTAACATAGACTTCAAAACAAAAAAAATTACCAGAAAGTTTTATTTCTTGTTGATATACAGCTTAATGCACCAAGAAAATGTAGCATTTTAACAATTCTAAACTTAACACTGTCTAATACAAGTTTTGAATACTTGTATTTAAATACAAGTTTACTTATTTATTTATTTTTTGAAATGGAGACTCATTCTATTCCCTAGGCTAGAGTGCAGTGATGTGATCTCAACTAACTGCAATGTCTGCCTCCTGGGTTCAAGCAATTCTCGTGCCTCAGCCTTCTGAGTAGCTGGGATTACAGGCACCTGCCACCATGCCTGGCTAATTTTTGTATTTTTAGTACAGAATGTGTTTTGCCACAGTGGCCAGGCTGGTCTCGAACTCCTGACTTCAAATGATCCACCCGCCTCGGCCTCCCAAAGTGCTGGGATTATAGGCGTGAGACACCATGCCTGGCCAAATACAAGTTTAGTCTTCAAAATATATAAAGCAAAAACTGAAGGAAGTAACTAGATGAAAAGAGAAATTAGAGGACATATGGATTGGGCTGGCAACAACTCATCTCAGTGACCAATCTTTTAAAAAATTATTTAATTATTTATTATTTTAGAGACAGGGTCTTATTCTGTCACCCAAGCTGGAGTGAAGTGGTGCTACCATAGCTCACTGCAACCTAGAACTCCTGGGCTTAAGTGATCCTCCTGCCTCAGCCTCCTGAGTAGCTAGGACTACAGGCAAGTACCTCCATGCTAGGCTAATGTAAAAATTTTTTTGTAGAGGTAGGGTGTTGTAATGTTGCCCAGGCTGGTCTTGAACTCCTGGCCTCAAGTCTCAAGTGATCCTCTTGCTTTGGCTTCGCAAACCGCTGCGATTGCAGGCATGAGCCACTGTGCCTGGCCTAAAATTTTTTTTAATTGATACGTATTAATTGTACATATTTATGAGGTACATGTGATATTTCGAGGCATACATACAGGTGTATTGGTCAAATAAGGTTATTTAGGATATCCATCAACTCAAACATTTATAATTTCTTTGTGTTGGGAAGATTTCAAATCTTCCCTTCCAGCTATTTCAAAATATACAATAAATTACTGTCAAGTAAAGTTACCCTACCATGTTACTGAACACTAGAACTTACTCCTTCTGTCTAATTGTATTTTTGTACCCATTAACCAACTTTTCTTTCTCCCGACCCTCTTCTTCCCAGCCTCTGGTAACCATCATTCTACTCTCTACCTCTATGAGATCAACTTTTTTAGCTTTCACATATGAGACAGAACATTTGATATTTCTCTTTCTGTGCCTGGCTTATTTCACATAAAATAGTGACCTACAGTTCCATCATGTTGCTGCAAATGACAGGATTTCATTTTTTTTTTACAGCTGAACAATATTGTGTACATATACCATATTTTTCTTTATTCATTTGTCTATTGATGAACATTTAGGTTGATTTCAAATCTTGGCTATTGTGAATAATGCTACAATAAACATGCAAGTATAGGTATCATTTTGATATAGTGATTTCTTTTCCTTTGGATAAATACCCAGTAAAGGGATTGCTGGATCCTACGGTAGTTCTATTTTTAGTTTTTTGAGACACCTTCATATTGTTTTGCATAATGACTGTACTAATGTACATTCCCACCAACAGTGTATAAGAGTTCCTCTGTTCTCTGCATCCTTGCCAGCATTTGTTATTTTTAGTCTTTTTAATGATAGCCAGTCTAACAGGGGTAAGATGGTATGCCATGGTTTACATTTTGTCATATACCTCTTGGCCACTTGTATGTCTTCTTTTGAGAAATGTCTATTCATGTCTTTTGTCTGCCCACTTTTCAATGGGATTATGTGGATTTTTATTGTTGGGTTGAGTTCCTTGTATTTTCTGTATATTGGATGAATAGTTTGCAAATATTTTCCCTCATTCTACAGGCTGTCTCTTCAATTTGTTGATTGTTTCCTTGGCAGTGCAGAAGCTTTTTAGTTTAGTCCTATTTGTCTATTTTTGGTTTCGTTGCCTGTGCTTTTGAAGTCTTAGCTATAAAATCTTTGCCTGGACCAATGTCCTGAAGCATTTCCCTATGTTTTCTTCTAGTAGTTTCATAGCTTCAGGTCTTACTTTAAGTCTTTAATCTACAAGTTCGTTTTTGTATGTGGTGAGCAATAGGAGTCTAATTTCATTCTTCTGCCTATGGTTATACAGTTTTCCCAATATATCATTTGTTGAAGACACTGTCCTTTATCCAATGTATATTCTTGGCACCTTTGTCAAAAATCAGTTGGCTGTAAATATGTAGGTTTGCTTCTGGGTTCTCTATTCTCTTCCATTGGTCTATATGCCTGTTTTTATACCAGTACCATGCTGTTTTGGTTACCATAGCTTTGTAGTACGTTTTGAAGTCAGGTAGTGTGATGCTTCCACCTTTGTTCTTTTTATTCAGTATTGCTTTGGCTATTCAGGGTTTTTTGTGGGCCCACATAAATTTTAGGATTGTTTTTCTATTTACATAAAGAATGTCATTGGCATTTTGACAGATATTGCATTGACTCTGTAGATTGCTTTGGGTAGTGTGGTCATTTTAACAATATTAATTAATCCATTAACATGGGATGTCTTTCCATTTGTTTGTGTTCTCTTCAATGTTTTTTGTCAGTGTTTTGTAGCTTTCCTCAGGGAATTCTTTCTCCTCCTTGGTTAAATTTATTACTAGGTATTTAATGTGTTTTTGGTAGCTATTGTAAATGAGATTGCTTTCTTGATTTCTTTTTCAGCTAGTTCATTATTGGTGTATAGAAACTTTATTTGTTTTTGTATGTTGATTTTGTATACTGCAACTTTACTGAATTTGTTTATCAGTTCTAACAGTTTTTATGATGGAGTCTAGGTTTTTCCCTATATAAGATCATGTCCTTTGCACAGAAGGACAATTTGACTTCCTTTATTTCCAATTTGAGTACCTTTTGTTTATTTCTCTTGTCTGATTGCTCTGGCTAGGACTTTCAGCACTATGTTGAATAAGAGTGGTGTAAGTGGGCATCCATGTCTTGTTCCAGTTCCTAGATGAAAGGCTGTCTGTCATCTTTTCCCCATTTAGTATGATGTTAGCTGTGGGTTTTTCATAAACACTCTTTATTAAGTTCAGGTATGTTCCTTCTGTGCCTAATTTGTTGAAAGTTTTTATCACCAAGGGATAACTGTAAGTCCAATCAAACCTCTTTCTTTTGTAAATTGCTCAGTCTCGGGTATGTCTTTATCGGCAGCATGAAAATGGACTAATACACGGCCCTTATGGGAATTTGCAGCCCCAATTCATTTCACCTGGGCTGTTCACAAAATTTCAATTTATGAATTCAGGACATAGCACTATCAATAAAGTGCTCTTCTGAGAAGACCTGCTCCTGACTCTAAATACCTACTCAAGTCTCAAGACTGATGTACAAATTTACAGGAAATACAGGGGATAAAGAACATAGTAAGTGATGTCTTTCTGTAAACAACCAAATTCAGAAAGATATTCTACAGGAAAAGTGATCCAAATTCTTCAACAAATTAATGGCACAAAAAATTGGGATAGGAGAAAGGGAACTGTCTAAAATTACAAAAGACTCGTAATATATTAAACGCATATAAACCAAAGGTAGTATAGGCCTTGGTTGAATTCTAATTAGTATAAAATTAGATGACACTAATTATCATCTAATAAATTAGGTTTATTAGATGATATCTAATAGATGATATCTAGGCTGGGTATTCTTAGATGATATCAAGGAATTATTGTTTAATTTGTTAGGTGTGATAATGGCATTGTGGATTTTAAAACAAGTTATTGGCCGGGCGTGGTAGCTCATGCCTGTAATCCTAACACTTTGGGAGACCGAAGCGGGCAGATCATGAGGTCAAGAGATTGAGACCATCCTGGCCGACATGGTGAAACCCCGTCTCTGCCAAAAATACAAAAATTAGCTGGGCGTGGTGGTGCGCGTCTGTAGTCCCAGCTACTCAGGAGGCTGAGGCAGGAGAATCGCTTGAACTCAGGAGGTGGAGTCTGCAGTGAGCTGAGATCATGCCACTGCACTCCAGCCTGGTGACAGAGCGAGACTCCATCTCAAAAAAAAAAAAAACCCAAAAAACAAAAAACGAAAAAACAAGTTATCTGTTGGAGATACATACTGAATAATTATCTTTCTTGTCTTGTAGCTATCAACTGTCAAACCATTAAGACAATAAGAATCAGGCTGATCAGGATTAAGAATGACTGAGAGAAGATTGCAGAGACTTAGACTTTAAGCTGGGTGCAGTAGCTGGTTGAGATTTTGGGACTGCCTTACTTAGAGGTCTGATGAATGCCTTTAGTGTGCAATGCCTGCATGGGAAGAAGGGCATGCATGGATATTAATCAGTTTAAGGATAAGCTGTCACCAACCATGTTTCTTGGTGAACTAAACACATTTTTAACCCAACACACATTTCTTTTTTTCTTTTTTTTGAGATGGAGTTTCACTCTTATCACCCAGGCTGGAGTGCAATGGCGCCATCTCAGCTCACTGGAACCTCTGCCTCCTGGGTTCAAGCAATTCTCCTGCCTCAGCCACCCCAGTAGCGGGAATTACAGGCATGAGCCACCACACCTGGCTAATTTTTGTATTTTTAGTGGAGATGGTGTTTCACCATGTTGGCCAGGCTGGTCATGTACTCCTGACCTCAGGTGACCCACCTGCCTTGGCCTCCCAAAGTGCTGGGATTACAGACATGAGCCACCGTGCCCTGCCCCAACACACATTTCTAACCCTCTCCTTGACAATTGCCATCATAGAGCCTGGAAAACTAAGTACTGGATTGGCTTTCCCAGTTTTCTCTATACCAAGGTGTGGCCATGTGAGACATAAATGAAAATTTTTTTGCAGAGGCCTCTAGGAAAACTCTTTGATAAAAGAAACAAATGATGTTGGTGGCCCTCCTTTTTCCTTTCTTGAATTTGGGTATGATTTCTGGAGTTGTAACAGCTCTTGCAACCATGAGGAAAATGCTCTAAACCAATGTGAGCAACTACCTACCCCCACTCTTCTTTAAAGCAATAAAAAATAAAATTTATGTTTAATTAAGCCACTGTTAGTTGAATTATTCTGTTATTTTCAGAAGAAAGCATTCTTAACCTATACATCACAGCAAAATGCTGGCAAATCCTATCTCATAAACTTTCATGAGGATTGAATAAATAAAATGCCTAACACTTGCCTAGGCAATTTACATGTTCCTCTGTCCACCCTACTTCCTAGATCAATTTAGCTACACATTGGGAGGAAGTTATAGTTTGATTATACCTTTTTATTAAAGCAGAGGTGAGTACCATATACAGTATTTTAATTTGCAAATCTGTCAGCTTTATGTAAGGTCAGGATAACATTTTCTAGTTTGTTCCATACTCTTATTCGTCACGCTCAATATTTTTGTTGACTTCTTTGGCCAGAAGAGTTTACTGCTCCAGCATCTTCCTGGAAGAGTCCACAATTGGGCTAAATCTATTTTAACCATTTCCCTCTAGATTTTTAAATTGTACTTGCCTACACAGACATTCCCCTGCCACTTTTCTGTAAGCCTGCAGAGCCTGGCATTTTCTTCTATTTTTCTTTGTTAGTTCAGTTGCTGCCTAAAAGCAAGACTAGGCTCTCATAGAGGTAGAATGGGGCTGGGCGTGGTGGCTCACGCCTGTAATCCCAGCACTTTGGGAGGCTGAGGCGGGCAAATCACGAGGTCAGGAGATCAAGACCAGCCTGGCCAACATGGTGAAACCCTGTCTCTACTAAAAATACACACACACACACACACACAAAAGCCAGGCGTGGTGGCTAGTGCCTGTAATCCCAGCTACTCAGGAGGCTGAGGCAGGAGAATTGCTTGAACCTAGGAGGCAGAGATTGCAGTGAGTCGAGATCCCGCCACTGCACTCCAGCCTTGGAGACGGAGCAAGACCCCATCTGGGAGGTGTCGGGTGGAAGAGGTAAAATGGACAGCAGCAAACCACACGTGTGATAGGAGAGAATACTGAGCTGAGATCAGTTTCCTAAAATATGAATCCGATTTCAGGATCACTCATTTATCTGACTGTCAAGAACGCCTCTGAACAGGAGGAAGACTTTGGGGAGAGGGTGGGGTTTGTTGAAAGGGTACCGAGAAGGGAGGTGGGTGGTACCCAAACAATTTGTTTACATAATGTTTTATGGACCTGAAATATGTAGAACAGTACTTTGAAACTAAAGTACTGTACTGAAGTTTAATTATTTTTCTTATTGTTTGCATATTCTCCCTCCCAGATACTTTACAGAGGGCGCTAAAGCTGATCCCCTGGGAGCTTCAGAGTTTAATGACTTCGCCTGAAGATTTCCTATTCTTTTCCACAACGTGCTAAGTCAAATTATGGCCAAATTACCAATCGCATGGTAATTCAGCTTCTAAATATATTTTGCAGAGTGTTTCCAAAAGTTAAAAAACAACAACAAAACTTCACCTAAATTGTTTTTACTTGCTTCACCTTAAATCAGTTATTCGGTTCCTTTGAAGAACATGTAGCTTTAGCAACCCCCAAAGTGAACCCAGATACCCAGGACTACTGATTGTTACATCAGAGTTTTTGAAAACGCCAATACTGGAAACAGGCCGACAGTTAAGGAGAGGCAGGCCTCAAACTAAAGCAGAACCTTCTCAAAACTACTTATATTTCAAGAGATGGATTAAGCGAAAAGAGCTGTACAAAGAAATAAGCCATTTTCTATGCGCCTGTTATATGCAAGGCACTGCACTCCCTTGTCACTTGTTAATTTACAAGAAGACTCGCCGGTCCAGGGAAGGGAGAGGGGAATAGGTGCAAGGTTTGTGGAGGGCGGCAAACTGCACTCCATGTGGCGCGAGGCTGCGCTTGCGGAGATCCGGGTTCTGGTGCCTGGCGCCGGCAGCCAGTAGGGGCGCGCGTCCTGCGCAGTTGCCGCGCGCGGCCTCCTCGGGCTTCAGGCCGGGCCAATCAGGAGGCGGGCGGGAGGGGGCGCGGTACCGGGAGGGAACGGGGCGGGTCGGGCTTCGAGGTCAGCTGGTCCGCAGGGAAGCCTTTGGCTTCCCCACCGGCAATGGAGCGGTTGACGTTGCCTCTCGGCGGCGCGGCGGCGGTGGACGAGTACCTGGAGTACCGGAGGTGAGGCTGTGGCTCCGGGCCTGCCCCCCCGCCGCTCCGAGGGGCCAGGATCCCTGGGCTGGGGGCGCGAGCAGGGGCCCGGCGGGCGTCCGCGGGGGTTCCCGGAATCTGTGCCTGGGCTGTTGGGGGAGGCCTAGATGAATTCCAGTTTAGTCTTTGCCTAATTAAATATTGTAGGGCCACGCGGTTCTATGCAGTGATGAGTCTTCCAATAACATTTAAGAGGCCCCTCTGCTCCCTTCCAAGAAGGATGACTAACTCTAGATTGATACAGAGGTCCAGCTGTTTTTTAAATGGCCATTGAAAACAGGCACATCGAGTACTCGGGGCTATAGAAGTTAGCATACATCAAATTAACCCAGTAATTGAGTCAACCGTGAACTTCTGAACGCGCTCCCCACCCCGAGGTGCTGGTTTTAGGAGAAAGGCACCGACTGGTGTTTGGTATTCTGGAGAAACCCCTTCCGAAACTGGAAACGGAGTCGCTCCTTTGGCCTGAGGACGCGGTTCATTGTCCTGGATCCTGACCGAGGCTGGTGCACCTGCAGCGACGCGCTCTTTTTCCGCTTCCTGGGGTTTTTGATCGTCCGGAATCTGGGCGGATGGGAAGTCCTGGAGAGGACCGCCTGAGGACGCGGAGTTGGGGCGGGAGGATGTGTGTGTACAAGCGGAGGGGAGACGCTCCAGGCTCCGCCAGGGAGGCCGGAGCGAGCGACAGGGGCTCCTCTGCGGCATCGTGGGTGGCCCAGATGACCCAGAGGTGTGCGCGCAGACGGCCCCCCAGCTGACTGTTCTCCCCTGCTCTGACTGCCCTGTTTGTGTAGTTTTGGGTAACCCTTAGAACTGCCTGGATATTCTGAGCCAGAAGAATAAGGGCTAGGAGCTTGATGGGGTCAGTTCCCACGCCCGGTTCAGGGTCAGAACAACCACCATCCCGTCCTCTCCCAGAGCAGAGCCGGCTCCTTTAGCCTCCAGTTCTCCAGAGCTTTTGCCTGGGAGCAAGTTGCTGGAGCTGGTGTTGACTGATAACTTGGATATTTAGATATGTGAATTGTGGGCCTCCAGTTGACTCTTGCCTAGCTCCGAACATGTTAGGGCAGACCTATGTATGTAGTTATTTATTTTATTGAGAAATTATTTAGTTATTTATTTTATTGAGACGGGGTCTGACTCTTTCCCAGGCTGGAGTGCAGTGGCGCGATCTCGGCTCACCGCAATCTCCGCTTCCTGGGTTCAAGTGATTCTCCTGCCTCAGCCTCCCGAGTAGCTGGGACTACAGGCGGCCAGCTAATTTTTGTATTTTCTGTAGAGACGGGATTTCACCACGTTGCCCAGGCTGGTCTTGAACTCCTGGACTCAAGCTATCCACCTGCCTCGGCCTCCTAAAGTGTTGGGATTACAGGCCTGGGCCACCGCGCCCGGCTGGGAAATTATTTTTGCAATCGTAAATAACTTGCAACACTTCCCTCTGAAAGAGATTATCAGGTCCTTTACTGACGTCAGAATTTTAGAAAAGTGGGGAAAACAGGACTTGAGTACCTAGATATGAAAAGGTGGGCTGGGAAGGTGGGGTGGGAAGATGAGTCAAAATATGAGTTTAGAAGGAAACAAACTTTCCTTCCGAAGAGTTTTCCTGGATTTGCTCTTGCCTAGGTACTTCGGTGGGAGTCGGTTGGGAGGGGAAGCATGCAGCCTTGTTACTCACACTGTGGGAGGCCCTGACCAGTGTCCTGGCATCACCTGTTAGCTTGTTAGAAAAGCAGAATCTCAGGCCCACTGCAGACCTATTATTATTATTATTATTTAGAGTCTCGCTCTGTCACCCAGGCTGGAGTGCAGTGGCACTATAATGGCTGACTGCAACCTTGACCTCCTGAGCTGAAGCGACTCTCTCTTCTCAGCCTCCTAACTAGCTAGGACTACAGGCATGCATCTCCGCACCCAGCTAATTTTAAAATTTTTTGTAGAGATGGGATCTCACTAGGATGCCCAGGCTCATCTTGAGATCCTGGCCTCAAGCAATCCTCCCACCTCAGCCTCCCAAAGTGCTGGTATTACAGGTGTGAGCCACCACATCTGGCTTTATCATGTGTGTGTGTGTGTGTGTGTGTGTGTATGTATATATATATTTATTATTATTATTATTATTATTATTATTTTTTTTTTTAGATAGAGTCTTGCTCTGCTGCCCAGGCTGGAGTGCAGTGGCGCTATCTCAGCTCACTGTAACCTCTGCCTCCGTGGAAGTGATTCTCAGTGCCTCAGTTTCCAGAGTAGTTGGGATTATAGGTGCCCACCAAAATACTAATTTTTGTATTATTGGTAGAGACAGGGTTTTGCTATATTGGCCAGGCTGGGCTCGAACTCCTGACCTCAAGTGATCCTCCTGCTTCCGCCTCCCAAAGTCCTGGGATTACAGGCATGAGCCACTGTGCTGTGAGTCTTAATCTGCATTTGAGCAAGATCCCCTGGGGATTCTGTAAGTACAATAAAATTTGAGTTGCACTGGTCTAGAACTTAAATACCAATGACATCTTACTTTTAAAAGATCTTTTAAAGATCCGTATTTATCTTAAGATCTTAATACCTGTTGGTATTCTTGATAGCTACAAGAAAATGAAATGGCCCAAAATTTATCTCAGAATTAAATGCCCTTTGTTTCTTTACTATTATGTATCTAGATTGTTTATGTAAAGAAGGCGGTTTTGATTATTTCATAGCTTATAAATTGGTTTTTCTTTTTTTCTAATGGCAAGTACATAGAGCAATGGTTTTTATTTTCTACCGCAGCTAAAGGCTTCAAAGTATGGAAAAAAGCATGTATTGCACAAAAAAGTATGTAGCATTCCACAAACATCACTTTTTGTGACTTTTCAAGGGGAGTATTTTCAGGGAGAAATGTCTTCAGTTTTGGAAAAACTTCTTTTAGTCGTGCTTTCTTTTCCTCCAGGGAGGCCAACTCTTAATTTCTTTTCATAGAAATAGTGGGGGCTTTATGTTTTCCCATAATATTTTGGGTTCTTACTTCTGAAATTAACCCATGATAAACTTGATTACCTAACACACAGATGTGGTTGGAGCTTGTGCTGAGCCAAGTGTGTATTTAGGTTCCGCATTAGTTTAAACCCCTGGCCAGGGTTTGGAGACAGGTATGGAAATTAGTCATGTTGGCTTCTGCTTTGATGTTTTTTGTACTCTTTTGGGATACATTTTCAAAGGAGGTAAATGTTAGAATTTTGAGCAGTTAAGGCTCTACCTTTAATGAGAGGAATGAACATCTTTGCTTCAATATCAAAGGAAAAGCTGAGACGAATATGTGGTAATCCTCTGTTGATAAACCTGGATCAGTAAAGTTGCATTATGAATTCATTGTCTTTCCTATTTATAACCCTCTTATATAGGAAGTGGAGGGGAGAAAAGATTTCTTTTCTCACCCATCACTAGGTTCATGGCTGAGACACCTATGTTTCTGGATCAAACCGATAGTTGGGCTGCCTATTCTCGTGGCCCAGTAATGTGATTCAGATGAACTGGGAAAGAAGGGAGATTATTTCTGTAACTGGTTATAGGGAGAAGGCCTGGAAGATATCGCCAGACCAATTCAAAATTACATATGTTTATAAGTATATATATGTTTATGTGTAAGTGTGCATTTATCTAAAGACATAAATGATTAACTTCTAATCTATAACTAAGATCTGAGTCCTGAAGACCTTCCTCTGGAGCCTCAGTAAATTTAGTTAATCTAAATGGGTCCAGGTGCTGGGGTGATTACTCTGGTCTTGTCTCCTGCTGAATCATGGAGGTTTGGGGAGTTCCTTCAGACCCCCAGTAAACTTGTTTGTGGAGGTCTGGGGAGTTTCTTCAGACCCCCAGTAAAACTTGTTTAGTCCCAAACGGGTCCTTTAAGAATTCCTTCGTTATGTTGTCATGCTTCGAGGCCCAGGAAAGGCCTGGGCAAACGCTCGGTGGGCTTTTGTTACATTCCAGCCTTTGTATAAGGACCCTGGTTCTATTAGCTTTTAATATTTAACTTAACCACTCAGTCAGTGCTGAAACAGTTGTTACAGAGACCCGGCCTGCCACATCTGTAAGAAAAGACAGATTTACAAAATAAAAGCTTACAAATTTATTTAATATTTGCAGTGGCCTGGTCATAGCTCACCCAGAAAATAAATACTCAAAGCTTAAGAGAAATATATATTTTTGTTGTAGAATTGTTGGTGAGGATGATGGAGGGAAACTTTTTACTCCTGAAGAATATGAAGAATACAAAAGAAAAGTTTTACCTCTGCGCTTACAAAACAGATTATTTGTGAGCTGGCGGTCACCAACAGGGATGGATTGTAAACTTGTGGGCCCAGAGACACTGTGTTTTTGTACACATAGGTAAGATACTTTATTGCAAAGTTTTTTGATAATTAGAAAATAAAAAGCTAAGCATATCTTACTTCTACAAATCGTAATGATTGAGAAACATTTAACAATTGTCCTTTATATAGTAGAGTAGAAATTATCAGCTGGGGATGGTGGCTCACATCTGTGTTATCCCAGAACTTTGGGAGGCCGAGGCCGGAGGACTGCTTGAGCCCAGGAGTTTAGTCTGCAGTGAGCTATGATTGTGCAACTGCATTCAAGCCTGGGTGACAGAGAGTGAAACCTTGTCTCTTAAAAAACAAAAATTGGCCGAGCTCAGTGGCTGACGCCTGTAATTCCAGCACTTTGGGAGGCCGAGGTGGGTGGATCACGAGGTCAGGAGTTTGAGACCAGTCTGGCCAACATAGTGAAACCCTGTCTCTACTAAAAATACAAAAAATTAGCCGGGCGTGGTGGCACACGCCTGTAATCCTAGCTACTTGGGAGGCTGAGGCAGGAGAATCGCTTGAACCTGGGAGGTGAGGTTGCAGTGAGCTGAGATCACGCCACTGCACACCAGCCTGAGTGGCAGTGTGAGACTCTGTCTCAAAACAAAGCAAAACAAAACAAAACAAAACAAAACAAAACAAAACAAAACAAAACAAAACCCCACAAAAATTATCTAAAGGTTTTTAAAGCTATAATTAAAAATTTTCCATCATATCTTATTAGTGCTCATCATGGAGTCTGTCACCTTAAGCAGTTCTCTTGCCATTGGTAAAAATGTTTGGTGGCCCTGTGGCTTTGCCAGGGGTCTTTCAGTTTGACTGGGGAGCAGTCTACCTACATCTCACATCATTGGAGAAAGTAGAGAATGGGTCATCAGATTGAGGAACTACTTTAAGCGTTGCTTGAATTGACCCACACTGATCATGCTGTCCATCTATAAGTATAAACATTTCTCCTCAAATTTACTAATTGCCTTTTATACCTTAAGGATCTGCTGTGTCGATACCTTTCTTTAAACAAACAAGCACACTGCTTTGCATTACAAATGGTCATGTTCCAAGAAAAGTGCCTAAAGGAAAGGAAATAAGTGAGGCTTCAGTTTTTGGCTTGAGTTGTCTGTATCTGAAGTTTGCGTTTTGCTGTGTGTATGCTCTACTTTAAATTTTGCTACCGTCTCACAGTTGTAAATAAAGTTCAGAATACCTAAGCTGCTTCACAGAAAAGTCTCTGAACCTGTTCCATGTTTTCAGGCAGCAACTTTAACTTTCGGTTCCAAGAGGAACCACCCTATTCTGATAGCAATTTCTGGGGCTCTTTCACAGAGACTCTTTGTATAGTTGCTATTTACAGAGTTGCAGTTTGCCAAAGTTTGTTAGGCAGTTGCTAGGATGAGTAATGTTGTATATAGATTGATTATAAATTTATTTAGCAACTCCAACTAAAAACACTGAGGAGGAATGGAGGATAAGGGATGTGTTGATATCTTTCAGAATTAAAGAGGGGTTTGGTAAGTTTGTGATAGTTTTATAATTTATTCTTACACAAATTTAGTGCCACTTTCTAATCTCTGTATAACTTATACAGCATGGACTTGAACGTCAGAATTGATCCAACTCAACTTTTTTTTTTTTTTGAGACAGGGTCTTACTCTGTCACTCAGGTTGGAGTGCAGTGGCACGATCTTGGCTCATTGCAGCCTCGACCTCCTGGGCTCAAGCGATCCTTCGACCTCAGCCTCCCAAGTAGCTGGGACCACAGGCGTCTGCCACCACATCCAGCTAATTTTTGTATTTTTTTGTAGAGAAGTGGTTTGGCTTTGTTACCCAGACTGGTCTGGAACTCCTGGGCTTAAGTTATCTGTCTACCTCGGGCTTTCCAAAGTACTCAGATTACACGTGTGCGCCACCATGCTCAGCTGACCCAACTCAACTTTGATGGAGAAGTTATTATATTTAGTACTGATCCACTCAGTGAGATTTCTTCCAAACTTTTTCACCCCACTATTAAAGTGGTATATGATTATCAAGGAAAATGGGGGATATATAGAAACATAGAATATATTCTATATACAATATATAGAAGCAGCTCACTACCCAAAGCCAGCTGCTAGTTTTTTTTTTTTACAATATCTGTATGACTTTTTCTTTTTTTTTTGAGACGGAGTTTCACTCTTGTTGCCCAGGCTGGAGTGCAGTGGCGCGACCTCAGCTCACTACAACCTCTGCCTCGTGGGTTCAAGCGATTCTCCTGCCTCAGCCTCCTGAGTAGCTGGGATTACAGGCATGCACCACCATGCCCTGCTAATTTTGTATTTTTAGCAGAGACGGGATTTCTCCATGTTGGTCAGGCTGGGCTCGAACTCCCAGCCTCAGGTGATCCACCTGCCTTGGCCTCCCACAGTGCTGGGATTACAGGCATGAGCCACTGTGCCATTTAACTGTTGTGAAGTATGTGTGTGCATAAAATACTGAGCCACTTTTTAATGACAGAATCATAGAAATATGTTTCCACATTGTTATGTGCTGATCAAAAACAAGATTTTTAATACCTGCCAGCTAGTCCAGCTAGTCCAGTGGTGTTTATCTGTGTTCTCCGGAGCTGTGAGGGAGCCTTGGGGGTGTGCCAGGTGGAAGGGCAGGTTAGAAGGGGAAACTCTATTCTGTTCTTCCTTTCGCTTTAACCAATTCTGCATTTGTTTTATGTATTCTGGTTCTATAAAAGATTTTATTTGACAAAAGGGTTTCACTGCTAAAATGTTTGAAAACTGTTGTCTAGTAATTTACTTACTGGTTCTCTTATGTCGTGTGGGTGTGTGTATAATGTAGCTGATGTAAGTACTATTGCTAATATTATTGGTATGCATAAAGCTTTTTCTATATATGGAATTATTTTCTTAGGGTATATTTTCCAAAAATGAAATTTCTGGTTCAAAGAATGGACCTTTTCAAGTTTCTTGAAACATTATTAAATAGAATTTGTTCTTTTGTAACACTCTTTTTTTTTTTTTTTTTTTTGAGACAGAGCCTCGCCTGTTGCCCAGGCTGGAGTACAGTGGTGCCATCTCAGCTCACTGCAACCTCTGCCTCCTGGGTTCAAGGGATTCTCCTGCCTCAGCCTCCCGAGTAGCTGGGACTACAGGCATACACCACCATGCTGGGCTAATTTTTGTATTTTTAGTAGAGATGGGGTTTTCATCATGTTGCCCAGGTTGGTCTTGAACTCCTGAGCTCAAGTGATCCACCTGCCTTGGCCTCCCAAAGTGCTGGGATTACAGGCATGTGCCACAGGCTCCTGGCCCTTTCGTAACACTCTTGATAGCATTGTGTATTACATATAGTTTTTAAAAACTTTGACTCTTTTTGCTAAGTTAAAATGGTATCTCATTTTAATTTGCATTTCTTTTTTTTTTCTTTTGAGACGGAGTCTTTCTCTGTTGCCCAGGCTGGAGTGCAGTGGCGTGATCTCGGCTCACTGCAAGCTCCGCCTCCCGGGTTCACACCATTCTCCTGCTTCAGCCTCCCAAGTAGCTGGGACTACAGGTGCCCACCACCACGCTCGGCTAATTTTTTGTATTTTTAGTAGAGACGGAGGGTTTCACCGTGTTAGCCAGGATGGTCTGGATCTCCTGACCTTGTGATCTGCCCGCCTCAGCCTCCCAAAGTGCTGGGATTACAGGTGTGAGCCACCGCAACCGGCCTTTAATTTGCATTTCTTTGATTAATATTGAGAATAATAAATTTAGTATTATTTTACTGAATATCACCTATGAGAAGAAAGTGAGTGATCTATTTAAGAAAATTACAATACTATAAGAAGGAGCTTTGGCTTTCAAAAATATTGATAATTTATTTTGAAGTCAAAAGTCATATTAAAATAAATTACATCAACACATGTTTATTGAATATATTTCTATTTTAAGTAGCAAACATGCAAATAAATTTAAGTAATGCACTGTGACAAAAATAACATTGGTAAAGAACTTTTTCTTTTCTTTTTTTTTTTTTTGAGATGGAGTTTCGCTCTTGTTGCCCAGGGTGGAGTGCAATGGTACGATCTGGGCTCACCGCAACCTCTGCCTCCTGGGTTCAAGCAGTTCTCCTGCCTCAGCCTCCTGAGTAGCTGGGGTTACAGGCATGTGCCACAACGGCCAGCTAATTTTTTATTTTTAGTAGAGACGGGGTTTCTCTATATTGGTCAGGCTGGTCTCGAACTCCCGACCTCAGGTGATCCGCCCGCCTCAGCCTCCCAAAGTGCTGGGATTACAGGCATGAGCCACTGCGCCCGGCCTGAACTTTTTCATACTCTTAGGCTGTGCTTCTCTATTAAGGAATCTGTAGAGGTAAGTGTTTTAAGGAAATTATATAATTATTCTTTGTATTGCTGTGAAACAGCTTCTTAAATAACTAAAAATAGAAATCTAAAAGAGTAAAGATTTCCTCTGACCAAAGCAACATAGGTGATACAAGTACTATATGTAGGAGAGTTTATTTTCACCTTACTATGAAGAATAATAAAGCAATAATAATTAAAAAATCATATCTGCCTTTAATATAATAGAAATTGTAATTTTTGATAATACCTGTATTGTGTTTATATTTCTCTCTCTTTCTCCTTTTTTAGGTATAAACAACATAAAACTGACTTGGAAGCGATTCCTCAGCAGTGCCCCATTGATCTGCCCTGCCAAGTGACTGGCTGCCAGTGCAGGGCTTACCTTTATGTCCCCTTGAATGGTAGCCAGCCCATTCGCTGCAGGTGCAAACACTTTGCTGATCAGCACAGTGCTGCGCCTGGCTTTACATGCAATACATGTGAGTTATATTATTATAAACACATAAACTCAGAATGTTTATATGTCTTCCTTGAATATTTAACGTGCTTTTTTACTGGTTGTAGAGTTAATATTCAGTTGTATTAGTTGTAGAGTTAATATTCAGTTATGGCGTTAATATTAAACAACTAAGTAGAATTCATTGGATAGATACTCTAAGATTTCATTTTTGTGGAAGAACTCAGAGTTAATGGTATGCTTGATAATCATAAACCCTCATCTCATATAGTTCAGATAATTTAAGTAATAGTAATGGATTTTAAAGAATTGCCAGATGTGATCTGATTCAAATTTTTGAATATGGGAGTTGAATCAACTAAATTCTATTCATAGATTTTAAAAAAGCATTTTATAAGTCAAAAAACTTTTATGGTTTGCTGATAGATTAACATAGCATGATCATTTTAATGCTTTGTATGCAGTAATACCCTTACCTTAATACCTGTACCCAAATTCCAACCTCTACCCCCTTTGCCCTTACACTGGATCATCCATTCAACTAGGTAGAGTGCTAGTCCATTAGTTTCCTTCAGGAGATAGTCAATCCAGTTGTTGTTATAGTAGTTTGAGTTGAAATCTTATGGTGAAGTGTGTAATAAAACATTTTTAATGACAGTGGCAGGAATAAATCTTTCATTGGCTGAATATGGAAGTAGTTGGAGAAAACTGATTTATTTATATGCCTTGGTTCATATATATATATATATATATATATATATATTTTTTTTTTTTTTAATAGAGTTTTGCTCTTGTCACCCAGGCTCTTGTCACCAGGAGTGCAGTGGTATGATCTTGGCTCACTGCAGCCTCTGCCTCCAGGGTTCAAGTGATGCTCCTGCCTCAGCCTCCCAAGTAGCTGAGATTATAGGTGCCCGCCACCACGCCCGGCTAATTTTTGTATTTTTAGTAGAGACGGGGTTTTGCCATGTTGGTCAGGCTGTTCTCAAACCCCTGACCTCAAGTGATCTGCCCACCTTGGCCTCCCAAAGTGCTGGGATTCCAGGCGTGAGCCACTGTGCCTAGCTGTTCCCATATATGTTTGTCAGAGGTGTGAATGGGTAAAGATTTTGTTAATAGTATATTCTGGCCTCCATTACAATGTGGCTTGATTTTTTTATACAACGACTTTTCTAAGATGCAATTCACATGTCATACAATTAACCTATTTAAAATGTGCAGTTTAATGATTTTTAATATATAATCAGCATGAATGTTGTGTAACCACCAGCACAATACATTTCAGAACATTTTTCTCACCCCAAAAAGAAACTCCATATTCACTAGGAGTCCTTCCTTACTTTTCTCTCTCCCCAGCCCTAGGCAACCCATAATCTACTTTCTGTTTCTGGATTTGCCTATTCTGGACATTTTATATAAATAGAATCATAGAATATGTGGTCTTTTGTGACTGGCTTCTTTCATTTAGCATGATGTTTTCATGATTCATCCATGTAGCCTATATCAATACTTCTTTCCTTTTTATTGCTGAGCAAGATTACACTACACCCTTTCTGTGTCTACAGGTTGGCCTTCTAATTTGGCTTTTATGGGGAGTTGATCTGTAGGAAGATTTCTACATTATCTCTTCACCTGGTCCTGGCCACTGGGCTCTCCCCGCCATGCCTGCTTATAATTCAGTTTTTGAGGAGAGGGTCTGCATTACCTGGCTCTTCAATTTCTTTTAGTCCTTGTTGTGTTTTGCAGTTTTTTTTTTTTCTGTGTTGTATCTGGTTACTACTTCGGCATGTTTTAGAAGTAAGAACAGTGGCTAGGAAGGAGTTCGGTGGCTGGAGGTAAGAGTTACAGGGGCCAGAGGATCTAGGTTCAGCTGGCTTTTGCCAGGCTAAGTGTCTTTAGGGTAGACAACATAGTACCTTTAAGAATTTAACTCCCTTTACATCTTGATTCAGGTTCCAAGTGTTCAGGATTCCATAGCTGCTTCACTTGTGCTTGTGGTCAGCCTGCATATGCCCATGACACAGTAGTGGAAACTAAGCAAGAAAGATTGGCTCAGGAAAAACCAGTGGGACAGGACATTCCTTATGCAGCCATGGGAGGATTAACTGGTTTCAGCTCGCTGGCGGAAGGCTACATGCGGTTAGATGACAGTGGGATTGGTAAGTGATACTATATGAAATGTGAGCCCATTGTATTGTTTTTATGTGTGCTAACAATAGTGAAGCCTTATATTTGTTAAGCAATTTATAGTATTTTTCTTTCAGAAAACATTCTCTCGTTTGATTTTTATTTTTTAAAAGAGGTTTTTAAAATTTTTATTTTATTTTTTATTTTTTCAGACCTATTTAGTATCCATAAAAGAGGTTTTATTGCTACTATACAATGTATTGTCATTATAGAATTTAGAAAGCAAGTGGCAGAGATCATTTCCATCCCAATACTTGTACTCAAATTTGAATCTGCATCTCCACTGTTTGTAATAGCTGAATAATATTTATTTTATTTGATATGATATAGTTTACCTGTTACTCTACTGTATGTAACTTAAGCTATTATATCCATTTCATTTTGGAAACAATAGGTTTATGTTCATGTGTGTATATGAACATACGTGTATATACATGTAATCACTTCTGTAGTAAAATATGTATATATGTATGTGCACACACATATATCTTCTTGCATACATATATGTTGTAAATAATGTAGGGAAAGTTTAATAGGATCTATTCTAAACTATTAAAGGTAGATGGATCCTTCTGAGAGCTGAGCGGGACTGGGGAGCAGAATGTGTTCCCTGTCTACTTGAAACACAGGTGTGTAAGTTTTTTTTTTCTTTTTTACAACAAGCATGTATTTTTTCATTTAAAAATTACATAAATACAAGTGTATATTTTCTTTTCTTTTCTTTTTTTTTTTTTGAGACGGAGTTTTGCTCTTCTTGCCCAGGCTGGAGTGCAATGGCGCGATCTCGGCTCACCGCAACCTCCGCCTCCCGGGTTCAAGCAATTCTCCTGCCTCAGCCTCCCGACTAGCTGGGATTACAGGCATGCACCACCACGCCCGGCTAATTTTGTATTTTTAGTAGAGATGGGGGTTTCTCCATGTTGGTCAGGCTGGTCTCGAACTCCTGACCTCAGGTGATCTGCCTGCCTCAGCCTCCCAAAGTGCTGGGATTACAGGCTTCAGCCACCACGCCAGGCCCATACGAGTATATATTTTCTTGTAAAAGATTCAAACAATAGAAATTAAGTGGAAAAAGAAAGAAATTAAGTGCAAAACACCCTTGAATACTTCTCTTTGTCTAATTCTTTCCCCGAGGGTAATTTGCTATCATCAATTAATTTTTCTCTTTAACATACAATTTTACTATTTACTTTTTAATTTTTAAAAATTATTTGTATTTATTGTTTAAGAGATAGGGTCTTGCTATGGTGGTAGGCTAGGTTTGAACTCCTGGGTTCAAGCGATCCTCCAGTCTCAGTCTTCCTAGTAGCTGGGATTACAGGCATGCATCACCATACCTGGCTTTACTTTTTTTTCAACTTAGAAAAATGTGAAGGCCTATTGTGTCAGGACACACAAGTCTACTTCATTCTTTTTAACTGCTGTATGGTATTCCACACTGTAGATAAAGCAGTTTATCTAACCATTTCCTTGTTCATGGCATTTAGATTTCCATCTTTGAATTTGTCTGCCTGTATCCTTGCATGAATTTGACTCTAAGGTAGATACAGAGAAGTAAAACTATTGGAGCGTGTTAACCTGTAAAATTCTAATACATTCTGCCAGAATGTCCTCCAAAAATGCTCTGCTTGTTTTTACATCCTCTACTGATGCTTTAGCTTGCCTGTTTCCTCACATTTAGGCTAATCATTGATATTATTAAACTTGATTTTTTTTGCCAGTCTGACATGTAAAATTGTTATTGTTGTTTCAATTTGATTTCCCTGGTTATTAGTGAGATAGGGATCTTTTCATATTTATTGGCCATTTCACTTTCTGTGAATTGCCTATTCATATCCCTTGCTCATTTTTTTTTTGTTTTTATCTTTTGTCATTGACTTATAGGAAGTCTTTTTATATATTCTGTATATTTTTTTGTTATTTATTTTGCAAACATTTTCTCCCAAGCTATCATTTGTCTCTTAATTTTTTTTTTCTTTACAGTTTAGAAATTTTGGAGACAGTCCTTTCCTATTTCAGTTTTATAAATATATTCTCCTGCGTTTTATTTTAATACTTTTTTATGTTTAGCTTTTTCATATATCTGTAATTTATTTTTTGTGAAAGTGTGAGGTAGATGTTTCTAACTTCAGTTTTTGTCTAAATTGATGGCCAGTTATTCAAGCACCATTCTTGCCCAAATCATTTGAAACTCTACCATATTCTTTATTTTTATTTTACTTTAAGTTCTGGGATACATGTGCAGAACATGCAGGTTTGTTACATAGGTATACATGTGCCATGGTGATCTGTTGCACCTATCAACCCATCATCTAGGTTTTAAGCCCTGCATGCATTAGCTATTTGTCCTAATGCCCTCCCTCCACTCGCCTCCCACCCTCTGACAGGCCCCTGTGTGTGATGTTGCCCTCCTTGTGTCCATGTGTTCTCACTGTTCAACTCCCACTTGTGAGTGAGAACATGCAGTGTTTAGTTTTCTGTTCCTGCATTAGTTTGCTGAGAATGATGGCTTCCAGCCTCATCCATGTCCCTGCAAAATACATGAACTCATTCTTTTTTATGGCTGCATAGTATTCTGTGGAAACTACCATATTCTGTCATATTCTCCATTTTGTACCACTGGCCCATTTGTCTATCCTGTGCCAATATTATATATTTATGTAATATATATTTTTTATGATAGCTTCCTGGTGTGTCATGATATTTGATATGGTAAATTCCTCCTGTTTGTGATTGTTTTCAAGATTGTCTTGATATTTTTGTGCATTTTCTCTTCTAGGTAATTTTATAACTAGCTTGTTAAATTTCATAAGTAAATTCTTCTGCAGTTTTATGGGTGCATAATTGTGTTAGGCTCAAGCAACAGCTAAAGAAAACCCAACTACCAGTGTCAAAACATAATGATGATGATGATCATGTTTGATGACGGCAGCTTTGTACTACCAGCAGTTGTTTGAACCACATCACTTAATCCTCACAACAACTCTGTGAGTTAGATTATTATTCCTATTTTACAGATGAGGATACGCAGCACAGAGAAGTAAAATAAGTTGCTCAGTGTTATTCAACTAGGAAGTAGCAGGGTTGGGTTCAACCTGAAGATTTCTGTGGGCTCTCTAGTCTGCCACATTGTTGGCTATTTGTGTACAGCCACTATGTTGTTTTCATTACTGCAGCTTTATCATAAATAAATTAGTTAATATTTATGACTTCATTTTATTGCTTCAGAATTTTCCTGACCTGTTCTTATGTTTTAATTCTTTCAGAACTTTGGCATCATTTTGTTAAGGTATTATAAACTCTGTTATTTTAATTGAGATCACATTGAATATGTAGATGAATGTAGAAATAATTTTTTTTTTAAAGATGGGGTTTTGCTTTGTTTTCCAGGCTGGACTGCGGTAGTATGATTATAGCTCACCGCAGCCTTGAACTCCTGGGCTTAAGCAGTCCTCCCACCCAACCTCCCGAGTAGCTGTGCCTGTGGGCGCATGCCAGTATGCCTGGCTAATATTTTACATTTTATATTTTTTTTAGAGACAGAGTCTTACTATGTTGCTCAGGTTGGTGTCAAACTCCGAAGGTCAAGTAATCCTCCCACCTCAGACTCCTGAGTAGCTGGGACTACAGGTGTGAGCCACCATGTAGAATTGATATTTTTCAGTATTGTCTTTTCATTTATTTGTCATCTGTGCAACTAAGTGGAATTCTGAAGTTGTTTTCCCAGAAGTCTTGCACAATCTTATTAAGTTTATTTCTAGGTATTTAACTTTTTTTGAGATGGAATCTTGCTCTGTCTCCCAGGCTGGAGTGCCTTGGCTCACTGCAATCTCTGCCTCCTGGGTTCAAGTGATTCTCCTGCCTCAGCCTCCTGAGTAGCTGGGATTACAGGCGCATGCCACCATGCCTGGCTAATTTTTGTATTTTTAGTAGAGGCATGGTTTCACCATGTTGGCCAGGCTGGTCTTGAACTCCTGACCTCAGGTGATCTGCCCGCCTCGGCCTCCCAAAGAGCTGGGATTACAGGTGTAAGCCACTATTCCTGGCCAATTTTTTTTCATTGGTATCATACATGAGATATTTTTTCTTCTATTATATCTTCTTACTGATTATTATTTGTTTATAAAAAAGCAAAAGTGTTTCATTGCTTTTGTTACCATTCTTATTACTTAGAGTTTTTACTCAATTTTTAGTTTATTTTATAAAAATAATGTTTTTTCCTCTTCCTTTCCAATATTTGTGACTCTTCTTATTCTTGACTAGTCAAAATGGCTAGTACTTCCAGAACAATGCTAAATAATGGTGGTAGCTGGCATCTTTGCCCTTTAGTGACGTCTAGTATTTTAACACTAAGTATCTTCAAGGTATAGTCATGTGCCACTAAATGATGGGGATACATTCTGGAAAATGCATTGTTAGTTGATGTTCGTTATGTGAACATCATAGAGTGTACTTACATAAACCTAGATGGTAGAGCATACTACACACCTAGCTACATGGTATAGCCTTTTGTTCCTAGGCAACAAACTTGTTCATCATGCTACTGTACTGAATGCTGTAGACAATTGTAACACAATAGTGAGCATTTGTATATCTAAATTTTTCTAAATATAGAAAAGGTACAGTAAAAATATGGCATAAAAAATAAAATGGGCCGTGTGCAGTGGCTTATGCCTGTAATCCCAGCATTTGGGAGGCTGAGGCAGGCAGATCGCTTGAGCCCAGGAGTTTGAGACCAGCCTAGGCAACATGGCGAAACCCTGTCTCTACAAAAATACAAAAAATTAGCTGGGCCTGGTATTGTGTGTGTGCCTGTAATCCCAGCTACTTGGTGAGGGCTGAGGTGAGAGGATCACCTGAGCTTTGGATGCAGAGGTTGCAATGAGCTGTGATGGCACCATTGCCCTCCAGCCTGGGTGACAGAGTAACACCCTGCCTCAAAGTAAATAAATAAAATGTTACACTTTTATAGGGCAGCTCTGTTACAATCTTATGTGGCCACCATTGTATATGCAGTCCATTGTTGACCAAAATGCCTTATGTAACACATGATTTCATAGGGAAAGAAAGCCTCTTCCTTTTGGTCAATGAAAGAAGGTGGAGTGAAGAAAGGTGAGAGTAAGGAGAGGAAATATAAGATGTTTTTGTTCTGATTTCAGGTATAGAGGAACCTAGGGACAGAGGGACTCCAGATTTTTAGCCATGTGGATACCTAGACCGAGGAAACCTCTTGCTGGAATTTGGTTCCTTTTTGATGTGGAAGGAGCCCATAATTCCCAGCTCTCTGGGGGTGTGGGAAGGCAGCTGACCTGTGAGTCAGTGGGCCAGTCATGCATCTATCATAGCAGGGGGCAGAGCTGGAGGTGGGTTCCCTAAGCTCGGGGACTCAATAGAGGAAGTGACAGGTATTGAGGGAGTCTGTACTTATAGTCGGAGCAAGCATGAGGCTACCAGGCCCTATCAAGCTGAGAGACCAACTTATTAAATACAAGTTGAGCATTTGAGATCAGTAGCACATGCAGCCGCCAGAGGGCAGCACAAGGACGTGCGTGGGCCAGAGCCCCTTCTCCCATGTTCCCACATGCCCCATGGAAGCCACTGGGGCCAGGAGCGGGGAGAGACTGAGCAATCGTCCCACACTGTTTATGTTATAAGATGGGGCTAACTTCTAACCCAATTAGGACCACCTGTGGTGTAGAGATAGCAGTGTAGGGGAAAGGTGGTGGTTTGTGAAGAAGATAGAGCAGCTACACATTTTCTCTGCAGCTTCCTTCCTTTTGGTCCAAAAGTCAATATATTTAGCAATTAGTCTTTGTAGTTTATGGTTTGGAGTTGTGGATGTTTCCTCATTTCATTGAAGAGGGTGCTTTCTTCTTTATTTTTCATACTTTGTTTTTAGATGGTTTCCTAGTAAGGAATAGAGTAAAAATACACTTATTCTACCCTTTTCAGCCAGAGGTTCCTTATTGTGAATGTCTTGCTTTTGATAGTGTTTTATAACTATTATATATTAGGGTTTTGAACTTCTATGCTAACATAGGTACATAATATTCTTTTTTTCTGTGAAAAAGTTCTCAGAAATGTGCAGAAGAATACTTTTACCCATTTGCTTTTACTTTATATGTCAGACAAAAATCTAAATAAAAAGAGTCTCACAGTGTTGCCCAGGCCGGATCCAGTGAAGTGATGTGATCATAGCTCACTGCAGCCTCAAATTCCTGGGCTCAAATGATCTTCCTGCTTTACCCTTCCAAGTAGGTAGGGCTACAGGCACACACCACCATGTCCAACTAATTTATGTATTTTTTTTTTTTTGGTAGAGATGGGGTCTCCCTATGTTACCAAGACTGGTCTTGAACTCCTGGCCTCAAGTAATCCTCTTGCTTTGGCTTTCCAAAGTGTTGGCATTACAGGCATGAGCCATTACACCCAGTCTAAAATTTTTTTTTTATAGAAAGAATTTCTAATAATTCTGCTGAGGTTCCAATTTATTTTACATTAGAAGTAATAACTTGTTTGTATCCCTGTAAATATTTAATTTTTATTCTCCATGTATTGTTTTCTCAGGTGTACCTTCAGTTGAATTTTTAGAATCTCCCATTACGGCAGTAGACAGCCCATTCCTAAAAGCATTTCAAGCATCATCTAGTTCTTCTCCAGAAACGTTAACAGATGGTAATGAAATGAAGTTTAGAACTGTTTTTGGATGTAGTAAATTGGAATATGGAGCTTTGATTTGTTTTCTAGGCATCTCTCTTTTTTTCATTATTACGATAATTTAACTTCAAGTTAAGCTATCATTTTACTTTCTTTTATGTAAGCCACACACTGAGAAAAAGCAAGCAACTTCATTTTGTATTGGGAAAAATAGCTAACTCCGAGAATGTCGAGGATTCTGATACTACTATAATTTGAAGTTTTAAACCTTGTTCTGGTACATGCTGTTGCTCTGGTGTTTGAATAAGAGGGCCTTCTGGCGGCCTAATTGCCTTTGGGTTTTCCCAAAGAGGCGTAATCCAGTGATAACCATAGGTTAGCAGGGTTTTATCATTTATAAATTAAGAGCAAGTAGAATTCATTTTTAAGCACCAGTATTCTGTATTTTCCTTACTGAAAACAGGAAGAATGAATTTGTATGACTTATTAGGTATTTAAAATTTAGTATTTTAGAATATTTTAAAATGAGAATTTTCTTTATCTGTATTTTCATACACCTAGACGTTCCCCACAAGGAATTTTAAGGCTGCTTGCCTTAAAACATACAACTTAGTACATAATGATAAAATATATATACAAGTAAGAAGCCAAGAAAAGGACACAGCTGTGGCAGCTTTCAAGGTTGATGTAATTGCTTTGTTTAAACTTCAGTTTTGACTGAGTTTAGTGGCAGCCAAGACACAGAGGAAAGTGCAGTCAATTAAATGCTTTCTTTATTAGACAGGAGGAAGCCCGAGTTCCTCAGTGCTAATGAATGTTACACCAATGCTGGAATTTTTTTTTTTTTTTTTTTTGAGACAAGTTCTCTCTCTGTTGTCCAAGCTGGTGTGCAGTGGTGTGATCATGGCTCACTGTTACCTTGAACTCCAGGGCTCAAGTGATCTTCCTGCCTCAGCCTTCCACATAGCTAGGAGTACAGGTGTGCCCCCACACCTGGGTAATTAAAAAAACTTTTTTTTTGCAGCAGCAGGGTCTTGCTATGTTGACTAGGCTGGTCTCAAACTCCTGGCCTCAAGCTAGCCTCCTGCCTCAGCTTCCCAAAGCACTAGGATTATAGCTATGTGTCACTGCTCCTGGCCTGGCATGCTGGATTTTAAGTCAGTATAGTGACCCTCAGTGATTAGTGACCAAGGTAAAAGCTTTTTTTCAGCAAATACAGCAGACAGTTGCTTGTTTCTGATAGTCACCTTTTCCTTTTTTTTTTTTTTTTTTTTTTTTTGAGACAGAGTCTTGATCTGTTACCCAGGCTGGAGTATAGTGGTGTGATCTTGGCTTACTGCAACCTCCACCTACCTGGCTCAAGTGATCTCCCACCTCAGCCACCTGAGTAGCTGGGACTATAGGGATGCACCACCATGTCCAGCTAAATTTTGAATTTTTTGTAGAGACAGGGTTTTGCCATGTTGCCCAGGCTGGTCTCGAACTCTTGAGTTCAAGCAATCCACCTGCCTCCACCTCCCAAAGTGCTGGGACTACAGGCGTGAATCAGTGCACCTGGCCTGATAGTCACCTTTGAAGAGTTGTGATATACCATTTTACTAGATAAATGGTAATATGCCATTATAATGCAACTCAATGTAGATGAGTCTGGAAGAGGCTGGGCTCAAATGGTCCCACATGATCCAGGGATAGACCCAGAGTTTCCAGAGGAATGGGTGGATAACACTTATTCAAATAAGAATCCCTTCTTACTCTTCTCAATAAAACTTTTGTCAAAGATAATCGACAGACTGTAGCTATACTCTGTGGTGATTGTCTGGAGTTACATGTTGCTGATTGAGGGTGAATTCATATGCTTTAGAAACTAGAAGCGCAAGTGTTCAGGTTGCTAGTCTGCTTTGGAAATGAAGGGACCCAGTGAAGACCTTCACTCGCAATGAAGGTGTACTTTTCTATGCAATTAGGCTCTTGGCTACCTGCCAAGAAAACCAGATGTTTTCCTACTGAAGCAATTTCAAAAGTTCCTTTCAGCATATAAATTAGTGCTTGATCCATTTGACAAAGTGATTACCGTAAAAAATGGATAAAATAGTTCAGTTTTGAAAGATTTTGAAGCAGGTACTATCATTACTTATGGTTGCCTATACCAAGCCTCAATAATTACTTTTGTGCATTATCTCAAAGTGTAACATGGATTTCTAGTTATAAAATGTAAAAAGTAGTTGGACAAAACTAAGTGTACTCTTATACGGAATAGCTATATGGTGCTATTTAATATGAACTGTGGAATATTTGGAGAATGTTTGCTAGTGAAAAACACTTTTGTCCTGTGATGCCATTCTCTCTAAAAGAGAATGAGGTAGTAGGACCAATTATTCATTTAGGCCATTTTTGGTTTGAAAAATAAAACATTATCACCGAGCAGGAGAAAACTTTTCTTTCTTTTATTTCAGGGGAATATGTAATGATATAAATACATTACTTAGATTTTTTTTCCTTGTTAGTAGGTACAAGTAGTCAAGTTTCTTCATTAAGGAGACCTGAAGAGGATGATATGGCTTTCTTTGAAAGACGATACCAGGAAAGGGTAGGTTTTTGAGGAAATTCAGTTGCACTAAGCATTTACTTGTAGCAAAAGCACTAGAATGATTATACATTGAATGTGGAACATCCTTGAAAATAATTTATAAAGTCTTTACTTACAGTTGGTGTTAGGCCTTGAGGCTTATTAGAATACACAGAAACAGGGCTAAAGAATAACATGATATTTAATACACTGGTTGATTTATGAAGGCCATAAAGATTGGATAAATACGCAGATAAAATTGTCAGTAATAAACATCAATATCAGCAGATTTGTAAATTATATGTATCTTGAATTCTTTTTTTATACATGTACCTTTATTTTTTATTTAAAAATATTTGCCAAATAAAGATTGAATATATTTTGAATTCTCTTTTTTTTTTTTTTTTTTTGAGACGGAGTCTTGGTCTGTCGCCCAGGCTGGAGTGCAGTGGCGCGATCTCGGCTCACTGCAAGCTCCGCCTCCCGGGTTCACGCCATTCTCCTGCTTCAGCCTCCCGAGTAGCTGGGACCACAGGCGCCCACCACCATGCCCAGCTAATTTTTTGTATTTTTAGTAGAGACGGGGTTTCACTGTGTTAGCCAGGATGGTCTGGATCTCCTGACCTCGTGATCCACCCGCCTCGGCCTCGCAAAGTGCTGGGATTACAGGCATGAGCCACCGCGCCTGGTGCCTATTTTGAATTCTTAATATGTATTATTTATTCTTCTTAGAGGCTTTTAGGTGTATCCAGACTCGTTAAAATTACCCAATACACATCTGGGCACAGTGGCTGCTTTTTTGCTTTAACTACAATGGAGGAGGAAAAGACTTTCAGAAAGGTAACTGTGGGAATATAGAAACCAGAATTATAGAAAACTATCCTTAAAGCAGTCCACGTTCCAGAGAGAATCCAGCTGGATTAGGTGCATTATGTAACTCTGTAGGGAATGTGCATAGGCTGGATGTAAGTTTAGTCATTTTAAGCACTTGTAATTTTAGTGGCAATTGAAATTGTTTTCTCTAAAGCAATATTCATATATTACTTTTATTAAAATGCTTCTGTAAAATTAAAATAAAACCATCTGAAAATGTGTAATTATGTCCCTTTAACAGATTTTGGCTTTAGTATTTAGCAGCTTAATAACTGTGGAATGGCTGTGACATGAATCTGAATGAGTTTTCTGCAAGTTTTTTTTCTTTAGAATGGTTTACAAGTTATTATATCAATAAATATGTTAAATTTACAGATGAAAATGGAAAAGGCTGCTAAGTGGAAAGGAAAAGCTCCATTGCCATCAGCTACAAAACCTTCATGAAGACTATTGGAGAAATTAAAACCATCATCCAAGTATCTTTTTCATGTTTATTTAAATGTAATAATACAGTTTATTTTTCCTGAAATTATTTACTTTTTTTTTTTACTGTATAAATGTCTTTTGGGATGTTTCCTTAATTTATTTAAATAACTAAAAATGCCTATTACTTTTGTCAAAACTCATAATTTACTACTTTGTATGTACCTTTCTTTCTCCTGACAAATGAGGTTATTTTATATGAGTCTGTCTGAGAGTACAGTAAATGTTTTTAGTACATAATAATTTAACTGTTTCAGGTATTTAAAAAATTAAAGATATTATCAAGGGTTTTGGACAAACATATGAGCCATTTTTTTGTCATTCAAAATAGTAAGTTAAAAACAAGAGAACAAAAGAAAAAAATAGTTAAAATCATTAATTTTTTTATTTTTCAAACTTTGTAATGTTATGTTTTCAAATAAAAACTATCTCAAAATTTTACAACCATTTTCTAGTGATATTACTGATTTTTTTTTTCAATCTTTCTCAGGCTGAAGATATCTACTGATTTTTACGTTGTGTTGTCAACCACCCATTGTCTATGACTGTACTGGACACATCTTGTGTGCCACTGCAAATCCTCTTGGCCCCGTTTCTTACTCCATTACTGCTGTGGAACACTTTCCAGCAGGCTTCTGATAGCGGAAGCCATTTGATGGCACCTTGTCTTGGGCGCATGTCATGGCTCTCTTGCTTCCTTCTGCAGGGATCTTCTGACACTGTGGCTTGGGATGCCCACTAGAACCCCACTGTATGATACATATGCAGCCCAAAGATGTTGGGGAGCTAGTGACTTTGGGGCCACTCTTGATTAATGGGAGGTGGAAGCCCAATACATAAGTGCTCTCCCGTCTGTTGGGAAGACAATTCTGAAATGCATTTCATAAACTTCCTCAGAAAGTCCTATCGTTGAGCTCCAGTCACCCATAGCAGTGGCCAACTCAATAATAATATATCCTTATCTTTCTTTTTTCCTTTTCCACTCCTCTACCCCTCCCTCTAGTTCCCTCAGATCACTTCCCAAATAAACTACTTGTATAACAACACTTACAGGTATAAGAACATTTGTCTTAGGCTTTGCTTTTGGGCAAGGGATAAACTCAGGCTAAGATGGTTAGTACCAGGAATGGCCTTTGACAGCAAAGACTCAGGATAGTATCCTGTGACTGGATCAGTTACTGCAGTGGATTTGGATGAAGTGCAGGTGGCAGGTGAAGTGCTAGGTTATGCAGTCGCTGTGCCACTACAGTGAAATGGGACTAGTGGAAATTATAAAGATTAAGTATTCACTTGCTACTGTGAAATGCTTTAGGAGCTTTGAAAAAGAAAATGACACAGGCTCATGATAGCCATTTAACTCAAGGAATGCTGTGAAAGCCAGAGTCCCTCTGTAGCACTTTCAGGAAACTCATCTGCAGATGCAGGGCAGACTGTGCTGCCAATGAGGCCCAAATCTAATAGTAAAGGTGGCAGGGCTGCAGAGGAGACAGAATGCACAGCCTTGCTAGTCCCCAGCAAAGTCAGTGCTGACACAAAAACAGTGGAACCCTAAATCACAGGATGGGACATTTGTGTTGGTGAGCCTGAGAATCTTGAATCCTCAGGTTTCCATGAACTCTGAGCTGGCACAAGCCGTGTCCTCCAATTTTCTAGTGGAGAATAGCCTGCCCTTACCTTGAGATTCTGTAAAGGCTTTATCTGAGGCAGTTGCATCACAAGGTAACACTTATCCTCCTCAAGATCCACCCTTGTTTCCTCTCATTGACTCCAAAGTAATAACTAGGATCAGGTCTTAGCAAACCCTAAGTTGGGGAATACAGTCCTTCCTCTAGGAGGATAGGTTTCACTCTGAATCAACTGCAGATTCTGGTTAAAATGTATTGGGAGGAACCCAGGAAACATGTCTGAGAGTAGATCTTGAGGATATTGAGTCAAGGGGTGGGGTGGAGGTGGAATATAAGGCTTGATAGGAGAGAGTGACATGGGAGCGCTCACTCATGATGCATGATTTAATTCCCTGGCAAGAATCTCTGGAGTTGCTCCTAACACAATGCAAGGATGGCATATAGAAGATATGATAGGCATGCTAGCAGTTATCTGACATAGTATTGAGGAAGCGGTCAGAAAGCTCAGGGATGTATTTGTTGTTTGAAACTGGAGAAGTTATCACCCGACTTTTCCCTGGGAGGGTCCAGATGATATTCATAACTAAGGCAAAAAAATATATAATGGTAGTCAGGTGCAGTGGATCACACCTGTAATCCCAGCACTTTGGGAGGCTGAAGTGAGAGGATTGCTTGAGCCCAGGAGTTCAAGACCAGCCTGGGCAACATAGTGAGAGCTCGTCTATACAGACACACACACACACACACACGGTGGGCATGGTGGTGCATGCCTGTAGTCCTAGCTTCTTGGGAGGCTGAGGTGGGAGGACTGCTTGAGCCAGGAGGTTGAGGCTGCAGTGATCCTTGATCATGCCAATACACTAGCCTGGGTGACAGAGTGAGATCCTGTCTCAAACAACAACAAAGAGAAATGTAATGGTGAAGAGCATACTGGAAACTTTGAAAAGCTTGGCAATGGTTGATTGACCTCTACAGGCTAGAACTGATGATGGAAGATGCTGTCATGACAATGGGCTCTGTGGTATCAATGTAGATAGATGATGGGATGCTGAAATTTTGAAGGCCAAGTTGCAGAACTTAACTGTCAGGGGCCCAGTGGACCTAATTAACTTAATGGGCACCTAGGCATGAATCTGTGAACAAGGTAAAGTTCATGATGTTCCAAGGGGCAAGACAGAAGGACAGCTGATTAGGATGTTATTTGAGTTGTATAATTGACTTGTTATATAATGATGTTGATTGACTTGTATTATTTGACTCCTCTCACCCCTCAAAAAAGAAAATTGAGAATTGGCAAGGAGAAGGCTGACATCAATCTTGGTAATGAAAAACCATAGTTCCCCATCCAGTTTCCAGATCTAAAGCTCATGATGCAAGGGAAGGCCCAGATCCCCTCGAGGAAGGATCATCCAATATATTTGGTAAATATCCCCCTAATCCTTTCTCCAAGGGGCAGTCACGTACCATCATTTACCAAGGTAACTGTGCAATGGATAAAAAGGAATAGTCAGATTTTTTTTTTCAACCAATGACTGTTGGATACAGTGCCTGACCTGACATGGATTCCAGAAGACCCAAAATACCATTGTGGTTCACTGGTTAGAGTAGGGAAGCTCAGTGACAAATGGCGTCCTGGCCAAAGTTAATCTCACAGAAGGTAAAATGGGTCTGGTCCCACTCTTTACTTCTACTCTCCCTATATATACATAATTGAGATAGACATACTTTGAGGCTGACAGAGCCCTTGGACCTACACTGATGGCTCTTGCTTCTTGTCCCAGGGCTTCTTAGATGCTGTAGGACAGACTTAATGACCTAGATGCTTCCCTTGACCAATGGGTCATGTCGACATAAAGTCAGTAAGGATATAGAAGACTTGAACAACAGTATTAACCAACTTCACCTAATTGACATTTATAGAACACACTAACCAAGAACAGCAGAAAACACATTCTTTTTTTTTTTTAGTGCAAATGGAACATTTACTAAGATTGACCATATTTTAGGCCATAAAACAAGGCTCAATATTCTTAAGATGATTTAGATCTTAAAGTATATCCCCTGACCACAGTGGAATTAAATTATAAATCTATAACAAAGATACATGGAAAAATCTCAAATGTTTGAAAATTATATAACACATGTAAATGATCCATGGGCCAAAGAAAAAAAGTCAAAATGGGAATAAAAGCACTTGTAATTGAAAGGCAATGAAAACACAACATCATATTTGTGGGATGCAGCTAAAGCAGTATGTAGAGGAAAATTTATAGCACCAAAATGCCTTCATCAGTAATGAAGAAAAATCTCAAATCAGCCCTTACCTTAAGTAACTAGAAAAATAAGAGAAAATGAAACTATAATAGATAGAAAAGGGAAAATAAGACCAGAGTATAAATTGAAATAGAAAACAAAAGCAAGAGAGAAAATCAATAAAACCAATAAAATTTATAAACCTCTAGCCTGACTAATACGAGAGAGAGGGAGAGAAAGAGAGAGATAGAGAGAGAAGGCACAAATTATCCATGTTAGGAATGAGAGTGGTGACATCACTATAGACTCTACAGACATTAAAAGGATACTAAGGGAATACTATAAATAACTATGCCAATTACTTTGACAACTCAGATGAAATGGACAAATTCCTTAAAAAAACACTGTGTTGTAAGTCCCCTTTGTGGGATATTTAAAGATCATTCCAGTTTGGCCATGGAAATTCCAGAGAGGCATATAAAATTAAAGACGTCATTATACTCATTTGTTCTAGAAAAGGGAGGCATGACATGCCACATGGGGGCTACATATAAGGTTTGAACGCCAAGGGAGCATGCTCGAGCTTAGAGAGAGTGAGGACCCATGGGCAAGTGCCTTTACTGGGGGTCAGAGCAGAGTACACAAGAAAACCTGGGAAGGGATTTCATTGGTGCTTTTTGAATGTCATTAGGTCACAGTCGGGACGTGGCAGGAAATAGCCTATCACCCTGGTACACCTGGTCACTTGGGCAGGGTGGTTATAGCCTATTTGTGGGGATATTGAGGCACCAGGAAAATATAAAGTTAAAAAAATTACAATATAGACACAACTATCAAGCTCATTAAATACTAAATGGGTAACATGATTAGCCCTATATCTATTAAAGAAATTGAATTTGTAGTTAAAAACCTTACCACAAAGAAAATTCTAGATGGCTAGAATGTGCACTAGAGGAAATGATGCCTAGATGGCTAGATGGCCGCACAGTGAATTTCACCAAGCCTTAAAGGAACAAAGAATATCAATTCTATAAGACTCTTCCAGAAAACTGAAGTTGGGAATTCTTTGCAACTTATTCTATATGGCCAGCATCACTCTGATATCAAAACCAGACAAAGCCATTATGAGAAGAGAAAATTTCAGACCAATATTCCTCTTGAACATAGATGCAAAAATTCTTAACAATTTTAGCAAACCTAATAAGACAATATATAAAAAGGATAATACATCATGACCAAGTGAATTTTATCCAAGAAATGTAAGGTTGGTATAACATTTGAAAATTAATTGATGTAATTCATCATATTAATAAACTAAAAAAGAACCACATGATCATTTCAATAGATATGAAAAGAAGTATTTGACAAAATTCAACACACATTCATGATAAAAATTTTCAGCAAACTCAGGATAGAAAGTAACTTCCTTAATCTATTAAAGGTATCTACTATAAACCCACAGCAAACATCATACTTAATGGTGAAAGGAAAATGCTTTCCTCTTAAGAATAGGAACATGGCAAGGGTGTCTGCTCTCAGCACTTATTTTCAGCATTACACTGAAGGATCTAGCCACTGCAATACGGCAAGATAAAAATAAATAAAAGACTTCCAGATTGTAAAGGAGAAAGTAAAAACAGCCTTTATTTGCATAAGACATGATCATCTATGTAGATAATCCTGTTAAATTTATTTTAAAAACTATCACTAGAAATAGGCTAGACTCAGTGTCTAATACCGGCACTTTGGGAGACTGAGGCAGGAGGCTTGCTTAAGCCCGGGAGCTCAAGGCTGCAATGACCTGTGATAGCACCGCAGCTCTCTCATCTGGGTGACAGAGCGAGACCCTGTCTTACACACACACACCCACCCACAAAAAAACTATCACAGAAATAATACACAATATACTAAAGTTATATTTCTATATACTAGCAACAAAACAAACAAGTTGAAATTAAGAAAATAATACAATTTACAACGGCATGAAAAATGAAATTCTTAGGGATAAATCAGACAAAAGTAAAACTTTTATAATGAAAAGCATAAAACATCACTCAGCGAGATAAAATAAGACCTAAATAAATATACTGTGCTCATGGATCAGAAGACTCAATATAGCTAAGATGTCCATTCTCCTCAAATTGGTGTATACATTCAATGTGATCCCAATCAAAATCACAGCAGGCTCTGTGTGTGTGTGTGTGTGTGTGTGTGTGTGTGTAGATGCTGACAAATTGCTTCTACGATCGCATGAAATAAAACTACCGTAATTAAGACAGTGTGGTATTAGTCTAAAGAAAGCAAATAGATCAGTGTAACAGAACAGAGAATCCAGAAATAGACTTGCGTATGTATGGTTAATTGATCTCTGACAATAGTGCAAAGACAATTCAATAGACAAATGACAGTGTTTTAAACAAATGATGCTGGAAAAATTAGATATCCATATGCAATAAAATAAAATTTGATTGTTTCACATGTTATAAAAATAAACTCAAAAAGGACTATATATCAAAATGTAAAGCTTGAACATGTAAAATTTCTGGAAGAAAATATAGAAGAAAACTTTTGTGAACCAGGCTAGTCGGAGATTCCTTACATACAACACAAAAGCATGAACCATAAGACAAAACCGATAAATTAGACTTTATTGAAATTAAAAACTTTTGTTCTTTGAAGTACCCTTTTTAGAAAACAAAAAGACAGCTGTAGACTGGGAGAAAATATTTTCAAACCTGAAGGAGTTTTATCCACAGTATATAAAGAACTGTCAAAACTCAATAATAAATTCAGTTAGAAAACAGGAAAAAGCTTGGACACCTCATTTAGGAAGATCTGGATGGAAAATAAACATAAGAAAAGTTTCTCAACATTTTTAGTTAGTAGAGAAATAAATGCAAATTAAAATCACAAGGAGATACCACTTTAAACATTTATACATGAATGTTTAAACTTAAAAACACAAACCATATCAAATGATGGTGAGGATATAGAGCAACTAGAACTCTGAAACCCGCTGGTGGGAATATAAAATAGTACAACTGTGTAAAACTATGCGGCAATTTTTTAAGCACATATACAATTCTATGACTTGGCCATTCCACTCCTAGGTACTAACCCATGAGATATGAAAACATATGTCCATACAAAGACTTGCACACAATAGCAGCTTTATTTGAAACAATTCAAAACTGGAAGCAGTCCAAACACCTATTAAAAGGTAGATAAACAAATTGTGTTATATTCATGCAGTGGAATAGTAACAGCAATAAAACCCAACAAACTCTTGACACATAGGACGAAATTTATCAATCAAAATAATTATGCTATTGGAAAGAAGCTAGATTAAATGTTCATACTGTATGATTCTATTATCGTAAAATTCTAGAAAATGCAAACTAATATATGGTGACAGAAAGCAGAACGGGAGCTGGGAGGAGTCAGGTATTACAACCGGGCATGAGGAAACTTTGAGGTGATGGAAAAGTTTATCTTAATTGTGGAGGTGATTTCAACAGTGTATACATATGTTCACCCTTAACAAATTATGCACTTTTGATATCTGCAGTTTATTGTACTTTAACCTTCAAGCTGTTAAAAATTAACCGGAGATAATTTTCAATTGTTGTGTAAGGTTTGCCACAAAGTGTAATATCTGCAAAGAAGCAGACAACTAATTTTTTCTTCTTAAGATTGTGGAAAAAGTTGTAATACTACAGAGAGCTGTGGAATCTAAGGATTAGTTGACCAACGCTTGTAAAGCTACCAATCTGAAAAACACATTTTCAGTTACCAAAGTTATTTTCTCTCTTCCATCGTGTAAATAGAATGTCGGGGTTCTTCTAATTTGGGTGTTTCTAAAATTTAAATCCACGTGAACAGATTAGGAAAGACCACGAAATCCTACGTCACCTCTAAAGTCACAGCTTGAAGCCTTGCGAAAGGAACTGGCCCTAGACCCCACCCCGGCCTATAAATCACCAGGGCGCAGCCTCAGTGCCTGGGGGTCGGCAGCAGCCAGCGTCAGGCGGCTCCCGCACGCTTCTTCCTAGGCGGCAGGCCGTGGCTGCCACGTGACTCCCGCTAACACCGGATGATGGCGCAGCGCTGTGCACGCAGGCGCAGTGTGGGGCCCTTGCGGTCGAAGCTCACGCGGTAAGCCGCTGCACGTGTGCTACGGCGGGCGGAGGGCCGAAAGTCCAGTATGTGGGTCCAGGGTCACTCTTCTAGAGCTTCCGCAACGGAAAGTGTGAGGTCAGTAGTAGTTTTTGTGGTACGTGCAGTGGTGGCCGCTTCAAGGACTATTTTCGTCGCTGCTTGCGTTTTAAGTCTCCAATCCTGGGACGAGGCCCATTTCAGGGTTTTCTGTCACCTTCTAGCCGCCCGCCACCCCAGAGGGGTGCCAGATGCCCCAGTTTTTGAGTGCATGCAGGCAGGCGAAAGTGGCTCGAAAAGACCTCCGGCCTGAATGATCTCCATGAAGACGCGGTCACGCAGCCTCCACACTCTCTTCCCCTTCTCGAAAATTCTGTGCCATTTAAGTTTCAAAATCCCTTATAAAATAAGTGTCAGAGAGCTACGTGTACCCGTTTCTTCCAAATTTTCATCACGAAGTGGAGATTTGGACGTACTATTTTGTGATCTCTGTTTGCAGAAAGTGGGTACGGCATCAGTGCCTTCATAATCAGGGCAAGTCATTTTAAAATAAGATTTAAAAACTACTCTAGAAGTAGCTTCTTGGAGTGTGTGGAGAGATTTCCAAAGTAATTTTAACTTTTACTGAATTTAAGCCTTAATGCTTTCCGTGGGAATATATAGTCTCCCTAAAAGTTATTACAGCTTTTCAGTCAGTTGAATTTAAAAACTGCTTTTTGACCAGTAGAAAAGAACCCTTGCTTTGGAGACATTTTCATGCCACTTACGAAAAATTTTTTTAAAAAATTAAGTTGTGACAAAGTAATCCATTTTTAAAATTTTATTTTTCTGTGATGAGGAGTTAATGTTTTCCTTTTCATAATGAGAGAGCATTTGAAACTTTAGTATAGTGGTGTTCCTAGACAACTTTTAAAGCTCTTAAAAAATTGCGGTGGCTTAGGCCTGTAATCCCGGCACTTTGAGAGGCCGAGGTGGGCAAATCACAAGGTCAGGAGTTCAAGACCAGCCTGGCCAACATGGTGAAACCCCGTCTCTACTAAAAATACAAAAATTAGCTGGACGTGGTGTCACGCGCCGGTAATCTCAGCTACTTGGGAGGGTGAGGCAGGAGAATTGCTTGAACCCGGGGGGTGGAGGTTGCAGTGAGCTAAGATCTCCAGCCTGAGCGACAGAGCAAGACTTCGTTTGGGGGGAAAAAAAAAAAAACCCATAAAAAATCTGTGTTTTAATTTTCCTTCAACACTTATGAATGGAAAGTGCAGTATTTTAGTATATTACAGATAAAATTACATAGTGTACATTTATTTTGGAATATTTTTGCATTTGATAAAGTATAATATTATGTAATTAAAATTATTTTTGAAGTAATAGGCAAAATTTTAGGTATTTTTGCAGTCTTTAATCCCACGGAATCTTCAAAAATAGTAACCACCGTGCCTTTTACATAAAATAGACTACCAGTTTAAAGCATTTGTTCTATTACTTGTAATGTTTCTCTTTGTTTACATTGTGGAAGTCCTTTTTATGGGAGGATATTTTCTAAAAAAAGAATATGTACATTGTTTCAAAGTATTGATTTATGTAAGTGATCAAAATGTATATGAGTTCAGTATAAGTTTGTAAAAGTTTGGCTAGAGATAATTTTAAGGATAGAGATTATATATGATAAAATTGCATCTACTACAAAATACTCAAAAGAATTAGTTAGTGAAGGAAATATTGAGCTCATTTTTAATATAGAGTTTGAATTTTGATAACTGCATTTAGGACAAAACATTTGTAAGAATTGAACATGATGTAGTTTAGTCTTCATTCATTATTAATGGTGGATTATTGTAATCTAATTTAAGGTATTGTTCTAGTTTTTCAGGAATTGTTCAAATGGATGAAGATACACATTACGATAAAGGTACTGACACTAAAAATTATTTTGGGGTGTAAGAGCTAGATGATACTGATTAATTTCTAATTTTCCTTGTATTGTGATTTGATTTTAGTGGAAGATGTGGTTGGAAGTCACATAGAAGATGCAGTAACATTTTGGGCCCAGGTAAATAGCAAACTGGTTGATATCCCCCCTCACCTCCCCCAATCCAGTTCCTCCCCAACAAAAACAAAAATAAAACCCAGGAATAAATACATTTGTCATTCTCATTGCCTAATATTTATTGAATTATTTATCACCAGGCATTATTAGGAGACAAATGTTGACAGCTGTGATGTTACTTGACTCATTATGAGTCAAGTGTTATGCCCATAATACACCAAGTTTGAAAAAAGAAAATTGGCAAGATTGTGATTTCAGAATTCCACTCAATTCTAGGCTGCTTTTGCTGGATTCTGAGAGCCTGTTGTATTTGTGAAGTTATAGCCCCATCTAGGGGTCTTTTATAAGATTGTTTCTTGAAGGAGGATAAGTTAAAAATCTCGGTCGTTTTTTCTAATGGCTTAAATTTGAGATGTGGTATTTTTCTCATTATAGAATTGGAAGCATGAATGAAACATTTCTGATTTTCTGTTGGGAGGGTGTCAGTTAGGTAAGGTTACTCAGTTTTAAATACAAAGCAAGCACTGAAGGGCTGTGTTCCACAATTTAAGAAGGTAAATTCCTCTGATGCACAGAACGACCTGCTAATTTTTGGTTTTGTAAACTATACATGATACGGAAGGGAAAGAAATTACGTTTCTCTATACTCCCTACAGCATGGGAACTCCTTTTGGTGGGGGGTGAGGTGAACTCGTAATGTGGGAAATAAGGAGAATATATGAGAAGAAAGTTCTAGAAGAATATGATTAACCCAGAGTTCTTAAATATATAGTCATGCATCACTTAATGACTGGGATACATACAGAGAAATGCATCATTAGGCAACTGCGTCGCTGTATGAACATCATAGAATGTACTTAGAGAAACCTGGATGATATAGCCTACCACATACCTAGGCCATGTGGTGTACCTGTACCTCATGTTACTGTACTGAATGCTGCAGACAATTGTAACACAATATTAAGTCTTTATGTATCTAAACATGAAGGTACAGTAAAAACATATTATAAAAGATTAAAAAGTGGTACACCTGTATAGGGCACTCACCATGAATGGAGCTTGCAGGATTAGAAATTGCTTTGGGTGAGTCATTGAGTGAGTAGTGAGGAATGTGAAGTCCTGGGACATTACTGTACACTACTGTATACTTTATAAATACCATACACTTAGGCTACACTAAATTTATAAAAATATTTTTCTTCAATAAACCTTAGCTTACTGTAACTTTTAATAAACTTTTGACTCATTTGTAGTAACACAGCTTAAAACAAACATTGTAGAGCTGTGCAAAAATATTCTTTACGTCCTTATTCTAAAGCTTTCTTCTCTTTTTAAACTTTTAATTTTTTTTTACTTTAAAAACTTTTTGGTTAAAAACGAAGACAAGATCTTCAATATCACTGTCTTTCACTTCCGCTTCTTGTCCTACTAGAAGGTCTTCAGGGTCAGTAATGTGCATGGAGCTGTCATCTTCTGTAATAAAAATGCCCTTTTGGAATACCTTCAGAAGGACTTGAGGCGGCTGTACAGTTAACTTTTTTAAATAAGTAGGAGTACACTAAAATAAGAAAAATTATAGTAAAAAAAAATATATATATACACACACACCAGTGACATAGTTATTTTCATTACCAAGTATTATGTACTGTACATAATTGTATGTGCTGTGCTTTTGTGAGACTGGGGCACGGTAGGTTTACACCAGCATCACCACAAATATGTGAGTAATGCATTGTTCTATGATGTTACAATGGCTAGGACTACACTAGGCAATAGGAATTTTTCAGCTTCATTATAATCTTACGGGACTACTGTAGTGTGTGTGGTTCATTCTTTGACCACAATGTCACTATGTGGGGCATGGCTGCATGTAAAAAAAAATTGTAGAAGGGTGATGTTATAGAAAACTTGGGGCAAATTCGTGTGTCTGCTTATGCACATATATTTGGCAAATTTGTTTCTGCTTATGCATATTCTCTAAAGGTTGCTCACACGTTCTGGTTCCATGCCCATTGTCTCTGTATTAGTGACAACTGCATCACTCTCAACAGTGTCCCAGGGTGGATGATAAATTATATTTAAGCTTATTATACAGAAACATCATTTATCAGTGTAAAAAGATTTTCTAGACTAGTGCTGTCTAGTAGAAATATATGAGCCATGTAAGTAATTTTAAAACATTTTTGGCAGCCACATTGAAGAAACTAAAAATAGCAGGTGACATTTTAATAAGTACATTTTATTTAACTCAATATATCCAAAATATTGTTTCAAAATATAATTAGCATAAAAATGTGAACAGGATAGTTTATATTTCCTTTTTAATATTGTCTTTGAAATCCAGTGTGTATATTAGACTTACAGCATATCTCCTTAGACTAGCCATATTTCAAGTGGGTATTGGCTATTGTATTCACTAGTGCAGCTCTAGACTTTGATTTCAGTTTACTTTATTTGTGAATATGTTGATTGAATTTGGAGCAAATTCAAGAGTCAGCAGTTTTTTTTTTGTAAAGGATCAGATGATGAGTATTTTACCATTTTTAGGCCATACAGTTTGTTTTGCAGCTATTCAATTCTGCCAACATAGTGCAAAGCAGCCATAGACATAATGTGAATGAGTGTGTGTAGCTGTGATGCAGTAAACTTTATTTACTAAAACAGGCGGCTGTAATTTGCCAACCTCTGAGTTAAACCATGAAGTTGAGGCTCTTGTAGAAGAACGTTTAAAACAGGAAACATGCGCATGAAAAGATTAAACATTAAAACTACTAATGGTATATAAATGAATGTAGTGGTTATTTCAATAAGCAAATTGGCAAATTTGGTTGGGGTTATGGTGGGATATAGGCATAGAGAAGACTAGAGATTTGGAAATACGCGTAGGCAGATTAGGATGAAAATCTGCTCACGTGTATTCTCCATTTTTTTTTGCCCTGTGGGCTTCTGCCTTATAAACCACTTATAAGCAAACACTTCAGATTGGATGAGTGGCAGCTGAAGGAATCTGACGTATTTGACTCCACCTGTTTCTTTGAAAGAACAAGCTTCTGGTCAGGCATGGTGGCTCATGCCTGTAATCCCAACACTTTGGGAGACCTATGTGAGAGGATCGCCTGAGCCCAGGAGTTTGAGACCAGCCTTGGCAACAGTAAGACCTTGTCGCTACAAAAAAAAAAAAAAAAATTAGCCAGGCATGGTGGTGCATGCTTGTGTTCCCAGCTATGTGGGAGGCTGAGGGTGGGAAGATTGCCTGGGCCCAGGAGATTGAGACTGCAGTGAGCTGAGATTGCACCAAACAAACAAACAAACAAAGAGCTCCTATTTGTTTTAGTCTGTATAGTGAAAAAATATAGTTATATGGAATATTTTGATTCCAGGGGTTTGTTCACAAAGGCTGCTTCTCTTGTTTCTCAGGGTCAGTTTAAATTCAGTTCCTGTTCTATGCTGAGACTTTGATATTCATCATGATGTTCTTTGAACTGCTCTTTCAGAGTTTTTTTTCAGTCATCACGGATAATCATGTTCTTTCTAGCATTATTGAATATTTTGTTGGTATATTTCTTTAGAACATATATATATATTTAACATTTTATTTTGAAGAAACTTTGACTTACAGGAATGTTGCAAAATTAGTACAGAGGCTAGAATGTGGCTCTGTATACTCTTCACCCAGCTTCCTTTAATGCTAATGTGTTATATAACCACAGTACAGTGATCAAAGCCAGGGAATTAACATTAGTACAATGCTATTAACTAAACTACAGCCCTTATTTAAATTTTAGCAGTTTTTTGTCTTTTTGTGTTCCAGGATCCAATACAGAATCCCAAATTGTATTTAGTTGTGTATCCTTGGTTTCCTTTAACCTCTGAATGTTCCTCAGTTTTTCCTTGTATTTCAAGACTTTTGACACTTCTGATGAATATTAGTTATTTTGTAGAGTATCTTTTAATTTGGGTTTGTTTGATGATTTCTTATGAATAGATTAGCAAGAGTTCCACAGAAGTGATATTGTAGTCCTCTCAGTATATCATATTGGGGTTTCATGATGTGATATACCTTCTTATTGATGATAACCTTGATTCACTTGGGTAAGGTGGCAACTTCCAGGTTTTTTCGCTGTAAAGTTACTCTTTTCTTTTGTAATTAATTAATGTTTTAGGAGACTTATTGTGGCTGTCTAATCCAGTTTCTGTTCAACTTTTCACCCACGAATTTTATTGTTTATTGCTCTAGTGCTTGCCTAATGATGATTTTCTATTCCCCTCATTCCTTCCACATTTATTAATTGGAATTCTTCTGTAAGGAAGAGCTGTCTCTTCTCTGCCATTTATTTATTCAATTATTTATATTAATATAAACTCAAGGATATTTATTCCGTGGGTTATAATCCTATGCTATCATAATTTATTTTGTTGTTTAAATTATTCAGCCTTGGCCATTGGGACAAAGTTCACCAAAGAATACAGATTGGTACTTGTCCTTAAACGTCTCCTATTCTTTTTTTGAGCACTTTTTTTTTTTTTTTTTTCAAGACAGGGTCTCCGTCACCAAGGCTAGAGTGCAGTAGTGTGCTCATGGCTCATTGCAGTCTCGAACTTCTGGGCTCAAGCAATCCTCCCACCTCATCTTCCTGTGTAGTTGGAACTATAGGTGCACACTACCATGCCCGGCTAATCTTTTGTATTATTTTTGTAGAGACAGGATTTCACCACATTGCCAAGCTAGTCTCAAACTCCTGGGCTCAAAAATGATCCTCCCACCTCGGCCCTCCAAAGTGATGGGATTACAGGTGTGAGCCATCGCAACCTGCTTTTTTTTTTTTTTTTTTTTTTTTTTTTAGCATTTCTTTACTTTCTGGCACCATCAAATGTCCCAGGATCATCTTTTATTTCCCAGTTTGAGCTCTGCAATCAAATCAATCTTTAAGGAATCCTTTCCATATGATTTAATTATATTTGGTATCTTGTTTGAATTCTACCTAATTTGAACACATTGGGAAGTAAACTTTTTCTATGGCCTAGTCTCATTTCTTATAAATAACTCATTTAAATTATGAAAAAATACAGGCATAAGAAGTTGATTTAATTTCTAATGGCCTAAAATCTTTTAAGTTTATCATGCTTAGAACCCTCAAGCGTGTAACACTGTAAAATAATATTTTACTGTATCTTATACTATATCTAATCTTTCTAGAGTATCAATAGAAATAAGGATATCATGAAGATTGGTTGCTCACTGTCTGAAGTTTGCCCCCAGGCCAGTTCAGTTTTGGGGAATCTTGACCCAAACAAGGTGAGCCATATTCTTGAATATAATTATTTCATTCCTCCTGTCAGCTTTCCTGTGTCTTAGATATTTAGTTTTTGGAGTTCCTGGTATATTTGAAAAGAAGAGGCTGATTTTTGGAATTTGTATAAACTACTGTTATGGTATATTTATTAATTCAAAAATACTTATGGACTGAATATTACTCAGTCTTGAAATTTGACGTAAGCTACAACATGGATGAATCTTCAGGACATTAGCTAAATAAGCCAGTCACAAGAGGACAAATACTGTTATGGTTCTACTTGTATGAAGTACTTAGAGTAGTCAAAATCATAGAGACAGAAAAAGTGAGTGATGGTTATCAGGGACTGGGGGAAGATTGAGGATGAGGAGTTATTGATTAATGGGTGTAGAGTTTCAGTTTTACAACATGAAAAGAGCTATGGAGATGGATGATGAATGGTGGCGAAGGTTGCAGAACAGTATGAATGTACTTAATGCCACTGAACTGTATACTTAACAATGGTCAAGATAGTCAATTTTATGTTATGTATAGTTTACTACAGTTAAAAATAGGAAAAGTAGAATTAAAAGCTACACTATTCTAGCCAAAAAAACAAAAGTGAAGAAAACGTATGTACTGTCTGCCATGTACCTGGCACTGTATTAAGCATTAAGTAAGTATGCAGTGGTGAACAAACTAGATTCCTTGCATTTGACTTTGATTCACAAAAAATTTGTAAGATGCATCTTTATGCAGAGCAATTTGGCTTTTTTCTTTTTTACTGAGTTATAACTTGTATACAGTAAGGTATATATCTCTTAAGATCCTAAGTATATAGCTTGGTGAGTTTTTACGTGTGTATGTATCCATGTAACCACCATCCAGATCAACATATGGTTCTATCATTTCAGAAAATTCCTTCGGGCCCCTTCTCAGTCAATTCTTAGTCAGTAGTTTCTCCATCAGAGGTATAACCCTCATTTTGATACTATCACCATAGATTCGTATGTCTGTTCTTAAATCATGGAGTATGTAGTTTATTGTATGTATCTGGCTTCTTTTGTTCAACATAATTTCTGAGATTCATTTATATTGTTGTGTGTATTAGTGTATTGGTAGTCTGTTCTTTTTTAAGCTATTTAACATTCATTGTATAAATATAACACAATTTATCGATCTGTTCTCCTTTGATGGGCATTTGGATTTTTTGCAGTTTTTAACTACTCTGAATGAAACTGCCGTGAAATCCTTATATAAGTCTTCTGCTGGATGTATTGACTCATTTCTTTTGCACATATATCTAGAGTAGAATTGCTAAATTGTAGGGTAGACATGTTTCTGCCAAAGTAGATACTGCCAAACAGCTTTGCAAAAGTGTTGAACCAATTTACATTCTTATCAGCAATTTATGAGAGTTATAGTTCCTCGATATCCTCACCAGCCCCCTGCTTTGCTAGTGTACTGAGGTTGTGTTTTAATATTTTTATTAGCCCTTTGGAAGGGGTCTTGTGAAGTACCTATTCACATCTTTTCCCCATTTTTAAATTAGGTTATTTGTCTTGATTGATTTGTAGGCATTCTGTATGTTTTTTTCACTTTAATTTTCATTTTTGTTTCTACCTCTTAAAGTCAATGATAAAGTCACAACTGTAAAATGAATGCATTTAAAAAATAAAAGATATATTTCAATGACAAAAAGTATGCAATGATCATGAAAATCTACTGTACACTTTGCCAAGGCCAAAGAATGAAAGACAATATGAAAAAGCCAATCTTCAAATATATCCTCAACAAAAACTCCCTCCTAAATAGTAAAATTATCATTTAAGAATATTTGTCTTTACACATCTAAACAGAAGCTCTAACCAAAAAAAAAGTGGGGGAAAGGGCAGATGATAACTCTCCACAAGTTTTCCAGATATAAACATGTGGTCACCAGGAATTCAAGATTAAACTTCTAAAGCAACATTTAACTCAAAATAAAGTGAACATTTCTGACAGGTGACAACAGTAGTATGAAACTGATTTTTCCTTTCCTAAATAGAAATGAGATGGGGCATTTCAGTAATCATCTAAGAATAACTGTAGAAATACTCCCAATTCTACCACCCCACCCACTGGTATAAAACAGATACCTTCCATGAAAGTATCTTTCACATTACTGAAATATCCTCACTTACTTGGGACAATTTCATGCTTAGATGAGTATAAACACTTGTTTTTAGGTGTGTGGAATTATTGGAGCTGAGATTTTTGAAACAATATCTGAATCTTAGCAGAGATATAATAATACTTTCACTATACATTGATTGGGCTTCCTTAACCAAATCTGAGCAACTACTGTAATAACAATGCTGGTGGTAGTCCATGATACTCTCAAATTTTTTCCCTTTAAGAAATATATAATCCATGTAATACTAGTAAATATGTTACATTGTACACCTTCTTAACAAAGAATGTCTGTTTTCAGGCCTTACTAGGAAAACAAACAAACAATGGCAGTTACTGCCTGTTTTTATCACTGATAAGCTACAATAAAGCTCAAATGATGGATGGTTTACGTGTGTGATATTAAGTACAAAATGAAAGCCATTATAATTTTACCAAAAGAAACACGAAAAATATGGGAAGAAGTGAAATGAACATGGCATGGGTCCCAAAGATTACGATATGTTTCAGAACAGGATTTTGAAAACAAACAATTTCTGTGAATATTTCTTATACTAGAAAGATCCAAAGCAAATCTAGGCAAGCTTAGCCCTACCTTGTCAAAGATAAATACTCAGATAAGTTGGAAGTTCCGTTTGCTAAAGTGCATCTGGGATCATATCTACCCTGCTACTTAGAGACAGCCAGGAAGGTGGCCATCACTCATGCTCTTTCACTCTTTCTGTGTCTTATCAAGAGTCACACGTAACAATTTTTTTTTCAAACCAAATGCTTTATATAGTGAACTACAGGAAAAACAATTCTAAATACACTTTTAAAATGCTAGAGAGTTAAGATAACCTCATTAAAGAAAAAATACTGAAAATGTAAAGGGTCCATACAAACTAAGAGCTGTATTAAGTGTATACTTTCTATTTTAATAATTCACTTGGCTGTGCTCTTAAAATGAGAGAAGCAGATATTTTACCCATGTCTTCTGGCAAGAGATTCAAAAGCAGAAGTAGCAGGACTGTAAAATTTCATAAAATTTGTGGGATTTTTTAAAGCTAAATTATTCAATATCTTGTACAGTTTTGTACCCATATATTACCCCGGAATATATGTACAGCATCCCAGCAACAGTGACTGCAACAAAAGTAAGGTAAATAGGTCTACAAAGCATTTGATTTCCTTATTAGAGAAAGTTTTTATAGAGGAAATGCAAACAACTGCAATTCAGATCACATTATATAAGCTTGATGATTATTTAAACCTTATATAAAATTAAATCTAACCCTTACCACTACAAATCTGTAAGGAATCAGAAAAGGATTTATAGTACACAAGTCTTGATTACTGTTTCATTCCACTTTGATATCACTCTGAGCTAAAACAGCATTCTTCCAAGATTTAAAGAAAAATAGATTTTATAAAAGGGATTCTTTTACATTATTATTGTTACTGACAGAAACAAGTTTTGCTTTTTTCCACTATAATTCGCTCTGATGAAAGAAATAATTCTCTCTCTTAACTCCTAACAAACGCTACATTTTCAAGACTAAGGGAATTACTGGTGGCATTCTTTCTCCTTGATCTAAACTATTTGTCTCTAAAATATGTCAAGTAAGCTTTTAAAGATTCAGGAAGGGGCAGCGTTGTGATTTTTTTCTCAGTAAATTTTGAGGTGGCTCCTCTGGCTTCATTGCTTCACTGTGATCTTTTTCTTCCTCTTCTTTGTTATCTTCCATTTTTTCATCCTCCTCTCTGTCCAGAGGCTGAGGAATAAGCTGATTACCCACAAATATGTATGTGTTAGTTCTCTGTTTAACTCTCTTTTTTTTTTTCCTTTTGGGTGGAGCCCTTTGCGGAATCCCCTTGGCCTGCATCTCATCATTTATGAAATTTCTAAGTGTGCGTCGAATGTAAATACAAGCCAAGCCCTGTGGATTCCTGACAGCACAGGGAGGGAGTCCCACAGAATCTGGTTTACCATTATCATTCTTACTTGGCTGCACAAGTGGAGCAAATGACACAATAAGGATATTTTTCCTTTCCCAAGTGTTTTGTCCAGTTCTGCGTTAACTGATCCTCTACAGGCATGATCCTCTACATTCATTTGATCTTCAATCAGTGATACCCTTTCTTCCACTTGATCAAATCAGCTACTGAAGCTTGTGCATGCGTCACGTAGTTCTCGTGCCATGGTTCTCAGCTCCATCAGGTCATTAAGGACTTCTCTACACTGTTTATTCTAGTTAGCCATTCGTCTAATTTTTTTCAAGGTTTTTAGCTTCTTTGCAGTGGGTTTGAACATCCTCCTTTAGCTTGGAGAAGTTTGTTATTACCAATCGTCTGAAGCCTTCTTCTCTCAACTCATCAAAGTCATTCTCCATCCAGCTTTGTTCCGTTGCTGGCGAGGAGCTGCGTTCTTTTGGAGAAGAGGCGCTCTGATTTTTAGAATTTTCGGCTTTTCTGCTTTGGTCTCTCCCCATCTTTGTGGTTTTATCTACTTTTTGTCTTTGATGATGGTGACGTACAGATGGGGTTTTGGTGTGGATGTCCTTTCTGTTTGTTAGTTTTCCTTCTAACAGTCAGGACCTTCACGTCCTCAGCTGCAGGTCTGTTGGAGTTTGCTGGAGGTCCACTCCAGACCCTGTTTGCCTGGGTATCACCAGCGGAGGCTGCAGAACAGCAAATATTGCGGAATGGCAGATGTTGCTGCCTGATCGTTCTTCTGGAAGCTTCGTCTCAGAGGGGCACCCGGCTGTATGAGGTGTCAGTCTGCCCCTACTGGGGGGTGCCTCCCAGTTAGGCTACTCGGGGGTCAGGGACCCACTTGAGGATACAGTCTGTCTGTTCTCAGATCTCAAAGTCTATGCTGGGAGAACCACTACTCTCTTCAAAGCTGTCAGACAGGGACGTTTAAGTCTGCAGAAGTTTCTGCTGCCTTTTGTTCAGCTATGCCCTGCCTCCAGAGGTGGAGTCTACAGAGGCAGGCAGGCCTCCTTGAGCTGTGGTGGGCCCCACCCAGTTCAAGCTTCCCGGTGGCTTTGTTTACCTACTCAAGCCTCAGCAGTGGCGGACGCCCCTCCCCCAGCCTCGCCGCCGCCTTGCAGTTCATCTGAGACTGCTGTGCTAGCAGTGAGCGAGGCTCCGTGGGCATGGGACCCTCGGAGCCAGGCGTGGGATATAATCTCCTCGTGTGCTGTTGGCTAAGGCTATTGGAAAAGTGCAGTATTAGGGTGAGAGTGTCCCGAATTTCCCGGTACCATCTGTCATGGCTTCCCTTTGCTAGGAAAGGGAATTCTCTGACCCCTTGCACTTCCTGGGTGAGGCGATACCTGCCCTGCTCCGTGGGCTGCACCCACTGTCTGACAAGCCCCAGTGAGATGAACCCGGTACCTCAGTTGGAAATGCAGAAATCACCCGTCTTCTGCGTCGCTCACACTGGGAGCTTCAGACTGGAGCTGTTCCTATTCGGCCATCTTGGAACCTCTCTCTCCTCTTTTCTTTATAAATCTTGATTTTACTTTTATTTGCTGAAACAGTCTAATGCCAATTCTCCTTTCTATATTAATGGAGAATGAGCATGCAGATAAGTGTCTCTATATGATTCCTTGACAGATTTCTTTCAGAGACTATGTCTATAAAAATTAGCCCATCTGAGACCCATCATTGGAGCCAACTCATTCCTCAATTTTTAAAATTTTTTTTATGGGGGGATTACAGGTGTGAGCCACTGTGCCTGACCTATGACTGTGTTTAATATTGTTATAAATTAAGACATACTCCTTTTCTTCTATTGAATATAAAATTAATTACCTTATCAAAAATTTAAACAAGTGTCAGTAATTAAGTGATTAATCAGCTACTTCTGATTGTTCATAAATGGATTATACTTTGTCAGTTTTCCTTAGTGATCTAAATGGTTCTCTCCCTCTGCCACCATGTAGAAGGGTCATAGGCTATGAATAGTGGAGTTGTGGGAGGAGAAGATTGGGCCCAGGCACAATGAGAGTGAATATATAGTTTTCACTATGTCATGAGAACAGATAAGTCTATCTGGGATAGATTTACATGTTTTGGTGGTTGTATTACACTAACAGAGCCACGAACTTCAGATTCTTCACTTTGTTGAGTACTGTTATACCTAGGCGAGTTAGAGAAACGCCACACTCTGAGACGAATTAAGAGTCCTTTATTTAAGCTGGCGGCCAAAGAGACGGCTAATGCTCAAAATTCTCTCGGCCCGGAGGAAGGGGCTTGATTAACTTTCATACCTTGGTTTAGGAAGGGGAGGGGAACTCAAATGCAGTAATTCTACAGAAGTAAAAACATGCAAGAATCAAAAGAAGCAAATGGTTACAGAGAGATAAACAATTTAAAAGACAAATGGTTACAAAAAGCAAGGTACCAGGTGCAGGGCTCTAAATCCTTCATTATAATTAGATATAAATGCTATGCCGGACAGGAACTCAAGGCTTTATGTTGTTATCTCTTTGAAAAAAATCCTGGGAACTTCATACATTGTTTGTGCCAGTACCTTATCAGTTAATTGGGCTCCTTTGAAATGCTGAGGATCTGCTTACACAGGTCAACTCCTTGCGGAAGGAGGTTGGGTAAGGAGCCCTTAGTGTCTTGTAAATTAAGGGGTCAATTGGAGTTTGTCCGGCTTTCCCAGCTAGAGAGAGTCTTACTTGAGAAGCAAGGCTAGGTGATTAAAGAGACAAACAGGACAAAATTTAAAGTAGCGAGTTAGAGTAAAAACAAGGTTAGGCATTACAGTACCAGCTCTATTCTTGGACACAAGTGTTCCCAGCCCTGCCTCACCTGGTTTGCAATAAACCATTGCATATCTGTCGCTTACCTTATACCAAATTATTAATCATATTGTGATGTTATTACAAAGCCTTAATTAAAGATGATGCAGTCTTTTGCAGGGATTGAAATTGGTTAGGACTGTTGATTGTCAGCTATTTTTGCTACTTACCCCTGTCTTCTTACCAGGGTTGAGAGAGAGTACCGTACTATTACTGCTCTCTCTTGCCCTTTAGTTGTTTAATGTTAGCTGAAGAAACCGGAGTTAATTATGAATTGAATACACTTATCCTTTGTAGCTTTTGAATTGTTATTTATTTATTTGTTTGTCTGAATTTATGTGTTCTTTATTGTTTTGGTGAATAGGTTTGGTGTTTAGGTTTCATAAAATAAATCTGTGGATTTGTCCTAGTTCAGAGTGATACATTGAAATTAATTTTATAATCCATAACTTAAAGCAGTATTCTTCAGCCATTTTTCTCATTATTCCCTCCTAAGGAGCATTTTTAGACCTGTTTTCTCCCTAATGGCCTAATGGGCCTTCTCCCCTTCAGATATTTTAATACTACAGATATACAGTATATAATAACTATGTTATCAGTAGGGTTGAACTTTGGAGGGCTACAGACCATTGTAGTGTTTAAGATTTCCAACTCTCCATAAGGACCACTTTTATTCCCCTTAGGGATATTGCCCCAGTTGAGAATGTATGATTTAAAGCTGTTAAGGCCAGGCATGGGGGCTCATGCCCGTAATCCCAGCACTTTGGGAGGCCGAGGCAGGAGGATTGGTTGAGGCCAGGAGTTCAAAACCAGTCTTGGGCAACATAGTGAGACCCTGTTTCTACAAAAAAAAAAAAAAAAAAAAAAAAAGCTAGGTATGGTATGTGTGCCTGTAACCCCAGATATTTGGGAGGCTGAAGCGGGAGGATTGTGTGAGCCCAGAAGTTTGAGGCTACAGTGAGCTATGATCATGCCACTGCACTCCAGCCTGGACAACAGAGTAAAACCTTATCTCAAAAAAAGTAGTTATCAGCCTGCAGTGATTTTTGTATCCTTCCCAATCCAATCATGGCTTACTTCATTTTTGTTACTGTAAAGAAATACCTGAGACTGGGTAATTTATAAAGAAAAGAGGTTTATTTGGCTCATGGTTCTGTAGGCTGTACAAAAAGCATAACTCCAACATAGTATAGTTGAGAGTTAGACTTAAGTGGCATGTACTTCGCATGTTTATGTTTTAAAAAAATTATACCAATTATGTCTTCAGACATTAAAATAGTATGATTTTAAGTGTTTGATGCCTGTGTCTTCTAAAAAAAGTCTTTTTGCTTTTTATACAACTCTAACAAGGGACTCAGGGTGCTTCCACAAATATTAGAAGGTGAAGAGGAGCCAGTGTCTGTAGATTACATGGTGAGAGAGGAAGCAAAGGGAGGAAGAGGTGCCAGGCTCTTTTCAACAACCAGTTCTCTTAGGAACTATGAGTGAAAACTCATTCACTTCCACGAGAATGGCACCAAGCCGTTTTTAGGGATCTGCCTCTACTATCCAATCACCTCCTACCAGGCCCCCCTCCAACATTGGGAATCAGATTTTAACATGAGATTTGGTGGATGATATCCAAATGATATCCATCTAAATCATAGACACCTTCAGGAGACATTTGACAGTGTTTGGAGACGTTTTTGCTTGTCACAACTGGAAGTGGTGCTACTGGCATCTAGTGTCTAGAGGCCAGAAGGGATGTTGGTAAATATCTTACAATGCACAGGACAGAGGACAGCCCCACTCTGCCACTCAACACAGACTCATCTGGTCCCAAGTGCCAGTAGTGCTAAGGCTACTTTGAAGTTCGAGAAAATGAAAGCCAGCCTGGGCAACATGGTGAGACCTTGCCTCTACAAAAAAAAAAAAAAAAAAAAAAAAAAAATACAAAACTTAGCCCAGGCGTGGTGGTGCGTGCCCATGTTCCCAGCTACCGTGGGGACTGAGGTGGGAGGATCACTTGAGCTTGGAGAGGTTGAGTCAGCAGAGAGCCATGACTGCTGCACTGCACTCCAGGCCTGGCGACAGAATGAGACCCTGTCTCAAAAAAAAAAAAAGAAAAGAAAATGATTGAAAGTACATAAATTTTCTCTTTATTCTTTTATTAAACATCATTCAATTGAGATATAAAATAAAGTACAGTATTAAAGATATTATCTAATTTAGTTTTATCTACTTAATAGGACTAATGTCCTTATACGTAAAGTAAAAAGTATGAAATCTTTCTTGCTTGGTAGGAAATATGAATTCCACTATAGTTGAGAGTTAGACTTACGTGGCATGTACTTGCCATGTTTATGTTAAAAAAAATTGTACCAATTATCGCCTCAGATATTATAATAGTGTGATTTTAAGTGTTTGATGCTTGTGCCTTAAAAAATTTTTTTTTTTGCTTTTTATACCCCTCCCTCCTCATTTTGGAGATGCAGAATAGCATAATGAACTCTGAAGTCAGAAGTTTGAATCTTGGTTCTGCAGTTTACTAGTTTATGTCTTTGGATACATAGTGGCATAAACAAAGTACCTGCCTGATAGGATTGTGAGAATTAAATGAGTTATATATAAAGTACTTATTGACATATAGGAAGAGCTTAAATGCTAACCTTTATTCTGATCTGTTCACCATGCTTTAAATGCCAAGTAATTTTGCTTTCTTTTCTCTTTGTAGATTTATGGTGGATTATTTTCTGAAGATCAGTGTTGGTACAGATGCAAAGTACTGAAAATCATCAGCGTTGAAAAGGCAGGAAATTAAGTGTTCAGTTTTTTTTTGCTTTAAGAAATATTTATTGTGGTTCAAAAATTTGATGCTTATTTAGCCCTTCATTGCTTATTCGTAGTACTGATACCTGGTTCAGTGATTAAAACACAGAAGAAATTAATTGCTAAAAAACATGTTGTTTTATAATCACCTCAGATTATTCAAGAATAGATTATATAATATGTAGGTTATTTTTGGTGACTAGTTATTTTTACCTCAGTTCTTTTTTTTTTTTTTTTTTTTTTTTGAGATGGAGTCTTTCTGTGTCGCCCAGGCTGGAGTGCAGTGGTACGATCTTGGCTCACTGCAAACTCTGCCTCCTAGGTTCAAGCTATTCTCCTGCCTCAGCCTCCCAAGTAGCTGGGATTACAGGCGCCCACCAACACACTGGCTAATTTTTGTATTTTTAGTAGAGACGGGGTTTCACCATGTTTGTCAGGCTGGTCGAACTTCTGACCTCAGGTGATCCGTCCGCCTCAGCCTCCGAAAGTGCTGGGATTACAGGAGTGAGCCACTGTGCCCAGCCTGCCTCAGATCTTAATAATTATATTTGGTTCTTGAGTAACTTTTAAATGTTCATTTTATTAAGCTTTATAAGTAGGAGAAGAACATTTTGATTGATTCTTCTGAAGTTAGGTATATCTTTTATTTAGTTGATGTGAATATTGTTAATAATAATGATTGGCTTGCCACTTTCTTATGCCTGGGTTAAATGTGGTGAGTTTTCTTTGTGTTAAGCTTTTTTTTTTTTTTTTTTTTTTTTTTTTGACATTGTGAATTTGTGGAGGATTTTTAAGAGGATTTAGGGAGACAGAATTCTGAATAGCTGTTTGGTGACAGTTGCATATTGCAGGCTGGGTGAAAGCACCTCTGTAAGATTTCCTTTGGTGTTTTTTCTACACCTCCTTTCTGTACTTAAATTATAATATGTATGTTTTTACTGAACCAGGGAAAGTGGTTCAGGATAAAAGAGAAAAAGTTAAAAATATGTATGTTTCAGAAATATTTTCTTTGGTGTGATAAGATGCTAAGATGTGACAATTTGATTAATATTCTGAATAGCTTGGTTTAAAAAAATTTCATTTTTTGCTGTCATAGAAAATGGTTTATTTTAGTGGAATGGAACTTTCTAATTGACCTTTCTCCCATAATTTGACAACTGGAGATGATATTTTACATATGTTTTTCAGTTGGCTTTAATTTTTTAAATTAAAGGGCAGCATGATGTTTGACCTTGTAATAACTATTTTTCTTTTTTACTTTTTAAACAGATGTAGAGCTGGAGGTAAGGGTGGTGAATCTGATTAGTTTACATGGTCTACCTGGAGTGAGTTTAATTGTGTCAAAGGAAGTTTGATAACTTTGCCTTTCTTTTCAGATTTTATTCTTTCCAACTTGAAATTGAATTGAATGTTGATTGATTTTAACATTAGGAGAAACAGGAGAGGGCTGTAAGCTTCATAGGCTGATGTTTATTTAAAATATCAATTGTCTAAAAACAAAAAGCACCCTAATGAGAAATGGTACTGTTGGAATTTAACTAGTAACAAGTAAAGAAATCACTGTAATTTCATGGACTGTGGATTTTTTTTTTATTTTGAAGATATTAGAAATCTGTTTCTGAATGTATTTTGTCATTTTGAGGTAAGAATGCTATTTTGATATACAGGTCATTAACAGAGAGCAGCAAATTGGTGGTTTCTTTGGAAACATTTAATCTGGGGTCAGTATTCGTATTTGTCTCTTATTTTTTCCAGTGTCTGGTGAGGTACATTGACTATGGAAATACTGAAATTCTAAATCGATCTGATATAGTTGAAATTCCTTTGGAGCTGCAGTTTTCTAGTGTTGCCAAAAAGTATAAACTTTGGGGACTACACATTCCTTCTGATCAAGAAGTTACCCAGTTTGATCAGGCAAGTCACGTATTTTAAATATTTTTGCTAATGAAAGTAAAACTATGTGCTTGAAACAAAATGTAGGTATAGTTAAATCTTACTTTAATATAAAAGTCTGTATAAATTAGTGAAAAATAGGAATTATAATTAGAAAGCAATTATATATTTATGCTCATCTTTGCTAGGTAAACATTGAACAGATAAGAATGACATACACATATATAATATATGTAAATAGTTTCCTTCTGATGTAAATGTTTAAAAGGATAGTCTCTTTTTGTTTTTTTTTTTTTTTTTGAGACAGAGTCTGACTCTGTTGCCCAGGCTGGAGTGCAGTAGCGTGATCTCGGCTCACTGCAACCTCTGCCTCCCAGGTTCAAGCAATTCTTCTGCCTCAGCCTCCCGAATAGCTGGATTACAGGCCTGTGCCACCATGTCCAGCTAATTTTTGTATTTTTGGTAGAGTTGGGGTTTTACCATGTTGGCCAGGCTGGTCTCGAACTCCTGACCCCAGGTGATCCACCCACCTTGGCCTTCCAAAGTGCTGGGATTACAAGCATGAGCCACTGCGCCCAGCCAAGGATAGTCTCTTATATGATGGAGAAAATAATGAATACAGTTATTTCTATAATTGTTTTGGGAAAGTATTTATTAAATAAAAGTGATCTTTACCTAGTCCTGGCCATAAATACCACAAATTTGAAATTAATGGGGTTATAATTAATCAGATTGTATTATTTTGGCAGAGGCTCATACTGTTTGATGTAATAATTGGCAGTGGATGTTTTGCTTATGTGGATTCTAGTTTATATTACTTTCCATTGAATTTTGGGTTGGTAACCTAATTCTGGAAGACGTTCGATAATTTCAGGGGTAGTCTTACAGGAATTCTACCTCTTTTAAAATCTGTTATACAAAGATGATTCTTTTGGTAAATGGTAATGCTGGTGAGAGATATTACATTGGAAAGTAATCAGATTTGTAATTCTTATTTATAATAGCAGCTCAAGTAGCTCATGTGGAAAACAGTTTAATCATTGTAAGCATTATAAAGAAATTAATTAAAATTGCCTCTATTTTTCTTTGAGAATCTTGTAGGTGTGTTGGGTATAGTTTTGTCTGCTATGTAGTTACTTATAAAAAACATTTCTGTACATGAAACTCAGGCTTTCATAAACATGAAATATAGATATTATAAAATTACACCCCAAGTTTCTGGTTTAAAATCTAAAGTTTGTTACTTTCTTCTTTAATATAAATGCTTTGACCAAGGTTGGGGAGGCTTGTTTTGGATTTCTTGCATGCATAAAACTCTAAAATCTTGTTTACGGACCTTAGAATATTATCTGCTCTCACTTTGTTTTACATATAGGGAAATTGTAGTCTAGAATAATTAAATGACTTCAAGTCGTGAAGCTAACTAGGGAAGAGCTAGGCCTAGAACTCAAGTCTGTTGTTCTTTTCATAGTAAAATGCACAGATTTGTGTTGATTGAAACACACATGAATCAAGGGGGAAAAAGACATTAAAAAAAGTTAATTTTAGAACTGAATTAATAAACTGCAGCTGAGAATGTTTTTGTATGTTTCAAAGATTCTTTATATATGGTACTGTATATAAACATTTATATATATATATATATATATATTTTTTTTTTTTTTTTTTGGTTGGGGGTTGAAGTCTTGCTCTGTTGCCCAGGCTGGAGTGCAATGGCATGATCTCGGCTCACTGCAACCTCCGCCTCTTGGGTTCAAGCGATTCTCCTGCCTCAGTCTCCTGATAGCTGGAATTACAGGCACCCGCCACCACGCATGGCTAATTTTTGTATTTTTAGTAGAGGTGGGGTTTCACCATGTTGGCCAGGCTGGTCTTGAACTCCTGACTTCAAGAGATCCCCCTGTCTCTGCCTTCCAAAGTGCTGGGATTACAGGCATGAGCCACCCGGCTAAACATTTGTATTTGGATGCTTAGTTCAGTAAAAAGATCATTGATTAGAGTTAAGCTAATTGGCACACAATGTTTTCTGGAAAAAAATGAGCTATTCTTGAATAGCTCTGCTTAGAAAGTCCGTGTTTAGTTATTAATTCTCAGCCCAAAGCTCAACTCTAATCTTCTATATGAAGTCTTTGCTAATACCCACTTACCCGGTCCTCTGTGGTGTTTTAGTCACTCCGTATATAAAGCCTATAAAGTTGTAATTTTTTCCTCCCCTACAAGCTTAGTGAGTTTGGTAGAGATAAGTATTCACTTTTCTGTGCCTAATTTCCCTGCCAGGTAGGTGTTAGATGAGCATTAGTTTATCTAACATTTGAATAAATAGATGAACAGCAGGGATTCAGTAACAACACAAATACCTCCTTCCTTCCCCTTTTCCAGAAGGTGTCCTGGGCACTGAAATTCCTTCACATTTTTTTAACTAACACTTTCACGCTATGCTGCAGCACAGTCAGAATTGATGCTCAGAATGGTAGTTTGCTGAAGATCGAGAGAATATTACATTACTAGTCCTACATGCCTGACTTTAAAAATTATATGTAGGGTAAGGGAATGAGAGCTAGAGCTTGGAATTTGTGTTTAACAATTTAAAGGCCTTTTAGCTTGTTTTCTAATATATACAGGCAGAATTCAGAGGAATAAAGTAGAAAGCAAGTGATCCTTTCTTGTTTCTGAATGAAGCTTACCAGTTTGGAAAACAGAATGAAATATATTTCTAAAAAGTGACATTCATCTTTTTTAATGATTGAAAGCCTTATGTTCTAAACCAGTGACCAGATTTATTTTAAAAAGTTAAGTTTTGTCCAGTGCGGTGGCTCATGCCTGTAAGCCCAGCACTTTCGGAGGCTGAAGTGGGTGGATGGCTTGAGTCCAGGAGTTTGAGACCAGCTTGGGCAACATGGGAAAACCCTGTCTGTATAAAAAATACAAAAAAATTAGCTGGGCATGGTGGCGCATGCCTGTAGTCCCCGCTACTCAGGAGGCTGAGGTGGGAGGATTGCTTGAGCTTGAGGGGTCAAGGCTGTGAGACCCTGTCTGAAAAAAAAAAGATAAAAGTTAAGTTTTATACCTTTTAAATGCCTAAATATATTTTTTAAGTGCAGGTATATATCTCCAGCTCATAAGGGTTAGTGGAAAATATATTTCTTATGATAAAAATTAAATGTTTATATGTATTATATATAAAGAGAAAACATACATATTTTTGGTATAGTATTAAAACACCCATGTATCATATACTCTGTCATTCTTTTTGTTAGTTGGAACTGAGGAAGACTCAGATTTTATTTCAAGTTCAGGGTTCTGTGTTTATGATTATATATGATTCAGGGAGAATCTGTTTGAACCACTTCATACTAATTGTGATTGGTGACTGTAACTAAAATGAATTTGAATTCAGAGAGAAATCTAAAATTAGATTTCTGCATAAAAATTCTATGCAAGGAGTAATGGACCTTTAGAACATTCAGCTTTAGGTAATTGAAACTTTTGTAGACAATAGGTTATTTCCATTTGAATTCACGTATTGCCCAAAGACAGGGTTTCTTGAAATATTAATAATTCCACATATACCAGCAATAATTTTCAAAGACTTCCTAGGGGCAGAAGTTGTTCTTGAATTTTAGATAGACTTTTGATAATAAGAGTTGAAAGCAAGGGTTTTTATGTGAAAGAGGTTAACTGGAAAACTACATCTAATTGATTAAAATCCTAACATATATTTCAGTTAGTTATATTTTGAGGTTGTTAGCTTTGCCTGCTTGATCCCATTTGATTGGTGATAACTTCTGGACTGTATTTGTTATTTATACTGATATAATTGATATAATATATTGATATAATATATTGAATTCTTGGTGAATTCAAACCTCTTGATATAATGTGTGTATTTCTGAATTTTATGCCTTGGAAAATTTATAAAACCTGTGTTTTTGTTAACCTAAAGTATTATAGGAATTTTATGCCTTGAAAAATTTATAAAACCTGTGTGTTTGTTAACCTAAAGTATTTTCGTGTTTTGTGGATTTAAAAAATTATTTTTTCAGCTAGGCACAGGGTGTGTGCCTGTAATCACAGCTACTTAGGAGGCTGAAGTGGGAGGATTGCTTGGGCCCAGGAGTTCAAGACCAGCTTGAGCAAACATAGCAAGACCCCATCTAAAAAATTCTTTTTTTTTTTTTTTTTGGGTAGTGATAGTTGGTGATTCTTGAGCATATGTAGTTTGAGTCTCCTTCTCTGCCCCTTCAGATGCATCCTTGTAGGCCCAGGTATCCTCAACCTGTTGTTAAAATAAATGTGTCAGCTGGGTGCGGTGTCTCACGCCTGTAATCCCAGCTCTTTGGGAGACTGAGGTGGGCGGATCACGAGGTCAGGAGATCGAGACCATCCTGGCTAACATGGTGAAACCCCATCTCTACTACAAAATACAAAAAATTAGCTGGTCATGGTGGTGGGTGCCTGTAGTCCCAGCTACTTGGGAGGCTGAGGCAGGAGAATGGTGTGAACCTGGGAGATGGAGCTTGCAGTGAGCCGAGATAGCGCCACTGCACTCCCACCTGGGCGACAAAGCCAGACTCCATTCAAAAAATAAAAAAATAAAAAAAAAATGTGTCCCAATGAAATAATTTTTTTTGTAATCCTATGTATTTCATACATTTAAAAACATTCTGAGAAAAAGTCCAAAGATTTCACCTGACTGATAAAGGAGCCCCATGGCCACAAAAAGGTTAAGAATTCCTACATCGGTCTCAATTTTACCCTCTATACTACTGTGTAGTTGAAGAGAAAATAGTTCTTAAAAATGTTATTTAGTTTCTTGGACCTTGACTTCCCCACACCCCCTATTTCTTTTAAAAATGTGACCGGTTTGTATTTTGTGGTTTTTAGTGTGTTTTTACACTCTTGTTTGTCTGATTATTACGGGTATGATGTCCTGTTCGGTTTGCTTTGTTTGCATAAACTATATTGTTTTTTGTATTTATAGAGTGGGAATGTAGCTAAAAATACAGCTCCACCTTCTAAGAGAGATACGTTTCATCAGATGATGTCCCTATTTCAAGGAAGTTGTGAACCAGTAAATTTGAGCTGTACCTACCCATTTTGTGTTTTAAGTTTATGCTTTATATATTCCGAAAAAGAATACTTACTTTTAATTTCCTTTATAGTACGCACAGGGTGAAATTCAGGAAAATAACCTAGAGAAATTTGGGAAGAGCAGTTAGATTGTGTCAAAGTAATTTTAGTAATTACAGTTTTATGGAGGAGTAGATAAGTTCTTATTAAAATTAAGTCTCAATATGTTCCAATCCCAAATATGTTTTAGGTGTATCTTTGCTTAGTTCTATTGATAGATATTCAGTAGCTCAAAGTTAGCAAGCACCTAATTTCTCATATGCCAGTTGTACAGTTGTAGCCCTCTTAAGCAAAAGTCTATTTAAGAGAGTTTTGAATGTAGAAGGCCAGGCGAGGTGGCTCACCCCTGTAATCCCAGCACTTTGGGAGGCCGAGGTGGGCGGATCACTTGAGGTTAGGAGTTTGAGACCAGCTCAACTGACACGGTGAAACCCCATCTCTACTAAAAATAGAAAAATTAGGCAGGTGTGGTGGTGTGTGCCAGTAGTCCCGGTTACTGGGGAGGCTGAGGCAGGAGAATCGCTTGAACCGGGGAGGCAGAGGTTGCAATGAGCCGAGATTGTGCCACTGCACTCCAGCCTGTGCGACAGAGTGAGATTCTGTCTCAAAAAAGAAGAAAAACAAAGTTTTGAATATGTATTTGTGACACCTCACATTTTATAATTTCAGTTTGTTGATTTTTAAAGAATTTGTTCGTATTTTGTGCTTTCGGTTTGTGGCTTTTTTTGCTTCTGCTCGTCTTACTTTAAAACCAGAGTTCCTGACTCTGCCTCTAAAACTTTCAAAGTTTTGTAAAATCGAGTACCTTTTCTAGATATCAGAGATTCATTTTTATGCGCTATTGCTTTTCAGGAGACCATTATATTTAGTTGGGGCCAAAGTAATCAATGTAATCTGCTGGGTTAAAAAAAACTATTCTAGGATATTTACTTAGTATACATTTTTAGATTTATAAAGGTGGCTGCCTGTACAAGTATTTAGCTCTACTTGATTTTAGCAAGTGTGTAATTGGAATACATTCATATACGTGGAGATGCATATTTGCATATTATAGCCAACAGCAAAGTAATATAGAGATTTTAGAATGAAGAAATATGATGCTTGGAAAAAATGGGTAGGAACAAAATAAGGGAAGAGAAACATGTTGGTGTAGCTGGTTTATGTTTTCTTCTTTCTTAGGGCACAACCTTTTTGGGGAGCTTGATTTTTGAAAAGGAAATAAAAATGAGAATTAAAGCAACCTCTGAAGATGGAACAGTTATTGCTCAGGCTGAGTATGGCAGTGTGGATATAGGGGAAGAGGTGCTTAAGAAAGGATTTGCAGAGAAATGCAGACTTGCTTCCAGAACTGACATCTGTGAGGAAAAAAAATTGGATCCTGGTCAACTTGTTCTCAGGAACCTCAAAAGCCCCATTCCTTTGTGGGGGCATAGATCAAACCAGTCAACCTTCAGCAGGCCCAAGGGGCACTTAAGTGAGAAAATGACTCTTGACTTGAAGGATGAAAATGATGCAGGCAATCTTATAACATTTCCAAAGTAAGAATTTAGTCTTCACTAATTTCTAATTGATGGTAGAGGTCCCTGTCATAGTAGAATAGAAGTTAAGGCTTATGCTTTTGGAATCCTTTACTGTGTCAGTGATTTTAAGGGCTGATGCTGATATTTCTGTTTTTCTCAAATGTATTCCTCTCTGCTTTAGCAGGGATATTTTCATTAAAAGCTATTTTGAAAGAAAAATAACTCCTGAATTATTTTAAAGTTTACATACCAACTTTTCATGCCAACTATTTGGAATACACTTATCAAAAATAAAAATCTGCTCCTAAATCTGAATTATTCAGGCAAAGTCAGAATTTCAGATAAGATTTGAAGTTCTTCCTATGGCTTTAGGAATATTTTAAAGAGTTTCAGGAAATTGCCTTTACTTTTTTAATAAAAGTGAGGCTCTTTCTTCTTCTTGTGAAAACTTGTGATGGAGTTTGATTATTCCGAATACTTTACTTTTTAGATAATTTTAAATTATCAACTTGAAGCAGAAATCCAGATTTGATATTTATATGTATCAAAACAGTCTTCTATATCATGGTCCAAGCCATGATGCTGTATCTTGGATGACATAGCTGTTTGATGGGATCTCATCAGTGCTTTAGGAGCTAAACTGTCAAATGGGGGTGGGAGGCGGTGGACGGGGGGATCACAGGGGATCACAGGACGGGGGGATCACGGGGGGGGGATCACAGGAGGGACTGGAAAAAAACTAATACAGAAATGCTTTTTACTTTGTTCTCTGTAGTTGATAGTGCTATGAAGAAGTTGGAATATTTTTTTTTGAGAATTAGAGGCATTATTGAATTACGACTTCAGTTATAAAATCTTGTTTGCATTAAATTATTTTTTAATATTATGAACTAGGTAAATATTTTAGTTTTCAAAATTAACTTTCAGATATATTGTGGCATAAAAGGACCAAGATAACTTAGATTTGTTTTCTGTGTCAGCCTTATACAGTTTGTTTGTCAAAATAAATGAATTTGTTTTTATAGGGAAAGTTTGGCTGTTGGTGACTTTAATTTAGGGTCTAACGTCAGCCTGGAAAAAATTAAGCAGGACCAGAAACTGATTGAAGAAAATGAAAAACTTAAAACAGAGAAGGACGCTCTTCTTGAAAGTTATAAGGCGTTAGAATTGAAAGTAGAGCAGATTGCCCAGGAGCTGCAGGTATGTTCAGTGGCTTAAGGTGAAGAGTGTCCAACTGGGAAATCTGTGTACTCATCTGCTGCTATTTATTTTTCTGTCACTTTCCTTTCCTTCCCCACCTCATTCTCTCCTTTGCTAATCCCTGTATTTGTTTATAGGTGAATTTTTTTTCATATACTCCAGACTAATCATCTTTGGATTTCATTGGATGTTTGCAAATTTAATAATTTCTCATTTACATTTCCCTTTATGTTCTAAAAACTTTTCAACTAAGGCAATTTTCAAACATTCTAAAAGGAGAGAGACTTGAATAATTAATTCTCATGTGCCCATCACCCAGTTTATACAATTATAACACATGGCCAATCTTTTTAAAAATTTACACTTCCTGGATTATTTTAGAAGAAGTCCCATTCATATTATTTCATAGTCTTCAGTATGTATGACTAATAGAAAAGGACTTTAAAAAACCGTAATAATAATACTATTCATACTTAAAAGTAAACAATAATTCCTTAATATTATTTATATCCAGGCAGTATTCAAATTTGCCATATTGTGTCATGAATGCCACATGATTGTAGGCATGTTGATTGTAGTTTTCTCCAATCAGGATCCCAGTTAGGCACATACATTGCATTTTGGTTGATATTTCTCTTAAATTGCTTTAATGTGTTTCCTTGTGTTGCTTAACTGGATTCTTGATCTCCACGTGTGTCTTCTTTTATGGTAATCACGTCTCCAGATTTGCTCAGATTTTAGTTCAGAAATTTTCCCCCCCAGGGATACAGTGTGGTTGATAAGTGTGTGTGTGTGTGTGTGTGTGTGTGTGTGTGTATGTGTGTTTAACACCAAATCTGTTGTTCCTGCACTAGTTCCTCCAATTCTCTGACACCAACTGGGTGTCTAATAATTCAGCTCCATTCTGACACTACATTACCTGTACTTAGCATATACCCTACAAGTTAAGGACTCAGTTCCATAAAGCTGCCTCTACTTTAGATGCCAGCCACAAATGGGGTCCCCAGGCTACTTGCATATCTACCCCCCCACTATAAATTCGGGGTTTCCCATGACCCTCCCTCAGGTTAGATAATTCACTAGAACTACTCACAGAACTCACGGAAGTGCTATACTTACAGTTTTATTATTAAGGATATAACTCAGAAACAGCCAAATAAATGGAAGATATATATAAGGCAAGGTACTGGGGCAGGAGGTACAGAGCTTCCATGCCCTTTCTGAGTGTGCCACCCTCCCAGGTCATGGATGTGTTTATCAACCCAGAAGCTCCCCAAATCTCATTCAGAGTATTTTGGTTTTGTTTGTTTGTTTGTTTTGAGACAGTCTTGCAACATCTTGCTCTGTTGCTTAGGCTGGAGTGCAGTGGTGTAATTTCTGCTCACTGCAACTTCTGCCTCCCGGACTCAAGCAATCCACTCACTTCAGTCTCCTGCCTAGCTCGGACTATAGGTATGTGCCCCATTCCTGGCTAATTTTTGTGTTTTCTTTTCTTTTTTTTTTTAAACTCAAACTTGCCTTATTTATATCCCCAATGGCATGATCTCGGCTCACTGCAACCTCTGCTTCCCAGGTTCAAGCGATTCTCCTGCCTCAGCCTCCTGATAGCTGGCATTACAGGCACCCGCCGCCATGTCTGGCTAATTTTTGTATTTTTAGTAGAGACGGGGTTTCACCATGTTGGCCAGGCTGGTTTCGAACTCCTCAGGTGATCCACCCACCTCTGCCTCCCAAAGTGCTGGGATTACAGGCATGAGCCACTGTGCCCAGCCCACATTTTCTTTATCCAGTCTATCATTGATGGGCATTTGGGTTGGTTCCAAGTCTTTGCCATTGTAAATAGTGCTGCAATAAACATATGTGTGCATATGTCTTTATAGTAGAATGATTTATAATCCTTTGGGTATATACCCAGTAATGGTATTGCTGGGTCAAATGGTATTTCTTGTTCTAGATCCTTGAGGAATTGCCACACTGTCTTCCGCAATGGTTGAACTAATTCATACTCCCACCAACAGTGTAGAAGTGTTCCTATTTCTCCACATCGTCTCCAGCATCTGTTGTTTCCTGACTTTTTAATGATCGCCATTATAACTGGAGTGAGATGGTATCTCATTGTGGTTTTGATTTGCATTTCTCTAATGACCAGTGATGATGGGCTTTTTGTCATAGTTTTTTGGCCGCATAAATGTCTTCTTTTGAGAAGTGCCTGTTCATATTCTTTGCCCACTTTTTGATGGTGTTGTTTTTTTCTTATAAATTTATTTTAAGTTCCTTGTAGATTCTGGATATTAGCCCTTTGTCAGATGGACAGATTGCAAAAATTTTCTCCCATTCTGTAGGTTGCCTGTACACTCTGATGGTAGTTTCTTTTGCTGTGCAGAGGCTCTTTAGTTTAATTAGATCCCATTTGTCTATTTTGGCTCTTGTTCCCATTGCTTTTGGTGTTTTAGTTATGAAGTCCTTGCCCATGCCTATGTCCTGAATGGTATTGCCTAGGTGTTCTTCTAGGGTTTTTACTGTTTGGGGTTTTACATTTAAGTCTTTAATCCATCTTGAGTTAATTTTTGTATAAGGTGTAAGGAAGGGGTCCAGTTTCAGTTTTCTTCATATGGCTAGCCAGTTTTCCCAACACCGTTTATAAAATAGGGAATCCTTTCCCCATTGCTTGTTTTTGTCAGGTTTGTCGAAGATCAGATGGTTGTAGATGTGTGGTGTTATTTCTGAGGCCTTTGTTCTGTTCCATTGATCTTTATATCTGTTTTGGTACCAGTAGCATGCTGTTTTGGTTACTGTAGCCTTGTAGTATAGTTTGAAGTCAGATAGCGTGATGTCTCCAGGTTTGTTCATTTTGCTTAGGTTTGTCTTGGCTATACGGGCTCTTTTTGGTTCCATATGAAATTTAAAGTAGTTTTTTCTAGTTCTGTGAAGAAAGTCAGTGGTAGTTTGATGGGAATAGAATTGAATCTATCAATTACTTTGGGCAGTGTGGCCATTTTCATGGTATTGATTCTTCCTGTCCACGAGCATGGAATTGTATTTTCTGTACAGTCAGGGTTTGCTGTGTTGCTTAGGCTGGTCTCAAACTTCTGGGCTCAAGCAATCCTTCCTCTTTTGGCTCCAGAGTTGCTGGGACTACAGGCGAGCCACCATGCCTTGCTAAATTAATGAACTTTAAACACATTTGACATGTTTTAATCCACTGAAGCCATTTTTTTTCTTTTTGATGCACACATTATCCCCTTTGAAGTCTTTTTAAATTAGCTTCTGTGTCCTTTTGACATCATAACAGCTGATATTCATAATGGATAAATCACCATTATTAAGTTTTTCATTAATCTGTGACCTAATGATTTTTGCAGCCATCGATGGTTGTTGTCTGCAAGCATGTTTTCATCAGGTGCTGTATTTCTTTTTTTTGTTTTTATTATTATACTTTAAGTTTTAGGGTACATGTGCACAACGTGCAGGTTTGTTACATACGTATACATGTGCCATGTTGGTGTGCTGCACCCATTAACTCGTCATTTAGCATTAGGTATATCTCCTAATGCTATCCTTCACCACTCCCCCCACCCCACAACAGTCCCTGATGTGTGATGTTCCCCTTCCTGTGTCCATGTGTTCTCATTGTTCAATTCCCACCTATGAGTGAGAACATGCGGTGTTTGGTTTTTTGTCCTTGCGATAGTTTGCTGAGAATGATGGTTTCCAGCTTCATCCATGTCCCTACAAAGGACATTAACTCATCATTTTTTTTGGCCAGGTGCTGTATTTCTTAGCTGGAAAATTTCAACTATTTAGTCATGCTGAAGCCTAGTTTGTTCAGTAAAGGCAAGATAAATACTTTATTCATTCCCTTTATATGTACATGTTTTCAGAAAAATAAGTTTATTCCCTAGGATTGTCCAGTGTTGACCAGCAAGGGTTATTTGTTCTCCTTAAGTATTATTATGAACTAATGAATTTTAAACATATTTGAGTGTTTTAATTCACTGCAGCCATTATTCTTTTTGATGCCCATCTTATACTCTTTGGAAGTCTCTTTAAGTTGTTGCTCTGTCCTTTTGATGTGATTCCAGTAGTCTGATAGCTTCCTTGTTTTCTGGTGTCACAAGATGTTCCATACTCATCTGCATTTCCTACCCTAATCCTGGAAAAGTTATTTCTCCAAGCTATAGTTCTTTTTAGTGGCAAGAGGTATTTAGATACCAGACTTTGGGTGCTAGGGATATATATAGCTATTGCTTTAGTCTTTGCTTCTAGGTTATAGAATGTCTAATTGATAGGGTTAGGAAATATTATTTTCTAATGCTATATTGAGATATCATTTACATATAGTAAAAATGCACAAATACTGTGTAGAACTTGATAAATTTTGACGTATGTATACTCTCATGTAACCTGAATCACCCTCATCAAGATTGGCTGATGAAACTATCATTAATCAGATATTTCACCTAGTATCAAGCTCTACCAATAATTTCAGGGACACAGGTAACAAAGAGACTCCTTTGTTCCAGAGCAGGTGCCCCAGTCTCTGACCAGAGACTAGAATGTCTGCTGTGGCTACTGCTGCCAGGCATCAAACAATGTCTCTAAACTCTCATAAGGGTGCCATCTGTAGTATTGTAACTAGAGAGGGTGGGGCCCCTCTCAGGTGAGCAGTGTGGATATGAAGCAGTGGGGAGTGTGTTCTACTCAAGTGTAAGTCTCACAGCAGCCTATAGCAGAGCTTTGGGTGTTGTCCCAGGTGTGCATAGGAGAGCCTGGCTTTTCTGCCCCTTCTTGGCTGGGCAGCAGCTGCAGTCATGTCAGCCTAAAGTCAGGCCAAAGTTGGGCCACAGCTCAGAATTAAACTCTCCAAGTGACACTTTTGGCCTGTGCCCTGGGATACTGGGGCACCACCCTGGTGAACAGCATGGGCAAAAAGCTGTGGGAAGTGTAGTCTGATTGTGTCTCAGTTTCACAGCAGCCCATTGCAGGGCTGTGGGTATTCTATAGATATGTGTGGGGTAGCCTGGTTTCCCTGTTGGTCCTTTGCTGGGCAGTGACTGGGGCTGTGTCAGCCCAAACTCAGGCCAAGGGCAGGACTCAGCCCAGCATTGAACTCAGAAAATGGTGCCTTGGGCATGGGGCTAGAGAGAATGAGTCACCACCCAGCCAAGCAGCATGAGCAAGAAGGTGTATGGAGTATGATCTACTTATGTCTCAGTCTCAACAGCAGCTTGTAGCAGGGTGACAAGTATCCTCCTGGGGGTGCATGGGCATGCTTGTTCTCCCTCTCCTTTTTTGGAGCAGTACAGTGGCTGCAGCCATGTCTATAGGTCCCTGGTATCTAAACTCTTAAAGTGGCTCCCTGCTGAGGCTGCTCCAGACTTGGGTGCCTGTGGGATTCTGTGTGGATTCCTTTTCTGGAACAATGTCTTTGTGTGATCTTTAGGCAGCTCCATATGTGAGGTGTGAGGCCCTAGTGGATCGAGGGTTTCTCCTATAGCCAATGTTGTAAATGCTTGTTTCAGAGCTCTGGGGATTTTTCTCTTACTGTTTCCCTGCGTACAGTAGCCTTTCCCAGCTCTCAGCTGGTTTCTGGCTAGGCATGCTTCCTCAAACCCTCTCCTTTCTTACTTCTGGGGCTTTCTCTCTCTTCTCTGGTGAATCCAAATATTCATTCTTAGTCTGTTCAAAATGTGTCTACTTAACTATTTCTGATTCTTCCCTGTGGAAAAGGCACACACTATCTAGTTGGCCATCTTGATTATTTTCTCTCTCACTCATTGTTTATCATTGTGGTTTGGTGTGTTTCTGTAGTGGGAACATTTGATTCCTTTCTTGTTTTACTTGTGTGTTTGCTTTACTCTGTGGGTTTTATACTTTTTTTTTTTTTTTTTTGAGACAGAGTCTTGCTCTGTCGCCCAGGCTGGAGTGCAATGGCACGGTCTTGGCTCTCTGCAACCTCCACCTCCCAAGTTCAAGCAGTTCTCCTACTTCAGCCCCCTGAGTAGCTGGGATTATAAGGACCTGCCACCATGCCCAGTTAATTTTTGTACTTTTTAGTAGAAACGGGGTTTCACCATGTTGGCCAGGCTGGTCTTGAATTCCTGACCTCAGGTGATCTGCCCACTTCGGCCTCCCAAAGTGCTGGGATTACAGGCGTGAGCCACTGCGTCCAGCTGGGTTTTTAACTTTCATGTGTTTTTATGATCACAGATTGTGTATTGCCCTCCCTTAAGCATCTCTTGTAGGGATGGTCTAGTGCTGATGAATTCCCTCAGCTTTTGCTTGCCTGGGAAAGACTACTACTTCTTCATTCATGAAAGACAACTTTGCTGGATATAGTATTCTTGACTAGCAGTTTCCTTTCAGCGCTTTGAATATATTGTTTCATTCTCTCCTGTAAGGATTTTACTGAGAAATTTACAGTTAATCTGATGGGGGTTTCCTTATAATTGATGACACGCCTTTTTCCTTCTGTTTTTAGAAATATCTTTGTCTTTGACTTTTGACAGGTTGACTGTAATATGCTGTGGAGAAGACCTTTATGAATTTTATCTGTTTAGGCATCTCTGAACTTCTTTTATTTGAATGTCTAAATCTCTTGCTAGACTTGGGAAGTTTTCAGCTATTTTATTAAATATAAGAAGTTTTTGATCCCTTTTTTTCTCTTTTTCTGTGACATTGAAAATTCAAATACTTGTTTGCAGTGTGGTGTCTCATATGTCTTGTAGGCTTTTTTCATTCTTTTTTGTTCTTTTTTTAAATTTTTGATTGACTGGGTTAGTTCAAAAGTCTTGTCTTAAGTTCTGAAATTCTTTCTTCTGTTTGATCTAGTATTTTTTGTTGTTGTTTGTTTTGTTTTGAGGCAGGGTTTTGTTTTGTTGCCCAGGATAGAGTGCAGTGGCACAATCACAGCTCACTGCAGCCTCCAACTTCTGTGCTCAATCAGTGCTCCTGCCTCAGCTTCCTGAGTAGCTGGGACTACAGGTGCATGCCACCATGCTGAGCTAATATTTTAAATTTTTATTAGAGATGAGGTCTTGTTATGTTGACCAGGCTCTTCTCAACCCCTGAGCTCAAGTGATCCTCCTGCCTCAGCCTCCCAAAGTGCTGGGATTATAGGCGTGAGCCATCATGCCAGGCCTAGATCTAGTATATTGTTGAAGCTTTGGAATGTATTTTGTATTTCATTCGGTGAATCCTTTAGTTCTAGGATTTCTTTTTTTTTTTTTAATGATACCTATTTGGTAAATTTCTCATTTATAACCTGAATTGTTTTTCTGATTTCTTTATATTATTTTTCAGAATTATCTTTTATCTCACTGAACTTATTTAAAATCAGTATTTTGGATTTTTCATCTGGAATTTCAGAATTTCTTTTTGATTATGATCTGTTGGTGGAGAATTACTAACTTCCTTTGGAGTTATATTTTCTTGTCTTCTCATGTTTCTTTTGTTACATTGATATTTGTGCATTGGGTGTAACAGTTGCTTCTTCCAATTTTTTGGAAATAATTTTGTAGGGGAGGATCTTTTCCTGAAGATGTACCCATGGTGTTGGTTGGGTAGGGCCCTTTGGCTTTAATTCTGGGTTCATGCAGTAGCATAGTCTTTGTATGATTCCTTTGGATGTGAATAGTCAGTGGCGTTTGTGATTTCCTCAATGGCTTAGGGTGTGGTTGTTAGTGGGGGCTGCGGAGAAGTTTTGCTGGGTAAAGGAATGCCATGTTTGCCAGTCCTCAGACCCCAATGGTGGCAATGCCAGGCCAAGTATGCTTGTCCTTGGTTTCCAGGACAGCACATGCTGGCACTACTGTTAGAAAGCCCAGGTTGGCCAGTGCTTGGGTTTCCAGGAGTCTTGCTTGGGTGCTAGTAGCAGCAGTGGTGGGCCAGACAGGTGAGTGTGTTCTTGGGCTCTTAGGCAGTGGGCACGATGTGGGTGATAGTAGCAATGGCTTGACAACCCTGTGCTTTCCAAGTGGTCTACACTGGTGTTAGTGCTGGCTGTGATGTGCTGAGTGGGTCAGTCAGGCCCACAGGTAGCATGTGCAAGTGGATGCCAGCTGTGTTGGTAGTGGCAGGTTGGGTAGGCCTGACCTTGGGCCCTTGGGAGGAGTGTTGAGGTACCAATGGTGGACTGGGCTGGGTGATACCCAGGGCCTTGGGTGGTGTGCTCAGACACTGGTGAGAGGGGTTATGGAGCTGGGTAGAGTGGACCTGTCCTCAGGTCCAGGTGGTGAGTGCAGACTCTGATTGCGGTAGGCAGGTGCAGGATGATGCCCAGGTTTCCAGTGGAATGCTTGAGTGGGGGTGGCAGTGGTTGCTTTGCAGCCCTGTCACTGGGGAGGGTGAGGTTGCTTTCACTGGCAGCAGATGTGTGGAGGTGGCTGGTGAACATGTACTTTGCTCTTACATTTGCTCCAGTGGAGGCAGTTTGCAAGGGCAGCAGCTGCAGGTGGGAAAGTTTGTCCTTTGGGTGTGTGAAAATGTGCAGCAGCTTTGCTGCTTAGGGCAGCGGGGTCACTGTAAATGGCTCACACTTTGACACTGGTGGCAGCAGCAGCTAGCATTGCCTCAGGTTCTGGGTTGGGTAGCCCTCCCTTGGGTCATGTGAAGATGCATGGCTACCCTTCTGCTGGTGGGGTTGGGGTTCCTGCCAGTGGCTTGCAGTTTGGCCTCAGGTGTGGCAGCAGCTAGTGACAATGGTGGTTGTGGGATGGGGTAGCCTTTCCTCTGGGTCCGTGAAAATGCATGGTTGCCCTTCTTGGGCGTAGAGTGGCTGCCAGTGGCTTGTGTTTTGATTCTGTGGCAGCAGCAGCCAGTAGTGGTGGTGGCTGCAAGCAGGATAGCATTTCCTCAGGGCCATCAAGATGTATGGCTGTTCCTCTGCCGTAGGGAACAGGGTTGCTGCCAGTGGCTCCTACCTCTTCGCGGGTACTTGCAGCCAGCTGCAGTGGTGGCTGTGGGCAGGAGATGTCAGCTTTGCTCCAGGGTTGTGGAGTTGTAGGGGATGTTGGGCCCTAGACCATGATGCAGTCTACTTGGGGCTGGGCACACAAAATGGCAGCATGCTGTAGTTGCTTAGGATTGGGGGGTGGGTGTATGGGACCCAACATGAGCTCCCTGTATGGAGCAATATACTTGTGTAGTCTCTGGGCAGCTCTCTGTGTCTCAGAGCACATGAGGATCAAAGGTCCCTTTCGTGGCTAGAATTGCAGGAGTTTGCAGTGAGAATATGGGCCACTGGGGTCTCTCATTTACCCCTTCTATGCATTGAGGAGCCTGTCCAGGCTCCCAGCCAAGAAGGCTGCTTCTCTTCTTTCTCCTTCCTTCCTTTATGTGTTTCCTGTCACTTCTCTGTTGAAGTCCCATTTCTCTCTTAGATGATCTATTTGAAGTGTGATTATCTACTTGCTATTTTGGCTCTTTTCTCAGAGGGAGGCAAATAACAGTGGCCTCTAGTGAGTCATCTTGAAGCCCCTGTCTGAAATAATGTAATCTAACAAACACGTTTTTGTGTGTTATATTTATTGTATACTGTATCTTTACAATTAAGTAATCTAGAGAAGGGAAAATATTATTAAGAAAATCATAAGGAAGAAGAAATGTATTTACGTTTTATTAAGTCTTAATCCTCATTGTCTTCATGTTGAGTAGGCTGAGGAGGAAGAGCATGGGTTGGTCTTGTCTCACAGGTGACAGAGATGGAAGAGGTGGAGGGATAAATAAGTTAAATAATTTTAACTTAATATTATTTAATTTTAAAATAAGTTAAAATTATTTAACTTACTAACTTATTTAAAAATAAGTTAAAATTATTTTAAAATAAATTAAACTTTTTACTTTTTTTTCTCAATAAGTTATACAAGGTGTACCAGGCAGGCACACCTTGTGTAACTTTTTGAGAAAAATCTGTTTGTAAGTGGATCTGTGCAGTTCAAACCTGTGTTGTTCAGGCATCAACTATGTTTCTTTTCATACATTGTTGGATTCAGTTTTCTAATTTTTTGGAGGGTTTTTACATATATGTTCGTGACATATATTGGTTTGTGGCTTTCTTTTTGTGTAATGTTGTTTTCTGATTTCAGTATTAGGGTGATGCTGGCCTCATGGAATGAGTTTGGAAGTATTTCCTCTGCTTCTATTCAATGACTGAGAATTGGTATAGTTTTTTCCTTAAATGTTTGGTAGAATTTACCAGTGAACTTATATAGGCCTGACATTTTCTGTTTTGGAAGGTTATTAATGGTTGATTCAATTTTAAAAATAGAAATAAGTCTGTTCAGATTATTTTTTTATTTTTATTTTTTTGGAGACGGAGTCTCACTCTGTTGCCCAGGCTGGAGTGCAGTGGCGCGATGTCTGCTCACTGCAAGCCCCACCTCCTGGGTTCACGCCATTCTCCTGCCTCAGCCTCCCAAGCAGCTGGGACTACAGGCGCCCGCCACCATGCCCGGCTAATTTTTGTATTTTTAGTAGAGACGGGGTTTCACTATGTTAGCCAGGATGGTCTCAATCTCCTGACCTCGTGATCCACCCGCCTCGGCCTCCCAAAGTGCTGGGATTACAGGTGTGAGCCACCATGCCCGGCCTGTTCAGATTATTTTTGTGTGAGCTTTGGCAGATTACGTCTTTCAAAGAATTAGTTCATTTAATCTAGGTTATCAAATTTGTGGGACTTGAGTTGTTCATAATATTTTTAAGTTTTAATTTCCATTGGATCTGTACTGATGCCCTCTCTTTCATTTCTGATACTGGCAATTTGTGTCCTCTGTCTTTTTTTCCTTTATTAGCCTGGTTATAGTGTTACCAATTTTATTCATCTTTTCAAAGTATCAACTTTTGGTTTTGCTGGTTTTTCTCTCCTGATTTCCTGTTTTCAAATTGATTGATTTATACTTTCCTATTTTTGCATATTAAGATTTAATTTGCTAAAGGAGATTTAATTTCCTAAGAAGCAAACTTAGATTATTAATATTAGTTTCTTTTCACTTCTAATATATACGCATTTCAATGCTGTAAATTTTTGTCAATGCACTGCCTGTGCTGCGTTCTACAAATTTTGGTAAGTTGTATTTTTATCTTGAAAGTATTTTTAAATTTGTCATGAGATTTCTTCTTTGACTCATGTGTTATTAGTAATGTTGGTTAATCCTTACATGTTTTGAGATTTTTTTCAATTATCTTTCTGTTATTGATTTTTAGCTTATTCTACTGTGGCCTGAGAGCAGACATTGTACGGTTTCTATTCTTTTAACTCTGTTAAGGTGTGTTTTATGGCCCAGAATGTGGTGGCGTATTTTGGTGAATCTTCCATGTGATCTTGACAGGAATGTATATTCTGCTGTTATTGGATGAAGCATAGTTCACCCTTGAACATGAGTTTGAACTACATGGGTCCACTTATATGTGGATATTTTAAATAAAAGTTACATCAGTTATGCCTGCCTCTCCAGCCTCCCCTTCCACTTCTTCCCTCTCTGCCATCGGTGAGATAGGAATACCAACCTCTCCTCTTCCTCCCTGTCCTCAGCCTGCTCAATGTGAAGATGAGGGAGGATGAAGACCTTAATGATGATCCACTTCCATTTAATGAATAGTAAATATATCTTCTCTTTATGCTTTTCCTAATAACATTTTCTTTTTTTTGGCTTACTTTACTGTGAGAATACAGTATATAATACATATAACATACAGAATACTTGCTAACTGATGGCTTGTCTTATCAATAAAGCTTCTGGTCAACAGTAGGCTATTAGTAATTAGCTTTCTGTGGAATCTAAAGTTATACATAAATTTTCAAGACTGTTGGGGGTTGGCACCCCTAACACTTGCTTTGTTCAAGAGTCAGCTGTAGTCTGTAGATGTTAATTATCAACTGTACACTATAGATGTTAATTATATCCAATTTATTGGTGTTGAGTTCAAATGTATCTTTACTGATTTTTCCATGCTAGATCTGTCCACCTCTGATAGAGGGATGTTGAAGTCATTTTTGATTTCCGTTACAGTGTTTTGATATCTAACATTTCTTTTTGGTTCATTCTTAGGATTTCCATCTCTTTGCTTACATTGCCCGTCTGTTGTTACTACATGCTATCTACTTTCTCCATTATGATGCGTAGCATATTAATCATAATTGTTTTAAATTCATTGTCTGATAATTCCAACATCCCGTCTACATCTGGTTCTGAATGTTTTCTTTCTTCAAACTGTAGTTTTTGCCCTAGAGTATGCCTTGTAATTTTTTCTTTTCTTTTCTTTTCTTGTTTTTTTTTTTTTTTTGAGACAGGGTCTTGCCCTGTTGTCTAGTCTGGAATGCAGTGGCGTGATCTTGGCTCACTGCAACCTCCACCTCCCGGACTCAAGTGATCCTCCCACCTCAGCCTCCTGAGTAACTGGGACTACAGGTGTGCACCACCATGCCTGGCTAATTTTTGCTTTTTTTTTTTTTTTGGGGGTAGAGACCATTTTGTCTTGTTGCCCAGGCTGGTCTTGAACTCCTGGGCTCAAGCAGTTGACCCACTTCAGCCTCCCAAAGTGCTGGAATTATAGGCATTAGCCACTGTGCCTAGCTGTAATTTTTTCTTGATAACTGTATATGATATATCAGGTAAAAAAGCAATTGGTTTAAATATGTCTTTAATAATGTAATTGTAAGATGTACGCGGGAGTGATGTGTTGTATAGTCCTGTGATTAGGTCTCAGTCTTTTTGTGAGTCTATGTCTCTGGCCCATGAATTCACAAGCATTTCTCAATTTTTTCCTCCCCCTTTAGGTGGGATAGGATGGCTAGAGTAGGATGGAATTGGGTATTTACCTCCTCCCATGTGGAAGGATAGAGCTGGCTGGAGTTGGATATTTCCATCCCCCAGGTCAGTTAGGCTTTGATGAAACCTCAGCAGGTTAGGCTCTGCTTAACTGGTTTCTTTTCAGGGTAGATCTTATTAAGAAGTACAGAGTGCTCTGGGATATTTCAGAATGGTTTGTTTCCCCCCCCGCCACTGCTGGAAACATGAGGGGATTTTACTGCGATGATATGTATGATACTGTATTTACTGTGAGAACCTGATCTAGCTCCTGGAGGTAAAATTCACAAAAGCATGGGGGCCCCCATGACTGGATGCCCCTGGAGCTTTCAACTCTCAGTCGTGCCCACACCTAGTTTCCAGCAGTTTGTCAGCAGTCCAGGTTTTCCTATCTAGGCACTGCTTCCTGTAGAAATTTCTGTTCCAGTATGTTGTGATTCTCTGTATCCCTGTCTGTCTGTTTAATTTTAGGAGTAGCAGTTTTCCCAGTGACCCTACCTATCTCACCTTTTCTTACAGATCTGAGAAAAGTTGTTGATTTCCACTTTGTTCAGCTTTTTAATATGTGTTAGGATGGCATAGTGACTTCCAGGCTCCTTACATGTGAAACCAAAACCTGAAGTCCCCATATTATTGTTTTAAATCTTTTGTTCTTTTGTAATATACTTTTAGAGATAAAGATTTCTTTCTAAGCATTGCTTTATTTACAAACCACAAATTTTGATATGTTTTGTTTATTATTTAGTGAAGCATATTTACAACATTTCCTCGTGAATCCTAGTTTGAACCATGAGCTACTTAGAAGCATGTTGCTTAATTTCCACAAATTTGAAGATTTCCCCAATATACATTTTATTTTTTTCTTGGTACATAGTATTTGTATATGTTTACTGGTGTATGTGTGATATTTTGTCATATGCCTAGAATGTGTAATGATCAAGTGTAGGTATTTAGGATATCGATCACCTCAAGGATTTATCATTTCTGTGTGTTGGGAACATTTCAAGACCTCTCTTCTAGCTATTTTGAAATATACAATACATCATTAACTGTAGTCATCTGCTATCAAACATTAGAACTTATCCCTTCTATCTAACTGCGTGTTTGTACTTATTAACCAAACTTTCTTTATTCTTCTATCCCTACCACATCCTTCCTAGCCTCTGGTATCTATCATTCCACTCTCTACCTCCATGAGATCAACTTTTTTTAGCTCCTACATATTAACAAGAATGTAAAATATTTTCTTTCTGTGCCTGGCTTATTTCACTTAATAGAATGACATCCAGTTCCATCCATGTTGCTGCAAATGACAGGATTTCATTCTTTTTTTATGGCTGAATAGTATCCCATTGTATATACTGCATTTTCTTGATCCACTGATGGACACTTAGGTTGATTCCATGTCTTTGATGTTGTGATAGTGCTGCAGTAAACTTAGGAGTGCATGTTAATTCCTTTCTTTTGGATAAATACTCAGTGGTTCCTGCAATATATTTTGTTACTGATTTCTAATTTAATTTTATTGGTATCAGAGAGCATACTCTGAATGGTTTCAGTCCTTTTAAGTTGATTGACATTTGTTTCATTACCCAGCATATGGTCTGCCTGGAAATGTTTCATGCATTTTTAAAAGTTATGTGTATCCTATAGCTGTTGGGTGAAGTGTTTTATAAATATTAGGCTGAATTGGTTGATAGTGGACTTCAAGTCTTTTAGACCCTGACAGATTCTTTCTCTACTTATTCAATCAACTACTGAGAGAGAAGTACTGAAATCTAAATATTATTGTAGTTTTGTCTGTTTTATTCCCTTTTGTTCTATTAGATTTTGTGATTTTTTTAAAAAAAGTTCTATTATTATGCAAATATACATTTAGAATTGTTGGATCTTTTTGATGAATTGACCCATTTATCTTTATGAAATGTCTCTCTTTATTGCTTAGAAAATACTCCCTGTGCCAAAGGGAGTTGTTGCTTGACATTAATACAGGCATATTTGCATATAGTATTTTTATTCGAAGTTCCTAGAGCAGTCAAATCTGTAGGGACCCAAAGTTGAATGGTGGTTTCTGGGGGCTTGGGGGAGGGGGAGGGGAGATAGGGAGTAGTGTTTGAGAGATAGAGTTTTAATTAGGAAAGATGAAAAAGTTCTGGAGATGGATGGTGCTGATGATTGCACAACAATATGAATGTACCTAATGCAACAGAACTATACATTTTAAAATGGTTAAAATGATAAATTTTATGTTATGTATATTTTACCACAATTTAAAAAAAGACATAGCACCAAAAAAAGATGATGAATGAATAAATTCCAAAAAGCTGTGCCAGGAGTGATAATGTATAGTTTGTTTAGAATCATTGAAGCCTTCATTCTTTATTTAATTGAAGCAGTTAAAAATAAATATTAATTTGAAATAAAAATCAGCAGCTAGATTCTATTATATTTTATTCAAATTTGGAATTTTTTTTTTTTTTTTTGAGACAGAGTCTGGCTTTGTTGCCCAGGCTGGAGTGCTGTGGCACAATCTCGCCTCGCTGCAACCTCTGCCTCCCTAACTCAAGCCATCCTCTCACCTTAGCCTCCTAAGTAGCTAAGCTACAGGCATGCACCACCACACCCATGTATTTTTTCGTAGAGACGGGGTTTTGCCACATTGTCCAGGCTGGTCTCAAACTTCTGAGCTCAAACCATCTGTCCTCCTTGGCCTCCCAAAGTGTTGGAATTACAGGCATGAGCCACTGTGCCCAGCCAAAAATTATTTAAATTATAGCAGAAATACAGTTTCCTATTTGGGTCTCACGAGAATGTGTTTATTCTTTGTTTCAGCAAGAGAAGGCAGCTGCTGTGGATTTGACTAACCACTTAGAATACACTCTGAAGACCTATATAGATACCAGAATGAAAAATCTGGCAGCTAAGATGGAAATACTGAAAGAAATGAGGTAGGTAAAAGCATATTTTTCAGAAGGATATTTTAAACTAATTTTTAATCAATTGGTGCTTTGTTTAAATTGTGTGCTTGCCATTTTTGCTTTAAAATTTAACCTTTGTATTTTTATGACTTCAAAGAGAGAAAGATAGTTATTTCTGAGATGAATTTTATACTGTTTTTGTCAGGTTTCTACTGTCACTGCTTGGAGCTAGAGTGTTCTAAGGTTATAACTGAGACTGAAATTGAAAAAACAGCAACATAGCTTTTAAGTGATAGTTTGATGGGAAACTACCATATCCAGTTATTTTGCTTGGGGTTATTTTCAGGAGTACAGCATGTCCTTGAATAACGTGTTTTCATTCAACATTATTTCATTATAACATTGAAGAAGAAAATCAATTCCTAGCTGGAGCCCCACTGTCTGTGTGGAGTTTGCACATTCTCTCCATATTTGGGTGGTTTTCTTGGAATACTGTGGTTTCCTCTCACATCCCACTTAGGTGAATTGGTGTGTCTGTATTGTCCCAGTATGAGTGAGTGTGTGGATGAGGGTGAGTGTGCCCTGCAATGCAAGGGTGTCATGTCCAGGATTGGTTCCTACCTTAATGCTCTGAGCTGCTGAGATAGATGTGGCCACCTGCAACCCCTGGATTGGAATAAGCGGGTTGGAAAATGAATGAGTGAATGAGTATATACAGATTATCATAAAATAAAAATTTGTGAAGTATGCAAGAATCATACAGATGCCTTTGCAATAAGCGATGTGACATGAAAGCATTCAGCAAGCCCACTACGTTTGTTATTGTTTGTTTTTGAACCTGTGGTGGTAGGGGGCGCTTCTTAGAATTTTCGCTTGCAAACATTTATTCCTTGATTTAACCCTACTGTCACCCACTCATTCACCAAAGTTTGGGTAAATAATTATCTTTGTTGTTTTTATTGCTTTTTCTTAAATGTGTGTATAGGACACGTATATTTTAGTGTTTAATATTAGAAATGTTTTGGGTCTTTATTTGGAAGTGCTGTTTTTGTGACTAAAAATATGCCATAGGAACTTAACTCTTGTTTAGATCAATTAGCCTATGATACTATGGGTTTCTTATATGTCTTTTCTCTTAGACATTGTAAATTATCTGTAGACCAAAAATTGAAGGTTCATTTGATACCATTTCAAATTCTGCAGACTTTCGAAGTTGCCTTTTTTATAGTTTAAAAAATTTTTAATTTTTTCATATTTTTTATGTCATGAAATTAGTATATCCACAGTTGTTTTTTAATTAAAAGTTTATATTAAATTATGCATGTCTGCATAAAAATATGTGGACTGAAAAAAATAAGTTATACATGATTTTATATAAAGTTTTAAAAGGTACCCCTTCAAAGCCAGTGCTGTAAACACTAACTTTTAGACCATTACTATTAAAGTGTAACTTTTTCTCACACCAGCTTTCTAATTTATTGATCTTCTTCTTTTTGATGTTTTTAAAAATAGGCATGTCGACATCAGTGTCCGTTTCGGAAAAGACCTTTCAGATGCTATACAAGTGTTGGATGAAGGGTGCTTTACTACTCCAGCTTCTTTGAATGGATTAGAGATAATATGGGCAGAATACAGTCTGGCTCAGGAGAATATTAAAACTTGTGAATATGTGGTGAGTTGGGAATTTTTCTCTATTGTGGTTTTTATCTGTTGAACATAAGGAAGTGTTTTTTTAATTTCTTCTAAAAAAAATAACAGGATACATGTGCAGAATGTGCAGATTTGTTACATAGGTATACATGCGCCGTGGTAGTTTGCTGCACCTGTCCTCTAAATTCCCTCCCTCACCCCCCCATTTCCTAACGAGCCCTGGTGTGTATTGTTTCCCTCCCTGTGTCCATGTGTTCTCAATGTTCAACTCCCACTTACGAGTGAGAACATGTAGTGTTTGGTTTTCTATTCTTGTGTTAGTTTGCCGAAGATGATGGCTTCCAGCTTCATCCATGTCGTTGCAAAGGACATAAACTCGTTCCTTTTTATGGCTGCATAGTATTCCATGGTGTATATGTACCACATTTTCTTTATCCAGTCTATCGTTGATGGGCATTTGGGTTGGTTCCAAGTCTTTGCCATTGTGAACAGTGCTGCAGTAAACATACGTGTGCATGTGTCTTTATAGTAGAATGATCTATATTCCTTTGGGTATATACCCAGTAATGATATTGCTGGGTCAAATGGTATTTCTGGTTCTAGATCCTTGAGGAATCGCCATATCGTCTTCCACAATGGTTGAACTAATTTACGTTCCCACCAACACTGTGAAAGTGTTCCTGTTTCTCCACATCCTCTCCAGCATCTATTGTTTCCTGACTTTAATGATCGTCATTCTAACTGGTATGAGATGGTATCTTCTTGTGGTTTTGATTTGCATTTCTCTGATGATTAGTGATGTTGAGCTTTTTTTCATATGTTTGTTGGCCACATAAATGTCTTCTTTTGAGAAGTGCCTCTTCATATCCTTTGCCCACTTTTTGATGGGGTTGTCTTTTTCCTGTAAATATGTTTAAGTTCTTTGTAGATTCTGGATATTAGATCTTTGTCAGATGGGTAGATTGCAAAAATTTTCTTCTGTTCAGGAGAACAGGTTGCCTGTTCACTGTGATGATAGTTTCTTTTGCTGTGCAGAAGCTCTTTAGTTTAATTAGATCCCATTTGTCAATTTTGACTTTTGTTGCATTTGCTTTTGTTGTTTTTGTCAAGAAGTCTTTGCCCATGCCTATGTCCTGAACGCTATTGCCTGGGTTTTCTTCTAGGGTTTTTATAGTTTTAGGTTTTACATTTAAGTCTTTAATCCATCTAGAGTTAATTTTTGTGTAAAGTGTAAGGAAGGGGTTCAGTTTCAGTTTTCTGCATATGTCTAGTTTTCCCAGCACCATTTACTGAATAGGAGATGCTTTCCCAATTGCTTGTTTTTGTCAGGTTTGTCGAAGATCAGATGGTTTTAGATGTGTGATGTTATTTCTGAGGTTTCTGTTCTGCTCCATTGGTCTATATGTCTGTTTTGGTACCAGTAGCATGCTGTTTTGGTTACTGTAGCCTTGTAGTATAGTTTGAAGTCAGGTAGCATCATGCCTCCAGCATTGTTCCTTTTGCTTAGGATTATCTTGGCTATATGGGGTCTTCTTTGAATCCATATGAAATTTAAAATAGTTTTTTCTAATTCTGTGAAGAATGTCAATGGTAGCTTGATGGGAATAGCATTGGTTCTATAAAATTTTTTGGCCAGTATAGCCATTTTCATGATATTGAGTCTTCCTATCCATGAGGATGGAATATTTTTCCATTTGTTTGTGTCCTCTCTTATTTCCTTGAGCAGTGGTTTGTAGTTCTTCTTGAAGAGGTCCTTCACATCCCTTATTAGCTGTATTCCTAGGTATTTTATTCTGTTTGTAGCAATTGTGAATGGGAGTTCATTCATGATTTGGCTCTTTGCTTGCCTCTTGTTGGTGTGTAGGAATGCTTGTGATTTTTGCACATTTATTTTGTATCCTGAGACTTTGCTGCAGTTGCCTATCAGTTCAAGACGTTTTTGGGGTGAGACGATGGGGATTTCTAAATATAAAATCATGTCGTCTGCAAACAGACAACTTGTCTTCCTCTCTTCCTATTTGAATACCCTTTATTTCTTTCTCTTGCCTGATTGCCCTGTCGAGAACTTCCAATACTGTGGTGAATAGGAGTGGTGAGAGAGGGAATCGTTGTCTTGTACCAGTTTTCAAAGGGAATGCTTCCAGCATTTGCCCATTCAATTTGAGGCTGTGGGTTTGTCATAAATAACTGTTACTATTTTGAGATATGTTCCGTCAATACTTAGTTTACTGAGAGTTTTTAACATGAAGGCATGTTGAATTTTATCGAAGCCCTTTCTGCATCTATTGAGATAGTCACGTGGTTTTTGTCATTGGTTCTGTTTATGTGATGGATTACGTTTATTGATTTGCGTATGTTGAACCAGCCTTGCGTCCCAGGGATGAAGTGGACTTGATCGTGGTGGGTAAGTTTTTTGATGTGCTGCGGGATTCGGTTTGTCAGTATTTTATTGAGGATTTTCGCATCGATGTTCATCAGGGATATTGGCCTGAAGTTTTCTTTTTTTGTTGTGTCTTTTCCCGGTTTGGGTATCAGGATAATGCTGGCTTCATAAAATGAGTTAGGGAGGAGTCCGTCCTTTTCAGTTGTTGGGAATAGTTTCAAAAGGAATGGTATCAGCTGTTCTTTGTATTTCTGGTAGAATTCGGCTGTGAATCTGTCTGGTCCTGGGCTTTTTTTGGTCGGTAGGCTGTTAATTACTACCTCAATTTCAGAGTTTTTGTTATTGGTCTATTCAGGGATTCAGCTTCTTCCAGAAGGGGTGGCCAGCCCCTGCACACCTGTGGGCGTTTCTCGTCAGGTGGAACGAGAGACTTGAGAAAAGAAAGAGACACAGAGACAAAGTATAGAGAAAGAAAAGTGGGCCCAAGGGACCGGCGCTCAGCATGTGGAGGACCCGCGCCCGCCGGCAAAGGTCTCTGAGTTCCCTCAGTATTTATTGATCATTATCTCTACCATCTCGGAGAGGGGGATGTGGCAGGACAATAGGGTAATAGTGGGGAGAGAGTCAGCAGGAAAACATGTGAACAAATGTCTCTGTGTCATAAACAAGGTTAGAAAATGTGCTGTGCTTTGATGTGCACATACATAAACATATCTGGTGCATTAAAGAGTAGTATTGCCGTCAGCATGTCTCACCTCCAGCCTTAAGGTGGTTTTCTCCTGTCTCAGTAGATAGAACATACAATCGGGTTTTACACCGAGACATTCCATTGCCCAGGGATGAGCAGGAGACAGATGCCTTCCTCTTATCTCAACTGCAAAGAGGCCTTCCTCTTTTACTAATCCTCCTCAGCACAGACCCTTTATGGGTGTCGGGCTGGGGGACGGTCAGGTCTTTCCCTTCCCACGAAGCCGTATTTCAGACTGTCACATGGGGAGAAACCTTGGACAAGACCTGGCTTTCCTAGGCAGAGGTCCCTGCGGCCTTCTGCAGTGTTTTGTGTCCGTGGGTACTTGAGATTAGGGAGTGGTGATGATTTTTAACAAGCATACTGCCTTCAAGCATTTGTTTAACAAAGCACATCCTGCATAGCCCTAAATCCATGAAACCTTGAGTCGACACAGCACATGTCGTAGGGAGCACAGGGTTGGGGGTAGGGTTGCAGATTAACAGCATCTCAAGGCAGAATAATTTTTCTTAATACAGAACAAAATGGAGTCTCTTACGTCTACTTCTTTCTGCATTGACACAGTAACAGTCTGATCTGCCTTTCTTTTCCCCACACTACCTGGTTTAGTCTTGGTAGGGTGTAGGCATCCAAGAGTTTATTCATTTCTTCTAGATTTTCTAGTTTATTTGTGTAGAGGTGTTTATAGTATTCTGTGATGGTAGTTGGTATTTTTGTGGGGTCAGTGGTGATACCCCTTTAACATTTTTTGTTGAGTCTATTTGATTCTTCTCTCTCTTCTTCTTAGTCTAGCTAGTGGTCTGTTTTGTTACTTTTTTTAAAAAACAGACCCTAGATTCATTGATTTTTTTTTGGAGTGTTTTTTTTGTGTGTGTGTGTCTCTGTCTCCTTCAATTCTTCTCTGATCTTATTTCTTGTCTTCTGCTAGCTTTTGGGTTCATTTGCTCTTGCCTTTCTAGTTCTTTTAATTGTGATGTTAAGGTGTTGATATGAGATCTTTCTAGCTTTCTGATGTGGGTATTTAGTGCTATAAATTCCTCTCTTAACACTACTTTATCTGTGTCCTGGAGATTCTGGTACATTGTCTCTTTGTTCTCATTGGTTTCAAAGCACTTCTTGATTTCTGCCTTAATTTCATTATTTACCCTGGAGCCATTCAGGAGCAAGTTGTTCAGTTTCCATGACATTGTGTGGTTTTGAGTGAGCAATACTAACCTTAAATGTAAATGGGCCAAATGCCCCAATTAAAAGACACAGACTGGCAAATTAGCTAAGTGGTCAAGACTCATCTGTGTGCTGTATTCAGGAGACCCATCTTCCGCACAAAAACACATACAGGCTCAAAAGAAAGGGATGGAGGGAAATTTACCAAACAAATAGAAAGCAAAAGAAAGCAGAGGTTGCAGTCCTAGTCTCTGATAAAACAGACTTTAAATCAACAAAGATAAAAAAAGACAAAGGCATTACGTAATGGTAAAGGAAACAGTTCAACAAGAAGAGGTGACTATTCTGAATATATATGCACCCAAGGAGCACCCAGATTCATAAAACAAGTTCTTAGAGACCTACAAAGAGACTTAGATTCCCACACAATAATAATGGGAGACTTTAACACCCCACTGTCAGTATTAGATCAACGAGACAGAAAATTAACAAGGATATTCAGGACTTGAACTTAGCTCTCTATCAAGTGGACCTGATAGACGTCTGCAGAACTCTCTACCCCAAATCAACTGAATATACATTCTTCTCAGTGCCACATGGCACTTATTCTAAAATTGACCACATAATTGGAAGTAAAACACTCTTCAGCAAATGCAAAAGAACTGAAATCATAACAAACAGTCTCTCAGATCACAGTGTAATCAAATTAGAACTCAGGAAATGTTATCTTTCTAGAAAGACAAGGAACTGGAGATATTGTAATGATAGTTTGTGTAAAACCTTTAACTTTTACAGTATCTTCATATTAATAATTTCCTTCATTTATTGCCTTATAAGAAAGGTGTAATAGACAACTGGTGATTGTGGATAAGGGGTAGCAAAATCTTTTCCCTTTTTGCATGAAAACTTTACCTTTGGTTAACTCCCTCTCTTTGTTCCCTTGGTAATGTGATAAAATATTTCAACTGTGTTACTAGGCAACATTATTTATGGTAAGTATAACTTATGATTGTCAAACTGCATCTGTACTGGGAGAAACTACAAACTACAAATACTTGATGTGGACTCTTGTAACTAAACATGCCCCTTGAGGGACCCTGGAAGCTATACCTATGGAGTTGTTACAAGAGATACTGGCTTTTGAGGGACATTAGGCTTGTAAACCAGAGTGGCTTTCATACATGCTAATGTGGAACTTTTCTGGTCTGAGTGGTGTGTTTTATGCATGTAAGACTCTGCCTTACTATTAATTAGTGTCTGAGTCACCTATTGTTGGGAGGTAGTTGTTTGTGTGTGTGAGTAGGGGTGTGAAAATGAAATATTTTACATAAATTCTTTATTAGCTTAGGTACAAGTATATTTATTTCCTGTTGCAGTTTTCTTTAATTTATTGTATTGGGCTGAACAGAACTTCCTGTTTTTCTTGTAAACCATTCCCTACAACCACCATAACTTTCCCTAGCACCTGTGAGCTCTATACTTGTTGTGTTTGGACTTGTTCCATCTTAAATATTTGTGGTTTCTGCCTCTGTGGATTATACCCTGTAAATCTTACTCCCTAGTCATACCTAGGTTGATCAGTTGGCAGCCTGACTGCCTCTGAATGAGAAGTATGAGCAGGATAACTAGGCTTTTGAAAATGCCAGGAATGTTTAGTTTGGAGAAGGGATTTGATTTTGGTTATTTTACGTATTAGATTCTAACTGATCACTTCTGATTATGGGAGAAAGAAGATGACAGCAGAATGATTAATTTTTTAATTTCTATGAAACACAGGCAGTGTGTTTATAAACATTTTCTTACATTAACTTTTAAAATGGGCATATTTGCTCCCATTTTATAAGTGAGGAAACAGGCTTACAAGGGTAAGGAAATTGTTCAAGATTACCTAGTTGTAATTTTTTAAAATTAAAAAATTACTCTTTTTTTTGAGGTATGGTCTCACTCTGTCACCCAGGCTGGAGTGCAGTGGCACGATCACAGCTCACTGCAGCCTCAACCTCCAGGGCACAAGAGATTCTCCACTTCAGCTTCCCAAGTAGCTAGGACTACAGGCGGTGTACTACCAACCATGCCTGGCTAATTTTTTTGTACTTTTTATAGTGACGGGGTTTTACCATGTTGTCCAGACAGGTTTTGAACTCCTTGGCTCAAGTAATCCTCCTGCCTTGGCCTCCCAAAGTCCTGGGATTGCAAGTGTTAGCTACCATGCCCGTACCCTAGTTCTAAATGTTAATATGGAACTTGAACCCAGACATGTCTGACAGCAAAGCCTATTGTTTTTCCATTGAAACCACACTATTGATATTAAAATACTTCTTAATGTATTTTCATGTAAGATGAAAAGATGTAAAAAAACCTGCCTTATTTGTTTTTGTGGTTTGAGCATAGTGAAAGTATTCAGGATGGAGCTTTAGCACTTACTATCCTATGAGTACAGATGTGACTTTTTTTGAAAGCAGAATTTTTTTTTTCTACTACTGCTTGTGTTTCCGGACTTAAAGTTTACTTGATAGATGGAAGTGTAGATTATTGGCTAAATATATAATCATAATAGCCACTCAAATGAAATCGTCATTTTATTTCCCTTATTGTACTTATTTTGGTTTAGAATTGATAACTTTTATTCAAGTATTTTGCATAGTTCTTTAACTTGATTGCCATGTGGCCATATGCTTTTTTTTTTTTTTTGAGACGGAGTCTCGCTCTGTCGCCCAGGCCGGAGTGCAGTGGTGTGATCTCGGCTCACTGCAAGTTCTGCCTTCCGGGTTCGTGCCATTCTGCTGCCTCAGCCTCCCGAGTTGCTGGGACTACAGGCGCCTGCCACTCTGCCCAGCTAATTTTTTGTATTTTTAGTAGAGATGGGGTTTCACCATGGTCTCGATCTCCTGACCTCATGATCCGCCTGCCTCGGCCTCCCAAAGTGCTGGGATTACAGGCGTGGGCCACCGTGCCCAGATGTTTTTTTTTTTTAATGATGAAAACAGTAGGCTTTACTTGAGGTCTTTTCTTTTTTATTTATAGTTTTAAAATAATCTGGTTGAGCTTATGCAAGAAAAAATATCCTAAAATTCAGGCTTTTATAGTTTTATAGTTTTATAATGTATTTTATAGTTTTATTTATAGTTTTAAAATAATCTGGTTGAGCTTATGCAAGAAAAAATATCCTAAAATTCAGGCTTTTATAGTTTTATAGTTTTATAATACATTTTATAGTTTTATTTATAGTTTTAAAATAATCTGGTTGAGCTTATGCAAGAAAAAATATCCTAAAATTCAGGCTTTTAAGTGTATGTGCCAGACACTGTTATAGGTAATAGAGATTAAAACTTTTTTATTTTATTTCATTTTATTATTATTTTACTTTTAGGGTACATGTGCACAATGTGCAGGTTAGTTACATATGTATACATGTGCCATGCTGCTGTGCTGCACCCATTAACTCGTCATTTAGCATTAGGTATATCTCCTAATGCTATCCCTCCCCCCTCCCTCCACCCCGAGATAAAAATTTTTAAAAGACATATCCTTTCTTTCTTTCTTGGGTACAGGATGGATATATTAATATATAGTTTTAATACAGTATGGTAAGTGCTATAATAAAGAAAATGCATAGAGTTCTTGGATATCTTTCACATATGTATTTCCAAACACAGCCTGTTGGACAAATTGGAGGGTTTATCCTGGTGTTTAAGTGTATCTTGAAGGATGAGTAGCTGAAGGAGTTGAGAATGGGATGGGAATAGAAAAGAGGCCATATGTAATTAGTAGGAACTTATATAATTTTCTGTAAGAAAAACAAAAATTTCATTGTTGCAGAAATAATGGGAAAAATAAAAATTAGATCAGAGTTGTTGAACTTAAATGTTTTATTTTTAATTAAGAGAAAGGAAGTTTTTTTGTCATTTTGTTGATCTAAGGAGAGAAATGTCCTAAGTGCTATAATGTTTGGAGAATATAAAGTTAATTTTGGAGATCACTTTTTTTCATATAGGTCATATGCGGAAAAGACCTGATGTATTAATGATGGTTATTCTTTTTTTCTTCCTCCAGAGTGAAGGGAATATTTTGATTGCCCAAAGAAATGAAATGCAGCAGAAGCTGTACATGTCAGTAGAAGATTTTATTCTGGAAGTTGATGAGTCATCTCTTAATAAACGCTTAAAAACATTGCAGGTTGGAATTAAAAATATATTAAATATACGTTAAATTGTAAGTTTATTTAAGAAGTGAAATTAGCATTTACCTTAAGACTTTAGATTGTTCTGTGATGGTTGCAAAAGTTTTTCCTGTTTCCTGAATTCTGATTTCTTTTTAATGGGATTAAAAGTTTATATTAATATATTTTGTGGCTATGTTTATATGCATATCTATCTTGCAAACAAGGTAAAATGGCTAGGGACTCCAGTATTCACTGGGGAAATTAATGGAGACAGGAGCAGTAGCAGGTATGTGGGTCCCTATCGTCCATTGCATTCTAGCAGAAAATGTAGTAGGACCACATGTTACAGGGAGAAGGGATCAACTCTGATCCATAAATTATAGGGTTTTTAGGCTCCATGACCAGGGAAGTTTCTCCCTGATGTGATCAGAGGCTAGAGTACTGTAGTACATATAGCTATATGATATGGTGGAATCTTGTCTTCAGCTCTGTCTTGCCAGCTCAGGAATGACTTTAATTCGGGGTGAATGAACATGACAGTGTTAAGTAATTTCACCTAATAATAGTGTTTCTCTCTACTTATTCAGATCTTTTTTTGTCCTTTAATATTGTTTAAAATTTTTCTCTATAAGTCCTCATGCTTTTTTCTTCATTTAACTTTTATTTATTTATGCTTTTGATTGCTTTTATGAATATTATCTTGTCATTTCCTAGTTTTGATTGAATAGAGGAATACTGTTCATTTTTATGTACTGGTGTTTCTCTGATAACTCTGCTGATCTCTCTTTTAGTTCTCATTTGTCTGTTGATACTCTGCTTTCTGTGTTTTCAAATGTTTTCATTTGAAATGTTTTCATTTTCTAATGTTTTCATTTGAAATGTTTTCATTTTCAAATGTTTTCATTTCATTTTCAAGTGTTTTCATTTGAAAACAATAACTCTTTAATCTTTTCTCTTCTAGTCCTTTTACCTTTTATGTATCTTTGAATTTTTACTGCTTTGGTCAGTTACCCTAGTACTAAGCTGACCAGTAGCTAATATCGATCTTGTTGTGGACTGCAGGGAGTAAGCTTGCTAGAAATTTGGAGAAGAAGATATTCAGGGACATCTGGGCATTGTTTCTTTCTGTCCTGCTGGATGAAGATGTAGTTTTGATGATGCACCACATGGCTTAAGAACCATTGGAGCCCTGGTTTGAAACATTTTCTTAATTGGAATTGCATAAATAGTATAAGTTCTTCCAGAATGTTGAAGTAAGCCTTGCATATAAAAGGGCAGTAATATAGTAAGAATTTAGCTTTCCACAATGCAGCTTCTACTTTGTCCCTTAAAGGTTTATTTCTTCTCACTGTTAGTAAATGTAGGTTAAGGTTCTGTAATTAAGATCATCTTTAAACCTCTTTTCTTTTAAAAGTTCAATGCTAGAAGACTTTTTGCCTTAACTGGCTTGTCTCCACTTCTAGTATTCCCTCAGGTCACCAAAATATTCTTTAAACTTCTCTTTATTTTGCTGAGAAATAGTTTATATTTTTCAAGTATCCAAGAAAGATATTTCTATAATGAAGGTCAAATAAATGAAAGTTCTTGATTTCTGATTTCCTCAGCATTTTATTTAGACTTCTTTTGTGGCATACAATACATGTTTGATTTTTTGTGACTGGTCTTCTTAAGTTCAAAAAGAAATTGTATTCTCGGTTTTCTTGGTGTACAGTTTTAGATATATCTAAAACTTGCTTAGGTTTTGGTTGGTTCAGTATATCAGTCTTTGAGATATTTTTGTTACATATATCTGAAATAGATAGGTTTGTCCCTATTTGTCCCTATTGTTCTTTTGGTTCTTGTTCAAAGTATTTCAGCGCCACATTGTTGGGTGTTAAGGTATTCATGATTGTAATGTATTTAAAAATGTGTATCCCCCCCATGACACATGTTTACCTATGTAACAGACCTTCACATGTACCTCCAAACCTAAACTAAAAGTCAAAAATAATAATAAAAATGTTTTCTTTTTAACTACTATGTAATCTTATTTTTTCACTTAGATTTTAAAAAATAAAAATTTTTTTGTTTGCCTTTTAAGTTCGTATCCCACCTTTCTTTTTGGTTAACACTGCAACATCTTTTCTTTTTTTCTATTTTTATTTTATTTATTTTTATTTTTCTTGAGATGGAGTCTCGCTCTGTCGCCTAGGCTGGAGTGCAGTGGCCGATCTCCGCTCACTGCAACCTCTGCCTCCCGGGTTCAAGCGATTCTCCTGCCTCAGCCTACCTAGTAGCTGGGATTACAGGCACACACCACCATGCCTGTCTAATTTTTTGTATTTTAGTAGAGATGGGTTTCACGATGTTGCCCAGGGTGGGCTCGAACTCCTGAGCTCAGGCAGTCTACCCACCTTGGCCTCCAAAGTGCTAGATTTACAGGTGTGAGCCACCGCACCTGGCTTCTCCCTTTATTTTTAACCTTTTGTATTCACGTTTTGAAATAACCTCTTGATAACACACTAATGGATTTAATTTTTGAAAGCACCCAACGTATATCTTTTTTGTTGGTAACTTAATTTACATATTTATAATTACTGTTTTATTAAAACTTATTTCTGTTTATCATCGTTTCTTTTTCTCTCTTTTTCTAACTTACACCTCTTATACTTTTTTTTTTTTTTTTGAGATGGAGTCTCACTCTGTTACCCAGGTTGGAGTGCAGTGGCACAGTCTTGGCTCACTGCAACTTCTGCCTCCTGGGTTCAAGTGATTCTCCTTCCTCAGCCTCATGAGTGGCTAGGATTACAGGCAGGCCTGGCTAATTTTTGTGTTTTTAATAGAGATGGGGTTTCATCATGTTGGCCAGGCTAGTCTTGAACTCCTGGCCTCAAGTCATCCACCCGCCTCAGCCTCCCAAAGTGTTGGGATTACAGGCGTGAGCCACTGTGCCCGGCCACTCTTCTAATACTTTAGAACATTCTTATCTGCCTTTGGTGTCTTTCCTCTCTTTCTCTACCTCCTTCCCCAAACCAACCAGTGAACCTACCACAATTGTCTAGGATTTTAGTCACGGGTTATTATAGATATTGTGTGTGATAGCTCAGTTAAATAGACTTTAGAGTTATTTTTCCATTCTTATTTCATAAGTCGTTTATCTCTTGGCTTTCTCTGTATATTGGAATATTTTCTCTAAGAGTGCTTTCAAAGAAATCTTTGTGTATTTGATTTTGCGAGTTATTTGATATTTCAGGATATCTCATTTCAATCTCAAATACAAATAGTTGTTTAGCTGACTATAAAATAGCAAGTTCAAAGGCCATGTTTCCTTTACACCTTTGACAATAATAATCTATTGTTTCATTTCTATCATTTTATTTCTTTATTTATTTGAGACAGAGTCTTGCTCTTTCACCCAGGCTGGAGTGCAGTGGTGCCATCTCAGCTCACTGCAACCTCTGGCTCCTGGGTTCAAGCAATTCTCATGCCTCAACCTCCCGAGTAGCTGGGACTACAGGCATGCACCACTGTGCCCGGCTAATTTTAGTAGAGATGGGGTTTCACGATGTTGGCCGGGCTGGTCTCGAACTTCTGACCTCGAGTGATCCGCCTCTCTTGGCCTCCTAAAGTGCTGGGATTACAGGTGTGAGCCAAAGTGCCCAGCCTTCTTATTTCCATAATTGTTATCAGTCTAATCTTTGTTCTTCTGTGATCTTTTTTCCCTCTGGAAGTTTTAAAATTTTCTCTTGACTTTGTTCTTAAGTTGCATCAGAACATGTTTATGTTTTGACTGAATCTGAGCCAGTTCAGTCTGAGGTTTTATATATTTCTTTAATTGTAGGTAATACTTGATAATTATTTATTGAGATACTTCTCTCCCCCATTAATTTTTTCTCTTATTCTGAGACTTCTGATAGATATTTCAGCTTCTATTTCTGTTATCTACATATTTTAATGGCTAATCTATTGTTTAAAATCTTTTTATCTTATGTAGGAGGTGGGTTAAACTAAATAAATAAATACAATCTTTTTATCTTGTTGGTGTCTTTTTGGAGGGATCCTTGACTTAACCATGTAGCTAATGAATTAATCCTCTAGCTGTGTCCCTTCTGCCATTTAGCCAATCCATTGCATTTTGTATGTCAAAGATTATTTCTTTTATATTTAATATCTTCAGTTGGTTATTTTTTATTTATAAGTACTTGGCTTTTGTGTTTCCAATATTCTTTCTTTTGTTGAGAATATTTATTATGCTTATTTTTGAGTTCTTACTGTTATCTGGGCCATTGACACTGATTTTGCTTCCTTTTTATAAAGTGGCTTAGTTTTTTATACTTCTTTCAGAGTGCTTGTGCTGTTCACACCATTTTATCCTCTTCTTATCTCTCCTCAAGATCTCATATTCCCTTGGAACTATAAGCTACCTTAGTTCTTTGCTGTTGTGTAGTTATATGAAGGGCCTAGGGAAGAGTGAAAGTCTGGACCACAACTTTTAAGACTTTGGATAGGTTTAGGGAATAGAATGGGGTTATTTTTATTTTTAAGGGTCTAGCTTCTGATGTTGCCATCTGGGATTATCTACTTCCTCTTTGCTTCTCTCCTGGGTGGTCTGTCCTACTCTTCAGCAAACCTCTATTCCCTCTGCCTCAGCTACTGCTCCTTTCCAGGCACTACCACCCTTAGATGTAAATGCTGCCAGATATTCAGGGGAGAAGTGAAGGAAAGAGAATGGTCAGGGGCTGGCCAGCTCTTCTGTATTGGTTATCAGTTTTTGCCTCATCTGTGTTCTTGTGCTGTACTTGCATAAACCTGTTGCCTCTTGATGGTGCTGCTGTTTTTCTTTCTGATGTGAGGGAGAGAGAAGAGCCTATGAAAAAAGTTTTCTTTTCCCACAGGTAATTCTGTGCTGTGACACAGTCCTTCTTTCACTTGTAGGGACTTTGTTAATTCAATGCTAAACACCAACCATCCTCTGCCTAAGATTTCTCAGAGTTTTGTGATTAAAAACTTCTGAGATCTCTTAAGCTTTTTTTCTTATCTCTGTAAAATTTCTAGGGTTTGATTTCTGGAGAGAGCTAGCAGGCTGTGCCTATCTTGTCTTTTCCAATTCTTTATTACATTAAAAAATTTTATTGTTACTGTTATTTTTTTTTTGTGCACCTGCCCCGACAAACCCAGCCAGGCCAATTCATTAAAAAAATGCCTTTAAGTACAGTCAAGGGCTGCATGGTTTGGTCAGTGATGGACTGCATATATGGTGGTGGTGCCATAAAATTATAGTACTTAACTGTACCTTTTCTGTGTTTACATAGGCAATCATTGTTACAATTGCTTACATTATTCAGCACAGTAACATGCTATATCTAGGAGCAGTAGGCTATAGCATGTAGTTTGGTTGTGTAGTAAATTTATACCATCTAGGTTTGCATCAGTACACTCCATGATGTTTGCATAATGATGAAATTGCCTCACGATGCATTTCTTAGAAGATATCCGTGTTGTTAAGTGATGCATGATTGTCCATATATATGTTTAATGTCTTTACTTAATTAGAATTATTTGTATATTTTAGCGTGTAGTTTATTTTTATTTGGCAATCGGTCTTAGAAACTTTCATGCCAGGACAAACAGTAGTGATTCTTATGATAGACAAAGGAGACTCAGAAGGGTGATTAGGGGTGGAGAGTGGTGGATGTTGAGAAATTACTTAATGGGTTCAATGTACATTTGGATGATAGATACACTAAAGCCCAGACTTTACCACTACACAATATATCCATGTAGCAAAATTACTCTTGTACTTAATAAATTTATACAAAAAGTTAGGGAAAACAGGGTAATGTCTACTTAATTAAAAACCATAAGGATATAAAGCTTTCTATTTGTAACTAATTCACTTAATAAACTTTACTGTTATGGTCCAAATAAACCACCTTCTAGGTAGTTTTGTGTTTTCATCTCTATCTGATGATTCTAAGTTGTATTTATGAAATTCTCAAGAATGGGGATTCAGCATACTGCTTTTCTACCCCTTAGATCCTAACACAGTGCTCGAATCCTGAATTAGTTAATAAACTTTAATAAACAGAAGTATATCTCTCTGCAGGATTTGTCAGTCTCTTTAGAAGCAGTGTATGGACAAGCCAAAGAAGGAGCAAATTCTGATGAAATACTTAAAAAATTTTATGACTGGAAGTGTGATAAAAGAGAGGAGTTCACCAGTGTTAGAAGTGAAACAGACGCTTCTCTGCACCGTCTTGTAGCATGGTTCCAAAGAACCTTAAAGGTAATAAAAGCTCCTGCCCGGTTGTGTTTGTAGCATAAACCAGGGAATATATATTTTAAAAATCACGCGCTTTGTTCAAGAGCTGACATCATCTACCTACTATGTATCAGATTTAAAATTGCCACCTTACCAGTCAAGGTTCTTTATTAGCTTTTAGTCAGATTGCTCCTTTTATTAGTCTCAAAAAAATCATATCGGTCTTGTTCCTCCTTTTTCTCAGCTTTTCCTAAGGATTGTCCTCTTTCCTCTTTTAACCATTTATTTATTTTCTTACAGTATGCTATGTGTATGTACCTTTTCCTTTCAGTGCATAAATTTTATGAGGGTAGGCACTTTTTTTTCCTGCATTCCTAGTTCTTTTACATTGCCCAGGGTATAGCTTAATACTCTGCTTCAGGTATTAAGGCACGATGAATGCTGATTGAATTAAATGAGATATTTCATGTGTTTATTTTTGCAAATGAGGTTTTTGACCTATCTGTGGAAGGATCACTGATTTCAGAAGACGCAATGGATAATATTGATGAAATCCTAGAGAAGACTGAGTCAAGTGTCTGCAAAGAGCTGGAGATAGCTCTGGTTGTGAGTATCGATATTCTTTATTATTGCCTCCTTTGAAGCAGTGTGGTTTCCTTTCATGGTTAGAAAGTATTAACCAATAATAGAGTTTTTCTTGCTAGTTAGAAAGTATTAAGACTGATCTTAGCTTTCTTCTAATAGGCTTGTTGAAAGAGTAACAATGTCTAGTTCTAATCCAGACACCATGCAAAGTCTTATTCTTAGGTGACATTTTTGTTTTAATAGGACATTTCACATAAAAAATCTGTTTAATTCTAAGAAAACTGCTCTTAATTTGAGTGGACAATCTTGTCTATATTTTGATTCTTGAATGCGTCATACCAAATGACTATAAGAAGAGACTCCTTAGAGTTTGTGAAAACTTAAAATCTGAGAGAGCTCTGAAAGTTGACACACAAGATGGAGTGGTCATCCTCTTTCTTTCTCCATTGTGTATATTCTTTGTTACAGTGTCAAGGTAAAAATTAGTGTAGCTACTCCAAAGGGTGTTTTGTAATTTTAATTATTGCTCATTGGGACTCTTCCCAGTTATTCAGGCTGCTTTCCAATGTTTCAGTGGTTAGGCTTCTCATTTTACTTGTTTTTTCTTTTTTTTACTTTTTATAATTTTACTCATATTGGCATTAAAAATACATTAAGAAGTTTTATATTGTTAAATAGTCCTGATGTAGATAGTTTTGTCAGACTTGATTTTAGTAGTAGTTGTTAACAGGTGATTTCTAAAAGTAAAGTGTTGAAGGTCTATATATTGTTTATAGTTCTTATATTTAGCATATTAGTATCCCTGATTTCCATTAATGCTCTTATTCTACACAGCTTTGGGAATAATGGTGTAATACGGGTAAAGTTTCCCATATGAATGGCTTTGCTTTTTTTAGAGAGACAGTGTCTTGCTCTGTCGCCCAGGCTGGAGTGCATTGATGTGATCCTAGCTCACTGCAGCCTTGAACTCCTTAATCTCCCTGCCTCAGCCTCCCTTGTAGCTAGGACTACAGGTGTATACCACTGTGCTCAGCTAATTAAAAATTTTTTTTTAGGGACTGGTCTCACTATGTTGCCTGGCTGCCATATGAACATCTTTGATATCTATCTATCTTCTGACTAGGAAAACATTTGTGTTTAAGAACTGTTTTGAAATCACTGCGGAAATCTGTTAAAGGCATAATTTTGAAGTTTATCTATTGTTATTGGAGGCCTTAGCTGTTTTGGATATTCCTTTGTGTATAATTCTATGTGTGTGATTTCATTTAGGATCAAGGTGATGCAGACAAGGAGATAATTTCAAATACATATAGTCAAGTACTGCAAAAGATTCATTCAGAGGAAAGGCTCATTGCCACAGTACAAGCTAAGTACAAGGACAGTATTGAGGTTTGATTGTGCTTTCTCTTATTGATCTTATAAATTGATGATTTGAATTTTTCAGTACTTAAATTTTTCTATTGTTGTTTAATACTCAGTGTCAGTAAATTGTTATTACTAGAATTCACTGTCAACTGGAAATGGTGATTTTTGATGATATAAATATATCAAATTTTTTATTGTTTTAAATATTTTATTATGTCCATGAGAACCACAATTTTTAACATCATTTTCTTTTTGCCTGTATGAGTCTACTGTAGATAATTTGCTATATACAGAAAGATAAGAAATAAAACATTGCTTATAATTCCCTTAGCCTAAGAGATAGTTTTAGAGTATTTACTCACTGGATGTGCATCTGTATGTTTGTGAGCATATATATATGCATTGCATTGTTTTTTAAGTTACTTCAAACATACTTTCTTCATTTAATGGTATATTATGAACATTTTTCTATATGATTTTTCTATACTGTCATCTTGAGTGACTAAATCCTCATCCCTATGTAGATGTACAACAACATTAACCTTTCATGTGTGTTGGACATTAAGGTTACTTCCAATTTTTCCTACCATAAATAACACTGTACATATGTTTGTGCATAATTTTTTGTTTTTATTTCTCAGATTTCTAAATTCTATAATTACTGAGTTAAAAGGAATGGACATTATTAATTAAAACTTGATACATATTTTCAAACCACTTTTGGGAAAGATGATTTCAGTTTACATCCTCACTAGAAATTCCTTTTTCATCCATACTAACAATGTGTGTTTTATTGTATGTCTCAGTTTGAAATATTACTTTTGTCTTTGTTACTTTGAGTGCTGGAACTGATATTCTTCTAAATAGAAACATGGATTAAAAAGGAAATCTATTGAATTGTCTTGTTGAAAATTATAGATTTTCTTGGTATTTCAGTCTGAACTCAGTAAATACTAGTTGAATCTTAACAGAGAAATAATAAATGATCACTGTTCAATAAATACTTTTCTTATGTGTTTGAAAATACGTAACTTTTGTTTACTTAGTTTAAAAAGCAGCTTATTGAATATTTAAATAAGAGTCCCAGTGTGGATCACTTGCTATCCATTAAGAAGACATTGAAAAGCTTAAAAGCTCTACTCAGATGGAAATTGGTTGAAAAGAGTAATTTGGAAGAGGTAAGGAAACAGTTGTTTCTTACTGATCTTTATGTGCATCTCATTTTACTTGGTCTCTGCTTCATAAAAATAATGCATAAATACACTCTTTACAATAAGAGAGCCATTACATTCACATTTTGTTTTATATACTTTATCTTGTTTTCTGTGTATATAAATAAAATTGAGATTACAGTAATAGTGTAAAAATTTTCCTATATCATTAAATATTCTTTAAAAACATTTTCCTAGGCTGCCTTGGTTCTTAGTAACATGAACATTTTAGAATAATTTTAAAAGCTCTTTTAGTTTGGACTGTTAGAATGTTTATTGTAATACCAACTTGCTACATGCAGGTGACAGGGTACCCCCTCGAAGGTAGCGTTTTGTCATAAAGTATTTTTAAGATCATGGTATCTTTTGTTAACTCCCTTTTTATGGATAGATGTAATATTTCTTGCAAGTATTTTAAGTTGCTTTTATATGATAATAGAACTGGAGAGGATTAGGATGCCCTAATCTGGACTAACTTCTTCCTTTAGGCTTGAAACTTTGTGAATAAGATAGTAAACTTTGTGTTCCTTTGAGGATTTGATTTATGTACAAGGATCTGTATTATGCCTTAATCCAATTTGAATTATCTGTCTTCTACTTCTGAGCACTGAATTGGGGGTGGAGCGGAGGACTATTCTAGAACTAATATCATAGTTGAAGAACTTTCTAGTTTTATTCTATTCTGGGCTTTGGGGAAGTTGATTTTTTTAGTCTGATTTTTCAACTTTTGGAGAAATCTGACTTTTGTTATACTTTAAGTTCTGGGATACATGTGCAGAATGTGCAGGTTTGTTACATAGGTATACACGTGCCATGGTGGTTTGCTGCACCCATCAACCCGTCACCTACATTAGGTATTTCTCCTAATGCTATTCCTCCCCTAGACCCCCACCCCCTGACAGGCCCAGTGTGTGATGTTCCCCTCCCTGTGTCCATATTTTCTCATTGTTCACCTCATCTTATGAGTGAGAACATGCGGTGTTTGGTTTTCTGTTCCTGTGTTAGTTTGCTGAGACTGATGGTTTCCAGTTTCATCCTTGTCCCTGCAAAGAACACGAACTCGTCCTTTTTTATAGCTGCATAATATTCCATGGTGTATATGTGCCACATTTTCTTTATCCACTCAATCATTGGTGGGCATTTGGGTTGGTTCGAAGTCTTTGCTATTGTGAACAGTACTGCAGTAAACCTACATGTGCATGTGTCTTTATAGTAGAATGATTTATAATCCTTTGGGTATATACCCAGTAATGGTATTGCTGGGTCAAATGGTATTTCTGGTTCTAGATCCTTCAGGAATTGCCACACTGTCTTCCACAATGGTTGAACTAATTTACACTCCCACCAACAGTGTAAAAGTATTCCTATTTCTCCACATCCTCTCCAGCATCTGTGGTTTCCTGACTTGTGTGTGTGTGTGTGAGTGTGTGTGTGTGTGTGTGTGTATTTGTATGTTGCCTATGTTGTTTTTTTTTTCATTATTATACTTTAAGTTCTACAGTACATGTGCACAACGTGCAGGTTTATTACATAGGTATACATGTGCCATGTTGGTTTGCTGCACCCATTAACTAGTCATTTACATTAGGTATTTCTCCTAATGCTGTCTCTCTCCCTGCCACCCCCCACCCCACAACAGACCCCGGGGTGTGATGGTCCCCTTCCTGTGTTCAAGTGTTCCCATTGTTCAGTTCCCACCTATGAGTGAGAACATGTGGTGTTTGGTTTTCTGTCCTTGTGATAGTTTGCTGAGAATGATGGCTTCCAGTTGCATCCATGTCCCTGCAAAGGACATGAAATCATCCTTTTTTATGGCTGCATAGTATTCCATGGTGTATATGTGCCACATATTCTTAATCCAGTCTATTATTGATGGGCAACTGGGTTTGTTCCAAGTCTTTGCTATTGTGAATAGTGCCACACTAAACATACGTGTGCATGTGTCTTTATAGTAGCATGATTTATAATCCTTTGGGTATATACCCAGTAATGGGATGGCTGGGTCAAATGGTATTTCTAGTTCTAGATCCTTGAGGAATTGCCACACTGTCTTCCACAATGGTTGAACTAGTTTACAGTCCCACCAACAGTGTAAAAGTGTTCCTATTTCTCCACATCCTCCCCACTGTCTGTTGTTTCCTGACTTTTTAATGATCACCATTCTAACTGGTATGAGATCGTATCTCACTGTGGTTTTGATTTGCATTTCTCTGATGACCAGTGATGATGAGCATTTTTTCATGTGTCTGTTGGCTGCATAAATGTCTTCTTTTGAGAAGTGTCTGTTCATATCCTTTGCCCACTTTTTGATGGGATTGTTTTTTTCTTGTAAATTTGTTTAAGTCGTGGTAGATTCTGGATATTAAACCTTTGTCAGATGGGTAGATTGCAAAAATTTTCTCCATTTTGTAGGTTGCCTGTTCACTCTGATAGTAGTTTCTTTTGCTGTGCAGAAGCTCTTTAGTTTAATTAGATCCCATTTGTCAATTTTGTCTTTTGTTGCCATTGCTTTTGGTGTTTTGGACATGAAGTCCTTGCCCATGCCTATGTCCTGAATGGTATTGCCTAGGTTTTCTTCTAGAGTTGTTATGGTTTTAGGTCTAATATTTAAGTCTTTAATCCACCTTGAATTAATTTTTGTATAAGGTGTAAGGAAGGTATCCAGTTTCAGCTTTCTACATATGGCTAGCCCGTTTTCCCAACACCATTTATTAAGTAGGGAATCCTTTCCCCATTGCTTTCCCAGTTTTCCCAATAACATTTATTAAATAGGGAATCCTTTCCCCATTGCTTGCTTCTGTCAGGTTTGTCAAAGATCAGATGGTTGTAGATGTGTGACATTATTTCTGAGGCCTCTTTGTGTTCCATTGGTCTGTATATCTGTTTTGGCACCAGTACCATGCTGTTTTGGTTACTGTAGCCTTGTAGTATAGTTAAAGTCAGGTAGCATGATGCCTCCAGCTTTGTTCTTTTTGCTTAGGATTGTCTTGGCTATCTGGGCTCTTTTTTAGTTCCATATGAAATTTAAAGTAGTTTTAAAAAAATTCTGTGCAGAAATTCAGTGGTGGCTTGATGGGAATAGCATTGAATTTATAAATTACTTTGGGCAGTATGGCCATTTTCATGATGTTCATTCTTCCTATCCATGAGCATGAAAATTTTTTCCATTTGTTTGTGTCCTCTCTTATTTCGTTGAGCAGTGGTTTGTAGTTCTCCTTGAAGAGGTCCTTCACATACCTTGTTAGCTGTATTCCTAGATACCTTATTCCCTTTGTAGCAATTGTGAATGGGAGTTCACTCATGATTTGGCTCTCTGTTTGCCTATTATTGGTGTATAGGAATGCTTGTGATTTTTGCACATTGATTTTGTATCCTGAGACTTTGCTGAAGTTGCTTATCAGCTTAAGGAGATTTTGGGCTGAGACGATGGGGTTTTCTAAATATACAATCATGTCATCTGCAAACAGAGACAATTTGACTTCCTGTCTTCTTATGTGAATACCTTTTATTTCTTTCTCTTGCTTGATTGCCCTGTCCAGAACTTCCAATACTGTGTTAAATAGGAGTGGTGAGAGTGGGCATGCTTGTCCTGGTGACAGTTGTCAAAGGGATGCTTCCAGATTTTCCCATTCAGTATGATATTGGCTGTGGGTTTGTCATAAATGGCTCTTAATATTTTGAGATGCATTCCATCAGTACCTAGTTAGTTGAGAATTTTTAGCAAGAAGTGTGTCAAATTTTATCAAAGGCTTTTTCTGCATCTGTTGAGATAGTCGTGTGGTTTTTGTCATTGGTTCTGTTTATGTGATGCATTCTGTTTACTTATTTGCATATTTTGAACCAGCGTTGCATCCCAGGGATGAAGCTGACTTGATTTTGGTGGATAAGCTTTTTGATGTGCTGCTGAATTCAGTTTGCCAGTATTTTATTGAGGATTTTTGCATCAATGTTCGTCAGGGATATTGGCCTGAAATTTTCTTTTTTTTTGTTGTGTCTCTGCCAGGTTTTTGTACGAGGATGATGCTGGCCTCATAAAATGAGTTAGGGAGGATTCCCTCTTTTTCTGTTGTTTGGAATTGTTTCAGAAAGAATGGTACTAGCTCTTCTTTGTACCTCTGGTGGAATTCACCTGTGTATCTGTCTGGTCCTGGACTTTTTTTGGTTGGTAGGCTATTAATAACTGCCTCAATTTCAGAACTTATTGTTGGTCTATTCAGGGATTCGACTTCTTCCTGATTTAGTCTTGGGAGGGTGTATGTGTCCAGGAATTTTTCCATTTCTTCTAGATTTTCTAGTCGATTTGCATAGAGGTGTTTATTGTATTCTGTGATAGTAGCTTGGATTTCTGTGGGATCAGTGGTGATATCCCCTTTATCATTTTTTATTGTGTCTATTTGATTCTTCTTTATTAGTCTGGCTAGTGGTCTATCTATTTTGTTGATCTTTTCAAAAAACCAACTCCTGGATTCATTGATTTTTTTTTGAAGGGTTTTTCATGTCTCTATCTCCTCCAGTTCTGCCCTGATCTTAGTTATTTCTTGTCTTCTACTAGCTTTTGAATTAGTTTGTTCTTGCTTCTGTAGCTCTTCTAATTGTGATGTTAGGGTGTCGATTTTAGATCTTTTCCGCTTTCACCTGTGGGCATTTAGTGCTATAAATTTCCCTCTAAACACTGCTTTAGCTGTGTCCCAGAGATTCTGGTACATTGTGTCTTTGTTCTCATTGGTTTCAAAGAACTTATTTATTTCTGCCTTAATTTTGTTAATTACCCAGTAGTCATTCAGGAGCAGGTTGTTCAATTTCCATGTAGTTGTGTGGTTTTCAGAGAGTTTCTCAATCTTAAGTTCTACTTTGATTGCACTGTGATCTGAGAGACTTGTTTGTTATGATTTCTGTTCTTTTCCATTTGCCAGGAAGTGTTTTACTTCCAACTGTGTGGTCAGTTTTAGAATAAGTGTGATGTGGTGCTGAAAAGAATGTATATTCTGTTGATTTGGGGTGGAGAGTTCTGTAGGTGTTTATTAGGTCCACTTGGTCCAGAGTTGAGTTCAAGTCCTGAATATCCTTGTTAATTTTCCATCTCATTGATCTGTCTAGTCTAATACTGACAGTAGGGTGTTAAAGTCTCCCACTATTATTGTGTGGGAGTCTAATTCTCTTTGTAGGTCTCTAAGATCTTGCTTTATGAATCTGGGTGCTCCTGTATTGGGTGCATATATATTTAAGACAGTTAACTCTTCTTGTTGCACTGATCCCTTTACCATTATGTAATGCCCTTCTTTATTTTTATTTTTTTTTATCTTCGTTGGTTTAAAGTCTGTTTTATCAGATACCAGGATTGCAATCCCTGCTTTTTTTTGCTTTCCATCTGCTTGGTAAATCTTCCTCCATCCCTTTATTTTGAGCCTATGGTGTGTCTTTGCACGTCAGATGGGTCTCCTGAATATAGCACACCAATGGGTCTTGACTCTTTATCCAATTTGCCAGTCCTTGTCTTTTAATTGGGGCATTTCACCTGTTTACATTTCAGGTCAATATTGTTATTTGTGAATTTGATCCTGTCATTATGATACTAACTGGTTATTTTGCCCATTAGTTGATGTAGTTTCTTCATAGTGTCGACGGTCTTTACAATTTGGTATGTTTTTGCATTGGCTGGAACCAGTTGTTCCTTTCCATATTTAGTGCTTCCTTTAGGAGCTCTTATAAGGCAGGTCTGATTGTGACAAAGTCTCTCAGCATTTGCTTGTCTATAAAGGATTTTAGTTCTCCTTTGCTTGTGAAGCTTAGTTTGGCTGGATATGAAATTCTGGTCTGAAAATTCTTTTCTTTAAGAATGTTGAATATTGGCCCCCACTCTCTTCTGGCATTGTACAGTTTCTGCAGAGAAATTGCTGTTAGTTTGATGGGCTTCCCTTTGTGAGTAACCCAACCTTTCTCTCTGGCTTCCCTTAACATTTTTTCCTTCATTTCAACCTTGGTGAATCTGACAATTATGTGTCTTGGGGTTGCTGTTTTTGAGGAGTAGGTTTTTGGTGTTCTCTGTATTTCCTGAATTTGAATGTTGACCTGTCCTGCTAGGTTGGGGAAGTTCTCCTGGATAATATGCTTAAGTGTGTTTTCCAACTTGGTTCCCTTTTCCCTGTCACTTTCAGGTACACCAGTCAAACGTAGGTTTGGTCTTTTCACATAGTCGAATATTTCTTCAAGGCTTTGTTCTTTTTCATTTTTTTTCTTTAATCTTGTCTTCATGCTTTATTTCATTAAGTTGATCTTCAATGTCTGATATCCTTTCTTCTGCTTGATTGATTTGGCTATTGATACTTGTGTATGCTTCATGAAGTTCTCATACTTTGTTTTTCAGCTCCATGAAGTCATTTATGTTCTTCTCTAAACAGGTTATTCTAGTTAGCAATTCGTCTAACCTTTTTTCAAGGTTCTTAGCTTCCTTCCATTGGGTTAGAACATGCTCCTTTAGCTCGGAGGAGTTTGTTATTACCCACCTTCTGAAGCCTACTTCTGTCAATTCATCAAACTCATTCTCCATCCAGTTTTGTTCCGTTGCTGGCGAGGACTTGTGATCCTTTGGAGGAGAAAAGATGTTCTGGTTTTTGAAATTTTCACCCTTTTTGTGCTGGTTTTTTCTCATCTTCTTGGATTTATCTACCTTTGGTCTTTGATGTTGGTGACCTTTGGATGTGTTTTTTTTTGTGTGGACGTCCTTTTTGTTTATGCTGATGCTATTCCTTTCTGTTTGTTAGTTTTCCTTCTAACAGTCAGTCCCCTCTGCTGCAGGTTTGCTGGAGTTTGCTGGAAGTCCATTGCAGACCCTGTTTGCCTGGGTATCACCAGTGGAGACTGCAGAACAGCAAAGATTGCTACATGTCCCTTCCTCTGGAAGCTTCATCCCAGAGGGGCACCTGCCAGATGCTAGCCAGAGCTATCCTGTATGAGGTGTCTGTCGTCCCCTGCTGGGAGGTGTCTTCCAGTCAGGAGGATGGGGGTCAGGGACCCACTTGAGGAGGCAGTCTGTCCCTTAGCAGAGCTCGAGCACTGTGCTGGGAGATCCGCTGCTCTCTTCAGAGCTGGCAGGCAGAAACATTAAAGTCTGCTGAAGCTATGCCCACAGCCGCCCCTTCCCCCAGGTGCTCTGTCCCAGGAGGATGGGAGTTTTATCTATAAGCCCCTGACTGGGGCTTCTATCTTTCATTCAGAGATGCCCTGCCCAGAAAGGAATCTAGAGAGGCGGTCTGGCTACAGAGGCTTTGCTGGGCTGCGGTGAGCTCCGTGGAGTCTGAACTTCCTGGTGGCTTTGTTTACACTGTGAGGGGAAAACTGCCTACTCAAGCCTCAGTAATGACAGAGGCCCCTCCCCCAACCAAGCTGGAGTGACCCAGGTTGACTTCAGACTGCCATGCTGGCAGTGAGAATTTCAAGCTAGTGGATCTTAGCTTGCTGGGCCCCATGGGGGTGGGATCTGCTGAGCAGGACCACTTGGCTCCCTGGCTTCAACCCTCTTTTCAGGGGAGTCAACGGTTCTGTCTTGCTGGCATTCCAGGTGCAAGGGGGGTATGAATAAATATTCCAGCAGCTAGCTCGGTGTCTGCCCAAACGTCTGCCCAGTTTTGTGCTTGAAACCCAGGGCACTGGTGATGTATGCATCTGAGGGAATCTCCTGCTCTGTGGGTTGTGAAGACTGTTGGAAAAGCATAGTATCTGGGCCAGAATGAACCGTTCCTGATGGCACAGTCCCTCATGGCTTCCCTTGGCTAGGAGAGCGAGTTCCCCAGCCCCTTGCACTTCCTGGGTGAGGTGACTCCCCACCCTGCTTTTGCTTGCCCTCTGTAGGCTGCACCCACTGTCTAACTAGTCCCAGTGAGATAAGCCGGGTACCTCAGTTTGAAATGCAGAAATCACTCACCTTGTCTGTTGATCTCGCTGGGAGCTGCAGACCGGAGCTGTTACTATTTGGCCATCTTAGTATCTGGATCCTTGAAATCTGACTTTTAAAGTGTAAACCAAACTATCTGAGGCAGGTATCAATCAATTTAGAAAGTTTGTTTTGCCAAGGTTAAGGATGCATGCCTGGGAGGCAGGTCTGTGCCTTTCTCAGAGATGATTTTGAGGGCTTAAATATTTAAAAGGGAAAGGATGGATACTGGGGAAAGAGGAAGAAATTTTAAAAAGATGTGAGTAGATAAGAGACAGATGGTTTGAATTCTTTAATCCTTGATCACCTTTCAGCAAATACACTATTTACATTTGAGAGAGGGGTAGAGGAATAGTCACTAGCTCAGTGAATCTGCATTTTTACATCAGAGGAAGGAATCAGATATGCATTTGTCTCAGTTGAGCAAAGGGATGATGACTTAGAGTTCTGTCCTTTGTCCTGCACCTGAGAAAATAAGCCATCAATTTACCTTGTCAGGGTAAAATTCAACAGAACTGTTTTAGGGTGAAGATCCTGAGACCCATAAGGAATTTCCTACTGAGCAAATTGTGAGAGAGGTGTGCAGGGTTTTTATGGTTGTAGCTATCTTATTTAGGAATAAAATGAGAAGCTGGTTTGCCTGACACAGTTCCCAGCTTGACTTTTTCCTTTGGCTTAGTGATTTAAAGTTCACAAGATTTATTTTCCTTTCACAAAAGCATACATACTTTTTAAGGTGGCTTATGTATTATCATTGGAGACAGTTCACACATTTACTCATCCTTTTGTTTTGTTTTTAACTAAATATCATGTAGAAGACAATTCTAGGGAATTCAGGTGTATTCTGGTTGCTATTATTAACATTTCTTTTGTTCGAATGGCAGTTGGCCATCTTTATCTTAGAGAAAATCTACAGCAGATGAAGAGACAAGAAAAATCTGTATAATTGATTTTATGTCTTTACTTTTTGTAATTCCTTTTTCTAGGTTTCAGAAAAGTCATTGTTAGAATAAATTGACCTAAGTTAATTCAGCAAGTATTAGAAGGGTCTTTTATGTGCTAGGTACTGAAGGATACATAGAAACCACACAGAGTAATTTACTATAGAACTTGAATTCTTAAAAGAAGACTTGTTTTCTCTATGTTAATAAAAAACACTTTTTCTTTCTGATTCAAGTCAGATGATCCTGATGGCTCTCAAATTGAGAAAATAAAAGAAGAAATAACTCAGCTGCGCAATAATGTCTTTCAGGAAATTTATCATGAGAGAGAGGAATATGTAAGTATTTGGTTCTTTGAAGTTTTACATTAGGTTTTACTCTAGAAATTGAATTTAAATACCCGTTTTATGAAGTGGACTGTAATCACAAGGCTAGAGGTATTATATAGAAAGTTTATATATATATTGACCTGGTAAGATTTTTGTAAATTTAGAAATAAATTTCACATGACAAAATATTCTGACCATTGTACCAGTGTGGAAATAACTGAAAATTGTAAAGAAGGAAAAACATCACTTGTAATATTTCCACTCAGTGATAATAGTAGTAATCACTGTTAACTTTTGACTTTCTTTTAGTATTTTTTTGTTTGTTTTTAGAATTGAGATTATAGCACAGACACACTTTTGCATATTGCCTTTTTTCTGTTTAACATAAAACCTAAAGACCTTTTCCTTACATCAACGTCATTTTCCCATAATGTTGCAGTGAAAACATTAATGGAGCACATAATTTAGTTGAAGAATGTAACAAAATAAGTCTACCTGGTTTTGGGGGCAGGAGAAGTTACATCTTTTAAGTCTCTATTTTTACCACTGATTTTTGTGAGCTTGGGAAAATAAGTCATTGTATTTTTTCTTTAAAATGGAAGAATATTGTATTTTATATCTGGGAGATGTTACCAGGAAGAAGTTAGTTAAGAAACAGTGCTTTGAAAGTAAAAATACTGACCGGGCATGGCGGCTCACACCTGTAGTCCCAGCACTTTGGGAGGCCGAGGCGGGCGGATCACTTGAGCCCGGGAGTTTGAGACCAGCTTGGGCACATGGTGAGACCCCATCTCTACAAAAAATACAACAATTAGCTGGTCATGGTGTCATGTACCTGTAGTCCCAGCTGCTTTGGAGGCTGAGGCAGGAGGATTGCTTGAACCCAGGAGGTTGAGGCTGCATTGAGCTATGATCATGCCTCTGCATTCCAGCCTGGGCAACAGAGCAAGACCCTGTCTCAAAAAAAAAAAAAAAAAAAAAGAAAAGAAAAGAAAGTAATAATATTAATACTGTGAAAACAATAGGTAAGTGTCATGCTTTCTTTAGCAAATTCATCTGCGTATATGTAAATACCTTATGGACCTTGGGTTAAAATAGCGATCTTGCAATGATTTGACAAGTGTTTAGAAGTTTTGCTTAATAAATATGTGATAAGTGGCTTTTCTTTCGTGAGGGTACTCAATTTTCACATTTATTTCAAAGTTACTTATGTAGAGCTATGTGTTTTTTCTCTTAGGCTTTAAAAATTTTTCTTAACGAAACAGCTGTTATTTTAAAATGTCACTGTGTTCTTAATATTTTGAGAAATAATGACAGTTTTATGCCTCAAATTGAAATATTATCAGACATTTTCATTTTAGTTTGGAAGTGGGTGAGGACTTTGACCTTGCAAGATTTGTGCTTATGTATGTATCCAAAGCTTAAAATTGGTAATTAAATTTTTCTTCAATTAGTAAGATGGTAGTTTAGATGGGTTAAAAAAAAAAACTTCAGCCAACTTAAATTTAAAGGAGCAATGAACAATTCGCAAATTGGGCAGCTGAATCACAGCATATTCGGAGAGACTCTGGGGATGCTTTGTGGTCAGAACAAATTAATAGACGAAAAAAGGAAAGTGGCTTTCAGAAATTGGCAGCGAGGTACAGAAACAGCTATATTGGTTACAGATTGGTGTTTGCCTTATTTGAACACAGTTTGAACACTTAGCAGTCTGTAAGTGGTTGAAGTATGGCGGCTGGGATTGGCCAAGACTCAGCTATTGTTATAGGTCCACACTGCTAAGTTACATTTTCAGTCTCGTCTGCCTGTTAAGCTAGGTTGCAGTTCATCCACAAGGACTCAAATATAGAAGTACGGAGTCCTTCTCAGGCCATGTTTAATTTGCTTTAGCAGATGCAAGGTGAGTCGTGGTTTTCACTTGTTATTTCTTGAAGTAGAAGGCAAAATCAGTGATTATGTATCTTACTGGATATGTTATAAGGTAGATGCTGATATATTTTCCTGAAGAGCAACATGTCAAAATTGAATATATATTGATCTACAGTTAAAAACTTTTTTTTTTTAACTTTAGGAGATGCTAACTAGTTTGGCACAGAAATGGTTCCCTGAGCTGCCTCTGCTTCATCCTGAAATAGGATTACTCAAATACATGGTAAACTTTGTTTCCCTTGCGAATTACTACTCTTCAGAGGGTGTTGAAAAGTGATAATATTAAATTTGTGTCAGTGTTAAACTTATAGTATCTTTTAAATAAAAATACTCCTGATGAATATTTTATGGGTATTAGAACTTTTTCTTATGACCCTTTAATAGTTGCATGGTATATATTTGTATTTTTATGTAAATTTGCATTATCCGTTTTTCTGCTTTCCTCATCCTCATTCAGTACATTGCATGACACTTATTTGAATTATAGGTGTTTACTTTTTGAAATGACAAAATAAAATTTTAACTGCTATTTCAAGAGTTAGGATAAAAACAAGATATTGCTAGCCCTGAGGGATTTGAGCACAATGGGTTTTTTAAGTTAAAGCAGTCTGGGAAAAAATTCTAGAGAGGTTGGTTAAGGTAGAGATGTTGAGGTGGGTATGGTTTTCTAGGTAGGCAGGATTCAAAAGCTGGAGATCAGCATATTAAATAGGGGCCATAGGGAGCAGGATTAGTAAACACTGGTTTACTAATCTGTTAGTCCTGAATCTGTTAGTCCTGCGATTTATATTGCCTTCTACAGTGAGGGCCTAGATGAGGTATTTATTCATTAAGATTGTCACGAAGTCCATTATAATGGCTTAAATATGGTACAGAGAGGGATATTTGTGTAGACATGTGAGTTTATTCTAAAAAATATTTAAGATTAAAGTTCCCTAACTTAAATAATTACTCTAAACTCTTTCTAGACTAGACTTTAAAATGATGTGAGTTTTTTCTTGCAACTATTTAGCTTAGTGATTACCTTATGCAGTGTGGGCAAATAAGTATGTACTGCCACATGGGACTTGAAAATTAATATTTAAAAATATGCTAATCTACTTTATTATGGAAGATTATAAAAGGTTTGACTCATGGTTTATTGAAGTCTTTAATGGCTTTCTGATGTTTAACTGTAATGTATGCTTAGGAATTTTTTGTAGGTTGATTATGTATTGTAGAATACTTAAATGTACCGACAAGACTTAAAAAAAAAACCCAGAAAACAATTCTACAATGCCTCTTACTGAAACTGCACCACAGTAAAACTTAGCTTTGTTTAAAATGTTGATGATCATATTTTAGTGTGAAAAATTATTCCTTTTAAAAAGTAGCAGAAATATCTAGTAAAATTAGTTATTGAAAGCCATTTTCACTTTTGAGGACTCCAAACAGGGGCAGAGGTGTTAGAATTACTTCATGGTAGTCATAATTTTTGGACTAATCTTTCCCATTTGATACCTACATTTTTGTCATTATTTTACCTTATTTATTTTTTGTTTTTTTACAAATGTTTATTTCAGTAGTTTTTGGGGTACAGGTGTTTTGTGGTTACATGGATAAGTTCTTTAGTGGTGATTTCTGAGATTTTAGTGCACCCATCACCTGAGTGGTGTACACTAACCCAATATGTAGTCCCTCATTCCTCACCCCCGTCCCAATCAGTTGTTACTTTAGTATTTTTTAGGAAACATAAGTGGTTTTTCAAGTAAACATTAGGGATCCTAGGATGCATGTCTGGTTGATTCTAGTCATTTCCTGAATCTGTTCTAAAATTATAGCAGTAATTAAATGTATGGTGATTACACTTTGGGTAGGAGGAGTTTAAGAGCCAGGAACTGGAGAAAGTACACAGTTTTAAAGATTTTAATTTTGTTGGTTTTTCCAGTACAGTTGATGGTGTCCAAGTCATTTAATATCGTGTAACTAATTATTTTGATGATTTTTAAGTGCTGGGATTGTTTGGATTCTTTAACTGTGATAAAAACTTGTGCCTAGAACTCTGGTGGTCTCCTTACAATGAGCTTGGAACGAGATCTTCTTGATGCTGAGCCCATGAAGGAACTTAGCAGCAAGCGTCCTTTGGTACGTTCTGAGGTTAATGGGCAGATAATTCTGTTAAAGGTAAGTCTAACTTCTTCTTACTTGTGGGAGATTCAGCAGCATAAAGGATAGTGGTGCTGTTACATTTCAAGAAAGAAAAAACCTCACTGTTAGTTTTCTAAAGTGTATAAGTTGACTGGCATGATAATTGTGCTTGTAGTTTGGTTGCCAGAACTAATTTTCACTTTTAAAGTTTCCCTCAATTGAACAATGAGAACACTTGGACACAGGGCGGGGAACATCACCCGTGGGGGCCTGTCATGGGGTGGGGGGCAGGGGGAGGGATAGCATTAGGAGAAATACCTAATGTAAATGATGAGTTAATGGGTGCAGCAAACCAACATGGCACATGTATACATATGTAACAAACCTGCACGTTGTGCACATGTACCCTAGAACTTAAAGTATAATAATAAAAATAAGTATATAAAAGTCATTAAATAAAGCTTTGTCTCACAAGAAAAAAAAATAAAGTTTCCCTCATTTCCCTAAATAGAATATGTCCTTAATAGGATATACTTTCCTTTTTTTTTGGGTGAACTTATTATAGTCATCCAATATCTTTTTAAAATTCTTGATTTTCTTACATTTCTCCTTGAAATCTCAGCTGTGTTATCAGTACAATCTTCTACTCTTTAATTTCTTCTTCTCATTGATCTGGGAAACTGTTAATCATGATAATAAGATAATTAATTTGGCCTTAGTTGCTACACATTCTAGAATGTGTAGCAGGCTACAGGTAGAATTGCACTTTCCTTTTCCAAATTATAGCATTCAAAGAAGATAGAAAAGTACTTATAAAATTAAAAAATAAAATTAGATTTGATTTAACTTAAAATAATGAATTATGTTTAAATTGGAATGATGTATAATTATAATGAGATTTTCATCTTGGAATTACGAGTGCCTCTTTCTTTGGTACAAGGGCTATTCTGTGGATGTTGACACAGAAGCCAAGGTGATTGAGAGAGCAGCCACCTACCATAGAGCTTGGAGAGAAGCTGAAGGAGACTCAGGGTTACTGCCATTGATATTCCTGTTTTTATGTAAGGTAAAGTTCTTATGCTAATCTCTTGCAGAAACCATTTTATCTTGCAGAAACTATTTTATTTAAAATAAATTTTAGCTCCAGGTTTTAGAGCAGCAGTTCATTCCCCTTAACATAAAAGAAAAATTATCCCATAGAATCAATGTATGCTAAAAATATGTTGAAGAAGTTTTTACTTGGAGTCACATTCTCTGTTTTGCTTCTTAGTCTGATCCTATGGCTTATCTGATGGTCCCATACTACCCTAGGGCAAACCTGAATGCTGTTCAAGCCAACATGCCTTTAAATTCAGAAGTAAGTAAAAAGCACTATTTATTTCCATGGATGTATTAAATGAGAAAATAACACCTGATATTTATTCAGGCATACTACATGCTATGTATTTTGTAAAATTTTGACTCATGGTATTCTATTTGTCACCTCAAGCCTGTGATAGAAGTTATCGTGTTATATAGATGAGAAAAAGCGTTAAAGGGATTAGATTAAGTGACTTGCACAGGGTCCGTTAGCCAGAGGTAGAGCTGGGACTCGAAATTAAGTCTTTCTGGTTCCAAAGCCCAAACTTACAACTGCTAAGCTGTGCTGTATGTGAACTGCCTAATATAGCACTTGGTACTGTAAGTGCTTAAGTGGCAGCTTTAATTTTTGTCATTGTAAGTTTAGGATTAGTAATAACAGTAAAGGAGGCCCTGATTCTTCTTATGGAGTAACACTGTTTCAGTCTCTTATAGCTACTTTACATGGTTGGTATTTGTAATCCAAGTCTTCTTTGAGATGATAGAACAGGTGTCCTCAGACCCCAGGTCGCAGACTGGTACCAGTCTGTGGCCTGTTAAGAACAGGGCGGCACAGCAGGAGGTGAGTGGCAGGTGAGCAAGCATTACTGCCTGAGCTCCACTTCCTGTAAGATCAGTAGAGGCATTAGATTCTCATAGGAGCATAAACTCTATTGTGAACTGTGCATGTGAGGGATCTAGGTTGCGCACTCCTTGTAAGAATCTAATGCCTGTGATCTGAGGTGGAACAGTTTGATCCTGAAACCAACCCCCTGCATCCATGGAAAAATTGTCTTTCATGAAACCGGTCCCTGGTGCCCAAAAGGTATGATTGTACACACACACACACACACACACACACACACACACACACACAAACACACACAGGCACACATGGTATCACCATTACAAAATCAAGCCTTCATCTGGTCTTTCTCTATGCTGTATTCTTATTAATGGTTCATTTCGAGGAAACTTTACTCACTTCTAGAGCAGTCTTTTAATTAGAGAACAGTTTCAAGATTAAAATGATTTGCCTACTTCCTCACTTCTTTTATGTGTACTTATCTATAGGAAACTTTAAAGGTCATGAAAGGTGTTGCCCAGGGTCTGCATACATTGCATAAGGCTGACATAATTCATGGATCACTTCATCAGAACAATGTATTTGCTTTAAACCGTGAACAAGGAATTGTTGGAGATTTTGACTTCACCAAATCTGTGGTAAGATATCATGGTTTTACAAATAGGTTCTAGACTTTATTTAATATTATTAAGCAGTAGTTCAGCACTTATATATAATATAATACTTTATTATAGGATCTTTGTCTTCAGTTAAACTGTGTCATGTAGTATAAGCAACTATTTGCCCTCAGCTAGATGCTAGAACAGCAGGAGTATTGTGTATTTTAACCATAAGTCTTAGGAGCTACCTGACATTATATACTCAATGGCATTGACAACATTAATAATTTTGTCATCATTAGGAAACATTTAATTGCTAGGAAACATGTAAGGAAACTAGGTGGCCATCTCCTAAACCTCTCTCCACTGGTGTCCCTCCGTCTATAGATACAATTTACATATACGTACTTTGCTGTTTTTTGATTAATAATGTGCATTTTTAGAAACCGGGGAACCTTGGACTTTTTAGTTTAAATCCTGATTCACCTCTAATGGCTGTTAATTCAGTGTCATATTACCTCAGAATAGGCAGTTTGTAGAGATAGCAAAATCACACAATTTAAGAGCATGTTGTGATTTTTTTGTCGTTATAATGGAAACAATTCTCTATTTTAATTGAGAAATAAAAATTGTATATATTTATCATATACAACATGATGTTTTGAAGTATGTATACAATGTGGAGTGGCCAAATCAGTAATTATTTTTCTAAACATTACAGCTTTATTGAGATACAATTCACATAATGTATACAATTCATTAATAGTTTGTAGTACATTCACAAAGTCGTGCAGTGATAACCAGTATTGAATTCCAGAACATTATTAACATTCCCAAAAAGAAAATCCATACTGATTAGCAGTCACTCAAATTTCCCACTTCTTCTCAAGCCTGGAAACTACGAATACACTTTCTGTCTCTATGGATTTGCCTATTTGGACATCTCATGTAAATGGAATGATACAATATGTGGCCTTTTATGCTAATTTCACTTAGCATAGTGTTTTCAGAGTTCATCCACGTTATTGACTGTATCAAAATGTCATTCCTTTTTATTGCCAAATTATATTTCATTGTATGGATGCACCACATTTTGTTTATATATTCATCAGTTGCTGGACATTTGGTTGTTTATACTTATTGGTTATATGAATAATGCTGCTATGAGCTTTAGCATACAATATTTTTTGTGTGGACATGTTTTCATTTCTCTTGGGAGTGGAATTACTGGGTTACATTGTTTTACTTTTTGAGGAGCCAAACTGTTTTCCAAAGTGGCTACATCATTTTATATTCTTCCCAGTAATGTATAGGGATTTTGTTTTCTCTACATCCTTGCCAATATTTTTTATTATCTGAGCAATTCCCTTTGACTAGTATATGTTATAATGCTTTTATACTTTGGTCATCTGCAAGTCATAGTGTAATGCTACTGGAGTATATATAGTCTTAATGGTTTTGATATGGTAGCTCAAAAAGATGAGAAAATGAAACTGCAACTGTAATCAAAAGCTGGATTGTACAGGATTTATACAGATTGATTTTCTGAAATATTTACTTTATTACATTAGTTTAACAAAATTAAGATATCCTAAGAAATATAACTAAATTATGAATTTTGAAAGATCTCAACCTTCAGGGGTTCTGGTTAGTTTACCTTTTGAGCATACTATTTGCATAATTATAGATATGACTACAATAATTACTCTTTAGTCATTCGTCATCTGTTATTATTCCCCAAAACATTGTTTTTAATTTTCAGTTAAAAATATTTATTCTGAAATATTGATCAAACTCACCTTTTGCTACATTTTCCATGCAATTTTCAGATTGAAGTGGTTATCAGGAAGATAAATTTGAAAAGTAGTCTGAGGTCAAGATCATTGCTTTTCAGGCCTTATAGTGCATACAACTCACCTGGGGTTCATGTTAAAATGCAAATTAATATTCAGCATTTCTGCAGTGGATCATCTGCATTTCTAACAAGCTACCAGTTAATGCTGTAGCTCCTGGCCCTTGGACCATACTTTGAGAAGCAAGGATCAAAATCGTAGCTAGAAAAAAGATAGCACTTAGTGACACATGCTAGGCATTGTATCTCTGTAAGGTAGACATTATTTCCATTTTACAAATTAATTCAGGCTCAAAGAGGTTTACACCTACTATGTACCCATAAAAATTAAAAATAAATTTTAAAAATGGACAAAAAAGAGGTTAAAGCCCTCGGTCCCACAGCAAATAAATAGGAGAGTGGGGAATTGTAACCAAGATCTGCCTGAATATAGGATTCATGCTATTGTCACTGATCATCTTTGACATGTTAGAAATGGTATATTTAGAGAATGATCAGTAAGGAAGGAAAGTGCTTTGTAGGATTTCAGTTCTTAAATGAATTATTTAGAATTTTCAGAATTAGAACATGGCACTGCTGCTCACTCTTGTGAAATTTATTTTTTAAAAAGAGTATCAAATGTTTAATCACAGAATAAGTGGTTGTTAGTATTAAATCTGTTCAAGTCTACAAAGTGAATGTAAAAAAAAGTCCCATAGTTAATTTATTAGACTGATTTTAAGAGCAATTTATAATAGCAGAAATTGGTAAAAATATTTGAAAGCAAGGGAATGAAATATTTAAAATGAATTTGTTTTTTGTATTGATTAAATGCAGAGTACTTCACAGAAAGTCACCTCAACTGTGTTGTATCTGAAATATGTAAAATATTGTTTTTGCAGAGTCAGCGAGCCTCGGTGAACATGATGGTTGGTGACTTGAGTTTGATGTCACCTGAGTTGAAAATGGGAAAACCTGCTTCTCCAGGTTCAGACTTATATGCTTATGGCTGCCTCTTATTATGGGTATGTTATTTTTTTGTTGAAATAGATCATATATATATATATTTCAGTATATAAAGTGATGATTTTATAGTGATTCTCCTTAAAAATAAAAAGCAGCAGACTTTTAGTAGAACTTTAAGTTTTAACAAAAACTATTGATATGCTTCCTATTACCTATTGTGTACTTTCTACAAATTGGCTTGATGTATATTTTAGGTATCATGCTATTGTCTTGGTTCTGTTGAAGTCAAGATTAACAGTGAAGATGATTTTGTCCTACATTAATCTGAAAGCAGTTCATGCATATATGGAAAATAAATGTTAAATAAGCCTTGGGTATATTCCTGCTTCCAGTGTAGACCAAATAGCTGTTTCTCATCCATAGTTTAAGAATTAAGAAGTTGGATGGAGCTGGAGACCATTATCCTAAGCGAATTTACTGTGGATCAGAAAGCCAAATACTGCATGTTCTCACTTATAAGTGGGAGCTAAACACTGAGTACATATGGACACAAAGAAGGGACACTGGGGTCTACTTGAGGGTGGAGGTTGGGAGAAAGGTAAGGATTGAAAAACTACCTGTTAGGTATTAGGCTGATTACCTGGGTGACAAAATTATCTGTACACCAAACTCCCATGACACACTGTTTACCCATGTAACAAACCTGCACATGTACCCCTTGAACCTAAAATAAAAGTTGGAAGACAAAAAAATAAAAAGCTTGTTTCATGTTGTACTGCTATTTTACGTAGAGAATGCCTCTTTTTCCAAAGTCTTGAGTGTGACAAAACCTTATCTTTGTTGATCACATAAATAAAAATAATCTCCTTGTTAGAAAAACAAGAGTTAAGAGGGATTAAGTATTAAGAGAAGGAAGACTATTCTTATCAGCCCAGGGGCCAGCAAGCATTTTCTGTAAAGGACCAGATGGTCTCTGTTGCAAGTACTGAGTTCTGCTGCTATAGCATGAAAGCAGCCATAGACAGTATGTAAACAAATCAGTGTGGCTCTTTTCCAGTAGTACTTTATTTATGGATATTGAAATTTGAATTTCATGTAGTATGCATGTGCATGAAATAGTATTCCTTCAGTTTGCTATTAAACATTTAAAAATGTGAAAACTACCCTTGGCTTGCAGCTGTACAAAAACAAGTAGTGGAATCAGTTTGGTGCAGAGGCCATATAGTTTGCTGATCTCTGTTCCAATCAGTGTAATAAGGTCAAAAAAAGAAATAAAAGTCATAGAGTTTGAAAATGAAGAAATAAAGCTGTCTTTATTTGCAGATGACATGCTTAATTATGTAGAAAATCTTTGAGAATGTACATAAAAGCTACTAGAACAAATGAGTTTAGAAAGATAGCAGTTTTAATTTCAATATAATTGTGTTTTTATATAAGCAACAAATAATAGGAAATTAAAATTTAAAAATCATTTACAAAAGTATTAAAATATGGAATTTGTAGGGGTAAATTTAGTAAAAGATGTGCAAGAGTTGCACACTATTAAAACTACAAAGCATTGTTCAGAGAAACTCAAGAAGACATAAATAAATGGAGCGATACACCATGCTCATGGACTAGAAGACATTGTATGGATATCAGTTGTTCTTGGCTTATAGATTCGATGCAATTTCAACAAAATTGCTGGTAGATTTTGCTTATTTTTTCAGAAATTGACAATTAGATTTTACAATTAATATAAAAATGGAGAGGATCTGAGATAGCCAAAACAAGTTTGAAAAAGAACAAAATTGAAGGACCCAAACTACCTGATTTTATGACTTAATAGATTCTAGGAAATTAAGACAATGTAGGCCTAGAGTGGTGGTTCAAAACTGTAATCCCAGCACTTAGGGAGGCTGATGCAGGAGGATTGCTTAATGCCAGGAGTTGAAGACTAGCCTAGGCAACACAAGTGAGCACCCCCTGTCTCTACAAAAAATAGAAATTAGCTGGGTGTAATGGCGTGTCTGTGGTTCTAGCTCCTTGGTAGGCTGAGACAGAAAGATTGTTGGAGTCCAGGAGTTTAAGGCTACAGTAAGCTATGACTGCTCCACTGCACTCCAGCCTAGGCTACAGAGCAGGACCCTGTTTCTAAAAACACAAGTGATACTGCTGTGAAGTTAGATGTCCAGATGAATGGAGCAGAATAGAGACAATATAAATAGACTGCACATGTATGATAACTGGCTTTTGACAAAGATGCCAAGGCAGTTCTCTGGGTAAAAGGAGAATCTTCAACAAAAATGATACAGGCCAACTCATACCATATGTAGAGAATAAATTTTGATTCATTTCTTATACCATGCACAAAAATTAGCTCAAAATGTGTATCAGACCTAAATGTAAAACGTGAGTCTAAAACTTATAGAAGAAAACATAGGATGAAATATTTGACTTTCGATTTGGCAAAGATTTCTTAAGTAGGACACAGAAAACATCAACTCTAAAAGAAAAAAATCATTTGGATTTCATCAAAATGGAAAACCTTGCTCTTCTAAAGACATTGTCACAAAAATGAAAGGCAAGCTACAGACTAGGAGAAAATATTTGCAAAACATATATCTGACAAAAATATTATATCCAGATTATCAAGAGCTCCTACAATCAATACTAAGAAGACTGCCCAGTTAAGAAATGGGCAAAATATTTGAACAGGTACTTTACCAAAGAAGGTGTCCACATGGCATGTAAGCATGTGAAAGATGCTCTGAACACCATTTGTCATTAGGGAACTACAGATTAAAACCAAAATGAGATACCACTATACTACTCACTATAATGTATAAAATTAAAAAGATCGTACCAACGGTTGCTTAGATCTGTTGTACCTAGAACTCATATATATTGCCCAGGGGAATGTAAAGGGAACAACCACTTTGAAAAACATTTGGCAGTTTGTTAAAAGGTTGAACATATTCCTACCCTATGACCCAGCAATTCCACTTCTAGATATTTAGCCAAGAGAAATGAAAGCATATGTCCACACAAAGATTTGTATGTAAATATTGAAAGAATTTATGTGTAATAGATGAAAACTAGAAACAACTCAAAGTCCATCAACAGATGAATGGAAAAACAGTCTGCTATGTATGTGTCTATCCATTGGAATACTACTCAGGAATAAAACGATTGAACTATAAATATAACTCAGTAAGATAGGTGAGTCTTAAAATAATTCTGCCAAGAGAAAGAAGCCAGATGATAAGGTTTGGCTGTGTCTCCACCCAAATCTCACATTGAATTGTAATCCCCATGTTTCAAGGGTGGGGTCAGGTGGAGATAATTGAATCATGGGGGTAGTTTCCCCCATGCAGTTCTTGTGGAAGTAAGTCTCACAAGATCTGATGATTTCATAAGGGGCATTTTCCCTTTTGCTTGGCACTTCTTGCTGCCCCCATGTGAAGAAGAATGTGTTTACTTCCCCTTCTGCCATGATTGTAAGTTTCCTGAGGAATCCCCAGTCATGCTGAACTGTGAGTCAATTAAACCTCTTTCCTTTATAAATTACCCAGTCTTGGGGATGTCTTTTATTAGTGGTGTGAGAAGGGACCAGTACAGTAAATTGGTACAGAGAGTGGAATGCTGCTGTAAAGATACCCGAAAATGTGGAAGCAGCTTTGGAACTGCGTCATGGGCAGAGGTTGGAGGGCTCAGAAGAGGACAGGAAGATGTGGGAAAGTTTGGAACTTCCTAGAGACTTGTTGAATGGCTTTGAGCAAAATGCTGATAGTGATATGGCCAGTGAAGTCCAGGTTGAGGTGGTCTCACCTGGAGATGAGGGACTTGTTGGAACTAGAATAAACGCGACTCTTGATGTTTTAGCAAAGAGATTGGTGGCATTTTGCCCCTGTCCTAGAGATTGGTGAAACTTTGAGCTTGAGAGAGATGATTTAGAGCATCTGGTGGAAGAAATTTCTAAGCAGCAAAGTGTTCAAGAGGTGACTTGGGTGCTTTTAAAAGCATTGTTTTGTGTAATCACAAAGATATGGTTTGGAATTGGAACTTATGTTTAAAAGGGAAGCAGAGCATAAAAGTTAGGAAAATTTGGAGCCTGATGATGTGGTAGAAAAGAAAACCCGTTTCCTGGGAGAAACTCAAGCCAGCTGCAGGAATTTGCATAAGTAACAAGTAGCTGAATGTTAATCGCTAGGACAATGGGGAAAGTATCTCCAGGGCATGTCAGAAAGCTTCGCAGCAGCCCTTCCCATCACAGGCACAGAGGCCTAGGAGGAAAAAATGGTTTCATGGGCTGGGCCCACGGTCCCCCTGCTGTGTGCAGCCTTCAGACATGGTGCCCTGTGTCCCACCTGCTCCAGTCATGGCTAAAAGGGGCCAAGGTACAGCTCAGGCCATGGCTTTAGAGGGTGCAAGCCCCAAGCCTTGTTAGCTTCCATGTGGTTTGAGCCTGAAGGTGCACAGAAGTCAAGAATGGTGGTTTGGGAACTTCCACCTAGATTTCAGAGGATGTATGGAAATGCCTGGATGTCCAGGCAGAAGTTTTCTGCAGGGGTGGAGCCCTTATGAAGATACTCTGCTAAGACAGTGCAAAACGGAAATGAGGGGTTGGGGCTCCCACACAGAGCCCCAACTGGTGTACTGCCTAGTAGAGCTGTGAGAAGAGGGCCACAGTCCTCCAGACCCCAGAATGGTAGATCCACTGACAGATCACACTGTGTGCCTGGAGAGGCAACAGACACTCAATGCCAGCCCATGAAAGCAGCCAGAAGCGGGGCTGTAGCCTGCAAAGCCACTGGGGCAGAGCTGCCCAAGGCTGTGGGAGCCCACTCTTGCATCAGTGTGACCTGGATGTGAGACATGGAGTCAAAGGAGATCATTTTGGAGCTTTAAGATTTGACTGCCCTGCTGGATTTTGAATTTGCATGAGGCCTGTAGCCCCTTTGTTTTGGCCAATTTCTCCCATTTGGAACAGGTGTATTTACCCAATGCCTGTACCCCATTGTATCAAGGAAGTAACTAACTTGCTGTTGATTTTACAGGCTCATAGGCAGAAGGAACTTGCCTTATTTCAGATGAGACTTTGGACTGTGGACTTTTGACTTAATGCTTAAATGAGTTAAAACTTTGGGGGACTGTTGAGAAGGCATGATTGTTTTTGAAATGTGAAGACATGAGATTTGGAAGGGGCCTGGGGTGGAATGATAATGGTTTAGCTGTGTCCCCACCCAAATCTCACCTTGAATTTTAATAATTCCTGTGTGTCAAGGGCAGGCCCAGGTGGAGATATTTGAATTACGGGGTGGTTCCCCCATACTGTTCTCATGACTTTAGCCCTATGCCTGCATGTATATTTAAAGTTGTCTGGTTTCATTGAACCAGCACCCTCATGGAAATAAACTAGCATGATTTTCATCAATGCTTCAGTAATCTATTCTTTATATCAGAAGGGTGAAAGTAAACATATCAAGTTTTTTTTTTTGTTTCTGGGAGGACTCATAAGATATCCCATAAGTGTGGTAATAGCAGTTTTTATTCCACCTATTTCCTTTAAATGATAGTAAAAAGCTCCATGAGTAAATATATTGTCTGATTTTCTACTCTTATGTATTGTTGATTAAGTCCTTTAAAAACTTTATTTTTAGATTAACTTGTACAATGGACTTTTTTTTGTATACATTCTATGAATTTTAACACACCTATAGATTAGTGTAATAACCACTGCCACAGCCAGGATGCAGAACAGTTCCATAACCCTGAAAATTCCTGTGTGCCATCCCTTTGTAGTCACAGCCTCCTCCCAACCCTTAAACGCTGGCAACCACTGACCTTTTATCACTGTGTTTTGTGCTTTTAAGAATGTCTCACACATAGCAATATGAACCTTAAATGTAAATGGGCTAAATGCCCCAATTAAAAGACACAGACTGGCAAATTGGATAAAGAATCAAGACCCATCAGTGTGCTGTATTCAGGAGACTCATCTCACATACAAAGACACACATAGGCTCAAAATAAAGGGATGGAGGAATATTTACCAAGATAATGGAAAGCAAAAAAAAAAGCAGGGATTGCAATCCTAGTCTCTGATAAAACAGAATTTTAACCAACAAAGATCAAGAAAGTGTAAGAAGGGCATTACATAATGGAAAAGGGATCAACGCAACAAGAAGAGCTAACTATCCTAAATATTATATGCACCCAATACAAGAGCACCAAGATTCATAAAGCAAGATCTTAGAGACCTACAAAGAGACTTAGACTCCCACACAATAATAGTGGGAGACTTTAACACCCCACCGTCAATATTAGACAGATCAACGAGACAGAAAATTAACAAGGATATTCAGGACTTGAACTTAGCTCTGGACCAAGTGGACCTAATAGACACCTACAGAACTCTCCACCCCAAATCAACAGCGTATACATTCTTTTCAGCACCACATAACACTTATTCAGAAATTGACCACATTATTGGAAGTAAAACACTCCTCAGCAAATGCAAAAGAATGGAAATCTTAATGGTCTCTCAGACCACAGTGCAATCAAATTAGAACTCAGGATTAAGAAACTAACTCAAAACTGCACAACTACATGGAAACTGAACAACCTGCTCCTGAATGACTACTGGGTAATTAACAAAATTAAGGCAGAAATAAATAAGTTCTTTGAAACCAATGAGAACAAAGACACAATGTACCAGAATCTCTGGGACACAGCTAAAGCAGTGTTTAGAGGGAAATTTATAGCACTAAATGCCCACAGGAGAAAGCGGGAAAGATCTAAAATCGACACCCTAACATCACAATTAAAAGATCTACAGAAGCAAGAACAAACAAATTCAAAAGCTAGTAGAAGACAAGAAATAATTAAGATCAGGGCAGAACTGCAGGAGCTGGAGACATGAAAAACCCTTCAAAAAATCAATGAATCCAGGAGCTGGTTTCTTGAAAAGATTAACAAAATAGATAGACCACTAGCCAGACTAATAAAGAAGAATCAAATAGACACAATAAAAAATGATAAAGCAGAAATCACCACTGATCCCACAGAAATCCAAGCTACCGTCACAGAATGCAATAAACACCTCTATGCAAATCAACTAGAAAATCTAGAAGAAATGGAAAAATTCCTGGACACATACACCCTCCCAAGACTAAATCAGCAAGAAGTCGAATCCCTGAATAGACCAACAATAAGTTCTGAAATTGAGGCAGTTATTAATAGCCTACCAACCAAAAAAAGTCCAGGACCAGACAGATACACAGTCGAATTCCACCAGAGGTACAAAGAGGAGCTAGTACCATTCTTTCTGAAACTGTTCCAAACAGTAGAAAAAGAGGGAATCCTCCCTAACTCATTTTATGAGGCCGGCATCATCCTGGTACCAAAACGTGCCAGAGACACAACAAAAAAAGAAAATTTCAGGCCAATATCCCTGATGAACATTGATGCAAAAATCCTCAATAAAATACTGGCAAACTGAATTCAGCAGCACATCAAAAAGCTTATCCACAACAATCAAGTCAGCTTCATCCCTGGGATGCAAGGCTGGTTCAACATATGCAAATCAGTAAACATAATGCATCACATAAACAGAACCAAAAACAAAAACCACATGATTACCTCAATAGATGCAAGAAAAAGCCTTTGATAAAATTCAACACCCTTCATGCTAAAAACTCTCAATAAACTAGGTATTGATGGAATGTATTTCAAAATAATAAAAGGTATTCATGACACACCCACAGCTAATATCTTACTGAATGGGCAAAAACTGGAAGCATTCCCTTGAAAACTGGCACAAGACAGGGATGCCCTCTCTCACCACTCCTATTTAACATACTATTGCAAGTTCTGATCAGGGCAATCAGGCAAGAGAAAGAAAGGGTATTCAAATAGGAAGAGAGACAGTCAAAGTCTGTCTGTGTGCAGATGACATGATTGTATATTTAGAAAATCCCATCATCTCAGCCCAAAATCTCCTTAAGCTGATAAGCAACTTCAGCAAAGTCTCAGGATACAAAATCAGTGTGCAAAACTCACAAACATTCTTATACACCCGTAACAGACAAAGAGCCAAATCATGAGTGAACTCCCATTCACAATTGCTACAAAGAGAGTAAGATACTTAGGAATACAGCTAGCAAGGGATGTGAAGGACCTCTTCAAGAAGAATTACAAACCACTGCTCAAGGAAATAAGAGAGGACACAAAAAAATGGAAAACAAATTCCATGCTCATGGATAGGGAGAATCAGTATCATGAAAAGGGCCATACTACTCAAAGTAATATGTAGATTCAGTGCTATCCCCATCAAGCCACCATTAACTTTCTTCACAGAATTAGAAAAAACTACTTTAAATTTCATGTGGAACCAAAAAGCCCGTATAGCCAAGACAATCCTAAGCAGAAAGAACAAAGCTGGAGGCATCATGCTACCTGACTTCAAACTATAGTACAAGGCTACAGTAACCAAAATAGCATGGTACCGGTACCAAAATAGATATATAGACCAATGGAACAAAACAGAGGCCACAGAAGTAATGCCTCAGAAGTATCTACAACCATCTGATCTTTGACAAACCTGACAGAAGCAAGCAATGGGGAAAGGATTCCCTATTTAATAAATGGTGTTGGGAAAACTGGCTAGCCATATGCAGAAAACTGAAACTGGACCCCTTCCTTACACCGTATACAAAAGTTAACTCAAGATGCATTAAAGACTTAAGACCTAAAACCATAAAAGCCCTAGAAGAAAACCTAGGTAATACCATTTAGGACATAGGCATGGGCAAAGACTTCATGACTAAAACACCAAAAGCACTGGCAACAAATGCCAAAATTGACAAATGGGATCTAATTAAACTAAAGAGCTTCTGCACAGCAGAAGTGAACACATCAGAGTGAACAGGTAACCTACAGAATGGGAGAAAATTTTTGCAATCTACCCATCTGACAAAGGTCTAGTATCCATAATCTACAAAGAACTGAAACACATTTACAAAAAGAAAACAACCCCATCAAAAAGTGGGCAAAGGATATAAACCGACACTTCTCAAAAGAAGACATTTATGTGGCCAACAAGCATATGAAAAAAGCTCATCATCACTGGTCATTAGAGAAATGTAAATCAAAACCACGATGAGATACCATCTCATGCCACTTAGAATGGCACTCTTTGAAAAGTCAGGAAACAACAGATGCTGGAGAGGATGTGGAGAAATAGGAACGCTTTACATTGTTGGTGGGAGTGTAAATTAGTTCGGCCATTATGGAAAATAGTGTAGCGATTCCTCAGGCATCTAGAACCAGAAATACCATTTGACCCAGCAATCGCATTACTGGGTATATACCCAAAGGATTATAAATCATTGTACTATAAAGACATGCACACTTAAGTTTATTGCAGCATTGTTCACAATAGCAAAGACTTGGAACCAACCCAAATACCCATCAGTGATAGACTGGATAAAGAAAATGTGGCACATATACACCATGCAATACTGTGCACCCTTAAAAAAATGATGAGTTCATATCCTTTGCAGGGACATGGGTGAAGGTGGAAGCCATCATTCTCAGCAAACTAACACAGGAACAGAAAACCAAATACCTCATGTTCTCACTCATAAGTGAACATGTTCTCACTCATAAGTTGAACAATGAGAACATATGGACACAGGGAGGGGAACATCACACAGTGGGGCCTGTTGGGGAGTGGGGGTCTAGGGGAGGGATAGCATTAGGAGAAATACCTAATGTAGATTATGGTTTGATGGGTGCAGCAAACCACCATGGCACATGTATACCTATGTAGCAAGCCTGCACGTTCTTCACGTGTATCCCAGAACTTAAAGTATATAAAAAAAAGAAAAAATAGAAAAAAATATAAATAAAAATAATATCATATTAGTGGTATCATACAGTATATAATTTTGTGAGTCTAGCTTCTTTCATTCAGCATGTGAATCATCTTTTGTGATTCATTCAAGTTGTCTAATGTAGTTTTTCCCTTTTTTGTTTCTGAATAGTGCTCTGTTGTATGTACATACCAAATTTGTTTGTTCACCTGTTGCAGAACATTTGCATTGTTTCCAGTGTCTGACTATTGCAGATAAAGCTACTGTGAACATGTGTGTATAGGTTTTTATGTGAACGTAAGTTTTTGTTTCTCTATGGTAATTACCCAGGAGTGAAATTTCTGGGTCAGATTGTAATCGTATGTATTATTCTTTAAGGACCTGCCAAACTGTTTTCCAGAGTGGCTGTACTGTTTTTGATTTTCACCTGCAATTTATGAAAGTTTCAGTTCAGCATCATTGTCGGCACCTCGTATTGTTATTATCTTCTATTTTAGCCATTCTCATAGGTGTGTGGTAGTGTTTCATTGTGGTTTTAATTTCTCTAATAGATAATGATGTTGAGCATCTTTTAGTTTGTTTATTATTGGCTTTCTGTATTTTCTTTGGTGAAGTGTCTGTCTTTTGCCTGTTTTTTAATTGGATTTTTGTTTTATTGCTGTAGAGTTTTGGGCATTCATAAATACATTCTAGATAGAAGTCCTTTATCAGATGTCATTTGCAATGATTTTTTTCTGGCCTGTAGCTTTTCTTTTTATTTTCTTTTCAGTGTCTTTTGCAGAGAAAAGGGTTTTAATTTTGAAGTTTAATTTATTATTGTTTTCTTTTTATGTATCATGCTTTTAGTGTTGTGTATAAGAACTCTTCGCATAACCCAAAGACTTGAATATTTTTTCTTATATTTTCTTCTAAAAGCTCTATAGTTGTATGGTTTACATTTAGAGCTGAGATCTCTTTGGATGTAATTTTTGTGTAAGGTGGGAGGTTTATGTCAGGGTTCATGTTTTTGCATATGGATGTCCAATTTTACAACACCATTTTTTTAAGAGAGTGTTATTCTCTGTTGAATTGTCTTTGTATCTTTGTCAGAAATAAATCGGCCATTTTTGTGTGAGTCTGTTTGTGGACTCTTTCTGCTGTTGATCTGTGTGTCTATCCGTTTACCAACATCATACTGTCTTGGTTACTGTATCTTTATAGTATGTCTTAAAATTGGGTAGTATGATTCTTTTTCAGATTTTAGCTATTCAGCTATCTTTCCTTTTTTGTATATATTTTATTTTATATTTTACATCTTACCTTATTTTATTTTATTGAGACGTGTAAGGTCAGCCGAGAGAAAGGAAAAATAGACCTAAAGTCAGGCGCGTAAGTTTATTGAACCTGAGGGGCTGCTTCACCTCACTCAGAGGAGGCAGCCCTGAGTTTACAAAATGAGGGGTTTATATTGGAGAAGGGAGTTTGAGGGAGTTCTTTGGTGTGGCCGCATTCCAGGGTTGTTTGCTGGTTAATTTTGTCACATATCACCTTGTGACATTTGTGGTAGCAGAACTTTCAGGAAGGTGTAGGTAAAGTTTGTTTATTCTTCCAACGACCTCCCGCTGTGCGGTCCAGATGGTTCGTAATTGGGGTTTGTTTATCCAGCAAGGTCTGATAAGTGAAGTCTGCTGGCTTCACTGTGGTGCCTAGATAAGGGCTTAGAAATGTAAAGAGGCTTGGGGGAAGGGTGGACAGCACGGAGACGTTTGAGGGGAGCGCCAAGAAGCTTTATGGGGCAGTTTGTCTTTAAGACGCAGTCTCACTCTGTCACCCAGGCTGGAGTGTACTGGCACAATCTTGGCTCACTGCAACCTCTGCCTCCCGGGTTCAAATGATTCTTGTGCCTCAGCCTCCCGAGGAGCTGGGATTATAGGCACCCGCCACCACACTCGGCTAATTTTTGTATTTTTAGTAGAGATGAGGTTTCACTATGTTGACCAGGCTGGTCTCGAACTCCTGACCTCAAGTGATCCACCTGCCTTGGCCTCTCAAAGTGCTGGGATTACAGGAGTGAGCCACTGCGCCTGGCTGCTTTTCCATGTATATTTTACAAACAGCTTGTCTGTGTGCACAAAAGCCCTGCTGTGATTTTGATTGGAATTGCATTAAATCTGTAGATCAATATGGGGAGAATTGACATCTTTACTACATTGAGCCTTTAATTTGTGAACTCCATTTATTTAAATTTTCTCTGGTTTCTTTTATCAACGTTTTGTTATTTTGGGCTTACAGATTCTATACATGTGTTGTTAGATTTATACCTAAGAATTTCATGTTTGGAAGCTATTGTGTTTTTTAAAAATTTTTGTTTTCTAGTTGGTCAAGTTCTTTTTTACAACAGTATTTTTTTGATAGTAAAGTTAGTTTGGTACGAAAGGCTGTGTATACTTTGACCTTCCTCCTCAAAGAATTGGGCAATTTATTATGAAAGCACATAGTGTAAAATATATAAAAGGGCAAAAAGTCAAGATCCAAGGGCTGTGCTTAAAAAGGTAATATTCAGAGTTAAACTGGAAGCATTATCAAAAGATTTTATTTACAAGGCCATGAAGGGATTACTGTCACTTTGTCTTTAAAAAAATTTTAGAAATAGCAATAATAAAAAAGTAATAGTTTGATAGCAAAGCTCTAGAATACTAACTAGATATTTTGGGCATATCAAAGATACTGTGGTTTTAGATCATTTTTCTTATGAGATCCAGATTAAATGAAGTGTTCTGAAGACTGCCTACAGAAAATTCAAAACAATGGACAATTCAAGTGTTGTGGGTTATTACCTTCAGTAATAAACCATATCTTTTTTTAAACGTTTAAATTAGGTTTGGGGGTACATATGCAGGTTTGTTATATAGATAAACTCGTGCCACAGGGGCTTGTTGTACAGATTATTTTGTCACCCAGATACTAAGCCTAGTACCCAATAGTTATTTTTTCTGCCCCTCTCCTTCCTCCTACCCTCTGCCCTTAAGTAGGCCCCGTGTCTGTTGTTCCCTTCTTTGTGTTCATGAGTTCTCAACATTTAGTGAGAACACAGAGTATTTGGTTTTCTATATCTTTTAACTGAAATACATGGACTATAGTTTTATCATGACACCATTTGTATTAAGGTTCTTCACTATATTTTTAGGTTATTATGGAAATCTTAAAGGTGTTTTCTAGAAGCCAGTTTTTAAAAAGTATAACAGTTCTGTCTGATGTTACATTGAAAAAGAATTGTGTTTCTGTGTGTGTTGAGGAGTACTGCTGTGAAGAAGTTGAATATAAAGAAGAGAATGGCCCCCTTTCTTTGTTTATTTTTATTTATTTATTTATTTTTAAGAGATGGGGTCTCACTATATTGCTCAGGCTGGTCTCAAACTCCTGAGCTCAAGCGATCTTCCCACCTCGATCTCCCAAAGTGCTGGGATTACAGGCATGAACTACCACGTCTGTCCCCCTTTTATTTATTCAGAGACACATTTTCAGTGTTGCTTTCCCTAAAATGCATTTTTTCCTGCTTTATTTTTCTGTTACCATATTATACACTTATTTATCTTTATTATTGTCTGCTTCTACCACTCGAGTGGAAGCTTTTTGGGAGTAGCTTATCTATCTTGTTTGCCACTATATCCTCAAATGCCTAGAACTGTGCCTGGTGCAAAGTGGGCACTCAAATATTAGTTGAATGAATGTTTAAATTTTAGCCACAGTTATATGCTGAAGTATTAGGCTTTAAAAAATAGTTCCATGTTTTTTTCCTGAGTTCATTTACTTACCTCTCATTTATGGCCCCATGTACATCATTTTATTCTTTAAAACCTTGCATGAAGATTTTATTCCGACTCTTAATATATTTCTAGGAGATGTTAGTGGTCATACTGATCACCCAGTGAACCTAACTTTGCATTTCTGGACCTTCTTAATAACGTGAGACCCAAACCTTTATGTAATTTCAGTCACTTCCCCAAACCAGGATTTTGTGAATCTCTACAATTGTTATTTTTCAAAAGTAATAGAGTCCAATCCATTATATTTTTCTCCTAACAGGATTTCCTGTCCTCTCATTTACTGTGTCTGCTAATCTTAAATCTCCAGTGGGTTTATTTACTGTCTCTCTTTTCTTCCAGTTTATCAGCAGCCTTCTAGCTTTTTTCTTTATTTACTCATTCTTGGACCCTATCATACAATTCCCAGACTATGCCTTATATTCCCATTTACTCCTGTTCTTCTGTTTAGTCTTTTTGGAAAAAACTCAATTTTAGATAAGCTATGGCCTGCCATTTGTGAGTAAAACATTCTTTCTCATTTCTCTCTCTCTCTTTTTTTTTTTTGAGACGGAGTCTTGCTCTGTCGCCCAGGCTAGGGTGCAGTGGTGTGATCTCGGCTCACTGCAACCTCTGCCTCCTAGGTTCAAGCGATTCTCCTGTCTCAGCCTCCTGAGTAGCTGGGATTACAGGCGCACGCTGCCATGCCTGGCTAATTTTTTGTGTTTTAGTAGAGATGGGGTTTCACCATCTTGCTCAGGCTGGTCTCGAACTCCTGAGCACAGGCAGTCCACCTGCCTCGGCCTCCCAAAGTGTTAGGATTACAGGCGTGAGCCACCACGCCCAGCCCCATTTCTCCTTTTTAAAAAGTTTTATTTCTATGCGTCAATAACTTTTTTAAAGGCATTACATTTTATTTCTTTAACAGAGTGTGACCAAACATATTTGTTTTTATTTTTTATTTTTTTATTTTTTGGAGATGGAGTTTTGCTCTGTCACCTGGGCTGGAGTGCAGTGGCACTATACAGCTCATTGCAGCCTCAATCTGTTGGGCTCAAGTGATCCTCCTGCCTTAGCCCCCTGAGTAGCTGGGACTACAGGTTGTATCACCACTCTTGACTCATTTTTGAATTTTTTTTGTAAAGATGGGGTTTCACCATGTTGCCCAGCTTGGTCTCAAACTCCTGGGCTCAAGCAATTTGTCCACCTTTGTCTGCCAACATGGTGGGACTACAGGCATGAGCCACTGTGCCCAGCCCATATTTGTTAATTTAAGGACATTATTATGTCTCTTTATAACATGGTGGTAACATCCTCCCTTGGTGAGAGCACATAGAACATGTTTGGAACTAACTGCTTTAGAAAGTTTTATCTCATTACACCCTCCTAACAAGCATGTGAGGGAGTATGTTATTATCCAAAGTATAGATATGAGAATTTTGTGTGTCAGAGAGGAAGTACCTGAGTGATGCCCCATTTCAGAATTTTAGTGTCTCGAGGCTCCATGCAAGACCACCTTCTGCCTTCACATCACATATTATTAAGCCTGGAAGGCAGTCTTCACTGAAGCCAATGATGAACAACTGATGAAGGGAACCCAGGGCTGGGAAATAAGTTACCAGTAAATGTCATGGCATTGACCACTATGAAGTCCCTTGTATCATATTATTCCCCTTTTAGGCATCTTTAGGCTTGTCTCCTATGTGCTGTTTTTTTAAGAAGTTCTCTGCTTACAAAGTCTTGCGTGGATGTATTTAATACTTTTGTTTGGAATACAGGTACACTTTTCACACGTGATACCTGGTTTTCATGTGTAATCCAAAAATAAGAGACAATGGGAAAGTTATGTTCCATATGCTGTCCTTTCTTGAGGACCAGCTCACGTGACTTGTGATAAGCTCTCCCACCTTCTCTGAACCTTAGCAGTGCCTCTCAGGAATATGCTAACTAAGATAAATGGAGAGAAAGGAACATGGGTAGCAGCCCCTTAAAATCTAGAGGTTTTATGATTCTAACATCATAATGAAGCAGACTGGGGAATAGAACTCATTATTGTAGAATTGAATGTAGGAGGATTAAGAGATACAGGTTGGGCCGGGCGCGGTGGCTCACGCCAGTAATCCCAGCATTTTGGGAGGCCGAGGCGGGTGGATCACGAGGTCAGGAGATAGAGACCATCCTGGTTAACATGGTGAAACCCCGTCTCTACTAAAAGTACAAAAAATCAGCCGGGCGTGTTGGCTGGCACCTGTAGTCCCAGCTACTGGGGAGGCTGAGGCAGGAGAATGGTGTGAACCCGGGAGGCGGAGCTTGCAGTGAGCAGAGATCACGCCACTGCACTCCAGCCTGGGTGACAGAGCAAGACTCCGTCTCAGAAAAAAAAAAAAAAAAAAAAAGAGAGATACAGGATGGACGGACTCACTAATCTCTTTAGTACCCTTCCCTGTACAGGAATTTCGTGTATTAATATTTCTGAAACTGCTTTGAGAGCCAATCAAGAACCTTAGACTGGTCATTCCTGTCTTATCAGATCCAAATGCAGAGAACTTGGAGGAGGTTCACCTTTCAAGGTTTTTGTTTTTGTTTTTTAAGATAGTCTATTTACCCATATTTTTATTCTTATTCTTTTTAAAATTTCTAATGTTTCAGCATTTCTCCTTTTATCATTTTTATCCTAATAACTTCTTTTGGCCATTCTTTCAAGGTAAGTCTACTGGTGACAAATTTTTAGTGTCCTTTATCTGAGAGCATCTTGATGTCACCTTTATTTCTGAAGAATATTTTCACTGGGAATAGAATTCTGGATTGGTAGTTCTTTTTCTTTTAGCATTTGGAAAAGATTGTGCTACTTTCTTTAGGTGTCCATGGTTTCTGATGAGAAATTCACTGTCATTTGAATCATTTCCTTTATAGGTAATATTACATTTCTCTCTAACCAGTTTCAAGATTTTTGTTTTCTTTAGTTTTAAGTTTATTATGGTATGTAGTGGCATGTGTTTCTTTAAGTTTATTCTGTTTGAGGTTTTCTCAGCTTCTTCAGCCTGTGGGCTTATGTTTTTCAACAAATGTGGGAAGTTCAGCAATTATTTACTCAAATGCATTTTAGCCCCCCACCCTTTCTCCTCTTTTTCTAGGACTCTGATTATACAAATTTTCTGTCTTTTATTGTCTCACAGGTTCTTGGGGCTCTGTTTATCAGGGTGTTTTTTTTTGTAATGATGGTTGTTCAAATGGGTTATTTTCTATTTTTTCATCTTCAGATTCATTAGTGCTTTCCTGTCATATTTATTCTATCATTCAGTCCACCTAATGAGTTTTAACATTTTTGATTACTGTTTTTCTGTTATAAAATTTCCAATTGATTCTTTTTTATATCTTCTGTCTTCTGTTTCTTTGCTTTCTATTTTAAAAATTTAAGTGTGTTTGTAATTGCTCTATGCAGCATTTTTATGATGGCCGTTTTAAAATCCTTCTCAGATAATCACAACATCTGTTCTATTTGGTGTCCGGTGGTTGTCTTTTTCTCAGTCAAGTTGAGATTATTCTGGTTCTTGATATAAAGTGATTTTTTATTGTACCCTAAACATTTGGGTTATTATGTTGTGAGACTATGAATCCTTTTTAATATATATATATATATATATTTTTTGTAGGCAGCCACCCTGTTTAGGTATAGTATGCAGTTCCAGATGGGGTTAGATATGTAGTTCCCCACTGGGCTCTGCTGACATCACCCCAGCAAAAGTGGAATGCCCAGTTGTACTGCCTTACTTCTCCTTGCTGCTGACAGATGGGAGTGTAAATTCAGCACTTTATTGAGTTCTTTTGACACCGGGAGACCAGGAGGAGCAAAGTGTTAGCTATAACTGTTTCACCACCACCTTATTCCACCTTCTTGTGCCTTGTTGCTACCTGGTGAGAGTGGAAGTTTTACTCCCCAGTGGGTCCTGCCAACACCGTGGGGAGTGGGCAATGAAAAACTGAATGCTGACTCGTACTACTTCACACTGCTTTGTTTCACTTTTTTTGGCTGCTGGGTGGGAGTGGAAGTAAGCCCTGTTCTGAGTCCCACTGACAGTATCCCAGACTGTAGAGTGACAGCTAGTGCTGTTTCTCACTGCTGTCTTCTGCCTCTGTTGATGGGTGGAAGTAGAAGTTCAGTTCCCTGTTTGGCTTCATGGATACCATGCTAGTGGAGGAAGCAAAGGGATGACTTCCCATGACTTGTTGCTGCTGGGTAGGGCTGAAAGTCCAGCTCCTCACTCAGCACTACTAATACTACGGATGGGATAGGGGGCAGTTTTTCGTTTGGTGTGTGACTGGAATAGGGTATATTACCTATTACAGTTTTCTGTTCTGCTAGGCCACCCTCTTCCCAGTCCTGTGGCTACAGGAAGCAGGCTTTTCTTGGAGCTTTTGTGTGTGTGTGTGTGTGTGTGTGTGTGCCTGTGTCTGTTGGCATTTCTGGGTGGCAGACTTCTCAAGGACCCCATCAGAGATATAGGGGGGCAAAAAGAAAGCCCAGGGAACTCACCATTATATTGTTCCTCAAGTGGCAAGGTCCTAGCTACTTCACCTTCTTCTTTCCATCTTTTAGGGTTTTCCTGTGTTGTATTATAGCTAGAGTTGTTTGTTTTTTTTAAGAGGAAAGGTTGATGTGAAATGTGACTACTCCTTGGCTGGAACCCCTTGCATGCTCTTGTACCTTGGGAGCTGAATGCTGTTGCACTGCATTACTTTAATTGAGCCCTTGGTGCTTTCTTTTGGTTCTTTGACCTCCTCACAGCCACCTCATTCTCACATTCCTCTCAACAATTATTTTAAACCTTTTCATCAATTCTCCACTTAAATCCTATCCTCATTCTTCTCAGATGATCTTACTTCTTATTTTACTGAAAAACTTGAGATCATGTTATGTGCTTTTCATCAAATTTGAGCACTTACAAATTACAGTCATCCCTCAGTATACACAGGGAATTGGTTTCGGGACCCCCACATATGCCAAAATCTGCGCAAAGTCCCACTGTGAGTATTGTGGAACCTGCTAATACGAAAAGTGGACCTTTTATATATGCAGGCTTTATGTCTTATTAATAGTGTATTTTTCCATCCATGTTTGGTTGAAAAAAATCTGCATGTTAGTGGGCCAACACAGTTCAAATCTACATTGTTCAAGGGACTACATTATCTGTTTACCCAGTCTTCTATCTTTGCCTCCTATTTCAGAGAATTAAAGTGCTCCTTCCCCAGTGCAAGTAATTCAGTACCGTAACATACAATATGGGGTTGTAACCTTGGAGCGGTAGGCTACATGTATAGCCTAGGTGTGTGGTAGGATATATCATCTAGGTTTGTGTAAGTACATTTGTTATGATGTTCACACAAGGATGAAATTGCCTCATGATGCATTTCTGAGAATATATTCCTGTTATGTATTCCTGCTGTTAAACAGCACGACTGTTGTTTTGTCAGTTACTGAGAGTTGAAGTCCCTGGCTATAATTGTAGACTTGCCTATTTCTCCTTTCAACTCTATCTTGTGGTTTAAGGTCATCTTGTATAATATGTACATATTTAGGATTGTTATGTCCTCTTAGTAGATTGATACTTTTATCATTATGTAATATCCTTCTTTTTCTGTAGTAATTTTCTTTGCTCTAATGTCTACTTTGTCTGATATTACAGCCATTCTTGTGTTTCAACATTAATGTTTGCATGGTATATCTTCTGCCATCCGTTTACTCCAAAGGTACCTACATTGTTGAATTTGGAGTAAGTTTCTTGTAAATAACATATAGTTGCATTGTTTTTTATTTACTCTTGCTGATCTCTGTCTTTTAATTGGGGTTTTTAGGCCATTTACATTTAGGGTAATTATTGATATTTTAGGGCTTAAATCTACCATTGTATTACTGGTTTTGTTTGTTTCTTGTTTCTTTTTCTTTTTTTCCCTTCCTGTGCATTACTTGAAAAAATTTTCTACCATTGTATTACTGGTTTTGTTTGTTTCTTGTTTCTTTTTCTTTTTTTCCCTTCCTGTGCATTACTTGAAAAAATTTTAAGAGTCCATCTTTTTATATATATATATATATAATATATATAATAGATATAAAATATATAAATTATATATATAAAAATATATAATATATATAAAATAGATATTATATATAAAATAGATATATATAAAATAGATATATATAAAATAGATATATATAAAATAGATATATATAATATATAATATATAAATATATATTATATATAAATATATAAATATGTATATATATTTGTATATAAATATGTATAAATATATATTTGTATATAAATATGTATAAATATATATTATATATAAATATGTATAATATATATTTATATATAAATATACATAAAATATATGTATATATGTGTGTGTGTATATACACACACACACACACACACACCTACATGATGTCTTATTTTTTTTAAACAACACCTGTACTCCAGATAAATATGGTCAAAATAAATGAAAAACTCAAGATGACATTATTCCCATTTGTCTAAAGGCCGGGTGTTGTGTAGATGATAAGCACCTGCCATTTATGATGACAGGTGATAGATCCAAAGTAATTGCCAGATTTGTTAATTTTTTTCCATTTCTAAATCATCCATAAAGAAAATCACATATAGGGTCACATCATCCTTACAGTAGTTTAGCAGAGCAACTGTGCCATCTAGATTGATGTTTTCACCAGTAAAGGACTGGTAGTTTTTGAAATTAGCAAGTATGTGCTTGATTTGTTCTGCAGCTTCTGCCATAAAAGGTTTTACTCTTTCTGGTCTTCATTCTTCAAGTTTGCCTTTGATTGATTTAATGTAATCTTTCATATACATCTTGTAGGCTTCTTTTATGAAGCCAGCTTGCTGCAAGTGATGGTTCATGACAATATCAATACCAGTGATTACTGTGCTTTCAGTACCTTCACCCTTGGGTCCTTCAGTAGAGGCATTTCCACCAATGAGCAAGTCATCAATATTACCCTATGTCTTACTGACCATCTTCCTCTCCCCCTCCAGGCACAGCCTGTTTGCAGTATCTCAGATCTTGTAATTGTCAGAGATAATCATGATGGTGGCTGGAGGTAGATGATAGCAGTGCTCGCTTATAGCAGAAGCCTGGAGCTTGGAGCAAGTATGGTGCAGTTGGAAAGGCACTCCAGGGAATAGGAAGCATCCAGAAAAGTATATTGTGTTTTTGAGTGTATTGCCTCTTACAGTTTTCCTAGTGGTTGGTTTGGGTATTACAATATACATATGTGGCTTATTACATTCTAGTGATGTCAGCATTTCACCATTTTGAGTGAAGTATAGAAACCTCACTTCCTTTGAGGTTCCTTTATTCTCCCCACTTTTAAATATCATTGTCTTGAGTATCAGATGGTGGTGTAATTTTGGTTTGGATCATCATATATGATTAGAAAACTCATGATGAGAAGGATAGTCTGTGGTATTAGTCATATTTCTGTTTTTTTCCATTGTTATTTCTTCCTTCCTGATGCTCCAAGACTCCTTTAAAAAATTATTTTCTTTTTGTTTGAAGTACTTCCTTTAGCCACTCTTTAAGATTGTGTCTAGTGACAAATTCCTTTCGTTTTCCCTTATTTGAGAACATCTTGATTTCACTTTCATTACTGATGGATAGTTTTACTGGACATAGAATTTGTGGTGGTTGAGAGTTATTTTCTTTTAAAAGTTGAAAAATGTGCTACTTCCTTCGGTCTCCATAATTTCATATGATAAACGTTTATCATACAAGGTAGTATTTCTTATAGGTAGTGTTTTATTTCTCTGTGGTTGCTTTCAAGATTTTTTCTTTGTCTTTAGTTTTCCCAAACATCTTTTTTCATTCCTTTCCTTTTTTTTTTTTTTTTTAAGATTTTTTTCTATTTGGGGTTTGCACATCTTCTTTAATCTTCTTCAAAATTTGGGAACTTTTCAACCATTATTTTCTTAAACTTTTTTTTATTAAATTTCTCTAGATTTAGGGAGAACAAGTGCAGTTTTGTTACACAGGTATATTGTTTAATGGTGAAGTCTGGGCTTTTAGTGTAATTTTGAACAGTGTACATTGTACTCATTAAGTAATTTCTCATACCCCACCCCTTTCCCACCCTCCCACCTTTTCGAATCTTCAGTGACTTTTATTCGACATTCTGTGTCCATATGCACATTTTATTTAGCTCCTACTTATAAGTGAGAAAATGCAGTATTGGGCTTTCTGATTTTGAGTTGTTTCACTTAAGATAATGGCTTCCGATTCCATCCATGTTGCTGCAAAAGATATGATTTTATTCTTTTTTATTGCTGAATATTCTGTTGTATGCATGTGTGTGTACATATGTATGTATGTGTATATGTGTACTCACACACATACATACACACCACCGTTTCTTTACTCACTCATCTGTAGTCACTATTTTAAAATACTCCTTTAGCCCCATTATTTTTTTCCTTTTCTTCTGAGACTCTGAAAGTTGGATCTTTTGTTATTGTCTCACAGGTCCTTGAGGCTCTCTGTTCTTTTTTTTTTTTTTTTTTTTGTCTGTTTTCTCTCTGATCAGGCTGAGCAGATTGTATTGATCTGTTCTGAAGTTCACTGATTTTGTCTTCTGTCATTTCTGTCATTTCAATTTATCCCATCCAGTTTTAAGATTTCGGTTATTGTACTTTGTAGTTCTGTAACTTTCATGTGATTCTTTTTAATAACTTTTTTCTTTGCTGAAATTTCTTTTTATTTACCTTAGAGAAATTATAATTGTTTGTTGAAGCATTTTATGACCATTGCTTGAAAGTTCTTGTCAGATAATTATGTGATTCATTGTGGTGTTGATTGCAGTTTCTCGTTGAAGTTGTGGTTTTCCTGGTACTTTGTATGACAAGTGATTTTTAATTTTATCTTGGACATTTTGGATACTATTTTAATAGATTCTGGGTCCTACTGAAAATTTTATTTTAGCAGGCAGTCACCTTGTTTAGGTTTAAACAGAGGTCCTGGACTACTTTTTGAACTGTGGTTTTAACGACAATCTAATTTTCAGAAACTTTTCAGTTATATTTTGATCTGCTTGAGTTGTTGCGTGCTGCTGGGCCTCCAGTGGTCCCTGCTGATGGTGTTTGAGGGAATGAAAGGAACTTTTCAAGGCTGAACTGCCTGGTGCTTCTAAGTATGGGAATGGAGACCCTGGTCTATGGGATGAAGCTTCTTGAGCTGGGTGCTAGTTGTGGCAGGATCTCTCCTTTCCTATGACCGATGCAGAATACCTCCAGAACCATCCCTTGTTATGGTGGGATCCCCCTACTTATGGGTGTCAGAGTGTATTTACTGGACCAGCTGCTTGTGGTGTGGTTTTCCTTTGTTGGTGCCTGTGGCCTCGTTGGTGTCTCAGGTGGTGCTGCTGCTGAGGATGGTGAATGCTTCCCCTGGCTGCTTATTGACAGGGAGGTTTCCAGTTGAACCTTCTTGCTGTTTCTTCTGGCCTCACATGGTGGTGTTGATGGCAATCCTATTAAATTCAAGAGAAGAATGAATCTACCTGGGCTGCTTTCTGTTGCAGGCTTAGGAGTTGGGAAACATCAGATCTGGCTCACTTATTTTTTTTTTTTTTTCAGTTGGGAGGGTTATAAGACAACCTGTTACTATGTTGTTCCTCTAGTCCTGGGGTCTTCAACTAGTTTTTCTTCCTTTTTTAAACCTTTCAGTGTTTTCCTTTGGTTATATTTTATGGTATTTTCAGGTTTTATAATTGTACTTAATGGAGAGGAACAGGAAGAGACCAAAAGCCCTTTTGCTCATTTTTTAATTGCAATGGGTGGAACTTATTTGGATCTGGATTTAAATAAACTAAAAAAGTAAACTAATTTGATATGAGATTACTCAAATTTTGAAAGCTAGGTATTTTGTATAAAAGTATTTTTCCTATAATGATATGATTGTGTAAAAATAAAAGACTGTCTCTTAGAGATATGTACTAAGATATTTATAGGTGAAATTATGAAATACATAGGATTTGCCTCAAAGATAATATATATGCGTTTGTTCATAGGGTAAGAGTGGTCATTGGCTGATGGTTGTTAGGGCTAGGGGATGAATATGTGGGACTCAGAATACCTTTGTGTATGTAAAAAATTCTCCATGTTTTTAAATTAAATTTAATTAATTTATTTTTTGCATCCCCCTGATTTCTGAAGTTTTTTTTTAAGTTTAGCTTATATTTCTTGAACAAAGTTTAGATATTATGGTAGAAAGAAACTTGCCTGATTTATTTTCTTTGTACCTAATTTTTGAGTATTGGTGAGGCTAACATAATATAGGCTACCAAGTTCTAACACGTTTTCTTATAAGGTGAGGAAATATTAAAGTGTTTATAGTGTGTACATCCCCTCTGATCGGTACTTTAGGAGCCCCAGGAACCATTTGGTTGCTTGTAATTAGAATGAAAGTGCTTTTACCCTGTAAGAGAGTTAATGTGCTTTCTTTAAGTAAGCTCTTTTCTAGTCACCAGGATCTGAAGTTCCAGAGTTGACTCTTCTATAGATTGGCGTATTAATACATTGGACATTTATTCATTCTTACTTTCTTTCACAGCTTTCTGTTCAAAATCAGGAGTTTGAGATAAATAAAGATGGAATCCCCAAAGTGGATCAGTTTCATCTGGTATGTGACCTTTTTGACATTTACTGGTTTGAAACACATGCAGTAATATAAACTTAGATATCTGACTGAAAGTTGTCCTCCAGTTTTTCTAAGAATCCAAATTAACATTTGCAATAAATGAAGTATTGAAAAAAATTCAGGTGCCCTACTTAACACCACTTAATTAATACACCAGGGTTACTCTGCTGGGTTGTTTGTCACACAGATTATATAAATAATCTAACAATTAGGGAAGAATATTGTTTACTATGTGTTTCAAGATCATATTATAGTAAAATAATGTTTTATTATAACTTAGTTTTTTGTAAGTACCTAACTATATCTTTGTCATTCACATATGTATTCAGCCAACATATTTTGAGTAGCTATTTCTGTGATAGGAATTGAACCAGGTGCTAGGATTACAAGGATTGTGGCATTGAGAATGAAATGAATAATTTAGAAATGTGAACAAGTAAGTGATTAACATCTATAAGTTGAGTAATTAGCAAGTACTTTGGGGGTACTCCATTTACCCTGATTTGATTATTACACATCATATGCTTGTATTAAAATATCTCATGTACTTCATAAGTATGCCCATAAAGATTTAAAAATAATGAAGCCCCTAAAAAAAGTACTTGGGGGGAAGCTGATTTTTAGTTCTGCAAAGAAAGGGGGAATTCAGTATGACTAGATATAAAGAGGATAAATATGGCAGTAAATGAGTCTATAAGAGTATAATGATCAGACTCTGGAAGTTCTTAGCTATTTTGAGTTAAGATTACAATGAAAGAGTACATATAATTTTGTTAAACTCAGTAGTTCCTTATTTGACCACACAAATATTGTATAATACCTTCTAATGTCCCACGAAATCATTTTAAAAAAACATACCTTAGAAATGATATTAAGGAGCTTTGCCACACTTCTTGGGTAGCAGTAAAAAGCATTTCAGACAACTTTTGTGAGATTATAAAACTTTGTGTTACACTTCCTGATTATCTCTGTGGAAGGGGATAACAAAGAAGGTTGACTATGGTTTACAGTTTTGAAAAGGCTATGATAAAAATTTATTGCTATTAGATAGAAAAATACCAGAAATTCTGTATTAGAGGTTACAACTTCACCAAAAGTGCACATCCAGAACCCTTGCTTTCAGGTTTGATAGAAAAATTACCTTGTACCAAGTTATCCTGAAATTTAGTTTAAACTTAAAACTTATATTACAGTTTCGTGAGTCAGGAATCTGGACACAGCTTATTTGGGATTTCTGCTTCAGTTAATTTAAGGTTGCAGTTAAGATGTTGGCTGGGCTACAGTCATCTTAAAGCTCGATTGGAGATGAATATGCCTCTAACCTCACATGTTTGTTCATAGGATTCTGTTTCTTTCAGTTTATTAGAATGAGGACCTCAGTTGTTCTCTAGTTGTTGGCCAGAGGTTGCCCTCAATCCTTTGCCCTGTTTCCATCATGGCAGCGTGTTTCATTGAAATGTATACGCAGAGAAGGCAGTAGACTCTGTTCACTAAGACAGAAGTCACAGTTTTTCATAGCAAAATCATATAAGTGATATCCCATAGTTTTTGATAGTATTCTCTCTAAAGCAATTCTCTAGGTCCAAGAGGAAAGAATTATGTAAAGTTATGAATAACAGAAGGTTGGGGTCTTGGGGCAATCTTAGAAGTCTGCTTACTCTAAAATGTAATCTGGCCAGGCATGGTGGCTCACGCCTGTAATCCCAGCACTTTGGGAGGCCGAGGTGGGCAGATCAACTGAGGTCAGAAGTTCAGGACCAGCCTGCCCAACATGGTGAAACCCTGTCTGTACTAAAAATACAAAAAAATTAGCTGGATGTGCTGGCGGGTGCCTGTAGTCCCAGCTACTTGGGAATCTGAGGCAGGAGAATCACTTGAACCTGGGAGGCAGAGGTTGCAGTGAGCCGAGATTGTGCCATTGCACTCCAGCCTGGGCGACAGAACAAGACTTTGTCTCAAAAAAAAAAAAATAATAATAATAATCTGCCTGTAATCTGCAAGTAATCATGCCTTGCTAGGCATGCAGCTAGGTATATGTATAATGAAAGTAAATGTAAATACACAGTCCCCGTTTAATGTGGGTAGCTACTCATGGATTCAAGGATTGTGGCATTGAAAATGAGATTAATAATTTAGAAATTTGAACAAGTAAGCAAGATTTATAAATTGAGTAATAAGCAAGTTCAAATTATAAAAATCTTGGCTTGTATAGTATTTGCTTCTGTGATCTGAGTCAGTTATTAGTGCTGGGAATGGAATTACCTTTACCTACATTTTGTGTTCACACATAGCTGCAAAACAAGTCAAGGCTCTGTAGTCAGCACCTTACAGATACCATACCACAAATGGAGAAGAATATAAATGTATGGAACCATGTAGTTGAGAGAGTTATTAGAGGATAATTAATACACCCTTCTCATCCTTCAGAATCCCTCCAATAATATCCCCAAGAGATGGCCTTCAGCCTCTGCTTAAGTAGAGTAATGCTGATTTTGGTAGTTTGTGTCTAAAAGTTGGTCCATTCCATTTAAGTTATCTAGCTTGTTGGCATACAGTTGTACATATTTTCTTTATAATTATTTTTATTTCTCTAAGTTCAGTAGTGTCCCCTTTTTCATTTCAGATTCTGGCAGTTTCAGTCTTCTCTCTTTTTTTTCTTCGTTAGTCCAAATAAGTTTAAATACCTAGCTTTTGGTTTTATTAATTTTTCTGTATTGTTTTTCTGTTGTCTATTTTCTTACTTTCTAATCTTTATTATTTCTATCCTTCTGCTTGCTTTAGATTTAGTTTACAACATATATTACACAGTTATCACACCTTATAAAATTAACAAATTGTAATATTATATTTAAATTTCCCTAATTGTCTTAAATATATTTTTAAATGGTTGCTTTTTTGAAATTAGCATATCAACAAGATCTACCTGTATTGGGTTAATATATCTCTTAATCTCTGTTGAGCTATAAAGTTCCCCCACAACTCTTTTTCTCCATGCCATGTATTATGTGAAAAAAATGATTTCATTTTCCATACTTTGGAGTTGGCTGATTGCATCCTTATGGTATTATTTCATAGTTCTCTTTTCCCCAGTTGAAAAAAGTGGTAGATACAGAGGTTAATTAAATTTACATTCAGTTTTTACAGGCAGTATATTTTATATTATTGTGTCATATGAGGGGGATCATTTGGTGTTTGATTGTCACAGTAAGATTGATCAGTGTGTTCAGGCAGAAAATTTTGTATGTACAGGGGTATATTTTTAGTTTTTCTATCCCATTGGTTTGTTTATTCATATCCCAGTGCCTCACTCATTTAACTAAAATAGACTTTATAGTAGCTTTTTAATACTTATAGGGCTAGTTCCTTCTTCACTGCTTTTTTGTTTTGTTAAAAAAAAAAACAACAAAAAGCAACAAAAAAATAAAGTCCGAAGTCCCAGGTTGGAGTGCAGTGGCACGATCTCAGCTCACTGCAGCCTCTGCCTCCCAGGTTCAAGTGATTCTCGTGCCTCAGCCTCCCGAGTAGCTGGTACTACAGTCACATGCCACCACACCTGGCTAATTTTTGTATTTTTAGTAGAGATGGGGTTTTGCCATTTTGGCCAGGTTGGTCTTGAACTCTTGACCTCAAGTGATCCACCTGCCTCAGCCTCCCAAAGTTCTGGGATTACAGGTGTGAGCCACTGCTGGCCCTCATTGCTATTTTTAAAATCAGCTTTCATGGCTATTCTTGGTTGTCATTCTTCTAAGACATCTTTATAATTAACTTGTTTGGTCTCAAGGAAAAAAATTATATTTTTATTGGATTAATATAAACTTTTTAAGTCAACTTAGGGAAAATTGTCCCATTTGTTATGAGAGTCATTTTTGTTGAAGACCATAATAAGACTTTTGTTCCTGATCTACTTTTGTGGTTTTCAGGAGCATGTGTTATTTTTTCTCATTTGGATTTTGTAATATTTAATTGTTTGCACCTAGGGAAGGTAACTATCTTTAAATGTTCTTAAAAACATATTCTGTAGAGTACAGACATTGGCATTCATTCATTTATCAAATATTTACTGAATGTCTGCTATATTCAGATACTGTTTTTTGCTACTTTCTGGAGATGAAGTGACAAACTAAAATTTCAAATCTTAAGGATCTTAGAGTGTAATGCAGACACTAGCAGTAAACAGATGATTTCTTTCCTTTTTTTTTTTTTTTGAGACAGTCTTGCTTGGTTGCCAAGGCTGAAGTGCAGGGGCACGATCTCAGCCACTGCAACCTCTGCCTCCCAGGTTCAAGCGATTCTCCTGCCTCAGCAGCTTGAGTAGCTGGGATTACTGGCATGCGCCACCATGCCCAGCTAATTTTTGTATTTTTGGTTGAGACAGAGTTTTGCCATGTTGGCCAGGCTGATCTTAAACTCCTGGCCTCAATGATCCACTTGCCTTGGCCTCCCAAAGTGCCTGCCTGACCAGCAGTTAAACAGATTATTTTTATTCAGTCTGATATGTGCTTTGGTTGGAGTAATCATAAGAGGCAAATAAAAGGTATACTAAGGTGTCAAATAATGGAATAGCAACATTACAGGATCATTTACATGTTCTAATACAAATAATGTCCTTTGAAATGGAGGGATATAATAAATTCTAGCTCCCATAATGATGGTGATAATGATAGCAGCAGTAGAGGTGATCCTAGAGAGTGATCACTTAAAAACCAAAACCAGAAATAGTTGACTAGATGAAGAAATTTACCCTTCCAGACAGAGAAGCTTCAGTGTGACATTTTAATAGTGTCAAATTCTGACCAGTACCTTGTTAAAAGAGGGAGAAGGAAGTAATAAAATTTATTTGTTCGTATTTCACTTGTTTTTGAGAGATTTCAGCTATGATTTTTTTCCTTTTACACTTTTTCCCCATAATTCAATTCCATTGTTTCAGTATTGGAGGCATTCCATTTCACCAAAAAGTACAGTCGTCCCTCTGTATACACAGGGGATTGGTACAGATAAAATCTACGCATACCCAAGTCCTACAGTTGGCCCAGTGGAACCTATGCATATGAAAAATCAGCCCTTTGTATCTGTGGGTGTTGAGTCCTGAGAATACTGTGTTTTTGATCTGTTTGGTTGCAGATGTGGAAACTGCAGATAGGGAGTGCTGACTGTACTTACTTATTTCATATTGATACATAATATTTGTACATATTTATGGGGTATATGTGATATTTTGTAACTTGTATGGAATGTGTTAATGACAGTCGGTATTTAGGGTATCCATTATCTTATTTATTATTTCTATGTTTTGGGAACATATCAAGTCCTCTCTTCTGGCTATTTTGAAATATTTAATACATTGTTAACTGGAGTCATCCTACTCTGCTATCAATCACTAGTACTTATTTCTTCTGTCAACCTGGTTGTTTGTACCCATTAAACAACTCTCTTCACCCCCTTCCACCTCACCCACATTCTCTTAGTCTCTGGTATCTGTCATTCAACTCTACCTCTATGAGATCAACTGTTATAGCTCCGACATATGAGTGAGAACATTTGATATTTGTCTTTCTGTGCCTGGCTTATTTCACTTTACAGAATGACTGTTCCATCCTTGTTGCTGAAAATGACAGAATTTAATTCCTTTTTTATGGTTGAACAGTATTCCACATTTTCTTTATATTTCTTTAATAGTGTTCCACATTGTCTTTTTCCATTTGTCCATTGATGGACGCTTAGGTTGGAGTCCTTACCTTTGTAATTGTGAATAGTGCTGCAGTAAACATGGGGGTGCAGGTTTCATATACTGATTTCCTTTTTATTTTGATGAATATCAAATATTTTGACACTTAGGTTGAGTCCTTACCTTTGTAATTGTGAATAGTGCTGCAATAAACATGGGGATGCAGGTTTCATATACTGATTTCCTTTTTATTTTGATAACTATCAAGTAGTGGGATTACTGGATTGTATGATAGTTCCATTTTTAGTTTTTTGGAAAATATTTGTACTATTTTCCATAGTGGCTATACTAATTTACATTTCCACTAACAATGTATAACAGTTTCCTGTTCTCCACATCTTTGTGGAGATTTTTCAAAATAGTATTTGGCTATTTTTTGTCATTTTTTAAAATAGTGGCATTCTAGCTGATGTAAAATGATACTTCATTGTGGTTTTGATTTGCATTTCTCTGATGATTAGTGATGTTGAGCATTTTTCATATACTTATTGGTCATTTGTATGCCTTCTTTTGAGAAATGTCTATTTATGTCCTTTGCCCACTTTTTAATGGAATTGTTTTCCCTGTCGAGTTTCTTGTATATTCTGGATATTAGTCCTGTGTTGGATGAATAGTTTGCAAATTTTTCCTTCAATTCAACAAATTGTCTCTTACACTCTGTTGATTATTTCCTTTGCTGTGCAGAAGCATTTTAGTTAAGTATAGTCCCATTTGTCTCTTTTTGTTTTTGTTGCCTGTGCTTTTGAGGTCTTAGCCATAAAAATCTTTGCCTAGGCCAATGTCATGAAGTGTTTCCCTTATGTTTTCTTCTAGTATTTTTATAGTCTTGGGTTTTACATTTAAGTCTTTAATCAATCTTGAATTGATTTTTATATATGGTGAGAGGTGAGGGTCTACTCTTACTCTTTTGCGTATGGCTATCCAGTTTTCCCAGCACCATTTATTGAAGTGGGTGTCTTTTCCCCAGTATATGTTCTTGGTGCCTTTGTGGGAAATTGGTTGGCTGTTTATTTCTGGGGTTTCAATTCTATTCTATAGGTGCATATATCTATTTCTATACTAATAAAACGCTGTGTTGGTTACTATAGCCTTGTAAGATATTTTGAAGTCAGTGTGATGCCTCCACCTTTGTTCTTTTTGCTGATAACTGTTTTGACTATTTGTGCTCTTTTTTAGTTCTACATGAAATTTAGGATTTTTTTCTATTTATGTGAAAAATTACATTGCTATTTTGATAGGGATTGCTTTGAATCTGTAGATTTCTTTGGGTAGTATGGGCATTTTAACAATACTAATCTTCTGATCCAGGAGCATGGAGTGTCTTTCCATTTGTTAGTGTCCTTTTCAGTTTCTTTCATCAGTGTTTTGTAGCTTTCTTTGTAGATATCTTCCACCTCTCTGTTTAAATTTCTTCCTAGGTAATATATTTATTTTGTAGCTGTTGTAAATGGGATTACTTTCTTGATGTCTTTCTTAGCTAGTTCATTATTGGTTTATAGAAATGCTACTGATTTTTACATGTTGATTCTATATCCTGCGATTTACTATATTAATCAGATCTAAAAGCTTTTTGGTGGAGTCTTTAGGTTTTTCTAGATAGAAGATTATGTCATCTGCAAAGAGGGACAGTTTGACTTTTTCTTTTTCTTTTTTTATTATTATTATACTTTAAGTTTTAGGATACATGTGCACAACGTGCAGGTTTGTTACATATGTACACATGTGCCATGTTGGTGTGCTGCACCCATTAACTCGTCATTTAGCATTAGGTGTATCTCCTAATGCTGTCCCTCCCACCACCCCACAACAGTCCCCGGTATGTGATGTTCCCCTTCCTGTGTCCATGTGTTCTCATTGTTCAGTTCCCACCTGTGAGTGAGAATATGTGGTGTTCGGTTTTTTGTCCTTGCGATAGTTTGCTGAGAATGATGGTTTCCAGCTTCATCCATGTCCCTACAAAGGACATGAACTCATCCTTTTTTATGGCTGCATAGTATTCCATGGTGTATATGTGCCACATTTTCTTAATCCAGCCTATCATTGTTGGACATTTGGGTTGGTTTCAAGTCTTTGCTATTGTGAATAGTGCCGCAATAAACGTATGTGTGCATGTGTCTTTATAGCAGCATGATTTATAATCATTTGGGTATATACCCAGTAATGGGATGGCTGGGTCAAATGGTATTTCTAGTTCTAGATCCCTGAGGAATTGCCACACCGACTTCCACAATGGTTGAACTAGTTTACAGTCCCACCAACAGTGTAAAAGTGTTCCTGTTTCTCCACATCATCTCCAGCACCTGTTGTTTCCTGACTTTTTAATGATCACCATTCTAACTGGTGTGAGATGGTATCTCATTGTGGTTTTGATTTGCATTTCTCTGATGGCCAGTGATGATGAGCATTTTTTCATGTGTTTTTTGGCTGCATAAATGTCTTCTTTTGAGAAGTGTCTGTTCATATCCTTCATCCACTTTTTGATGGGGTTGTTTGTTTTTTTCTTGTAAATTTGTTTGAGTTCATTGTAGATTCTGGATATTAGCCCTTTGTCAGATGAGTAGGTTGCAAAAATTTTCTCCCATTTTGTAGGTTGCTTGTTCACTCTGATGGTGGTTTCTTTTGCTGTGCAGAAGCTCTTTAGTTTAATTAGATCCCATTTGTCAATTTTGACTTTTGTTGCCATTGCTTTTGGTGTTTTAGACATGAAGTCCTTGTCCATGCCTATGTCCTGAATGGTATTGCCTAGTTATTCTTCTAGGGTTTTTATAGTTTTAGGTCTAACATGTAAGTCTTTAATCCATCTTGAATTAATTTTTGTATAAGGTGTAAGGAAGGGATCCAGTTTCAGCTTTCTATATACGGCTAGCCAGTGGTCCCAGCACCATTTATTAAATAGGGAATCCTTTCCCCATTGCTTGTTTTTGTCAGGTTTGTCAAAGATCAGGTAGTTGTAGGTGTGTGGTATTATTTCTGAGGCCTCTGTTCTGTTCCATTGGTCTATGTCTCTGTTTTGGTACCAGTATCATGCTATTTTGGTTACTGTAGCCTTGTAGTATAGTTTGAAGTCAGGTAGCGTGATGCCTCCAGCTTTGTTCTTTTGGCTTAGGATTGACTTGGCAATGCGGGCTCTTTGTTGGTTCCATATGAACTTTAAAGTAGTTTTTTCCAATTCTGTGAAGAAAGTCATTGGTAGCTCGATGGGGATGGCATTGAATCTATAAATTACCTTGGGCAGTATGGCCATTTTCTCGATATTGATTCTTCCTACCCATGAGCATGGAATGTTCTTCCATTTCTTTGTATCCTCTTTTACTTCATTGAGCAGTGGTTTGTAGTTCTCCTTGGAGAGGTCCTTCACATCCCTTGTAAGTTGGATTCTTAGGTATTTTATTCTCTTTGAAGCAATTGTGAATGGGAGTTCACTGATGATTTGACTCTCTGTTTGTTTGTTATTGGTGTATAAGAATGCTTGTGATTTTTGCACATTGATTTTGTATCCTGAGACTTTGCTGAAGTTGCTTATCAGCTTAAGGAGATTTTGGGCTGAGATGATGGGGTTTTCTAGATATACAATCATGTCATCTGCAAACAGGGACAATTGGACTTCCTCTTTTCCTAATTGAATGCCCTTTCTTCCTTCTCCTGCCTGATTGCCCTGGCCAGAACTTCCAACACTATGTTGAATAGGAGTGGTGAGAGAGGGCATCCCTGTCTTGTGCCAGTTTTCAAAGGGAATGCTTCCAGTTTTTGTACATTCAGTATGATATTGGCTGTGGGTTTGTCATAGATACCTCTTATTATTTTAAGATACATCCCATCAATACCTAATTTATTGAGAGTCTTTAGCATGAAGCGTTGTTGAATTTTGTCAAAGGCCTTTTCTGCATCTATTGAGATAATCATGTGGTTTTTGTCTTTGGTTCTGTTTATATGCTGGATTACGTTTATTGATTTTCATATGTTGAACCAGCCTTGCATCCCAGGGATGAAGCCCACTTGATCATGGTGGGTAAGCTTTTTGATGTGTTGCTGGATTCGGTTTGCCAGTATTTTATTGAGGATTTTTGCATCAATGTTCATCAAGAATATTGGTCTAAAATTGTCTTTTTTGGTTGTGTCTCTGCCCGGCTTTGGTATCAGGATGATGCTGGCCTCATAAAATGAGTTAGGGAGGATTCCCTCTTTTTCTATTGATTGGAATAGTTTCAGAAGGAATGGTACCAGCTCCTCCTTTTACCTCTGGTAGAATTTAGCTGTGAATCCATCTGGTCCTGGACTTTTTTTGGTTGGTAAGCTGTTAATTATTGCCTCAATTTCAGAGCCTGTTATTGGTCTATTCAGAGATTCAACTTCTTCCTGGCTTAGTCTTGGGAGTGTGTATGTGTCGAGGAATTCAACCATTTCTTCTAGATTTTCTAGTTTATTTGCGTAGAGGTGTTTATAGTATTCTCTGATGGTAGTTTGTATTTCTGTGGGATCACTGGTGATATCCCCTTTGTCATTTTTTATTGCATCTATTTGATTCTTCTCTCTTTTCTTCTTTATTAGTCTTGCTAGCAGTTTATCAATTTTGTTGATCTTTTCAAAAAACCAGCTCCTGGATTCATTGATTTTTTGAAGGGTTTTTTGTGTCTATATGTACTTCAGTTCTGCTCTAATCTTAGTTATTTCTTGCCTTCTGCTAGCTTTTGAAGGTGTTTGCTCTTGCTCCTCTAGTTCTTTTAATTGTGATGTTAGGGTGTCAATTTTAGATCTTTCCTGCTTTCTCTTATGGGCATTTAGTGCTATACATTTCCCTCTACACACTGCTTTGAATGTGTCCCAGAGATTCTGGTATGTTGTGTCTTTGTTCTCGTTGGTTTCAAAGAACATCTTTATTTCTGCCTTCATTTCGTTATGTGCTCAGTAGTCATTCAGGAGCAGGTTGTTCAGTTTCCATGTAGTTGAGTGGTTTTGAGTGAGTTTCTTAATCCTGAGTTCTAGTTCATTGCACTGTGGTCTGAGAGACAGTTTGTTATAATTTATGTTCTTTTACATTTGCTGAGGAGAGCTTTACTTCCAAGTATGTGGTCAATTTTGGAATAGGTGTGGTGTGGTGCTGAAAAGAATGTATATTCTGTTGATTTGGGGTGGAGAGTTCTGTAGATGTCTATTAGGTCCTCTTGGTGCAGAGCTGAGTTCAATTCCTGGATATCCTTGTTAACTTTCTGTCTTGTTGGTCTGCCTAATGTTGACAGTGGGGTGTTAAAGTCTCCCATTATTATTGTGTGGGAGCCTAAGTCTCTTTGTAGGTCACTCAGGACTTGCTTTATGAATCTGGGTCCTCCTGTATTGGGTGCATATATATTTAGGATAGTTAGTTCTTCTTGTTGAATTGATCCCTTTAACATTATGTAATGGCCTTCTTTGTCTCTTTTGATCTTTGTTGGTTTAAAGTCTGTTTTATCTGAGACTAGGATTGCAACCCCTGCCTTTTTTTGTTTTCCATTTGCTTGGCAGATCTTCCTCCATCCCTTTATTTTGAGCCTATGTGTGTCTCTGCACGTGAGATGGGTTTCCTGAATACAGCACACTGATGGGTCTTGACTCTTTATCCAGTTTGCCAGTCTGTGCCTTTTAATTGAAGCATTTAGCCCATTTACATTTAAGATTAATATTGTTATGTGTGAATTTGATCCTGTCATTATGATGTTAGCTGGTTATTTTGCTTGTTAGTTGATGCAGTTTCTTCCTAGCCTTGATGGTCTTTACAATTTGGCATGTTTTTGCAGTGGCTGGTACCTGTTGTTCCATGTTTAGTGCTTCCTTCACGAGCTCTTTTAGGGCAGGTCTGGTGGTGACAAAATCTCTCAGCATTTGCTTGTCTGTAAAGTATTTTATTTCTCCTTCATTTATGAAGCTTAGTTTGGCTGGATATGAAATTCTGGGTTGAAAATTCTTTTCTTTAAGAATGTTGAATATTGGCCCCCACTCTCTTCTGGCTTGTAGAGTTTCTGCTGAGAGATTCACTGTTAGTCTGATGGGCTTCCCTTTGTGGGTTACCCGACCTTTCTAAACTCTGGCTGCCGTTAACATTTTTTCCTTCATTTCAACTTTGGTGAATCTGACAATTATGTGTCTTGGAGTTGCTCTTCTTGAGGAGTATCTTTGTGGCATTCTCTGTATTTCCTGAATTTGAATGTTGGCCTGCCTTGCTAGGTTGGGGAAGTTCTCCTGGATAATATGCTGAAGAGTGTTTTCCAACTTGGTTCCATTCTCTTCGTCACTTTGAGGTACACCAATTAGACGTAGATTTGGTCTTTTCACGTAGTCCCATATTTCTTGGAGGCTTTGTTCATTTCTTTTTATTCTTTTTTCTCTAAACTTCTCTTCACACTTCATTTCATTCATTTCATCTTCCGTCACTGATACCCTTTCTTCCAGTTGATCGCGTCGGTTACTGAGTCTTGTGCATTCGTCATGTATTTCTCGTGCCATGGTTTTCAGCTCCATGAGGTCCTTTAAGGACTTCTCTGCATTGGTTATTCTAGTTATCCATTTGTCTTATTTTTTTCAAAGTTTTTAACTTCTTTGCCATTGGTTCGAACTTCCTCCTTTAGCTTGGAGTAGTTTGATCTTCTGAAGCCTTCCTCTCTCAACTCGTCAAAGTCATTCTCTGTCCAGCTTTGTTCAGTTGCTGGTGAGGAGCTGCGTTCCTTTGTCGGAGGAGAGGCTCTGATTTTTAGAGTTTCCGGTTTTTCTGCTCTGTTTTTTCCCCATCTTTGTGGTTTTATCTACCTTTGGTCTTTGATGATGGTGACGTACAGATGGGTTTTTGGTGTGGATGTCCTTTCTGTTTGTTAGTTTTCCTTCTAACAGTCAGGACCCTCTGCTGCAGGTCTGTTGTAGTTTACTGGAGGTCCACTCCAGACCCTGTTTGTCTAGGTATCAGCAGTGGTGGCTGCAGAACAGTGGATACTGGTGAACCACAAATGCTGCTGCCTGATCGTTCCTCTGGGAGTTTTGTCTCAGAGGAGTACCCGGCTGTGTGAGGTGTCAGTCCACCCGTACTGGGGGGTGCCTCCCAGTTAGGCTACTCGGGAGTCAGGGACCCACTTGAGGAGGCAGTCTGCCTGTTCTCAGATCTCCAGCTGTGTGCTGGGAGAACCACTACTCTCTTCAAAGCTGTCAGACAGGGACACTTAAGTCTGCAGAGGTTATTGCTGTCTTTTGTTTGTCTGTGCCCTGCCCCCAGAGGTGGAGCCTACAGAGGCAGGGAGGCCTCTTTGAGCTGTGGTGGGCTCCACCCAGTTTGAGCTTCCCAGCCACTTTGTTTACCTACTCAAGCCTGAGCAATGGCAGGCACCCCTCCCCCAGCCTCGCTGCCGCCTTGCAGTTTGATCTGAGATTGCTGTGCTAGCAATGAGCGAGGCTCCTTGGGCGTAGGACCTTCCGAGCCATGTGCCGGATATAATCTCCTGGTGTGCCGTTTGTTAAGCCCATTGGAAAAGCGCAGTATTAGGGTGGGAGTGACCCGATTTTCCAGGTGCCATCTGTCGCCCCTTTCTTTGACTAGGAAAGGGAATTCCCTGACCCCTTGCGCTTCCCGGGTGAGGCGATGCCTCGCCCTGCTTCAGCTCACGCATGGTGCGCTGCACCCACTGTCCTGCACCCACTGTCCGGCACTCCCCAGTGAGATGAACCCGTTACCTCAGTTGGAAATGCAGAAATCACCCGTCTTCTGCGTCGCTCACGCTGGGAGCTGTAGACTGGAGCTGTTCCTATTCGGCCATCTTGGCTCCACCCCCTGACTTGTTCTTTTTCAATTTGGATTCCTTTTATTTTTCTTGCCTGATTGTTCTGACTAGGACTTCCAGGACTGTGTTGAAGAGAAGTGGTGAAAGTGGAGATCCTTGTCTTGTTCCAGTTCTTTAGAGGAATGTTTTTCTTTTTCTTTCTTTTTTTTTGTTTTTCTTTTTTTTTGAGATGGAGTTTCGTTCGTGTTGCCCAGCTGGAGTGCAGTGGCGTGATCTCAGCGCGCTGCAACCTCCACCTCCTGGGTTCAAGCAGTTCTCTTGCCTCAGCCTTGCCAAGTAGCTGGGATTACAGGCGCCCGCCATGATGCCCAGCAAATTTTTTTTTTTTTTGTATTTTTTAGTAGAGACGAGGTTTCACTGTGTTGGTCAGGCTGATCTTGAACTCCTGACCTCACGTGATGTGCCCACCTCGGCCTCCCAAAGTGATGGGATTACAGGCGTGAGCCACTGTGTCTCACTAGAGGATTGCTTTTCTTTTCCCCATTTAGTAATGATGTTAGCTGTGGCTTTGTTACAGATAGGCTTTATTTTGTTGAGGTGTGTTACTTATATACCTAGTTTGTTGAGAGCTTTTATCATAAAGGGATGTTTTAATCTATGAAATACTTTTTCTGTGTCTATTGAGATCGTTTGCCATATGGTTTTTGCTCTTTGTTCAGTTGATGTGATGGATCATGTCGCTGATTTGGGTGTGTTGAACCATCCTAGCATCCCTGGGATAAATGCTAATTAATCATGGTGTATTATGTTTTTGATGTGCTGTTGGATTCGGATTGGTAGTATTTTGTTGAAAAATTTTGCATCTGTGTTCATCAGGGATACTGGTCTATAGTTTTTTGTTGTTGTTGTGTCCTTGTCTGGTTTTGGTATCAAGGTAATGGTGGGCTGGGCCTTGTAGAACAAGTTAGGGAGAATTCTCGCCTCTTGAACCTTTGCAGTAGTTTGAGGATAATTGATGTTAGTTCTTTGAAAGTTCAGTAGAATTCAGCAGTGAAGCTCTGTGGTCCTGGACTTTTCTATGTTGGGAGACTTTCTCTTACTGACCAAATCCCGTTACTTGTTACTGGTCTGTTCATGTTTTCTATTTCTTACTGATTCAAACCTGGTAGGTTGTATGTGTCCAGGAATTTATATATTTCCTCTAGGTTTTCCAGTTGTTCATGTATAGTTATTCATAATAGTCTTTATGTTTTGTATTTTTTTGTTTGTTTGTTTTGAGACAGAGTCTCCCTCTGTTGCCCAGGCTGGAGTACAGTGGTGCAATCTTGGCTCACTGCAAGCTCCGCCTCCCGGGTTCATGCCATTCTCCTGCCTCAGCCTTCCACGTAGCTGGGACTACAGGCGCCCGCCACAACGCCTAGCTAATTTTATGTTTTGTATTTTTGTGATATCAGGCATAGTGTCTTCTTTTTCATTTCTGATTGTGTTTATTGCAGCTTTTTTAAAGTTTTAGTACAGCTAGCAGTTTATTGATTTTGTTTATCTTTTAAAAAAATTTTTTTTGTGGATCCTTTGTATTTTTTTTAGTGTATTTCACTTAGTTCTGCTCCCATCGTTATTCTTCGTTTTCTACTAATATGTATCAGGTTGTTTATTTGTAATCTTACTCCTTTTTTGATAGAAGAATTTATTGCTATAAACTTCTCTTTTCTCACTGCTTTTGCTATATCTCATCAGTTTTGTTATGTTGCTTTGATTTTCAATTGTTCTAAGACATTTTCTTATTCCCTCTTTAACTTCTTCCTTGAACCAGTGATTGCTCGAAGACATTTTCTAATTCCCTCTTTAATTTCTTCCTTGACCCAGTGGTCATTCAGCAGCACGTTGTTTAATTTCCATGTTGTGTGTGTGTGTGTGTGTGTGTGTGTGTGTGTGTGTTGTTTTTGAGCTGGGGGTCTCACTCTGTTGCCCAGGCTGGAGTGCAGTGGTGTGATCTCATCTCACTGCAACTTCTGCCTCATGGGTACAAGCAATTCTCCTGCCTCAGCCTCTTGAGTAGCTGAGATTATAGGTGTCTGCCACCACACTCATCTAATGTTTGTATTTTTAGTAGAGACGAGGTTTCACCATGTCAGCCAGGCTGGTCTCAAACTCCTGACCTTAAGTGATCCACCTGCCTCCACCTCCCAAAGAGCTGGGATTATAGGCATGAGCCACCGTGCCTGGCCAATTTCCATGCGTTTGTATAGTTTTCAGTTTCTCTTGTTGATTTTTAGTTTTCCATTGTGGTCTGAGATGATACTGGATATGATTTTAATTTTAAAACATTTTTTGAGCTTTGTTTTGTGGCTTAAGATATGGTCGTTTCCTATAGAATGTTCCATATGCTTATGAGAAGTATGTGTATTCTGTTGCTGTTGGGTAAAGTGTTCTGTAAATATCTGTTAGGTTAATTTGGTTTTTAAGTGCAGTGTAAAATCAGTTTTTTTAAAATTAATTTTCTCTCTAGATTATCTGTCTAGTGGTGAGAGTTGGGTGGAGTCTGTTTCTCCCTTTAGATCTAATAATATTTGATTTATATATCTGGGTGCTCTGTTGTTGGATCCATGTATATGTTTAGAATTGTTACATTCTCTTGCTGAATTGATCCCTTTATTATTATATAATGACCTTCTTTGTCACTTTTTGCTCTTTTTGACTTAAAGTCTGTCTTACCTGATACAAGTATAGTTACACCTGCTTGCTTTTGGTTTCCTTTTGTATGGAACATCTTTTCCCATCTTTTTGCAGCATACAATTGGGTCATTTAAAAAAAAGAAAAACTCCTTTCAACCAGTCTATATCTTTTAGGTGGAAAGTTTAACTGGTTTACATTCAAGGCTGTCATTGATACATGCATGAGGGTTAATTTCTGTCATTGTATTAATTGATTCTGGTTGTTTTGTGTATCTTTTGTTTCTTATTTTCTCTCTTATTCATTGTGGTTTGGTGGTTTTCTGTCGTGGTAACACTTGAATTATTTCTTTTATTTGTGTGTTTGTTTTACCAGTGGAGTTTATATGTGTTTTGTAATGGTAGATATTGTTCTTTCACTTCCAAGTATACAACTCTCTTAGTAGAGACGGGGTTTCACTGTGTTGGCCAGGCTAGTCTTGAACTCCTGACCGCAGGTGACCTCAGGTGATTCCCCCCACCACGGCCTCCCAAAGTGCTGGGATTACAGGCATAAGCCACTGTGCCCAGCCAGATGATCTATTTGCAGTGTGATTATCGGCTCATTATTTTGGTGTTTTTTTTTGTTGAGGGGAGTACCAGATACCTCGTCAGTCATCTTGAAACCCCTCCTTCCTGACTGTATTTATTGAAAAAATAAGTCCACTTCCTTCTTCATTACAGATTTGTCCTTTTGTTCCTTTGTTTTGTAACACCTGTTTTTCCTTGCAGGATGATAAAGTCAAATCCCTCCTCTGTAGCTTGATATGTTATAGAAGTTCAATGACTGCTGAACAAGTTTTAAATGCTGAATGTTTCTTGATGCCAAAGGAGCAATCAGTTCCAAACCCAGAAAAAGATACTGAATACACCCTATATAAAAAGGAAGAAGAAATAAAGACGGAGAACTTGGATAAATGTATGGAGAAGACAAGAAATGGTGAAGCCAACTTTGATTGTTAAATTATTATTGTTGTTGTTGCAGAGGTTCTTTTTAAAAACTTTGGTTTGGTTAATACACAGAAATATCTAGAAATGTTCTGGGACTAGTTGAGTTGTATCTTTAGTATTCAGGTTGTGAAAAATAAAGATGTTTGGCTATGCACAAAATAGTTTGTATGCTTTGAACTTTAGTTTACTTGGAGTTTGATATGGTTTGGCTGTGTCCCCACTCACATTTCATTTTGAATTGTAATTCCCATAATCCCCACGTGTTGTGAGAGGGACCTGGTGGGAGGTAATTGAATCATGGGGGCAGGTTTTTCCCATACTGTTCTCATGGTAGTGAGCAAGTCTCATGAGATCTGATGGTTTTATAAAGGGGAATTGCCCTACACAAGCTTTTTGCCTGTTACCAGTAAGACATGCTGTTACTCTTCCTTCACCTTCCACCACAATTGTGAGGCCTCCCCAGCCATGTGAGCAACGGTGAGTCCATTAAACCTCTTCCCTTTATAAATTATCCAGTCTCACGTTTGTCTGTTAGCAGCATGAGAACAGACTAATAAAGTAAATTGGTACTATGAGTGGGGTGCTGCTGTAAAGATACCCAAAAATGTGGAAGTGACTTTGGAACTGGGTAACAGGCGGAGGTTGGAACAGTTTGGAGGGCTCAGAAGAGGACAGGAAGATGTGGGAAAGTGTGGAACGTCCTAGAGACTTGTTGAATGGCTTTGACCAAAATGCTGATAGTGATATGGCCAATGAAGTCCAGGTTGAGGTGGTTTCAGATGGAGATGAGGAACTTGTTGGAAACTGGAATAAAGGTGACTCTTGCAATGTTTTAGGAAAGAGACTGGGAGCATTTTTGCCCTAGAGATTTGTGCAACTTTGAACTTGAGAGAGAGAGATTTAGGGCATCTGGTGGAAGAAATTTCTAAGTAGCAAAGCATTCAAGATGTGACCTGGGTGTTGTTAAAAGCATTCAGTCTTATGTATTCACAAAGATATGGTTTGGAATTGGAACTTATGTTTAAAAGCAGAGCATAAAAGTTCAGAAAATTTGCAGCCTGATGATGCGATAGAAAAGAAGAACCTATTTTCTGAGGAGAAATTGAAGCCAGCTGTAGAAATTTGCATAAGTAATGAGGGGCCAAATGTTAATCACTAAGAGAATGGGGAAAATGTCTCCAGGGCATATCAGAGACCTTTGTGGCAGGCTCTCCTATTATAGGCCCAGAGGCCTAGGAGGAAAAAATGGTTTCATGGGCTGGGCCCAGGGTCCCCCTGCTGTGTGCAGCCTAGAGACTTGGTGCCCTGCATCCTGGCTGCTCCAGCTGTGGCTAAAAGGGTCCAAGGTACAGCTCGGCCCATGGCTTCAGAGGGTGCAAGCTCCAACTCTTTAGCAACTTCCAACTTCCACGTGGCATTGAGCCTGCAGGTGCACAGAAGTAAGAATGGAGGTTTGGGAACCTCCACCTACATTTCAGGGGATCTTTGGAACCACCTGGATGTCCAGGCAGAAGTTTTCTGCAGAGGTGGGACCTTCATGGAGAACCCCTGCTAGGGCAGTGTGGAAGGGAAACGTGGAGTCAAAGGCCCCACACAGAGTCCGTACTGGGGCATTGCCTAGTGGAACTGTGAGGAGAAGGCCACGGCCCTCCAGGCCCCAGAATGGTAGATCCACTGACAGCTTGCACTTTGCACCTGGAAAAGCTGCAGACAACACCAGCTTGTGAAAGCAGCTGGGGTGGGGGGTGGTTGCTGTACCCTGCAAAGCTACAGGGGCAGAGCTGCCCAAGGCCATGGGAACCCAACTCTTGCATCAGTGTGACCTGGATATGAGTCAAAGGAGGTCATTTTGGAGCTTTAAGATTTGTCTGCCTTGCTGGCTTTTGAACTTGCATGGAGCACTGGATTTCAAACTTGTATGTAGTCCCTTTATTTTGGCCAATTTCTCCCATTTGGAACAGGTGTATTTAACCAATGCCTGTACCCCCATTGTATCTAGGAAGTAACTAACTTGCTTTTGATTTTACAGGCTCACAGGCAGAAGGGACTTGCCTTGTCGCAGATGAGACTTTGGACTCTGGACTTTTGAGTTAATGCTGAAATGAGTTAAGATTTTGGGGGACTGTTGAGAAGGCATGATTGGTTTTGAAATGTGAGGACGTGAGATTTGGGAAGGGCCAGGGATGGAATTACATGGTTTGGCTGTCTCCCCACTCAAATTTTACCTTGAATTGTTATAATCCCTATGTGTCAAGGGTGGGCCCAGGTGCAGATAATTTAATCATGGGGACAGTTTTCCCCATACCATTCTTGTGGTAGTGAATAAGTCTCATGAGATCTGATGGTTTTATAAATGGGAGTTCCTTGCACAAGACCTCTTGCCTGCCACCATGTAAGATGTTCCTTTGTTCTTCCTTTGTCTTCTGCCATGATTGTGGGGCCTCCTCAGCCATGTGGAACTGTGAGTCCATTTAACCTCTTTCCTTCATAAATTACTCAGTCTTGGGTATGTCTTCATCAGAAGCATGAGAACAGACTAATATAGAGTTATTAAAGAAGGATATTCTGATTCTAATTATCTTTTGAAATTGAGTAATTAGAATGTGATACTTGTGATAGGAAAAGATATTGCATTGCTTGACAAGTCCTATGCAGATTTTCAGTGTACTGGCTAGCTGGATATGAAGGCTCATGCTTTTATTCAACAAATAATAGTTGTAATCTGCTTTGTATCCAGTTCTGGAAATATAAAAATACATAAAACTGGTCCTTACACTTATGAAGACTACCATCTATTGAGAAATCCAGAGATACAAACAGATTATAATACAACATGGAATATCCAGTGACAGCTCTGGGCTTGATGAGATTATACAGTAGTACTCTTCCTATGGAGGAGGGTTGTCAAGGAAATCTTTCTGGAGAAGGTAGTATATTGGTTAAATCTTAGAGGATTAGTTGAAATGGTAAAGAGAGTAGCAGCAGTATCTTTTTCTTTTTTCTTTTTTCGAGACAGGGGCTTGCTCTGTCACTCAGGGTTGAGTTGCAGTGGTGAACTCATGGCTCACTGTAATCCTGAACTCCTGGGCTCAAGCAGTTCTTTCACCTCAGCCTCCCAAGTAGAAGGATTACAGGCACAAGAGTATCTTAATAGCAGAGAAAACATCATGAAATCACTAAAGGGAGAAACAGTTTGTTGTCTTAAGTAGTATGAAGTAAAAGGCAGGGAATAGGTAGATGAGGGCTTCATATGAAATAATAAAATGCTTATACCTAATTATTTTATAGGAAATATGGAGTTATTGAAGAATTATAAGCAGATTTAGCTCGCTCGAAATCCATCTTCTACCTATCATCAGGATAGTAGGTAGGGAGACTAGTTAGATGGCAATTATGATAAAGTAGGGGAGAGATGATTAAAGCAAGATCTAGAGAAGTAGAATTAGAGATGAAACCTACAGGACAAACTTACAAAATAATTGGGAGGCAAAATCAGTAGGACTTGGTAATTGGAGTATATGTAGACTTAAGTAGTATGGCAGAGTTTTTTTGTTACCTATTCAATATCCAGTCTTCCTTAGTTATAGATCCCTAGTATTATTTGGACTGTTGATGTACTCAGCAAGAGTATCTTTGCCATTTTCTCTGTAATGAGGCCTTTTGACTAAGTTTTTGCAAATAAGGCTCCTAAAAAGGAGGTGACGAGGCTGGGAGATGTTCCCTTTGCCTTCACTCCTTTACTACTACCCTGAAGCTAACACGATGGCTAGAATTGGAGGAGCTCCCTTGGATCATGAGGTGATTTTGAGGATGCAAGCCATGAGCTAGGTTGGCGGAACAGCAAGTTAGAAGGAGCTGGTCATCATTCTGGAGCCTCTGTACTAGCCTTGAGATTTTATGTTGAGAGAATAAACAAAATGTGGTTCCTGTATCAGCCGCTTCAGCATCACCTGGGAAGTTGTTAGAAATGCAAATTTTTGGCTCCACTGCAGACCTACTAAGTAAGAATCTCAGGGTGAGGGGTAGAGCCAACAATCTGTGTTTTAATAAGCCCTTTAAGTCATTCTGTGAATACTAAAGGGAAATATTGCCACATATTCAAGTCTTTGCAGCCTTTCAGCTTTTCTGTTTTATAGTAGAATTTAATTTCAGTTGACTCAGTAGTAAAAGCACAGCAGTAGATTTAAAGCAAACTTGGATAATTAACGGGAACAAGGATAAACTCCTTTTTTTTTTTTTAACATTCACTATTTTAAATAAAGTATTAGAGCTATATTTTCTAAGTGTTTTCTGAAGACTAGCTTTTGGGGAGTCTCAGCACAAAAATGAGTTCTGTGATTTGTTGTTTATGAAATGAACGCTAAGTTGGAGATTTGAAACCACCTTTGCAGAAGTTATACAAGTCAGAAAACATGACAGTCAAAGAGATCTGACCTAAGCAATTCTATCTTGCCTTTAATCTCCAGACTGCCCTTGTTCATTCCTGGGCATAGGCCGAACTAACTTTGGGAGGAATTTAGTTTATAGTTTCTCTCTGAAACAAAGATGATAACCCCCTTCTCCAAAACAAACCCCTCCCATGCTTGGGGTACAGACTGACTTTGTAAAACTAACAAATTAGCCACAAGATGAGAAATTATGGCTCAGGAGTCATGCAGCCAGAGGCTACAAGGTTCCTAACCTCCCTAATTGCTCCTATGGATAACATTACTACTGTAAAACCTAAGATTGGTATATGAGATATTTTTTCAGATCCTGCATTCTGATGGATTTGCTGGTGCCACCAGACCAGTAAGCTGGCTCATCTGGTCTTGTGGTCCCCCATCCAGGAACTGATTCAGTGCAAGAGGACAGCTTAGACTCCCTATGATTTTATCCCCTACCAACCAATCAGCATTTCTCATTCCATAGCCCCCTGTTCAGCAAACTATTTTTAAATAACCCTAGCCTCTGAAATTCCAGGGAGGCTGATTAGAGTAATAATAAAACTTTTGACTCCCATTTAGCTGCTTCTATGTGTATTAAACTCTTTCTCTATTGCAGTTCCCCTGTCTTGATAAGTCAGCTCTATCTAGGCAATGGGCAAGAAGAACCTGTTGGGCTGTTACAGATTGGTCATGCATGTTAGACAGTAAAGTTTCTAAAAAGTCCTATAGGAAAGAAACCTGATTAGTTTTATTTAGCCCAGTGTTTGCCAAATATACAGTGATAACTCCCCTTTCCCCCACATAATACGTAGCAACCTCTCTCTTATAAAACTAGTGTGAGGATCAGATTTTGTGGGATAAGGTAATTTTTTTTAAAATTTTATGTCTTAAAATGAAAATACTAATGGGTGGTGAGAAGAGACAAATTACATGTATCTGTGTAATGAAATAAATGTCTCTTGAAATACGTGTATATATGCATAAAGCCAATGCAAAGGCAGGCAAATGTATTCACTGCCCTGTAGGCAGTCTTTGAGTGATGCAGCATGCAATATTCTATAGTAACAGCAATGACGTATGTCACCAAAAGAAGAGGAAGGGAAAAGAAAGATGATGAGGTTGAGGAATAGACAGTTGACTCATTTTGGAGGAAGACAGTAGATATATGCTTGTTTGAAACTGGAAGAGGGGCATTTCAGGCCAAGAAAAGTAAGGAAGTTCAGTGGGTGGATTTGAGAGAGGTAAAATTAGCCACAAAAAGAATAAAATACCTAGGAATACAACTAATCTGGGAGGTGAAAGATATCTACCATGAGAGTTGCAATACCCTGCTCAAGGAAATCAGAGATGACACAAACAAATGGAAAAGCATTCCATGCTCATGGATAGGAAGAATCAATATTGTTAAAGTGGCCATACTGCCAAAAGCAATACAGGTTTAATGCTATTCCTGTCAAACTACCAGTGACATTTTTCACAGAATTAGAAAAAGGTATTCTAAAATTCATGTGGAACCAAGACTGAGCACAAATAGCTCAAGTAATGCTAAGCAAAAAGAACAAAGCTGGAGGGATCACACTACCTCACTTCAAATTACACTACAAGGCTACAGTAGCCAAAACTGTGTGGTATTAGTACAAAAAGAGACACAGAGACTGAAGGGAACAGGTTAGAGAGCTCAGAAATAAAGCTGCACACCTACAACCATCTGATCTTTGACAAAGTCGACAAAAGCAATGGGGAAAGGACTTCCTATTCAATAAGTGGTGCTGGGATAACTGGCTAGCCATATGCAGAAGATTAAAACTGGAGCCCTTTCTTTTACCATGTTAAAAAATCAACTTTAGGAATTAAAGACTTAACTGTAAAATTTACAACTATAAAAACCCTAGAAGAAAACTAAGGAAATACTATTCTGGATGTAGCCCCTGGCAAAGATATTATACGTCTTCGTATAATACTCCCAAAGCAATTTCAACAAAGCCAAAAATTGAAAAATGTTACCTAATTAATGAGCTTCTGCACAACAAAAGAAAACAGAATAAACAGCCTACAGAATGGGAGAAAATATTTGCAAACTATGCATCTGACAAAATTCTAATATCCAGAATTTGTAAGGAAGTTAAATTAACAAGCAGAAAACAACCCCATTAAAAAATGGGGAAAGGACATGAACAGACACTTCTCAGAAGAAAACATAACACATGTTCAACAAGCATATTAAAAAATGTTCAGCATCACTAATCATTAGAGAAATGCAAATCAAAACCACAATGAGATACCATCTCACACCAGTCACAATAGATATTACCAAAAAGTCAGAAAAAAAAAAAAAAAAGCAACACAAACTTCCAGATGCTGGCAAGACTGCAGAGAAAATGGAATGCTTATTATACACTGCTGGTAGGAATGTAAATTAGTTCAGCCACTCTAGAAAGCAGTTTGGAGATTTCTCAAATAATTTAGAACTACCATTTGACCCAGCAATCCCATTACTGGGTATATGCCCAAATTAAGTTGCTCTACCATAAGGGCACATGCATGTTTATCATCATGGAACATAAGCATAAAGCCAATGCAAAGGCAGACAGTGATGTTCACTGCCCTGTAGGCAGTATTTGAGTGATGCAGCATGTAATAAGCTATAATAAGAGCAATAACCTATGTCACCAAAAGAAAGGAAGAGAAGGATGAGGTATTTGCACAAGTATTATGAATATTAAGATTCACAATAGCTAAGACATGGACTCAACCTAGATGCCCATCAGTGGTGGACTGGATAAAGAAAATGTGGTGCATATACAGCGTATAATACTAAACAGCCATAAAAAGAATGAAATAATGTACTTTACAGCAACATGGATGGAGCTGGAGGCCATTATCCTAAGCAAAGTGACACAGGAACAGAAACCCAAAAACTTCATGTTCTCACTTATAAGTGGGAGTTAATATTGAGTATATAAGTAGGGAACAGAAGACACTGGGGCCTAGTTGAAGGTGGAGAGTGGGTGGAGGGTGAATATTGAAAAACTACTCATCAGGTACTATGCTCCTTACCCAGGTGATGAAATAATCTGTACACTAAACCCCCATGACATGCAATTTTCCCACGTAACAAACATGCACATGTATTCCTGAATCTAAAATGAAAGTTGGCAAGAAAAAAAAAAATTCATCCAGTAAAAAAAAAAAATTAGTAATGAAAGTAAACTTGAGGACCTGATGTGGTTTCTTAAAACCACAAGTTCCCATTTACATGTGGGAAAGATTTTTCCTCCAGTTTTATTGTCCCAATAGAATGGACTCAATTTTGTAGGCTCATTATTCTTCTAATTAAACTGTCCTTTTGCAGTTTTAAAGAAGTATAAACTTTCCCTCAAACTTATGGGAATCCTCCTCTGGTCCAATTCCTATCAGTGCCAAGTCATTTTAGTGTGTATTTAATGCCAACATTTATTACATTTCTTGTTAGCATCTCTCTTTTATCTCAGCAAATGATAAGCTTTACCATGTCTTAGTTGTTGGCATAATTGTATATTCTATTTTGGAGTATTTTGAGGTTTTGTTTCAAGATTTAGAATTCTTTTTAGCATTTCTTGTAGTGCTGATTTGGTAGTGGCAAATTCTCTCAGCATTTGTTTGTCTGAAAAAGACTTTATCTCTCCATTTATGAAGCTTAGTTTTGCTGGATACAAAATTCTTGACTGAGAGTTACTCTGATAAAGGAGGCTAAAGATAGGACCCCAGTCCCTCTGGCTTGTAAGGTTTCTGCTGAGAGATCTGCTGTTAATCCGATAGGTTTTCCTTTGTATGTTACCTGATGCTTTGTCTCACAGCTTAAGATTCTTTCCTTCATCTTGACTTTGGATAACCTGATGACTACACGTCTTGGTGATCTTTTCGTGATGAATTTCCCAGGAATTCTTTGAGTTTCTTGTATTTGGATGTTTAGGTCTTTAGCGAGGCCAGGGAAGTTTCCCTCAGTTATTCCCTTAAATAAATTTTTCGAACTTTTAGATTTCTCTTCTTCAGGAACACTGAGTAGTCTTAGGTTTGGCCGTTTATCATAATCCCATATTTCTTGGAGACTTTGTTCATTTTTTAATCCTTTTTTCTTGGTCTTTGTCTGATTGGGTTAATTTGAAAGCCTTGTTTTTGAGCTCTGAAGTTCTTTCTTGTACTTGTTCTAGTCTATTTTTGAAACTTTCCACTGTATTTTGGATTTTCCCAAGTATGTCTTTTATTTCTGGAAGTTGTGATTGTTTTTTCTTTATGATAATCTACTTGTCTGGAATTTTTTTCATCCATATCTGGTATTGTTTCTTAATTTCTTTAGGTTGGTTTTCACCTTTCTCTGGTACCTCCTTCAGTAGCTTAATAATCAACCTTCTGAATTTTTTTTTTCTGGCAATTCAGAGATTTCTTCTTAGTTTGGATCCATTGCTGGAGAGCTAATATGATCTTCTGGGGGTGTTATAGAACCCTGTTTTGTCATATTACCAGAATTACTTTTCTGGATCCTTTTCTTTTGGGTAGCCTGTTTCTTCAGATTGTTCTTGAAATTTTTGATGGAACTGTGTGTGTGTGTGTGTGTGTGTGTGTGTGTTTAAGAATTTCATATTTTCCCTTAAGGATTGGACTTTAATGTTTGTTTTAGCCTAATTTGATTCTTGGTGCTTGTAGGGGTGAAGACACTGTATGAGTTCTCTAGTTATGGAGAGTCTTTGTGTGCTGGCTTTCCCTGATGCTGGTTGTAGTAGTTATGTTCTTGGTGTGTGGGCAGGTTCACTGTCTCCTATGGAGTTGGAATGACAGGGATCTCTTGGAGCTTATATTGTTCTCTCATGGTGTATGTTTTATTTATTTATTTAATTTTTTCTCAGTTTTTAATTTGCTGAGCTGATTCTGGCTTCAGGCCAATAGGGGAGGTATCCCTGGGTAAGCACTGGTTGTAGCTAAGGCAGGTAGATAGATGTAATATCTAACAGTGGGCTGAGGTCCCAGCCTTGATGAGGGTAGCTGGGGAAGCTCTCAGTTAGATGTGCTGAGGTTTTATCAGGATGAAGAGTGGGAGCTACCTGAGCTCCCCTGCCAGGCCAGCAGGAAAGTTATTCCCCTCACAGCCTCACTTCTGTCCTAGTGTTTCGGCTATTCAGATGAGACAGGCACCTCTTTTTATGTATAGGAATGTTGATGTTCCAAGTAGGGAGGAGTTGTGTCTCTGTCTCTCGTGTAGGGTTGAATCTAGGGGGTGCTCTTCTTTTGGGGCTGAGCTTACCCTGGATTGTTCCACAAAGGCTGTCTATAGGTGCCTTGATGCTGCATTCCCGTGGGGAAGTCCAAGCTACGTCTGTAGTAGAGTGCCAGGGGAGAACAAGAACCCCTTCTTTAAGGCCCTTCCTGGTCACAGAGGCTGCCTGCCTATTGAGGTAGAGGTGCAGACTTTCCCTTCTGCACCCAGCACTGTACTTGTGACTCTGCTGTGAGAAACTTCTCACCAGCAGAAAGATCTGGAACTCAAGGCCTGCTTTTCAGATTCTTTTGTCTTATGGGGTGATTCTTTGATAGGGTGCTCTCCTCCTTCTCCTAGGAATGGGGTTTCCTGAGAGCTGGACTGCAGTGATCGTTATTACTCTTCTAGGTCTAGCCATCCAGTGGGGCTATCAGGCTCTGGACTAGTGCTAGGGAATGTCTGCAAAGAGTCCAAAGATGTGGCTAGTCTTCAGGTCTCCCAGCTGTGGATACCAGCACCTGCTCTGATGGAGGTGGCAGCGTAGTGATGTAGGCTGTGAGATTCCTTGGTTGTAGATAGGCTTAGTTTGCTGGCTTTCTCAAATGTTGGCTGTGTTAGCTGTGGAGTTGCCATGTGGACAGACTCAGGACATCTGGCTAGCCAGGCTGTTGCAGGCAGTGATGTTAGCTGTTGTTTTCTTCTTCCTGGGAGCAGTGTTATTCTGCCAAGAGTTGCTATAATGGCCTGAATTAGTTGGCCTCCAGCCGGGAGGTAGCACTTGCAAGAGAGCACCAGCTGCAGTAGTAGTATTGGGATTTGAGCTTGCCCTACATTGGCCAGGGGAAGTATTCTGGTTTCTCAGGTGATGGGTGAGGCCATGACGCTCCCAAGAGTTTATGTGTTTTGTGCCCACCAGACTGGGTAGAGAAATACCATCAGGTTGGGGCATGGTTAAGTGGGTCTGAGCTCAGACTCTCCTTGGGTGGGGCTTGTCACAGCCCTGTAGGGGATGGGAAGGTGGTTCTCAGATCAGTGGGGTTATGTTCCAGAAGGGAGTATGGCTGCCTCTGCTGTGCAGAAGAACTCACCAGGGGAGTGGGGATTAGCTGGTAGTGAAAGGCCTCACCCAACTCCCATGCAGTTGGCAAGGCCAGTCTCACTCCTGCAGTGCCCTGCTAACAGCCCCAAGTTAGATCCAGGCAGCCTGTGCACAGAATTCAGACCTGCCCCAGGTCATAATCTTCCCTGCTGGGAAAGCAAGCATGGTTTTTGAGCCCTGCCGCTCCCCGTCTACTGGTAATGCTGGGCACCCCACACTCACGTTCACATTTGCTGCAGTTTCCCTTCCCTCCCGGATTCCATTCAAGGGGTTTGTGCCCACTCAAAATTATTACAAAATTCAGTTGGGAGTTTCTTTCACCCTGCGACCTCTCCCTAATTCTGCTGCCTGCCTTCCCTACAGGTCCCTGTGAGGTATAGTCAGGCATGGCTTCCTTGTTCTCGAGCTGAAGACTGGGAGTGCCCACAAGGCTCTTCCTGCTGCTGCTTCTATTTTTATTTTTGTGCCACTCCCTAAATCCATTCCAGCTCTAGGTAAGGTTAAACCATTCTCCTGTGATCTGGATTTTCAGATTCCCCAGTGGGGATGTATGTTCAGAGGTAGGTTCTCTCTCTCTCTCTCTCTCTTTTTTTTCTTTTTAGACAGAATCTCACTCTGTCACACAGGCTGGAGTGCTGTCGCCCAGGCTGCTGGAGTGCAGTGGCGTGATCTTGGCTCACTGCAACCTCTGCCTCCTGGGTTCAAGCGATTCTCCTATTTCAACCTCCCAAGTAGCTAGGATTACAGCGTCTGCCACCGCGACCAGCTAATTTTTATATTTTTAGTAGAGATGGGGTTTCACCATGTTGGCCAGGCTGGTCTTGAACTCCTGACCTCAGGTGATCTTGCCTCAGCTTCCCAAAGTGCTGGGATTACAGGTGTGAGCCACCATGCCCAGCCAGTTCTCCCTCTCTCACACGTTGGGAACTCAGTTTTTCACATATTTCATGGAGTTTGCAGTGGTGTGCCACTTCTTTAAAAGGATCTGTGAATTCTTTCAGTTTTCCTGATACATTCCTGCATTGGTTCTAGGAACAAAAGTTCACAATCTGAATCTTCACGCACTATTCTGTCTGTCCAAATGGGAGAGGCATGCTAGTCCTGCCTCCTATCCACTATCTTGGACTAAAGAAAGCCTTAATAAATTTAAAAGGATTTAAATCATAAAAAGCATATCCTTTAGCCACTTTGGGATGCAATTAGAAATCAGTAAGGAAATTTAGAAAATTTACAGTTTTCATATGAAAATTAAACTACATACTCCTAAATAATCAAAAGTCATAGATAGAAATAAGGCAAATTATAAAATAGTTTGTGATGAATGAAAACAAAAACATATCAAAACTTATGCAGCCACAGCAGTGCATACAGAGAAAGCCTATGTTAAAAAGTAAGATCTCAATCAGTACCTAACCTTTCACCTCAAGAGACTAGAAAAATATGAAAAGATGGCCGAATAGGAACAGCTCCAGTCTGCAGCTCCCAGCGTGATCGACGTGGAAGACAGGTGATTTCTGCATTTCCAACTGAGGTACCTGGTTCATCTCACTGGGACCAGTTGGACAGTGGGTGCAGCCCACAAGGGCAAGTTGAAGCATGGCGAGATGTTGCCTCATCTGGGAAGCGCAAGGGGTTGGGGGATTTCCCTTTCCTAGCCAAGGGAAACCGTGACAGACTACCTGGAAAAATGGGTCACTCCTGCCTAAATATTGCACTTTTCCCAAAGTCTTAGAAACCAGCAGACAAGGTGATTCTCTCCCATGCCTGGCTCGGCAGGTCCCACGCCCATGGAGCCTTGCTCACTGCTAGTGCAGCAGTCTAGAGATGGATCTGCGAGGCAGCAGCCTGGCTGGGGGAAGGGCCTCTGCTATTGCCGAGGCTTGAGTAGGTAAACAGAGTGGCTGGGAAGCTCGAACTGGGCGGAGCCAACCCCAGCTCAACAAGTCCTGCTGCCTCTAGACTCCACCTCAGTGGGCAGGGGATAGCTGAACAAAAGGCAACAGACAACTTCTGCAGACTTAAACGTTCCTGTCTGACAGCTCTGAAGAGAGCAGTGGTTCTCCCAGCATGGCATTTGAGCTCTGAGAACGGACAGACTGCCTCCTCAAGTGGGTCCCTGACCCCCTGTAGCCTAACTGGGAGACACCTCCCAGTAGGGGCCGACAGACACCTCATATGGGCAGCTGCTCCTCTGGGACGAAGCTTCCAGAGGAAGGATCAGGCAGCAGTATTTGCTGTTCTGCAATATTTGCTGTTCTGCAGCCTCTTCTGGTGATATTCAGGCAAACAGTCTGGAGTGGACCTCCAGCAAACTCCAACAGACCTACAGCTGAGGATCCTGACTGTGAGAAGGAAAACTAACAAGCAAGAATAGCATCAACATCAACAAAAAGGTCATCTACACCAAAACCCCATCTGTGGGCCACCAACATCAAAGACCAAAGGTAGATGAAACCGCAAAGATGGGGAGAAACCAGAGCAGAAAAGCTGAAAATTCTAAAAACCAGAGTGCCTCTTCTCCTGCAAAGGATTGCAGCTCCTCACCAGCAATGGAACAAAGCTGGATGGAGAATGACTTTGACGAGTTGACAGATGTAGGCTTCAGAAGATCGGTAATAACAAGTTTCTTCAAGCTAAAGAAGGATGTTCAAACCCATCGCAAGGAAGCTAAAAACCTTGAAAAAAGATTATACAAATGGCTAACTAGAATAAACAGTGTAGAGAAGACATTAAATGACCTGATGGAGCTGAAAACCATGGCACGAAAACTTCATGACACATGCACAAGCTTCAATAGCTGATTCGATCAAGTGGAAGAAAGGGTATCAGTGATTGAAGATCAAATTAATGAAATGAAGCAAGAAAACAAGGTTAGAGAAAAAAGAGTAAAAAGAAATGAACAAAGCCTCCAAGAAATATGGGACTATGTGAAAAGACCAAATCTACATTTGATTGGTATACCTGAAAGTGATGGGGAGAATGGAACCAAGTTGGCAAACACTCTTCAGCATATTATCCAGGAGAAATTCCCCAACCTAGCAAAGCAGGCCAACATTCAAATTCAGGAAATACAGAGAATGCCACAAACATACTCCTTGAGAAGAGCAACTCCAAGACACATAATTGTCAGATTCACCAAGGTTGAAATGAAAGAACAAGTGTTAAGGGCAGCCAGAGAGAAAGGTCGAGTTGCCCACAAAGGGAAGCCCATCAGACTAACAGCAGATCTCTCGTCAGAAACCCTAGACCTACAAGCCAGAAAAGAGAGGGGGCCAATACTCAACATTCTTAAAGAAAAGAATTTTTAACCCAGAATTTCATATCCAGCCAAACTAACCTTCATAAGTGAAGGAGAAATAAAATCCTTTACAGACAAGCAAATGCCGAGAGATTTTGTCACCACCAGGCCTGCCTTACAAGAGCTCCTGAAGGAAGCACTAAACATGGAAAGAAACAACTGGTACCAGCCACTGCAAAAACATGCCAAATTGTAAAGACCATCGATGCTATGAAGAAACTGCATCAATTAATGGGCAAAATAACCAGCAAACATCATAATGACAGGATCAAATTCACACATAACACTATTAACCTTAAATGTAAATGGACTAAATGCCCCAATTAAAAGACACAGACTGGAAAATTGGATAAAGAGTCAAGACCCATCAGTGTGCTGTACTCAGGAGACCCATCTCACGTGCAGAAACGCACATAGGCTCAAAATAAAGGGATGGAGGAAGATCTACCAAGCAAATGGAAAACAGACAAACAAAAAAAAGCAAGGGTTGCAATCCTAGTCTGATAAAACAGACTTTAAACCAGCAAAGACCTTAAGAGACAAAGCCATTACATAATGGTAAAGGCATCAATTCAACAAGAAGAGCTAACTATGCTAAATATATATGCACCCAATACAGGAGAACCCAGATTCATAAAGCAAGTCCTTAGAGACCTACAAAGAGACTTAGACTCCCACACCATAGTGGGAGACTTTAACGCCCCACTGTCAATATTAGATCAACGAGACAGAAGGTTAACAAGGATATCCAGGACCTGAACTCAGCTCTGCACTAAGCAGACCTAATAGACACCTACAGAATCCTCCACCCCAAATCAACAGAATATACATTCTTCTCAGCACCACATCTCACTTACTGTAGAATTGACCAAATAATTGGAAGTAAAGCACTCCTCAGCAAATGTAAAAGAACAGAAACCACAACAAACTGTCAGACCACAGTGCAATCAAATTAGAACTCAGGATTAAGAAACTCACTCAAGGCTGGGTATGGTGGCTCACGCCTGTAATCCCAGAACTTTGGGGGGCTGAGGCAGGCAGATCACAAGGTCAGGAGATCGAGACCATCCTGGCTAACACAGTGAAAACCTGTCTCTACTAAAAATACAAAAAATCAGCCAGGTGTGATGGTGGGTGCCTGTAGTCCCAGCCACCTGGGAGGCTGAGGCAGGAGAATGGTGTGAACCTGGGAGCTGGAGCTTGCAGTGAGCCAAGATCATGCCACTGCACTCCAGCCTGGGCAACAGAGTGAGTCTCCTTTGAAAAAAAAAAAAAACACACTCAAAACCGCACAACTGCATGGAAATTAAACAATGTGCTCCTGAATGACTACTGGGTAAATAATGAAATGAAGGCAGAAATAAAGATGTTCTTTGAAACCAATGAGAACAAAGACACAATGTGCCAGAATCTCTGGGACACATTTAAAGCAGTGTGTAGAAGGAAATTTGTAGCACTGAATGCCCACAAGAGAAAGCAGGCAAGATCTAAAATTGACACCCTAACATCACAATGAAAAGAACTAGAGAAGCAAGAGTAAACAAATTCAAAAGCTAGCAGAAGGCAAGAAATAACTAAGATCAGGGCAGAACTGAAAGAGATAGAGATACAAAAAACTCCTCAAAAAAATCAATGAATCCAGGAGCTGGTTTTTTGAAAAGATCAACAAAATTGATAGACCACTAGCAAGACTAATGAAAAGAGAGAAGAATCAAATAAATTCAATAAAAAATGATAAAGGGATATCATCACCAATCCCACAGAAATACACACTACCATCAGAGAATACTATAAACACCTCTACGCAAATAAACTAGAAAATCTAGAAGAAATGGATAAATTTCTGGACACATATATCCTCCCAAGACTAAACCAGGAATAAGTCGAATCTCTGAAGAGATCAATAACAGACTCTGAAATGGAGGCAATAATTAATAGCCTACCAACCAAAAAAAGTCCGTGACCAGACGGATTCATAGCCAAATTCTACCAGAGGTACAAAGAGGAGCTAGTACCATTCCTTCTGAAACTATTTCAATCAATAGAAAAAGAGGGAGTCATCCCTAACTCATTTTATGAAACCAACATCATCCTGATACCAAAGCCTGGAAGAGACACAACAAAAAAAGAGAATTTTAGAACAATATCCCTGATGAACATCGATGAAAAAATCCTCAATAAAATACTGGCAAACCAAATCCAGCAGCACATCAAACGGCTTATCCACCATGATTAAGTTGGCTTCATCCCTGGTATGCAAGGCTGGTTCAACATACCCATATCAATAAACATAATCCATCACATAAACAGAAACAATGACAAAAACCACATGATTATCTCAATAGATGCAGAAAAGGCCTTTGACAAAATTCAGCAGCCCTTCATGCTAAAAACACTCAGTAAACTAAGTATTGATGGAAGGAATCTCAAAATAATAAGAGCTATTTATGACAAACCCACAGCCAATATCATACGGAATGGACAAAAACTGGAAGCATTCTCTTTGAAAACCAGCACAAGCCAAGGATGCCTTCTCTCACCACTCCTATTCAAAATAGTGTTGGGGGTTCTGCCCAGGGCAGTCAGGCAAAAGAAAGAAATAAATGGTATTCAATTAGGAAATGAGGAAGTCAAATTGTCCCTGTTTGCAGAGGACATGATTGCATATTTAGAAAACCCCATCGTCTGAACCCCAAATCTCCTTAAGCTGATAAGCAACTTCAGCAAAGTCTCAGGATACAAAATCAATGTTCAAAAATCATAAGCTTTCCTATACATCATTAACAGACAAACAGAGAGCCAAATCATGAGTGAACTCCCATGCACAATTGCTACAAAGAGAATAAAATACCTAGGAATCCAACTTACAAGGGATGTAAAGGACCTCTTCAAGGAGAACTACAAACCACTGCTTAACAAAATAAAAGAGAACACAAACAAATGGAAGAATATTCCATGCTCATGGATAGGAAGAAACAATATCATGAAAATGGCCATACTGCCCAAAGTAATCTACAGATTCAATGCCATCCCCATCAAGCTACCCATGACTCTTCACAGAATTGGAAAAAACTACTTTAAAGTTCACATGGAACCAAAAACGCCTGCATTGCCAAGACGGTCCTAAGCAAGAAGAACAAAGCTGGAGGCATCATGTTACCTGGCTTCAAACTATACTACAAGGCTACAGTAACCAAAACAGCATGGTACTGGTACCAAAACAGATATATAGATCAATGGAACAGAACAGAGGCCTCAGAAATAACACCACACATCTACAACCATCTGATATTTGACAGAACTGACAAAAACAAGCAATTGGGAAAGGATTCCCTATTTAATAAATGGTGCTGGGAAAACTGGCTAGCCATATGTAGAAAGCTGAAGCTGGATCCCTTCTTTACACCTTATACAAAAATTAATTCAAGATGTTAAATGTTAGACCTAAAACCATAAAAACCCTAGAAGAAAACCTAGGCAATACCATTCAGGACATAGGCATGGGCAAGGACTTCATAACTAAAACACCAAAAGCAATGGGAACAAGAGCCAAAATAGACAAATGGGATCTAATTAAACTAAAGAGCCTCTGCACAGCAAAAGAAACTACCGTCAGAGTGAACAGGCAACCTACAGATAGGGAGAAAATTTTTGCAATTTACCCATCTGACTAGGGCTAATACCCAGAATCTACCAAGAACTCAAACAAATTTAGAAGAAAAAAAAACCCATCAAAAAGTGGGCAAAGGATATGAACAGACAATTCTCAAAAGAAGACATCTATGCAGCCAACAAACATATGAAAACTCATCATCACTGGTCATCAGAGAAATGCAGATCAAAACCACAATGTGATACCATCTCATGCCATTTAGAATGGCAATCATTGAAAAGTCAGGAAACAACAGATGCTGGCGAGGATGTGGAGAAGTAGGAATGCTTTTACACTGTTGGTGGGATTGTAAATTAATTCAACAATTGTGGAAGACAGTGTGGCTATTTCTGAAGGATCTAGAACTAGAATTACCATTTGACCCAGCAATCCCATTACTGGGTATATACCCAAAGGATTATAAATTATGCTTCTATAAAGACACATGCACACATATGTTTATTGTGGCACTATTAACAATAGCAAAGACTTGGAACCAACCCACATGTCCACCAATGACAGACTGGATTAAGAAAATGTGGCACATATACACCATGGAATACTATGCAGCCATAGAAAAGGATGAGTTCATGTCCTTTGCAGGGACATAGATGAAGCTGGAAGCCATCATTCTGAGCAAACTCTCACAAGCATAGAAAACCAAACACTGCATGTTCTCACTCATAGGTGGGAATTGAACAATGAGATCACTTGGACACAGGGTGGGGAACATCACACACCATGGCCTGTCGGGGGGTAGGGGGCTGTGAGAGGGATAGACAGCATTAGGAGAAATACCTAATGTAAATGACGGTTTGATGGGTGCAGCAAACCACAATGGCACATGTATACCTATGTATCAAACCTGCACGTTGTACACATGTACCCTAGAACTTAAAGTATAATAATAAAAAAAGAAACTAGAAAAATAAGAGCAAACTAAACTCAAAGTGAGCAGAAAGAAGAAAATAATAAGGATGAGAGAGGAAACACATGAAATAAAGAATAAAAAAATAGAGATGAATCTGTAAAACCAAAAGTTGGTTGTTTGAAGACATCAGCAAAATTGGGAAAAGTTTAGCTAGACTAAGAAAAAAAAGACAAGACCCTCCAATTATTAAAATGAAGAATGAAAGAAAGGGCTTATCTATAAACCTAAGTGATATATAAGGAATATTGATCTTCCAAATAGGGGGTATTGTGACTCTGAGTATATAGTCTCTGCCAAATCTCATGTTGAATTGTAGTCCCCAATATTGGTGTGGTCTAGTGGGAGGTGATTGGATCATGGGGGCAGATTTCTTCTGCATGATATAGCACCATCCTCTGGGTGTTGTCCTGCTCATTGCTCCTGCTCCCACTATGTAAGATGCTGGCTCTACTCTCTGCCTTCTGCCATGATTGAAAGCTCCCTGAGGCTCCCCAAGAAGCCAAGCAGATGCGAGCACCATGCTTCCTGTGCAGCCTCCAGAACTTCAAGCCAATTAAATCTCTTTTCTTTATAAATTACCTAGTCTCAAGTATTTCTTTATAGCAATGCAAGTACAGCCTAACACACTTATTGGGATAAGAAGGATAATGTGGGAATATTATGAACAATGGCATGCCAACAAAGTAGAGAACCTCGATGAAATGGACAAATTCCTAGAAAGGTTATATTCCTATAAAACTGATACAAGAAGTAGGAAATATAAAGAGACCTGTAACATGGAAAGAGAGGGAATAAGTAATTAGAAAATTCTTACAAAGAAAAACACAGGCCAAGATGACTACATGGTGAATTCTACCAAACATGTAAAGAAGAGCTACTACTATTCCTTCACAAGCTCTTCTGAAAAACAGAAGAGGAGGAACACTTTCCAGCTCATCCTATAAGGCCAATATTACCCTGATACCAATGGTAGACAAATCGCGAGAAGAGGAAACTACAAAAATGTCTTATGAATACAGGTGCAGAAATCCTTAACAGAATACTAGCAAACTGAATCTAGCAACATTTAAAAAGGAATATACACCATGAACATGTAGCATTTGTCTCAGGAATGCAAGGCTGGTTTAGTATTTGAAAACCAATCACTGTATTTACACTATATTAATGGAATAAAGACAAAAACCTATGATCATCTCAATAAATGCAGAAAATGCACTTAAAATCCATCACCCTGTTATGATGGAAACACTCAACAAATGAAAAATAGCAAGGAACCCACAGCTAGCACTAAACAAACTAAAAATAGCCGAAGAATTCATAGCTAACATTATACTTCATGGTAAAAAACTGGATGCTTGCCCATAAGATAAAGAACAAGAAAAGAATGTCCACTCCTGCCATTTCTATTCAACATTGTAGTGTTGTTTCTATCCAGGGCAATTAGACAAGAAAAAGGAATAAATGGCATCCAGATTGGAAAGGAAGAAGTAAAACTGTTGCTATTTGCAGGTGACATGATCTTGTATATAGAAAATCTTAAGGAATACACAAAAAACTTTGGAACTCATACGTTCAGCATGCTTGTAGTTTATAAAATCAGTATACAAAAATTCATTTCTATAGAAATGCAACAATATGAAAGTGAACTAGAACAATATGAAAATGACATTTAAAAATTTGACTTATAATAGCATCAAAAAGGAAAAAGTGTACGTATAAATTTGGCAAAAGAAGTATAAGACTTGCACATTAAAACTGCAAAACATGTTGAAATAAAGTAAAGAAGACCTAAATAAACTGAAAGAAATGTTAGTGGATTGGAAGATACTAGATGGCAATACTCTTCAATTATCTAGAGATCCAGTGCAGTCTCTGTAAAAATCTCTGCTTCTGTTTTTACAGAAATTGGCAAGCGTATCCTAAAATTCATGTGGAAATTGAATGTGTAACTGAGTAGCTTAGATTGAAAATGCATTTTGAAACTTTTTTCCCCTTCTTTTCTAATCTCAGAATATAACCCTGTACTTTAAATGTAGCCTTGTACTTTAAAACTCTTAATTTCTCTCCCTTTTCCACCAGGCACTCTGTGCACAGTGCTCACTTATCTAATTATGTGCTCACTTAGAAATTTCAGAGGCTAATTTTGAAACAAAGCAGGCATAGAGACACAGCTGTGGAATCCTCCCACTTAGGGGGAGTTATGAACGATTAGTCCACCACCACTGGGCGAAGTCAAGATGATGCAGTCTGGACCTTCAGACAAGCAATTACTTAAAATAGCCAAGATATGCAAACCTGTACCCTCCTGCACCACTCCTGCATATTTTCCACACCAAGTTTTCCTTCTGAAACCCCCCTACTTATCCCAAAAGGCTGATATGGTTCCTCTGAGGCTTGAGCTTGGCCATTCTCCCATCTGCTAGCATGATCAAGAAAAGCTACTTTCCTTTTACCACAGCTTGCTTCTCCTGCTTTGACTTCTGAGCAGTGAGCAGCCAGACTTGAGTTGGTTACAAGTGGACCTAGGATAGACAGAATGATATTGAAAAAGGATAACTAAGTAGGAGGAATAACACTTCTAATTTCAAAACTTACTGCAAAGCAAAGATAATTGAGACAGTGTGGTACTGGTATAAGGATAGACATATAGATCCATGGAATAGGATTGAGAGTTTCTGTTTCTATTTACATATATGTAAATAAACTCTTATATATCTGGTTAGTTGATTTTTGACAAAGGTACCAGTACAATTCAATAAGGAAAAAAGTCTTTTCAACAAATAGTGTTGGGACAACTGCATATCAACATGTAAAAGAATGAAGTTGAAATCCCATCTCACACTATAGGCAAAAATTAATTCAAAATGATTAGTAAACATAAATGTAAAGCTAATACTATGAAACTTTTAGAAGAATATATAGAGTCATAAATCTTTGTGACCTTGGGCTAGACAAAAGTTTTCTGGGAAATGATGGCCAAGGCACACAGAAGAAAAATCTGTACAGACAGAAAGTAGCTTGGTGATTGGGGATGGGAGAGAATAGAGGGAATGACTGCTAATGGGCATAGGATCTTTTTGTGTGTGTGTGTGAGATAGGAATGTTCTCTAGTTATATAGTGGTGATCATTTCACAACTCTGAATAGACTAAAAGTCACTGAACTATTTATTTTTTTAAAAGGGCAAATTTTATGGTAAGTGACTTAGATTGTGAAAAGCTGTTATGTAAGGAAAAGTCATATGTATGTGTTATTTCAATAAATATTTGAGTGACTCCTGATTATCAGGCATCTATGTTGTTTCCTTATTTTCCATTAATCCCACTGTGTGTGACTCACATGGAATCTTCTGGTTTGTGATTTTCAAGCCTAAATCTATGTAAGAGTCACCTGACTATCTTATTAAAAATGCAGCTCCCTATTGTCTCTACCTAGAGATTCTGCCTCAGTACATCAGAGATAGGACTTGGGAATCTATATGTATAACAAGTACCTTAAGTATCTCTGATGTAGCTAACCCATTTGTGCCAGAAGTTGCAAATGTTTTTTGTGAAAAACCAGATCTTGGTGATGACCTTGAGCTGTAGTGTGTCCGGAATTGGTTCCTTCCGGTGGGTTCTTGCTCTTGCTGACTTCAAGAATGAAGCTGCAGACCCTCGTGGTGAGTGTTACAGTTCTTAAAGATGGTGTGTCTGGAGTTCCTTCAGATGTTCAGATGTGTCTGGAGTGTCTTCCTTCCGGTGGGTTCGTGGTCTTGCTTGACTTCAGGAGTGAAGCCACAGACCTTCGCAGTGAGTGTTACAGCTCTTAAAGGTAGTGCAGACCCAAAGAGTGGGCAGCAGCAAGATTTATTATGAAGAGCGAAAGAGCAAAGCTTCCACAGTGTGGAAGGGGACCCGAGTGAGTTGCTGCTGCTGGCTCCGGTGGCCAGCTTTTATTCCCTTATTTGGCCCTGCCCACATCCTGCTGATTGGTCCATTTTACAGAGCACTGATCGGTTCATTTTACAGAGTGCTGATTGGTCTGTTTTTACAGAGTGCTGATTGGTGCATTTACAAACCTTTAGCTAGACACAGAGTGCTGCTTGGTGCATTTTTACAGAGTGCTGGTTGGTGTGTTTACAAACCTTTAGCTAGACAGAAAAGTTCTCCAAGTCCCCACTCAACCCAGGAAGTCCAGCTGGCTTCACCTCTTAATCCCCCTTCTAAACAGGACACCCCAACTGCTGTTGGGAATTGGGTGATGACTGCTCTAGCTACTTCCTAGTGGATGGGGCAAAGAAGGGGCCCTGCAGTTGTAGTGTCCTCCAGAGGGAAACTCTTTAAGCCAGTTAAAGGGCCAGTGGGTCGGTCCAGGGGTCCTCAGTAGAAGTTGTTAGTCGAGCTCATTTGGGGTTCCATTTGTAAGACCATCTGTAGCTTGATGGCCTCGATCCTAGAGGAAACAAATTTGACGAGGAGGTTAAAAATACAGGGCCCGAAGGCGAGTAATAGCAAGATGGCTGTCACAGGACCTAGAAAGGGGAAAAGCCATGTCGCCGAACTCCAGAGGTTGCTATAAGAGTTTGAAAAGCATTGTCTGATTTCAGAAGCCTTTTCCTGTAAACGCTGGGTGGCATCTCACACTATCCCTGACTGGTTAGTGTAAAAACAACAATCTTCCCCTAAGAAGGTGCAGAGTCCTCCTTTCTCAGCAGTGAGGAGGTCTAGGCCTTGGTGGTTTTGGAGAGTCACTGCTGCCAAAGAGTCTATTTGGGATTGTAGAGTAAGGATAGGTTTCATTGTTTCTTGCAAACTGTCTGAGAAATCATTTGAGAGTTTGTGGTAGTAGGATAATACATGTTACACAGTTAACTTTTAGCAAACTGTGCTTTTGTTGAAAACCTTGTAAGTTTGGGATTTCAATTATTCTTTGCTATTAATAAGTTCTCGTTCAGTCCATATTAACTTAGAATTGGTATAGATGGCTTCTTCCTGATTCTGTAAATACTTTTAAGGTTTGGCTGAGTGCAAACAGCTCGCACATTTGAGCAGACCAATTATTAGGCAATTTTCCTAACTCTGCTTCTACAAGAGTTTCCTTATCACTTACTGAATACCCATTGTGTCTTTTTCCCTTAATCGCCTGGGAGGAAGCATCTATAGTCCTGTCCTGAAGACAGTTCCTCCTAGGTCTGGTTGGACCTTTGTATGGTAATTAATTAAGATTTAGATCCCCTGTTAGGAAACCTGCTAGGTTAAGGATTTTTGATAGGAAGGCTACAGGTTGTCAGTGGCCTCAGTGCTTTTGGGCTATGCCCTTGTTTACACTGACAACAAGGTGGTATTGGAGTGTTATAGGGTCACAGAGAAGACCTTCAATTATGAATTACAGGTTTTAAGTTTACCCTGGCTGTCAAAGGAATACGGTACACTGTTTTTTCTTTACTACTTCCATCTTTGTTTCTCTTTGACTTCTTTATCTCTCTCTGACTCCCCTTTGTCTGTCTCTTCCTCTGTCTTTGACTTTCTGTCTCTCTCTTTCTCTCTCTCTGACTCCCTCTTTGTCTCTTCCTCTCTCTCTCTCCTTCTGTCTTTGACTTTCTGTCTGTCTGTCTCTTCCTCTCTCTTTTTTCCTCCTTTGTCTCTGTCTCTTCCTCTTTCTCTCTTTCTGTCTCTTTCTGTCTTTCCTTTCTGCTGGTCTTTCCCAGCCTCTGCCAGCCACTTATGCTGCTGTTTTCTCCTCTCCTTCCCCTTTTTGATGGCTTCAGCAGTGTGAGACTGCCACCTCCTCCTTGGGTTTTTGCACCACATGCAATAACTCCATGATTTCCTTGTGGTATTTAATGGGGGTTCCCCCAGAGGTTAGGAACTCCCTTTCTTTCCATATTGCAGCATGGGCATGTAGGATTAGATAAGCATACTTGCTATCTCTATACACGTTTATTCTTCTTCCCTTTCCCAGTTCTAAGGCTCAGGTAAGTTCCACTAGTTCTGCTAACTGGGCACTGGTCCCTGGGGGAAGGGGCTTACTTTCAAGTATGGTTACATCACTAACTATGGCATAAACTGCCCATTGTATCCCATTCTCTACAAATGAATTTTCGTCAGTATATAGGTTAAGGTCAGGATTAGCTAAGGGGACTTCTAAGAGATCATCTCGGGTGGCATAAGTCTGGACTATAATTTGTTGGCAGTTATGCTCAATTGGTTCCCCATCCTCTGGGAGAAAAGTGGCAGGGTTGAGGGCTGCACATATGTGTATGTGAAGCACCAGTCCCTCAAGGAATAGCGCCTGATATCTAAGCAGGTGGTTGTCTGATAGCCATAAACTTCCTTTGGCACCTAGTATGCCATTTACATCGTGAGTAGTCCAGACAGTGAGATCCTTTCCTTGTATTATTTTGATAGCCTCTGACACTAAGACGGCCACAGCTGCAACTACCTGTAAACAGTGAGGCCAGCCTTTTGCTACTACATCAGTTTCCTTACTTAGGTTATGTCACTGGTTGTGGAGTTGTCCCGCGAGTCTGAGAAAGGACTCCAAGAGCTATCCCTGCTCTCTCTGTGACATATAAAGAGAAGTTTTGTCCTGTGGGAAGGCTTAAAGCTGGAGCTTGTACTAGGGCCTGCTTTAAAGTTTTGAAGGCTGTTTCTGCCTCTGGTTCCCATTCCACTAGATGAGTATTTGCCCTCTGGGTCTTCTTGATTAGAGTATAGAGAGGCCTGGCTATCTCGCTGTATCCAGGGATCCATAGTCAGCAAAAGCTGGTGATTCCAAGGAACCTCTGCAGCTGTTTAAATGTCTTAAGGTGAGGATAAGCCAGTATAGGCTGTATTCATTCCTTGATGAGGGCCCTGGTCCCTCTGGCTAAGATTAGGCATAGATATTTGACCTGCTGTAGGCAAAGCTGGGCCTTCGATCTAGACGCTTGTACCCTTGATTAGCTAGAAAGTTCAAGAGAGCTAGAGTAGCCTGCTGGCATGAGGCTTCCGAACTGGTAGCCAAAAGTAAATCATCCACATACTGAAGGACCAGAGTGCCTGGACTTGAGAAGTGGCCTAGATCTTGGGCTAGTGCCTGACCAAACAGATGAGGGCTATCCCTAAACCCTTGGGGCAAGCCGTCCACATAAGTTGGGACATGTGGTCTGTGGGATCCTCAAAGGCAAAGAGAAACTGGGAGTCAGAGTGCAGGGGAATACAGAAGAAGGCATCCTTGAGGTTCAGAACAGTGAACCATTCTGCTTCCTCTGGTATTTGAGAGAGAAAGGTATAGGGGTTGGGTACAATTGGATATAGAGGAATTACTGCCTCATTGATGAGTCTAAGATCCTACACTAGTCTCCACTGACTGTTCGGTTTTTGTACTCCTAGAATTGGGGTGTTGCAGGGACTGCCGCATTTCCTTACTAAGCCTTGAGCTTTTAAATGTTTAACAATATTCTGTAATCCTTTATGAGCTTCAGGCCTTAAGGGATATTTCCTTTGATAAAGAAAAGTGGTGGGATCTTTTAGCCTGATTTGGACTGGGCGGGCATTTTTTCCCTTCCAAATTGTCCTTCCAATGCCCAGACTTTAGGGTTGATTCCCTCCTCAAGTAGGGGACAACAAATGGGTAACTTGTTCCCTATATTCATGTAATAATAGCTCCAGCTTTGGCTAATATATTCCTCCCTAATAAGGGTGTGGGACTTTCAGGCATAACAAGAAAGGCATGTGAAAAGAGCAAAGTCTCCCAATTACAACTGAGAAGGTGGGAGAAATACCTGGTTACAGGCTGTCCCAGGATTCCTCGGATGGTAACAGACCTTGAGGAGAGTTGTCCAGGATAGGAGATTAACACTGAGAAGGCCGTGCCAGTGTCCAGGAGGAAGTCAATTTCCTGGCCCTCAATGGTTAAACATACCTGGGGCTCAGTGAGGGTGATGACATGAGCTGGTGCTTGCCCTGGGCACCCTCAGTCCTGTTGTTGGATCATCTGGTTGGGGGCTTCTGGCCCAGAGAATCATTGCACTCTGGGGCAGTGCACCTTCCAGTGATTGCCTTGGCATAGCGGACATGGACAAGGGTGTGGCTTGTTTCTCATTGGACAATCTTTTTTATAGTGTCCTTGTAACCCACACTGATAAGCCATACCGGGTGATTGGCCTGCTCCATTTTCTGTCCTCTCTGAACCACCAAGGTTTGTTTGTCTGAGGGCCATGACTAAGGCCGTGGCCTTTCTCTGATCTCGCTTTTCCTTTTGGGCCATTCCTCTTAGTCCCTATTATAGAACACCAAGGTTGCCAGGTTTAATAATGCCTCCAGATTTTGTTCAGGGCCCAGGGCTCACTTTTGGAGCTTTCTCCTGATGTCTGCGGCTGATTGGGTAATAAACTTATCTTTTAGAATCAACTGACCCTCGAGTGAGTCGGGTGACAGGGGAGTATATTTTCTTAAGGCCTCCTGTAGCAGCTCGAGGAAGGCAGAAGGATTTTCTTGCTTTCCCTGAGTTATGGTAGTCATCATTGAGTATTTCATGGGTTTTCCCCAATTCTCCTTAGTCCTTCTAGAACACAGGTCAACAGATGTTTACGACTCCAGTCCTCATGATCTGAGTTGAGGTCCCAGTATGGAGATGGCTTGCTGACCGGTAGGGAATTTTCCCTTTTTTCGGCTGTCATTTTGTCATTTACTTGACTAAGATACCAGGTATCTCCAAACTTTTGGGCTGCAGCTAAAGCCGCATTCTTTTCATTAAAGGCCAGGGTTTGATCTAACAATAGCATGACATCTCTCCAAATGAGATTGAAGGTTTGCCCTAGACCCTGTAGCACATCTCTGTACCTATCAGGATCATCTGAAAACTGCCCTAGGTCTGCCTGCTTTAAATTAGAGCGGGAGAAGGGGACATGTACCTGGGTTGGGCCAAGTTCCCCTCCTCCTACAACTTGAAGGGGACATAACTGATAGCCCAGGGGTTTTTCTAGTCCTTTGGAGATTTCTTTGCTTGTTTCCTTCTGGGCAGGGGAGATTAGAGGAGGCTTATCATTAATAGGAAGGGGAGCTATAGGGAGGCTAGGATATGGGGGTAAGCTGAGAGGTCCTCCTGTGGATGTAAATTACAAGCTTTGCATAGTTGTGGATTCTCCTTCAATGAAAAGAAAGCTTGGACATAAGGTATTTCACTCCATTTGCCTTCCCTCTTACAGAAAACGTCAGACTGCAGGATAGTGTTGTAATTTATACTTCCCTCAGGTGGCCATTTTTCCCCATCAGAGAGAATACTGGGGCCAAGCCATAGTGCAGAAAAAAATGAGCTGCCTCTTTTTCAGGATTTGCAGGTCAAATTGGTCCCAATGGCTTAGGATGCATTTCAAGGGTGAGCTGTTGATGCCTGAGTGTTTCCCATCTGAAAGACAAAACTGCCCACGGTTTTGGTTTGTTTGTTTCTCCCCCTGCCTAAGAACCCGCAATGGTCCCTGGACCCTGCTGATCAGAATAGTTGCACTCACCAATGAAGCAGCAGAAACACCTCTTGCCCAATAACCCACAATGGTGCAGCCCCTGGACCCTGCTGATTGGAATAGTTGTGCTCACCGATGCAGCAGCAGAAACACCTCTTGCCTAAGAACCTGCAATGGTCCCTGGACCCTGCTGATCAGAATAGTTGCACTCACCGACACAGCAGCAGAAACACTAGTTTTTCCTCCTAGACCCCAAGGAGGCCCAAGGAAGGTTGGATTTAGTGGCCCTTACTGACACATTCTCAAAAACCTGTTAGAGTCCTAAGCATTTTCCTGTTAGTATTGGGACCTTACCACTGACCTATAAAGATGTTATTTCCAAAAAATGAAGTGGAGGGTCATACCCAGAGGGAGGGAAGGGATCTCCAGGGTTGAAAGAGTGATACCTTTTGTTCTCACTTATGTGAATAGGAAAGATACCATTTCTGAAGCTCCCCACATCCTAGCTTCAAGAATAGCTTTTGTTAGGCCTGCTAGTCTGAGGAGGGATCCTAAAATTCCAGATAGTCCCCCCTATAATGGGGCTTTGGGCAAAAATTATGCCTTTCTGATTGGTGAGCCTGGGTGCCTAAAGAAGGGAACAGAGTCCTGAGGTTTATACTGGAAATCATTCTTACAGGAGAAACTAGAAAAGCACAAGAGACAGGGAGTGGTTTTTAGAAGCAGGACTAGCCTTGGAGAAGAGAGGTGAGAGGAAGTTTGTCTGAGAGGCATTAGGACCCAGGAGGCAAGGGTCAGCATAGATAGGTTAGATGGTCGAGTCTCACTTGGGCGACATGACTTTGAGAGTTCTGCTCTTGGCCGCAGGGTCAACCAACTTGTTAGGACCTGGGAGCTGAATGGCTTTCCTCTCTGTTGACCCTCAGCTCAGCCCAGAAGTACAGGAAAAGCAGAAGCTTGTTCCAGGCACACCAACGCTCCCAACTCCAAATAGTTGGGGGTTGTTATAGAGTCCTTTACCAGAAAGCCTGACACCCATGTCTTTAGTCTGGCGGCTGTGCTAGTCACTTTTAACTGACTGACAGGTGCCCGGTATTTAGCCTCCGAATTCTAAGGAAAAATAGGACAGAATAGCAAGCAAAAGGGGTCCGATGGTACTCACTGCTTGGTGGTAGTCCCTTCGTGGTTGCCAAAATGTGTCTGGAATGGGTTCCTTCCAGTGGGTTCTTGGTCTTGCTGACTTCAAGAATGAAGCTGCGGACCCTCATGGTGAGTGTTACAGTTCTTAAAGATGGGGTGTCCGGAGTTTGTTCCTTCAGATGTTCAGATGTGTCCGGAGTTTCTTCCTTCTGGTGGGTTTGTGGTCTCGCTTGACTTGAGGAGTGAAGCCACAGACCTTCACAGTGAGTGTTACAGCTCTTAAAGGTAGTGTGGACTCAAAGAGTGAGCAGCAGCAAGATTTATTATGAAGAGCAAAAGAACAAACTTCCACAGCGTGGAAGGGGACCTGAGCGGGTTGCCACTGCTGGCTCAGGTGGCCAGCTTTTATTCCCTTTTTTGGCCCTGTCCACATCCTGCTGATTGGTCTGTTTTACAGAGTGCTGATTGGTCCATTTTACAGAGCACTGATTGGTCCGTTTTACAGAGTGTTGATTGGTCCGTTTTTACAGAGTGCTGATTGGTGCGTTTACAAACCTTTAGCTAGACAGAAAAATTCTCCAAGTCCCCACTTGACCCAGGAAGTCCAGCTGGCTTCACCTCTCAGTAGGATATGAAATAACTCCAAGCTTAGCGTTCCAATAATGGAACACTAGGCATAAATGAGCTAATATGGGGGAACCACATTTAGAAATACAGTGCTCTGAGACAATGTGCTCTCAATTTTACCAGCCATATTATTATTTCCCCATTATCTTCTTAAAGGGAGCTTTGCTCTCTGACATTGACTAATTAAAACAAAAAAATTTTTAGAGTGTTTGTCACATTCATGGAGTGATAGTATATTTCCTAGCTTTGAATGGTATCACAAAGGTTAAGATTGACAGATTAGAGTATATAAAAGTCACCATAGTGAAAATAACTAAAGTATGGCAGTTGACCAGGAAAACTTACATGAGTTTAGGAGACAAAGGTTAATAGTTAAAGCACATAAAGTGATTATTCAAATTTACAAGGAAATTATTGAGATTCCAGTAGATAAGTACAAAAATAAATATGTAATTTTTTTTTTAATTCCAAGAAGTACAAATTAACCTTTGGATTGTATTTCATGCTTAGTAAAGCAGTAAAATCTAAAAATGTCTAGGTCCTATAATATTGGTTAAAATTGGTGTATGTTTCCATTTGTGATAACAGTGTGAACTTGGTAGAAAGTAGCTTGGTCATATGTCTCAAAAGCCATAAAAATGATGATCTCCTTTGATCCCAATGACATAATTCTTAGAAGTTTGTTTTAGGAACATGACTTAATAGAAACAAAAATACACATGTGTAAATGTCCAATTGGAAATTGAATAAATGTGGAATGAGTGAATTTTTTCATAAAATATTGTACAGCAATATAATAGACTATTACACAGCATGAACTATGAAGACACACATTATGCTAGTACATAAAGGAAACAATATCTAAAAGGTATTTCTGGTTAAAAAAATGGGTGCAAAATTCTTAATTTAAATCCTTACTTTTCAATATTTTATAATGACTATTTCCCAACATACTGGAAAGTTAAAATAATTTGGTGAATATCCATATACCCATCACTTACATTCTACCATTAACATGGTGTTATACTTTATTATAACTATCTACCTTAACATTTTTCCATTTTTTTCCATTAAAAGTTCAACTTTCCCCAGCTATCAAGAAATAACCTGTTGCTGTCTTGAGAGATTTTTGATTAACAGAGGGGTAATTTTTAAACTTCTGTTGAGGATCAGAATGGTTTCTTGTAAGTTTGTGTATGGCCACCAGGTGTAGCTCTGGACCACAGCATTCAGTGATAAGCATCTGCAGGGAGGGTTTTAGGAAAGGCAACTTCTAAATGAAATCAAACTTGATTTGTTTATTTGGGTGAGGGAGAGTACAATAAATTTAACCTTCATTAAGATGTAAAGTAATTATATAAACCTTGATATAGAATCAAAACCTGCTTCCTTGAAGGATTTCAAGGATTTGATTTAGGTTATATATTTTCTTTATTGTTCAAAAGCTTCCACCACGTTTTCTCTTACCTGGAGTGTGACTTTCTTACTCCACAGCCTCAAGGTAATAAGTTTTGGCTTATGCAGCAAACATGTTTATGTCAGCAGCTGTTTGAAAGGTTAATTTTAGAAATATTTAAGTTAGTCATGGACATTCAAATATTCAGACTTCTTTTGTATAACAAAACCTCATCACAACTCGAATTTTTCTTTAGTGTGATTGTTTGATTGATGTCTATATCTTTTTAAACATAAACTCCATAAGGTTTGAAAATGTATGTAGAACAATTCCAGGCATTCAGTAAATATTTGTGAATGAATAAATGGAAAGAATGATTTGAAATTGACTGAAGGCTATTTTGTAACAATTGGTAAGTCTACTCCTTAAGAATGTGCTTGTTCCATTTTTAAATTTTCTTTTAATAACAGGATCAATTTTAAATAATCTTTACAGTTTTAAAATTGCTCCAACATGAAAATATTTTTCTGGTTTTATTTGTGAAAAATAGCTATTTTTAAAGGAAAGTAGAGCCTTAAACTACTTAAAATAGATTTTTATAATCAATTTTAACCAACAAGATCTTTTCTTTTTCTTCCCCTTTAAGGAATCCTGGGTTTCTTTCTATGCAGGGTGTCATCAACTGCCAATTTGTTTCTACCTACCAGAAAATAAAATCATAGAGGCAAAAATCCAGTAATATGGCCAAGTAAACGACTGGAATAACCAGATGAAAGAATTTTCTCCAATTTATAGTATTTTTTTAAAGGAGATATTTAATAAGCTATATTTGAAACAGTAGGTTTTTAAATAAAATGACGCTATTTAGAGTAAAAGGTCCTGGGAGAATTTTAGTGTAAATAAAGGAGATGTCTCTCTCAAAGAATTTAGTGTCATGCTTTTGAATATCTGATAGGATGGTGGAAAGATTCATCAAAGGAGAAGATGAACAATATTAGAGCTGTTGTTTTTAGAAGGACTCCTATTTATTTACAGGAAAGGGAAGATTCCAGAGAAACAAGATCACAAATTTACCTAGCTCAAGAATTAAATTATTGACTTACTATTTTTATAATTGTGTTCTGCTTTTACATGTCATCTTTCAAATTATACTTATTTATAAGGAAGAATCATTATATATTTAAGGGCTGGGACTTTGATGCTCTTTTCTCCCCTTCATTTCCTTGAAAGGTAAGTAATGTCTATATTGCATACCTGTTTTGTGTACCTTCGCTTTCTTCCTTTCTTTCCTCCCTCCTCTTTCCCCTCTTTTTTCTCCTTGCCCCCCATTTTTCCATTACTAGTTAAAAGTTAGTTTAAATTGCTGATATTCTGGAAACATGAAATATTTCTTGAGAAAGTTAAGGTACCAAGCTCTTACCATCATGTTTTCATAACTGCCCCAAAAATATTATGCAGATTAATGTTTTGACATTTATTTGCTTTTCCTTGAACGTCATGATTCATTTTTATCTGATATCAGCTCCATTTATGGCAAACAACTGGTATTTGCAAATTACAATTGCTATGACAAATTGCAAGTATAATTTTGATCATGATTATTGTACTTGCCTGAGTCATGGCTTGCATCATCTTCTGCCATCCGATCTATGATTCACAAAATTTTATTTCACTACATCCTTTTTAACCCCCCACATAAGCGTCAGACATAGCAGATAAATATGTGATGAAAATTTGTTTCAGAGCAAAACCTAGATAATTTCTTTTGGGCTGCTATAAAAATTTTCAAGCTTTTTTTCTTTTTCTTTAAAACAAACAAACTTTATTCCCTACTAAATGATCACCTTCCCCCTATTTCATAGTGTGTTTAAAGTTGTGCTTAAAGGTTATTTTAAAATAAATTACTAAGTAATGTGCTTGACAAAATTGTTTCATTGTATTTTTGCACATTGGGAAGGGATGTGGTTTATTATAACATGAGCACATTTAGAGTGAAAGTCTGAACCCGAGTAGCCATAGATAACTTTGATGTTACCAAGTAAACTCTCAGACCCTGATACAACAGTTGATTTAAAAGCACACTTTGGCTGTCAGTTGAATCTATTACTTTCAATTCTCACCTTCTTTAAAAATTTATAGAGTGTGGAAATGTTATTTTGTTTCATAATTAAAGGCCGTGTAGAATCAATTAGCACAGTGCATGAGGTGGACTGGGTACCAGGCATTTCACCTGCATTATCTAATTTAATCTTCACAACAACCCTTTAAAGTGTAACTGTTATTCCTCTTTTACATAGGAGGAAGGAAAGTGAGGCACAAGAGACTAGGTTCTTGGCAAGAATCACATTGATCATAATTGAAATTATGTGTAGAACACTGGATAGATGCTGAAGGCACTAAGAGTTATAAGTCTTTGTCCTAGAGAGTCTTCAGTATGGTTGTTGAGGCAAGGCATATCTGTGGGAAAAAAAAAAAAGAGACAAGAATCACTTTCTAAGTGCCACTAATCCTAAAATGGTATATCTTCCAGCAATCATAGGGTCAGCAAACCTATCGAAGACTCTCTATCTTAGAAGAGGAGTATAAAATGAAGTACAGCTCTACTATTTTTGTGAATCTGTTCACTGCCCTTACATTTTTGAGAGAGTTAAAATGTAGATTATTCTCCCTTATTGTTTTCTTGATGTGGCATAGGATAGCTTCTGTACAGGAAATGTTCTTACCCTAGATATCAAGCCATATATTACTTAACTAATTTGGTAACTTAGAAGCTTGTTATTTTCAAGTTTACAGACCATTTTCTTGAATGACTGGTAGATTATACACTTGTAAAGAAATACATTTTTACCTCTGTGCATGTTTAATTTTTTATCAAAATGTTCTGTTGTAGGAATATTGTCTCTTTAATAGAAACGGTCTGTAATTGAAGCTAATTTTTCAGGCTAAAGTCATTTCTAGGGACCATCTCTGTAGAGCTAGTAACTTCAATATAGAATGTGAAATTGTCAGTTCTAGCTTGAGTAAAATATTCAAGTGAACTAATTACACCAATTTGGGGGAAAACAGACACAGTAGATATGCTCGATGGTTTTTGCTTTCACTCTTTATTATCAAAGTTTGGGAGAAAGGGAGACATTGTAATTGACAGAGGCACCATAACGTGGTGGGATTCAAAAGAAGGGTTACCCTCAGCGTTCCCAAACTTTGTATTTGTTATACACTTTTGCAGAGTAGAATTTTTGCAGATCATTTGAGGGACTTAGAGGATGGATATAATTTTTATCTTAAAGTTTTGGGAAATAGAAAATACATATTACAGTTACTGTATATTTCATGATTACCGTTTAAGGCTGTTGACCATTTGTCTACATTTTCCTGCATTCTCAGAGGCATTCGGTTGTCACATTTTCTAGTAAATCATGAACTGTTTTGATTACTGGCCAGATGCTGCATCATGTTTCTTATAGCTAACTTGAAGCAAGTTGTATCTTCTCTGAATTAATCTCTTGCATAACCTATAAGTCTAATATACCTTGTAGCAGTATGTATCTTTATATCCTTACTTGTAGCAAAAATAAATTTTGCATGTGTGATGGCTCCCCTGTGAAGGGTTGGTGGTACACTGATGAGTTGTTGCCTATGTTAACATAATCCTATACAGCAAGGAGTAAAGAGAGCAATGGGTGCTGAGACAAAGGGACAGCTGGCCTCTAGTAATAAAGAAACTGAGGCCTTTGAAGACTATAGCACCCTGGAAGTTGAAAATCAACTTCTGGGTAGAACTTTTGACAATGTAAGGATTTTGACTGAGGTGACAAAGGAATATTTGATTATGTCTGTATTGCTTTTAAAAAATTAATACACAAATGGTATTAAGTTATTCCTTAGACTTTTTTGTTTCTTAAAGTTATATTTTGGATGCTTTTTTAATTATTAAAAGTGTATATATATATATAGAAAAACTTAAAAGAGTGGGAATAAGAGAAAATAAAATACCACATTTCAATCGCCTAAAAATTATTTTTTCACATTTTGGTGTTTTCCTTTCCATTGTTTCTCTATGCATAGCTTTTCTTTTTTTTTTTTTTTTTAAATACCCTGTTGTTATGATATTGTATATGTAATTCTTTTTGGTTGAGCCTATATTATAGCTATTTTTTCATATTATAAAGTCTGCATAAGTCTTTTAAAAATGGGTTTAAAGGTACTACTTTAAGTAAATATGCCATAGGTCACTTAATTTCATGAATATTGTTTGTTTAGTTACTCTGGAAGCTAGGAGGCAATAGCAGGGTTAGGTTAGTTGGGTGACCTGGCTGTAGGAGAGGGTGGAACAGGAGTCTGGATTCCAAACTTAAGTTAATAATTAAAGTTCCCCAAATTAACAGAATTTAGAAGCAACCTAAAGATCAAGGTTAAGGACAAGATTTTTTTCTTTTTTTGATTTTTAATTTTATTTTATTTTACTTTAAGTTCTGGGATACATGTGTTGAACCTGCAGGTTTGTTACATAGATATATATATGCCATGTTGGTTTGCTGCACCTATCAACCCATCATCTTGGTTTTAAGCCCCGCATGCATTAGGTATTTGTCCTAATGCTCTCTCTCCCCTTCCCCCCAACCCCCTAACATGCCCTGGTGTGTGATATTCCCCTCCCTGTGTCCATGTGTTCTCATTGTTTAACTCCCACTTATGAGTGAGAATATGCAGTGTTTGGTTTTCTGTTCTTGTGTTAGTTTGCTCAGAATGATGGTTTCCAGCTTCATCCATGTCCCTGCAAAGGACGTGAACTCATCCTTTTTTATGGCTGCATAGTATTCCATAATGTATATGTGCCACATTTTCTTTATTCAGTCTATCATTGATGGGTTCCAAGTCTTTGCTATTGTAAATAGAGCTGCAATAAACATATGTGTGCATGTGTCTTTACAGTAGAATGATTTATAATCCTTTGTGTATATACCCAGTAATGGAATTGCTGGGTCTAATGGTATTTCTGGCTCTAGATCCTTGAGGAGTCGCCACACTGTCTTCCACAATGGTTGAACTAATTTACACTCCCACCAACAGTGTAAAAGCATTCTTATTTCTCTGCATCCTTGCCAGCATCTGTTATTTCCGGACTTTTTAATGATCACCATTCTAACTGGCATGAGATAGTATCTCGTTGTGGTTTTGATTTGCATTTCTCTAATGACCAGTGATGATGAACTTTTTTTTCATACGTTTGTTGGCTGCATAAATGTCTTCTTTTGAGAAGTGTGTGTTCATATCCTTTGTCCACTTTTTGATGGGAGTTGTTTTTTTTTCTTATAAATTTGCTTAAGTTCCTTGTAGATTCTGGATATTAGCCCTTTGTCAGAGGGATAGATTGCAAAAATTTTCTCCCATTCTGTAGGTTGCCTGTTCATTCTGATGATAGTTTCTTTTGATGAGAAGAAGCTCTTTCATTTAATTAGATCCCATTTGTCAGTTATGGCTTTTGTTGCCATTGCTTTTGGTCTTTTACTCATGAAGTCTTTGCCCATGCTTATGCCCTGAATAGTATTGCCTAGGTTTTCTACTAGGGTTTTTATGGTTTTAGGTTTTATGTGTAACTCTTTAATCCATCTTGAGTTAATTTTTGTATAAGGTGTAAGGAAGGGGTCCAGTTTCTGTTTTCTGCATATGGCTAGACAGTTTTTCCAGCACCATTTATTAAATAGTGAATCCTTTCCCCATTGCTTGTTTTTGTCAGGTTTGTCGAAGATCAGATGGTTGTAGATGTGTGGTGTTATTTCTGAGGCCTCTGTTCTGTTCCATTGGTCTATATATCTGTTTTGGCACCAGTACCATATTGTTTTGGTTACTGTATAGTTTGAAGTCAGGTAAGTCAGGTAGCATGATGCCTTCAGCTTTGTTCTTTTTGCTTAGGATTGTCTTGGCTATACAGGCTCGTTTTTGGTTCCATATGAAATTTAAAGTAGTTTTTTAAAATAGTTCTGTGAAGAAAGTCAATGGTAGTTTGATGGGAATGGCATTGAATCTACAAACTGCTTTGGGCAGTATAACCATTTTCATGATATTGATTCTTCCTATCCGTGAGCATGGAATTATTTTCCATTTGTTTGTGTCCTCTCTTATTTCCTTGAGCAGTGGTTTGTAGTTCTCCTTGAAGAGGCCCTTCATGTCTCTTGTAAGTTGTATTCCTAGGTATTTTATGTTCTTTGTAGCAGTTGTGAATGGGAGTTCACCCATGATTTGGCTCTCTACTTGTCTATTATTGGTGTATAGGAATGCTTTGGAACATATCCCAAAATAATAAGAGCTATTTATGACAAACTCACAGCCAATATCATACTGAATGGGCAAAGGCTGGAAGCATTCCCTTTGAAAACTGGCACCAGACAAGAATGCCCTCTCTCACCACTCCTATTCAACATAGTGGAAGTTCTGGCCAGAGCAATCAGGCAAGAGAAAGAAATAAAGAGTATTCAAATAGAAAGAGAGGAAGTCAAGTTGTCTCTGTTTGCAGATGACATGATTGTATATTTAGAAAACCCCATCGTCTCAGCCCCAAAACTCCTTAAGCTGATAAACAGGTTCGGGACAAGATTAACAAAAACTGTAATGCTCCATGCTTCAGGGACATTGACAGGGATCTGGGAAAATAACGCTCAACATTGAGAAATCAATATACTTTCAAACAAACCACAAGGCAAAGAAGAAACAACAAGAGAAATTAGGAAGTATTTTGAATTGAATGGAAATGAAGACATAAGATCTAAATTTTCAGAAAAAAGCTAAAGCAATGCTCACAGGGAAATCTACAGCTTTAAATACCTATAGTAGAAAAGAAGGAAGGTCTAAAATCAATGATCTAATTTTCCACTTTAAGAAACTAGGAAAAGAAGAGCAAATTAACCCCAAAGGAAGTAGAAGGATGGATGTAATAAGGAGTGGAAATCAATAAAATGAAAAAGAAAGCACAATATAAAAATGTGAGTGAAGCCCAAGACTGGTTCTTTGACAAGATCAATACAATTAATAAATTTTTAGCTAGACTGATAAAGAGAAAAAGAGAAGTTACAAGTTACCAATATTAGAAATGAAAATAGGAACATCACTAAAATACTATGAAAATTAAAAGGTTTACAGGATTGTATTATGAACAGCTTTATGCTAGTAAATTTAAACCTAACCATTGAATACGTGAAAAGCTAACATGGACAAATTCCTTGATAGACACAAATTGCCAAAACTCCCTCAGGAAGAAATAGAAAACTAGAATAGCTCTTTATCAGTTAAACAAATTGAGCTCATAATTCAAAGCATTTCACCAAAGAAAACTCAACACAAATAACTTCACAGAGGAATTCTATCAAATATCTAATGTTGATATAATGTCAATCGCACACAAATATCTTTCAGAAAATAGAAGAAAAAGTAACTCTTCCCAACTAATTTAATGAGGTTGGGCACAATTATGTTAATGCCTGAACCAGAAAAAGACATTACAAGACAAGAAAACTACAGATCAAGAACTCTCAGGAGCATAGATTCAAAAATCTTTAACAAAGATATTAGCAAATCAATTCCAGCAATACCTAAAAAGGATAATATGTCACACTCTAATGGAGGTTATCACAGGAAATCTAGGTTGGCTCAATACTTGAAAATCTATCAATAAAATTTACCATATTAACAGACTAAAAGGGGAAAACTATATGATCATCTCAGTAGATGCAGAAAAAAAAATCTTTCACCAAATTCAACGTCCATTCATGATTTCAGTTTTCAGTATGCTAGGAATAGGAAGGAACTTCTTCAATCAGATTAAGGACATTTATGAAAAACATCATTTCTCATGGTGAAAGAATGAATACTTTGCCTCTAAAATTGGGAATAAGACTACTTTCACCACTTCCTTTTTTTTTTTTTTTTGAGACGGAGTCTCGCTCTGTTGCCTAGGCTGGAGTGCAGTGGTGCAATCTTGGTTCACTCCAACCTCTGTCTCCTACATTCAAGCAATTCTCATGCCTCAGTCTCCCAAGTAGCTGGGATTATAGGCATGTGCCACCACACCCAATTAATTTTTTTATTTTTAGTAGAGATGGGGTTTTGGCCACGTTGGCCAGGCTGATCTCAAACTCCTGACCTCAAGTGATCTGCCCGCTTCAGCCTCCCAAAGTGCTGGGATTACAAGCATAAGCTACCGTGCCTGGCCTACTCTCACCACTTCTATTTTACTTTACACTGGAGGTTCTAGCCAGTGAAATAAGAAAGAGATATAGAAGGTATAAATATTGGAAAAAAAGAAATAATGTAGTCTTTAATTAGAGACGACATAATTGTCTGTGTAGAAAATCTGATGGCATCTCCAAAAAAGGCTATTAGAATAATAAGTGAGTTTTTTATTAAGGTTACAGGATCCAAGGTCAGCACATAAAAATCAATGGTATTTCTATATACTATCAACAATAGGAAATTCAAATTAAGCAAACAATACTAATAATGGCATCCAAAAATGTGCAATACTTAGAATAAACTTAACAAAATACTTGTAGAACCTGTATGCTGAAAACTACACATCGAGTAGATAATTTTTTAAAAGACCTAAATAATGTCATGTATTTAAAGACTCAGTATTCTTAAGATGTCCGTTGTCTTCAAATTGATTTTAATTATATTAAAATTGCAAGATATATTTTTGCAGAAATTGATAATCTGAGTCTAAAATTTACATGGAAAAGGAAAGGATTAACAACAGCCAAAATAATTTTGAAAGAAAAGATAAAAGTTGGAGGACTTACCTGATTTCAAGACTTACTGTAAATTTATAGTAATCAAGAGTGTGGTATTAGCATTAGGATAGAAACATGCAGATCAGCAGAAGAGAATAAAGAGTCTAGATTCACACATTTTGGTCAGTTGCCTCTTTTTCTTGTTTGTTAAGAGAAAGGGTCTTGCTATATTGCTGAGGCTGGCCTTGAACTCCTGGGCTCAGGCAATCCTCCCACTTCAGCTTCTGTCTCCCAAGTAGCTGGGACTATAGGTGCTGTCTACCACACCCAGCTTAGTCAATTGTCTTTTGATAAAAATGCCCATATAACCCTATCAGGAAAGGCAGTCTTTTCAGAAAATGGTGCTGAACACTTGAATGTCATTTGGGGAAAAAATGAACCTTAGTGATTATCTCTTACCATACACCAAAATTAACTTTAAAGGAATGATAGACTTAAATGTGAACATAAAAACTCTAAAACTTCTGGTGGACAACATTAAAAAAAGTCTTTGTTTTTGTGACCTTGGGATAGGCAAATATTTCTTAGAACACAAAAAGCATGAACCATTAAAAAATTGATAAAATAAACTTTATTACATTAAAAACATCTGTCCTTCAAAAGACAGTGTTACAAAAATGAAAGGGCATACACACCATAGACTAGCAGAAAATATTCACAGTACACCTAGTTGACAAACAACTCATACTCAAAATATACAAAGAACATTTACAACTCAGTATTAAGATAAACAACCCAAAATATTTTTTAAAGGGGCAAAACATTTTAAAAGACATTTCACAAAGAGGATAGATAAATTATACATCAATTAGAAAGGATTCTAATTGAACCCAAAAGGCTCACAATGCTACATGTTGGCAAGAAATTGGAGCTTCTGGGAATGTACAATACTGCAGCCACTTTAAAAAATGGAGTGGCAGTTTCTTATAATGTTACACATACACTTACCATACAAACCATGAACTCCTCACCTTACCAATGAAGAAAGAAAACTCAGAAATGTCCTTTCCTATGGTCACATAACTATAATTTGATTGACTGTTTTATTCTGTCTTAAAACCTGATGTGTCAAACTGAAAGGAAGTTAGCCCGCTATGGAGAGAATGCTGCCTGGGCAGCTGGCTTGGAAGACAGCTGGCCTCACAGGAGGCACACTATTCCCTGCACATGCCTAGTGAGCTTTTCTCCTTAATTTCTCCATCCTCTATTGCACCATGCTGCCTCCCCACATCTTTGTGGTATTGTAAATTCAAAATACATCCCCAAAGATTTGTAAGTCATTTCTAAACCATGTGCCTAGCAGTATGCCAGATACTGGGAACACAGGATAGAACACAATTGTGTTCTATTACTGCCCTCATAGGAGAGGACAGACATGTCATAACAGGTAAGATTAGTTCCTCATTAGGGATGTAAATGTGACCACAGTATTATGAAAAATCAGTGATCTGTTTTGCACTGCCACTGAGATGAGAGAAGACGGCAGGGAGTGAGTGATCTCTTTTTAAATGTAATTAAAGTTTGTCACATTTTCCCCCAGAATTCTTCCTATGGTAGTACTTGGAATTGCAAAATGGATATCTATCCAGTAGGAGGTAGCCATTGGACTTTTATAGACCATCAGTCTTTTCTACATTCTGGCTTTTAGGAGGCATACAAGTATTTCATAATTGATTTTTGATGGTAATAGCTTTGGAAACACTGAGGGTGAAAGCTCACTTATACTGCCAAGTTCCATCTTATGGGTAGTCTATCTTCGAATTCTTGTTCGCCCTCAGGCCACTCTTTTAAAAATGATCTCACTGTCTCTTTTTCTATCTCTGTCATCTCTACCTCTATCTCTGTCTCCATCTCTATCTCTATCTCTATCTCTATCTCTCTATCTCTATTATCTCTATCTTTCCTGAGGTTTTAGGACTAGAGGAAAGCTGATATAATGGAACTAGGATATCTATTGTGGAAGAAGCATTTACATATTTAAAAGATGTTAAACGACAACTACTACATGTTAAATATTTTGTTTCCTGGTCCTTTCCAAATAACTTTACTTGTGAGGTTTCAGTAGCCTGGTTATGACAAACAGATATGAAGCTACATTTAAGATATAAAGAGTATGGAGGAAAAGATAGTGTAGATAGGAAAGTTTCACTGCTTCTTTTAAAAAGTTTTTATACTTTTTGAAACATGCTTCACAGCAAAGTATTCACTGCTTTTTAAAAACACATTTTCCCAAGTATTAAATTATGAAAAATTTTAATTGTATTATAAAGTTGAATTTTGTAGTAAACACCAATATACCCAGCTCTAAATTCTATGATTGACATGTTACCGTACTTGCTTTATCATATTTGCTTTATCTATCCACTCTCTAATCCATTTTGTTTTTGATGGATTTAAGAATAAATTGTTTAAAAATACTTTTGATATAATTTCATAGGAGGGACTAGAGAACTTGTACTGTAGTCTACTATGCTAAGTATCTTTATTCCTTTAGATCCATGTTCTACTCCTCCACTCTTTGTTCTGTGCTGTGGTAGTTGATTACATCAATGGGTTTCTCTAACCTCTGGTGCCTGGTTGGATTTAATAGAGAATACTGGTAAGAAATAAGAGGGAGGAAGGTAAGCAAAGTTGGGTTACTTAACTACCAGTTTTCCTCTCTGCATGGTTGCTGGTGACTGCCTATATCCCTCACACAGAAGGCCTTGACTCTTGATGGTTGATTGGTTTTCTTGCTCACACCTTTATAAAATGTCCTTTATTAAACTCTCCTCTAATTATCCTAATTATAGTATATCATCTGTTTCCTGCTGGGACCCTGACTAATACAATTATGTTGAGGCTAAATTGCCTTCAGAGGATTAAGAGTTTGCTTTAGGCTGGATCATCAAGAATGGCTTTACAGAGTAGATGGTAATTTGGATGGATCTCAAAAGATAGAAAGGGGTAGAGTAGTTAGAGAGGAGTGGCAAGTGTTCATAGAGGGTGGGATGACGAACCGTATTATGATGTGAAGGGGTGGGCACCAGGTGTGTTTTGGATAAGTTAAAAACTAATTTGATTAAAGTAGGAGGTTTGTGAAGGAAGATCATGAGTTGGAATCAGATCATGCACAGCCTCGAATACCAGGCTAGAGAGTCTGTTTTTTATCTTGCAGTCTTTGAGGTCCCACTTTAAAAGAGAAACAACATGGTCAAAGAAAGTGTTTTCTGATCCTTAACCTGGTATTGGATAGATTGTAGAGGCATGGAAAGGGCTCAAGAGACAACAGTTTAGGCTTGAAGTAATTAGGACGTAGATTATAATGGTGTCATGGAAATGAAAAGAAAGGGACACATCCCAAAGGATGGAATGAGGGGGCATGGTGCCTGGTTGAGTAAGGAAGTTGAGGGAGAGACAGGAGTCAAAGAAGATTTGCTTTGGAGGACAGTGACACCATGGAGAGAAACAGTAGGAGGAGGAGGAAGTGATTTTGAGGAGGTCATAGCCTTACCTTTAGGCAGGCTAAACATGTAATGGCATAAGGTCTGAATGGAAATAGTTGGCAGGCAGAGAGAAAGGCTGAACTTGAGTGTGGATAGATAAGTGAAAGCTGAAGGCCTTGTCCTAGGAGTCGTCTGCTTAGAAAAGGAAGGTGGAGAGAGAAACATGATTTGTTCTATAAAGTAGATTTTATTGACTCCACTTCATAGATGAAGATTAGGGACTCAGAGATTAAGTAAACTTGCTCAGGTGCAAAGTGGCAGAGCTGGAATATAAACTGAGGTCAAAATGCTCCAACACCCAAGATCTTTCTAAACTATTGTCTCAGAGGTAGAATTAAAGCTATGAGAGCAGGAAAAAAACCTCCCAGAGAAAATGTATAGCAAGAGGATCAGTGGACTAAGAAACTAACCCTAGGAGGGTTAGTCAGGACTCCTTTGGTTGCCAGTGACAGAAATCAAATTGAAGTGATATGAACAATTAATTGGACCTTATTGGCTTTTTTAAAAAAAACACCTTTTTAATTATACTTTAAGTTCCAGGATACATGTACTGAACGTGCAGGTTTGTTACAAATGTGTACACGTGCCATGGTGGTTTGCTGCACCCATCAACCCATCATCTTCATTAGGTATTTCTCCTAATGCTATCCCTCCCCTAGTCCCCCACTCCCCGACAGGCCCCAGTGTGTGATGTTCCCCTCCCTGTGTCCATGTGTTCTCATTGTTTAACTCCCACTTACAAGTGAGAACATGTGGTGTTTGGTTTTCTGTTCTTGTGTTAGTTTGCTCAGAATTATGGTTTCTAGCCTCATCCGTGTCCCTGCAAAGGACATGAACTCATCCTTTTTTATGGCTGCATAGTATTCCATGGTGTATATGTGCCACATTTTTTTATCCAGTTTATCATTGATGGGCAGTTGGATTGGTTCCAATTCTTTGCTGTTGTGAACAATGCCACAGTAAACATACGTGTGCATGTGTCTTTATAGTAGAATGATTTATAACCCTTTGGGTATATACCCAGTAATGAGATTGCAGGGTCAAATGGTATTTCTGGTTCTAGATCCTTGAGGAATTGCCACACTGTCTTCCACAATGGTTGAACTAGTTTACACTCCCACCAACAGTGTAAAAGTGTTCCTATTTCTCCACATCCTCTCCACCATCTGTTGTTTCCTGACTTTTTAATGATTGCCATTCTAACTGGCATGAGATAGTATCTCATTGTGGTTTTGATTTTCATTTCTCTAATGACCAGCGGTAAGCTTTTTTTTTCATGTTTGTTGGCTGCATAAATGTCTTCTTTTGAGAAGTGTCTATTTATATCCTTCCCCCACTTTTTAATGGGGTTGTTTGTTTTTTTCTTGTAAATTTGTTTAAGTTCTTTGTAGATTCTGGATATTAGCCCTTTGCCAGAGGGATAGATTGCAAAAATTTTCTCCCATTTTGTAGGTTGCCTGTTCACTCTGATGATAGCTTCTTTTGCTGTGCAAAAGCTCTTCTTATTGGCTTCTTAAACAACCAGAGGGAGTACAAGAGGTCACGGATGGGTTAAGGAGGAGGATGATGGGAAAGACTACTGGGTTCAGTTATTAGGATGATGATTTTTAATCTGTGGAGAATTTGATGGACTCTTTCCCCAGAAAAAAGGTTATATACCAAACATTTAAAATTTTGGATTCATTTAGGGTTTTATAATCTCCAGCTTAATTCTGGTAATTGTGGGGTTGTGTACAATTTCTGTAGCACCGAAGGAACAGAAATGAGATTTAATGGAATTAAAGGGGGAGAGTATGATGGTCAGCTCAGGCCATGGTCTCCAGATAATTGATCAAACTTTATTTTAGATGTTTCTTTGAAAGTATCCTTTAGATAAGTTTAACACTTAAATTAGAAGACTTTAAGTAATGCAGATTACCATCCATAATGTGAGTAGGCCTCATCTGATCAGTTGAAGACCAACCTTATTAAAAAAAAAAAAAAGACGAGAAGAGGGGATTTTGCCCGTTGAATTGCCTTCAGACTTTAACTGCAGTCTGTCTCTAGCCTGCCAGCCTATCCTTCAGTTTTGGACTTTGTAGCCTTCACAATCATGTGAGCTAATTCCTTAAAATCAATCTTTCTCTCTGTAGATCTAGATAGATGTATATCTGTATCTATTTCTATATTTATATTTTTGGGTTATTTCTCTGAAGAATCATGATTAATACAGGAAGTATATGGAGAAAAGTGAGGGATATCATTTGTGGGTTGCTCTTTTGAAAAGTTCAAGAGGGAAATGAAAGAAAACAGCCCTAACTCAAAAGGGGAAATGATATTTTCAGGAATGTGCTACATAAAAGGTAAATATAAACACTACAAGAAGTGATAAGGAGCTGATTAAGGTTGGCATATGCTGGTACTGTACTGATATGAAATGGAAGTGCAGAATCTGTTGAATAAGAGAGGCTGAGAAATATCAAGAGTAAAGGACCTCACCAACAGAGGTGGGTATGTGATCACTAAAGCGGTCTGTAAAAGATGGAGTGGTGAGCAAAACCATTATCTGGGAAGTTTGAAAGTAGCTAGGAAGTGTGTGTGGGGGTAGTTATGGTGACAGGATGTATTACTCGGGCCCAGATTTGGCTGCCATAACATAGACCCAAAATAACAGTGACTTAAATTGGACAGAGGTTTATTCTCTTTCATATAGCAATCTGAACATAAGTAAATAAAGATGCAAGGAAGTTTCAAGGTGTCAGGGACTGAAACTCCTCTCTTGCTGCCCAGCCATCTGCATCTTGTGCCCTCATCTGCATGGTCAAAGATGGCTCACCATCTTTGTGTCTACATTTGTTAAAGAAGAAAAAAAAGGGAAAGATATATTTTTTCCTTGTAAGACAATGTTTCAGACATTGTACACATAATCTCCAGTCATGTGGCCATAGGAGGACAGGTGAGTGGTCATGTGCAAGAGAGACTGAGATTGTGTTTTTTACCTGGGTAACTGTGTGGCCAGATGAAACTGAGTATTCTATTAATAAGGGAAGTAGGAGAGAATGAGTCCTGGAGGATAACTAATAGTATTTTCCACATGGTGATAAGCAGTAGCAACAGTCATTTGAGGAGAAGCATATATAAGAATGGTTTCTGTGTCAAGAAATGAGATATATGTGTCAATTACATGGTTCAAAAATGGTGTTAGGAATGAGCATAAGACCAGCTTCTCTCACCCTCTTACATTAAGTTAGATGACATGGAGCCTCTATAGATAATGGTAATAGAGAATGATAATATCTTCATGGATAGTCAGGAAAGGAGTAAGAAAGGTAGGATGAGTAGTCACTAATGATTTCCATGGGATGTACATTCTACCTTTCCCTCAAAAAACTTTCTACAGGGTATTTAGAAACTTGTGGTTGCAATGAAAATAATTAACAATGAAAAAATCGTGAAAATTAAAGAAAATTAAGTCAATCATGTAAACTTTAAAGCCTAAGTTATGACACATCTACCAAAATGGCTACAATAAAAAAGATAGACAAGTGTTGGCAAAGACGTGGAGAAATGAGAACCCTCACACATTTCTGGAGGGAATGTAAAATGGTGCAGTTGTCTTGGAAAACAGTCTGACAGTTCCCAAAAAGGTGAAATGTACCATGTGACCCAGCTCATGGTATACACCCAAGATAAATAAAAGCACACACACACACACACACACGCACACACACACACACAGGCACACACATACACACGCACACAAACTTGTCTGTGAATGCTCATTCATATCAGAATTATTCATAATAGCTAAAAAGTAGACCAATCTACATGTCCATCAACTGACAAATGAATAAATAAAATGTGGTCTATCCATATAATGGAATATAATTTGGTCATAAAAATAAATCAAGTACTGATACATGCTACAACATGGAATAACCTTGAAAACATGCTAAGTGAAAGAAGCCAGTTACAAAGACCACAGATAGTATAATTTCATTCATATGAAATATCCAGAATAGGTAAATTCATAGAAATGGAAAGTATATTAGTGGTTGCCAGGGAACTGGGGGACAGGGGTAAATGAAGAATTATTGCTAATCCATATGGGGTTTCTTTTTGGAGTGAGGAGAATGTACTAAAATTGATTTGTATCTGTGGTTATACAGCTCTATGCTAAAAACCATTAGATGGTACACTGTATGGTGTATAAATTATATGTCAATAAAGCTTTTAAAAATAGCTAAGAGAGTCAACTATTTGTAAATATTTTCATTATAATAAATTATAATAAAAATGAAGGCAAAGAAGAAACCATAAGCACTGGGAGCAATTGGTCAAAGGTCACCAGTGAGCCAAGGTACCCTGGCTTGTAATTCAAGACTATAGACTGTGATAATGCTCTTAATACTGTGCAAATATAAGTAGGCTGTAGGAAAAAGGAATGTGTTAAAAGATAATTTTCAAAAAAGGGTAAAATGATTCTTATACAGATATGAAAATGAACATGTGTTGAAGACTTTACTTAGCTCATTCAATGAAGGGACTAGGCAGATGTTATAACTAGTTGGAAGAGAATTCAAAGAGTAGACATACTTATACATAGTTGGAAAACAACTCAAAGATAATGAACAAGGCTAGAATCAGATAATCTAGCACAGTGTGATGTATGCAGACAGTACTCAGGAATGAAAGGCTAGAATCAGATGACCTGGAGGTATATCCTCTGGACAATGCGTAGCATTTTATTGAGACATACTTTTTTTTCCCTCTCTACAGATGTTTGCCTCAAAAAATTCACAATGTAGAAGGTGGGTTTTGGCAGAACTAGGGTAAGTAGAAGTGACAGCAGAAAGGACATAAACATTCAACATTTTGTGCCCAGAGGTGTAGACCTGACAGGAATGATGGAGGCATATACTAGAGATAAGAGAATGGGAGATTAATTATGACAGGAGGCAGTAGCTAGAGGAGTGGAAGAACACAAAATAGGGAAGAGAAGGGTCATCTAGGTGGAGGAGAGGAGAACTTAAATAGATGGACTTTGATATATCCTTGATCAGATGGACATTTCCACAGAGGCAGTCCAGGCTAAATCCCTGCTTTTAAAAGGCAAGCCTCAGTTGTTGCTCAAGAAGTGCTTTAAAAACAGTGGCTGATTTTTCAAGTGGCCAATTTATCTATTAACTAGTTTGTCAACATCTGTTTACCAAATGATTAATTTGTCAGATGGTTAATTCAACAATTTGTTTCAGTTTGGGCATAACGTTGACAAATTGCCCATTCAGTGAATTGATTTTCAGTGAATTGGTCTATGTCCAGATTCTGATCTCCCATGCTAACCAGTTTGCCAAAGTTGAGTTGCCTTTTGTAAGCCACACTGTATACTCATTAATTTATGCGTTCACTGATTGGCAATCGTTAAAGCATTTACTGTGTGTCTGACACTATTTTAGGTGAAAAACTTCTGCCAGTAAATCTAAGAAAGAAAATGCTTTTATCCATTGTATATATAACACATAGTTGATGAAGATATCTTATGTCCATAAAAAGAACATTTACACCAAATATTAGAAAATTATAAGGATCTGCCCCAAACAGGAGTTTAAATGGATAGTAACATGGCAGTAAATGGATGGTAATAAGACATGGGAAAGTAGCTATAAACCCTTATTTGTGGAGCCTTTTCTTTTACCTGCATTGTGCTAGGTAGATCTTTAAGGAGTAACAAATGTACCACAGGAGGAACACAAGGGGTGAATAAGCTGGGCTTTTAAAGTTCGCGTGTAGGTTATTTGACCAGGGTCACCATTTTCCCCACAGAAATGGTGTTATAAACAGGGATTTAAGTTCCTGGGTCAATTCATAGCAGTTTCATCCACAATGTAGCAGTGAGCATGGCAAGAGAGACAATGTATGTGTATTAGTCTGTTCTTGCACTGCTCTAAAGAAATACCTGAGACTGGGTGATTTATAAAGAGAAGAAGTTTAATAGTCTCATGGTTCTGCAGACTGTACAGGAAGCATGATGGTGGCATCTGCTCAGAGTCTGGAGAGGCCTCAGGAAACTTACATTCATGGCAGAAAGCAAGGGAGGAGTGAGCATCTCACATGGCCAGAGCAGGAGGAAGGGGGGCAGGGTTGGAAGTGCCACACACTTTTAAACAACCAGATCTTGGAAAACTCACTCACTGTCACAAGAACAGCACCAAGAAGATGGTGCTAAACTATTCATGAAGGATCCACCCCCATGATACAGTCACCTTCCACCAGGCCCACCTCCAACATTGGGGACTACAATTTAACATGAGATTTGAGTGGGGACACAGATCCAAACCGTATTATTCTGCCCTGTCCCCTCCAAAATCTATTGTTTTTTCATCTGTGACCTCCTCAGCCTGGACTTCATTGTCCATATCACTATCAGCATCTTGGTCACGACAATTTATTATAACAAGTCTGTAGTAAGTTCCAAATTTCCCCTCATCTTCCTGTCTTCTAAGACCTCCACACTCTTCCAACTTCTGCCTGTTGTCCAGTTGCAAAGCCACGTTCACCTTTTCAGGTATCTTTACAGCAGTGCTCCACTGTTCAGTATCAATTTTTTGTATTCTCATGCTGCTATGAAGAAATACCTGAGACTAAGTGATTTATTTAAAAAAGAGATTTAATTAGCTCATGGTTCTGCAGGCTGTATAGGAAGCATGATGCTGGCATCTGTTCAGCTTCTAAGGAGGCCTCAGGAAACTTACAATCATGGCGAAAGGGAATCAGGGAGCAAGCACCCCACATGCCCAGAGCAGGAGGAAGGTGGAGGGAAGTGCCATACACTTTTAAACAGCCAGATTTTGTGAGAACTCGCTATCGTGATGACAGCACCAAGGGGGGCAGTGTTAAACCATAAGAAACTGCTTCCCTGATCCAATCACCTCTCACCAGGTCCCACCTCCAACACTGGGGATTACAATTGATCATGAGATTTGGGCGGGGACACAGATCCAAACCATATCAGTGTGCTATTGTGGTAAAAAGTGAGGACGTTGGAATCATTAAGTTCTCTGAATCATGTCTATAACATGAGAACTATAATGTCTATCCAAAGTGATTGGTGATTGAATGAAATAATATAATATGAAAAGCCTTCTCAAGGTATTTTCTATTTTTTGGAAGTAGACAAAATACTTTTGTGTTTCTTGTTTTGTGTTTTGTGTTTCGTTGTTCATGCTGTTTTTTTGTGCCTTCTTGAAAAGAGTAAGCATAATTTAGTGTCTTAGTGTCTCTGGTTCATCAGCTACTGCGCTATAATATGGTAAGTAGCACCCTCAGGAGCATTTTACTTGCATAGGGCTATTTCTTCTATAGTAAATGGTCTTAGAGTTATTTTATGTTTTCATGGTTTAGATGCTTCACCTTCGCTGTAAAGCATCACTTCTGGCTGTTATCAGTGTATGATTCTAGCTTTATTACATGCTACTCTTAATTTTCTGGTGAGAAAACTCAGAGAATGTTACTCATTAGAGTTGCCTATAAACCAATCATAGACAGGCTCTGAGAATTTAGGGGCTTTACTATGAAGAAGATGTGGTCCTTATTATTGCTATAGAAGCTCCTTTACCCATAGTTTTACTTGAATATCACAGATTAGGAACATAGCTGCACTCCAGAGCCAAAGTATATAATCCATGACCTCCTTCAACAGATAGATGATGAAGCAGTTGTTGTGTGTAGTCACTACATTACTTATCAGTGTTCAGCATGTGTGCTGGTCTTTTTACCTGGTTTTGAAGTTGAATATGAATATTATTAGCTCGCTCCTTCCTTCCTTCCTTCCTTCCTTCCTTCCTTCCTTCCTTCCTTCCTTCCTTCCTCCCTTCCTTCCTAGTTTCACTCTTGTTGCCCAGGATGGAGTGCAATGGTGTGACTCAGCTTACTGCAATCTCTGTCTCCCAGGTTCAAGCGATTCTCCTACCTCAGCCTCCCCAGTAGCTGGAATTACAGGCGCACGCCACCATGCCTGGCTAATTTTTGTATTTTAGTAGAGACGGGGTTTCCCCACGTTGCCCAGCCTGGTCTTGAACTCCTGATCTCTGGCGATCCACCTGCCTTGGCTTCCCAAAGTGCTGGGATTACAGGCATGAGCCACCACACCTGGCTGTCATGTTTCTTAAGTGCAAAACAGAAAGAATGTTGACAGTTCTAGTTAATAGAGGAATGCAATTAGGGTGAAGATGAAAGCAAAGAAGAAAAATAATGAAATGGTAAGAAAAGAGGTACATAAGATTACTGTTTAATGGTAGGATTGATTTTGAAGGTCCAAGAACAAATTCTGCAACATACAAATGTCATGCCTGTGCAGTGGACAAAAGTAGGTAAGTAGGCCTGTATGAAATAATTCATGCACAAAGCTATTCACTGTGGCTTTCTCTGTAATAGATAAAAAGCCTACAAACAAACAAATTGCCCAACAAAAGGGGACCAGATAAATAATGATGATAGATCCATATGATGAAAACTACGAACATCTGAAAAAACAAGGATGCTCTTTATGTATTGATATTGAATAGCCTTCATGTTAATTTGTTAAGCTAAGCAAGATCAAGATGCAGAACATTAATAATATATTATCATTTCTGTAAGAAAAAGAATAAAAATATATACAAAAAGATTCTCTTTTATATGTGTAGAATATCTCTATGAGAAATAGGTAGCATTAGGTGCAGTTGGGGAGGGCAATAGGGAGGACAAAATTGGGAAGGAGAAGGCCTTTTCACTGTAAGGCCTTTTGTGTCTTTAAGATTTTCAGCTATAATACTGTTCAATAATAAAATAATCATTAAGGGCTGGAAAAATGGAAAAACTTACCTGTGACCAGAGGCCAACATCCATGTTGGATGCATATTAGCATAATATTAAATCAGGTGAAGGCTGGGATTTTGTTGAGGAATTTAGAGGCTCAACATATAACAGTTCTTCTGAGACTTTAGCCTCATAAATCATGAATTATCCCATAGATTTAAAGCCTTTTTGGATATACTGTCTATTAAAGTGAGTAGTGAAATGAAAAATTTGGGTTCTATAGTGGCTAAGGCATCGTATACTACATTCGCAGAGATAGTTAAAGACTAGGCAGATGATAGCACTTTGGGAGGCTGAGGCGGGTGATCACTTGAGGTCAGGAGTTTGAGACCAGCCTGGCCAACATGGTGAAGCCCCACCTCTACTGAAAATACAAAAATTAGCCAGGTGTGGTAGTGCATGCCTGTAATCCCAGCTACTCGGGAGACTGAAGCAGGAAAATCACTTGAACCCGGGAGGCAGAGGTTGCAGCGAGCTGAGATTGCGCCACTGCACTCCAGCCTGGGCGGCAGAGTAAGACTCCATGAGTGAGTCTCAAAAAAAAAAAAAAAAAAAAAAGATTAGGCAGAAACTTGTTTCAACAATTTTCCACATTTTTGACAAAGCACATATCCGTAGTAAAGAGAGGCACATTCACATATGCACTCATTTTCCTTCTTTCTTCCCTTCTTTTCTCCTTCCTTCCTTCTTTCTTATTTTCTTTTGAGACAGGGTCTTGCTCTGTTGCCCAGGCTGGAATGCAGGGGCACAAACAAAGCTCACTGCAGCCTTGACCTCCTGGGCTCAAGTGATCCTCCCATCTCAGCCTCCTGATTAGCTGGGGCTACAGGTGTGCATCACCTTGCCCCCCTAATTTTTGTATTTTTTTTGTAGAGATGGGATCTTTCCATGTTGCCCAGGCTGGCCTTGAACTACTGGGCTCAAGCAATCCTCCCGCCTTGGCCTCCCAAAGTGTTGGGAGTTCCAGGTATGAGCCACCAAGCCTGGCCTGCACTCAGTTTTTTACTAATTCATTCAAATAATATTAATTAAGCACCTACCACGTCCCAATCACCTTTTAAAGCACCAGGATTATAACAGTGAACAAAATAAGTTGTTACTCATATGGAGCTTACATCCTAATGTGAGAGACAGGCAATACATAAGTAGACAAAAATTTCAGGTGCTTATAGATATCATGAAAAAAATAAAGCAGATAAAGGGGATACAGTATGTCTTGAGATGGAGGGAGGATTATTTTGGGTAATTAGAGACATTTTCTTTGAGCAGGTAACATTTGAGAAAAGAACTGAATGATGACAGTAAATAGGAGTGTGAAGATCTTGGGGAAGAGTATTCCAAGCAGGAGGAACAGCAAGTGGAAGGGCCTAGAGATAGGACGTACTTAGTGTGTTCAAGGAACAGCTGGGGGATCATGTGGCTAATGTGTAATGACTGAGGACGGGGTTGGTAGGAGAGGATGCTTCTCAAACTTGCATGTGCACATCAGTCATCTGGGGCTCTCCTCTGATTCTTTAGGTCTGGGGTGGGGTCCAAGATGATGTCTTTCTAACGAGCTCCCTGGTAATGTGGCAAGGTATTAGATGGCACGGAGTCTGAATTTTATGTCATTCAGGAGGACACTGGGGGATTTTAAGTAGAGAAGTGACATAATCTTATCTATGGTTTAAAAATATTGCTCTGGCTATTCTGTGGAGAACAGACTGTTGATTTCAAGCATTAAAATAAGTAACCAATTAGGAGTTTACTGAGTAACTCAAGTGAGAGAGAAAATGACTTGAACTAGAGTTACTGTGATGAAGGTGGTATTGGTAAGATTCAGGATACATTTTGAATGCAGTGGGGACAGGACTTACTGAAGATGATTAGTGCGGGCAAAGGAAAGGAATCAGAGATGACTCCTAGTTTTTAGTCAGAGTAACAACCCACTGGATGAATGGAGGTATATTGAGACAGGAAATTTTGGGGATGGGGCAGATATTTCCTATTTATTGGAAAATATCCGAGGAGTGCAAAGTGAAAGCCCACTTGCTCATTGTGGTGACTGTGGAGGTGTGCCTATCAGATCTCTCTTTAAGAGAACTGGCCACAAGGAGTGCAGTAAGTTGATAGCCCGTAGTTGCAGATGCCTTCAATATCTGATTCAGATTTAGAGTTTTGTCCATCTGATTTCCAGGCAGCATCAGGAGTGATGAAAGGGCTTGCCAGAGCTCCCTACTGGGCTGGCCAGAATTTCCTAAGAGCTGCACTGTAGTCTGAGCCTCCTGCTACCCTCTTCTCTTTCCCCTCCCTTCTCCTTGTATAGGACTCAGCCCTACATCATAGACTGAAGGTTTTCTTTTATCTTTCGCTGGCATTATGTCCAATACATCTTTTGTATTTCTAACACCTTCTTGGCATCTGTTTCCAGGAGGACCAATTGACAACCTCACTTAGAAGTCACAACACATGGACTTAGAACCAGCCTTTCAGAATCTGATCTGCTTATAAATAGAGGAGCTTCTGTACTTAGGTCATTCTGAAATCTATTTTTCTTCCTGTTAACTATGTATTCTCGATTAGTGCTGTCCAATCTGCATATAATGGGAGCCACATATGTAATTCTAAATTTTCTAGTAGCTACATTAAAAAAAATAGGTGAAACTAAATATAATAATACATTTTATTTAACCTCATATATTAAAAATATTATTTTAGGCCGGGCGCGGTGGCTCACGCCTGTAATCCCAGCACTTTGGGAGGCTGAGGTGGGCAGATCACGAGGTCAGGAGATCGAGACCATCCTGGCTAATACAGTGAAACCCCGTCTCTACTAAAAATACAAAAAATTAGCCGGGCATGGTGGTGGTTGCCTGTAGTCCCAGCTACTTGGGAGGCTGAGGCAGGAGAATGGTGTGAACCTGGGAGGTGGAGCTTGCAGTGAGCCGAAATCGCACCACTGCACTCCAGCCTGGGCGACAGAGCGAGACTCCTTCTCAAAAAAAAAAAAAATTATTTTAACATGTAATCAATATAAATATTATTAATAAAGTATTTTATATTCTTTTTTTAATACCAAGACTGAACTCTAGTGTTTACACTTAACAGCAATCTCAGTTTCACTAGCCACAATTCAAGTGTGTAATCTTCTGCCATCTCACTGTGTGCCCACATGACCTCTTCTTTGTGGGTTCCCTGAAGAGATAAGAGAGGAAACTCTGGTTTTCCTTATTAGGACGCTGATCCTATTGGGTTAGAGCCCCACCCCACGACCTCATTTAATCTTAATTACCTCCAAAGAGGCCCTATCTCCAAATACAATCATGTTGGGCCTTCACTATATGAATTTTGAAGGGGCACAATTCAATCCATAGGAGAGGGTGTCTTTCTATCCCTCAGTGTCTTCGATGGCACCTGTGTTCCCTGTTCATAGTTTACAGGGGCAAATATGAGTTTAGGAATCCACCAGAACTGGGTGTCTATTATTTACCAACTGTGTGACCTTGGAGAAGTTGCCTGACCTCTCTTAGATCTCTCACCTGTAAAATGGAGATAATGCTGCCTTTTTACAGTGCTGTGAGACTTGTATGAGGCAGTGCATGTGCAAGGTTCTGGCCCTGGGTCTGCCAGGTGGTAGATGCTCAAGAATGGACAATTTTATTGATATGCACTTTGCCTGCTGATTTGTAATTTTATTATTGATTTCACAGTTCACACTTATAACTTCAGAGTCACAATCTACCAGCAAAAAGGAAATAACTGTAGGGTTCAATGCAAAAGAGAATAAATCTGCTTTGCTTTCCTATGTGATTTCACAGTATATACTGTAATCAATGGGGGCTGGGATGCCTACATGCACGGAAGTATGGCTTATGTAAACTTTTTTTGTTCAAATTCTAATCTTCAGCTGTTCAATATTTTGTGGTCACCATTCTTGTTAGCTGAGGTATCCATCTAATATTTATTAGCTCTTTTAAGTAAACATTGGAAAATAATACGATGTAATGCACTTTGCTAATAGAAAACAGCAGGGGGACAGAGAGGAGTCCTTTTAATTTTTATTGCCAATCTACCTCTATTAAAATCTCCAGTTGAGATTAAGGCTATCTTGGAGAAACACAGAGAGGAAACCTGAACTAGTAACATGAATATTTTATGTAGTAGGTCTTCAACCAGGGGCTTTCTGTTCTTTGAAGATTCTGTGGGTATATTTTTCTTGACTGCAATTACACATTTGCAGAATTCAAAATAAAAAAAGTGTATGTCAATTACAGCACTACATCAGTCTCAGTCTTTTTAAAAATTGAGTTGTATGGTTTTGGTGTTGAGTTAAAAAAATAGATACTATGCTTGAATATAAGCATCTGTAAACTCTTAAGAAGTATCTCCTATATAAGTGGAATTAGGTATTTTTTTCTAGTTCAAAGTACCTTCTGAAAGAGCTTCGATTTGGTTTCTGTTTTTTTCTTTCCAACTAAACACATGTTGGTGGGGTGGCAACACATGTTGGTGGTAACACATGTGGGTGGGGTGGGGGGAGTGGAGGGCTGTTGTTTCCCTGATGGATGGGGCCATCTTGAATGAAAACAGCCATCATTATTGTTTGTGGGATTCTTTTCAATTTGTATCAGAGATTAGTGAGGAAAGGTAACAATAGGGACCCTCAAATTAAAAAATAATCTTTAAGGGTAGATACCCATGAGAACCCTAGCATGGCAGAACTGGAGAGGAGCCCAAGGATCATCAGTCCAGCTCCTCTTTCAGGAATAAGGAAGTAAAGTAACTTGACCAAAGTCTAACATAGCTTGTTGCAGAGCTAGTGTCAGAATCCACCACTCCTGGCTCTGATTTTTCCATGAAACATAGTTTTTGTCCCTGGAAACCTCTCTTTTCTTTTAAAATTTATTTTAAACAAACTAATTATTGTTTGAAAATCTCCCCTGGAAACTTCTAGTTTCCCTGTGTTGTGTAAAGAAAGATTGTAGCTGTTATGTACTGAATGTCTAAGTTTCCTCAAATTCATATGTTGGAGCTGCAACCCCCAATGTGATGGCATTTGGCCATGGGGCCTTTGGAAGGTAATTAAGTTTAGATGAGATCATGAGGGTGGGGCCCCTATGATGGAATTAGTGTCCTGATAAGAAGAAAAGGAGAAGCCAGAGCTCTGTCTGTCCATATGCGAGGATACAGCAAGAAAGAATGCATCTATCTGTAAAACAGAAAGAGTCTGAATTGGCTGGGACTTTGATTTTGTATTTCTCAGCCTCCAGAGCTGTGAGAAATAAATCCCTGTGGTATTTAGTTATTGCAGCCTAAGTAGACTAAGATGGAAGCCAATCAACTAAAAATGTACCAGAAATAAAGATACTGATTTTTAAAAGTAAAAACATAGTTAAACCAGATCTGATTTCTCCTTTTTAGAAAAGCACGACTTTCATGAAATGTTGAAATCAACCAATCATTCATTCATTCAGAATTTTTCTTTGACCACTGTATGCCAAGCTTGGAATATAGAATGCTGGGCCCTGACTCTGGAGTCTAGTGGAAGAGATCTATCTGTAAATGTGTAATTACTCCTGAAAGGCAGGGCTCATGTCTCTCTTTTTTTCTCACCATTTAATCCACATTGTCTAATAGGGACAGAGGGCATTCAATTACAGTTGACCCTTGAACAACATGGATTTCAACAGTGTGGGTCCGCTTCTACATGGATTTTTTTCAACCACATGCAGATGGAAGACAGTATTCATGGAATTAAAAAAAGTAGATACTATGCTTGAATATAAGCATCCATAAACTCTTCATCTCAAAACCCAAGAATATGGATGGCTTCTTTTTTCTTTTTATTTATTTTATTTAACTTTTAAGTTCAGGAGGACAAGTGCAGGTTTGTTACTATATAGGTAAACTTGTGTTATGGGTTTTTTTTTGGGGGTATGGATTATTTCAACACCCAGGTATTAAGCCTAGTATCCATTAGTTATTTTTCCTGATCCTCTCCTTCCCCCAACCTCCACTCTCTGAAAGATGCCAGTGTGTGTTGTTCCCCTCTATGTGTCCATGTGTTCTTATCATTTAGCTCCCACTTGTGAGAACATGTGGTATTTGGTTTTCTGTTCCTGTGTTAATTTGCTAAATATAATGGCCTCCAGCTTTATCCATGTCCCTGCAAAGGACACAATCTCATTCTTTCTTTTTTTGTGTGTGATGGAGTCTCACTCTGTTGCCCAAGCTGGAGTGCAGTGGCACGATCTCAGCTCACTGCAACCTCCACCTCCCTGCCTCAAGCAATTCCCCTGCCTCAGCCTCTCAAGTAGCTGGATTACGGGTGCATGCCACCACGCCTGGCTAAATTTTTGGATTTTTAGTAGAGATGGGGTTTCACCATGTTGGCTAGACTGGTCTCGAACTCCAGACCTCAGGCAATCTGCCCACCTCAGCCTCCCAAAGAGCTGGGATTACAGGTGTGAGCCACTGCACCTGGTAGATCTCATTCTTTTTTATGGCTGCAGGCTGTTTTTTTTCTGTACTCGGGCTCCACAGGGCCAACGGTGGGACTTGAGTATGTGAGAATTTTGGTATATATGAGGTTGGCAGGGGTAGAGGGGCTGGAACCAATCTTTTGTATATATAGAGGGATGCTAGTTTTGAATGAATCAATCAGTGGGAAGAATGGATCAAACATAGCTTTAGAGAGGAGGTGATTTTAGGCTGGTTTTATTCGTTGAAATAGACCTTTTTTTTTTTTTTTTTTTTTTAAAGAAGTAAAGATAGGGAGAGGTGTGATATGGAGCTTGAGCAGGAGTTTTCATCTGATGAAACCATGTCCTTTATTTGACATTGGTTTCATCTTACTACAGCCCAAGGTATCCAGTGCCAGTATAAGAAGCCACATACTTTTGATTGAAGTCCCAGGATTATAAAAATGGAACTGGGACCAGCTCTCTGCTCTCAAAATCAAAAGAAACCAATGATACCTTGACCAGGAAGAAGAGAGGAAAGCAATTTTTTTTTAAAAGACTCTATTTACATTCATTTAATATATTCTTTTACGTTTATTGACTCATTTAGTACAACTCTGAAGAATTGTTATTCCATTTTAGAGATGAGAAAACTGAGGTTCAGAAAGACTGAACAACTTCTCCAAAGTTGTATAGCTATTAAGGTGGAGCTGGGATTTGAGTCCAGTTGTTTCTGACTCCCTAGGCCAGCAGCCTCTGAAGTGCATGCATTTTCCACCCTGTGCCCGTACTGGCAGAGCTCGGTGCAATCCTTAGGCAGTCAGTTCAGTTCCAACTGTCTTACTATCTGCAATGTTTTCAGACTAAAACCTGGGCTTTTATGAGCTCAGTGGAAATACAAGAAATATTATATCCAAGTTTTTCTTAATTCACTGGAAATCCATTTGAGACGATGCTTCATGTGGTATGTTTGATGGTGTAACTCATCCCATTTCTGCCTAATAAAGGAGAGGAAGTTTGGAGAATGGTTAGTAGAAGGAAGGAGGGGAGAGGAGGGAGGAAGGCAGGAGAGAGAGAAAGGAGATAAAAGATATTTGTCAGGGAGTGGCTGGAAGGAAAATGAAGTTTTCCAGGAAGGGCACTACTGATTTTAACTGGGAAATGGCCAGGAGCTAAAGGCCAGTGATGAGCAACAATAGGCCTGCCAGGCTGAGGAGAGTTTAGTGTTGTATTTAAGCATAAAACCTATGCAAAGCTGATGCTGCCTATCAGGGTACTTTCAGCCTCATCTCATGAACCCCCGAGCACCAGGGCAGAACAGTTGGGAAGAGCTGGGCTGGAGCAGGGATTTCCTGGGTTGCTGTAGAAGTTCTAAGAGTGTTTTTTTGTTCTTAAAAAAAAATTATTTGTATTAAGTTAAAGGATACAAGTGCAGTTTTGTTACACGAATATATTGCACAGTCGTGAGGTCTGGGCATTCAGTGTATCCATCACCTGAATCAAATGTACATTTTACCTATGAAGTACTTTCTCATCCCTCACCTCCTCCCTACCTCCCACCCTTCCGGGTCTCCAATGTCTAGCCTGTTCTTTCCTCTATCAGATTCCCACACAGTCATCCAATAGCTGAGAAAATTAATTGCTTTGCACTAATAACTACTTTCAGTGTTTTCTATTTGTAGTATTTTATTTTATAAGGGCACATTTGACTCTGTTGTATTCTAGAAATCATCATTAATGGTAGAATTTCAGACCCCGTGATAGGCCTATTTGAATTAACACAGGTACAATTTTAAAACGATATCTCCTCTGTTGTGGGCCCTCCCTGTGCTCTTGGATAACCCCGTCTTGGGGAAACGCTGTGTTGTGGTGAGGTGTTTTTTCATACTACTGCTTTCCTGTAGTGCGTCTACTATGGGAAAGTGAGCTAGATGGAAGAGAAGCACACAGAAAATAAGAAGAGAAGACAATGGACTCTTCCTGAGAAACAGTCATTACTATGAGGAACATCACTTAGAGAGTAAGAAGAGAGACAGGCTGCATGTGAGACCCTCGGGCAGAGTGAGAGCGCGAAGATAGTCCCTATGGACTTCAGGTCACGGGCGGATCTGACAGCTTAGGCTCATTTTCTCAGGGTCATGACTGTTGAGAGGGATGGATTTCACCTTCTGTGTAAGAAGCATTCCTAGAAATATGAAAATGTTTGCTTGTAACTGCCACCGAGCAGGGACAGAAGCTGCCACATGTGGAGGGCTCTTGTCAGTGCCCTGAGCACTCTGCATTTGTGGCATGTCACTTTTCTCAACTGTGTAACAGGAGAACTGGATCAGGAGATCCAGTCTAACTCATTTTGACAGGCTCTCCAGGGTTTGGGTGGAAAACAGCCTTTGTGTTGCTGAGGTTACAGAAGCAAGGATTAATCATACCTCAGAGCTATGCATCTGTTTTGACCAGCAGGACTACTCCCTGATGCAGTGTGTGTGTGTGTGTGTGTGTATGTGTGTGTGTAACATTTTCTTTTTCTCTCAACTTTTTTCCTGGAATGTTGCTGATACTTTCTGATCTGATTTTCAGTCTGACTACTGGCTCCCTTTCCCTTTTGCACAGGTGCAAGTCTGAGGTTTTCTTCACCTGACAATTCTTTATCAGTAGATGGAATTTTAGAAATGGACCGGGAGATAGGCTATCCCTGCTGCACTTTTAGTTTCAGATCATCTTATCTGCATCTAGCCCCTGGCATTTGCTGCTTCCTGGAAACATAAAATTGTAAATTTGCTGGCTTTTTTTTTATTTTTTTGCCTTAAATAAAATTCTTTTCCTCTGTGATATCAGCTCCTGGGAAATGGCAACTATGACCACATCCACCAGCCCTTTGATATGGCAGCTATGGAAGAAAGAATGACGTGGCCTGTTTGGCTTACTAGTTTTTTCCTCCTCACGTAGGTCTATGGGAGCATTTAATGAACCCACATAGGTTTGAAAAGGACCTCACAGAAATAGAGTAGAAATCAAATAGGAGTTGAAAACGTCATATTAACTTCCCTGTGGGCAGGTCTTTAGCTTGAGATGGCTTCTTGAGCCACCTCAGTCAGAGCAGGAGGCATCTGGCAGAAAGCCCTGGCAGACCTTCCCTGAGAAATGTTCTCTGACAAAGTGGCAGTGGAAGTGCTGCCTCTGATCATCCTCAGGCACATAACAGAAGGCAGAGATTTCACAAGGGGAGGATGTTTTCATGTTTGGACCCCTGGATTGTTGACTTTTGTCATCCCCTTTTGGCCGGTCACACACCCTCGCTCTGAGGCAGCGTTAGTGTCACCCTGGGCCTGGTGGGTATAGGGGGGTGGGGCAGCATGTTACCAGCTTCGGCTTTGCATCCAAGCTTGGAGGAGCTGACAGGGCCACAGACACAAGTGAAAGCTCTTTCTCCACCTCATGGAAGGGCAGAACCGTGCTGCTGGGCACTCTTTTGAGCATGACTGTGTATTGTGAACTCAGAGTTTCACTCGCCCAGGGGTTGCTTGGTTGAGCCATTTACACTCAGGGTTTGAGGACCTTGCTTCTCTGACATTTCCCAGATGTGGTTTGTGGTCGGATGCCCCTGTGGCTTTAGATCAGCATTTTCTAGATACTGTTTCTGAGTCTTTTAAATTTCAAAGGACATCAAGATTGGGCCGTGTGAGCTTTTCCGCTAAGCTGCCTCACTCTATACTCACTTTATATCTCTGGCTTTTTTTTTTCCTCGTACTCTGCACTGCTCCCTCCCTACCCATCTCCTAATTTGGGTTTCTCTGTTATCTCCTTATGCATGGCACTGCTTCTTTCAGTAGAAATAAATAAATAATGCACAACTTCCAATTTATAAATAATACATTCTCAAACTAAGATAAATTTTTTTTCACTTCAGACATAATTTGCCAACATGGAGTCATAACAAGATTCGAGGGAGGCACTTCTCACACATGAGCGTGAAAACCCAATCATCACGCTCTTGAACCACAAAAGGATGGAGATGAAATTTTTTTGAAACATGTAAAAGTAGAAAGAAAAAATTTAAAAAATCCATTCTAATATAAAAAATGACCCTCTCCTTCCTGAATCTTTTTATTAGATGTTGACTAGATGCTGGCATTTCATTTATAAAAGTAAGCATGTCAAATGCCTACAGGCAAGGGCAGCTTTATAACCAAGGGAAACAGTGGGTGCAATGGAAAGAGTGGAGACTGATCTGGGTCTGAAACCCAGCACAGCCACATCCTGGCCATGACTTTGGGCAAGTAATTTATCCTCTGTCGGCCTCAATGAGTAAAGTAGGAGTAGAAAATATGTTTCTTGGGAGTATTAAATGTTAGACTAAAAGCTATGCAAGGTGAGCCTTTCACAGGGAAGATGTTCAACAAATACTTGTGCAATGATAATATAATTTAAAAGTTAGAAAAATAGGCTGTGAGGGAAGTGTAGGCAATGGGAGCACTTAGGACTGGAGTGAGGGAGGGCTGTGAGGAAGAATCAGCTTGGCAGACGAATTTCTAGGGCACATCTGATTCCACCCAGGAGGCTCACTTTGCTGCTGCAAAAACCCCGGAAGTGTGGAGCCCCCAATGCTGATTCATCTGAGAAATCGTCCCTGACTATCCTGCCCTTGTAGAGCAGGGAATTTTTTTTCCCCTCTCTGCTCCTGCAGCACTTTGTGGCTTTTTAATGAATTTATCACATTATAAAATCTTTTAAAAATTGATAGCTGGATTCCTTACATGCCTGTGAATTTCTCTAGGGTAGGGATAACACCACACTCATCTTTGTATCCTCAGAGGTGCCCAGCCCGGTTTGTTAGACGTCGGGGTAGATGGATATGTCCATGTATGGTGCACATTATCATCAGTGCAAATAAAGCTTTGCTGACTCAGAATGTTTGGAGGCGTGTGGGTTTCTTTTTGCAGGAGTTGCTGGGGAGAGACTGTGGTGTAGCAGAAAGAAGGAAGGACAGACTCTAGAATGGAGAGATGCTATGTTCTGATTAGTTAAATTTTCTCTACATTTAAAGTATACACAAATATCCCTTTTGGTTTCAGCCCTCATTCAATGTTTATGAAAATCCACAGGCATTCAATACTTCTTAAACTTTTCCACTGCAAAATACCCCAAGGCAAAGGGGAGTGACCACCAGCCTGACTGGGGTTGGGAAAAGTAGGGGCTGGGGTCAAAACCTGAAATTGTCTGCAGCACACCCACAATGGCTAGATGCATGCGATTTTAATTTTAGCACTTTGGGAGGTAGAGGCGGTAGGATTGCTTGAGCCCAGAAGTTTGAGACCAGCCTAGGCAACATGGCAAAATCTAGTCTTTACAAAAAAATTAGCCAGCTGTGTCGGCCTGCAGATGTAGTCCCAGATACTCGGGATGCTGAGGCCGGAGGATTCCTTGAGCCCAGGAACTTGCGGATGCAGAGAACTGTGATTGCGCCACTGCACTCCAGTCTGAGCTCAGGAGAGCAAGACCCTGTCTCTAAAATAAATACATAAATAAAAATGCTTCATTTAATCTTTAAAATTCATGAACATGTTGCATTAAACATTATGATGAACTACATCCATTAATAATTCATTCCATCATCAATAATGACCCTCTCCTTCCTGAATCTCTTTACTAGCCAGACTAGATGTTGACGTTTCATTCATAAAAAATAAGCATGTTAGCCAGGCGCGGTGGCTCACGCCTGTAATCCCAGCACTTTGGGAGGCCGAGGTGGGCGGATCACGAGGTCAGGAGATCCAGACCATCCTGGCTAACACGGTGAAACCCCATCTCTACTAAAAATACAAAAAAAATTTAGCTGGGCATGGTGGCGCGCGCCTGTAGTCCCAGCTACTCCGGAGGCTGAGACAGGAGAATGGCGTGAACCCGGGAGGCGGAGCTTACAGTGAGCCGAGATAGCGCCACTGCATTCCAGCCTGGGCAACAGAGCAAGACTCCGTCTCAAAAAAAAAAAAAAAAAAAAAAAAAAGGCACGTCAAATACCTTCAGGCAAGGGCAGCTTTATGTTCAACTTTGTTTTTATACCATACATATACATAATTTTCCTCTCTAAATCTCTGAAGAAAATTGAGCTTTAGGAAGATGTGCCATGTTTATACCTTGACTTGGTTCTCCTCCTGACCTCTTCACTCCACACGGCCCCACAACCATGTAGCTCTTGGGGAGTGTGGGCCCAGGATTCCCAGGGCACGGTGTATTTTCCTACCGTAGTAAATGCAGGTACAGTCATACACTGCAGAAGGCTGTTTCAGTCAATAATGGCCTCACATACAAAGGTAGTTCCAGAAGATTATAATCAGGCTGAAAAATTCCTATCGCCTAGTGATGTCATAGCCATTGTATCCTCAAAGCACAATGCATCACTCCTGTGTTTGTGGTGACCCTTGGTATTAACAAACCTATTGTGCTACCAGATACGTGAACGTCTACCACATACAATTATGTACAGTACATGACACTTGATGATAATAAATGACTATGTTATGGATTTATGTATTTACTATACCTCTTATTATTTTACTGTGTACACCTTTTACTTATGAAAACACCCTCGGGCAGGTCCTTTAGGAGGTATTCTCGAAGAAGGCATTGTTCTCATAGGAGATGATAGCGCCATGAGTGTTATTGCCCCTGAAGGCTTTCCAGTGGGACAGGATGTGGAGGTGAAAGACACTGGTATTGATGATCTTGACCCTGTGGAGGCCTAGATGAATGTGCGTGTTTGTATCTTAGTTTTTAACAAATAAGTTTAAAAAGTTAAAAACAAAATTAAAAATAGATAAAAGCTTATAGAATAAGGCTATAAAAAAGAAAATAGGCCTGGTGCACTGGTTCATACCTATAATCCCAGCACTTTGGGAGGCTGAGGTGGGCAGATTGCTTGAGCCCGGGGGTTCAAGACCAGTCTGGGCAACATGACAAAACCCCGTATCTACAGAAAATACAAAAGTTAGCCAGGCATGGTGGTGCACACTTGTGGTCTCAGCTACCTGGGAGGCTGAGGTGGGAGGATCAGCTGAGCCCAGGAGGTTGAGGCTGCAGTGAGCTGTGATTGCACTACTGCACCCAGCCTGAGTGACAGAGTAAGACCCTGTCTCCAAAAAAAAAAAAAAAAAAAAAAGAAAATATTTTTGTGTAACTGTACAATGTGCTTGTGTTTTAAGCTAAATGTTATTACAAATGAATTGAAAATTAAAAAATTAAAAAGTTTATAAAGTCAAAAAACTACAGTTAGCTAAAGTTAATTTATTATTGAAGAAAGAAAAATATTTTTATAAATTTAACGTAGCCTGAGAGTACAGTGTTTATAAAGTCTGGAGTAGTGTTCTACTGTAGTACAGTACTATAGTAATGCCCTATGCCTTCACATTCACTCTCCACTAACTCACTGACTTATCTAGAGCAACTTCCAGTCCTACAAGCTTCATTCACAGTGAGTGCCTTATACAAATGTATCATTTTTAAATCTTTTATACCATATTTTCCCTGTACCTTTTCTACATTTAGCTATGTTTAGATACACAAATCCTTACCATTGTGTTACAGTTGCCTACAGTATTCAGTACAGTAACATGCTCAACAGGGTTGTAGCCAGGTACACTAGGCTATACCATATAACCTCAGTGTGTGGTAGGCTCTGCCATCTGTTTGTGTATGAGCACTCTATAATGTTTGCACAATGATGAAATCATCTAGTGATACATTTTATAGAACATATCCCCATCATTAAATGATGCATGACTGTATTTGAAAAGTTAGGATATTATATCTCTAGATGATTAGTTCTCCCTGTTGGAGACTTTTCACATATGAGGCCCAACTACAGAAATGAAACTAATAGGCCTACATGAATCTTGGGGAAATCCATCTCTTTGCTTTATATTATATGGCTATGGGTTGCATCAGTATTGATTCCATCTTCTTAGAAAGATGTTGCTTGACATGGGCCATAAACCTTCTGACTTGTAATTTTTATTACTTTTCTTTTTTTCTCTTAAGACATCAAGGAGAGAAATTGGCCAATTAGAAGTTTTAGGTGGTCAAGGGCAGAGAACTTATGTCATGGAAGCAGAATTTGTCATTGAGAAACCCTTTCTGTCTATCCCAGTTCATACCCTTGGTACCACCAGGAAATAAAGGAGGATAGAAAGGAAACTACTTTGTTGAGGATCGATGCAAGGTATCATAGACCTGGGAAGGAGCCTCGAGTCCTTTGGCTCCCTTTATCACTTTTATGAGCAGAATGAAATAGATCATATGTGTACTTCTCTCTATAAGAGAAGGAAGACTATGTGGTGTATGTTACAGCCTCCGCTGCATAGAGTATGTGTGTGATTACATAGTCCTAGTTCTGGTCTCATTATCTTTTTTTTTTTTTTTGAGACAGAGTCTCGCTCTGTCGCCCAGGCTAGAGTGCAGTGGCACAATCTCGGCTCACTGCAAGCTCCGCCTCCCGGGTTCACGCCATTCTCCTGCCTCAGCCTCCCGAGTAGCTGGGACTACAGGCGCCGGCCACCACACCCGGCTAATTTTTTGTATTTTTAGTAGAGACGGGGTTTCGCTGTCTTAACCAGGATGGTCTCAATCTCCTGACCTTGTGATCTGCCCGCCTCTGCCTCCCAAAGTGCTGGGATTACAGGCGTGAGCCACCGCGCCCTTCCTGGTCTCATTATCTTATCATACTAACCTATAAGAGCTGCTTGTGTCCAGTGAAAGGAAATACCACATCTTATTAGGAGCTACATACTAGGGTTGCCTAACTCGTGAATATGTAAAACTCTAGCCACATGCATGGGGGTATCGAATAAGCCTACTCTGGAAGTCTGCTTAACCATATCTAGAATTGACATTGGGTTGTCTAATTTGTATATACATAAAAACTACAGCTAAAACCAATCCTTTGGGGTTGCTTAGTTTACATATACATAAGATTTACAATCATATGGTTGGGGTAACAGAAACAGTATATATATACAGAACCAGGACAACCAAGAGGTGTCCATTAATTATAAGATCTCAAACGTTCATACCTTCATGATACTTGCTCCTGCTGCAGGGATACATTGTTTCCATCCCCTTGCCTGAGCTGGGAGGGTGAGCCTCTGGAGAAAGATTTTTGATTTTGCTCTAATGAGAGCCCTCCTACTGAATCCAACCCCCAGTGAGAGCCTAGGCACCTGTGGATTGGTGAGGGCACACATCCATACCTACAGGGTGATAGTGCACAATCATGGATCCCACCTATAGGTTACTACTGTGGCCTTCTACTCCTACCCCAAAGACATGGTGTATGTATATTAACAGGAAGGCCTAGTTTAGATGTCAGGTAATTTTATACTGGATTATCTTTTGCTGTGTTCAATAATTTTATAATAAATAGAAATAGTTTGAAAAGGCTACATCTAGTAGGTTTCTACATCATTGCATCAAAACCAGTGGAATAGATGAAGGAGGGTCACTGCAGGTCTTAGATCCCCCTAACTTTGATATGATGTTTCTCAGGTCTCATTCAGGATTTTTTTTCTAAATCTAAAAGATTTAGATGAAGTCTTTTCTCTTGCATTTCAGTAATTCCCTTCCTTCCTTCCTTCCTTCCTTCCTTCCTTCCTTCCTTCCTCCCTCCCTCCCTCCCTTTATTTATTTAGAGACACAGTCTCACTCTGTCTGCACTCCAGGCTGGAGTGCAGTGGCATGATCTTGGCTCACTGCACTCTCTGCCTCCTAGGTTCAAACGATTCTCCTGCCTCAGCCTCCCAAGTAACTGGGACTACAGGCGGGTACCACCACACCCAGCTAATTTTTTGTATTTGTGGTAGAGATGGGGTTTCACCATGGTGGCCAGGCTGGTCTCAAACTCCTAACCTCAAGTGATCCACCTGCCCCGGCCTCCCAAAGTGCTGGGATTACAGGTGTGAGCCACCATGCAGAGCCTCTTTCTATTGCTCTTCTTTCTTTTCTTTCAAATATTTACATGTTTTCTATTTATTCATTCAGCAGCCATTTATTGAGTACTCACCTGTCAGTGGGCTGCAGATGTATGGAAACTAACATGATCCCCATTCATGATCTCAATCTCTAGGAGAGTAAATAGGAGTAAATAGACACATAACCAGAACAATGACATAAATAATTTGGTACATGCAAGCAGAGAATTCCCAACACAGAGGAGAAACTTGTAGCCTGGCTGAGGATGGAAGGAGGTAGATGGGGACTGTTTTTGAAGAAGGTGATGTTTGATCTAACAGCTAAAAGACAGGAAGGATTCAGCTAGGTGGAGAAGCTAGGGTTTCAGGCAAGTGGGGGAACAGAAAAGGGAGAGAACAGTACAGTCACATGTCGATTAACAAAGGGCATATATGCTGAGGGATGTGTTGATAGGCAATTTCATCAATGTGTAAACATCACGGAGTGTACTGACACAAACCTAGATGACATGGCCTACTACACACCTAGGCTATATGGTATAGCCTATTGTGTCTAGGCTACAACTCTGTATAGCATACCACTGTACTGAATATTGTAGGCAATTGTAACACAATGGCAATACAATTGTAACACAATGGATTTAAATACATCTAAACATTAACAAGGTACAGTCAAAATGCAGTACTATAATCTTATGGGACCACTGTCATATATGTGGCCCATGATTGAGTGAAACATTGTTATGTGGCCCATGACTGTATGTGGAAAAGAATGGAAGACAACACAGCATGCATGAAAGGAGAACTTTAAATAAATGAGTCTGGTTGGAGGAAAGCATGAGTTGGAGGGAAGGATGAGAAACAAGCTTTGAGATAGAAGGAGGATTAGGCAAGGGCTTACATGTGAAGTTGCAGGTCCAAAGATGCACTCATTCAATACTTATTTATGCTAGGCTCTGTTTTCAGATGTCTGGGATGCTGGGATGAACAAGGCAAATTCCCATTCCCATTCTAGTCTAGAAGTCAAACAATTAAAAAACAACATCAGCAACAGCAAAAAGAAAAAAGAAAAACATCAGATATTGCTAGGTTCTATGCAGAAAGCTAAAATAGATATAAAAAAGTGACTATATTGGAGCAGAAATCCAGAAAAGGCCTGAGAGATGACATTTAGAGTAAGACAAGACATTTAGTGTGAATGGCAAGTAAGAAATAGTCATGCAGAGACCAGGAGGAGCAGCACTCTAGGCAGGAGGAACAGCGTGTGCAAAGGCCTAAACCAGGAAGGAGCATCACCTGTGAGTGGGACAGTGAGGGACAGAGTGGGGGAGGAGACAGAGGGAGGACATGAAGTCAGGGAGGAAGGCAGAAATTATTATGCTGGGCAGAATTCCAAATATATATGTATTCTTTTTTGCTGTTGGATTTTCTTTATGAAAAGGCAGCGGTCAGGCCGGGCACAGTGGCTCACGCCTGTAATCCCAGCACTTTGGGAGGCCAAGGCAGGCGGATCACCTGAGGTCAGGAGTTCAAGACCAGCCTGGCCAACATGGCGACACCCCATCTCTACTAAAAATACAAAAATTAGCCCGGTGTGATGGCAGGCACCTGTAAGCCCAGCTACTCTGGAGGCTGAGACAGGAGAATCACTTGAACCTGGGAGGTGGAGGTTGCAGGGAGCAGAGATCGCACCACTGCACTCCAGCCTGGGCGACAGAGCGAGACTCCGTCTCAAAAGAAAAAAAAGAAAAGGCAGAGGTCTTAGATGACCAGAAGAGAGCAGCCTTGCCTTGTATTCTGGGACATGAGCCCGAATTGAGGATTGTAGTCAATTAAAAGCATTGCCTGAACCCAGGTGAAGCTCCCACTCACCCACTCTGCTGGCTTCACACAGGGCTTTGCTGTTCTGAAGGAGTTGTGAATCTAGTGAGGTCATCTTCAATGGAAACTTTACATTTATACTTGGCTATTTTGTTATTTTATTCAAATACATCTAGTGGATATTAACAAAAGAGGTTTCATAACCAAAGGCTCAGTGCAGGAAATGAGGGGGAAGGTGGAGTGCGTGGGGAGGGAGGTGATGGGAGCCAGTGCAGATGTGTGTCTGACTCTTGCTCAGCACCCTTTTCCCCTTGTACTGCCACTTCATCAGGGGGTCCCTTCCACCTCACCCCCAGTTGTGCTCTCTCTCTGATCCTGGGGGAAAACATGCCACTATTAGCACATTTGTCCTAAGAGTGTTTCTGTCAAACTCAGGAGAGAACGGTTTTGGCTGTAACGATGAAGAGTGGGCAAGGAACAGGCAAACCCACTTTAAACATGGGTGGGCCTTCTTTTCTTTCCCCACTTTCCCTTGGTTGGACATTTGGGAAGTAGCTGTCCAAATCCAAAATGGCAGCTCTCCCAGCTTTCCAGACGGAAGGGGTGGGAAGTAGAGAGGGGCTGGGGGAGTGGAGTGTGGCTTGTGAAGAAGATCCCAGGGAAGAGCTGGACTGCACAATGTTGATGAGGGTTGGAGTGTTGCCTACGTCAAACCATTGCTGCCCTGTGACATCCGATCCAGGTTGTAAGTTATGTTCGTTCATTCCCCCACTGCTATAAAGAAATAGCTGAGACTGGGTAATTTATAAAGAAAAGAGGTGTAATTGGCTCATGGTTCCACAGGCTGCACAGGTAGCATGGCTGGGGAGGTCTCAGGAAGCTTTCAATCTTGGTGGAAGGTGAAGGGGAAGCAGACATATCTTACGTGACCAGAGCAGAAGAGAGAGGGCGTGGGGGGGAGGTGCCACACACTTTTAAAACAACCAGATCTGGTGAGAACTCACTATCACAAGAACAGCAAAGGGGACATGCACCCCCATGATCCAATCATCTCCCACCAGGCCCCTCCTCCAACATGGGAGATTACAATTAAACATGAGATGTGGGGACACAAATCCAAACCACATCATAATGCTTCTTCAGGGATCCTGACAGCCTTGCTCCTAACACCCCATAGCTCCTCTTCTCTCCTCCATGCATTACTGTGAGAGGGCTTTGCTGTCCGGTTCTTGCCCTCTGAGAATATGACATTTTTGGTGTAACAGTGGATGCTGTGTATTATCCATTTTTCCAGAGGGACTAAGTTGTACTTCTCTTTTCCTTGATCCCAGTTTCTAGGAGCTAATACTGTGTCCAGAATTGGTGGGTTCTTGGTCTCACTGACTTCAAGAATGACGCCGTGGACCCTCGCGGTGAGTGTTACAGTTCTTAAAGGCGGCGTGTCCGGAGTTTGTTCCTTCTGATGTTCGGATGTGTTCAGAGTTTCTTCCTTCTGGTGGGGTTCGTGGTCTCGCTGGCTCAGGAGTGAAGCTGCGGACCTTCGCTGTGAGTGTTACAGCTCTTAAGGCGGCGCGTCTGAAGTTGTTTGTTCCTCCGGGTGGGTTCGTGGTCTCACTGGCTTCAGGAGTGAAGCTGCAGACCTTCGCTGTGAGTGTTACAGCTCTTAAGGCCGCGCGTCTGAAGTTGTTTGTTCCTCCGGGTGGGTGGTCTCACTGGCTTCAGGAGTGAAGCTGCAGACCTTCGCAGTGAGTGTTACAGCTCATAAAGGCAGTGTGGACCCAAAGAGTGAGCAGCAGCAAGATTTATTGCAAAGAGCGAAAGAACAAAGCTTCCACAGTGTGGCGTGGCGGCGTGGGGGCGGGGGGATTGGGGTGTTGGGGGGAGTTGTGGGGGGGATTGGGCTGGTGAGACCCAGGCGTGGCGGGCTATAGGTCCTGAGCCCTGCCCCTCGGGGAGGCAGCTAAGGCCCAGTGAGAAATCGAGCACACAGCCAGTGGGCCAGCACTGCTGGGGGACCTGGTGTACCCTCTGCAGCTGCTGGCCCAGGTGCTAAGCCCCTCACTGCCCGGGGCCGGTGGGGCCGGCGGGCCGGCGGCTCCAAGTGCGGGGCCGCCAAGCCCACGCCCACCCGGAACTCTAGCTGGCCCGCAAGCGCCACGCGCAGCCCTGGTTCCGCCCGTGCCTTTTCCTCCATGCCTCCCCGCAAGCCGAGGGAGCCGGCTCCGGCCTCGGCCAGCCCAGAGAAGGGCTCCCATGGTCCAGCGGCGGGCTGAAGGGCTCCTCAAGCACGGCCAGAATGGGTGCCGAGGCCGAGGAGGCACCGAGAGCGAGTGAGGGCCACGAGGGCTGCCAGCATGCTGTCACCTCTCAATACCTCTCCTGGCTTCCGGGACCTTAAAGCTGTCCATAACCAAGGTGAGGACAGTGAGCAGAAATAGAATGGAAGATGCCTGCATGTGTTCTGTGGGTCCATATATGTGTGTATAAATGCCCAGAAAAAGGTCTGGAAGGTTACACATAAAGCTGATAACAGTGGTTACTTTTGTAGAGGCAGGAAAAGAACCACAATTGGGGCTATCAAAGGGGATGTTAGCCTAGCATTTAGATTTTTATAAGGAGCATGTATTAATGTATTGCTTATATAACTAAATGTATAATTAAAATTAATTTGCAATTCCAGACCTGAAAAAAAAATTGGAAAGGATGAGGCTGCTGCATTTGGGATCTGAGCTGAGGACTCAAGAGATGGGAGAGAGTAATGAGTCTAAGGTGAAGACTGGGCTGGGGAGTTGTGACAAACAGCTAATAAGGGAAGGGTCAGATCAGGATGGCTTTGAATGTTAGGCAGAAGTAAGCCTTGTTTTTGTTGATATTTTAATATTTGGGGCAGAGGAATCATGCCAAATATTTGTGAATAAAATAAATATATAATTTAATAAATTAGTATTGACTTGGTTTAGAAAAAGAAATTATTAGGTGATTGTGGAATTTGGATTGTGTCCAAACTATTAACACATAGTGTATATCTCAAGCAGGACATTTTGGGTTTAAGGATTTACGTTGTGTGTTCTTTACCCCCAGCTCTTTAGTAGCTGGTGATTGACAGCATGTCAGGAGAAATTTTGGCCCCAGATAATCCTAAAATGACCACAGTGTGGTGTTCCCCAAGCTGAGTTCCGTGGAACACTAGTCCTTGAGAGAGACAGGGCTGCGTGATCAAATCTGGTTGGGAAGGGCAGACTACCACACTTCCCTCTTGAAGGGCCACAGTGTATTTTGGAATGGTAAAGCCTCTGAGAAGTGCTACAAGAAAGAAGTTCAGTAGTCAGGTGAGCTTCAGAGGAGTATGATTAGTGGCTCAACAATGACATCAAGAATTCATCCCAGATATTTCCACATCAATTTCAAACTGAAGATGGTTCTTTTTATGGTCACAAGAGGGCTGCCACTGACAAGTAGGGCCTCATGCTTCCTTATTCACGTCCGGAAGAGGGAAGGGAGAGTGAGAAAAAAACTGCTTTTCCAACTGTCTTTCCCTTCAGTTTGATTGGGCCAACTTAAGTCATGATAGTCACCGGGAGACTGCTAGGTACTGATTTACTCACACTAATCAGATCCACCGCTTGAAAGCTGGGAATGGAGTTAGCTTCCCTGAAGAACATGACTGTGTGGAGCAGGAGTGAATTTTTGGGGAAAAAAAAGGTAAGGATCCTGTTAGGAAAAAGGAAAGGTGGATGAGAGTATGCAACGCAATGCATTCAGTGCTGAGAGATGCAGTCTGTAGCAGGCAGACATAGCGGATGAAACTAGGAGCCCCAAGTGTGTGGAAGGCAGCAGGTGGCTGTGGCCTGAGGGAAGGGAGAGATGGTGCTAGCCAAGGACATCAAGATGGGCCTGAAGGCAAGGGTACCTGACAAAGACACTGGTTGCTGCTTTCAGTGGTGGCTCAGGACTTTATTTATACTTTTGAAACTATGAGGATTTATTTAAAATTCTGTCACGTATGGAATGGTTTAGAATTTTGGAGAATTTGAAAAAGAATTAAAATGCTGCTGAACTTTAAAGAGAACTAAATAAAGAACAAAGCAGCAGGAAGTGCTGCTTGTGGAATAAAGATGGGGTCTTCTTCTCCTTGAGGGTGCCAGGCATGAAAAGTGCCAAATGGCAATTTATTTTCTTTATATAAGTTTCTCCTGAAATATTTGTCTATCAAGGCTGTCAGACGTGAATGCAGTTGCAAAACGAGTGACTAACTTAATTTGAGAACTAAAAGTGTTTTCCTTATCTTTCTGCCTGTGACTCAACATAACTGTTTTCTCTAGGAATGAGCAAATGTTAGGTCAGAGCCCTTTGGCACCTGAGATACTGAACTCCTAACTCACCAAGTAAGATGCTTAAAAGTGTTTATTCTGAAAACTGACATTTCAGCTCAGTCTCTTCTAGTGTGATATGGAAAACAGGTTGTGTTGCAGCAATTATCCAAATAGCAGATAGCAACTGTATACTTGTGCAGTTACTCATATTCTATATACATTAGGATACACATGATTAGAACGAGTATGTACGTAAATATATTAATGTATAGAGAAGGGTTGGTGAATTGGTGGGGAAGAATTTTCTTTACGGCTGTAGTTGTACCTCATTTTATATAAGTCTGTCCTCCCATGTGTAAAAATCAAAATTCAAAATATATTGTGTCATTTTTTTGAAGTACTGGGGAAACTTGCTAGTAAAGAAATTCACTGGATAAGTTATTTTACAAAGTGAATATGCATTTATTTTTCTTTTATATAATACAATTTCCATATATTGGTCTTGTTTATCGGAGGAGTATTCCTGATACAACTGTTTCATTTTGAAAGTTAAAAGTGAAGGCTGGGTGTGGTGGCCCATGCCTGTAATCCCAGCACTTTGGGAGGCCGAGGAGGGTGGATCACCTGAGGTCGGGAGTTCGAGACCAGCCTGACCAACATGGAGAAACCCTGTCTCTACTAAAATTACAAAATTAGCTGGGCATGGTGGCTCATGCCTGTAATCCCAGCTACTTGGGAGGCTGAGGCAGGAGAATTGCTTCAACCTGGGAGGTGGAGGTTGCGGTGAGCCAAGATTGCGCCATTGCACTCCAGCCTGGGCAACAAGAGTGAAACTCTGTCTCAAAAACAAAAACAAAAACAAAAACAAAAAACAAAAAAAACAGAAAATTAAACGTGAAAAACCAGAAGAAGTCTTCAAATTTGTAGTAAATTTGGTAGGATAGCACTCTTCCTTGCTTACCAAATGCGTATCATTTTCAGGATATCTGTAAGCTAAGGAGAATGTAGAAGGAATCAGAGATCACTATGTTTTGAGGCAGTGTTTCTACTCTACAAATGTAAAATTTAGTTCTTTCTAATGAAATGAGCATTAGCCTTCTCTATATGGCTCCTCTTTAACTATAGACTTTAACAACTTGTTTGAACAGAGAATAAAGAAAAATGAAACCAGACATTAATGTAACAGAAGGACTTGAACTTTTGAAGTGATAAAGTTTGAAATAAACACATGAAGCTGATTAAATATTGAGAGGGGGAAAGTCAGTAAGTTAGAGCCTCCCAAGAACTTATTCTTATTTTGGGGAAGGTGAGGGTTGAAAGTGGAGGGATGCTATGGTCTGAATGTTGTGTCTCCCCAAAATTCATGTTGAAATCTAATCTCCAATGCAATAGTATTAAGAGGTGGGGCCTTTAGGAGGTGATTATGTCATGAGGGCAGAACCCTCGTGAGTGAGATTAGTTCCCTTATAAAAGAGCCCAAGGGGGCTTATTCACCCCTTCTGCTATGTGAGGACACTAAGAAGCTGCCATGTATGAGGAATGGGTCCTTAGCTGACACTGAATCTGGTGGCATCTTGATTTTGAACTTCACAGCCTCCACAACTGTGAGCAATACATTTCTGTTGTTTATAAATTATCCACTGTAATGTATTTTGTTATAGCAGCCTGAACAGACTAAGACAGAAATTTGTACCAAGAAGTGGGGTGTTGCTATAACAAATACCTACATGTGTGGAAGCAGCTTTGGAACTGGGTAGTGGGGAGGGGCTGGAAGAGTTTGGAGTTTGCATGCTAGAAAAAACCTACATTGAAGTGAACAGGGCAGTAAGGGTGATTCTTATAAGGGCTCAGAAGAGATATGTAGAGAAAGCCTCCGTCTTCTTAGAGATTACCTAAGAGATCATGCACAGAATGCTGGTAGAAATATGGATGGCAAAGGCCATTCTGATGAGGTCTCAGATGGAAATGAGGAACATCTTATTGGAAATTGGAAGAAAGGCAATCTTTTTTATAAAGTGGCTGAGAACTTGGCTGAATTGAGTTTGTATTCTAGTATTTTGTGGAAGGTAGAACTTCTGAGTGAGAAGAAAGGATGTTTGGTAGGAGAAATACCTAAGCAAAGTGTTGAGGGTGTGGCATGGCTTCTCTATGTTAATAAAGTAAAATGTGAGAAGGGAGAAACAAATTAAAAATGAAATTTATAATCAAAAGGAAAGAAGAACTTAAATATTTGGAAAATTGTCAACCTGGCCATGTTTTAAAAAATGAAAAAGAATGCTTTTCATTCTTTTGAAAAAATGAAACAGTGTGGCCAAGTGACTATTTCATAAAGAGACTAGTAAGACGTGGTCAGACTAGAAGCCAGGTGTTATTCATCAAGGCAATGAAGAATGACCCCTGGGGCATTTCAGAGAGATCATCTGGGCTGCCACTCTACTCAAAAGCCCAGGGGGCCAAGGGACTGGGGGACAGACTAGATCAACTACAGTGATGCATCCCTTAATGACAGGGATACATTCTGAGAAATGGGTCATTAGGTGATTTTATCATTGTATGGACATCATAGAATGTATTTACACAAACCTTGATGGTACAGCCTGCTACACCTTGACTATATGGTATAGCCTATTGCTTTAGGCTACTAACCTGTACAGCATATTACTGTACTGAATAAGTAGGGAGCTGTACCACAACAGTAAGTGTTTGTGTTTCTAAACATATTTAAATATAGAAAAAGTCCAATGTTCCTAACACAGAGAAGTGATAAATGCTTGAGTTGATGGATACTCCAGTTACTCTGATGTGTTTATTACACAATATGTGGCTGTATCAAAACATCATGTGTACTCCATAAATATATATACATACTATGTATCCATAAAAATTAAAAATTAAAAAAGAAAGGGTACAGTAAAAATATAGTGTTATAATCTAATGGGACCACCATTGTGTATAGTTTGTCATTGACTGAAATGTCTTGTGCATGACATGTCAAAAGAGGGGCCTCTAGAGTCTGTGGGACCTCACAGCACAGTATTGCCTCAAGTCTTTGTTCCCTGCATTCTGGTGCAGTGCTTCTCAGCTAGCCCAGGTGTGGCTCCAGTGGGCCCAAGTGTGGTGCAGTCCACAGTGGCTGTCCCTTCGAGGACACAGGCAGTAAACCTTGGCGGTGTTTGTGAGGTGTCATCACCATGGATGCTCAGAGCGCATGAGCTGTGGGGTCATGGCTACCTCCACCTAGATTTCATAGGATGCTCTGGACAGCCTCAGAGCCCAGGCAGAGAAATGGTACAGGGGAGAAGATATTGCAGAGACCCTACTATGACAATAGCTCATAAAGCCATGGGAGTGGGGCCATCCCTGAGACCCCAGAATGGTAGAACCACTGCTACTCCAGGCTGGGAGAACCACAGGCAGGAGACTCCAACCTGGGAAAGTTGTGTGTGCTGTGCCCAGCAAAGCCATGAGGGGTGGGGCTGCCCAGAGCCTTGGAGACCTAACCTTTTCCCCAGTGTGTCCGGAAGTGGGGCATCTTTAAGGTTTAAGATTGTTCATCCTGTTGGGTTTTGAACTTACTTGGGATGAGCCACCCCTTTCTTCCTTCCTATTTCTATCTTTTGGAATGGGAATATCTATCCTGTGCCTGTCCCACCATTGTATTTTGTAAGCGTATAACTTCTGATTTCACAGATTCACAGCTGGAGAGAAATTTGCCTCAGGATGAATCATACCTTGAGTCTCACCCAAATCTAATTTAGATGATATTTAGATGAGACTTTGGACTTAGATTTTAGTTAATGCTGGAACCAGTTAAGACTTTGGGGACCATTGGGATGGAATAAATGTATTTTGCATGTGGGAAGGATATGGATTTTGGGGGCCAAGGTGGAATGTTCTGAATGTTTGTGTTCCTCCCCATGTTCATTTGTTGAAACCTAATCTCCAATGCAACATTAGTAAGAAGTGGGGCCTTGGAGAAGAAGAGAGGCTCATGGGAACTTGTTCACCCCTTCTGCCATATGAAGGCAGATAGAAGCTGCCATGTATGAGGAATGTGTCCTCTCCAGATACTGAATTTGCTGGCATCTTGATTTTAAACTTCCAAGCCTCTAGAACTGTGAGGAATGAACTAATATTGTTTATAAATTACCCAGTCTAAGGTATTCTGTTATAGCAGCCTGAACAGACTAAGACACAATTCAGCTATGAAAATATTCACCTCTCAAAATTCTGCTTTGTCTTTGTAAGGTCTGTGTATTGCAGACCTTATATATTCTCCAAAATGAAACTCTGTTGGAGTCTGTGAGGTGCTGTTACTAACAGAGTTTATTGTTTTCCTGGAGATATTGAGGCATAAAAATATGTTGACAGAGAGTGCTCCAAATATATAAACATTCTATTAGGGTCAGAGGGAAACAGAAAAATGTCTGTGTCTGTACTCGACTTTGAGATAGGACTAGGCCTTCTGTAATGGAATTAGATGGAATCGTTAATATTCTTTGAAACCTTGTGGGGTAGAAGCAAAGGCTTGGATGCAGGTTAGCAATAGTTATTTAAAGATTGTACCCTTTTTGTTTTCCTAGAGATGGAAGTCTGACTTGACTTTTGGGGGCAGATTACTCCTATAACAACAACAGCAACACTTCAGTAGGCCTTCTGGTTATGTAAAGATAAACGCAAGAAACTATTCTGGAGAACAAAGGTTTAATGCAACCAGAAGCTAAACTGCTTCTGTTTAAAGTACATGTCTGCAGTAAACTGTGAAAGTTATCTTCAGTTGGGTGGAATAGAGGAATATTTCAGTTGGAAGTGGGGCATAAGATTTTTTTTTCCCTTAAGGAATTCTGGAATTCTCTTAGTAGGGGACTTAGTAACAGGCTGCAGGTCAGGGGCTAAAGAGAGAAGGTGATGCTCAGAGTTAGTGAGGCTTGGTCTATGGACTTGGTGCGGCTGTATTTGACATTCAGGCTGATGGTATCTGCTCAGTGCTGTAATGGCTTTTGTGGTGTCCAGCTCTCAGTGAGATTTTGTTTACTCTTCTTGCTTGGTTGCTGAGACAGCATTGACAAAGAGTCGGACCAGACAGCATTGATAGTGCCCTGGAAACAAATCTCAAGAGTGAGCAGGCAGAAACATGTATACTTCCTTTTCTGTCATTCCTGGGTGATATGGTTTGGCTGTGGCCCCACCCAAATCTCATCTTGAATTGTAGTTCCCATAATCCCCATGTGTGTTAGGAGGGACCCAGTGGGAGGTAATTGAATCATGGGGGTGGTTACCCCCTTGCTGCTATTCTTGTGATAGTAAGTTCTCATGAGATCTGATGCATTCTTCTGTCTCCTGCTGCCTTGTGAAGAAGGATGTGTTTGCTTCCCCTTCCACCATGATTGTAAGTTTCTTGAGACCTCCCCAGCCATGCAGAACTGTGAGTCAATTAAAACTCCTTCCTGTACAAATTACCCAGTCTCAGGTATTTCTTCATAGCAGTGTGAAAATGGACTAATACAGTAAATTGGTACCACAGAGAGTGGGGTGCTGCCATAAATATACCTGAAAATGTGGAAACGACTTTGGAACTGGGTAACAGGGAGAGGTTGGAACAGTTTGGAGGGCTCAGAAGAAGACAGGAAAATGTGGGAAAGTTTGGAACTTCCTAGAGACCTGTTGAATGGCTTTGACCAAAATGCCAATAGTGATATGGACAATGAAGTGCAGGCTGAGGTGGTCTTGGATGTAGATGGGGAACTTTTTGGGAACTGGAGTAAAAGTCACTCTGCTATGCAAAGAGACTTGTGGCATTTTGCCTCTGCCCTAGAAATCTGTGGGACTTTGAACTTGAGAGAGATGATTTAGGGCATCTGTTGGAAGAAATTTCTAAGTGGCAAAGCGTTCAAGAGGAAGCACAGCATAAAAATTTGGAAAATTTGTAGCCTAATGATGCTACAGGGCATGTCTGCAGGGCATGTCAGAGACCTTCACAGCAGCCCCTCCCATCACAGGCTGAGAGGCTGAGGAGGGAAAAATGGTTTCATGGGCCGGGCCCAGAGTCCCCCTTCTCTATGTGGCCTTGGGACATGGTGCCCTGTGTCCCAGCTGTTTGAGCTCCAGCCATGGCTAAAAGGGGCCAAGGCACAGCTCTGGCCATTGCTTCAGAGGATGCAAGCCCCAGGCCTTGGCAGCTTCCATGTGGTGTTGGTCCTGGGGGTGCACAGAAGACAAGAATCAAGGTTTGGGAACCTCTGCCTAGATTTCAGAGGATATACGGAAATGCCTGGATGTTTAGGCAGAAGTTTGCTGCAGGAGTAGAGCTGTCATAGAAAACCTCTCCAGGGCAGTGCAGAAGGGAAATGTGGGGTTGGAGCCTCCATACAGAGTCCCTGCTGAGGCACTGCCTAGTGGAGCTGTGAGAAGAGGGCCACTGTCCTCCAGACCCCAGAATGGTAGATCACCTGACGGCTTGCACCATGTGCCTGGAAGAGCCACAGACACTCAGTGCCAGCCCGTGAAAGCAGCATGGAGGGGGTCTGTATCCTGCAAAGCCACAGGGGTGGTGGAGCTGCCCAAGGCCATGGGAGACCACCTCTTGAATCCATGTGGCCTGGATGTGAGACATGGAGTCAAAGGAGATCATTTTGGAACTTTAAGGTTTAATGACTGCCCTATTGGATTTTGGACTTGTATGGGGCCTGTGGCCCCTTTGTTTTGGCCAATTCCTCCCGTTTAGAGCAGGAGTATTTACCCAATGCCTGTACTCCCATTGTATCTAGGAAGCAACTAACTTGCTTTTCATTTTCCAGGCTCATAGGCACAAGGGACCTGCTTTGTCTCAGATAAGACTTTGGACTTGAACTTTTGGGTTAATGGTGGAATAAGACTTTGGGGGACTGTTGGAAAGGCATGATTGGTTTTGAAATGTGAGGACATGAGATTTTGGAGGAGCCAGGGGCAGAATGATGTGGTTTGCTGTGTCCCCACCTGAATCTCATCTTGAATTATAGTTCCCATAATCCCCATGTGTGGTGGGAGGGAGCGGGTGGGAGGTAATTGAATCATGGGGACACTTACTCCCATGCTGCTATTCTCATCACAGTAAGTTCTCCTGAGAGCTGACGGTTTTATAAGGGGCTTCCCCCTTCACTCAGCTTTCATTCTTCTCTCTCCTGCTGCCTTGTGAAGAACGACATTTTTGCTTCCCTTTCTGTCACAATTATAAGTTACCTGAAGCCTCCCCTGCCCTGCAGAACTTTGAGTCAATTAAACCTCTTTCCTTTATAAATTACCCAGTCGTGAGTATGTCCTTGTAGCAGCATGAGAACGGACTAATACACTGGGACAGGATCTTCTGCTTGGATATTATCTCTTGCCTGAGAGAAGAGATTTTATCCTCATCTCAATCTTGGGCTTGTCTCCCTGAATCCTAATTTCCTGCCAGGGTCAACCTGTTCTTGGGATGATTGGCAGTGGTATTATAATATTCATTCCCTTTAATGGAAGCCCCTCTCCCAATTACAGCAATATAATTGACTCAAAGACCCTGAAGAGAAAAATCACAAAAAGAGTGACACCCCTAAATAGACAAACTTCTTAAGCAGATTAAGTGAGTTACCTGTTTGGCAACAGCCTTTGTTTGAGCCATGTTTTTCACTTGGGGAGTTAATCTATCTAACCAAGGTCTTGAGAGCAGGGGATTTCTCCTTTCTCATCCATCCAGACCATGGGGCCAATGACCCTGGGAGCTTTACCTTCCCCTCAGGTGGCCCCTCCAAGTTGGTTATAAGGGAGTCAGCCAGGCCATTTGTCTTCCAGCCTAGCTTTATCTGTAATAAAGATGGTATTTGGTGCTCCATCTCTGCCTCTGCCATTTTATTTCTTGATTAGTTCAAGACCCAGGCAGAAGAGGAAATCTACGTATTAGGCTCCCAAAAAACCCCACAAATTCTGTCAATGACTTACTCTGTAAATTGAGGCAAACTGCTTTGTACCTCTGTTTTTCTGTCTATAAACTGAAGCCGTGGCAATAGCTATTGGATAAAGGTTTTTAAAAAGTGCTGTAAGTGATTGACTGAAAGATGTTAATTGCTGGCCCCATCCCCCTGTTAATATCGTAATCATTGTTTGGCAACATTTTCTAAATCGTATCTGAGAGCCTGGCTGCTGTGACGCATTGATTCATTGTGGTTGGCACCATATGCTTCCATCTGCTGTGAGCAGTATAATTGTTCTCAGTCATCAGCATCGAGCACCCATGGCTAATTCATGGGGAAAAACTCCAGTGCTTTGCACCAAAGTCCAACTCGTCTGTCAGTTCACTCCTGTGGAAGGGGGCCAGGCTCTCAGCATGCCTCTCCCTCCTGTCCTGGGCATTGGTCTCAATCAGACCAGGTACTCAGCTCTAGCTTTTCATGGCTACCAGTAAGGACAAGCCTTTCATTTCTGCAAAAAGAACTTCGCTTGACTTTTAGAATGAGATCCCTTGTTGGATCTTTGTTGCATATACATTTGATATGCTATTTTCAATACTAGTTGATCTGGGTTCAAATCCTACTTCTACCCTTCAGTAGCCTGACATTGGGCCAGTAACTACACCTCACTGAGGTTGGCGTTTCTTAACCTCCCTCTGAGATGTCACTTCTTCCTCTGTAGCATGGGGCAAATATCTACCTTGCCAAGGGTATGGTGAAGATTTAACTTAATTAGCTGGGGTAAGTAAAGCATTAAGCACAGTTCCTGGCTGATAGTAAGTGCTCAATAAATGGTAGTGACTATTGTCACTGGAGTGCCTATTCTTTGCTCACAGAGCATTTTGAAGACTGGTTATTATTTTAACTTTCTCCACAGGCATTTCTAGTTCTCTAGAAGCTTGCTCCTCAAATTATGGTCCTTGGAACAGCAGATGTTTATGATCAGCAGAGAAAACGTGTTGCTAATAAAGCATCCTGCACGCTAAAGCATTCAGGTGTGTGGGACTTAGGTTCATTCTTTCCAGGGTTAGGTTAGCTGCTGATGCAGCTAATATAGGCAGTCGTCCTTGTCGTAGGAGTTTCAGGAAAGCCAGGCTTGCTGGAGAATGCCATGTTAAAAGTGTATTCCCCAAGAGTGAATACTCCTTAATGCAAATAAATTCAAAATAACTTAGTTTCTGGTGGAGACGAGGAAACTTAAGCGAAGAGACTAATATTTCAGTAAGTAGGATGAGTCGGCAATTTGCTTGTTTGTGTGTGTGTGTTTATGTGTTTGGTCAGGTTCCAGATGACAATTGCTCTTCCATGTCTGAGGCACTTGGCTGGGGGACAGGAATGGCAGTATAAAAATATTCTGGGCTCTTCTTTAATGAGTTAAAGAGCAGGTAAATGATTACAATGAAGTTGGGAGTTACAGCAATGTACCTCTGGAAAGCAGTAGCCTAGGATGCATGTCACATGGGCCATCCTGACAATGAACACTATTGGAATTCTGAGCAGCGGCCATCCCTTCTGAGTGGGCCACCTCTGGCCTCACTGGCTTCCACCTCAGGTCTCTTTGTCTTGCTTTTCTCATTGCCTGGATGCTCTTCTACAGATATTTTCATGGCTCTCTCCCTCACCTGCTCAGGTGTCTGCTCACCTGTGCTCTTCTCAGTCAGGCCATTCTATTTGAGATGATGACATTCCTCTTCCCCCCATTTTTCTCTGTAGCACTTACCACCAACTTCATGGTGCATACTTTCTTATTTATTTTTGTATTGTCGATCTTCTCCAGTGGCATGTAAATTTATGAGGGTTGGGCTTTGGTTTGTTTTGTCCCATGTTCTATTTCCAGCACCTAGAATAGTTCCTGGAACATAGCAGGGGCTCAACACATATTTTTTGAATGAACAGTAGCTTTACATGCTCTCTTTCTTAGTTTTATAGAACCCTGCAAGCTGGTTATTATTTACATTTTAGAAATGAAGCAGCTAAGATGTGGAGAGGTTAAGTACCTATTAATAGTCACAGATGCTAATAAGCAGCAGAGATAGAATTTGAATCTAGCCTCTGATTTCTCCCTGAGCCCCAGCTTCATATATGACTACCTGTTATATAGAATAGTAGAGACAGCATCTGAAACTTACATCCCTGTGGTATCATAGAAAGATATTTGGTCTTTGTCTTTGGTTCCTGGCACAGAGCTCCTAGAACCCAGAGCTCCTGCATGATAAGGGTTACAGAACATCTTGTGTACTAATGAGGTGACTCTTGGCAAGCCCCTGGATAGTTTCAGGATGGGGGCTGGTCACCAGAAAGACCAACCTTGATTAGAACCTTGGAACTTTTATGTATGCATGTAACCTTTAGGGAAGTGAGAGGGGCTAGAGATTCAGTCAATCACCCATGGCCAATATTTAATCAATCATTACTACATAATTAAAATTCCATAAAATCCCCTGAAAACAGAGTTCAGAGAGCTTCTGAGTGGGTGAACGCATCCACGTGCCAGGAGAGTGATATACCCCAATTCCACAAGGGACAAAAGACACTGTTCTTAGGACCCTTTTAGACCTTGCCCTGTGTACCTGGCTGTATCTTTATAATAAATTCATAAACATAAGTAAAGTGGCTTCCTGAGTTCTGTGAACCATTCTAGCAAATTATTAAAACTAGGAGGGGGTCGTGGGAACCTCCAATTTAGTAAGTATCAGGTCAAGTACAGGTGACCTGATACTTGTGCCTGGCATATGAAGTGAGGGCAGTCTGTTGGGATTGAGCCCTTAAACTGCGGAGTCTGAAGCTAAACTCTAGGTAGTTAGCATCTGAATTGAATTGAATTATAGGACACTTCGTTGGTGTTGGAAAATTGGAGAAGTGGTGTGGGAAAAGACCATGTATTTGATGTCAGGAGGAAAAACCCTCTCAATGCTCAAGATAAAACTGGATTCTCAGCCACACCTCCTTTGTGTTTTCCCTGTTTCAGTAAATGCCACCTCCATCCATCCAGTTATTCAAGCTAAAAACATTAGAGCCATTCTCAATTCATCCCTTTCATTCATCTCCTCCATCTGATCCATTAATACATCTGGTCAATCCTCCTCCCTGATTCAGTCCCCTTTCCCCCTGCACTGCCATCATCTTTATCTGCATTGTTCCAATAGTCTCCTAAGTCTATCTATCTGCCTCTGCACTTGCCCCTATAATTCATTCTCCACATCTCAGAATAAAAATGGCAGGAAGCTGTGCACTGTGCATGCTGGGAACATGAACAGGGCTCCTGCAGTCTTGGTGCTGCTCCTTGGATGCTCTTGGCAGCATTCTTCATGGTGTTACTTTCTCTGCAAGGACATAATCATTCCAACTTTTAGTTTCACTGGCATCCAACTTTAGCCTGCTGAGGAAAACTCCAGAACCTCCAGCCAAATGGTTCTTTTTAGATAATCCCTGTGCCTCATTAATTTAGGAAAGCATCTGCACAGAGCACCTTGTACCATCACAAAATGCAAAATAAATTCATATGAAATTATTATTCAAAAGTTAATTGTTTAATCTGCTATAAATTGTTTTCTTTAGCTACAGCTGTGGTTGCATTTTGCATTTGTTACAAACCCTTAAGCACTGACTGGCTTCAGCCAGTCAGCTGAGTTCAAGTTCAGCTCCTTGGGCACGGGCCATTCTGTGCTGCCAGGAGAATTGTAGTAAAGATGGCAGTCTGGCTGGTCCACATGCTGTCTGCTTTGGATGAGGAAGAACAGATGAAAAGGTGCAAAGGACAGCAGAGAGTTGCTGAATTCCTCCTGCTGGCTTCTTTTCACATGTGACCCTGCAGGCAGCTAACCAAGGCTAAGGAATGTGCTCTGGGCAGGGCACATGGAATGTTCTGGAAGTGACAAGTAGTAATGCCTCCCATCTGGAGAACATCTAACCTCTATAGAGCCCTGCTGTTTTCAAAGCATTCTTCCATGCACTGTCACATTTGAGTTTTGCCACAACTCTGGCAGGTGGTAAGGGCAAAGTTGTTATCTCCATTCAAAGCTGTGGGAAAGTTGTGGCTTAGAGAATTGGGAATTTGCCCATGGCCACATAGCTAGGAACAGTCTGAATGGGTTTGAACACAGATCTACAGATTGTGATTTTCTTTCTGTTATTCTAAGAACGGAAAAAACATTTGTTCTTGTGGGCCAACTTTGACTGATTGGCAGTGGTTTTCTGGAGTGGTAAGTTCAGAAATGGTTCGAGGCCATTGCTAGACTCTGTGGGAAAAGATGTTTTGATTGACTGGTGACATCTGCCAGCAGTGAGGGAGAAGATGTGGTGGCATATTGCTGTCTAGTTACTTCCCATGTCCCACCCTTTCCCCAACACTGTGCCATAATTTGCTTCTTTGCATTCTGCTTTTTTGCACCAGGGATAAAAAGAATAAGAAATACCACCTGTGAAGCTTAAGTGCTACTCTCTTCTGTCCTGATCTTGCTGTGGGTATCTCTTCGGCTCTGATTGTGGGTAACTCAGGCAACTACACAAGCCCATGTGCCTATGGCTTCTTTGATAGAGAAGTTTAATGTGTTTTCTTCCCTCTGAGAAAGAACAGTAGAACAGGCCAGTCACAGTTATTATGTGAAGGAATGGACAACGTTGATCTGTTAGGCACTACAGTTGGATTCTTAGGTGCCAATCTAAATACTGTGAAGATCTAAGAATGTAGAAATTGCAGGCACATCTCCTCTTTACATCTGCTGTGAGAAACTATGGAGTACTGATATGGTTTGGATCTGTGTCATTGCCCACATCTCATGTCAAAGTGTGACCCCCAATGTTGGAGGTGGGGTGTGGTGGGAGGTGATTGGATTGTGGAGGCAGATTTCCCCATTGGTGCTGTCCTCACAATAGCGAGTGAGCTCTCGTGAGATCTGGTCATTTAAAAGTGTGAGCACCTCCCCTTTCCCCTCTCTTGCTCCTGCTCTAGCCATGTAATATGTGTGCTTCCCATTCAGCTTCTGCCATGATTGTAAGTTTCCTGGGGCCTCTCAGAAGCTGAGCAGATGCCAGCATCATGCCTCCTGTACAGCCTGTGGAATCGTGAGCCGATTAAACCTCTTTTCTTTATAAATTGCCCAGTCTCAGGTATGACCAATACAAGTACCAAGTGCATAGATGTCATCAACAGGGCTCTTCTTAATTCATTCCCAAGTCTGCATGGAGTGGCATAGACTTAAAGCATTCCCTCATTTTAGCTAAGTCACTCAAAATGTTAATTACACCTAAAGCAAAGCCACTTAAAGAGAGAAACCCTCTGTTTGAAGTTTTTCCCATGCCCCATTGAATTTCTCCCAGTGGATTTCCAACAACTCTTCCATTCTAACTCCATCTCTCATTAGTCCGTGATCACCGGGTTGAATTTTTTCCCCTGTACTTTCTGGCTTTTACTTCTTTGCTTAGAAACTCAACTTCTCCTATAATGTGTTCATTGTCCATCTACCCTGTCTTTGTGTGTTGACACCATCTCCTTCATGAAGTTTTTCTTAAACATCCATTTGTCTGGGATTTGTTCTTTCTTTAAATTGTACCTGCCATCCTCCCTGCCCCAGCATTTTGCTTACAGAATGTTTGTATTCTGCTTTATATTATTGTTGTTGACTGAGTGCTCCCACTACCTTCTAGATGGTGAGTTTTTTTGAGGAGGAACTCTTAGATCATATTTTCTCCATTATCTAATATAATGTCTAGACCAGAGTAGAAATGCAAAAAGTATTTGTTGAATAAATAAGCTCTTTTACAGTGGCCAATCCAGCAAGTCTTGTTTCTTCCAGGCCTTGTGTATTTGAGTGATTTACTGTGAAAGTGCCTGCCCACGAGCCACTTGCATTGTAGGTAGTGGTTGGTTATCAAACAAGAGCCTAGGCAAGGCAAGATAACAGCTTAGGGATGGCAATTCAGAGATGGCAATACAGATGGAAAGATGTGGATTCATTTGACATGTAAAGAGGAAGCAAAATGCAGGACTTGGTGAGGAAATGAATTTTCAGGCTGGGGGGAAGGATGTAAAAGGGATGGCTTGAAAATGTCTGCTTTGTCCAATGAAATTGATTGTGGTGCCAGTCATTGAGATGGGGAACTGAAAGAGGACCACAGTTTTTTAAGGGGGATGATCAAGAGTTTGATTTTGGGGTTGGAGCTTATACGGAGGCCAGGGCTGGAGGCTTGAATTAGGGAGTCATCAGCATATCGATGGCCTCTGCATCTGAAGACTCCTGCTTCCCTGTGACCTTGCATTGTTTGCTGAGAGCAAGGGAGGGATTTGATGGAGTCACAGGTAATAGGAGAAGAGAGAACATTTGAGATAGGTGTGCGAGTGGGCAGGGAATTGTCTGTAGCCATGTGATGAGGTTATGAAGTCAAGTTGAGGATCTGGTTGAGATTGGCCTTCAATATAATGTACAGTGCCACCAACTAACCCAGCTATGAGATTTTCCCAGCATCCCTTAGATCCCCAGGTACAGTTTTGAAGAAAATGGTAGTTGGGTTCATCTGAGTTACAGATTTTGCTAGAGAAGTGGGATTTAGAGGCAGAGGGGCAAGGGAGTATAGGATATTTGTAAAATATGACTTAAAATAATAATGAAATCAAAGCTAGAGAGGGACAGAAGAGAAGACAGGAAGGAGGTAATTGATAAGGAGAAGTAGAGAGATACCCCAGTGGATAGGGAGAAAGTGGAGGGCTCGATGGTAGGTACACCAACAAAGTTGAAGAAAAAGTTGTGGGATCATCTTAACCAGCTGGAAAACAAAAAGATTGTGATTGAAGAGCTACATGGTTGAAATACTGACTTTGGAGATAAACAAATCTGGGGTGATGATGAGGCCTTGGGTAGAGAATCATATGATCGAAGAGTAAGACTAATTTCAGAGACCTTGGGAAAATTTAGATCAAAGCAACCATACATATATCATAACTAAAATATTGTGTATGTGTGGCACAAATTATTTGAATGAGGTAATAGTGGCTTAAAATTTTCTTGATGAAATATTTGTAATTTTGATCGTCATGAGATAAATAGAATCATGCTTTAAATATAACTAACCTAGGTGATGTCATGCAGTTAGGTTAATTCTGTAATTTTCCCCACAGCTAGTTTTTTCTTTTCGTTTTGGGAAACTTCCTACCCTCTCACATTACCTTTACTATCCTTGTGGGCTTGGAGAAAACACCACTGGCCATTGTTCCTGATATTGTTTCTAAACCTCCAGGTTTTTGTGGGCACCTATAAACAGCACCACAGCCCCTTGTGGGAGAGAGCTGATTTAAACAGTCAAGACTTCTTCTCAAACAAGGTCCCAGGGAGAAGAATCCCTTGCTCTGATACATTCTGTACCTGCATTCAGCTTCACAGGTGGAGAACAGTTTGTGGTCCTAGGTGGTGATTGCTCCCTTGGCTAGAAATGAAGGAGCCAGGAGAAAACAAGTTTGGGGCTAGAGGCCTGGGATAGTCTAAAAGACTCATTCCCAGAGGCAAGATCTCTTTACCTTCATCTGATTGTTTTAGGGTTTATCTATAAGCTTGAGCAGTCATTGTGGGTCTTGTCCTCTTTGGCATCTAAAGTGGTCATGATCAATGTTAAAAGAGAATTTTCAAAAAAGGGTAAAATCGTAACTTTTATGCAACTATAAAAATAAACATTCATTAAGGATGTATTTATCATGATATTATAACTGGTTCAAAGGAAAAATTATAAAAAGAACAAATTTGTATGGAATAAAGAAAAATTGATGTGAACATGCAAATCAAGGCAATTTTCCCCCCCATTGAGTGGGGAGGGAAGTCCTCACTTCAAAAATTCAATTCAACTGAAATTTTTTTTTCTTTACTGTATAGGACAGAATTTTCCTGTTTATAGACAAAGATTATTTTGCATTACTATCAGTTATCCATAATTTAGAGTTGATGAATAGCCTCTGTAGTCTCAGAATCAGATAACATGGAAGAGTGAGTTGTAGATAATGCATAATTTTCCACTGAACACAAATTCTTCCCTATAGCAACAGGAGCTACTACTCTCTCCTTCTCACACCCTTTTCCTTGTTCTGCTGATTTCTGCTAGTTCCTTGCAGAACTTTTGACTTCAATTGTTATCGTTTGGCCAATGTGCTCCTCAGCTAGACAATAACACTCTGTGGGAAAGACCAAAGACATAAACTTTTCATCTTTACATGAAAGTAGGGAACATTTCAATGTATTAAATAAAACATTAAAAATTTTAAAACCTTGATGACTTTGGTATTGTGGGGCTAGAAGAAAGTGTATGTGGCGTGGTGGAGATTGGGGAGGGAGGTGAAGAAGAAGAGAAATAAGTTCCTCTTCATAAAGTAGGATGGAATTTGGGTTGGGTGAAAGGATTGCTTGGGCACGGCTTTATTCTCTGGTGCAGGATGCTTATGAGTGGGTGGTGAATGTTATTTGTCCATGGCTTCTCATGGCTGGGGTGAGAACTCCTGCAGGGCTGATTTTCCTAAGCACTTTCATAATTGCCTTGTCATAGGCGTGACCCATCCTGTGAAGAAGGGCCCTTCAACATGTATTCTGAAAAGGGCAGCAGCCCAGATAGTTTCATGAGTGGTTTGCCTGGGTCTGTTAAGTCACCTCTAACTCGTAACTGGGCGCAGAGAGGTAAAATCAGTGGGTCTCAAGCCAGGCTGCAAGTTAAAATCTCTGGGGAGCTTTGGAAAATACTCGCCTCAAGAGAATCAGCTTGAATTGGTCTGGATGGATCTGGGCCTCAGTATTTTTAAGACATTTCCTAAACGTGCAGTGCAGGATGAGAAGTGTTGGTTTAAGCAGGGTTTCTCAAACGGATGGGTAGAATCACCTTAGAGTGCCTTTTTAAAATGCAAATTCCCAGGCCCTTTCTTGGTGACTTTGATTTGGGAGGCCTGGGTTGGGACATAGAAATCAGAATGTTTGACAGGCATTCCAGGCAAGTAAGGGATATGTTTATGAGCTGCAAATAGAATGAAACTTCAGAGGCCTTGTATTTGGTTCACAGAGCAGTCTTTGAAACTTCAATGCTTCTTTGCTGACAATAGGTTTTGAAGGATGGCCTTTTGTTAAATTTACTAAATTTATGTTTGGAGATGATATTTATACAAGTGATTTATACAGATCATTTATGTAGTGTCATTATATTCTGACTGGCATGTGAAAGTAAAACTTTCCAGACGCATGACTGTGATAGGCAGAAAAATGGCTCCCCAGAAGATATCCACATTCTAATCCCTAGAAACTGTAAATGTTACTTTATTTACAAAAAGAGTCTTTGCAGATATGATTTAAATTAAAGATCTTTAGATGAGATTATTTTGGATTAACCAAGTGGGCCCTAGATTCCATCACAAACATCCTTATAAGAGACGGAGCAGAGAAAGAGCTGAGATGCATATAGAGGAGAAAGTGATGTGAAGATAGGGACAGAGATTGGGCTGGAAACCCAGGAATACCAGCAGCCATCACAAGCTGAAAGAGGCAAGGAGCAAATTCTCTCCTCAAGCCAGCAGAGGGAATGTGTGCCTGCCAACATCTTGTTTTATTTTGGTCAAAACAAAACAAAACAAAAAAACAAATTTTGAACATCTGGCTTCCAGAAAGAACTGTGAGGGATTAAATTTCTGTTGTTTTAAGCCATCAAGTTCGTGGTAATCTGTTACAGCAGCCACAGGAAGCTAATACAGGGCTCTTCAAACGGTACTGTACACAGGAATCCCCTAGGGAACAGGATGCAACTGGGATTCTTATTCAGTGGGTCTGGGGTGGTGCCCTAGATGCTGCTGCATTTCCAATGCTCCTGGGTGATGCTGGTGTTGGAGGTCCATGGACCACGCTTTGAGGAACAAGTTTAAGAAGGTAAATATGGAGTAGAGATGAGCATAGAAGGGATTACTGAAGGGAGAAGTTAGGCAGTTTTATTAAAGTTTTTTTGAGCCCATATTCTTTCATGTATATACCTCTTCCAATCATGTCATATTTCCACTGACAAACGGAAGATCAGGATTCAGGCAGCTGCCCAGATAATTGAGATAAAAATTAATTAGACGATGGCCTCATTTCCCGCTGTGGCAGTTAAGACCTGGCTAAAAATGGCGTGTGGCCATTTTAAAATAACAAAGAGATAATTGCTTCAGCAGTTACATCTGTAATGTGTCATCATTTTCTGAGTGCCAGTGGAAATTTCTGTACCTATTGAGAATGAGTGTGGGTGCAGAGGGTTCATTTAATTCGAAAAGCCATAAAAGCTGAAAATTAAAAAGAAACCCCAAACCATGGCTAATTCTAATGCTAGGTGTTGGTGAAGGTTTTAGCTCTGTAATCTAGGACTGATTTAGCAACAAAGTTGAGTTTAGCATTGGTCTGAGTGTGGTTTTTAATTTGGTGTTTGCTTTCTACTGAAGATATTGTGGTGCAGAACAGCAAAAGAGGAAGAACCAACTTATATAAATGCAGACTTTTGGGATAATGGACAAGGTACAAATAAAGAGAGCAAAAGAATGATGTGACACTTGGGTGATGCTGAAATATTATACGACTTCCCAAGGTGTCTCAGTCTGTTAGGGCTGCTATAACAAAATATCTTAGACTGAATAATTTATAAATACTATACATTTATTGCTTACCCTTCTCGAGCCTGGGGGGTCCAAGATCAAGGTGCCAGCAGGTTCAGTGTCTGGTGAGGGCTTGCTTCCAGCTTCAAAATAGTGCCTTGCTGCTGTGTCCTCACATGAGGAAAGAGCAAAGCGGCTCCCTTCAACCTCTTTTATGAGGGCACTACCACATTCATCAGCGTTCTTCCCTGTAACTTAATCACCCCCTTCAGGCTCCCCCTATTAATACTATCACATTGGTGATTTTCAACATATGAGTTTTGGGGAAACAAATTCAGACCATAGCAAGAAGCACCCCCAGTCTTTTTGGAGGTGACACTGTTTTTGGAAAATTGATTTTGAGCTGTCGCTTCTCTTCTTTTTTTTTTTTTTTTGAGATGGAGTCTCTCTCTGTCACCCAGGCTGGAGTGCAGTGGCGCGATCTCAGTTAGTCACTGCAAGCTCTGCCTCCCGGGTTCATGCCATTCTCCTGCCTCGGCCTCCCCAGTAGCTGGGACTATAGGCGCCCGCCACCATGCCCGGCTAATTTTTTGTTTTCGTATTTTTAGTAGAGATGGGGTTTCACCGTGTTAGCCAGGATGGTCTCGAACTCCTGACCTTGTGATCCGCCCACCTTGGCCTCCCAAAGTGCTGGGATTACAGGCGTGAGTCTTCTCTTCTTTGTCATTCTTCTCCAGAAAACCTTGAGGGTACTGTGTAGCATTTTATCTTTTTTTTTTTTTACTGTGGCAAAATATGCATAACACAGTATTTATCATTTGAACCATTTTTAAGTGTCCAATTCAGTGGCATTAAGTACATTCACACTGTGATGCAACCATCAACACTGCCCTTTTCTAGAGCTGTTTCATCGTCCCAAGCAGAAACTCTGCACCCATTACACAATGTTCTACATCCCCCTCTCTCTCCAGTCCCTTGTAACCACTCTTCTACTTTCCTTCTTGATGAATTTGCCCGTTGTAGGTACCTCGTGTAAGTAGAATCATGCGATACTTGTCTTTTGTGTCTGACATATTTCACTTACCATAATGTCCTCAAGGCTTATCCATGTTGTAGCATGTATCACAATTTCATTCCTTTCTATGCGTCAATATTTTGTTGTGTGTATATATAATACTACATTTTGTTTATCAGTTCATCTGGTGAGGGACATTTGGATTGTTTCCACCTTTTGCCTCTTATAAATTTGCACTTTACCTTTTAAATTAAGATTAATTTAAATTATGGTAAAAATGATTTTTGAGAATTCCTTGCCTTCCTTTTCAAGATAATGGAAGATATTTGCATGAAAGCAAGACTAGGAATCATTGGGTGATTGGATAGGACAAAGCAATTTCTTTATCTGCATTATACTTGAAGAAGTCTTAATGAATGAACTTTGCCAGCAACAGGAACTGGGAGAAGATATTTGGAGATGGAGAAGAGCAAATAGCAATGGGCAACGCTACCCTTAGACCATAGCCATGGGGCTGCTGTCCTGAGCCTATGCTTTAGAGGCCCCATTCTGGCCCCCATGCAACACTTCTCCTCACAGGGCCAAATGGATGCACCCGCCTAGAACACGCCTCTCTTCTAGACCTTGTTGTGATATCTGAGGCCCCGGCTTTTCTGCCTGTAAGTCCTGAGCTCACTTCTAGGGTCTCTTCCCTCTGGTTAACCAATGCTGCTGGTATCTGCTTGCTTAGCACTAGGACTGAGGGTGGCCAAGAGTATCTGCTGGTATCTGATGGCCAAGGCACTAGGACTGAGGGTGGCCAAGTCCTACCTTGTTTGCTCTTTAGGGATGGGGGTCAGTGGTATCTGTGAGACAGAGTCCTGAATGGGAAGAGAAGGGTGATGAGCCTCACCGTGGGTTGCTGGCAATGCTGCCAGTATTTGAGTCTATTTCAGGTCTTGCAGAGACTCAGAACATTTGACAGAATATTGAATATAGTGGGTGAATGAGATTATGCAGAGTCACAAGTGTCAAGTATCTATTCTATACCCTTTCTGTTTTTTCCCTTCCCAGCACTTCTTGCTGCCCCCACATTATGCAAACATACACACATGTGTGCTTTAAAGTCAGAAGATTGTCCACACCCACTTCATTTGACAGATGAGAAAGTCAATGATCACAGAGAAAGTTCTTAAACATTTCATGAGTAGTCACTGGCAGAGGCAGGGTTTGAAACCTGTAGTTCCTGCACATAGCCTCATGCAGGTAGAGACTTCCCATCCAGGTCCCTGAGATGTAGTCATTTAAAGGCCTCATATAAAATTTGAATCCCGCTATCTTGCAGTGAAGCATCAAGAGACTTGGGTCCCAAAATGGCCTACTTTCTAATTAGCAGTTGGAATTTGGGGAAGGGCCAACATTTTTGAACCATAATCTCCTCATTATTTTAAATGGGGATAGTCCTACCTGCTCTGCTCACAATCTGCTCGCACGTCTGTTATTTCAAATCAAATGGTTTGAAAACATATGAAATGCCATATACATGCAAGATGCTGAGGAGCATGTGTGCAATGTGGGGGATGCATTCCTACAGTCCTTTGGTTTGGAAATATTGCACGGATTGTGAAGGAGGAGTGCGGAGGGGGATTCTGACCTACTTTTATGTGTGCTCATTGCTCTCCGTCCTTTCCCTCACTTCTCTTTCCATACTTTTAATGTCATCTCTGTAAGGGACAGGGAAGGGTTTTATGTGGGAGGCACCTGGGCTGGTGGGAGTTGAAAGAGCCTATACTAAGAAGTCTGGCTGCATGAGGAAGCTGACAGGACAGCCTGACAAATGCATCCGGATGTTTCAATCCACTGCTGGTGAGCCAAAGGCAGCAGGCCTGGAGATTGTCAGTAGCATTCCAGCTGCCATCTGAGCCCAAGGCACAGTGACAAAGTGGGACAAATTGGTATGTCATGGCCTTCTGCTTCACTTTCAGGATTCTCGTCCTTCCTCTACCCTCTACTATTTTCTTTTCCCCAACCCAGCCCTGACTTCCAGCCACCTAGTTGCTGTGCTCTGAATGTCCAAAGTTCATGCTTTTGACCAGTATGTATGCTACCTGGACAGGATGTCTTTCCTTTTCATGCATCGGCTAACCCCCGCCCCCAGACTGCAGTGGAAAGGAGCACTGAGGCAACCTCCTAAAAAGGTTTTAAAAATAACCTTGCTCTTCTGCATCATAATCACAACACTGAAATCTCAAACTCTGGAAGGTACTGATTTGATTTAAATAATTTATACAAAGGTGGGAATTGATAAGCTTAACACAGGGGTGATTTGCATTTGTAATAAGAGATTGTTGACACAATTGAATCTCTTATTGGCTTACTAATATGGGAGAAAAATGTTTTTTAATAGGGAGCTTCTTTCCCCCTCCCTTTGTCCTACCCGCATCTAACCCAGCAGGGAGCTGTGAGCCTCTAGTAGGAGTTTTTCCTCATTCACATATGAGGCACTTGGCGTGTCATCTCATGTCATCTTCATGTGGTCCTGTGAAAGTATTAGCCACATTTTGCAAATGAGGAAACTGAGGCCCAGGGAGGTCAATAAATTGGCCCAAGAAGACAGCCTGTAAGAGGTAGTGTTGGAGTCAAGCTTCACTTTGTCCCACATTTTCAGATGTAGCACAGCTCCATGCAAAGAACCAGGACCCAGAGTTAGTTCTGGATTCTAGTCTGTGTGTTGGTAGCAAAAGAGGGGAGAGATGGGGCTGGAATTGATGGTTGAGGGCACATTGTGGAGCCTCTGTGTATTGGTGAAGCAAGGACGTTTGACTTCATTGTGTAGGATAAGGAGAATGTAAGTGTCTGGTGGGCCATCCCTGTCTTCCCCTGCAGGATCTAGAATAATGCCCTGCACATGGCAAGAGCCATTGTCACCTCTTCATCTTCCTTCTTTTGTCATTGTGGGTCTCAGGCCTGGCTCTCCTCACAGTCCTTTAGGCAACATAGCTGTCTAGGGAAGAGAGTAGGGAGTGTGACTGCAGACAGGAAGAGGATGCAGGGAGTAGGCAAAAAAGGGTAGAAAAAAGAAGTATTCATCAAGAATAGAGCTTCCCGGGACTCCGGTTAGAATATGACAGCAAAAAGAAACCTCTTATTTGCTGTTGGGCACTAATATCTTCCTATTTATATCTGCAAGGGAAAAGAGGACTGGAAATAGAATTAAATAATGAAAAATTAATAGATTTCGTGTATGCTTAGGGCTTTAGACTGTCACTGTTTATTAGGGTCCCAAAGGTCAGGGAAGGGAAATTGAACAATTAAAAATAACCTGATTAACAAAAAAATAGTGACAATTCAGTTACTCTTTTCTAGCATTTTAATTGTTGCCATTACTTTGCCTTTCCCTTCCAAGCCTCTTGGTGAGCAAGGACGTGCACAGGGAGGGCTGGACAGGGCTGTTGTGAGATGTGATGTGTGATGAGATGCCTGTTCAGATGCTGTGGGTGAGATCTGTAATCGTCCTCCTGTGCAGGTCACTTCTCGTCTCTTGCTCTGTCCTGTGCTAATGAATAAGTTGTTTTTGTGTTACATAAAATTACCTTCTAATCATCTCTACATTCTTTTCTATTTCACAGCAGCACTGAATAAACTGAAATTCCTTTGGCAATCCAGTCTCTCATTTTGATTTCTTGCCATCCTTCCTTGTACCATGATTTGTCACCTTCTTTCTTTTGTGTCACTGTGCCCTGCTTTTCAACTCTTGTGGTTCATGTGATGTAGTATTATTTGCTGTTTACCGAATACCTTCTGTGTGCCAGGTGCTTTATCTATGGAAACTTTAGTCCCCAGAATATCTCCATAACAACAGTGTTTTCTCTTTTGCAGATGTGGAAAATTGAGGCTCAGAAAAAATGAACTTGTTGAAATCTATCCAGGTGGTAAGTGACTGAGCTGGGACATAAATCCAGATCTGTCTGACTCTAAGCCCACATTTGTTTCCAAAATGCATGGTCTTTCCCTGTAGTTTGGGGACAGAGGAGGTGGGTTAGGGAGATGATGGTTATGTGTTCACAGTATTGAGACTAGCCCCTGAGAGCTAGCTTTTATTAATATTTTCCCATCTACCTAGAAACCATTAAAAACAACAACAACAACAAAAAAAAACAAAAAAAAAAAAAACAAAAAACAAAAAAACAAAACCACCCTGAGTTACAGGACAGCTCAGGGTGAATCACATTGCTCATGGAGGTGTTCTCGCCACCCTGAGAGAAATTTGACTTTTCCCTTTGCCCCCAAAGCAAAACTAACATTTCACTTGCCAGCAGCACAGTCTAGCCCTCATCATAATTGGGGTAGGGATAGGGGGCTTTCCATCTTCTTACTGGGGAGTCTTATCTTTCCATAGGTGTTTGGTTGGAGGTTGTGGCTAGGAAACTTGAAGTCAGAAAAACATTAAATTAATGAAAATGAAATGAAGTTTTTGTGACAAAGCCTGTTTTCTTATTGTTCCCTTCTGTCAACAACTTTTGCTATACCTGAGTGCTTCCTTTAGTAATTTATTTCTATTTGAAGAAATATCTAAAAGACATAATTAGCATTTATTGTACAAAATGGTATGTTCACTTAATTCTCATGGTAGCACTGCGAGGGAGGCCTGTTTTTAATAGTGTTAATATGAGGCCCTGAGGGGTAAAATAACTTGACCAACCTCACCTACCTATAGACTTCCCGGATGCCAGCTCCGGCCTGGATAACTCCAATTGCTTTCCGCCATGGCATGAGGTCTGATGGGAGCCAATGAAGGAGCCTACCTAAGTGCAGACCAAAGATGGCAAGTGATGCCAGTTAGAAAACTTCAGGAATTCAGTGTGGAGAACCTGCTAGATACTGGAGCTGTTATCAGAGGAAGGGGGTGAAGCAGGGTTGGGCTGACAGAAGCAGCAACAACACTACCAGGGAACATCTGCTAAGTGCGTGTGTAGTCCCCAGCTGTTGGTACATTCATTGTTGTATATCATCCTGCTGCCCATCTTGTGAGTAGAAAGTCTTGTCTCATCTTACAGGTAAAGCAGCTGAGGTTCAGAGAGGCTGATATTTGCCCCAGGGCAAAGAGCTAGGGTGTGACAGAGCCAGGCTAGTGTGAGTCTAAAATTCATGCTTTTGACCAGTATGTATGCTACCTGGACAGAATGTTTTTACTTTTCATGCATCAGCTAACCCGCACTCCCAGACTGCAGTGGAAAGGAGCACTGAGGCATTTTCTATTTAATTTCCCAATCTTTGAGCAGAAAAAGGACAAAATTGAGGGGTTGTATTCTCACAATAAAGTAGGGATTCTTAACCTGGGGTCCATGGATGCCAAGAAGGGGATAGAATCCAAGAAAATCTGTGAACTCGTATGGGAAAAAAATCCTCTTTATTTTTCCTAACTGAATTGTACCATTTCCTTCAATTATGAGTAGAGTAATATTAGTAGCACTTAAGATTTTGTCACCCATAAGAGTTAGAAATGTTTTCATATCATATTATATAATAGTTTGACAGATATCTCAAGATATTATGTATCCTCACCACTACTGCAAAATTAGGGAAGCTGTTAGACTCATTGCAGGGTCCTGTTATTTAATGCATTAATAAAAAGTAATATTACTATACCACAATTTTTAAGAAAAATTACCAACTATAATTACATATAATTAATCAGTTTTCTTTGTAATCCTGTGAATTTTATTTTATGCATTAAAAAACATTATTTTGAGAAGGAGTCCATAGATAACACAAACTGTCAAAGGGGTTCGGTGACCACGAATGATCAAAACCCTGCACAAAAGCAGCCAGGGACGGCCTAATATGATTCACACTCCCCAGGGTAGCACTAAATTGGAGTGTGTCTGTGCCCTCTAGGAAGGCAGATGCAAGGGAGGAAAGGGATGGTATCTAATGGATTCATTTATCCATTCATTCAAAAATAATTATTAAGGGCCACTGTATGCCAGGCACTGTGCTAGACCCTGGGGGTCTCTGCCTCAGGGGGGTTATGTTCTAATGGAGAGTGACAGCTCTTAAACAGCAGATATGCAATAAATAATGCAGTTTGGATACCTAAGCAATGAGGAGATGCCTCTTGAGAAAGGAGTGGAAATTTTAGGCAGAAGAAACAGCAAGTACACAGAGAGCTTTCCTAAGATGTGAAAGAGAGAGAGGTTCTTGGAAGTTTTAAGGTGCTAGACCTGTGCTGTTCAATATGTAATCACTAGCTACATGTGCCTACTGAACACCTGAAGTGTGGCTGGCCCAATGAGATGATCTCATTAATAACTAAAAAATTGATTATATGTTGACAATAATTTGGATATATTAGATTAAATTAAATGCATTATTAAAATTAATTTTGTTTATCTACTTTATAAGAAATTGTATTATTGACAAAAAATAATTGTACATATTCATGGGATACATTTTGATATTTTGATACATGTAATGTATGGAGATCAGATTAGGGTAATTAACATATCCATCATCTCACACATTTATCATTTCTTTGTATTGGGAGCATTCAGTATCTTCCTTTTAGCTATTTATATATTATTGTTAACTAGAGTCAAGCTACAGTGGTATAGAACACTGGAACTTACCCTCCTATCTATCTGGATTAAAGATGTGTTAAAGTTAACACATCTCTTCTTGTCCCTTCCTTCCTGCTACCCTTCCCAGCTTCTAGTATCCTCTGTTCTAGTTTTTACTTCTATGAGATCAACTTTTATCACCTTCCACATGTGAGTGAGAACATGAAGTGTTTAACTTTCTGTTCCTGGCTTATTTCACTGAACATCATGTCCTCCAGTTCCATCCATGTTGCCATGAATGACAGGATTTCATTCTTTTTTTTCTGGCTGACTAGTATTCCATTGTATATATATACCACATTTTCTTTATCCTTCATCTGTTGCTGGACACCTAGTTTGATTCTGTATCTTGGCTATTGTGAATAGCATTGTAATAAACATGATGGTGCCCAAGTCTCTTTGATATAATCATTTCCTTTCTTTTAGATAAATTCTCAGTAGTTGGATTGCAGGATCATATGGTAGTTCTGTTTTTAGTATTTTGTTTTTAAAGAACCTCCATGCTATTCTCCATAGTGGTTGTACTTTTCCCACCAACAGCATGTAAGAGTTCCTTTTCTTCATATTCTCACCTGCATTTGTTATTTTTTCTTTTTAATAATAGTCATCCTGGCAGGCTGTGGTGGCTGACGCCTGTAATCCCAGCACTTTGGGAGGCCGAGGTGGGATTACCTGGGTCAGGAGTTTGAGACCATCCTGGCCAACATGGTGAATCCCCATCTCTACTAAAAATACAAAAATTAGCCGGACGTGGTGGCGGGTGCCTGTAATCCCAGCTACTTAGGAGGCTGAGGCAGGAGAATCACTTGAACTCAGGAGGCGGAGGTTGCAGTGAGCTGAGATTGTGCCACTGCACTCCAGCCTGGGAGACAGAGTGAGACTGTCTGGAAAAAAAAAAAAAGTCATCCTAACTGGAGTGAGATGATACCTCATTGTAGTTTTTATTTGCATTTCCCTGATGATGTTGAGCATTTTACATACATTCTTTGGCCATTTGTATGTCTTATTTTGAGAAATATCTGTTCAAATTATTTGCCCATTTTAAAATTGGATTTTTTTTTTTTTTGCTGTTGAGATGACTGAGTTCCTTTTATATTCTAGATATTAATCCCATTGCATGTGTGGTTTGCAAATATTTTCTTCCTCTCTGTAGGTTATCTTTTTACTTTGTTGTTTCTTTTGCTGTGCAGAAGCTTTTCAGTTTGATATAATTCCATTTGTTTATTTTTGCTTTGGTTAACTGTGATTTTGAATTATTTATAAAATCTTTTCCCAGACTAATGTCCTGAAGTGTTTTTCTTGTGTTTTCTTCTGGTAGCTTCATTGTTTCAGGCATTACATTTAGGTCTTTGATCCACTTTGAATTTATTTTTGTATAGGGTAAGAAGTGAATAGTCTAGTTTTATTCTTCTGCAAATGGATATCAAGTTTTTCTGGAATCATTTATTGAAGAGGCTGTTCTTTCTCCAATGAGTGTTCTTGGCACCTTAGTCAAAAATCAGTTGCCTGTAGACATGTGGATTAATTTCTGGGTTCTCTATTCTGTTCCATTGGTCTATATGTCTCTTTTTATGCCAGCACCATGCTGTTTGAGTTACTACAGCTCTGTAGTATATTTTGGGGTCTAATAGTGTGATACCTCCAACTTTGTTCTTTTTGCTCAGGATTGCTTTGGTTATTTGGATCTTTTGTGGGATTTCTTGCAAATTTTAGGATATTTTTCTCTTTCTGTGAAGAATGTCATTGATATTTTGATAAGGATTGCATTGAATCTGTAGATTAGATAGTATTGTCATTTTAGCAATATTTATTCTGCTGATTCATAAGCATGGGATGTCTTTCCATTTGTTTGTATCTTCTTCAATTTCTTTCATCAGTATTTTGTAGTTTTTTTATTGTCTTTAATTTCTTAGCTAGTTTATTGTTTGTGTATAGAAGTGCTACTAATCTTTGTATATTAATTTTGTATTTTGCAACTTTACTGAATTTGTCTATCAGTTCTAAGAGTTTTTTTGATAGAGTCTTTCAGATTATGTACATATAAGATCATGTCATGTGTAAACAGGGACAATTTGAGTTCCTTCTTTCCAATTTGGATGACTTTTTTTTTTCCCCTTTCGTAATTGTTCTGGCTAGGACTTCCAATACTATGTCAAATAAAAGCAGTGAGAGTGGGCATCCTTATCTTGTTCCAGTTCTTAGAGTGTAAGCTTTTAGCTTTTCCCTGGACAGTAAGATGTTAGCTGTGGTTTATCAATATATGGCCTTTATTATGTTGAGGTACTTTCCTTGTCTACCTGATTTATTAAGATGTTTCTAAATCATGAAGGGACACTGGATTTTATCAAAAGCTTTTTCTGCATCTAGTGAGATAATCATATGGTTTTTGTCCTTCGTTCTATTGATGTTATATATGGCATTTATTGATTTGTATATGTTGAACCATTCTTGGGATAAATCCGCTTGATCATGGTGTATTATCTTTTTCGCATGTTGGTGGGTTTGGTTTGCTAAACCAAATTTGTATTTTGTTGAGAGTTTTGTGTCTATGTTCATCAGGGATATTGGCCTGTAGTTTTCTTTTTTGTTATATCCTTGTCTGGTTTTGGTAATGGGTTATGCTGACCTCGTAGAATGAGTTAAGGAGAATTCCTTCTGCTTCAATTTTTTGGAATAGTTTGAGAAGAATTGGTATTAATTCTTCTTTAAAGATTTGGTAGAATTCAGTGGTAAAGCCATCCAGTCCTAGACTTTTCTTTGTCAAAGACTTTTTACTGGTTGTTGTTATGTTCAGGTTTTTTCTTTCTTCTTGGTTCAATCTTGGTAGATTGTTGGCATCAAGAAATTTGTCCATTTCTTCTATCTTTTCAAATTTATTGGCACATAGCTGTTCATAGTAGTCTCTAAAGATCCTTTGTATTTCTGTGGTATCCATTGTGATGTCTTCTTTTTTATTTCTGATTTTATTTATCTGGGTCTTTCTCTTTTTTCAAAAGTTGATTTAGCTAACGTTTTGTTGATTTTGTTCATCTTTTCAAAAAAAAACCTTGTTTTTTGTTTTGTTGATTTTTTTTTTTTTTTTTGTGCATGCCACATGTGCATGCCACCACACCTGGCTAATTTTTATACTTTTTTGTAGTGACAGGGTTTCACCATGTTGCCCAGGCTGGTCTCAAACTCAAGCCATATGCCTGCCTTGGCCTCCCAAAGTGCTAGGATTAAAGGCATGAGCCACTGCACCCAGCCAATCTTTTTTTTTAATCTCAATTTTATTTATTTCTGTTCTGATCTTTACTATTTCTTTCATTCTACTAATTTTGAGTTGGGTTTGTTCTTGCTTTCCTTGTTGCTTGAGGTGCATCATTAGGTTGTTTATTTGAAATCCTTCTAGTTTTCTGATATAGGCATTTATTGCCATAAATTTGCCTCTTAATTCTGTTTTTTTCTGTGTCCCATAAATTTTGGTAGGTTGTGTTTCCGTTTTCATTTGTTTCAAGAAATTTTAAAATTTTACTCTTAGTGCCTTCCTCCACCCATTGATCGTTTGAAAGCTGTTTAATTTCCATGCATTTATATAGTTTCAAGTGTTCTTCTTGTTGTTGATGTGAAGGATTTTGTTGTAGTCAGATAAAATACATAATATGATTTCAATATTTCTAAATTTTTTGAGGCTTGTTTTGTGTCCTATCATATGGTCAATTCTGGAGAATGTCCTATGTGCTTATGAAAAAAGTGAATTCTTCAGCAGTTGGTTGAAATGTTGTATAAATATCTGTCGGGTCATTTGGACTATGGTGAAGTTTGAATTTAATGTTTCTTTGTTGCTTTTAAGTTGAGATGATCTGTCTAATGCTGAGAGTAGGGTGTTGAAGTTCTCAACTATTATATTATTGTATTGGAGTCTATCTCTCCCTTTAATCAAATAATATTTGCTTTAGATATCTGGGTGCTCTGGTGTTGGGTGCATATATATTTACAATTCTATATTCTCTTGCTTAATCGATCTTTTTATTATTATATAATGTCCTTCTTTGTTTTTACAGTTTTTAATTTGAAGTCTGTTTTGTCTGACATAAGTATAGCTACTCCTGCTCACTTTTGATTTCTACTTGCATGGAATATCTTTTTCACTCCTTCATTATCAGTGCATGTGTGTCTTTACAGGAGGCATGAATTTCTCGTAGGCAGCATATATTAGTTTGGTGCAAAAGAAATTGTAGTTTTTTAAATTACTTTTTTAAAAATGACAAGACTGTGATTACTTTTGCACCAGCCTAATAGCTTTGTCTTGTTTTTTATCTATTCAGTCAGTATATCTCTTCTAGATGATGAATTTAATTCATTTGCACTTAAATTTTTTATTGAAATGTGAGGACTTAACACCTGTTATTTTTAATGATTGTTTTCTGATTGTTTTGTGTATCTTTCTTTCTTACTTCCTCTCTCATTGTTTCTTTTTTTGTCTGCCTGTGATTTTCTGTAATGTTAAGGTTTGATTTCTTTCTTTTTCTCCTTTGTGTATTGGCTCTACCAATGAGTTTTATAGTTTTCCATGTTTTCATGATGCTAGTTACCCTCTTTTCACTTCTATGTGTAAGACTCCCATTTCTTCTAAGGCCAGTCTAATGGTGATGAATTCCCTTAGTATTTATTTATTTTTTTGTGAAAGATTTTATTTCTTCTTCATTTCTGAAGGATAGCTTTCCTGGGTACAATATTCTTGGGTGACAATTTTTTTTTCTTTTAGTACTTTAAATATATCATCCCATTCTATCCTGGCCTGTAAGATTTTTGCTGAGAAATCTCCTGCCAGTCTAGTGGGGATCCCTTATATGTGACTTAATACTTTTTTCTTCTGCTTTTAAAAATCTTTGTCTTTTGACAATTTGACTATAATGTGCCTTGGAGGGGACCTGCTTAAGTTGAATCTATTTTGAGTTTTCCTCACTTTTTCATGTCTATTCTCTTTGTGGAATGTTATAATACAAATATTTGTTTGTTTAATGGTGTGTCATATATCCTGTAGGCTTTCTTCATTCTTTTTTCTTTTTTTTGGTCTGACTGTGTTATTTCAAAACCCTTGTCTTCAAGTTCAGACATTCTTCTGCTTGGTGTATTCTGTTCTATACTAGATTGTGTTTTTTCATTTCTTGAAGCTCTTGATTGTGTTTTTAAATTTCATTCCTTGAATTCGTCAGCTCTAGAATTTCTGCTTTTTAAAAATGATATCTATCTCTTTGTTGAATTTCTGATTCAGATAATAATTTCCTCCCAATATCATTGAATTGTCTTTCTGTTTTCTCTTGTAAGAAAGTTCCCTTAAGATTATTATTTGGAATTATTTTTATTATTCTTATTACTGAGTTCCCTTAAGATTATTATTTGGAATTATTTTTCTGGCGTTTTATATATTTCCTTATGATTGGGGTCTGTTACTTGAGAATAATTTTTTCCTTTGGAAGTGACATGTTTCTTTGCTTTTTCATGATTGTGTTCCTACATGGATTTTTATGTAGCTGGATATTTGCTTCTTCCAAATTTCTGGAGTAGGTTTTGTGGGGAAGTCCTTATTCGTTGGAATGGGTGTTGGCCTGTCATTTCACTGGGTTGTGTTGGCCTTGCTTCTAGATGGATGCAGTGTTGTAGTCTCCGTATAGTTTCCTCAGCTGTAATCCATACTAGTGGCATTTGTGAGTTTCTCAGAGGCCTAGGGTGACAGAGTTTGTGGTGACAGTGTTGCAGCTTTGCCAGGAGAGGGCTCACTGAGCTATTTCTCAGGTTGAGGGCATATGCAGCTTGGTTCACGGTCAGGGGTGGATAGGGAGTACACACCCTGTGCTCCTAATCCAGGACCATGCAGCCATGTGAATTCCTGAAAGTTCTCCAAACTGGACTCAGGGCTTGTGAGGACTGTGGGATTCTCCTGTAGTAAGGACTATAGGTGTTTGCAGTGACAATGAGAGCTGGTAGGGATCTTCTGCTTACCTTTTCCCCACAAATGTCCCTCCTATCTCCAGGCTGATCTGATCTGAGTGGAGGAGATGGGGCTACAGAGGCTGCGTGCCTCCATGTTGCTCTCCTGGACTTCCAATCACTACAAGTGTGCCTCTACTCTACTGCTGCACTCCAGCACTCTCCCTTAGACATGCCAGTCAAATCTTAGCTGTGTTTTCATTGCCTTGGTCCTTTCTTGTGGGAGGGAGTAGAGATGCCAGGCATCTTGCTGATGTCACTCTACTTTTATTTTTTAAAATGTGGCTATAGCCAGGCATGGTGGCTCACACCTATAATCCCAGCACTTTGGGAGGCTGAGGTGGGTGGATTGCTTGAGCCCAGGAGTTCAAAACCAGCCTGGGCAACATGGCAAAACCCCATCTCTACAAAAATTACTAAAATTAGCTGGGCGTGGTGGTATGTTCCTGTAGTCCCAGCTACTTGGGAGGCTGAGGTAAGAGGATCACTTGAACCTGGCAGGTCAAGGTCAAGGTTGCAGTGAGCTGGGACCACACCACTGCACTCCAGCCTGGGTAACAGAGTGAGACCCTGTCTCAAAATAAATAAATAAATAAATAAATAAATAAATAAATAAATAATAAAATGTGGCTACCAAAAATTTAAAATTACATTGGTACCTAGTGGTGTATTTCTATTGGACAACACTGTGCTTGAGAGTAGGAAAAGAAAGGGTATTTTTGTAGTGATTGCTGTGGGTTGTACATTTGGACGTCTTTAAATGTTTTTCAAAGATGTTCATAGAGATTGGAATTTCTATTCCTTTACTGAAATGTATTAGGTACTGGGGATATGTTGGTGAACAAGACAGAACCCTTGCAGACTGAACAGACTAGGGGACTTGCTTTTCTATAGAGGTGTGTGTTGGGATAAATAGATGAGAAACAGAAGTTAAATGATGTAATTAGGGATTGTGTTATACGATGGAATAAAGGAGGATAAGTTGAGGAGTCTGCTTTAAATGTGGTTATCAGAGGACACTACTCTCAGGGGATATCATTACATTTTTAGGAGGAGCCTGCTGTGGGAAGAACATAAAAGCCTCTACACACAGTCACAGTCCTGCCTTACCTCTTCTAAGTTTAGGATTAAAAGTAGGCTTCACATTGCAATAGAAGGCTTTTCTAATTAGTTTTATTTTCTTCTCCTTCAAAAAAAGAGTGTGACAATTTCTCAAGTTTGTCAGGTAGGGAGGCAGAGACTGCAAGGATGAGTGCATTGATGATCCCCTGAAGACAGTGTTCCAGATAGTTGTTTGGGGAATTCCCTCAGCAGTTGGTCCACAGTGCCATTCAGCTCCCTTGGCATTTACTGAACTGCTTTTCTAAATGGGATGCTTAAAAATGTACCATTCCTCCAGGATGGGTTTTAAGAGTCTTGCTTGTAAATAATGTTTCTTTTTTTCACGCAACTTAAGAAAGGTTGGAAGTCTACTCTGAAATTGTGCTGTTATGCCTCAGTCTTAAATACCATCCTGTGCTTCAGTTTTTAAATCATAATAATTATAATAAAAATAATGGGATAGTGTTAATAAAGCATATAGTATGTGCTAGAATATTTTACATACATCATCTCATTTAATCCTCACAGCATGAAGAAGCTGTGTAGTTTGGTGGCGAGTCATTCTCAGATTGCTTGGGGTCGAGTCTTAGTTCTGTTAAGCAACTTGACTGCTAGCAAACTTAGGCAAATTACTGAACTTCCTTCCCTCGTTCACTCATCTGTAAAGTGGGGATAATAATAGATTAATAATAATAATACTCAGTGTATCCTGTGGGGTTAGGGAAAAATGAAATAATTAATATATGCAATGTGTTTAGAGCAGTGCCTCGTCTGTATTAAGCCCTATGGTATGGCTAGCCATTATTGAAATAAAGTAACACCACCATTAGCCCCATTGAACACATTAGAAAACTAAAGTTCAAATTAAGTCTCCTGTCCAAGGTCACATACCGAGGAAGTGACTTCTCCCACTGCTACATTGAGATACGTGACTGTTGTCTGATGGCCTGCAATACTTCTAGGTGTGGGGAGGTTTGAAAAATAAGCAATACCGACTTGTTTTTGGCCCTGGGCTCCCTAGGACCATATGCTGTAGTGGGCTGGAAAAATTGGATTTTTGGCAATTTCATTCTGTAACTGTAAAGTAGACCTTTTCCTGCTAGTAGCATCTTTCCTGACTGTATTTCTTAATAGGAGATGACAGTATGGACAGGACACTTGGAGGCTTAGCAGAATGACTAGTTGTTTTGCTTCGGAGCTTGTTTCTTAAACCTCAGGGAAAGAAAAAATCCATCTGCTAGGTTAACTTTCTGGAAGCTTGTTGCCTAGAGATTAGGAGGAGAGCTATGGAGTCAGACAGGTCTGGGTTTGCATCATGGCATTTGCACTCCCTTGTCAAGTGTCTTGGGTTAGTCATTCATAATTTTGAAACTTAGTTTCTTCATGTATAAAATGGGGATGATGATAATGCCTACCTCATAGAGTTGTTTTGAGGATTGAGTGAGATAACAGATAACAACCCAACAAAAAGATAAGATAGATAATATGAACTCAGGGCTATATCAACAACTATTTACAATGATTATCCCCACAGTAATAAATAAGGTAATATGTAGGGCTTGTTATGTAGTATTGGTTTAATAAATGTAAGCTGCCATAATTCAATTCTCCAATGACTCTTGAGTCTTTGGTTTAGATGAGCATGTTCTACTGTTAGAGAACCAAGGTTAGATCATTGTCTAGTTGGCATTAGGCACATGGAATTACCTGTCACTGCCCTTAAGTCTCTTTGCTTCTGGGAGAGCTTATGGCATCTCCCACCTTGAACTAAAGGTCAATTTGCTGACTGTTGGAATAATATTGGCTCTTACGCACTTCTAGAATCTATTAATCTTGCCATTTAGTAAACAACAGAGCCTAGACCTTTATTCTGAGATCTAGGCCTATCTATCCAACTATCTATTTGGCTTCTCTGTATGGATGCCTTACAAATCTGGCCAAAATCTGGCCAAAATAGAGTTCACCGTATGTTCCTTCAAGTCTGTTTTCTTCTCCCAGTATCTGATCTCAGTAAATATCAACATCTACTGTGTTACACAAAGAAGAAAGGTCAAGTCTTCCTTGGCCCCTCTGTTCTCTTTACCTGCTATAGCCTGTCAATCTCACCAAGTCTTGTTCATTCTTCTTTACATATATCTTTCTTGAATCTCCCTGCTTCTCTGCATCCCATTGCTGTGACCCTGGTCTTACTCCTGGATTATCACCTTAACCACCCAACTGGTCTGCTGATCTCAGTGTCACCCTCTTCCCATCCATTCTCTCTCTCTTCTGCAGGCAGATGATCTTTTAATGACATTCCCCTGTTTAATCCCTGCAGAGGCTTCCAATTGCCTATAGGGTAATACCCTATATTTTTGCCATAAGCAACAAGACCTTATATAATCCAGCCCTGCCTAGCCCTCTTGCTCTACCTGCTGCCCTCTGGATCTAACATAGACTCTCTCCCACCCTGGGGCTTCACACACACTGCCCCTTCTGCTGGGAATGGACTCTTCCAACTCCTTTTCCCTGACCCCCCTCTTTCCCAGCTACTTCAGGTCTTGGCACGAATATTTAAAATATCTCTTTCAAAGGCGAGTATTGTTCAACTGTAACTACATACCCCCCCGCCAAGTTAAGCCCATGTGTTATATACTTATAAGTCTTGTGTAAATACTCACCACATTTGTGATTATTTGCTTACTATCTGTGTTCTTTGCTAGAATATAAGGTCTGTGAAGGTTTTAAACTTTTGTTTAAACCAGAAGGGCTTGTCATCCCGTATCTAATCCAGTTACCTTAATTTACTTATTAAGAAAATGGAGCCCATGGAGTAGAGTCTTCAGTTCCCTAATTTGTATATTTTCCATGAATGTAACTGAAATGTGAATGGGCAATTTAATCCCCCTAAACATTTGTTGGTTTAGAGCAACTTCGTAATGTGGGGAAAGGGTGAGTGAGAGACTCTTCCAGTAGCCCACAGTCCCACCATGGAACTGTACAGTTCTGGCCATAGGAGAACCACATGACCCTCCCAACCCCTGAAACGAACCCAGTGAGCTGCTGGAAGACCATGGGATGTAACTTCTCCAGTTCCCACTGCTGGGTCCCACACCTTTTCTGAGACCTTAACAGATAATACAGCAAGATGCCATTTTTAAACCTAGTCTTTGGCAGACTGCACACTGTTCTGGGGCCCAATGGTGCCAGAACTGAGGCATTACAGAAACGTGAGCTGTTGTTCCTGAGGCTGGGGAGCATGCTGGGAGTTCTACCATAGGCAGGGCTAAGAAATGAGTGAGGTATGGGCTGCAGCTGCTGGTGCCAGGAAGCGAGCAGAGTGTGAGTTGCCCCTGGAATTTGGTTGTCAGCTTGGTGGAAGCTCCTGCAGCTGGGGTTGATGTATGAGCTAGGCATGAAGTACCACCACTAGGGTGGGGGCAAGCCCTTCTGGGACTAGTGTGTGAAAGAGACACATGTTCCCTACCCAGTGGCCCAGGCTGTGGCCACCAAGGGCAGCCCCATCCTCCCAGTGGCAGGGCTTCAGTGCAGCTGCTACCACCCCTCACCTGAGCACTCTGCCTAGGGCCCGAGGATTGCTCCACCCCTGCCAACGATGACTGGTGCCTGCTGCCACCATTGGGGGGCCTGAGCACAAGCCTGTCCAGCCCAGTTTTATCCCCTCTCAGACAGAGCATATAGCCCCGGGTCCTGGGGATTGCCAGCCCCATCCACAACTTTGGGCACCTGGGCACTTCTCCTAGGGGCCTAAGGTTGGGACTAAACTCTTGGCTGCTATCACCTCAGCTTGCACCTACTTGCAAGCACCACCTGAGGACCTGGGGACTGGTCTACTCAGCTCATCGCAGCCTCTGCCAACATCAATAGACACCATTCAGGACCCAGAAAATTGTCCCGCCACTGCTGTGGCCATTCCTCATCCCACACTGGCTGCACAGAGGCCTAAGCACCTGCCCACCTACCCAGTCCACCACTGCCACTGCTGACATCCAAGCAAGCCACCTGAAAGCTCAAGACCTGGCCTGCCAGCAACTGTAAACACAGGTGCCAGTGTACACTACCCTGGGGCACAAAGATAGGCATACTCATCCCACCACTACCACCACCAGAGATTGAAGATTGGCCCACCTGGCATTTCAGTCATCAGCAAAACTTCACTACAGCCTCCACTAATAACCATGCCCTAACCTACTGAGGATATCACAGACACCACTGACAATGTTTAGAGCCAAAGAAATCATACAGAGACTACACTACTGCATGCATGAAGAATCAAAGTCAGTGTGCCCTGTATAACTGATGCCATAGATATATCTTCAGGAAAAAGTTATGCCCTGCCAAACAAATTCAAAAATAGGAAGAAACAACTATTACACCATATGCACAGATATTAACATAAGGGCACAAGACATATGAAGAAGCAAAGACATATGACACTTCCAAAGGAACACAATAATTCTCCAGTAATTTGATTTTGAATCAAAACAAGTTTTCAAAGTCCCTGATAAAGAATTCAAAATATTGATTTTAAAGAAGCTCAGTGAGATATAAGGGAATTCTGAAAAACAATACAAATAAATTAGGAAAACAATTCAGGGTATGAATGAGAAATTTACAAAAGAGATACATATTTTTAAAAAGAACCAAAATAAAAATTCTGGAACGGAAGAATTGATTGAAAAAAATACAAAATACATTGAAATCTTCAGCAATAAAGTAGATCAGGCAGAAGAAGGAATCGCAGAACTTGAATATAAGTCTTGGGTCCCACACCTTTTGAAAGTTTTTTGAAGTAATCCAGTCAGACAAAACTTTTTTTAAAAAGAATAAAAAAAGTCAGCAAAACACTAATCACATTTGGAACAACATAAACTGATTGAATATTTTAATGATTGGTATTACTGAGATTGAAGAGACAAAGAAGTAGAAGACCCATTTAATGAAATAACAGAAGAAAACTTCTCAAGTCTAACAAGAGATTTAGACATCAAGATACAGAAGGCTAAGTATTCCAGGCAGATATAATACAAAAAGGTCTTCTCCATGGCACATCTTAGTCACTGTTCAAAGTCAAAGACAAAGACCAAATTCTACAAAACAGCAAGAGAAAAGTATCTACTTACCTATAAAGGAAAATCAATTTGACTAACTTTGGATTTCTCAGTATAAACCTTACAGGACAGAAGAGAATGGCATGGTATATTCAAAGTGCTAAAAGAAAGAAACTGCCAGCCAAGCAAAATTATCCTTCTCAAATGAAGGAGAAATAAAATCCTTCCTAGACAACAAGTATGGAATGAATTCATTACCACTAGAGCAGTCCTACAAGAAATGCACAAAGGATTCCTAAACCTGGAAGTGAAGTACATTTACCATCATGAAAACACATGAAAGTATAAAACTCACTAGTAAAGCAATTACACAAAGGAGGACAAGAAAGGACTCAAATGATGCCTCTACAGAAATCGACTAAACCACAATGACAATAGTAAGAAAAAGGAAAGGAACAAATAATATATGAAACAACCAGAAAACAATAATAAGACAGGAAAGAACAGCCTCACATATCAATAATAACCTCTAATGTAAATAAATTCTCCACTTAAAAGACACAGAATGGCTGAATGGATAAAATTAAAAAAAAAAACAAAAAAAACCTCATCATCTGACTATATGCTGCTTACAAGAAACTAACCTTAATAGTAAAGACACATATAGACTAAAAGTAAAGGGATAGAAAAATATATTCCACACAAATGGAAAGCAAAACCAGGCAGGAGTAGCTATAGTTATATCAGATAAAAAGGTCTTTAAATCAAGAACAGTAAAAAAAGGACCAATAAGGTCATTATGTAATGACAAAGGGATCAATCTAGCAGGAGGCCATAACAATTCTAAATATATGCATACAACACTAGAGTACCCATTATCATAAAGCAAATATTACTAAATCTAAAGAGACAGATAGACTGCAATACAGTAACAATGGGAGCCTCCAATACCCCATTCTTAGCATTAGATAGATCATCAACACAGAAAACCAACAAAGAAATATTGGGTTCAAACTGAACTTTAGACAAAATGGTCCTAATAGACACTTACAGAATATTTTATTCAACAACTGCAGAATATACATTCTTTTCATCAGCACATGGAATAATCTGTAGGACAGATCATGTGATACATAGTCCACAAAACAAGTGTCAACAAATTTAAAAATATCAAAATCATATCAGTTATTTTCTTGGACCACAATGGAATAAAACTAGAAATTAACACAAAAAGGAACTTTGGAAACTGTCCAAATAAGTGGAAATTAAACAACTTGCCCCTGAATGATCACTGGTTCAATGAAGATATTAGTATGGACATTAAAAATTTTCTTGAAACAAATGAAAATGGAAACATAACATACCAAAACCTGTGGGACATAGCAAAAGCAGTGCTAAGAGGGACATTTATAGCAATAAATGCCTACACTGAAAAGGTAGAAAGATTACAAACTAACAATATAACAGTGCATATTAAGGAAGTAGAAAAGCAAGAACAAACCAAATCCAAAATTAGCAGAAGAAAAGAAGTAATAGAGATCAGAGCAGAACTAAATGAAATGAGACTAAAAACGTCACAAAGCATCAACAAAACAAAAGTTAGTTCTTTGAAAAGATAAACAAAATTGATAAACCGCTAGCTAAAGTAACAAATAAAAGAGGAGAGAAGGGGGTTCGAGCCAAGATGGCCAAATAGGAACAACTCTGTTCTACAGCTCCCAGTGTGAGTGACACAGAAGACGGGTGATTTCTGCATTTCCATCTGAGGTACCGGGTTCATCTCACTAGGGAGTGCCAGACAGTGGGCTCAGGACAGTGGGTGCAGCGCACCGTGCGTGAGCCAAAGCAGGGCGAGGCATTGCCTCACTTGCGAAGCACAAGGGGCTAGGGAGTTCCCTTTCCTAGTCAAAGAAAGTGGTGACAGACGACACCTGGAAAATCGGGTCACTCCCACCCTAATACTGCACTTTTCTGACGGGCTTAAAAAACGGTGCACCAGGAGATTATATCCCGCACCTGGCTTGGAGGGTCCTACGCCCACAGAGTCTCACTGATTGCTAGCACAGCAGTCTGAGATCAAACTGCAAGGTGGCAGTGAGGCTGGGGGAGGGGCGCCCGCCATTGCCCAGGCTTGCTTAGGTAAACAAAGCAGCCGGGTAGCTCGAACTGGGTGGAGCCCACCACAGCTCAAGGAGGCCTGCCTGCCTCTGTAGGCTCCACCTCTGGGGGCAGGGCACAGACAAACAAAAAGACAGCAATAACCTCTGCAGACTTAAATGTCCCTGTCTGACAGCTTTGAAGAGAGCAGTTGTTCTCCCAGCACACAGCTGAAGATCTGAGAACGGGCAGACTGCCTCCTCAAGTGGGTCGCTAACCCCTGACCCCCCGAGCAGCCTAACTGGGAGACACGCCCGAGTAGGGGCAGACTGACACCTCACACGGCCGGGTACTCCTCTGAGACAAAACTTCCAGAGGAATGATCAGACAGCAGCATTTGCGGTTCACGATAATCTGCTGATCTGCAGCCACCGCTGCTGATACCCAGGCAAACAGCGTCTGGAGTGGACCTCTAGCAAACTCCAACAGACCTGTAGCTGAGGGTCCTGTCTATTAGAAGGAAAACTAAGAAACAGAAAGGACATCCACACCAAAAACCCATCTGTACATCACCATCATCAAAGACCAAAAGTAGATAAAACCACAAAGATGGGGAAAAAACAGAGCAGAAAAACTGGAAACTCTAAAAAGCAGAGCGCCTCTCCTCCTCCAAAGGAATGCAGTTCCTCACCAGCAACGGAACAAAGCTGGACGGAGAATGACTTTGACGAGTTGAGAGAAGAAGGCTTCAGACGATCAAACTACTCCGAGCTACAGGAGGAAATTCAAACCAAAGGCAAAGAAGTTAAAAACTTTGAAAAAAATTTAGACGAATGTATAACTAGAATAACCAATACAGAGAAGTGCTCAAAGGAGCTGATGTAGCTGAAAGCCAAGGCTCGAGAACTATGTGAAGAATGCAGAAGCCTCAGGAGCCGATGTGATCAACAGGAAGAAAGGATATCAGTGATGGAAGATGAAATGAATGAAATGAAGCGAGAAGGGAAGTTTAGAGAAAAAAGAATAAAAAGAAACGAACAAAGCCTCCAAGAAATATGGGACTATGTGAAAAGACCAAATCTACGTCAGACTGGTGTACCTGAAAGTGACGGGGAGAATGGAACCAAGTTGGAAAACACTCTGCAGGATATTATCCAAGAGAACTTCCCCTATCTAGCAAGGCAGGCCAACATTCAGATTCAGGAAATACAGAGAACGCCACAAAGATACTCCTCGAGAAGAGCAACTCCAAGAAACATAATTGTCAGATTCACCAAGGTTGAAATGAAGGAAAAAATATTAAGGGCAGCCAGAGAGAAAGGTCAGGTTACCCACAAAGGGAAGCCCATCAGACTAACAGCAGATCTCTCGGCAGAAACTCTACAAGCCAGAAGAGAGTGGGGGCCAATATTCAACATTCTTAAAGAAAAGAATTTTCAACCCAGAATTTCATATCCAGCCAAACTAAGCTTCATAAGTGAAGGAGAAATAAAATACTTTACAGACAAGCAAACGCTGAGAGATTTTGTCACCACCAGGCCTGCCCTAAAAGAGCTCCTGAAGGAAGCACTAAACATGGAAAGGAACAACCAGTACCAGCCGCTGCAAAATCATGCCAAATTGTAAAGACCATCGAGGCTAGGAAGAAACTGCATCAACTAACGAGCAAAATAACCAGCTAACATCATAATGACAGGATCAAATTCACACATAACAATATTAACTTTAAATGTAAATGGACTAAATGCTCCAATTAAAAGACACAGACGGGCAAATTGGATAAAGAGTCAAGACCCATCAGTGTGCTGTATTCAGGAAACCCATCTCACGTGCAGAGACACACATAGGCTCAGAATAAAAGGATGGAGGAAGATCTGCCAAGCAAATGGAAAACAAAAAAAAGGCAGGGGTTGCAATCCTAGTCTCTGATAAAACAGACTTTAAACCAACAAAGATGAAGAGACAAAGAAGGCCATTACATAATGGCAAAGGTATCAATGCAGCAAGAAGAGCTAACTATCCTAAATATATATGCACCCAATACAGGAGGACCCAGATTCATAAAGCAAGTCCTGAGTGACCTACAAAGAGACTTAGACTCCCACACAATAATAATGGGAGACTTTAACACCCCACTGTCAACATTGGACAGATCAACGAGACAGAAAGTTAACAAGGATACTCAGGAATTGAACTCAGCTTCGCACCAAGAGGACCTAACAGACATCTACAGAACTCTCCACCCCAAATCAACAGAATATACATTTTTTTCAGCACCACACCACACCTATTCCAAAATTGACCACATACTTGGAAGTAAAGCTCTCCTCAGCAAATGTAAAAGAACAGAAATTATAACAAACTGTCTCTCAGACCACAGTGCAATCAAACTAGAACTCAGGATTAAGAAACTCACTCAAAACTGCTCAACTACATGGAAACTGAACAACCTGCTCCTGAATGACTACTGGGTACGTAACGAAATGAAGGCAGAAATAAAGATGTTCTTTGAAACCAACGAGAACAAAGACACAACATACCAGAATCTCTGGGACACATTCAAAGCCGTGCGTACAGGAAAATTTATAGCACTAAATGCCCACAAGAGAAAGCAGGAAAGATCCAAAATTGACACCCTAACATCACAATTAAAAGAACTAGAGGAGCAAGAGCAAACACATTCAAAAGTTAGCAGAAGGCAAGAAATGACTAAAATCAGAGCAGAACTCAAGGAAATAGAGACACAAAAAACCCTTCAAAAAATTAATGAATCCAGGAGCTGGTTTTTTGAAAGGATCAACAGAATTGATAGACCGCTAGCAAGGCTAATAAAGAAGAAAAGAGAGAAGAATCAAATAGATGCAATAAAAAATGACAAAAGGGATATTACCACCGATCCCACAGAAATACAAACTACCATCAGAGAATACTACAAACACTTCCTTGCAAATAAACTAGAAAATCTAGAAGAATGGATAAATTGCTCGACACATACACCCTCCCAAGACTAAACCAGGAAGAAGTTGAATCTCTGAATAGACCAATAACAGGCTCTGAAGTTGTGGCAATAATCAATAGCTTACCAACTAAAAAGAGTCCAGGACCAGATGGATTCACAGCCGAATTCTACCAGAGGTACAAGGAGGAACTGGTACCATTCCTTCTGAAACTATTCCAATCAATAGAAAAAGAGGGAATCCTCCCTAACTCATTTTATGAGGCCAGCATCATCCTGATACCAAAGCCGGGCAGAGACACAACCAAAAAAGAGAATTTTAGACCAATATCCTTGATGAATATTGATGCAAAAATCCTCAATAAAATACTGGCAAAATGAATCCAGCAGCACATCAAAAAGCTTATCCACCATGATCAAGTGGGCTTCATCCCTGGGATGCAAGACTGGTTCAATATATGCAAATCAATAAATGTAATCCAGCATATAAACAGAACCAAAGACAAAAACCACATGATTATCTCAATAGATGCAGAAAAGGCCTTTGACAAAATTCAACAACGCTTCATGCTAAAAACTCTCAATAAATTAGGTATTGATGGGACGTATCTCAAAATAATAAGAGCTATCTATGACAAACCCACAGCCAATATCATACTGAATGGGCAGAAACTGGAAGCATTCCCTTTGAAAACTGGCACAAGACAGGGATGCCCTCTCTCACCACTCCTATTCAACATAGTGTTGGAAGTTCTGGCCAGGGCAATTAGGCAGGAGAAGGAAATAAAGGGTATTCAATTAGGAAAAGAGGAAGTCCAATTGTCCCTGTTTGCAGATGACATGATTGTATATCTAGAAAACCCCATCGTCTCAGCCCAAAATCTCCTTAAGGTGATAAGCAACTTCAGCAAAGTCTCAGGATACAAAATCAATGTACAAAAATCACAAGCATTCTTATACACCAATAACAAACAAACAGAGAGCCAAATCATGAGTGAACTCCCATTCACAATTGCTTCAAAGAGAATAAAATACCTAGGAATCCAACTTACAAGGGACGTGAAGGACCTCTTCAAGGAGAACTACAAACCACTGCTCAATGAAATAAAAGAGGATACAAAGAAACGGAAGAACATTCCATGCTCATGGGTAGGAAGAATCAATATCGTGAAAATGGCCATACTGCCCAAGGTAATTTACAGATTCAATGCCATCCTCATCAAGCTACCAATGAGTTTCTTCACAGAATTGGAAAAAACTACCTTAAAGTTCATATGGAACCAAAAAAGAGCCCGCATCAGCAAGTCAATCCTAAGCCAAAAGAACAAAGCTGGAGGCATCACACTACCTGACTTCAAACTATACTACAAGGCTACAGTAACCAAAACAGCATGGTACTGGTACCAAAACAGAGATATAGATCAACAGAACAGAACAGAGCACTCAGAAATAACGCCGCATTTCTACAGCTATCTGATCTTTGACAAACCTGAGAAAATCAAGCAATGGGGAAAGGATTCCCTATTTAATAAATGTTGCTGGGACCACTGGCTAGCCATATGTAGAAAGCTGAAACTGGATCCCTTCCTTACACCTTATACAAAAATGAATTCAAGATGTATTAAAGACTTAAACGTTAGACCTAAAACCATAAAAACCCTAGAAGAAAACCTAGGCATTACCATTCAGGACATAGGCATGGGCAAGGACTTCATGACTAAAACACCAAAAGCAATGGCAACAAAAGCCAAAATTGACAAATGGGATCTAATTAAACTAAAGAGCTTCTGCACAGCAAAAGAAACTACCATCAGAGTGAACAGGCACCCTACAAAATGGGAGAAAATTTTCCCAACCTACTCATCTGACAAAGGGCTAATATCCAGAATCTACAATGAACTCAAACAAATTTAGAAGAAAAAAACAACCCCATCAAAAAGTGGGCGAAGGACATGAACAGACACTTCTCAAAAGAAGACATTTATGCAGCCAAAAAACACATGAAAAAATGCTCACCATCACTGGCCATCAGATAAATGCACATCAAAACCACAATGAGATACCATCTCACACCAGTTAGAATGGCAATCATTAAAAAGTCAGGAAACAACAGGTGCTGGAGAGGATGTGGAGAAATAGGAACACTTTTACACTGTTGGTGGGACTGTAAACTAGTTCAACCATTGTGGAAGTCAGTGTGGCGATTCCTCAGGGATCTAGAACTAGAAATACCATTTGACCCAGCCATCCCATTACTGGGTATATACCCAAAGGACTATAAATCATGCTGCTATAAAGACACATGCACACGTATGTTTATTGTGGCACTATTCACAATAGCAAAGACTTGGAACCAACCCAAATGTCCAACAATGATAGACTGGATTAAGAATATGTGGCACATATACACCATGGAATACTATGCAGCCATAAAAAATGATGAGTTCATGTCCTTTGTAGGGACATGGATGAAATTGGAAATCATCATTCTCAGTAAACTATCGCAAGAACAAAAAACCAAACACTGCATATTCTCACTCATAGGTGGGAATTGAACAATGAGAACACATGGACACAGGAAGGGGAACATCACACTCTGGGGACTGTTGTGGGGTGGGGGAGGGGGGAGGGATAGCATTAGGAGATATACCTAATGCTAAATGACGAGTTAATGGGTGCAGCACACCAGCATGGCGCATGTATACATATGTAACTAACCTGCACATTGTGCAGATATACCCTAAAACTTAAAGTATAATAATAATAAAATAAAAAAAGAGGAGAGAAGACCCAAATAAACAAAATGAAAAAGGAAACATACCCTTTTTCTCATACCTGAAAAATACAGAAGATCATCAGAGACTATTATGAACAATTATACGCTGAGAAACTGGAAAACTTAGAGGAAATAGATGAATTCCTAGAAGCATACAACCTACAAAGATGTAATCAGGAACAAATAGATACTTGAACAAACCAATGTTGAGTAGCAAGATTCAATCAGTAACAAAAAGTCTCCAAACGAAGAAAAGCTCAGGACTGGATGGATTCACAGTTGAATTCTACTAAACACACAAAGAAGAAAAATACCATTCTCTTAAAATGATTCCAAAAAAGTCTAAGAGGAGGGAATTCTCTCCACCTCATCCTATGAGGCCAGTATCACCCTCATACTAAAGCCAGATAAAGACAAAACACAAAAACAAAAGCACTTCAGGCCAGTATCTCTGATGAACATTAACACAAAAATCATCAAAAAAGTACCAGCAAACCAAATCCAACAATACATTGAAAAGACAGTATACAATGATCAAGTGAGACTTTCCCCAATAATGCAAGAGATGGTTCAATATGTGCAAATCAATAAAGGTGATACATCATCATATCATCAGGATGAAGAACAAAAACCATGTGATTTTCTTCGGAGACACAGATAAAACATTTGATAAAATTCAACATCTCTTCATGATAAAAATTCTATAACTGGGGATAGAAGGAACATATCTCAAAACAGCAAAGGCCGTATGGGACAAACCTACAGGTAACATAATACTGAATGGGGAAAAGTTGAAAGCCTTTTCTCTAAGAACTGGAAAATGACAAAAATGCCAACTTTCACCACTTCCATTCAACATAGTACTAGAAGTCCTTGCCAGGGCAATTAGGCAAGAGAAAGGGAAAGAAGCATCCAAGTTGGAAAAGAAGAAGTTAAATTGTCCCTCTTTGCTGATGATATGATCTTATATCTACAAAAACCTAAAGAATCCACCAATAAACTCTTATATTTGATAAATTAATTTGGTCAAGTTGCAGGATACAAAATCTATGTACAAAAATCAGTAGCATTTCTATACACCAATAATGATGTAGCTGAGAAAGAAATCAAGAAGGCAACACCACTTACTATACCTACAAAACAAAACAAAACAAAACACACCTAGGAAATTATCCTAGGAAGTGAGAGATATCTACAAGGAAAACTATAAAACAGTGATAAAAGAAATTGATGATGACACAAATCAATGCAAACACATCAGCGTTCATGGTTTTGAAGAATGAATATAATTAAAATGACCATATTGCCCCAGTCTATAGATTCAATGGAATTCCTATGAAAATACCAATGTAATTCTTGGCAGAATTAGAAAAAACAATCCTAAAATTCATATGGAGCCAAAAGAAAGCCCAAATAGCATAAGCAGTTCTGAGGAAGAACAACAAAGCTGGAGGCATTACATTACCTGACTTCAAAATGTATTGCAAGGCTATAGTAACCCAAACAGCATGATATTGGTATAAAAATAGACATGTAGACCAGTGGAACAGAATAAGAGAAACTACTAATAATGCCACTTATTTACAGCCAGTTGATTTTCAACAAAGCCAACAAGAACTCACATTGGGAAAAGGATACCCTCTGCAACTAATGGTGCTGGGAAAATTGGATAGCCACATGCAGGAGAATGAATCTGGATACTTGTCTCTCATCATATTTAAATATAAACTCTAAATGGATTAAAGACTTAGACATAAGACCCCAAACTATAAAAATACTGAAACAAAACCTAGGGAAAAATCTCTTAGACCTTGGTCTAGGCAAATAATTTATGACTGAGACCTCAAAAGTATAGGCAACCAAAACAAAAATAGATAAATGGGACTATATTGTATTAAAAAGCTCCTGCACAGCAAAGGAAACAATCAACAAAGTGAAGTGACAGCCTGTTGAATGAGAGAAAATATTTGCAAACTATTCATCTGACAGGATGAAGCTGGCCACATGACTAATATAGAAACTATACAAGGAACTCAAACAACTTAACAGGAAAAGAAAACCTCAAATAATGCCATTGAAAAGTTAGCAAAGGACATGGATAGTCATTTCTCAAAGGAAGACATACAAATGGCCAACAGGTATATGAAAAAAATGCTGAAAACCACTAATCATCAGAGAAATGAAAATTTAAACCACAATGAGATATCATCTTACCCCAGTTGGAATTGACTAGTATTAAAAAGACAAAAAATTACAGATGGTGATGAGGATGTGGAGATAAAGGAACTGTTATACCCATTGGTGGGAATGTAGACGAGTGCAGCCACTATGTACATGGTGGTGGTGGAAAGCCTCACTGAGGTGACATCTCATTAAAGACCTGACTAAAGTGAAGCAGAAACCATGTGGCTATCTGTGGAAAGAGCGTTTCATACAAAGGGAAAGGCATGTGCAAAGGCCCTGAGGCAGGAGTGTGCCAGAATGTCAGTGGAACAGCAAGGATGGTGGAACGTCTAGAGTAAAGTGAATGGCAGGCATTGGGGGAAAGAAACAATAGGAGATAAACTCAGAGAGGTAACAGGGCCACCTTATGGAAAGAATTTGGATTGTCTCCTGACTGTATGGAAGGCTGCTGGAGGGTTTAAGCACTGACTGACAAGGTCTGATTTATAGTCATTTGGGGAAGATGGCTGATGAGAAAGCAAGTCAGAGAGAGAGTTAAAAGCTGAAACATGAAACATAAATCTCCATTTTGGAACTTTTTTTTTTTTTTTTGGAGATGGAGTCTCACTCTGTTACCCAGGCTAGAGTGCAGTGGCACGATCCCGGCTCACTGCAACCTCCACCTTCTGGGTTCAAGCGATTCTCCTGCCTCAGCCTCCTGAGTAGCTGGGATTACAGGCATGTGCCACCATACCCAGCTAATTTGGTATATTTAGTAGAGGCAGGGTTTCACCATGTTAGCCAGGCTGATCTCGAACTCTCGACCTCAGGTGATCTGCTGTCTTCTGTCTCCCAAAGTGCTGGGATTACAGCATGAGCCACTGTGCCTGGTTGGAACAATTTAATTGATCATTTGAATCTGGAAAAATTACAAAGCTTCCTGTCTGGAACTGGCCCTTAGGGGAATTTCATTTGCCTTGTGTTGATGGCCTTCTCTCCCCAGCCCTTAATAGACAAAACCTCATGTTACATAAATTGACAGAGAAAAATTGTCTCAATAAAATGATGGATTCTGAACATCTTACTGGACAAATACTGTGTCCCCTTTCAAATGCATGTCATCAGAATCCTTTACAAACGGCCCTTTTACAGGTTGCTGAGGTATAACCATAAGGCACCCCCTTTCCTCCCTGAGTTTTACAAGTTGCCCTCCACTTGCTGGAGTGGCTAAGCCTCCTTCCCTGCTGACCACAAAGTAATTCTTCAGTAGATATTAGGTTGGTACTAATAGGCAAGAGGAACTTTGCACAGCATGCAAACAAACAAACAAAACTTTTGCTGCGTAAATAAACTGGGTGCAGTGGTTGTCCAGCCTCTGGCTGTGGGTTCCTAATCTTTCTGCCTTCCTGCCAGCTATTTTTAGAAAAACGGACAAAGTTTGTTTACAATGCTGAGTCCACTGTCTTACATTCCACAGCACCCAGGCCAGGGGTTTCTCTCTGAGTCCACCCAGAACAGAATCCAGCTCAAAGCTGGCTAGGCTTGATTGCAGCTTCAGGGGGCAAACGTTACTTTGGACTGAAGCTCACGACGTTTGCATTGTGTGTCCTGTTAATCAGGGAATCTTGTAAGACCCCATGGAGGGGACTAGAGCGTTGCTGTAGTGACAGAGATGGAATTTCCTTGCAGTTCCTGGTGGGTGAATGTTCAGAGCAGTTTTTTATTTGATTTAGAAAGCTGTAGAAATGTGACATTTTAAAACTCTTAAGTGTTGTGGAGTTATATCCATGCCCACTGTGCCAGCACGGTCATCTGGGCAGAGCTGTGTGGGTTTCTAGTTAAAAGTCACAAAGTTCAGCAGTCACCTCAGGTGTGTGACCGATTGCTGTGCCCTGCCAGGTTTCTGAGGCTCGGCACACATCATAGAGTTGAAATACTGCCAAAGTCACTCATTTGTTTTGACAGTGATGAGGGTAGTGGAAGGCTCTGGGCCTCTTTGCTTCCCTAAAAATATAAGCTGCACAACCCTACTCTTGGCTTCTGTATAGCCATCGGGGATGAGAGGATCAAGGATGAGAGAATGTAATACAAACTGATAAAAATAATAACTGCTGGGTGTGGTGGCTCACGCCTGTAATCCCAACACTTTGGGAGGCTGAGGGCAGGCAGATCACATGACGTCAGGAGTTCGAAACTAGCCTGGCCAACATGGTGAAACTCCCATCTCTACTAAAAATACAAAAAAATTAGCTGGGTGTGGTGGCGGGCACCTGTAATCCCAGCTGCTTAGGAGGCTGAGGCAGGAGAATTGCTTGAACCCAGGAGGCGGTGGTTGCAGTGAGCTGAGATTATGCCGCTGCACTCCAGCCTCTCAACAGAGTGAGTGAGACTCCATCTCAAAATACTACTACTACTACGAATAATAATAACTGGCATTTGCACATCCCTTTAGATTCTTCATACACTGTTTCAGTTGGTCCTCACACTACGAAGTGAGAGGGGAGGGTTTATTATTATCATCCAGCTTTTATTGGTGAGGAAGCTGAAGCTCAGGGAAGTTGAGATGTGTTCCAGATCCTACAGCAACGAAGTTCTGCCTTGTGGCAGAATAAAGGCTGACACCTGCTAAACTCAATGCAACTCATCTCTGTTCCCTGGGGTGGCTTTTCTTCTCGACCCCACTTTACATTTTAGTGAACTGAGGCCCAGAAAGGTTAATTAATTTGCCCAAGTTCACACCACTCAGATTCCAACCGGACTCTGACTTCAGAGTCCATGTTCTTTTTTTTAAAACTTATTTTTAATTTTTTAACATCATTTTAAAATATTTGTTTTTAATGTTAATTGACAAATAATAATTTTGTATATTTATGGGGCATAATATGATTTTTTTAAACTTTCAATTTTATTTTAGGTATGGGGGTACCTGTACAGATTTGTTACATGGGAATATTGGTGGTGCTGAGGTGTGGAGTTTGGAGTGAGTCACCCAGGTCGTGAGCATACTACCTGATAGGTAACTTTTAAACCTACCCCCCTCCCTCCACCCTTCAGAAGTCCAAGTGTCTATTGTTCCCATATTTATGTCTATGTGTGCTCAATGTTTAGCTCCAATTTATAAGTGAGAACATGCAGTATTTGGTTCTTTCCTGCATTAATTTGCTTAGGATTATGGCCTCTAGCTCCATCCATGTTGCTTCAAAAGACATGATTTCATTCTTTTTTATGGCTGTGTAGTAGTATTCTCTGGTGTATATATACCATGTTTTCTTTATCCAGTGTACCATTGATGGGCATCTGGGTTGATTCCTTGTCTTTGCTGTTATGAACAGTGCAACAATGAGCATAAGAGTGCATGTGTCTTTTTGCTGGAATGATTTATTTTCTTTTGGGTATATGTCAATTAATGGGGTTGCTGGGTTGAATGGTAGCGCTATTTTAAGTTCTTTGAGACATCTCCAGACTGCTTTCCACAGTGGCTGGACTAACCATTTATATTGAGTCCATGCTCTTAACGAATGTTTGGGCTTCAGAGTGAAGCAACCCTGCTGAACAAGGCATAATGACATGTGCTGGATTTTTTTTTTTTTTTGCCTGTGTATCTATATAGGCAGATAAATGGAGAATGCTGTATCTACAGATCCTAAATCTTATTTGAGAGAATCTTGAGGAATCTGAGAAACACAACCCAGGGCTGTGTGCTCCATTCTACAGGGAATCAGCATGCAGTCAGATTTGGTTGCAAATAACTTATGAGCCCCAAAAAGCAAAATTAGAGTGGTGGAGAAGAACTGACGGGAAATAAATGAGTGTAAAAGTCATGCCATAGGTACAAAACTTTTAACAAAACATTATTTTTACATTTCATTCCCCTCTCCAAAGCAAGACATACTCATTGTGTAAAATATAGAAAACATAGGTATGTAAAAGCAGAGAAACAAAATTCACCTGAAATCCTACCACCCAGAGAAAATCACTGATGATTTGGTGCATATCTTTCCTTACCTGTCTTCTATGCATATATAAAGCTTCAGGTGCTGTTAAGGTCCTTCATACATGTTGCCAAGTCTCTTTCCCTAAAGACTGTAGAGTTTGCATTTCAGTCTTCAGTAAATGAGAGAACCCTTAGCACTTTTTTCTCACCAATGTCAATGGGTAGTATCATACAATGTTGTCAGTTTGGTAAGCAAACAATATCTCTTTAATCAATATTTTTTTGCCACACCTCTTAACATTTTTAGAAGGAAGAAAAATAAAAGCTCTTGGATATGAACTTTTTCTTCTTGACGAGCTTAGCTCCTGCTCCACCCCTTATTTTCTCCTTCCACCTGGGAGCCCCTTGACTGAGGACTTTCTCTTTCAGTTTATGGAGGCCAATCTTAAACTTAATCAAGGAATTTGAAAGGCTCCTTGTGTTTCTCATCCATGGCTGCACATTGGAACCACTGGGGAGCTTTAAGACATCCTCCAGGCTCTGGCTGCGTCCTGGACCAGTTAAATTAGAATCTCTGGTGGAGGAGATTTTCTCAGTATTTCTCAGTATTTTCTAAAGCTCTCCAGCTGATCCGAGGAAAGCTCTGGATCAGCACAGAGTGATTCAAGTCAGCCTGGACTTTCTGTTAAGACTCGTTTTTGTGGGATATGAACTTTTCTGGCTTCCACTGGAAACAAGGTCTCTACATTGACCCCTTCCCACACCCCATAGAACTGAGCATGGATCCCTGAGCTGTTTCTCAGATACTACAGGATTCTCTCAAACCAGCAGATTAGAGGGTGCAAGAATGCACTTTAAAAAAAAAAGCGTGTGTATCTGCAGGCAGAGAAATGCAGAGAAATGCAGAGAACCCATTTATCTGCCTGCAGATACACAAGCTATTAAGAAAAGCACACTTACTTCATGTATAGAGTTTCAGCTATTTCTTATCTGTGAGAACTTATGCAATTACACCCCAATTTAGGGATAACAATACATCATAGGGTTGTTGAAATGATTAAGGTGATATATGTCAAGTGCTTTTCACAGCACCTGGTATAATCACCCACCTACTCCAAGCTCTGGTTGCCTAAGGCCTCCCACTTCTCCAGGAGCCGCCTGTCTTTCTCTGGGGTGCTTCCCAGGCCAGTGTGGAGGTGTCTGCCTGCATCCATTTTCACTGTGGCATCTGTCTGCCACACTCATGTTCATAAACACTCATGAAGCTCGGCCTGGGCATCTCTCCCTGGATAATGCTGCTGCACCCTGATGATATTTTTCTTTTGGGCTTCTTGCTATGGATAACAAGCAGAGGTAACAACCCACTTTTCATCAGCATATTCTTTTTTCCAGAACACAATGCAATTACTGAGTGTCAGCTTCATCGTCCAGTTACCATTCAGTCATGCCTCCCGTGGGTCACCTTGAGTGGATGTTGTGTTGGGTGTTTGAACAGTCTCCAAACTTGTATCAATAGTTTGTTGATCTAATCACTTAAATATCCCTGTTCTCCCCAGTCATGGTATTTAAGCTAGAGATTAAGAATGCAGCTTTGGTACCACTGCCAGGACTTGAATTCTGGCTTCACTGCCCCAGAAAAGTGAATTATGTTTTTTGAACCCTCAGTTACTTCATACAAAATAATCAGAATAGTACTTCTTCCACTGGCATTTTATGGCAGAGCTCAAGTGAGATAAATCTTACCATTTACTTAAGTTGTCACAACTGGGAAATGTTTAGGAAAAGCAAAGTAAAGATTTTATATATCTCAAATAAATAAGGTAGCTGATCTTACTAACATGGTAAAGTCTAAGAAATTTTTAAAAATTATATATATGTTTAGTTAAACTGACTAGGTATATAATGGACAATGCAGCTTTGGCTGGAGTAGGAAGATGGATCATTGAGAAGATCAAGGGACAGATAGTTTTAGAAACTCAGGACAAATCGATTAAGAAAAGCCATCCAAATCTGAGAAGGATTTGTCAGGATCCTTGCAAAGCAAGATAAGAGTAAATCAGATCAAGTGCATGGTGAGATATGGCTGTATGAGAGTTTGCAGAGATATTTTTCTTTTCCCTTCCAGACCCCATTTGAGTAATGATAAAACTGTAAAGTAGTAGGAAATCAAGGTATTACTCTGTATTAGACCATTCTCACATTGCCATAAAGAAATACCTGAGACTGGGTAATTTATAAAGCAACGAGGTTTAATTGGCTCATGATTCTGCAGGCAGCGCGGGAAGCATGATGCTGGCGTCTGCTCGGCTTCTGGGGAGGTCTCAGGAAACTTACAATCATGGTAGGAGATGAAGGGGGCATAGGCACCACATGGCCAGAGCAGAGGCAGGAGAGAGAATGGTGGGGTGGGGAAGATGCCCCACACTTTTGAATAAGCAGATCTTGTGAGGATTCACTCACTGTCATGAGAGCAACACCAAGGGGATGGTGCCTAACCGTTCATGAGAAGTCCAGCCTCATGGCCCAATCATCTCCCACCAGGCCCCACCTCCAGTGCTGGAGATTACATTTCAACGTGAGATTTGAGTGGGTACGCACATCCAAACCGTATCATATCCCATGGCACCAAACAAGCAAACAAAAGGAGCATGAATCAAAAAGAAATTATAAACCAGTAAAAATGTTTTTCAAAGAATTTAGGTGCCCCCTCCAAAATTAAGTGTTCTCAGAAAAACCGATTTCTGAGAAGACTAAAGAAGGAAGCACTTTTCCTCCTAGAGAAGAATACAAAGAAGTTCCTGCTTTAAGGAAATTGTGTATACAGAAAAGCCAACTTTCAAAGCCTGCAAAATGGGGCGAATATATTTCTGTGTATGTAAAGAAGTTTCCACTTTAAGGAAATCTTGTATACAGAAAAGCCATCTTTCAAAGCCTGCAAAATGAGGCAAATATACTTCTATGTATGTGTGAATAGGTAGAGCACAAAATGACCTTGCAAGGGGATCTACAAGGAACCTTTAAACAGGAACTCTTTGATGTATACAAAGATTCCTTGTCCCCTCATCTATGGGGTAGACAATAATGTGGAGTCCAGAAACTGAAAACTATAGTTTAGAAGTGATGACAAATTGAATACTGAGCAAAAGAATGTGCTATTTAAAGCTAGAATGGGAGTCCAATGAAAAATGAAGAGAGAAGTTATAGAACAAAGTGAGGCCAGCTTATATTTTAATGTAATTTAATATGAAATACTCTAAAGTAGAAGTTGTTAAATTGGAGTTGTTTATGAAATTGTTTACATTGAAAAGAATTGACAGGTAGAGTAAGTAGACTATATGAGAGATCTACATGGGGCCATTAATGGCAGTGCTTTGATCTGAATATTGTGTCCCCTCAGAATTAATGTGTTGAGATTCTAACCCCCCAAGGGGATGATATTAGAAGACAGGGACATACGGGAGGTGATTCAGTTATGAGGGCAAAGCCCTCGTGAATGGGATTAGTGCCCTTATACAAGAGGCCCAGGGGACCTTGTTAGCATCTTTACCATGTGAAGACAGAACAAGAAAGCACCATCTATGAACCAGAAAGCCGGTCCCACCAGATACTGAATCTTCCAGTGCCTTGATCTTGAACTTCTCAGACCCCAGAACTGTGAGAAATAAATTTCTGTGGTTTATAAGCTCCCAGTTTATGATATTTTGTTATAGCATCCTGAACAGACTAAGCCAGGCAGGACCCTGGCCCAGCTGTGAACTTGGTGAATTCTAGGTCTTGTGATGTGTGGCACCAATGAACATCACTCTGGAAAGCCAGGGAGATTTTGTGCAAATCTGATGAGGCAATACATTGGGAAATTAAACATGGTAATGACTCTCTGGTGAACTGATATACGACTCTCCTTTTACCTACCCTCTGTCAACCTCTCCTCATTTCCACTTGGACACTGGGGCAAAGGTTACTTAAATTTGTCTGGAAAATATTTTCTGGTTGGTAAATACAGGTAAATTTGAGTCAGATGGCACCTCTTATCACTCATGGCATTGCCTTACAAGAAAATAAAGTTTTGTAAGAAACTTTTAGTGTTGCAGACATGACTTAGGGTCCAAGGTGAGGGATGGCTCTGGAGGCAGGATCTGGATGGGCTTGTGTGTGGCAGGTCCCTGAGAGATTCCTCCCTTGGGCCCTGGTCATCTTGCGTGTGTGCTAGGGTCAGTCCTTGGCAATGCTGGGCGGCAGCTGCTCTCATCTCAAGCTGTTCTTGAGTCCGAGGGATGACAACAGACTATTCGGAAGGTACTTTGTCTCAGAGTTCTCTGAAATGATTAGCTATGTCTTACTTTTACCCGCTACTGAAGTGAAGATTGTAGGACACCTTCTCAGGCCCCCACTAGCCCAAATGGAGCAAATGTCCCTGTCTGTGGAATAGCTGTCACTTTTGTGATTGAATTTGGATTTTTCAAGGTCTGGCAAACACCCAAGAACACTTTCCAAGGCTGGCGGAGGTTCCCTCCTGTCTTTACGAACAGCTGTGTCTCAAGAGGTCACTGAGGGAGCACTGGCTCTTCTCACAGCCAGCTCTCTCTTGAAGCTTCTTCTTAGTGTAGATGTGAAAGCTGGCTGCTGTTTGCAAAGTACACGATGGCCTGGTGGAGAGCACTCACTCTGCCTTCCTCAACAACAAAAACATCAGTATTTTCAGATTTGCATTTCAATATAATGTTCAATTACATCAATATAGGGGCCCCTGGATTAGTTTGCTAGAGCTGCCACAATAAAATATCTCAAACCGGGGGCTTAGACAACAGAAATGTATTTTCTCATAATTCTAGAGGCTGAAAGCCCAAGATCAAGGGGTCAGCAAGTTGAGTTTCTCCTGAGGTGTCTCTCCTTGGCTTGCAGATGGTCAACTTCCTCCTGGGTCCTCACGTGGTCTTTTCTCCTGTGTGCATATCCTTAGTGTCTCTTTTGTGTGTCTGAATTTCCTCGTCTTATAAGGACACCAATCAGATTGGATTAGGGCTCACTCTAATGGCCTCATTTAAATGTAATCTCTTTAAAGGTCCCATCTCCAAATACAGCCACATTCTGAGGTACTGGTGGCTAGAGCTTCCACACGTGAATTTTAGGGGCACACAGTTCAGCACATCGCAGTCACCTGGTTTTGCTTTCACTCAGTGTGAGCAATCAGACCCACGTTTTGGAGTGGAAAAGAAACCAGGCCCATTTTCAGCCAGTCTGAGGAGGAAAGAGGTCCCTGAAGAGGCCTGGGGTTTGACTGCTGGGACCTAGTGGGGCAAGTGGCATGGATTAGCTGAAGTTGCTCAGTGTTGGGAAGATCCTTTTATCCCTGTCTTTTAAAGGGGAGACTGCAATATAAATCAAATGCCAGTTTTTGTGTGTCTTGAAACCGTTTAACACCCTCCTTTGTAGTCTGCCTAGGTCTCAGGTGTAGCCGCACAGCCTCACGTTGCCTGGGGCGCCATCTAACACTGAGCATCCGCCTCTGGCAATTTATTCTTTGTTGGCAGCTGAGCTGTCTGTCAGCAACTCCCAAAGCCCAGAAAAGTACATATGTCTTAATTACAGTGGAGAACAAACGGAGGGGCATGGACGCTGGGGCAGTGGATCCCAAAGGACATATCTTTGGGGGAAAATGTCTGTGTCTGTTTTGCTGACCTTGAATACTTCTTCTCGGAAAAAGAAAACAGAATAATGGCACGTTTTTCTTTTTTGATTTATTGTCTGGCCCTCATCAGCCCCTGCCTCTCATAGCATTTTGTTTGACACCTGAAAGCCAGGGGGTTGCATTAAAATTCTTGCACTTTCCATATAATCGCTGGCTCTGGGGTGATTTCAGTAAAAGGGGCATGGTGATTGTCCTGGATGTTAGTGTGGTGTCATTAACATTACTTCCAGGGTCTAAGTCTATCGCGTGGCAGGGGAGAGTGATACTTAATTGGATTTTTGCAATCTTAAAGGCGACAATTGCTCCTTTCTTTAGAAGCCATACATTGAGTTCAGAGTTGAACCTGCTCAATTCCAGCATTGCATCTACCTATTAACTTCACAGGCAGTTAAACAGAGGAGCATAAAACCGCATGACTAACTGTGCTCATAGCCGCTGAAAACCAGATAAGGGAATCTTGAAATCCTTTATTCCAGCACACTGTGAGTACTACATATATTTTCAGTGATAAATAATAATGCAAAATTTCCCTTTGTCCACAGTCCTTTGACTGCTCCCCACTCCCTGTGAAAAAGCTCACATTTATTAATTGGAATGAAATTTGAGAAGGTGATTTTGGAAGGCCTTAATAGAAGGAATTGCTAAAAAGAACTTGAGAGGACAGGCCCCAGGAGAGACACAGAAGAGAGAGTAAGCAGCAATCCTGACCATTCATGGTAGCAATGGGCCAAGATTGCTTGCAGACCAGTGGTTCTGAACCCTGGCTAACCATAAGAACCACTGGGAGGCTTTAACTGACTCTGATGCCTGGGCCCCACCCCAGACCTACCAAATCAGAATCTCTTGGTAACTGGATATTTGCGTATGTTAAAAGCTCCCAGGTGATTCTCATGTGCAGCGTGGGTTTGTGAACTTTTGCTACAGGGCGATGACAATGCTCATGCCCGAGGGTTTAGGATATCTGCTAAGGGTGCAGGTCTTGGAACTATGATTGTTGGGGATCTTGCCAAGCTGTGCATTCAAGAACCCTTAGAATCCCATTGTATGGGCTCTCACCCAACTGTGTCGGAACTCTGTGCACTGAGGTGCAGCTCATGCCTTCCTCCCTTACCTCCTTGATTCCTCAAACTGCACATTTGATTTTCTTTTTTACTGAATCAGTATTAGCAAAAAAGAGTTACAAATTTGGTGGCCAATGAGCTATGAATTTGTGTCATTGATGGGGCTGTATGAAGGTTGACACTTATTCCTGACCCCTAGTTTTCTCATCTGTAAAATGTAAATAATAATAATAGTAATAATAATCTAAATGTACTTCTTGAAGCAGGTCGTGATTAACCCTCCCATTGACATTTTCCTCACTGGTTACTCTGAGCATAAACAAAGACATGGACTACATTCATTTGGAAGTTGGGCATTATTTTAGGCGGTCCTAAAGGGTTCTAACTATGAGCTTTACATGGAAGATCCCATCTGCTGCTTCTGGGGATCCTGTGGACACACGGGGATTGTCCAGGATGTGTAATGATGCCATTCATTAAAAGCTAAAAGTCCAACCCAGCCATCAGAGACCTGAGAAAGTCAGGGTTGGGAAGGGACTAAAATGATGGCTTTAGAAATAGTATAACAGAGTATTTAGGAGATTTGTGAGGGTGCCCTATTAAAGACACCAGCATATTACCTCCTTGGAATAATAACACCTCACAAATGGGGAATATAAACCACCCTTGGGAGGTGTGGGGAGCACAGTTTTCTAAATATGAACTTGATTATCTCGTAAGACAGAGAATATGGCACACAGGGTAACTTGGTTTTGATGGAGAAACAGGAAAAAAAAAAAAAAAAGGAAATAAGGGAGTGCCTGGTATGTAGCCTTGCTTTAAAAATGGTGCTGGATGAATGAAGAGCTATATTTGGGTTCCCATATTACTGAGTTACTCTTTTCCATAAATTTGAGCTCAAGAAAGAGCAATTAAAAAGACACAATAGGATGTTCACAAAACACCATGAATAACCAGGAAAAAATGTTGGCAGCTTGTGTTATATCATCTTTCCTCACTGAAAACAGATTGGTTGGGTGTGGTTCAAAATAGTTAGCCTTTATGCTATGTGAAGATGTAGGGGCCACTTGAAATGCTTTTTTTTTTTCTTTCTCTTCCTCCCTCCCTTCTTCACTTCTCTATACCTACCTACCTACCTACCATAGTGGTTAATATGTTAAATAGGTAGTAGGTACCATACTACCTACCTACCATAGTGGTTAAAAAACAAAACACTACGGTACCATATGGTACCATAGTGGTTAAAAAACAAAACAGGAAATGAGCAAACAAAAATTAAAAAGCAGACATGTAGTAATGTGTAGTAAGGATTTTACTGGTGACAGCTGAGCAAAGACCTTTTTTCAAACGGACTTCTGAGACGGACAGGGGCACACAGGAAAGGTGTGGCCTCAGGGGTCTTCTATTAACAACCGACTTCTTGTCATCAGATTTCTTTCTCTATTTTAAATGAATTAGGTGTTCAGAAATAGAGTCCCAGGGCTGGGCAATTTTCTCCTTGAAGAGTGGCAGCAAAGGAAAGCTGGAAATGCATTAATCGTAAATGAGTAAATTAATTACGCATTCCTTCCCCTGTGGGGTCAGCACTGGCACCAGTAGGCCATCAGTTGTTTAAGGAATTAGATACCAAAGATGCCCTTTATACAGCCAATTATGTGGAAATAAATTACTCTTTCAGATGACAGTATGCTTTTCTCTCAGAACATGTGGAGAAGGCTTTTTGTCTTGGAATAGTCTGCATGCCGTTTTCCATGGTAATTAAAGCCCTTAAAGCAAAGGTTTCTTCTGGCTCTGGTTCTTTGGATAGAACAATGCTGCATGCCTAGAAAATGTGGGGGGCTGTTTTGCTGAGTGATGTGTTGACAGTTGAGTAGGTTTCACAGGTGTGACAGAAACTCCCAGCAGCACCGGGGGAGGCCTCGGTGGCAGGCAAGTGATGTACGTCACTCCCTGAGCCCTTTACTCACCCCGAGAGAGTAGCAGGGTGGAAAGCCTAAAAAGTGGGTTTCAGAACTCACACAGCCCTGTTGTAAATACCCATGGCTTGAAATGGCCTCTGCTGTGCAGGATAACAGGCAGTTACGTGAGCTGGTGGCAGCCAGGGCTGGAGGAGCTCAAGGAAGTCCCTGCCCTCCCTGGTAGCCCAAGCTGTTCTTTCTTCATCCCCAGTCCCTTCCTTTCTGGTCCTCAGTGTCCCCCATCCTCAACATCCCCACCCTCTAGACCTGACCAGTGTGTGGGTAAGGGAGTGGGTCAGGAGCTCATTGGAGTGTGGTTTTTACTAGTGTGAAAGGAAAATAAAACTTGGGGCCCCAATTCACTCTGCCAAAGGAAAAAATGAAGCTGAAAGCTGAGTCATGCAAGAAGCTGCATTTCCTTTTGTTCCTGAGCAGATAGCTACAGGTAAAAAGTTAAATATCTCCACAGGTAGCCACTCTATGTTCACCTTCTCTTATGGAAAGTGCCGATTTGCTGAATGTGAGATAATACATAATTAACTAACCCCTACCTACTCCTTTTCTCTTGCAACATGTGGATTCAGTAATGTGACCTATCTTTCCTTTCCCCTCCAGCCTGCTTTTCCCTTTTAAATATTGAAGCCCTCAAAATCTTCTTTGGGAAAAGGCACAGACCTGTCTCCCAGGTGGATCCTTAACTTTGACAAAATAAACGTCTAAACTGATTGACACCTGTCTATCTGACCTAGAGACAGATGCTCATATGCCTTTTGGTTTACACTAATAAAGAACTGGAAACATCCAACATCCCTCCACAGGGGAGTGACTAAGGGACCACAGAGAGCCTTCTCAGCCAGAACATCACATAGTTGCTGTAAGGAATTGGATAGAGCTCTGGCTCCCGACACAGAGAATCCTCCAGGCATACTGTTAAAGGAAAAAGAAAGCTGTAGAATCAGAAACAAAGCTATAGAATCAGAAAAGAAAGCTGTGGAATCAGAAAGCTATAGAATCATACTACATTGTATGATGTATTTATGTAAGACAGCCACAAACAAAACTGTACGTTTCCATATGTATACAAATATATTGGGTTGTACCACACGAAATGGCCTTTTTAAAGGTCAAAATTGGTCAGTCATTGGCAGATTCATGCAGTTCAACTCAGGGGTTCTCAGCGATGGACTGTGGCATTTGGGCTGGATAACTCTGTTGTGGAGGCAGTCCTGTGTGAGCACTAACTGCTAGTGTCACGACTTGGGTTGTGACAACCAAGAATGTCTCCAGATTTTTCCAAATCTCCCCCTGAGGGGCAAAATTCTCCACCCACCTTTGAGAACTTCTTTAACTTGATGTATGTAAATGCAAAAAGATGTGAAGAAATGTACAACATGCCGATTTGTTATCAGTCACTTTTGGGGAGGTGCCCGGAAATGGGGCACTGCAGCTTTAGCTTATCTGTGTTGTTTGAATTATTTTACAGTGAGACTGCATTCATGTGTTATCTATGTAATGAAAAAAAAAAAAAAAGAAACTGAGATTGTGTTTAAACTACTAAAAGAGTGTGGGGGAAGGGCAGGGGGCCCTTGGACCTCATAAAAGTATCAAGAGATAGCTGTCCAGCCCCTGCTTCCTCACGTTGCTTACAGTCCTGTGCTTTGGCACTGGAGTTTTGATAAGGCCATCAGTGAGCTCTACATGAATGCCTTCCTCTCTTTGGGTTGAGGGAGGGGTGTTTGGGACCTGTGCTGCATTAGAGAGCTAGACAGGCTGAAGGGAAGAGTTTCCAAGGCCCTAGAGGAAGAAGAAGGGAGTGAGAAAAGCACCAAATACATGTGTCCAAGGCCCAACGAGCCAGAGGGTAGACAGGAGGATAACCCAAAACAACTGGGTCAAGAGTGGGTATCAAAATTGAGGTAGGAAGGGAATATGGGGCCAGAAAGGGGAAAATAAGCAGAACCAAAAGAAGGAGACTGTGTGTGTGTGTGGTGGGGGTGGTGGTGCGTGACTGGTTACTTAGAACAAATGTTTGCTATCTGGGGCAATGGTTCTCAAATGTGGCTGCACATCTGAATTACCTGGGAGAAAATGAAGAGAAATAGATTTCCAGGCCCCACTTCAGACCGACTGAGTCAGAATCAGTAAGTAAAGCACTGAGAAACCTGTAATTTTCTTTCCTCCTTTTTTTTGTTTTGGAGATAGGGTCTTGCTCTGTCACCCAGGCTGGAATGCAGTGGTGCAATCATAGCTCACTGTAACCTTGAGCTCCTGGGCTTGCAACCCTCTGCTTCAGCCTCATGAGTAGCTAGGACTACAAGTGTGTGCTGCCATGCCTGGCTAATTTAAAAAAACTTTTTTGTAGAGACAAGGCCTTGCTATGTTGCCCAGGCTGGTCTTGAACTCCTGGCCTCATGCTGTCCACTTGGCTCGGGCTCCCAAAGTGCTAGGATTACAGGTATGAGCCATTGCATCTGGCCTGGAGTTTCTAATAGAGATTACACTTTGGGAAACACTGCTTTGGGGCTGGTTTGTGGATATTTAGTATGGTTCATACTAAAATTTCCACTATTGTCCCCAAATGAAATCTATAAAGGAGCCTATAGCTCCCCCACCCCTTTTTGAACAGGGTTACATGTTAATTTTACATATGGCATTTGGTTGTTATGTCTCAATAGTTTTTCAAAACCTTGATTCTTTGAAGAGCCCAGGCTGGTTGTCTTATAGATTCTAGATTTGCCTGTTTCCTCATGGAACATTTAACCTCTTGTCCCTACTATTTCCTGCAAACTGAAAGTTAACTCTAGAGCTTGACTGATAGATTCAGATTAAAAATGTTTGGTAAGAATATGTAATAGATGATATATATTTTTTTATTGTATCATCAGTTTTTCTAAGCTTTTTTTTTTTTTTAGTTTTGAGGGAAAGTGGGGATGTATTCAGTGCCTGAGCTAAAAAAATATTTTGTGGTATCAGGCTGATTTTAGTAGAAAATTACCAAGTGGAAGGCCAGTGTCTCTTGTTACATTCTTTCAGGTTTAGAAAGCACGATGGTGGTTGATGAAGCACCACTGGACTGAGCATTTTATTATCTGTGTGTCTATTTATCCCCAGGCTAATTGCGGAAAATGTAACTGGAACCAGGCCACAGAAAGATGGAGACATTTCAAAGTGGGCTGGAAATCAACAGAACATAAAAGTGAATAGGGAAGCTCTCCTCGAGCCCTGTAGTCAGGGAGTGGGAAGAAAGGACCAGAAGAAATTAGGAAAAGTAATTTTTCTTAGCTGTTAAAGAAGACTGCTTGTGGGGATTTGATAATTAAGCAAACCCTCTTCTATTCTGGGTTTTGATCCACTTGAAAGACATAATTGTCACAAGAAGATAAAAGTGAAGTGCCAGCCACATTACCTAGTTTGGCATTCTATAAGAAAGCTGGATTAGAGAAGGTGGTTTGCACTGGAGGTGGGAATGGGACTCTCTACACAATAACCACTGCCCCTAACTGAAGTTACTTAACTTCTGTGATTGCTAATTTTATTTGTCAACTTGACTGGGCCATGGGATGCCCAGCTATTTGGTCAAGCATTATTTTAGGAATGTCTGTGAGGGTGTTTTTGGATGCAATTTGATTTGGTAGACTGAGTGAAACAGATTTCTAATGTGAGTGCCCTCACAATCAGTTGAAAGCTGAAATGGAACAAAAAGGCTGACATTCCCATGAGTTAGAGGAGATTCCTGCTATCTGACTCTTTTGAGCCGGGGCAATGGACTTTTCCTGCCTTCAGACTCAACCTGGAACATCAGCTCTTCTTGAGTCTCAAGTCTACTGGCTTTCAGACTAAAACTACACCATTGGCTCTCCTGGGTCTCATCTTGCCTCCTGCACACCTCAGCCTTCATAATCATATGAGCCAATTCCTTATAATAACTCCCTCCACCTTTGCTCTTTCTATTGGAGAACTCTAATACATAGCTCCTGAATTAGTAACCCTGTTCATTCTTTTTCTCTGAAGAACGCTTCCTAATACAGGCCCCCGCCTGGGGCAGCTGAAGAGTTTTGCCCAGTCTACTTCTGCATAGTGGAAAAAAACTGCAACATGAATAGTGACATTTGTTCCTCTTCCACATATCAGATAAGTCATCCTTGACCTGTAGGGATCAGTGAGTGAGAGGCAACCACAGACAATGGTAAAAGTTCTCTCACCAGCATCTGGAAAAATTGAGCATAGCAGCCAGCATAAGGGCTCAGAGGGAACCTGAAGAAAGGAACTGCATGTATCGATTGGGTGTACTGAGAATCAGAACACACATAGTACAATATCTTAAATATTACCTGAAAAGAGAAACTGACCTGAGCTAACTTTAATAAGAAAAGCTAATTGTAGATAGATTCAGCCTAGACCAAGAAAGGTAAACTTAAAATATACTAATAAACACCAAAAATTATTTTCAGCTGTTTGTCCTGCATGGACCAGTGAAGAACACATGTCCAACTCTGTAGTACAAATGAATAAGCTCTTAAACATTACAGAAACATTAGCAACAAAGAAAATAGCTTTTGATTTCAATAAAGTTGATTCTATATACATGGAAAAAGCCTTTCTTATTGGGCAGATTGAATCTATTAGAAAATTTTGGATTATTGCTAAGTTTTTAAAAATTTGATTTTGTACATTGATAGATAAAATTGTACATCTTTACCATGCATAACATAATGTTTTGAAGTATGTATAGATTGTGGAATGACTATATCTAGCAAATTAACATATGCATTACCTCACATATTATCACTTTTATGATGAGGACATTTTATATCACTCCCTCAGCATTTATTAAGAATACCATATTATTAATATTATTAACTATAGTCACCATGTTGTTCAATAGATTTCTTGAACTTATTCCTCCTGCCCAACTGAAATTTTGTATCCTTTGACCAACATCTCCCCAACTCTCCCCCCAACTAACCAACCCAACCCTGGTAATTATCATTCTATTCTATATTTTATGAGATCAACTTTTTTAGATTCCACACATGATAAGTGAGATTATGTGATATTTGTCTTTCTCTGTCTGGCTTATTTCACTTAACATAATATCCTCCAAGTTTATCCATGTTGTCAAAAATGACAAGATTTCCTCATTTTTAAAAAGCTGAATAGTGTTCCATTGTGTACATATGCCACATTTTCTTTATCCATTCATCCACTGATGGCCACTTAGGTTGATTCCATATCTTGGTTACTGTGAACAGTGCTGCAATAAATATGAAAGTGCAGATATCTCTTTAACATACTGATTTCATTTTCTTCGGATATATACCCAGTTGTAAAATTGCTGAATCATATGATAATTCGATTTTTGAGGAACCTTCATACTGTTTTCCATAATGGTTGTACTAATTTACATTCCCACAGTGTGCGAGAGTTCCCTTTTTCCACATCCTACTAAATGCTTGTTATTTTTTCCTATTTTTGATAGTAGCCATTGTAACAGGTTTGAAGTGATATCTCATTGTGGTTTTATTTGCATTTTCCTGTTGATTAGTGAGGCTGAACATTTTTAAACATACCTCCTGGCCATTTGTATGTCTTCTTTTGAAAAATCCCGTTTAGATTCTTTACCCATTTTTAAATAGGATTATTTGTTTTCTTGCTATTGAGTTTTCTGAGTTCCTTATAAATTGTGTGTATTAACTCCTTATCAGATGTATAGTTTGCAATACTTTCTCCCATTCTGTAGGTTGTCTCTTCAATTTATTCATTCTTTCCCTTTTTGTCTGCATAAGGTTTTTAATTTGATGTAGTCCCATTTGTCTATTTTTGCTTTTGTTGCTTGTACTTTTGGGGTCATGTTCAAAAAGCCATTGCCCAGACCAATGCTGTGGATCCTTTCCCTTATGTTTTCTTATAGTAATTTTACAATTTTGCATCTTACTTTTGAGTCTTTAATCCATTTTGAGTTGATTTTTGTATATGGTGTGAGACGAGTCTAATTTCATTTCTTCCTTATGTAGATATCCAGTTTTCCCAACACTATTTATTGAAGAGACAATCCTTTCTTTGTTGTGTGTTCTTGGCTCCTTTATAGAAAATCAGTTGGTTGTAAACATGTGGATTTATTTCTAGGCTCTCTATTTTGTTCCATTGGCTTATGCATCTGTTTTTATGCCAGTACAATGCTGTTTTGTTTACTGTAGCTTTATAGTATATTTTGAAGTCAGGTAGTGTGATGCCAGCAACTTTGTTCTTCTTATTCAAAATTGCTTTGGCTATTTGGGGTCTTCTGTGGTTTCAAGTACGTTTTAGGGTTTTTTTTTTTTTATTTCTGTGATGAATGTCATTGGTATTGTAATAGGAATTGCTTTGAATCTGTAGATCACTTTAATTAGTAAAGACATTTCAACAATATTAATTCTTTCAATTCATGAACCTGGGATATCTTCCCATTTATTTATGTCTTCCTCAATTTCTTTCATCAGGAGTTTATAGTTTCCAGTGTAGAGATCTTTCCATTTTGGGCTAAATTTATTCCTAAGTAATTAATTTACTTATTTTGGTAACTATTGTAAATGGGATTGTTTTCTTGATTTCTTTTCCAGATCATTCACTGTTAGTATATAGAAACACTACTGATTTTTGTGTTTTGATTTTGTGTCCTGCAACTTTACTGAATTTGTCTATCAGGTCTAACAGTTTTTTGGTGCAGTCTTTATGGTTTTCTAGACATATGATATATAATTTGTTGAGCATTTTTATCATGAAATGATGTTGAATTTTGTCAAATGCTTTTTCTGGAGTAGCTGAAATTATCATAGCATTTTTGTCCTTTATTATGTTAATATGATGTATCACATTTATTGATTTGCATATGTTGAGCCATCTTTGCATCTTTGAAATGAATCCCAGTTGATCATGGTGAATGATCTTTTTAATGTACTGTTGAATTCTATTTTTTAATAGTTTGTTGAGGATTTTTTTTGCATCTATGTTCATCAGAAATATAGGCCTGTAGTTTTCTTTTTTTCTTTTTTTTGGAGTATCTTTGTCTGGTTTTCATATCAGAGTGAAGCTGCCCTTGAAAAATGAGTTTGGAAGTATTACTTCCAGTTTAATTTTCTAGAAGAGTTTGAGAAAAATTGTTATTAGTTCTTTAAATGTTTGATAGAATTGAGCAGTGAAGCTTTCAGATCCTGGTCTCTTCTTTGATGGAAAATTTTTTATTACTGACTTGGTCTGTTCAGATTTTCTACCTCTTCATAATTCAGTCTTGGTAGGTTGTATGTATCAAGGAATTTATCCACTTCTAGGTTATCCAATTTGTTGCTGTATAATTACTCATCATAATTTCTTGGCCAGGTGTGGTGGCTCAGGTCTGTAATCCCAGCATTTTGGGAGCCCAAGGTGGGCGGATCATGAGGTCAGGAGATTAAGACCATCCTGGCCAACATGGTGAAACCCCGTCTCTACTAAAAATACAACAATTAGCTGGGTATGGTGGCACACGCCTGAAGTCCCAGCTACTCGGGAGGCTGAGGCAGGAGAATCACTTGAACCAGGGAGTTGGAGGCTGCAGTGAGCCAAGATCGCACCGCTGCACTCCAGCCTGGTGACAGAGCAAGACCCCATCTCAAAAAAAAAAAAAAAAGGAAAAGAAAAAAAAAATTCTTATAATCCTTTATGTTTCTGTTGTATCAGTTGTAATATCTCCTTTTTCTGATTTTATTCATTTTAGTCTTCTCTCTCTTTTTTCTTAGTCTAGCTAAAGGTTTATTAATTTTGTTTATCTTTTAGACAACTGACTTTTAGGTTTTTTTCTATTGTTTTTCTCTATTATTTTCTGTTGTTATCTTTATTACTTCCTTTCTTCTACTAACTTTGGGCTTTGTTCTTGTTTTCCTAGTTTCTTGAGGTGAAACATTAGGTAGTTAATTTGAGATGTGTCTGTCTCTTTTTTTAGATGTAGGTGTTTATTGCTATAAACTTCCTTCTGACAACTGCTTTTGATATATCCCATAAGTTTTGCTATGCTGTGTTTCCATTTTCATTTGTTGGAAGAAAATTTTAAATTTCTCTTTCAATTTCTTGATTGACCCTTTGGTTGTTCAGGAACATGTTGCTTAATTTTCATGTGTTTGTGGATTTTCCAAAGTTCCTCCTGTTACTAATTTCTAGTTTTTTAACCATCGTGGTCAGAAAATATACTTGGTATGATTTTCATCTTTTAAAATTGGTTCGGACTTGTTTTGTGGCCTAACATCAGATCTCTTCTGGAGAATATTTTATTTGTATTTGAGGATGTGAATTCTTCAGCTGTTGGATGGAATGTTCTGCATATGTCTGTTAGGTCCATTTGATCTAGAGTGTAGTTTATGTCTAATGTTTTTGTTACTGATTTTACATCTAGATAATCTTTCCATTACTGAATGTGGGCTTTTGAAGTCCCCGGCTATTATTATAGTGCAATCAATCTCTCCCTTCAGATCTATTAATATTTGCTTTATGCATTTGTGTGCTCTGATGTTGGGTGCATATATATTTACAGTTGTTATATCCTCTTGCTGAATTGACACTTTATCATTATATAATAACCTTCTTTGTCTCTTTTTATAGTTTGTGACTAAAAGTCTATTTTGTCTGATGTAAATATAGCTATTCTTGCTTCTTTTGATTTCCATTTGTACAGAATATCTTTTTCTGCCCCTTCACCTTCAGTCTGTGTGTATCTATCTTTACAGGTGAAGTGAGTCTGTTGTAGGGAGCATATAGTTGGGTCTTTTTTTTTTGTAATCCATTCAGCCTCTCTGTGCCTTTGGTTGGATAATTTAATCTATTTATATTCAAGGTAATTATTAATAGGTAAGGACTTACTACTGCCATTTTGCCAATTGTTTTCTATTTACTTGTTTATAGATCCTTTATGCTCTTTTCTTTCTTTCTGGCTGTCTTCCTTTGTAGCTAAGTGATTTTCTAGTGATGTTTTGATTCCCTGCTTTTTATTTTTTGTATGTCTATTGTTAAAAGAAAAACTTCAGCCAAATTAAATTTAAAGGAGTTTAATTGAGCAATGAATGATTTGCAAATAAAGCATCCCCCAGAATCACAGCAGATTCAAAGAGACACAGTGCAGCCTCATGGTGGAAGAAGAATTATAGACAAGAAAAGGGAAGTGATGTACAGAAGTCAGAAGTGAGGTACAGAAATAACTAGATTGGTTACAGCTAAGCGTTTGCCTTATTTGAACACAGTTTGAACACTTGATAGTGTATGAGTAGTTGGTGTATGGCTGCTGGGATTGGCCAAGACCCAGCCACTGTTACAGGCACATAGTCGCAAGTCAGGTTCTCAATCTTGTCTACCTATTAAGTTAGGCTGCAGTTCGTCCACAAGGATTCAAATATAGAAGCGCCAAGTCCTGGCCAGGCACGGTGGCTCATGCCTGTAATCCTAGCACTTTGGGAGGCCAAGGTTGGTAGATCACAAGGTCAGGAGTTCGAGACCAGCCTGGCCAACATGGTGAAACCCTGTCTCTACTAAAAGTACAAAAATTAGCTGGGCGTGGTGGCGGGTGCCTGTAATCCCAGCTACTTGGGAGGCTGAGGCAGGAGAATGGTTTGAACCTGGAAGGCAGAGGTTGCAGTGAGCCAAGATCGAGCCATTGCACTCCAGCCTGGGTGACAGGGCGAGACTCCATCTCAAAAAAAAAAAAAAAAAAAAAAGTACAGAATCCTTCTCAGGCCATATTCAGTTCCTTTTAACACTACTATAGGTTTTTGCTTTGCAACTATCGGGATGTTTACAAAAAATTATATAGTCATAACAGGCAATTTTAAGCTGATTACAACTTAACTTTGACTGTAAAAACAAAAGAAAATAAAAACCCAACTCTACACTTTTGCTTCATCCCCATTTTTTATTTTTTATTTTTATTTTTATTTTTTTTTTTGAGACAGGGTCTCACTCTGTCACCTGGTGGGACTGCGGTGGTGTGATTTTGGCTCACTGCAACCTCCGCTTCCTAGGCTCAGGTGATTCTCCCACCTCAGCCTGCCAAGTATCTGGGACTACAGGCATGCACCACCATGCCTGGCTAATTTTTGTAGCTTTTGTAGAGACAGGGTTTTGCCATATTGCCCAGGCTGGTCTCGAAATCCTGGACTCAAGTGATCCACCTGCCTTGGCCTCTCAAAGTGCTGGGAAGCATGAGCCACTGCGCCCCATCCTGTTTTTGAGTTTTTGATGTCACAATTCACATCATTTTATATTACATATTCCTTAACAAATTACTGCAGCTATTACTATTTTTAATAGTTTTATCTTTCAACCTTTGTAATCAAGATATAAATAATTTACACACCACCATTATAGTATTAGATAATTCTGAATTTGACTGTGCACTTACTTTTAAAAGTGAATTTTATACTTTTTTGTTATTTTTTTGTGCTATTCATCTGGATCCTTTTCTTTCAGTTTAAAGGACTTCCTTTAACATTTCTTGTAACCTAGGTCTGGTGGTGATGAATTTCCTCAGATTTTATTTGTCTGGAAAAGTCTTTATCTCTCTTATTTCTGAGAGACATATTTCCTGGTTACTGTATTCTTGTTTGAATACAGTAGCCTTTTAAAATTGCCCTTTGAATATAATATCCACTCTGTCCTAGCCTGTAAGGTTTATTTTTTCTTTTTCTTTTTTTCATTAAGTTCCAGGATACAAGTGCAGAATGTGTAAGTTTGTTACATAGGTATACATGTGCCATGGTGGTTTGCTGCACCTATGAACCCATCATCTAGGGTTTTTTTTTTTTTTTTTGTCGTTATTTATTTATTTTTGGAGATTGAGTCTTGCTCTGTCGCCAAGGCTGGAGTGCAATGGTGAGATCTCAGCTCACTACAACCTCCACCTCCCGGGTTCAAGCAATTCTCCTGTAGCTGGGACTACAGGCACATGCAACCACATCCAGCTAATTTTTGTATTTTTAGTAGAGATGGGGTTTCACCATATTGGTCAGGCTGGTCTTGAACTCCTGACCTTAGGTGATCCACCCGCCTTGGCCTCCCAAAGTGCTGGAATTACAGGCATGAGCCACCGTGCCTGGTCCATCATCTAGGTTTTAAGCCCTGCATGCATTAGCCATTTGTCCTAATGCTCTCCCTCCCCTTGATCCCCACCCCACCACTGGCCCTCTTGTGTGCTGTTCCCCTCCTGTAAGGTTTTGTTGAGAAGTTTGCTGCTAGCTGTATTAGAACTTCTTTATATGTTATCTTATTTTCTCTTGCTGCTTTTAGAATCTTCTTTCTGCCTTTGATCTTTGACAGTTTGATTATAACATGTCTTGATTATAATATGTAGTCATATTTGGATTAAATCTGGCTGGAGATCTTTGACTTTCCTGTACCTGGATATTTAAATCTTTCTCTAGGTTTAAAAATGTTCTGCTACTTTTTCTTTAAAATAGCTTTCTACTTATGTTTCTCTTTTCTCTCTTAAACTCCAGTGGTTTGAAGTTTGCTCTTTTGATGCTGTCCTATAAATCCTGTAAGCTTTCTTTATTCTTTTTTATTCAGTTTTCTTTTTTCTCCTCTGACTATATATTTTCAAATAAGCTATCATTGAGACACAGATTCCTTCTTCTGCCTGATTAATTCTGCTGTTGATGCTTTCTATTGCATTTTTCATTTTGTTTATTGTATCTTTAGCTCTAGGGTTTCTGTTTGATTTTTTAAAAATTACTTTCAACTACTCTAATACATCTTTCATTCTGGTCCCTTATTGTTTTCCTTATTTCATTGATTTTTTTCCTCTGTATTTTCCTGAAGTTTGCTGAGCTTTCTTAAAATAGTTATTTTAAAATCTTTATCATGCAGTTCATGCATCTTCATCTTTTTAGGGTTGGTCACTTGCACTTTATTTTGTCCATGGGTATTGTCATGTTTCCTTGATTGCTCTGTATCCTTGTGATTGTACATTAATGTCTGTGCATTTGAAGAAGTGGATACTTATTCCAGTCTTCACAGATTAACTTTGTCTGGAAAAGCCCTCCAGCAGGTGCAACACTGGGATGTGCCAGAAGCTGGGGGCATTTGTGGCCAGTGTGTCACTGGGGTATGCCAGAAATCTGGGGCAGCTGCAGCTAGCATGGCACTGTCAGAAGCTGGGGGCTTACCATGCAGGCATGGTGCTGTGGTGCACCAGAAGCCTAATGCAGTTGTAGCTGATATAGTGCTGCTGGAAGACCAGGGCTAACTACAGCAGGCACAGTGCTGGTGTAGGCCAAAAACTTGGAGTGGCTGAGGCCTGTCTGCTGCAGAGGGCTATTTGGAGCATGGGCTGTTGATATCAGCCCAGTAATGGTGCAGGCCAAAGATCAAGTTTGTCACACAAGTCTGAGGTCTGAAACTGTGAAACCCTGCCTGGTCCTGGGGCAGACTGGATTATGGGGCCATGGGGGTCTGTCCAGAACTAGGTTTTGCTGTGGTGGGCTCACAGCCCACCACAGTTTTAAATGTGGTGGGTTTTAAATGACCTTGTATTTGAAAGCAGTTTCTCTATGTCTCTTTGCCTATCCTTATACTACACTTCTACTTAAAATGTAGCTTTAAAAAATATTGTTGCTATGTGACTCATCCTGACTGGACTTTCCCCAATCACCCATTAAAAACCTATGAAAACACATAGTTACTATAATTATTTAATTCAATGAACGTCTGTACTCCTATGAAGTGCGAAGCCCCATGTCAGTTTTTAGAGATGCAGATGTCGAACACAGTCCCTTCCCTTAAGTGGCTCATGATTTAATCTGCAATTGCTCTCAAAATTAAGGATGAGAATTGACTACATTCCATTACCCAGAAGGAATTTCTGCTGTTTCCTTTGGTGGGCTGGATTAAGAAACTCTAGCCATACTGTTTCTGGTATGGCTGCTCCTATACAATGCAACATCTCCAGGTATAATTTGAAGGTGACCCCTTAGTTCACTAACACTGCATCTTCCCAGTGAAAGTTCTAGAAACCAGAGTGTCAGGCAATCACCTCTCTCTGAACAAAAATTGTTTCTGGAGATGGCTGGAAAATGTCTCAGAACCAGTCCTTTCAGTTTAACACTACTGATTAGGCACCCTGCTAGGCATTTTTTTTTTTGATAGCCTCAAGAGATAGTCTAGTAGAGAAGACAGATATTTAAACAAGTAAATTGAATAGAAGTATGTGCATGGAGAAAAGTAGTAGAGATTAATCCTGTGTGCATGAGAGATTAGCCAGAAAAGTCTTAATGGAGGAAGGAATCACTAAACAGAAGTTTGAAAAATAATCTAGAGTTTTATAGATGAGTCATATAGGATAGGGTGGTACAGCTGGCATTTTAAGTATGTGCAAAAACGTACAGTTACAAAACAGAAAGATATGATGTCTAGATGATAAGCATCAACTCTCCTTTTAAGGCTGCAGTTTTCAGATGTAATGTGGCTGGAGATGGAGAAGAATGAAAAGCACCTGTTGAGAACCCTCAGGAGTAAAGATGTTAAAAAGATATAACTCTCCTTACATCACTTTCCTCATTAAAGAGGACTGGTTCAAAGATGGACTCAGTCTCCCTGGGAAATGAATTTTCTTCTTTATGACTAGGGAATGATGGAGGTGGTCCAGTGTTGGGTGAAATTACTTAGTTGACCTAACTACTGAGAACGGAGCTCAAAGCTCTGCACATCAGCTTGCTCTTGGCTTCATATCTGATGGATGATTCTTCCAGTTCTAGAGGGGAAATTATAGAAAACACACTTGTACAGTCTGTTCTCCAATATAGGGCCTGGACGGGTCCTCCTGTTTAATGATAAGTAAATAAACAGTTGAAAGAACAGCCTGTACAGCACCAAAGTAGGGAGACAAGACACAGAATAAAACTATAAAATATAAATTAACTTTGCTATGAGAACCAGAAGAAAATTTTAGAAGATATTTGCTTGATGATTTTTATTAATATACAAAAGGAAATCGCCTCTATGAACAGGAAGAAACTTTAGGAAGGGAGTTACTGAAATGAAAACCATAGTAGGCAAATTCAAATCCATATTGAAGTCAGAAAAGAACAAATTATTCCGCAGAGAAAATGGAATAAAAAATATATGACAGCAGTTTTGAAATGTTTTAAAAAGCTATGGATCCTCTTCTTTAAAGAAAGAACACATAGACCCTTACCATGTAAAAGTGATGAATGAGATTGTGGTTGAAGTGCAGATGGGGTCCCAGTGCCCCATTGACTACACTTTCTTCCTTCACCCAAACAGTGGGTCCCAAAGGGGTTCTCTGGAGCTTCCACTGAAGTTTCTTTAGAACACTGAGAACCACTGAGGTAGAGGCTAAAATTGAGAGGGCACTCCCAGAATAAACAATAGAAAGTTGAAAATGATGAGAGAAGATAACAGATATGAAAGAGTGATCACAAAGATCTAGCCCAGGAATAATAAATATTGCTGGAGGAGGACACATGATTAATTAAGGTTGAATTAATTTATAATGCAAGTTGTATTAGAAGAAAACTCCTTATCAAAACAACCAAGCAAATCTGAATCTAAAGATTGAGAAAGGACTTGTATTCCAGGCAGGATTAAGAGATCCATGATTTTTATCTCCAAGATGGTAGATTGGAGGCATTATTAGCATACCTCTTGCACTTACAAAGACAAAATAGTGTGTAGAGAGTCACACTGTGAACTTTTTCTGAGAAGCAACATGGAGCTGAGCAGGAAAACTGAAAGAAATCACAGACCCTTTGAAAGAAGTGATGGACTGCAGCCTACTTGAGCCAGGTAGAAAACTGTAAGTCCTCAGAGTATGAGAGGGGGAGAAACTGTCTCTGGGATGTATACTCCCACTAGGCAACCTGGCAATCCAGGCCACAGGGGAAGATTTTTAACTCTACCCAGTGCTGGAGCTGATTTAATGATCAGTGGGGAGTAAATGAGAAGGAGTGGCATCAGGATGCACTTTCTGTGCACTCTCAGACTCCAGCAGGAATAGGGGGAAGCCACTCATGATCCTGCCTCACGGGACCTCATGGAAGTCAGCCAGATAACTCAGGCAGTGGTCACAGGTTGAGAGAAGCTCCAGGAAACAACAGATGCTGGAGAGGATGTGGAGAAATAGGAACGCTTTTACACTGCTGGTGGGAGTGTAAATTAGTTCAACCATTGTGGAAGACGGTGTGGCGATTCCTCAAGGATCTAGAACTAGAAATACCGTTTGACCCAGCAATCCCATTACTGGGTAGATATCCAAAGGATTATAAATGATTTTATTATAAAGACACATGCACGTGTATGTTTATTGCATCACTGTTCACAATAGCAAAGACTTGGAACCAATCCAAATGCGCATCAATGATAAACTGGATAAAGCAAATGTGGCACATATATACCATGGAATACTATGCAGCCATAAAAAGGGATGAGTTCATGTCCTTTGCAGGAACGTGGATGAAGCTGGAAACCATCATTCTCAGCAAACTAACACAAGAACAGAAAACCAAACATCACATGTTCTCACTCATAAGTGGGAGTTGAACAATGAGAACACATGGACATGGGGGGTGGGGGGGGGTGGGGAAGGGAGAGCATTAGGAGAAATACCTAATGTAGATGATGGGTTGATGGGAGCAGCAAACCACCATGGCACGTGTATACCTATGTAACAAACCTGCACGTTCTGCACATGTACCCCAGAACTTAAAGCATAATAATAAAAACAAAGATTCACAGTATAGTCTTGAGTGGGGACAAACCCCTTTGGCCAGAACCAAGAGGCAAGTGGGAAGTGTGCTATAGCCATGGGCAGAGAGCTGGATGTCCCTGCTTTGTGGGTGGACAGAGAGAGGCATGGCATGGAAGCCATGGTTTCTGTGTTATGGGGAAGGTTTATGGCCTGGGGCAGTTTTGAGTTCTGAGCACAGACTGTCTGGAACCCAGCTAGCTGCTGATAGCAGAACATCGTGGGTGTGAGAACTGCCTTGCCAAGTGCTTGGGAGCTTGGTGGGGTTTACTGTCACCTGCTACTCCCCACTCCCCATGCAGACTCTTTTGTGTAACAGAGATGGCTGCACTCCTCCCTGAAACATTACCCCAGTGCCCAAAGAACTGCCTTCTATCCCCACTGGGGCTGCTGCTTGTGCCCACACATGGGGAGCCCGAGCACAGACTTGCCTGAAACAGCCACCACCTGCTTTTGCCTCTCTCTCTGCCCTAGTAGCTTAACACAAAGGGCAGGAACTTTTGGGAGCTCTATAGCCCCACCTATTACCTGAGACACTAGAGTACCTCCCCTGGGTAACATAAGGCAGGCACAAGTCCCACCGCTACAAATACAGCTGGTGTTCTTTTGCAAGTGCTACCTCCTGGTTGGAAGTCAACTGACACAGTCCATTACAACATCTGCCGGCAAAATGACACAGCACTCAGGAAGGAGAAAACTTGTGTGTGATCTCAACTATCACTGTTTCCTGCATCACCCTGGCTAACTAGGAGGTCCCGATTGTGTCCATGTGACCAGTTCATCACTATTACAGCTAGCAGTTGAGAAAGCCAACATACTAAGGCTATGTATAACCAAGAAAGTCTCACAGAACCTACATCACTCCCTTGCCATCCCCATCAGAGATGGTGCGAGTACATGCTGCTGGGAGACTCGACAGCTTACATCATTGGATTCTTTGTAGACATTCCTCAGCACCAGCTTGGAGTGTGGCAGCCCCACTGGCAGCTAGACCCAGAGGAGCAGCAGGCTTCCCAGTAGTCTAGCTCTTAGGAACTGCTACTCCCAGGAGAAGAGGGAGTATACCTCATCAAGGAGCACCCCGTGGGATGAAAGCATCCTAATGGCAGGCTTTCAGTCTCAGAACTCTCCATTTGTGGGAAGTTTCTTTTAGCAGAGGCACTGGTGCAGTGCTGGGCTCAGTGGGGAACATCTGTAGCTCTACTGCAGCAGTCAGGTAGCCCTGGTGCTAGTGAAGGGTCTTGGAGAAGAGGTCTGCTCCCACTCATCTACCATTGCAGACACAGATGGGGCTTCTCCCATGGGAGCTCGGCATGGGTGCACCTGTAGACAGCCTTTCTGTAACACTTCAGTGTGGCTGCATCCCTACAAGAGGAGTGCCCTCCAGGTTCAGGCTTGTATGATAGGTAGAATCATAATCCCTCTCTATATGGAACATCAGCATTCCTACAGATAAAAAGAGGTGCCTGTCTGATCTGAATAGCTGCAACAGTGGGTCAGGAGTGTGACTTGGAGGTGGATCACCTTCCTACTGGCCAGGCAGGGGAGCAGAGATGGCTCCCACCCTTCTCCCTGAAAAGACCTCAGTGCATTTCCCTGAGAGCTCCCTCAGCCACCTCTGTCAAGGCAGGGACCTCTGCCCACCAATGGGTATTGCATTTACTTATCTGCTTTAGGCACAGCCAGTTTTTAACCCATGGACACCTCCTACTAGCCTAAAGCCTGAACTGTTCAACCCAGTGAGTAAAATACTGGGGAAAAGAGTAAATAAATAAATAAATAAGTGCACACCACTGGAGAATGAGATAAGCTTCAAGAGACCGCTTCCATTCCAACCCCACAGGAGACAGTGAACCTACATACACACCGAGCACATTGCTACTACAACCAGCATCTGAGAAAGCCATCATGCAAAGACTCTTTATAATGAAAGAATTCGTACTGAGTCTTCACCCCTGAAAGCACCCAGAATCCAATTAGGTTATAATAAACTATGAACAGTGAAGTCACATCCTCAAGGGGAAAATAAAAAAATTTTAAAAATCAGTCAAAATAGGCCAGGCGCGGTGGCTCACGCCTGTAATCCCAGCATTTTGGAGGGTTGAGGTGGGCAGATCACGAGGTCAGGAGATCAAGACCGTCCTGGCTAACATGGTGACACCCCATCTCTACTAAAAATACAAAAAATTAGCCAGCCGTGGTGGCGGGTGCCTGTAGTCCCAGCTACTTGGGAGGCTGAGGCAGGAGAATGGCATGAACCCGGGAGGTGGAGCTTGCAGTGAGATCACGCCACTGCACTCCAGCCTGGGCGACAGAGCGAGACTCCATCTCAAAAAAAAAAAAAAAATCAGTCAAAATAAAAATGAATTCAAAAATACTTAGAATAATTAGTCTACCCAAATGAGAAGGAACCAGAGAAATAATTCCAGCAATACGACAAAACAGGGCTCTATAACACCCCCAAAAGATCACATTAGCTCGCTGGCAATGGCTCCAAACCAAGATAAAATATTTGAAATACCTGATAAATAATTCAAAAAGTTGATTATGAAGTTACTCAAGGATATACAAGAGAAAGGTGAAGACCAACATAAAGAATTTAAAAAAAATTTAGGATATGAATGAAAAATTTTCTAAAGAGATAGACATTTTAAAGAAAAACCAATCAGAACTTCTGGAAATGAAAGACACATTTAAGGAATTAGGAAATGCAGTGGAAAGCTGTAACAATAGACTAACCAAGAAGAAGAAAGAAAGACACATTTAAGGAATTACAAAATGCACTGGAAAGTTTAACAATAGACTAGACCAAGTAGAATAAATAATTTTAGAGCACAAAGACAAGGCTTTTGAATTAACCCAGTCAGACAAAAATAAAAAAGAATTAAAAGAAATGAACAAAGTCTTCAAGAAATATGGAATTAGGTAAAATGGCCAAACCTAAGAATCATTGGTGTTCCTGAGGGAGAAAAAAAGCAAAAAAATTGGAAAACTTATTTGAGGGAATAATTGAGGAACACTTCCCTGACTTTGTTAGAACTTTAGACATGCAAATACAGGAAGCTCAAAGAACTGCTGGGAGATTTGCTGCAAAAAGGACATAACCAAGGTTCTGTTATATAAAGTTAACATGAAGGAAAGAATTCTAAGAGCAGTGAGGCAGAAGCATCAGGCAAGCTATAAAGGAAAACCTATCAGACTAACAGCGTACTTCTCAGCAGAAACCTTACATGCCAGAAGGGATTGAGTTCCTATCTTTAGTCTCCTTAAACAGAGAAACTCTCAGCCAAGAATTTTATATCCAAAAAAAAAAAAAACTAAATTTCATAAATGAAGGAGAAACATATTCCTTTTTGACAAGAAAATGCTGAGAGAAGTTGTCACTATAAGACCAGCCCTAGAAGAAATACAAAAAGAGTTCTAAATCTTAAAACAAAATGTCAGTAACCCCGAGTGTAGAGCCTCTTGACAGCATAAAACTCACAGCACCCATAAAACAATAATACAATAAAGAAAACAAAGTAACTAGGTAACAATCAACATGAGGAGTGGAACAGTATATCACATCTCAATATTAAAAGTTGAATGTCAGTGGTCTAAATGTTCCACTGAAAAGGTGCAGATTGGCAGAATGGATAAAAAAAAATCACAAACCAAATAGACATACCTAACACACAAGGATTCTTGTAGACTCAAGGTAAAGGAGTGGGAAAAGATATTCCATGCAAATGAAAACCAAAAGCAGGCAGGAGTGGCTATTGTTATATCAGATAAAACAGTCTTTGATGCAACAACAGTAAAAAAAGAAAAAAGACAAAGAAGGTTATTATATAATGATAAAAGGATCAACCCAATAAGAAGATATTACATTCCTACATATATATTGGTAACTGGAGCTCTCAGATTCATAAAACAATACCAGACCAAAGGAAAGAGATAAACAGTAACACAATAATAGTGGGGGACTTCAACACTACTGATAGCATTAGACAGATCATCAAGGCAGAAAGTCAACAAAGAAACACTGGACTTAAACTGCATTCTAGAACAAATGAACCTAACAGATATTTACAGAACATTCTACCCAACAATGGCAGAATATACTTTCTTCTCATCAGCACATGGAATATTCTTCAAGACAGACCATATGATACACCACAAAAGAAGTCTCAATAAATTTAAAAAATTTGAAATCATGTCAAGTATCATCTCAGACTACAGTGGAATAAAACTAGAAAACAATTCTAAAAGGAACCCTCAAAACTATATAAATACATTAAAATTAAACAATCTGCTCCTGAATGATTTTGGGGTTTACAATGAAATAAGGATGGAAATTTAAAAAATTCTTCAAAATTAATGATAACAATGACACAAGTTATCAAAACCTCTGGGATACAGCAAAAGCAGTGCTAAAGGGAAAGTTTATAGTGCTAAATGCCTACATCGAAAAGTCTGAAAGATCACAAATTGACATCCTAATATCATACCTCAAGGCACAAGAGAAACAAGAACAAATGAAACCCAAAGCTAGCAGAAGAAAAGCAATAACAAAAATCAGAGTAGAATGAAATAAAATGAAACAAAAAATACAAAAGTCAATTAAATGAAAAGTTATTTCTTTGAAAAGATAAAATCGTTAGACCAATAGCTAGATTAACTAAGAAGAAGATTCAAGTAAGCTCAATTAGAAATGAAAATGGAGACATTACAGTTGACACCCTAGAAATCTGAAAGATCGTTTGAGACTACTGTGACTACCTCTATGCACACAAACTAGAAAATCTAGAAGAAATGGATACATTTCTAGAAATATACAACCCTCCTAGCTTGAATCAGGAAGAAATAGAAATCCTGAACAGACCTATAACAAAGAGTGAGATTGAATCAGTAATAAAAAAATTTGCCAACAACAGTGAAAAAAGTCCAGGGCCATATGAGTTCATAGCCAAATTCTACTAGACATTCGAATAATTGGTACCAATCCTACTGAAATTATTCTAAAAGATTGAGAAAGAGGGATCCTTCCTAACTTACTCTATAAAGCCAGTATCACCCTGATACCAAAGCCAGGAAAGAACATAACCAAAAAAAAAAAAAAAAGAAAACTACAAACTAATATCCCTGGTGAACATAGATGCAAAAATCCTCAACAAAATACTAGCAAACTGAATCCAACAGCACATAAAAAAGAGAATTCACCATGATCAAGTGGATTTCATCCAAGGGATGCAGGGATGGTTCAACATATGCAATTCAATAAATATGATTCATCACATAAACAGAACCAAAACAAAAACCATATGATCACCTCAATAGATGCAGAAAAAGCATTCAATAAAATCCAGTATCACTTTATGATAAAAACCCTCAACAAGCTAGGCATAGAAAGAAAATACCAAAAAATAATAAATGCCATATATAGCAAACCCACAACCAACATCACACTGAATGGGGAAAAGTTGAAAGCATTCTCCCTAAGAACTGGAATGAGACAAGGACGCCCACTTTCACCACTTCCATTCAATACTGGGAGTCCTAGCCAGAGCAATCAGGCAAGAGAAAGAAATAAAGGGCATCCAAATTGGAGAAGATTAAGTCAAACTATCTCTGCTTGCTGATGATATAATTGTATACTTAGAAAACCCTAAATACTCCTCCAAGATACTCCTAGATTTGATAAATGAATTCAGTAAATGTACACAAATCAGTAGCACTACTATACACCAACAACAGCCAAGTTGAGAATCAAATCAAGAACTCAATCCCTTTTACAACAGCTGCAAAAAAAAAAAAAAAAAGAGAGAGACAGACAGACAGACAGACTTGGGAATATACTTAACCAAGGAGGTGAAAGATCTCTACAAGGAAAACTATAAAAACACCGCTGAAAGAAACTATAGATGACACAAACAAATGGATATACATCCCATGCTCATGGAAGTATCAATATCATGAAAATGACCGTACTACCTGAAGCAATCTATAGACTCAATGCAATTCCTATCAAAATACCAGTATGATTTTTCACAGAATTAGAAAAAACAATCCTATAATTCATATGGAATAAAAAAGAGGCCAAATAGCGAAAGCAATCCTGAGCAAAAAGATCAAATCTGGAGACATCACGTTACCCAACTTCAAATTATACTACAAGGCTGTAGTAACCAAAACAATATGGAACTGGTTTAAAAGTACATACATAGACCAATGGAACGGAATAGAGAACCCAAACCCAGAAATAAAGCCTGATACTTATAACCAACTGATCTTTGACAAAGCATACAAAAATATAAATTGGGGAAAGGATATCCTATTCAAAAAGTGGTGCTGGGAAAACTGAATAGCCACATGTA